>NT_167251.2:0-1274639 GCF_000001405.40 Homo sapiens
TTTCTAGCACCTAGCAGACATGGCCCATTTGACACACTTGGCAAATGTTCCTGAGTGAAAGGACAGACACACTTCTGAGGAATAAATGAGTGCCACAGGCTCTGAGAGCCTGGCTGGACAGGGACACGTGTCCACACTGTCCAATCACCTGGCAGGCTGGAAGGGAGGGAGTCACAACTTGGTGGCTGTATTCTAACTGCACCCCAGCAAGCAGGTGTCCTGAAAGATGGCTGTGGAGCCTCTCCTGCCATCCCCTTTCCTAAATGCTGACCTAGAGACCCAATTACTTCTAATTGCTTGAGAAGATAACCCTTCTGAACTGGACAACACCCATCTGGGCTCGGATTTGCATATATTTGCAAGTATCTAATACATGCTAGAGGGAGGTGGTGCAGGACTCTGTCCTTCACATTGATCTATACAAAGCTATTCCTGCCTCTCCAGGCACAGCATCTGCCAGTGGAGACTGTTGGGCAGGACTCAAGGAGTCTGGTGGGTCCAATCAACTCCCTTGGCCAAAGGAGTCCATCTTTTTTTTTTTTTTTTTTTTTTTTGAGACGGAGTTTCGCTCTTGTCGCCCAGGCTGGAGTGCAATGGTGGATCTTGGCTCACTGCAACCTCCACCTCCCAGGTTCAAGTGATTCTCCTACCCCAGCCTCCCGAGTAGCTGGGATTACAGGCATGTGCCACCATGCCCAGCTAACTTTTTTGTATTTTTAGTAGAGATGGGGTTTCACCATGTTGGCCAGGATGGTCTCAATCTCTTGACCTTGTGATCCGCCCGCCTCAGCCTCCCAAAGCACTGGGATTACAGGCACGAGCCACCGTGCCCAGCCTCCATTTATAATCTTAACTGGCAACCACATCCTCATTGGAGGCTGGCTAAGCCTCCTTTTCCTCCCAACCCTCCTGGCTATCCCTAGTATGGACCAGAAACACCTACCTTTTAATTCTGGCCCAGTAAAAGGAAACTTTAATGTCAGTAGAAGGTGGGTGGTAGATTTTGGCTACAATAATTCTTTGCACTTACAGGGGCCACCATCCAGATATGACATCATGACATCATGCTTCACCCACAAGGAAGAGCCTCTCACTGAGAGGAGCCAGGCAGATCAGCTAGGATAACACCCAGAGTATGCATGCACCTCCTGCACAGAAGAAAGATGCAGAAGAGCTTCGTGCACTGTGGGTTTGGACCCCTGTAATCAATCATTGAAAGTTACTAAATACCCACTCTAGGTGAGATACTGCTTGGCTAGGTAGGAAAGTGCCCTAAAGGTGTGGGCAACCTTTGAGACTTCCTGGTAATTGTATTTTCTTATCAACCTTGACCTCCTTTTGATTACATGAACCTCATGGTATAAGACAGCGTCCAACAAATAGCTTTCTGTTTACTTTTTCTTAGACCCAGGGCAGCAGCTGCTGTGGCTCCACCCTTCCCAGGCCTGGCAGAGCTTGCAGAAAGGCTGAGAGTGATAGGGTTGTGGTAGGGGAATAAAAGGAGAAGCTAGTTTAAAAAAAAAAATCCTGCTTCAGGATTAGTTCCTTCGTTCCCTGGCAGCAGAGTACAGTGAAGAGTCTGGGTTTTATAGTTCAGGCTCTGCCATTAACTAGCTGTGTGGCCTTGGGCAACCCACTTGGCTTTCTTGGGCCACCATTTTCTCTTCTGCATTTTCTCACTGCAAAAAATGTGAATGATCATGTCCAGGCTATAATCCTAACAGCTCTTTCTGGACAGTGAGGTTAAGGTTATTTAGCCATGCCAGCAGGAGGTGACTACTGGTTGGTCCAGACTGATGGGGTATGGGTACAGGGGCTGGGTTGGTAGTCTGCCAGAGACAGGGAACGAGATTATTTGCAAGAGCTGCAGCTTCATTAAAGTCAAGCCCTCCTTGTAGTTGGTCCTGGACATTGCTTATAGATGTCCCTGACCATAATCGGTCAAGTTCAACACCAACTGCACTAGTCCAGAACAGTGTCTGAAGAAAATCTCTGCGTTAATGGACACCTGATAGTGGCTTTAGCAGAAAGAGCGTCAGGAGAAGCTGTAGTAACCAGAACCTGGGAGGGAGGGATGGCTCAGGAGTACCCCCTGCTGCTTCTTTCTTGGTACAAATCCTGGTCCTAGAAGTGTAGACAACTGAGATGGTGGCAGGCTTGGGATTCCTAAAGCTTTCTGAAATCCAGGGTTTAATCTAGCCTTTACAATCGCTGGAGCTCTGCAGAGACTCCAACTCAGGTGGCTGAAAAGGAGGCAGGTGGAAAAGCGTTCCTAAAAGGTTTTTCACACCAAAATAGGGCTTGTCTCTCTGCTCTCTGCCAAGGGATTTCCCAGCTCCCCAGGGCCAAAGCTCCCCTCCTGCTTCTTTGCTGACTGTCACTGGAAGCAGGCCATTTTCCACCCTCAGGGTGGCTGGACTTAGGAGTCAGTGACACTGCTGATCTGGGCTCTGTGCCCCGTCCACGATCCCCCCTCCGCTGTCAGCCCACTGGCCCCAGAAGCCTCCTGTTTACCTCCTGCCCCCTGCCTCCATAGCCCTGGGGCTGGGATGAGGCTGATTTGTGGCAGAGGGCTCCTCACGAAGGTCTGCTCAGGACTTTCTCTGCAACTGTGCTGGGGAATAAATCGCCTGTCACCTACACCCCTGCATGGGTGACTCACCTTCCAGAGAAAGTGCTCTGCTCACCTAAGCAAAGCTGCTTGGAAAATGACTAAGGCACCTATCAAATGCACTCTGTGGGGCCAACCAGTTATGGAGCAAGGTCCAGGCACACTCTGCCTCTCACCTCCAGCCTGAAGTCAAGTGCAGAGCTGCCACGCCAGGCCTGCTGGTTTCATTTTCATCTGAACCGAGCTCCACATGAGGCTTGACATCCGGTGATCTATTTTTTCTAAAAACTAGCTTCACTTTAGAAATGACTCTTCGGCCATCAAGTCAGCTTCCCCAAGAGAAAACAAAATGTTATTTAAAGGGAACAGTAGCCTGGTGAGAGCCTATATTTTTGTTTTGTATTAAGGTGAAAAAAGACTTTAAAATATAACATGAAACTTTTTTTTTCCCTTGTGAGATTAAAACAAACGTTTTTCTTTCAAGAGATGGGGTCTCGCTATGTTGCCCATAGCTACTTGACCTCCTGGGCTCAAGTGATCCTCCCGCCTCAGCCTCTCAAGTAGCTGGGACTAAAGAAACACACGTCACCATTCCAGGCTTCTTGTGAGATTTAAAGGGGAATCTGCAAGTCCTTGACTGCAGATCGTGGGCCCCCAGACAGAGTCTCAGAGAGAAGCTGACAAAGACATCTTTACGAGGGGGAAAGGGTGGTGAGCTGGGGATGCCATGTGGTAGTGGGAACCTCATCCCACAGAACCAAATGTTCCCTCCTGTTCCCCCAAAGAACAAGTCCTTGCTGATCTACATGCCATACAGTATTTTCCCTTTCCTCACCTCCAGGATTAATGCAGGAACCTACTTGATCACGTGTGGGACACAGGAAGCCCCTAGACAGGCCTAGCTGTGTCTCCAGCTCAGAGTTAGGATTGTCAACTGGGCAGAGCCTGGACCTTTGTAGCCTCATTTGGAGTATGGTGAGGGCAGTATATAGTGTAAGACAGGGAGAACCCGAGAGCTGAAGCTTTTAGACTGAAGGACTGTCCCCCTAAAGGTCCTACTGAGAAAATGACTCTGGCCTGTCAGGCAGTCTGACCCTTCTTGACATCATCTTACAGAAAACAGGTTTAGTCACAATGCAGTAATTGGCAACTACTACTGCTACTATTACTACTACTACTACTACTACTATTACTACCACCACCAAACACCACCAACAAGAACAACAACAACAACAACAACAGTTACAGCCTCTATGTTCTGTGCTGGGCACTGGGCTCAGCACTTTACATATCTCCTCTCATTTTCTACTCAAAACAGCCCCATGAAGTATTTCTGATCCCATTCACAGATGAGGCACCTGATGATTAGAGAAGTGAAGTGATTTGCTTGCGGGCACACAGGCAGGCCGTGGCAGACCTCGACCTGACCCAGGTCTCTCTGACCTGACAGCCTCAGCCACCACATGTGACACGGAGACACCAAGGACTTGTTCTGTTGCTCTGGACAAATCACGGGCTCTCTGCCTTTGTTTCTACATCTGGAAAATGGGCACAAGCACACCTGTCCAGGCAGCAGGCTATTCATCTTTTGGCCTTTTATTAATTAAAAATCAATATCAATTAATAATTGATTGGTACAATAAATAAATAAAGCTGCTACCCTGGTTTCGTTATGTTCAAAATTGACATGTTTGGGGGAAGAAAATCCTTATCGTTTCATGAGCAAGGTAGTAGAAAAAGCAGTGACCTAGATATCAAGAAAAGGGGGTTTAGATTCTGAGCAATCCTGTCTGTTTCTCCTTATGAGGCTTCACTTTTCTGATCTTTGTCCCTGCCCTTCTTCACATGAGTATGGTGTGAAAATACAAAGACTGGCCATAAAATTATTCTTGATGCCACATAATTTCAAGGGATTTCTATCAGGGAGCTGAGGGATTAAGACATGTAGAAAAGCAAGAAGGGAAGAGGCTCCTTTAAACTAGAATACAAAGAGCACACCGGCCACTGAAGAAAAATGACTTTTTCTGCATTGTCATTCAGGCAGTCATAAGCCCAGAACAAAAAAATCTCATACTTCAATGTCCTGCTCAGCTCAACAGAAATGCTCCCCTACAATTTGCCCTACGTCTGGCCTTCCCTTTTTGGGCTACTACTTTCAGCATTTTAGCCAGCATCACCGAGTAAATGCAAAACCTTCACACATGCATCACTTTGAATGCCCACCCAGCTCTTGCAGATGCTCAGCCCCATTCTGTTCCCTTACTAGGGAATCCTGGTGTGTGGAGACCAGAGGGGCTGACATCCTTAGAGCTCCCTAAATCCACTGACATGGAATTGTCCCCGGCCCACCAATTTCACACTGGTGCCATCAATAGTGCCCATAATGCTCAGATGTTTCCAGTTTAACTGAAATACTAAAATGGGGCAAACAGGAAGCATCAGACACAACTGTGGTAGTGACTTATTAATCACGAAAGCAGAATTTTAGTTGCATTTTAACCTTTTGCCAGGAAAAAAAAAAAAACAACCTTGAGATGATGGAAGCCATTAGTAGAAGTACGCTGCCTTTATGCGTATTGGGCTGACTTAGACTTTTTACTTAGGACTGACTTTGCTTTTAAGATTTCTGAACTTTCCCCCCAGAAAGAACATCTGTCAAACCAACCAATATGAATCTGTCAGCTCTTCATCGAGGCAGGCAGGCTTGTTAGGAAAGCCCATGTGCTGTCCATTGAGACAGGAAAAAAAATAGGAAGTTAAAAGTGCCTTCACAGGCCAAAGTGATACAACACTGTTCAGAGGGTGCCAACAACGAAGAAAACAACCCTGGATAAAGCTTTCATCTCTTTCACATCTCCGCAGATCTCTCACCAGACCCTAGCCAGGGATGAACTGTTATCAATCACCAAAAAAAAAAAAAAAATCACAACAGTTGCCGAGGGCTGGACAACCAATCAGCGCAAGCCATCTTCTCAGCAGTAAATGATATACACATATTCCAGGCAGATCACAAAGGAGTCAGTGTTCAACAGGAGAACCAAAATGAGGAACCAAACCTTCATCTGTTGAGGCGAAACAGCCCAACCAGACATTTTTGTTTAATAGAGGGAGACTGATTTGGCAGGGTCTCTGTGGTGCCGCTCCCACAAACTCTTAACAGACAATACCAATGACAAAAAACCCCCTTCAGAACTGCTTCTTATAATCAGAAAACACTCAGAAGATGGCCTGAAGCTTGGCAGCGTCTTGCTGTCTGATTTCACAAAGAGCTGGTACACATACCTGGGTACTTATCTCTAAAATTAGAGTCAGAGACGATTACTTTTATTTTGAGATCTTCTGAGAAGTTCTCCACACCCTTCAAAATAAATAAGGATGTCCGAAAGGTGTCTGAAAAATTCAGAGGTCTGGCATCGCTCCAAAGAAACTGATTGATATCACTTAAAAAACACCAAGAGTAAATCCAAACACAACCAAAGTAAGGCAAGCACTTTTTAAGTGTCCTCTCACATTAAGAGCATAAAAACCACACCAAAAACTTCTCCCTCCTTTCTGCATCTCAGTTCTATAATGTGGTCCTGATCTAGGATTCTGGGAAAGACCCATCCTTAGTCCCAGCTATGAGGCATCAGGCAAGATATATACCACCCCCACTCCCTCATACACACCTGCCTCAGGTGCCTCGCCCATAAAACAAGACACTACAATCTGTCTTACCACACAGCCATCTGAAGGAAAACGGAGCTCACAGGTATGAAGACACTAAGCAAAAAACACATCACTAATGTTAAGATACTGTCTCCTTCTAATCTTTCAGAAAGACCATGTTTCTAGTCAAGGGGTTTCCAACATTTTTCTTGGAATAAACTCCAGACTCCTATTTTATATCATGACCTCACTCTAATCATTTAATTTCATGTGCTTTTAAAGTCCTTAATTAAGTCATTGGTGTTCATTGTCTCCAGCGATCAAAAGTAGTTTTACCATTTACTTTGCTGATGTATGTACCTTTTCACCACTTATCCTCTCCCTCATTCATACCTCCAGTCCACCCTTTAGGGCCGAGAGCAACTTTTTAACCTCGACTAGGAAGGAAACACTTTTTCTGAAGCTACCCAGCACTAAGGAGGCTCCCGGGCAGGTGGGAAACGTACGTACAAGTGGCCCCTCTCTGCCTGGTGCCCAGTGGCTGCAAGATGCCAGGGCCACGATGGGTTTCCAAGATGGGAATGTTATATTTGAACCGACAGATAAAGTCCCGAGTTGGAGAGCCCAGAAGAATTACAGAGGAGGACTGGGGTCCGAGGGCGGAGGGAGGATGCTGCGGGCGGCCAGCACTGCCCCGCTGCATGCTGAGGACAGGCTTAGCTCCTGCTCCCCGCCTTGAGGTGTGACCTGAGAACTTCCCATGAAAGGCCGGGAGGGTTTCACGCCAGGGCAGATGCCAGGGCGCACTCCTGCAGGAGACACGTCCGCCCCGCGGCAGGCGAGCTCCATCCTGGGGGCACTGGGGCGCAGAGCAGGCGGGCGGGCCTGGCGGCGGCGCGGGGCACTAGTGAAGGGGAAGCAGGCGGCCCCTGCGCGCGCTCGGAGCCAGCGTGTGGCCAGCAGGAGTGCGCGGCCTGGAGGCCCGGGGCGAGCGCGGCACCGGCAGCGCGTGCGAGGGCGCGCCCGCGGACCGCTGCGAGTGGGTTGGACGGGGTACGTCGGACTGCGCTGGCCTGGCCGCCGACCCCACTGCTCCGGGGCGAGGGGCCAGGCCGCAGCCCAGCCCGGGGCTGAGAGGCGATCCATCCCAGCCGCTCCCTGGTCGCCTCGCACCGGGCCCCAGGGTCCCGCCCCGTCACCTACCGGCCAAGCGCCGATCTCCCCAACCAAGCGAGTGTTGCGCTCCGCTCGCCCGCGATCTCCCGCCGCCGGCCGCCGACCGCTGAGCTCCCGGCCCGTGGTCGCCCCGCCCCGGTCCCGGGCTCCGCCCCCTCGCCTTCTCGGCCGCCCCCGGGGCCACGCCTCCCCCGGAGGCTGTAACTTTGCCTCGCTTCGCGCCTCCTTTCTTTGGCCGCACCGCGACCCGTGGCCCCGCCCACTCCCCTACGCCAACCAATGAGACGGTCGTCCCGGCAAGCCCGTCTTCCCGCTCCCTAGCAACGATTGGTTAACGAGGCCTGGTTTCCAGAAATGGGCACTATTTCCGGACGATGTTTGTAGAAGGGAGATCGCTGGGCGGGCGGACTGACAGAAGGCGGAGGCGACTAGGGTGTTGGTGGAACCACACATGCGCCCTCGGCTTCTGGCAGTCTTACCAGCTGCGTTCTCGAGGTTACGGGAAGGAAGGGCGAGTGTGCGCATGCGTGGGCACTCCCTGCCACTGACTTCGGTTACCTTGGAGACAGCGAGGCGCTCTCCCTCGTGGGTCGCGCGCGTTCCGCTTCCTCTCTGCTGCCAAGCGGTGGCGGCTGAGGCGGGAGGTGGTGGGGGTAGAGACGTTTTTATTGAGCTCTTACCGTGTGCCTGGTCCTGTAGAATCCCTGGAATGAGTAAAGAAGGTTACAGTGCCTGCCCTCGAGAAGCTTGGGGAGCCAAGGGCTTACAGGGGCCCGACCTGTGGGTTGAAACCCAGGTACAAAGAGAGCATGTGGGTGCGTGGCGTGGTACGAGCGCTGAGCAAAGCATCTGCTCTCTGGGTTTGCAGACCACAGAGCCAGCAAGAGGATGAGAGCTTGATGTATGCAAAGAAAGGACCTGGAGTTCAGAATATGCATTGAAGTGTCAACAGTGCTTCTTTCTGAATGGGGGTCGGGGGTGGGGAGTAGGGAAGGTATAGAAACTTTTTCTAACTTTTGCCCCTCTGTATTATCTAGTGTTTCCACACTGAGCTTGTATTTTATTTGTAATAAATTCCAGGCCAGGCACGGTGGCTCACTCCTGTAATCCCAGCGCTTTTGGGAGGCAAAGGCAGGAGGATCGCTTGAGGCCAGGAGTTGGAGAACATCCTGGGCAATATAGCAAGGACCTCGTCCTTGCAAAAAAATAAAAGAATAGCCAGGCGTGGTAGTTTGCACTTGCAGTCCCAGCTAGAGGGGAGGCTGAGAGTCTGAGGTTACAGTGAGCCATGATCGTGCCACTGCACTCCAGCCTGGGTAACAGAGTGAGGCAGTCCTTTAAAAAAAAAATCCAAACTTTTTTTTTTATTGCAAAATAAAAGATGTACTCCTACCCTGGGCATCCCACTTCCATGAAGGGTCCATGGTAGGTGTGGTGAGTGGCTCTAGTCCGGGGATAGGCAGGCCCCACCCAAGGCTGTCTTGAAAAGTAAGGAACACCCCATCTCTGGAAGTGTTTGAGCAAAGACCACCATCTGCTTGAGACTACTTTGCAGACAGTCCGAAGCTGAACTCTTCTTTCTGGATATCTGTGCCAAACAGTCATCTCTGCTGGGGAATAGGGAAGACCATTTATTTAGGCAGTGGTCAAAAACTCACAACCTGAGGGCCTCATTCACTCACCCAGGCCAGAAATATGCTTTGTTTGGCTGGCCCAATATTTTTTTAAATTTGAATTTGAATGCCTTAGAGCAGAGCCTGCGGTTCCTTACAGTTCCCGCCACCCAACCATCTAACCTTATGTCACCTGTCTGGCCCCTGGAGCATTTGAGGTTGTGGCTCCCGTAGAGTCCGTGCTTTAGAGCCAAACAGTCTCTGGCGCCCACCCTGGCTCTGCCACTGACTAGCTGGGAGATGGCAGACAAGAAAGAAGCTGGACTGGTGGCCCCCAAATCTCTTTCCACCCCTAGGGTTTTGCATTTCAGTGACTCAGGGAAAGGCAGAGCTTGGCCAGATGTACAGGTTGGTATCGGCAATCTTGGATGCCCTTATTGCCTCTCCCACCACCTGTTTGCCTCTGGGCACACCACTTCTCAGGAAAGATGTGGGCACACCTCCAGAGTCTGCAGACACTCCCTGGCTTGCCTTTGCCTTCTCTCTCTTTCACTATTCCTTCTTTAAAACACCCAGTGTCTCTGTACTTTGCCCAGGTTCCCTTGACACCTCTGGTCCTGGGTCCCCTGTACACTCCCACCTACCCCATCAAGATGATCTGTCTTTAAGTCCGTCCCTGAACATTAATGTGTATTAATCAGAGACAGTGAACTGTGTTGACTCAAAACTGTAACTCTGGAGAAGGAATGTCACATCAGGTTGCAGGGGAGGAGCAAACCACTAAACACTGGTAAGGAAGATATTCGGGATAAGCAAGGCCTCTCCGTTTCAGCTACTTTTCTGAGGTCTTTCCAAGCCCCACTGTGTGTGGGTGAGGTGAGAAACAATACACCTACCCAGAGTGAGCAGTGTGGTGTCTCTGAGTCTTGAAATGCTTGCACCCTCTGGAAGGAGAGCTTCGGGACGAGATTACTTCCTCCAAGCTTAAGTCAAGACAACCTGGGAAAGCTTCTGGCCTTGAGTCACTTGTGCAGCCTCAGCTCTGCTTTAAATACAAGAAATTGACATTTACAGGATGACTCACACCTGGAGCAGTGAACTAGGTTCTCAGTACTCAAGGGTTCTCACACCCCATCCATTTCAGGTCTGGAAATAGCGTTAAGACTGTGCTATTCCGAAAGAATCGCAGCTTGTTTTCTGATACTTTACAAAAAGTAAGCCAGATAGACTTAGAGTACTTCATGTGCATAACCTCACTGAATGTTCCCTCTAGGCCAGGGTTTCTCAGCCTGGCACTATAGACATTTGGGGTTGGATAATTCATTGTTGGGGGACGGGGCTTGTATTCGCCTGTTTTCACGCTGCTGATAAAGACATAGCTGAGATGGGGTAATTTATAAAGGAAAGAGGTGTAATGGAGTCACAGTTCCATGTGGCTGGGGAGGCCTCACAATCATGGCAGAAGGCAAAAGGCATGTCTTACATGACAGCAGACAAGAGAGAATGATGAGAGCCAAGTGAAGGGGAAACCCTTACAAAAACATCAGATTTCATGAGACTTACGCACTACCATGAGAACAGTATGGGAGAAACTGCTCCAGTGATTCAATTATCTCCCACTGGGTCCCTTGCACAACACGGAATTGTGGGAGCTACAAGATGAGATTTTTTTTTTTTTTTTTTTTTTTTGAGATGGAGTCTCCCTGTGTCACCCAGGCTGGAGTGCAGTGGCGCGACCTCAGCTCACTGCATCCTCCTCCTCTTGGGTTCAAGTGATTCTCGTGCCTCAGCCTCCTGAGTAGCTGGGACTATAGGTGTGCACCACCATGCCCGGCTAATTTTTATATTTTTAGTAGAGATGGGGTTTTGCTACGTCAGCCAGGCAGGTCTTGAACTCAAGTGATCCACCCACCTCAACCTCCCAAAGTGCTGGAATTATAGGCATGAGCCACTGCGCCTGGCCTCAATGTGAGATTTGGGTGGGGCCACAGCCAAACCACATCAGGGCTGTCTTGTGCATTGCAGGATGTTTAAAAGCTTTCCTGGCCTCTGTCTACTACATACCTATAGCACTCCCTCATCCACCCAATGTGACAATAAATGTCTCTGGACATTGCTAGATGTCACCAAGGAAGCAAAATTGCCCCCGGTTGAAAACCCCTACAGTCTGACCCCATTGAATAGGTAGTATTACTGTCCCCATTTCACTGATGAGCAAACTGAAGCTCAGACAGAAGTAACTTTCCCAGTGTCACTTTGCTGTAACAGGAGACCCAGGATTCAAACCATGTCTGACTTCAGAGCCCCTGCCCTCCTGCATGCCGGACTCTGCAGAGAGACTTCAGGGTTCAGGGAGCCAATTGCCCATCAGTTCTCTAGGACAGTGCTGAAGAGTGAGTAAATCAGTGAAGGAATGCTATCCTTGGATCATTTTTCCTTTTCTGTTTGCCTTGGAAGAAAGGAAATTATATTCTGGTTTTTATTGCCTTAGTCAGCATGGTTTATGGTGCTGAGCCATGTCCAGTGAGAAAGTGGCTGATGAGTCATCTGAATGTGGATTTCAGGCCCCAAATTACTGTGAGATTCTGAAGTTACACTTGAGAATTCAGATGTGAGGCTGAGATAAGAGATGACTGGGGACTGTAGGGTGGATGTTCCTGGAGGAGAGCAGTTTTCCTTTCCCTGTCGGGACTGCCTGAAGTTGCAGCCACAGTGCTGTTGCTGCCCTCCCCAGCTTGGACCTGCCCTACTGCTGCTGTTAGCTGAGGTCTATGGAGAGGCCAGGGAGGCAGGAGGGGAAATGGATAAATGGATGCAGGCAAAGTGTGATCCATTCTCTCTAGCTATTTTGTGATCAGTGATCTCATATTGGTAGCTTGAAATTGGACATGTTGGGAGTATTTATACCATGGAAGTTGGCAAACAGTATAAATCAGGGCTACCCATCCTGAGTTGGTTGTTAAACACCTGCTGGCACACCACTGTGTGCTGGTTCTGGCCTGTGCCTGCTGCCCACCAAACCAACCCCACATAGGGAGATGGCAGGGGGCACCACAAACCACAGAGCTGCTGTAGAAGAGGAGGGGCCATGGCGATGTGGGTGAGGGGGAGAGGAGTGCCAATTTCAGCAAAGAATGGAGGTGAGGGCTGGTAGGGGACTCTGGAGGGTACTGGGCAAAGATGACCTTACAAGAACAGGTCCTGGGCACACCTTCCAGAGATCTAGCCTCCTCTCCCAACTTTGGAGCCTTCTTAGGGTGCCCTGGCTTGACACAAATTCTTCTCATTTCCTGATTTGGAGATTTTCCCCTCCAGACTCACCTGCTTACCTCTAGTCTCCTCTCCACACTATCCTCAAGCCTTCTGGTGAATTGAATCTTCCTAAGAGATCGCATAGGTCCTGTCATTCCACTCCCAATGTCCCAGCATCTCCTGCCCTTCGATATCTCCCTCCTTTCGCTTCTTCCTTTCAACCTACAAATGAGGTCAAGCCGAGGACACCCTAAAAACAACAAACAAACAAAACCTTGCTAGTTCTGGCTTTCCCCTGCACTGTTAGCCCAGCCTTCTTTCCCCCTTCACTCCCAAACTTCTTGAAAGTCTGCTTCATCTCCCACCCAAGTGGGCTCCTTACAGCCTGGTTTCTGCTCACCAGCCCTTCTCTCCATGAACTGCCTCCTAGTAGATGACCTTGTCTCAGTTTCTTATCTGCAGCCAGCCACAAATGTGATGCACTGAGCTCCTCTGTGTCAGGCTCTGGGTAGGAAGCATGGAACCTCCAGACCAGTCCCTGCCCTTAGGGAGCTTCCTTGAACAGGTAGCAACAGATGAGGACTTAAGCCACTGCAAGTGTGGCAAGAAGATGGGGAGACTGTATCATGTCAGGTAGGATCCAGCCAGGAAAACAGGACCCATTTTGAGGGTTTTTTTTTTTTTAATTTTGATAGAGGTAGGGGTCTCCCTGTGTTGCCCAGGCTGATCTTGATCTCCTGGCCTCAAACGATTCTCCCGCCTTGGCCTCCCAAAGCACTGGGATTACAGGCATGAGCCTCTAAGCCCAGCCTCATTCTGAATTTTTATTTTTATTTTATTTATTTATTTATTTTTGAGATGAAGTCTCACTCTGTCACCCACGCTGGAGTGCAGTGGCATGATCTTGACTCACTGCAACCTCCACCTCCCGGGTTCAAGCAATTCTCCTGTCTCAGCCTCCTGAGTAGCTGGGATTACAGGCGCCTGCCACCACACTCGGCTAATTCTTTTGTATTTTTAGTAGAGACGGGGTTTCACCATGTTGGCCAGGCTGGTCTTGAACTCTTGACCTCAGGTGATCCACCCGCCTCGGCCTCCCGAAGTGCTGGGATTATAGGTGTGAGCCACCTCGCCTGGCCTCTGAGTTTTTAAACAGAATAAACATAGAATTGAATGCAGGAAATTGGTTACATAGGGGATGAAAGGATGGAGAAGTTCTTCAGACAATGGGGGAAGTAACCAGGAATCCAGCTGCGACCCCTGGGTTGGAGGGACTGGACTGGGGCAGTGTAATCAAAGGCTGGGACTGGGGTCACTTGGAAGAAGTTGAAACCATAGAGAAGACACAACCACTTCCACAGATACCACTAAGACTGAGAGGGATGGGGAGAAATCCCTGCATTCTCCTTCCCTTCTACCTTTGGGTTTCCTGCCAGAGCCTCTTACTGGCCTGGGAGCCTAGAGGGGTCAGTCACTTGCAATGCAGAGCAGAGCAGGTGAGGGCTGGATGGGGGAGCACACAGCCCGGGACCAGCGCAGGGATTCCTTCTACCCTCCACATCTATCGTTACCATGTCCATCTCCCCTGTTGAGGCCAGGCCTCATGACTCATTCATCTCTCTCCGGCACCAGGGCCTAGTCAAGTGCCTGGCACCAAATAGGTGCTCAACTACTGTTTGTTGAATGATTCAATACAGCCAGTAGTGGATGAGGACTCCAAGGGAGAGAGTGTAGAGAAATGAGGGGCTTAGGCCTGAAACTTGGAGGGTCTCAATTGTTAAGAATTGGAGAGGGAGGCCAGGTGCAGTGGCTCATGCCTGTAATCCCAACACTTTGGGAGGCCAAGGCGGGCAGATCACTTGAGGTCAGGAGTTTGGGATCAGCCTGGCCAACATGGAGAAACCCCGTCTCTACTAAAAATACAAAAATTAGCCAGGCGTGGTGGCTGACGTGTGTAATCCCAGCTACTCAGGAGGCTGAGGCAGGAGAATCGCTTGACCTGGGAGGTGGAGGTTGAGGCTGCAGAGGTTGGGAGCCGCAGGAGAAGAGAGGATTCTGGAAGAAGAAGAGGAGCGCCAGCTTTGGACATAGTGTATCTGGGCTGCCCTGGCTCTCTCAATTGTCCTCTCTTTGCTGTTGACTGCCAGATTAACACCTTCAGTTCTGACCGTGATCCTGGGCTCCAAACCAGAGTTTCCAGGGGCCCATAGAGTATTTCCACCTTCTAGCCATCTGGCATCTCCAGCTTTGCACTGTTCCCCAAACCTGTTCCTTGGCCACCCCTCTCTGTTAATGACCTCACCGCCAACCCCGGGAGTCTCCATCACCCGCCTCTTCTTGCTGTCTCATGCCAAGCCATGTTGATGCTCTCTCCATTATACCTCTGTCTGTGGCTTCCCTTTGTCTCCCCTTTCTGATGATGCCCTTGTAGTATGTCAGCCTTTCCTCTTGCTTCCTGTCATTTATATTCCAATCCCTCCTACACTGTCTGTCACTCCCTTGCCCAAAACTTTCAATGGCTCCCCATTGCCTACTGATGAAGTACAAGCTTGTTATCTGGCTCACAAGGGCCTCACAGTCTAGCCCCAACTCACCTCTTTTGGTCTTACTTTTCACAGCTTCCCTGTGGGCACCCTCTGTACTACTTACCATTGACCCAAACCACCTGTCTGTACATCCTGACCCAAGGCTGCCCTGTGGACTGAAATGCACCCCTCTGCCTCTGCCTGTCAAATCATACCCATCCATCAAGTTCCTGATGAAACGCCTCCTCTCCAAGCACCACTTAGCCCAGCTATGTATCTGCCTACTTTATCTCTCTTAACAGACAGTATGCACCTTGATGGCAGCTTGTAATCACCAAATGGTGAGTTGGTATTTGGTAAATGTATGTTGACCTGAAGTGGCTCCAAAACCATTCTTCAGATCAAGAACCTCCTGTGGGCTGGGCACAGTGGTTCACCCCTGTAATCCCAGCACTTTGGGAGGCTGAGGCGGGCAGATCACTTGAGGTCAGGAGTTCGAGACCAGTCTGGCCAACATGGTGAAACCCCATCTCTGCTAAAAATACAAAAATTAGCCAGGCGTGGTGGTGGGCGCCTGTAATCCTAGCTACCTGGGAGGCTGAGGCGGGAGAATTGCTTGAACCTGGGAGGCAGAGGTTGCAGTGAGCCAAGATCGTGCCACTGCACTCCAGCCTGGGTGACAGAGCAAGACTCTGTCTCAAAAAATAAAAAATACAAATAGAACCTTCTGTGGCTCCTTGTTGACCACTTCAGAAGCCTGTTCCATCTTAGTATCTAACCTTACTCCCCCACTGTTGCCTCCAAATATGTCTCATGTTCAGTTTCAACCCTTCAGTAGAAGCGTGAAAGATATAAACATGAAAAAAGGCATTACTGCCCTCCAGAAGTATGCATTCTCCTAGGGTGGATTAGCCATGCATACTAACAGCTAATAGAATTGGTTTAAAATAATATCTTAGCTGGGTGCAGTGGCTTATGCCTGTAATCCCAGCACTTTGGGCGGCCGAGGCAGGTGGATCACTTGAGGTCCAGAGTTGGAGACCAGCCTGGCCAACATGGTGAAACCCCGTCTCTACTAAAAATACAAAATTAGCTGGGCGTGGTGGCATGCACCTGTAATCCCAGCTGCTTGGGAGGCTGAGGCAGGAGAATCGCTTGAACCCGGGAGGCGGAGGTTGCAGTGAGCCAAGATCGTGCCATTGCACTCCAGCCCGGGCGACAGAGAAAGACTCCATCTCAAAAAAAATAAAATAAAACAATAAAATAACATAATATCTTTTGCTCAGAGGGGGATATCCAATCTCTCCTTTTTTGATTGGAACCCGGATTTTATTCATAGTGGTGACCTGCCCAGTGTGAAATGCTTCCCCGACTCTCTTACAGCTAGGGTGGTTATTTGATGTAATTCTGGCCAGTGAGATGTACATGGAAGTCTCTGGATGGAGCTTCTGGGAAAGCTGGGGGACAGACCTAGCTGGCACAAGCCCTTTTGTCTGTTGCCCTTGGCCTTATCCCCTTTCTTTAGTTTGGAATGCACACCCAGTGCTTGGAGGTGTAGCAGCCAGTGTTTGAGCATAAGAATTCTACGATGGCAGAGCAGAAAGCTAGGCTCTGAGTCCCCAATAGACTCATGGAACCGTCATGCAGCCAGGGACTGCCCACCTCCTGGGGACTGCTGACCTTCAGCTTCTGGCATGTGATGAAGCCACTGCAGCTGGGTTTCTGTGACATGCAATACTGACTGGTACAGTTAAGAGTTGTAAAATTTAGCCAGCTTGAGAATTCCCAACAGCGAAAAGTAGCCCCAGGATGAAATTACACTGCGGCAAAAGCCTTAAATGTAATAAGCTGGCCAGGTGCAGTGGCTCACACCTGTAATCCCAGCACTTTGGGAGGCCGAGGCGGGCGGATCACGAGGTCAAGAGATCGAGACCATCCTGGCCAACATGTTGAAACACCGTCTCTACTAAAAATACAAAAATTAGCTGGGTATGGTGGCGCATGCCTGTAATCCTAGCTACTCGGGAGGCTGAGGCAGGAGAATCGCTTGAACCCGGGAGATGGAGGTTGCAGTGAGCCGAGATCACAAGCTACTACACTCCAGCCTGGGCGACAGAGTGAGACTCCATCTCAAAAAAAAAAATGTAATAAGCTTATGCTCATTAGGGATTGTGTAACACATGGAAACAGTAAAGAAGGTCTGTAGCCTACATGAGTAGAGAGAGCTACTCCTGTTTTCTGAGAAAGGGAATCTCACCTGGGAAAGCTGTGGAAGGAGATGAGTGACTTCATGGGCTAGAGAGGATGCCGGAAATGTCAGTCAAGGATTACGTGACTCCTTGTGCTAATCACAAGAAGTCTTGATCAGGACCAAGATATATTTCACCCGATTCAGATAAAGGATGCTCAAATTAGGTAGAGGGAAAACCCAGGTGTTAAGATGCAGAGATTAGAGCAGATGTCTGTCTGTAGAGACAAGAATGCTTTCACGCAATCCGTGCCATCTGGACAGAGCTTTACTATAAATCACAGTTCCCCAAAGGGAGGCATGTGGTTCCCGAGGGGTGCACTAGATGATGTGTGGTGGCCCACAGCTCTAAGAAACATTGGATCTCATGCTGAGCTAGTTATTCTCTAATTCTTTTTTAGATTTGTCTATTTCTTGAATAATTGATGCATGCGGTTTGTACAAATTCCAAAAGAGCATGCTTCTCCCACCTCTGGCCCCAGGCTCTTTTTTTCTTTTTCTTTTCTTTTCTTTTCTTTTTTTTTTTTTTTTGAGATGGAGTCTTGCTCTGTTGCCCAGGCTGGAGTGCAGTGGCTCAGTCTTGGCTCACTGCAACCTCTGCCTCCCGGGTTCAAGTGCTTCTCCTGCCTCAGCCTCCCAAGTAGCTGAGATTACAGGCATCCACCACCAGGCCCAGCTAATTTTTGTATTTTTAGTAGAGATGGGGTTTCACCGTGTTGGCCATGCTGGTCTTGAACTCCTGACTTCTGGTGATCCGCCCATCTCGGCCTCCCAGAGTGCTGGGATTACAGGCATGAGCCACTGTGCTTGGCCCCCAGGCTCTTTTGAAGCAACCATTCTCCCATCCAGGTACCAACCAGGCCTGACCCTGCTTAGCTTCCAAGATCAGATGAGATCGGGCGTGTTCAGGGTGGTATGGCAGTAGACGAAGCAATCATTCTTACCAGTTCCTTGTGTATTTTTCCAGATGTACTTCAGCATGTGCAAACGATACATTCCTATAGCCTCTTTCTAAAAAGTTAATGGAAGCATACTATCCACAACTGCCCTGTACCTTGCCTATCTCACTTATCAGTGGGTTCCACATCATACATATAGAACTGCCTCCTTCTTTTATAAAGACTCATGCTATTCAACTGTATGACTGGTATATAATTTACCCAGTTCACTGTTGATAGACTTGTTTCCAACCATTTCCAACCATTATAAGAATTGTTGCAATAAATATCCTTATATGTATTTCATTTTGCATATTAGTTAATCCATGCGTTCCACAAATATTTTCCGAACACCTACTATGCACCAGGTCAGGTCTAGGCACCAGAGGCAGAGCAGTGAACACAATAGATGGAGTCCCTGCATCATGGAGCTGCCATTCTGTAGTGGAGAATAGCCATAGGATTAACTACTAGAAGTGGGTCACACTTTCAATTCTTCTAATTAAGTCAAGTAGAAAGTCTCACTTTGGTGCCAATGTGTCTTTTTTTTTTTTTTTTTTTTTTTTTTTTGAGACTGAGTCTCGCTCTGTTGTCCAGGCTGGAGTGCAGTGGTGCAATCTCGGCTCACTACAACCTCCACCTTCCCGGGTTCAAGTGATTTTCCTGCCTCTGCCTCCCGAGTAGCTGGGATTACAGGTGTGTGTGCCACCAAGCCCAGCTAATTTTTGTATTTTTGGTAGAGATGGGGTTTCACCATTTTGGACAGGCTGGTCTCGAACTCCTGACCTCAAGTGATCCACCGGCCTCGGCCTCCCAAAGTACTGGGATTACAGGCATGAGCCACCGCACCTCGCTGAGTGCCGATATGTCTTTAATGTATCTCTCTCTGACACTTGTAAATTTCTTTAAGACAGAAAGTGCTGGCCTTAGGTTTAGAGTGTATGACAGACCACAGAGCCTAGCTAGAGTTGAATAACAATGTTTGGTTGTTACTGGATTTATTTCTATATAGCAAATGTTATTGATTTTCCATCTATAGTCAAAATATGAAGGTTCCCTTTAAAATACGCAGGTTCCTTTCAAAATAATTTTTTAAACTTATTTTTTATTTTATTTTATTTTTTTGAGGCAAGGTCTCTCTCTGTCACCCAAGCTGGAGTGCAGTGGCACCATCATGCCTCACTGCAGCCTCAACTTCCTGGGCTCAAACAATCCTCCCATCTCAGCCTCCCAAGTAGCTGGGACTACAGGCATGCACCACCATGCCTGGCTAATTTTGTTTATTTTTTGTAGAGACAGGGTCTCACTATGTTGCCCAGGCTGGTCTCCAACAACTGGATTCAAGCAATCCTCCCACCTCAGCCTCCCAAAGTGCTGGGATTACAGGCATGAACCACCGTGCCCAGCCTCAAAATAATTTAAGTAAAAAAAAAATGAGTCAATATAGAGAAGAATGTTAAGTAAATTAATAACATAGGTGGAATTCAGATGTGGAAAAAACCCACAAAGGTGATAGTCAAATGAGTGAGGTTAGGAAATCATCAAATTAAACAAAGCAAGGAGAAAAGGCTAGGCTTATTATATTGTATTTTATGTTTATTTTTGTATCTTCACTCATCTTTCATGTTGAAACATTCTCACCTCCATAATTCTTCCTAGGCAGCTGATTTGCTTATCATTTATTATTGTTTACTACTTATTTGGTGATTCTTATACTTAGATTTCCTGGAGTTCCTGGTCATGAAAATTTTGCTTTGTGGGTTTTTTTTTTTTTTTTTTGAGATGGAGTCTCGCTCTGCCACCAGGCTGGAGTGCAGTGGCGTGATCTCGGCTCACCACAACCTCTGTCTCCCAGGTTCAAGTGATTCTCCTGCCTGAGACTCCCGAGTAGCTGGGATTACAGGTGCATGCCACCAAGCCTTGCTAATTTTTGTATTTTTAGTAGAGATGGGGTTTCGCCATGTTGACCAGGCTAGTCTCGAACTCCTAACCTTGTGATCCGTCCGCCTTGGGCTCCCAAAGTGTTGGGATTACAGGCGTGAGCCACCGCGCCGGGCGCTTTGTTTTGCTTTCATGAACTGTCACCAATTTGCATTCTCTTAGAAGATCTCTTTCACTTTGAATCCCCCAAAGGCCCCGCTCTCTTTGTCATTGCTGGCTCTGGAGGGGGTTGGAGATGCTCCTGCTGGGGACCTTGATGCAACACCCTTAGTCAGATTTTCGTAATCTGGCTGAGGCTTGCCCTGTAATTCTCTAAAAATATAATATGATGAAACAACCAAGACCAAGTAAGCCTTCGAGGAGATCTCAAAGCCAGAAGCTTCTGAACAGTGCCCATAACCACAAGTGGGGCTGTAATCACCCACAACTTGTTAGCTAAAGACACAAACAATTAGCTTGGTGGTTGGAAAGGTAAACAAGGGGCATTTCACAAATGTG
Source organism: Homo sapiens (assembly GCF_000001405.40). Classification (NCBI taxonomy): domain Eukaryota; kingdom Metazoa; phylum Chordata; class Mammalia; order Primates; family Hominidae; genus Homo; species Homo sapiens. Next base: position 20,451 of record NT_167251.2, read on the forward strand.
TTCTTTAGGTCAAGTAGGTGGTAGTAAGTCTCTAGCTGTGGTTGTTGGCTTTCTCTGCGGCACAGGTCGGAGAGTGGGTGATACCTCTGGGCCCTGGGCAGAGTACATTTGAGGTGGGCAGTAAGAGGGACCGCAGCTGAATGGAGAGGGAGTAGGTGGGAGCACGCAGGGCTCCAAGGCAACTGAAGGAGCACCTGGGAGCCTGAGAAATAAGAGACAACAAAAAGTAAGGCCATCCATTAGAGGGCAAGTCCTTGAGTTTTGAAATCTAGTGGAGCTCTCAATTAATGACTGAGGACCTACCATGTACCAGGCCCTGACTTAAACTTTTTTTTTTTTTTTTGAGATGGAATCTCGCTCCGTTGCCCAGCCTGGAGTGCTGTGGCACAGTCTTGGCTCACTGCAACCTCCGCCTCTTGGGTTCAAGCGATTCTCCTGCCTCAGGCTTCCGAGTAGCTGGGATTACAGGCACCTGCCACAATGCCCAGCTAATTTTTTGTATTTTTAGTAGAGGTGGGGTTTCACCATGTTGGCCAGGCTGGTCTTGAACTCCTGACCTCATGATCTGCCCGCCTCAGCCTCCCAAAGGGCTGGGATTACAGGCATGAGCCACCTTGCCCGGCCTGACTTAAACATTTTTATAAGTACCAGCTCAGCGGTTCTCAAGCTTTTTGGCTTGTTCATAAATTTTTTTGAGGACTCCAAAGAGCTTTTGTTTTTATAGATGATATCCGATGGTGTGATGGTACATGTTTAACAATTGGTTCTCTGCTGAAAAGTCCTAATTTGTAGCACTTACCAATTTCCATAGTGTAAATACTTCCACCATGGCCAATTTCTTTTTCTTTCTTTCTTTTTTGTTTTTGTTTTTTTTTTTTTTTGAGACGGAATCTTGTTCTGTTGCCCAGGCTGGAGTGCAGTGGTGCAATCTTGGCTCACTGCAACCTCTGCCTCCCGGGTTCAAGAGATTCTCCTGCCTCAGGCTTCTGAGTAGCTGGAACTACAGGCATCTTGAACCCCAGACCTCAGGTGATCCACCCGCCTCGGCCTCCCAAAGTGCTGGGATTACAGGCGTGAGCCACCGTGCCTGGCCCACCGTGGCCGATTTCAAGATACCAACCTAACATCACTGAATGTGAAATGGGAAGAGATATGTACAGTCAACTTTCCCAAGCCAGTGCAAGCAGACTGTGCACCGCTGGAATTTTTATTGATATTTACAGTACTGGAAATTAAAACTCATAAATTTAAAAAAATGCCTTCACTAAAAATACTAATAACCCATTACATATGAATATAAACATTCTTTTTGAAAATAACTATTTAGAAAAATAAAAAATAATTACTGAAGACAGTGGCATTGTTTTATATTTTGCAAATCCCTTTAATCTAGCTTAATGGAAGACAGCGGCATTCATAGATCTCCATTCAATCAGTTGTGATGTCCTATATCACGTGGTCTTTGGAAAACTCCACAAAAGAGCACTAAAGGTAAATAATGTCTTAGCATTACTATGGAAATAGTTTTGACCTCATGGACCCCCTGAAAGAGTCCTGGGGACTTCCAGGGGGTCCCAGGACCATACTTTGAGAATAGCTGTACTAATGCATTTACTTTTTCCAAGGAGCCCAGTGAGGCAGGTTTTCTTATATCCCCATTTTGCAAATGAGGAAATTGAGGTACAGAGTACTTACCCAAGGGCACTAAGCTAGAAATTGGCAAAGTCAGCCAGACATGGTGCCTCGCACCTGTTATCCCAACACTTTGGGAGGCCAAGGCGAGAGGATTGCTTGAGCCCAGGAGTTCAAGACCAGCCTGGGCAATAGAGTGAGACCTCGTCTCTGCAAAAAATTTAAAATAAAATAAATCAAAAAAGAAAATGGTGGCTGGGCATGGTGGTTCACGCCTGTAATCCCAGCACTTTGGAAGGCTGAGATGGGTGGATCACTTGAGGCCAGGAGTTCAATACCAGCCTGGGCAACATGGTGAAACCCTGTCTCTACTAATAATACAAAAATTAGCCAGGCTCGGTGGTGCGTGCCTGTAATCACAGCTACTTGGGAGGCTGAGGTGGGAGAATCTCTTGAACCTGGGAGGGGAAGGTTGCAGTGAACCAAGATGACACCATTGCACTCCAGCCTGGGTGACTCTGTCTCAAAAAAAAATAAAAAGAAAAGAAAATGGCAAAGTCAAGATTCCAACCCAGTCAGTCTATACAGATGGGCAGTTGAGTTGGTGACTATCACTTATTAGATATGTGATCTTGGTGATAATTAACCTCTCTGAGCCTGAGGTACTGTCATTTGACCAACCCATTGTCATCCCCTAGGTTAGGCAGGACTCGACTTTCTCCCTTGTACCCAGCTCTCACTGATGGGGCATCATCTGTGCTCCCTTAGAACCTTCTTTTTTTCTCTGCTCACCTGACACTTTATCCCACACTACATGGCATTAATTGTCTCCATCAGACTGTGTGCACCCCATGAGGACAGACACCACATCTATCTTGATTACATTTGTGCCATCAGTGTCTGCAGCAGGTCTTCAAACGTCTTTGCTGAAGAAATAAGTGAAGAAATAAATGGATAGACATTTTGCAAGAAGGCAGGACACAGTCCATCCTACCTAGGGCTCTTCTCTGTGGCTCGAGGGAGAGGAGTGGCAGTGGGGGAGTGGAAAGGGGATAAAGTGATCCTGCTCCCAAATGGCACTTACATACACTTGCCCAAGCCTGCTGCGTCATCCTAATTACGGGACAAATTCTTGCCTGGAGTCTCCTCCACTCAATGTTCCCATTACTTGGCACTCAGACGCTTGAGTTAGCAGCCCCTCCAGGTATACCTTCATTCTTCTAGAAACTTCTGTATCCTCTGTGCACTAGAGGTCCACGTAGTACATATAGAGCTGCCTTATTCCTTGCAAAGACTGCATACTACCCCATTGTATAATTGGCATATAATTTGCAGATGGCGGGCTCTGCTTTTTCCCTTCATATCCTGGGCTATGTGATGAGTTACTGGCATCCACCCCCACTACCCTTTTGTAAGGCAGTTAAATCTTTTTATGTCATCACCTACAGAAAGGGTCCAGGGACAAAAGAGTGGCCCACACCACTTGGGGCCCAATTAATGACTACACTTGTGGAGGCTGGGGACTCTGGCAGGTGGGAGCGGTTAGATAGAGGCTCTCCTTAGGGCCTCGCAGCTTCCTCTTTTGCTATCTATACGGTCCTTTCCAGCGGTGACCTTCTAGGAGTCTCAGAAGCCCCAAGAAGGGAGAAGTGTAATTGTGGGGGAGGGAGGGAGCAGTGCAGAGACAACCAGCCAGGGTTCTGCCTGGAAGGTCAGGGGGCTGAGCTCTGGCACCAGAGACCTTTAAGAAGCAAAAAGGAACTGAGAAAGCAGCCAGGAGTCTGCTCAGCCTGGAGTTCCTGGAATTCTGCTTTGTGGGTGAGCTTCCTGTGGCAGCCAAGGCCCCTTCTGACTAACAGGAGATGAGAATGGGAGGTGAGGAGGGTGGGTAGAGAGGTGGCTGGGCCTGCCAGCTCTCCTGGGCACTGCCAGCTCCCCAAACTGGCTCCAGATTTCCTCCAGGAACTGAGCTGAGATTCCTGGGAATCTCACCCACTTGGGTGACTTGCTGCCTGCCTGCTGAGCAGAGGTTGGGCAAGTCTACAAGTCAGGTTCTCTTCCCACCCAGCATCAAGCTGTCTGCCCACTTGGTCTGGAGTAGGCAACAAAACCAAGGCCATGATCTCTGGAAAGCCATCTCTAAAACATGAACTTTACATAGGAGGGAACAACTGGCCCCACAGCCATTTTTATTAATATGATTAGGTGGTTGCCACCTTGGAAAGCACTGTGAGCCTGGCCTGGGCTGCAGGACTGATGAATTTCAGTAGAAGGGAGGAGAAGAAGGAATCAGGAGCAGGAGGCGGGAGCCAGGGAACACCAGCAGGGGTGGGATTCTTACCGACTTGGGGTTGGAACCACTCCTGAGGTTGCAGACAAATCCAGGGATCCCATTTCCTCCCTCCACCCACTGTCAGTGCAGGTGAAATCTTGCTAAAATAAAAATCAAGGGTAGCCTTGGCATACTGTTGACTTCTCATACTATGTCATAATTGTTGTTCGCACACGTGCCTCCCCTTCTAAACTGTGAGGTTCTGGAGGATGGAGGCCTGGGTTGGATTCACCTCTGGACACCAGCCTCCTGCACTGGGCTTGGCACATGGAAAGGGCTCAATAGATATTACATGAATGAGTGAAGGAGCCTGACTGAGCCCTCCCCATATGCCAGGCCCACCAAGGGGGAGCTACAAGCAAGGGCAGTTGATTGGGATGGAGGTGTGGACGCACCTGTCTGGCAGCTGCTTGCTTTGTTTTCACTGCTTATAGCTTCCTCCTCCTCCTCCTCTCCCTGGAGCTGCCCTGGTCTCTAAATGCTTAGATAAGGTGGTTTATTCATCCATTCAACAAATGTTTATTGAGCACCTGCTGTGACAGGCCCTGGGTTCTGCATGATTGGGAATGAAACCTACACATTTCCTGCCTCCTCCAGCTCCTAGTCTAGTGTCATTAAATAAGTAATTACAGTGAGTAGTAACAAACACTGTGACTTGGTAGGTCTCATAGAGCTAGGGTGATGGTATAACTTGTTATCCTAACTGGGACACCTTTTGGGAGTAAAAGTGATGGTTGCCGGTTGAGTTCCCCAGGAAGCAGATTCTGAAATGGAGATTAGTGTGCAGAAAGTTGATTAGGAGGCCGTGAGGATCAACACCTGTGAAAAGGAAGGGACCAAAGCAAGATTGAGCAGAGGGAGATGTTGGGATGTGATGGAGTCTCAACGAAGGCCTCAGCCAATCCCACAGGGCACCTTCGGCTGAGATGGCCCTTCAGCTTCATCTCCAGTTGGAGTGAGGAGGCCTGGCCTTCATACCATTATGTTGATAAGTCACTGGATACTGGCTACCTCTGGAAGGAGGTATGACCTTGGGCGAGGCTGTTCTCAGTTGAGACAGTCTTCAAAGAAGGCTGACAGCTGAAGGCATCTTCCCATTGCCAATAGCCAAGGATTTGGGTGGCACTTCCCAGCATCTGCCACAGAAGCACTGTTGATAATTATGTCCAGATAATAGGCGTTTGCAGGGCTGGCCCAAGTACCCACAGCAAGAGCACCTGGCTGGGAGTTTCAGCTGGGATCCTGCACAAATGTGGTGTGGCAGAAAGCTCCCAGCAATAGGAACAAGCCCGGGGCTTGCTCAACCTGCATTCTCTTCATGGCTATCTCTCCTTTCTCTCACCTGTTTCCTTTCCTTTTTTTTTTTTTTTTTAGACAGGTTCTCGCTCTGTTGCCCAGGCTGGAGTGCAGTGGTGCCATCATGGCTCGCTGCAGCCTCAAACTCCTGAGTTCAAGGGATCCTCCCACCTCAGCCTCCCGAGTAGCTGGGACTACAGGTGTGTATCACCATGCCCAGCTAGTTTTTTGATTTTTTTGTAGAGGCGGGGTCTCACTATGTTGCCCAGGCTGGTCTCAAACTCCTGGGCTCAAGTGATCTTCCTGCCTCAGCTTCCCAAAGTGCTGGGATTATAGGTGTGCACCACCATGCCTGGCTTCTTTGCTTTATAGAACCAGTCATGGCTGTCACATGCTACATCACCTACTTCGTATCATTCTATCACTCATTTTCCATGCATTCTATTCTTTAATTTGTGGTGAGGTGGGTGTCATTATTATTCTCACCCCATGGATCCAAACTATCAGGCAGTCCTTTCCCTATTACTTCCAAAACAGAGCCCAACCATTCCCTTTCTCTGTCTTCAACACCTCCGTCTTGGTGCAAACCACCACCATCTCTCCCCTAACTGCTGACATTGTTTTGATTTTGAGCCCAGGTAGCCAACAGCATGGATCTGCTGAGAAGGCAGATGACAGCAGTAAAACAACAGCAGAAACAGACCACGGACAGAGGCCCAGGTAGAGCACGTACACTGAGAAAACTCCAGGAAAGCCAAAAGCATGGTATCTGAACCGAGAGATAAGCACATGAGCTGAAAGCTCAGGATATTCCCTCTTCAGAACAAAATTGAGAGCAGGGGAGCACAGGGGTTAACAGCATGGCTTCTGGGCCAGAACGCCTGGGTTTCTGTAACCTTGGACCAGCTTCTTGATGTCTCTATGCCTCAGTTTCCTTGTCTGTAAAACAGGGGTGATGATAATAGAACCATCATAAGGGGTTTTAGGTGAAGTAATCAGTCACCATGGGTAAGGTATTTAGAGCAGTGCTCTGCCAGGGTTAGCTGCAGGTATTACCCTGGGAGCTACCATCTTGGTCCACATTCAGTGTGGCCAATGTGGCTGTTAGCACTCCTTGTCTGCTCCCATCTCCAACACCTTACCCCCATGTGGAGTCATTTATTCATTCAACAAGTATTTCTTGAGCGCCTACTCACGTATCAGGCATTGAACTCTTGTGTTATTTTCCTATATCCCAAAAGTCACTGAGCTGAAGGGCAGGCTGACCTAGGCTTGCTTTCTGCTGCACAGGGGAGGCTCCATTCCCCATCATTTCTTGTTCATGCTCAAGGTCATCCAGATGAAAAGCCAGCTTCTGTGTGGCTCAGCTGCCTATTGTTCTCCCTTTTGGATCTCTGTCTGCTGGGTCTGAGTCCTTGGGCTTAGAGTGAGCATGAGAATGACCCTTAGGCCCTGCTTTCAGACCCCAGAGGGCTCAGCGGGAAAGGAGGCTGAGCGGTTTACTTGGGCCCTTTGCAGGGTGGGGCCCTGCCCTGTCTCGTGGGTGCCTCCTCCACATGGATCCTCCCTTGGCCATGGCCTCGTGTACTCCTGGCCTGAGTCTCCTTTTTCTGGGTGGCCGCTCTCCATCTCAGGAAAGGGCCTGGAAGGGATGAGGGAGGAGTTCACAGGAGAGAGAAGAGGGCAGAGGCAAGTGGAAGAAAAGAGAGAGGCCAAGTCAGGCAAGAGGGGTTGAGAGGGAGGAGGAGGAGAGGATGCTGATGATGACATCTGACATGATTGATTAATGCATGCCTTAATTCCTAGGAGGTCAGAGCTGTTATTATCCCCACTCTACGGTGGAGGCTGAGGCAAAGTGGGCTATGAAACTTGCCCAAAGCCTTGGAGCTGGTAACTGGCAGAGCTAGAATTTGAACTTGAATAGTTTGACTCCGCCACCCCAGAAGGGTGCAGAATTCTCAAAAGACATCCCAAGGTGTGCAATGAATCGTGTTGAATGGACGGTGGGTTGTGTGTGTGTGTGTGTGTGTGTATGTGTGTGTGTGTGTGTGTGTTGGGGGGGCGGGGGGAGGCTGAAGGCTGTGAGTTGGCTCTTTTTTTTTCTTAAGAGTCAGTGTCATGGCTGGGCATGGTGGCTCACGCCTGTAATCCCAGCACTTTGAGAAGCCAAGGCAGGCAGATCACTTGAGGTCAGGAGTTTGAAACCAGCCTGGCCAACATGGTGAAACCCCGTCTCTACTAAAATAAAAAAATTAGCCGGGTGTGGTAGCGCAGGCCTGTAGTCCCAGCTACTCGGGAGGCTGAGGCAGGAGAATCACTTGAACCTGGGAGGCAGAGGTTGCAGTGAGCCGAGATTGTACCACTGCACTCCAGCAGCCTGGGCGACAGAGTGAGACTCCGTTTAAAAAAATAAAATAAAATAAAATAAAAAAGAGTCACGGTCTTGCTCTGTCACCCAGGCGGGAGTGTAGTGGTGTGATCATAGCTCACTGCAGCCTTGAACTCCTGGCCTCAAGTGATCCTCCCACCTCAGCCTCCCCAGTTGCTGGGATTACAGATGTAATCCCTGGTGTCTTTTGGCCCTGTCTGGTGAAGCGTCTTATCTTCCCCATGTAGTAACATCTCATGTACTCGGGTCAGGATCCTATGATCCTCCCACCAGAGGGAAACCTATATTCACCAGGTTCTGAGACAGCACTGTCCACAGCAGCAGTGTGAGGAGGGAGGTGGCTGTGGTGTGGGCACAGGCCTGATATCGGTCATTTCCTATCCCTGTGATCATAGGTGAGGCATTTAGCCTCATTTTCCTAAGTCACAAAATAGAAATAAGAAGTCGATCCTCATAAGGCCATGTGAAGCTGAAACTGCACAGGGGGAGGGCCTGGCACAGGGCGGGGGTGCGGTAAACGGGCGCAGTTGTGATTCCTGCAGCTCCCGTCACCAGCCTCACTGCTCGGTGGCTGGCAGAGCCCTTCCCACCCCACTCTCAGTCTGGCCTAGGTCCCCGGAGCAGGTAGGCAGGCACTTGCAGAAGCCCCCTCACTGTGTCACAGATGAGCAAATTGAAGCTCAGGAGGTCAGAGAGAACAAGGAGACCTTGCAGAGGTGTGTGGGGATCTGCCGGAGTCTGCGGGGGTATCAGGAAGAGAGGGCCCTCTGGGTGGATAGTAGGGGGCCCAGGGGCCCAGTGCAGCTCCCCCACTCCTCCCCCAGCCACTGAGTCCATCCACACGGCTGGGATCTATTGGCCCACAAATGGCCCCCATGTCCCTTTCCAGCAGCCTGACCTCATCCACTTGGAGAAAAACAGGAAGCTGGGCATTGCCAGGAATCGGAACACTCCCTTCCTCAGCTCTGGGCTGCAAGGATGCTGGGATGGCAGGGGGCTCTGGGAGAAGAACCTGGGACAGGGTGTGGGGTGGGGGCTCCACAGGCTAAGCCGGGGTGACCTGGGCTGCCCTTGGGGCTTTGGCTTTGGCTCAGTCGGCCGGACTTGGTCTGGCCTGGCATTGCTGAGCCAGACCAGGGGCTGGGAGGAAGCAGTGAGGTGGGGAGAGGGAGAAGGAGCTCCTGACTTTTCTCTCCCATGTCGAGACAGAGCCCTGGGGCACCAGGGCCACATCTGCCTTTTGCGTTCATGGGTCCCTTCCTCCACAGAAAAATATTACAAAGTATATTATACAACTGTGTTGGTATAAAGATGAATATAACCCAAGCTGGATTCATGATTATCTATTGATTATTATTTTGTTCAACATTTCTTCTGATTATAAAATAAAATTAAAACATTTTCAGCCAGGCCTGTAATTCCAGCACTTTGGGAGGCCGAGGCGGGTGGATTGCTTGAGCCCAGGAATTCAAGACCAGCCTGGGCAACATGGCAAAACCCCATCTCTATAAGAAAATGCAAAACTTAGCCAGGTGTGGTGGCACACTCCTGTAGTCCCAGACTCAGGAGCCTGAGGTGGGAGGATCACCGGAGCCCAGGGTGTTGGAGGGTGCACCGAGCTGCAATTGCACTGCTCCACTCCAGCCTGGGTGACAAAATGAGATCCTGTCTCAAAAAAAAACCACCACCACCAACATTTTCACGGGGCCCCAAAAGCGTCAGTGTGCCTCCTGTGTCTAATGGAGAATTTGGCCCCGTGGGGGAAGCTTCTAACGCTTTCCTGTCCTGCAGAATCCATGTACCCCCTACACAGCCATACAGCATAGCCATTAGCACCCAGGGGAATGCCAGCCCAGCCTAAAAACTGAACCTCCCCAAGCCCCAGTTTCCTCTTCTGTAGAATGGGAAAACCAAAATGCTTGCCTCCTGGTGCTTTTTTTTGTTTTGTTTTGTTTTGTTTTGAGACGTAGTCTCCCTCTGTTGCTCCAGGCTGGAGTGCATGGGATGATCTTGGCTCACTGCAACCTCCACCTCCCAAGTTTAAGCGATTCTCCTGCCTCAGGCTCCTGAGTAGCTGAGACTACAGGGACATGCCACCATGCCCGGCTAAATTTTGTATTTTTAGTAGAGATGGGGTTTCACCATGTTGGCCAGGCTGGTCTTGAACTCCTGACCCCAAGTGAGGCTCCTGCTGCTTGGCCTCCCGAAGTGCTGGGATTACAGACATGAGTCACCATGTCCAGCCCTCGTGCTCTTTTGAGATGATCCCATGAAAAGTGTCAGGTCCAGGACCTGACCCAGATAACCCCCGACTGTTTTCACCATGTATGTTCACCTCAGACCCTGGCAGAGACCCCAACAGCAGCAAGGTGCCTAGCTTTGGGGCTTAGGGACATTTCCAGGGCTGCCACACCTTTCACTTCTTTCTCCTCTCCTGCCTGTCCCTCTTGGACTCCTGCTCAGGGTCAGACCTAAGGCAACCATGAATCTAATACGTCGTGTTAGTCCAGTTCACAAGCCACTTTGGCTCCATGACTCCATCGGTCCTCAGAACTACCCCATGAGGGTTGTCTTGTGTGAGTCTTCACCCCATTCTCCCAGAGAGGATACCAACCATCAGAGAGGTTAGGTACCTGTCCAAGGTCACACAGCTAGAAAGGGCAAAGTTGGGACAAGCATTTAGATCTGTCAAGCCTACCCTCAGTTGGCACTGTTACATCTGACACCCCAAAATGTTCATGCCAGTCAGTATGTATGTGTGTGTGTGTGTGATGGTTCTTGTGACAAGGTAGGTGAGAAGGACTGGAGTGACTCTGGAGTCCTCAGGACCTTTCTGGGATGTGCTGACGGGTGGTTCACAGGGGTCCCTGGGCATCTGGGCTCCTGTCTTTGCCCTGCTTAAGGCTGGGGTGGGACCTGGTCCCTGTCTCCTTGGCTGTGCTGCAGTTGCACCCTCCTTCCTGTGCCCCTGCTCCTCCTCACTGGCTGTCTCAGTGCCAACAGAACCAAAGGAGCAAAGTGGCTTAAGATAACCCTGCCATTTTACATCAAAGCTCTAGGGTCATCTTTAATTTTTACTTTTTTTTTTTTTTTTTTGAGACAAGAGTCTCACTCTGTCACCCCGGCTGGAGTGGAGTAGTGTGATCTCAGCTCACTGTAACCTCGGCCTCCTGGGTTCAAGCGATTCTCCTGCCTCAGTCTACCCATTAGCTGTGATTACAGGCGCACACCACCATGCCCAGGTAATTTTTTTTGTATTTTTAGTAGAGACAGGGTTTTACCATGTTGGCCAGGCTGGTCTGGAACTCCTGACCTCAAATGATCCACCTGCCTTGGCCCCCCAAAGTGCTGGATTGTAGGTGTGAGCCACAAAATTTTTAAGTTGTTTGTTTGTTTGTTTGTTTGTTTGAGACAGGGTCTCATTCTGTTTCCCAGGCTGGAGTGTAATGGCCCGATCATAGCTCACTGCAGCCTTGACCTCTTGGGCTCAAGCGATCCTCCCACCTCAGTCTCTTGAGTAGATGGGACTACAGGTGTGTGCCACCATGCCCGGATTTTTTAATTTTTAAAACTTTTAGTAGAGAAGGGGTTTTGCCATGTTGCCCAGGCTGGTCTCAAACTCCTGGCCTCAAGCCATCCTCCTGCCTCAGCCTCCCAAAGTGCTGGGATTACAGATGTGAGTCACTGCGACTGGTGTAATTTTTAAGTTTGTATTGGAAAACAATTTACCATCTTCAAATATATATTATCTCACAAATAGAAATATAGTGAGAAGCTGGTATTCATGTTAGATTCCAGTAAAGAAGATTTAGGCTTAGGGTGAAGAAGGATTCACAGCCCATGAGTATTATTTAAGCACAGAAACTGATGACTGTGTACTGTGCAGTGCATGGAGAACCCTTTATAAAGAACTTCCAGGAGAGACTGAATTTATCTGGCAGGGATGGTTTGGGTTAAGGTTTTAACTTCTGTGCTGTTTTTGATTAAAATCTGCCAGCGCCTCTGACTGAGTTAGACCTCTCTGATCTCTTGTTACTTTGTTATTTCCTAAGAATCTGAGCTGGAGCTGGATGACAAATACGGTCCTCTGCCCCGTCAGCCATGGACCTGGGGGATGACCTCTCCTTTGCCAGAGGAGGATGGGAGCTGGTGGGTGCTGAGACTGACAGTGGATCCACCCAGGCGGAGAGTCTCTTAATGACTCGACTTGGATCCTGTCAGGGCTCTGCCTGCTCTCTTGCTCTTGGGGCATCCTGTGGCTCTCCCAGTAGGGGAGGAGGGGGCGTGGCTGGACGCTTGCTCGAGGCCCTCCCCATACCAGCAAAGTCCTGCCCCCTTGACTCCTGAAGGTAGGCTGGCTCCTTCTCCAGGCCTCCCTTCCTCACTTCCTGCCACTCTGCTGAAACAGGCTCCACGGTTCCTGCTGGCTCCAGCCTCCCGCTGGCCTCTTCCACGGCCCTCTGCATCTGAAGCTGCACCGCATCCGGGTGTGAGTCTTCAAATCGAGTCCATTGGCCCAGTTGGTTCTAAGTTCCCTGAAGGCTGAGACTCACCCTGCTCTGCTCACCATGCTATGCCCAGCTCAGCCAGCCCACGAGAGGAACCCAGGAAATATTTGTTGAACCCATTATTGTATGGATTAATATTGTAATGTAATAAAATGATGGATTCCACAAATATTTCCTGGAAGACGGGTGTGGAAGTCACACGGACCTGGGTTCATGTTCCATCTCAGCAAGCTGCTCAGCCTGAGTCCCTCAGGCTTGTTACCTTCAAAGTGGGGGTAATCATTCCACCGGGCTCATGGGGCAGCTGTGGGGAAACTGAGGCGTGCACATGCAACAATTAGCAGAATGCCGGGTGGGGCAGAGTACACACTGAAGGGATAGGAGCCACTATGATGAGACTCCCTCTTGTGCTGGGATGGTGAGGGCGAGGGCCCAGGATCCATCGTACAGGCGGATGCATGGTGAGCAGAACACGTGTGAGGCGGGGGGCCCGATGTGCCTTGGGATGGTAGGAAAGAATTCATCCCTGCCGTTGACACTGGCTAATATCATGTCAGATGGGCCAGAGAATATACCCTAGTGGTTGCCTATGGAGGTCGGCGAGAGAGGAGACGCGGCTAGCACAGGAAGAGGGGAGAGAAGGAAAGGGGGCACCAGCCAGGCAGACCAGGCAGGGTAGGTAAATCAAGCAATCCTCCCATCTTGGTCTCTCAAAGTGCTGGGATTATAGTTGTAAGCCACTGTGCCCAGCCTTCTCAGATTCTTTCCTGCCTTGCTAGGAGGGTGGGGAGCAGAGCAGAGGGGCTAGGCCCTGGGGGTGGGTAGGGAAAGAGAGACAGGCTCTGGCATCTACACCCAGATCCTAACCCCAGCTTTGCCACTGTGTGAATATGGACAAATCACCCTCTTTCTCACCCTAGGTCTCAGCTCCCCCTCTGTGCAGACACACTGACAGCCACATGTGGACTTCTCCCCCAGCTGCAGCTGGGAATCGGCCTCCAGTCAGAAGCAGGACAGGGAACAAGCATGGTGGTTTTGGTGTCATGGATTCAAATCCCAGCTGGATGACTCTGCTCACCTCACCTGCCTTTCAGTTTCCATGAGCTGCTATATAGCAGAGTGGTCAGGAGCACAGACTCTAGAGCCCGACCCAAGGTTAATCCCTGTTCTGCCACTGACTATGGGAACACAGACAAGGCACTTCACTCTGGGCCTCAGTTTACCAGTCTCTTAAATGGGGATGGATATAATCATCCTCTTCTCTAGGGATATTGTGAGAGTTAAAGGAGGTAATTAACATAAAACCCTTAGAACAGTGCTTAGCGCAGGTGAGGGTCATGTCGCTGAATATAAGACACTGTCTATGCATTACACTTTTAAAGATGTTAAAATGCAAAAATGTGCACCCCTATAATTGAGGAGGTAAGGTATAATTTCGAGATACTGCATAGAAAACATCACTGTAAACTCTAAAATAATAGGCAAAACCTAAAGTTCCTGGGTGTTTTCTGTGTGCCAGGCACTGTGCCAAGGACTTACAAGCATTGTCCCATTCAACCCTATAATAACCCTATGAGGAAGGTTATAGAATCATCTTCACTTTACAGATGAGGAAACAGAGACCCCAAGACATTAAGTGATTTGTCCAAGATCACACAGCTTTGTCCACATAAATGTTGGGCATTCATCACCACAACCGCAACTGTCCCACCCCTTTTTGGCTTCATCTGGTTTAGAAATTTTTTGTTTGTTTGTTTTTTTGTTTGTTTGAGACGGAGTCTCACTCTGTTGCCCAGGCTGGAGTGCAGTGGAGTGATCTTGGCTCACTGCAACCTCTGCCTCCCGGGTTCAAGCGATTCTCCTGCCTCAGCCTCCCAAGTAGCTAGGACTACAAGCACACGCCACCACACCCGGCTAATTTTTGTGTTTTTAGTAGAGAAGGGGGTTTCAGCATGTTGGCTAGGCTGGTCTTGATCTCCTGACCTCCTGATCTGCCCACCTTGGCCTCCCAGAGTGCTGGAATTACAGGCAAGAGCCACTGTGCCTGATCTAGAATGGTTTTACTCCATGGTTCTGGAACTTGGCTGCTTGTTGGAATCACTAGGGAGCTTTAAGAAATCCTGAGACTGGGCAAGATAGTGAGACCCCATCTCAAAAAAAAAAAAAAAAGCAACAACAAATTAGCCAGGTGTGGTGGCTTGTGCCTGTAGTCCTAGCTACTCAGGAGGCTAAGATGGGAGGATCTCTTAAGCCCAGGAAGTCAAGGCTGCAGTGAACTATGATAGTGCCACTGCCCTCCAGCCTGAAGTCTGGGGCTCCCCCTCAGAGATTTATATGTAATTGGTCTGGGATGTGGTCTGCACATTTGGGATTTTAAAAATGACCCCCCTTTCGGCCGGGCGTGGTGGCTCATGCCTGTAATCTCAGCACTTTGGGAGGCTGAAGTGGGTGGATCACGAGGTCAGGAGATTGAGACCATCCTGGCGAACACGGTGAAATCCCATCTCTACTAAAAATACAAAAAAATTAGCCAGGTGTGGTGGCGGGCGCCTGTAGTCCCAGCTACTCGGGAGGCTGAGGCGGGAGAATGGCGTGAACCCAGGAGGCGGAGCTTGCAGTCAGCCGAGATCATGCCACTGCACTCCAGCCTGGGCGACAGAGCGAGACTCCGTCTCAAAAAAAAAAAAAAAAAAAAAGACCCCCCTTTCAACAGCAGACAGGTGCTTCACACACACACACACACACACACACACGGAAAAAAATGACCCCCAGTGATTCTACTGTGCAGTCTGGGGTGAGAACTTCTGTTTTACTCCAGGTATGACTTCAGCAGCCTCCTAACTTCTCACCAGTTGCTCCCTCCCTGCCTGAAATCCATTTGACACAACCCAAAGACTTTCATAGCACAATAAAGATAAATGACTTAAAATGCAGAGACTGATTGAGGAGAGAAAATGGCTGACTCTCATTCCTACACATGTTCCATTGGGCAGCTGTAAGAGTCTTTCCTTTTTTTTTCTATTTTTTTTTAATAGAGATGGGGTCTCGCTATGTTGACAAGGCTGGTCTTGAACTCCTGGCCTCAAGTGATCCTCCCATCTTGGCCCCTCAAAGTGCTGGGATTATAGGTGTGAGCCACTGCGCCCAGTCTTGTCAGATTCTTTCCTGCCCTCCTAGGAGGGTGGGGAGCAGAGTGGAGGTGCTGGATCCTGGGGGTCGGTAGGGAAAGAGAGAGGATCTGGCAACAACACCCAGATCCTAACCCCAGCTTTGCCACTGTGTGAATATGGACCAATCACCCCCTCTCTCACCCTAGGTCTCAGGTCCTGCTCTGTGAAATGACATTTGTTTGAGGGCCAGCATCCTAGAGCTAGGGACACAGTCTCTAAGAACCTGCCTTCCAGCAACCCTCAAGGCCACACATCCGGGTAGCTTCCCTGGGGTCTAGCTTGCCCTGCCTTCTGAAGTTTATTTGTTTAACACAATCAAGTTATTACAAAGCTTAATTCCCAGAAGATATCACTGTACTTTTGAGCTTATGAAGCAACTCAAAGTAAATTTATGAGGTGTTGACAAGTAGAGGCCGTGGGGAACCAGCTTTTTGTTGCATAGAGAGTAATCTTCTATAGTCAGCTGGAGGCTTATCTTCAGTTAGATGTCGTCTAAGAGAAAACATTTCCTCTTTTGAGCAGATCAGCGTGGAGCCTCTGTAATAACTCTTTTGCACACTTAGTTAAAGGGAACCCTGTTCTGATTCCTGTGGTTAGCAATTAATTGATGAGGCTTTTATAGTTCTTGGAATAAAGAAGAAATGGAAATTCCAAAGAAGAGACAGACCTATAAAGCCCTTTTAATGAGATACATGAGTGGGTAGTGGTGGAGTAAGGGAGTGTCCTGGAACCAGCCTGAAGGGTGGGCCCAGGAAGCTGTTCCTACTCTTGGCTTTCAGAGTTTTGTGTTTTTTTCTTTTCTTTTTTTTTCCCCAAAGTCATGGCTGAAGGCCTTCCAGCTGTGGAGCTTAATCAGACCCCAGTGATTGCATAAATCACAAACATCTAGCACTAGCCCAATCAGGCCCAAACCCAACTCTTTTGAATGTTAGAACTTGCACATTTGAGGTCAAGTTCTGTTGGACACAGAGAGGAAGGGTATTCGGAAAAGGACAGACTTTTTCCAGAAACTCTTTGGCACCCAGCCTCCCTCCCCCCGAGTCAGATTTGGGAGCACATCCAAAGCAAGGCACCCACACAAAGACCAGGGACGCTTTCCAGATGAGATCCAGCCCCTTGTCTGCCCACAGGCATTGACTGAGTCTCCTTGTGCTCAGTGGGTTAGATACTTGAGCAGGAGCTGGGAGGTAAGTCAACTTGGCATCATCTCTGTCTCTAAGGGAGTTGAATAATCCTGTGTTCCATGTATTGTGCCTGGGATGGGAGTCAAGAGGTGAGAGAGGGCTGCCCCTCCTTTGGAGCAGTTTCTACAGGAGAGACAGGCCAGATGCCTGGCCTGACTGCCCTGCTGCCCCACCGAGATAGACCCCGGCTCTCGGTTCCACTCACGGTGAGTATTAAGCACCCCCTACGCTACACCATTGTATCCCTTCCTTACTCCACTGGCTGCCAATGCGCTGTCTTGTTGACCCAGCCTCCAAATAATAATTTTTCTTGATTATGGAGTTTTGGCACCTCCTGAAATTTTGCTCTCGAGGCAAGCGCCTAAATCAGCTAATCCTAATGGAGGCCCCGGCAAACATCTGACTGATGGTGACACATACAAAAGCAGCTTCAAGCCACAGTGCGTTAGTGCTTAGAAAAAAAGCCCCATGAGATTCCAAAGAGACATTTGCATAATTCTGGGTCAGTGCTTCCCAAAGTATATGCTGTGAAACATCAATCCTATGAGGTGCTTATCCAAAAGATAAGAGATTTTTGTGGACAAATAATTTTGGGAAATAATGCATACTCTAACTTCTGCCTTAGATATTCATTATGGACACGAACACGCTAAAAGCTCAGACTCCTGGGTGAAGAAACATCACTTTTCTAGCCCATCCTCTTTGGCTGCTTAGCTGGGTCAGCTTGGGCAACTCTATCAATGTTTCTTAAAGGGAAATGAGAGGGTGCTCATCTGAGAATCTCTTAAGGGTGCTTGTTAGAGAGTACTGGCCGGTCATGGTGGCTCACGCCTATAATCCCAGCACTTTGGGAGGCTGAGGTGGGTGGATCATCTGAGGTCAGGAGTTTGAGACCAGCCCAGCCAACACAGCAAAACCCCATCTCTATTAAAAATACAAAAATTAGCTGGGCATGGTGATACTCAGGAGGCTGAGGCAGGAGAATCGCTTGAACCTGGGAGGCGGAGATTGCGGTGAGCCAAGATTGTGCCATTGCACTCTAGCCTGGACGACAGAGTGAGGCTCCGTCTCAAAAAAAAAAAAAAAAAAAAAAAGGAAATAGAGAGTACCCAGCCCTGCTGCAGACTTTGCAAATCAGAGTCTCCGGAGCTCAGGAACCAGGAATTTGCTTTGAACAGTGCCCAGTTGATGGTGATGTATGTTCCACTTGAGAATACCAGATAAACTTTGCAGGGCCTTGGCTTTTCCTGAGTGTTGTAAATATCAAGATATAAGTTTGACCAACAGTTTAGTCAAAAAGAAACTTAGGCACTTCCCAACTCATTCTTTGAGGCCTGATACCAAAACCAGGCAAAGATAACACAAAAAAGAGAAAATTACAGACCAATACATATTATGAATATAGATGCATTCTCTGGTACAGAATGAGGCTTTGTCAAATTAAAAATAAGAAAAATTTATACTGGAAGTCCTAGGCAGAGAGATCAGGCAAGAGAAACAAAGGGCGTCCAAATTGGAAAAGAGAAAGTCAAACTATCCCTGTTTTCTGGTGATATGATCGTATACCTAGAAAACCCTAAAGACTCATCGAAAAGGCTCTTAGATCTGATAAATGAATTCAGTAAAGTCTCAGGTTACAGAATCAATGTGCACAAATTAGTAGCACTGCTATACACTAACAACGACCAAGCTGAGAATCAAATCAAGAAATCAATCCCTTTTTCAACAGCTGCAATAAATAAATAAATAAATAAAATACAATACCTAGGAACAGACTTAACCAAGGAGGTGAAAGATCTCTACAAGGAAAACTACAGAACATTGCTGAAAGAAATCACAGATGACACAAACAAATGGAAACACATCTTATGCTCATGGATGGGAAGAATCAGTATTGTGAAAATGTCCATACTACCCAAAGCAATCTACAGATTCAATGTAATTCCCATCAAAACATCATCATCATTTTTCACAGAACTAGAAAAAACAATCCTAAAATTCATATGGAACCAAAAAAGAGCCCAAATAGCTAAAGCAATGCTAAGCAAAAACAATCTGGAAGCATCACATTACTGGACTTCAAATTATACTACAAGGTTATAGTTACCAAAACAGCATAGTACTGGTATAAAAATAGGCACTTAGACCAATGGAACAGATAGAGAACCCAGGCATAAAACTAAATACAGCCAACTGATCTTCAACAAAGCATACAAAAACATAAACTGGGGAAAGGACACCCTATTCAATAAATAGTGCTGGGAAAACTGGCAAGCCACATGTAGAATAATGAAACTGGATCCTCATCTCTCACCTTATAGAAAAATCAACTCAAGATGGATCAAAGACTTAAATCTGAGACCTAAAACTATAAAAATTTTAGAAGATAACATTGGAAAAACTCTGCTAGACGTTGGCCTAGGCAAAGAATTCGTGACTAAGACTCCAAAAGCAAATGCAACAAAAACAAAAATAAATAAATGGAACCTAATTAAACTAAAAAGCTTCTACACAGCAAAGGAAATAATCAGCAGAGTGAACAGACAACCCACAGAATGGGGGAAATATTTGCAAACTGTGCATCCAACAAAGGACTAATATCCAGAATCAACAAGGAACTCAAATCAGCAAGAAAAAAAATAAAATAATTCCATCAAAAATTGGGCAATGGACATGAATCGACATTTCTCAAAAGAAGATATACAAACGGCCAACGAACATGTGAAAAAATGCTCAACATCAGTGGGAAATGCAAATTAAAACCACAATAAGGTACCACTTTACTCCAGCAAGAATGGTCATAATTAAAAAGTCAAAAAACAAAAGATATTGGTGTGGATGTGATGAAAAGGAAACACTTTGACATTGCTGGTGGGAATGTAATTAGTACAACTTCTATAGAGAACAGTATGGAGATTCCTTAAAGAACTAAAAGTAGATCTACCTTTTGATCCAGCAATCCCACTACTGGTTATCTACCCAAAGGAAAAGAAATCATTGTATGAAAAAGACACATACATATGCCTGTTTATAGCAGCACGATTCACAGTTGCAAACATATGGAACCAGCCTAAGTGCTTATCGACCAATGAGTGGATAAAGAAAATGTGGTATATATACACAATGGAATACTACTACAAAAAAGTACTAATATTTTTTGCTCCATAAAAAGGAACAAAATAATATGTTTTGCAGTAATTTGGATGGAGCTGGAGGCCATTATTCTAAGTGAAGTAATTCAGGAAGTAATTCAGTAATTCAGGTTCTCATTTATAAGTGGGAGCTAAGCTATGAGGATGCAAAGACATACAAAATGATATAATGGACCTTGGGAACTCAGGAGGCAGAGATTGGGAGAAGGGTGAGGGATAAAAGACTACATATTGGGTACAGTGTACACTACCTGGCTGTACACTAGCGTACACTACCTGGCTGTACACTAGCGTACACTACCTGGCTGTACACTAGCGTACACTACCTGGCTGTACACTAGCGTACACTACCTGGCTGTACACTAGCGTACACTACCTGGCTGTACACTAGCGTACACTACCTGGCTGTACACTAGCGTACACTACCTGGCTGTACACTAGCGTACACTACCTGGCTGTACACTAGTGTACACTTAGTGATGGGTACACTAAAATCTCAGAATTCACTACTATAGAAGTCATCCATGTAACCACTTGTACCATAAAAGCTATTGAAACACTTGTACCGTAAAAGCTATTGAAATTTTTTTAAAAATAAGAA
The DNA here is from genome assembly GCF_000001405.40 of Homo sapiens. Classification (NCBI taxonomy): domain Eukaryota; kingdom Metazoa; phylum Chordata; class Mammalia; order Primates; family Hominidae; genus Homo; species Homo sapiens. The sequence continues at coordinate 40,715 of NT_167251.2, forward strand.
AAATTTAAAATATAAAAATAAAAACAAAATGCCAACCACCAATTCCAACAGCATATCAAAGGATTATACGCCATGACAGAGTGGGATTTATTTTAGGAATGCAAAGTTGGTTGAATAAAAAAAATGAATGTAATACATTGTGTCAATAGAATAAAAGACAAACATCATATATCAATCCACACAGAAAAAGCATTTAACAAAATCCAACACCCCTTTATGATAAAAATAATCAACAAACTAAGACTAGTAAAGAACTCAGTTTGATAAAGGGCATAGACAAAAAACTCACAGTTAGCATCATATTTAATAGTGAAAGACTGGATGCTTTTCCCCTAAGATCAGGAACAAAACAAGGATATTCACTCTTGCTGCTTCTATTCACCATTGTGCTGAAGGTTCTAGCCAGGGCAATTAGGGAAGAAAATGCAATAAAAGGCATCCAGATTGGAAAGGAATAAGTAAAACTGTCAATATTCTCAAATGACATGGTCTTTTATATAGAAAATCCATTTTAAAAAAACTATTAGAACTAATAAGCAAGTTCAGCAAAGTTGTAGGATAAAAAAAATCAGTTGTATATCTATACACTTGCATTGAATAATCTGAAAATGAAATTTAAAAATGATCCTATTTGTAGGAATATCAAAAATAATAAAGTACTTAGGAATAAATTTAATAAAAAGGTACAAACCTTATACTTTTGAAAAATACAAAATGTTGTTGATAGAAATTAAGATCTAAATAAATGCAAAGACATCCCATATTTGTGGATTGGAAGACTTAATGTTGTTAAGATGACAATACTTCCAAAATGTATCTATACATTCAATGTAGTCCATATCAAAATCTCAGCTCGCCTCTTTCCGGGAATCAATAAACTGATTATGAAATTCATATGAAGATTCAAGGGATCCAGAATAGGCAAAACAATTTTGAAAAAGAAGAACAAAATTGAAGAACTCACACTTGCCAATTTCAAAACTTACTACAAAGCTACAGTAATCTAGACAGTATGGTACTGGCATAAGGATAGACATATTGATCAGTGAAATAGAATCAAGAATTCGGAAATACTCTCACCTTTATGATCAGCTAATTTTTGGCATGGATGCCAAAACAATTCAATGGGGAAAGAATTTCAAGAAATGGTGTTGGGATAACTGAGTAGCCACAAACACAAAAAAATTAAGTTGCCTCTCTACCTCACATTATATTAAAAAAAGTTACAAGTGGATGAAAGACCTAAAACTATAAAACTCTTTAGAAGAAAACATGGGGTTAAACTTTATGACCTTGGATTAGGCAATGGTTTGTTAGATATGATAATAAAAGCACAAGCAACAGTGACAACAAATAGATAAGATAGACTTCATCAAAATTGAAAACTTAAGTGCTTCAAAGGACACCATCAAGAAAGTGAAAGGCAATCCACAGAATAGGAGAAAATGTTTACAAATCATGTATCTGATAAGGGTCTGATATATAAAGAACTCTTACAACTAAATAAAAAATAACCTGATTTAAAAATGAGTAAAGGATCTAAATAGACATTTCCCCAAAGAAGACATGCAAAGGGCCAATAAACATGTGAAAAGATGCTCACTATTATTAGCCATCAAGGAAATGTAAATTAAAACCATAATGAAATATCATTTCACACCTACTAGGATGGCTGAGATTAAAAAGACCAAAACAGGCAATAACAATTGTTGGCAAGGATGTGGGGGAGAAAACATGATGATAGGAATATAGAACAGTGCAACTGCTTTGGGAAACAGACTGGCAGCTCCTCAAAAGGTTAAGCACAGAGTTGTATGATCCAGCAATTCCGCTCCAAGTTAGGTACCTACCCAAGATAACTACAAATATACAGACACAAGAACGCTTGCATGTGAATGTTCATAGCAGTATTATTCATAATAGCCAAAGAAGGTGGAAACAACCCAAATGCCCATCAACTGATGAATGGATGAATAACATGTGATATATCTATACAAGGCTATTATTTTAGTCTTGCAAAGGAATGAAGTTTTGATGCATGCTATGACCTGGGTTAACCTTGAAAACAGCATGCTGAGTGAAAGAAGTCAGGCACAAAAGGCCATGTACTGTATAATCCCATTTATTTGAAATGTTCAGAAGGAGTAAAAATCCATAGAGATGTAAAGTAGATTAATGATTGCTTAGGATTAAAATGAGGGTTGGGGAAGTGGGGGATGACTGCTAACCGGTATGGGGTTTCATTTTCAGGTGATAAAAATGTTCTAAAACTGATTGTAGCAATGGTTGCCCAACTCTGTGAATATACTAAAAATCATTAAATTGTACACCTTATTATTTTATTTTTGATTTAATTTTAATTTTTTGTGGGGGAGATCTTGTTTTATTGCCCAAGTTGGAGTGCAGTGGGGTGATCATGACTCACTGCAGCTTCAACCTCCTAGGCTCAAGCAATTCTCCCACCTCAGTCTCCCAAGTAGCTGGGACTACAGGCATGTGCCACCACACCAGGCTAATGTTTTAAATGGTTTTTTTTTTTGAGATAGAGTCTCGCTCTGTCGCCCAGCCTGGAGTGCAGTGGCACAATCTCGGCTCACTGCAACCTCCGCCTCCTGGGTTCAAGCGATTCTCCTGCCTCACCTTCCCGAGTAGCTGGGACTACAGGTGCCCCCCACCACGCCCAGCTCATTTTTGTATTTTTAGTAGAGATGGGGTTTCACCATATTGGCCAGGCTGGTCTTGAACTCCTGAGCTCAAGTGATCCACCCACCTCGGCCTCCCAAAGTGCTGGGATTACAGGCATGAGCCACCATGCCCAGCCGAATTGTACACTGTAGATGGGTGAATTGTATGGTATGTGAATTATAATCTCAATAAAACTGTAAGAAAAGAAACCTAGGGATGGAACTCCAGTTGCACCCCCTGACCAATAAGGCTCATCAGCCTCCTCACACCCAGGAGGAGACCAAGCATGACTCATTACCTCCACCTCTCGCTTCCTCTTCCCTCCTCAGTGTGTTTCCCCTTGGCTTCCCCATCCCACACGTGACCACACTTATCCACAGAACAAAGGAATCCTGGCCACTAACCTTAGGCTGGTGCTCAGCGTGGGTCCTCCATCTTCTAGGGTGATGCGTCTGGCTAATTTTCAAGATCTCATTCACCCCAACAAGCATTTACTTAGAACCTATGTTCTTAAAAGCACTTGAAGCAAATAAGTACAGCCATTGCCCTCAATTGCTTTCAGCCTAGTAGGAGCGATAAGATCTATCACTGAAGATTCAGTTGACCAGTTGACGTAAGAGCAAACCCCAAATAGCAATGGCTTAAATGAGATAGAACTTATTTCACTTACACAAAATAGAAGCCTGGAAGTAGGTAGTCCTGGGCTGGTTCTGTATTTCCTTGGCATCACTGGGTATTCAGGCTCTTTATGTCTCTCTGTGTCGTCCTAGCATGTGATTTTCCTGGGCCGAGATGGCTGTTGAAGTGGGTTGAAGAATGAATGGGGGCTGGGCATGGTGGCTCACGCCTGTAATCCCAGCACTTTGGGAGACCAAGGTGGGCAGATCACGAGGTCAGGAGTTTGACACCAGCCTGGCCAACATGGTGAAACCCCATCTCTACTAAAAACAAACAAACAAACAAACAAACAAAAATTTAGCCAGGGGTGGTGGCGCGCACCTGTAGTCCCAGCTACTCAGGAGGCTGAGGCAGGAGAACTGCTTGAACCTGGGAGGCAGAGGTTGCAGTGAACTGAGATCATGCCACTGCACTGCAGCCTGGGAGACAGAGTAATAAATAAATAAATAAATAATGATAATAATGAATGGAAATTGAGGCAGAGGGAGCAAAGCAATGGCACAGTAGTTGCATGTGCACATGCGTCAGGAGAGGAATTTTAAAAGATGGAAGATAGTAGAGGCAAATGAAATCTTTTTTTTTTTTTTTTTTGACGGGGTTTCACTCTATCACCCAGGCTGGAGTGCAGTGGTGCAATCTCAGCTCACTGAAACCTCCGCCTCCCAGGCTCAAGCAATTCTCCTGCCTCAGCTTCCCAGGTAACTGGGATTACAGGCGTGCTTCACCACGCCCGGCTCATTTTTATTTATTTTTTATTTTTTTGTATTTTTTAGTAGAGACAAGGTTTCACCATGTTGGCCAAGCTGGTCTGGAACTCCTGAGCTGAAATAATCCACCCGCCTCGGCCTCCCAAAGTGCTGGGATTACAGGCATGATCCACCACGCCCAGCTGAAAGGATCTAATTCAGAGACAGAGGCTGGTGATGGCAGAGGAGGGAGAATGTCTTACGAGTCCAATCAGTTATTAAGGAGGTGAGAGGAGACAGCGTCTACTGCACTTGTGGAGCAAATGGCCTTGGAGAGGAGCAGGGATACGCTTCCAATTGTCACAAGGAGGAGAGCATGGCACTGATGGAGAGGTGGGAAGGAAAGGACATTCCTGAGGAGGGACAGGTTCTGTTTTTTAAATAAAGGTGGCCTTCCTGCTTTCCCTCCTGCCTGCCTGCCTTCCTGCCTTCCTGCCTTCTTGCCTTCCTGCTTTCCTGCCTGCCTGCCTTCCTGCCTTCCCTCTCTCACTCTTTCCTTCAACAAGCATTTATTAAGCACCTACTGCATGCCACGGCACTGCTCTAGACACTGAGACTATAGCAGCAAATAAACAGACAAAATCCGCTATCTTCCTGGAGCACACATTCTATTGGGTGGAGAGTGTCAACTAATAAAATGAATAAGTCAGTTTTATCGATGTTAGAAGATGGCCAACGCTACAGAGAAAAGTAAAGCAAGCAAGAAGGTAGGGCATTTTGATGGGAAGAAGAGAACAAGAGAAGGATTGTGGAGGAAAAGTGGTGGGGTGGCGGGATTGCAGCTCTCCTCACTCAGAACACTGGTGCAGTGGGGAATGAGAGCCAGAGGGCCAGAGGGGTGGGTGATGGTGTCTAAGTGTGGGATCCTGAAATCAGGATGTTGGAGGTGGGACAAGGTCTAGAGTGTGCTATGCAAACGGGTGGCAGAGTTGGAGTGGAGCAAAAGGTCTTTGGAGGTGAGGAGTTCAAGTGACTGAGAAGCCAGGGTATTGAAGTTCACACATGTGGATGGTGAGGTCACAAGAATGTTGACAGGGCTGGAGTGGAGACAGTGCCTGGAGCTAAAGTCCACAATGAACAAGGAGGTTGGGCAGGAGACAGATGGATGCACTGGAGAGAGGTACAGAGTGGTTTAGCCAGTTAGTGTGCACTTCAAAGGAACTAGGGTTTTTTTGTTTTTGTTTTTGTTTTTTTGAGACAGAGTCCCGCTCTGTCACCCAGCCTGCCTGGTGAGCTGTGGCATGATCTCGGCTCTCTGAAACCTCCGACTCCCGGGTTCAAGCAATTCTCGTGCCTCAACCTCCCGAGTAGCTAAGATTACAGGTGTGCGCCACCCTGCCCGGCTAATTTTTGTATTTTTAGCAGAGATGGGGGTTTCACCATGTTGGCCAGCAGTCTCAAACTCCTGACCTCAAGTGATCCACCCGCCTGTGCCTCCCAAAGTGTTGGGATTACAGGTGTGAGCCACTGTGCCTGGCCAGAACTAGGGTTTTTGAAGGAGGAAGGAAGAGAAAGGACTTGGAAAGAGTAGTAGGGAGTAAGAAAAACACGTGTCCCTCTCACCTCCTGGCTCTGAGGATCCTGGAATAGGAGAGAAACAATAGCTTCCTCTGAGCCAGGAGGAAGTATATCTCAGGGACTTGCTTGGTTTCCATTAGGGCCAGGAAGTAGGGGGAAACTTCCAGAAGAGGTTGAGAGTAGGGTAGAGTGGGAGTTCCAGAAGAGGTTGAGAGTAGGGTAGAGTGGGAGTTCCAGAGAGCTCAGCGGGAGGGCTTGGGAAGATGAGAAGAAGGCTTGGCCAGCCTGGGATGAGTGTCTGGTAATGGTGGATCAATGGTGGCTTCTTCTGGTGAACAAGGATGCAGGCCTGATGGGGTAGTTTTCAGTGTTTTGTTTTTGTTGTTGTTGTTCGTTTGTTGTTTTTTTGTTTCGTTTTGCTTTTTTTTTTTTTTTTTGAGACAGAGTCTCGCTGTGTTGCCCAGGCTGGAGTGCAGTGGCACGATCTTGGCTCACTGCAACCTCTGCCTCCCAGGTTCAAGTGATTCTCCTGCCTCAGCCTCCCGAGTAGCTGGGATTACAGGTGCGCGCCACCTTGCCCAGCTAATTTTTTTTTTTTTTTTGTATTTTTAGTAGAGACGGGGTTTCACCATATTGGTCAGGCTGGTCTCGAACTCCTGACCTCGTGATCTGCCCGCCTTGGTCTCCCAAAGTGCTGGGATTACAGGCGTGAGCCACTGCGCCCAACCCAGTGGTCTCTTAAGAGGAGAAAAAATGGTCCAGACTGTGCTGCCCAAGATTTGATTTGCCTTTTTTCCAAAACATTTTATTATGAAAAATTTCAAACAGACAGAAAACTGGAAAGAATTATACAGTGGGCATTCATATAACTACCACATAGATTCTACAATTAACGTTTTACTCTATTTGCTTAATCACATATCTGTACATCTCTCTCTCCATCTATCCATCCGTCCATCTGTCCATCTGTCCATCCATCATTCCATCCACCCATCCGTCTACCCACCCATCCACCCATCCGTCTACCCACCCATCCACCCATCCTTCTGCCTTTTTATTTATTTTTTGAATCATTTCAAAGAAAGTTGCAGACATCAGTATATTTTACCCCTAAACACTTCAGGATGAATATAATTAACTAGAGTTCAATATTTGTTTGCCTTTTTTAAGTAAAATTTACACACAGGAAATGCACAGATCTTAAATATGAGTGAGTTTAAGGTGAGTTTTGACAAATGCCTGTACCTGTGTCACTCAAACCCCTATCAAGATATCAACAGCAGGGATTACAGGCATGAGCCACCCGAGGTGGGTGGATCACTTGAGGTCAGAAGTTCGAGACCAGCCTGACCAACATGGATAAACCCCTTCTCTACTAAAAATACAAAATTAGCTGGGTGTGGTGGCACATGCCTGTAATCCCAGCTACTCAGGAGGCTGAGGTAGGATAACTGCTTGAACCTGGGAGGCAGAGGTTGCAGTGAGCCGACATCGCACCATTGCACTCCAGCCTGGGCAACAAGAACGAAACTCTGTCTCAAAAAAAAAAAAAAAAAAGATATCAAGAACATTATCATCACCTGAGGAAGTCCCCTCATGCAACTTCTCAGTCATTCTTATTTTTGTCACCATAGATTAGTTTTCGCCTATTTTAGGACTTGCATTATGAGTCCCAGTTGTAAATACTCTTTTGGATCTAGCTAGTTTCACAGCTAGCAGTGGGAGATTCATCCATGTTGTTGTTGCACATATTGGTAGTTAATATCCTTTGTTGCTCAGCGATATTGTATTAGGCGATTATAACAGAAGAATTATTTGTTCGTCTGTTGATAGTCACTGGAGCTGTTTCTAGTTTTTAGCAATTATGAATAAAGCAGCTGTGAAAATTCTTTTATGAGTCTTTCTGTGACATATGCTTTCAGTTCTCTTAGGTAAATACCTAAACATGAAATTGCTGGGTCATAGATAGGTTTCATTTTATAAGAAACTACCAGCTTTTTACCCAAGGTGGTTGCATCATTTTACATTCTCACTAATAATGTATGAGAGTTCCAGTTGTTCTACATCCTTGCCAACATTTGATGTTGTCAATCTTTAATTTTAGCTTTCCTGGTGGGTGTATGTTGGTGTCTCATTATGGTTTTATTTTATATTGTCTTGATGACTAATGATGTTGAGCACTTTTTCATGTGTTTCTTGGCCATCTGTGTCTTCTTTTGTGAAGTGTCTATTCAAATATTTTGCCTATTTTAAAAATTGAGGTATTTATCTTTTTATTATTGAGTTGTAGGTATCCTTTATATATTCTGCATATAAATCCATTGTCAGATATGTTTTGCAAATATTTTCTCCCTGAGGCTTGCATATAATTTTGTTAATACTGTCTTTTGATGAACAGAAATTTTTAATTTTGATTAAGTCAATTTATCAATCTTAAAAAAAATTGCTTTCTGTGATCTATTTTAAGATACCTTACCTATTCCCCAGTCCCAAAGATATTCTCCTGTTTGCTTCTAGAAATTTTAACATTTTAACCCAAAAAATAACTTTAGCTTTTGATTGATTTCTATGATCTATTTAAAATCAATTTTTATGAATAGTGTGAGGGAGGAGGGGTTGAAGTTTATTTTTTTCCAGGCCGGGCACAGTGGCTCACACCTGTAATCCTAGCACTTTGGGAGGCTGCAGCAGCTTGATCCCAGGAGTTCGAGACAAGCCTGAGCAACATGGCAAAACCCTGTCTCTTCAAAAAATACAAAAATTAGCCAGGTGTGCTGGTGAGCGCCTGTGGTCCCATCTACTCAAAAGGCTTAGGTGGGAGAATTGCTTGAGTCTGGGAGGTAGAGGCTGCAGTGAGCTGAGATCACGCCACTGCACTCCAACCTGGGTGACAGAGTGAGACCCTGTCTCAAAAAAAAAAAGTTTTTTTTTTTCCATATGGATATTCAATTGTTCTGGCACCATTTGTGAAATAGACTTTACATTGGACTGCTTTGATGACTTTATACAATAATCAAATGACTGTTTAATTGTGGGTCTATTTCTGAGGTCTTCATTCCATTTATCTATTTGTTTAACCGTATGTTACTACCACGATGTTCTGATTACTATAGCTTTATAATTAATAAGTCATGAAGGCTGGGCACAGTGGCTCACACCTGTAATCCTAGTGTTTTGGGAGACTGAGGTGGGAGGATGGCTTGAGGCTAGGAGTTCAAGACCAGCCTATGCAACATAGGGAGATCCCATCTCTACAAAAATTTTAACTATTAGCTAGGTGTCATGTGAACCTGTAATCCTAGCTACTCAGGAGGCTCAGGCAGGAGGATTCCTTGAGTCTGGGAGGTCCAGGCTGCCGTGAGCTATCGTTGCACCACTGCACTCCTGTTTGGGTGACAGAGCAAGACCCTATCTCAAAAAAAAAAAAAAAAAAGTCATAAAAGTCATGAAGTCAGACGGGATAAATCCTCTAATTTTGTTTGTTTTCAAGGCGGTTTGGATATTCTAGGTCCTTTGCATTTCCATAAAAATTTTAGAATCAACACATTCAATTTTTTTTTAATTTTATTATTATTAAAGTTTTAGGATACATGTGCACAATGTGCAGGTTAGTTACATATGTATACATGTGCCATGTTGGTGTGCTGCACCCATTAACTCGTCATTTAGCATTAGGTATATCTCCTAATGCTATCCCTGCCCCCTCCCCCCACCCCACAACAGTCCCCAAAATGTGATGTTCCCCTTCATGTGTCCACAGAATCAACACATTCAATTTTGACAAGAGTCTACTAGAATTATGACTGAAATTGAGTTGAATCTAGAGATCATTTTGGAAAGAATAGTCATCCCAGCAATCTTGAGTCTTCCAATCCATGAACATTTATTTAGGTCTTGAATTTCTCTCAATAATATTTTGTAATCTTCAACGTAGAGGTCTTACATATCTTTTGTGAAATGTATTCCTAAGTATTTCATGGTTTTAAAAAGAGCTATTAAAGATGGAATTTTAAAAACATTATTTTTGGCCGGGCGCGGTGGCTCATGCCTGTAATCCCAGCACTTTGGGAGGCCAAGGTGGGCGGATCATGAGGTCAGAAGATCGAGACCATCCTGGCTAACACGGTGAAACCCCGTCTCTTCTAAAAATACAAAAAATTAGCCGGGCGTGGTGGCGGGTGCCTGTAGTCCCAGCTACTCTGGAGGCTGAGGCAGGCGAATGGCGTGAACCCAGGAGGCAGAGCTTGCAGTGAGCCGAGATAGCGCCACTGCACTCCAGCCTGGGCGAAAGAGCGAGACTCCGTCTCAAAAAAAAAAAAAAAAAAAAAATTTAAATTTTTTGTAAAGATGAAGCCTTGCTATGTTGCCTAGGCTGGTCTCAAACTCCTGGGTCCAAGCGATCCTCCTGCCTCCACCTCCCAAAGTGCTGGGATTATAGGCATGAGCCACTGTGCCCAGCAGGAATTTTTTTTTTTTTTTTTTTTTTTGAGATGGAGTTTTGCTGGTCGCCCGGGTTGGAGTGCGGTGGCACGATCTCGGCTCACGGCTCACTGCAATCTCCACCTCCCAGGTTCAAGCGATTCTCCTGCCTCAGCCTCCCGAGTAGCTAGGATTACAGGTGCCCACCACCACACCCGGCTAATTTTTTTTATTTTTATTAGAGACAGGGTTTCGCCATGTTGGGCAGGTTGGACCTCAGGTGATCCCCCTGCCTCTGCCTTCCAAAGTGCTGTGATTGCAGGCATGAGCCACCGCGCCCGGCCAGGAAATTTTTAAAATTTCATTTTCTATTGACAGCAGCAGAGGTGAGCACCAGAAAAGACAGTCCATCAGGTTATCCTAGGTGTGGGGAAGTGGGGTGGAGGAACACCACTTATTTGCAGATGGCTGTGCAAGATCTGGGAGGGTGGAAAAGAAAGGTGGCCATGTGATGGGGGGAAGTCGGATGCATAGCACTTCGGGGAAGACCGTCTTCCTTTCTCTGCCCTGTTACTAAGAAGGAATGTTCTTCCTCAACACTGTCCTGGGAGGTGAAGGCAGGACAATGCCAAGGAGCCTTGGGAAGGTGTTCCTGTTCCCCCAAGCCTTCTGAGCTGCATCATGCAGCCACCCCTCTGTGGGGGCTGTTGCCACCATGGCCTGAGATGAGCATGGTCCTCTGGGGACAGATGAGCTGGCCTCAGTGGTACAGGTGGTATACTCTCCCCTCTCCAGGAGAAGCCACAATGGGCCCTGATCCTTGCTTAGCTGGCTCAGCCTGCAGGGAGGAGATGGGGTCTGAAACACCTGGACTTCCCTTTACTCAAAATATCATAGCCAGGACAGATGCAGTAGCTCACACCTGTAATCCCAGCAATTTGGAAGGCCAAGATGGGTGGATCACTTGAGGTCGGTAGTTCGAGACCAGCCTGGCCAACCCTGGCGAAACCCTGTCTCTACTAAAAATACAAAAATTAGCTGGTCGTGGTGGCAGGTGCCTGCAATCCCAGCTACTTGGGAGGCTGAGGCAGGAGAATCGCTTAAACTGGGGAGGCGGATATTGCAGTGAGTGCAGATTGTACCACTGGATTCCCGCCTGGGCAACAGTGCGAGACTCCGTCTCAAAAAAAAAAAAAAATCACATCCAAGCTCCTGGCCTGGCTTTCCTTTCCGCTCCCTTCCATTGACTGCCTCCCTTGGTGGTCTCTCCATCTCGTTTTCCCATGTTGCCCCACCCAGTTATAGAGTCAGCTGGTCACATCTCTCAAAAGTGCCAAAACTTCCAACTCATGCTCTGAGGAAGGATTCTTAAGAAATAAGAATGTCCAAACTGGATGTCCAAAACTCCACCCATGCTGGGTCCTGTCCCTGTCTTGTTGGGAAGAATGTGGGTGGAGAAGGAAGGAAGGAGAGCAAGAGAGCTTCCCCCTTGTGAAGCAAGAGGACCATTGGGGGAGGAGCAGTGGCAGTGCCAAAGGGGGCTTTCATCCCTCCGTACCCCTCACAGTGCCCCAGAAGCCCCTTCAAAGAAAGATGTACTCACCATGCTTCAAGACAATGCTAGTTGCTACAACAAATAAACCCCCAAATATATTTTGTTTATTTCCCACTTATTTACCAGTTCATTGCAGATGTTCTTGGTTTGCAGGTGACCTTCCCCCATGCAGTGATTTAGAGACCAGGCTTTTTCCATTTTGAGGCCCTACCACCGCCTGGTCTAACTATCATCTTCTACACTCATTTAATAGGAGGGGAAAGAGACCCCATGAAAGGCATAACCACTCCTCAAAAGCCTTGGCCTGGAAGTGACACACGTTACTTCTGCTCCCATTCCATTGGCAAGAACGTGGCATGGGGCCAAGGGGGCCTGGGAAATGTGGTCCCTGGCTCGGCAACTGCTTCCCAGTGACAGCAACACTGGAAAGGAGAGTTCAGATGTTGCTCTCCCTGCCACTGAGCTCTGTTGAGTTTTCACCAGTCAGGTGGCCTTACTTTTAAACTGTGCAGAGCTCTCTGGATGTGAAGAGTTATCTCCCACTCCATCACCAGCATGGTTTCTTACTGTCTCCTCCATTGCTGAGGTTGTTACAGGCTCTTTTCCAGCCCCTCCCTCCTCCCTCAGCCACCCGGGGTCCCCCTCCTTCTAGTCGCTTGCCTAAACCTGACCTCCTCCAAGACACTTTTCAAGGATCTCAGCATCTTCCATTCTCTGGGCACCCTGTTTGCCATAAACACAAGTAGGAGCACTGTTTGGAGAACATATGTGCCCCTCTCTCATCTGCTTGCTAATGTTTGGTATTCTTCAACAGAGCACCAAGGTTTTCTCCCCACGATCAACACCAAGACTTCAGATGCGTGTACCCAACACTAAGACTTCAGATACATGCACCCTGGGGGAGAGGGCAGATCTTCTCGCACACAGGGGAGTGGTTGACTGGGGGATCCTTATAAGTCCTTGCAGAGGGGAGGGAAGGAGAGCAAGGGGACCCTGGGCAGGGGCAGACAAGGGAGCCAGCTATTGAAAGGGAGGCTTTGGCTATATTTTTCAATTAGCTCTATTTTTCAGTCATATGTTGAGCATCTTCAACTTTTTCTAAACAGACTAATCAAATAGTGTCCACTTATTAAATGCTGATATGGTTTGGCTGTGTCCCCAACCAAATCTCATTTTGATTTGTAGCTTCCATAATTCCCACGTGTTTTGGGAGGGACCCGGTGGGAGATCATTGAATCACGGGGGCGGTTTCTCCCATACTGTTCAAATGACAGTGAATAAGTCTCATGAGAGCTGATGGTTGTACAAGGGGAAACCCCTTTCACTTGCTTCCCTCATTCTCTTTTTGCCTGCCACCATGTAAGACATGCCTTTTGCCTTCCATCATGATTGTGAGGCCTCCCCAGCCACGTAGAATTGTGAGTCCATTAAACCTCTTTTTCTTTATAAATTACCCAGTCTTGGATATGTCTTTATTAGCAGCGTGAAAGCAGACTAATACAAATGCCAACCTTGTGCTGGGCACCACTAGCTCTTTTTATAAGCATGGTCTGATTTATCTTCCCAACAACCTCGTGAGGTAGGAACTCTTATTTTATCCCCGTTTGGCACAGGAGAAAAGCAAGACTCAGAGACATTTAGTAATTTTCCCAAGGTCACATAGCTTCTAGTCATTCTAGAAGAGCTTGGGTTTGAACCTAGATATCCAGCCTCAAAGTCCTCCAGTCCTCTGTGCCTGTGTCTCCTCTTCCCCTGGGATACCCAGCATGGCAGAGGCACTCAATGCTCATTGACTACTCATGTCCTCCTCCACACTTCCCAGCCTTCCGTGCAGTCAGGGTGGGGTCATGAGGCAAACTCTGACCAACAGGCTGTGAATGGAAGTGACAGGTGTCATTTCTGGACCGAAACACTGAAGTGCTGCTGTCCAACCCTCCTGTTCTCTCTTGGCCTTTAGTGGCAACCACAGATGCCATGGTTTGAAATGGTAGAGCCACTAGAAGGAAGTAGCCTGTACAAGGGACAGCTAACCTGGACAGTTACCCAACCTGCAGCAGTTTTGTGTGAACGAGAAAAATACACCTTTGTTGCATCAAGAAGCCGCTAAGATTTGGAGGTCAATGTTTACCTCAGCACACTATAGCCTCTCCTGACCAATACACCAGAACAGGACACTAGATAGAGTAGGGTTCCACTCAGTTGGTTACTAACAAGGTGGTGCTCTCAGACATTTTGTTTTATAAACTTTACAGTGCTCCAGAGTAAGGATGGAACTGAAGGACTTTCTAAAACACAAGTTCCCAGCTGGGCGCAGTGGCTCACGTCTGTAATCCCAGCACTTTGGGAGGCCAAGGTGGGCGGATCACTTGAGGTCAGGAGTTCGAGACCAGCCTGGCCAATATGGTGAAACCCCATCTCTACTAAAAATATAAAAATTAGCTGGGCGTGGTGGCGGGCGCTATAATCCCAGCTACTCAGGAGGCTGAGGCAGGAGAATCACTTGAACCTGGGAGGTGGAGGTTTTAGTGAGCCAAGATTGCACCACTGCATTCCAGCCTGGGCGACAAAGTGAGACTCAGTCCAGTCTCAAAACAAAACAAAACACCAAAACACAACAACAAAAACACCACAAGCTCCCAGAGGCAGGTGGGAGAACACCAAGGGTCTTCATCAGCCCCCTGGGGAGCAGGAGCCCCTTGCCCAGCCTCCCATCCCAGGTTCCCCTCTGCCCTGCATCAAACTTCTCCCTGTTGCTGGTTTCTAGAGCTGTTCCCTCTCTGGCACAGCCCCTCTGTCTCCACCCCGCAGCAGCCGGCTTCCAGAAGCTAAAGCTCAGACACCACTGGCCCCTCCCCAGATGCAACCAAGTACCTGGAAGTCTCCCCACGCCTCACATTGTCTTTGCTTCACATTGTCTTTCAGATGAGTCCCTGGGGATGCGGAGCTCTTGCGATTCTGCCATCTGATCCTGCAATACAGGAAATCACCACTTTCTGGCCTCTGCTGACTGGAGAGCCAGTGTGGCAGGCAGGAAGCTCCAGTCTGGGCTGTCCACTGCCAGGTCAGGTCTGGGGAGAAGGTGGAGAGTCCCAGGCCCGAGATGGGCTCCTGGTTGGGGTGGGGAGGGCCAGGACAGCCAGCGTGTTCACTCCTCCCACAGACGGTTCTACAAACCCTCGTGGAAACTTTCTGTGCGGCTGGCCCTGTGCTTGGTGCTGTGGGAGCACAAAGGCAAGAGATCATGGCACCTGACTTCCAGGAGCCTCCATCCTGCAGGTCCAAGTAGGACATTAGCTGCAGAGAAACAGAGCAAAGGAATAAATAGCAGTCAGGGATTTTTCACTTGCAAGTGACGTGAACCCAGGGCCAGAGTAAGATCTATAGAGAGGCTGGGCGCGGTGGCTCACGTCTGTAATCCCAGCACTTTGAGAGGCTGAGGTGGGCGGATCACTTGAGGTCAGGAGTTTGAGACCAGCCTGGCCAACATGGTGAAACCCTGTCTCTATTAAAAATACAAAAATTAGCTGGGTGTGGTGGCATGCGCCTGTAATCCCAGCTACCCAGGACGCTGAGGCAGGAAAATCACCTGAACCTGGGAGGCGGAGGTTGCAGTGAGATCACACCACTGTACTCCAGCCTGGGCGACAGAGGGTGACTCTGTCTCAAAAAACAACAACAAAACAAAAAAAAAAAAAAAAAGGGAAAGAAAGAAAGAAAGAAAGAATGAACCAGCATGGCACATGTATACATATGTAACTAACCTGCACATTGTGCACATGTACCCTAAAACTTAAAGTATAATAATAATAAATAAATTAAAAAAAGAAAGAAAGAAAGAAGAAAGAAAGAGAGAGAAAGAAAGGAAGAAAGAAAGAAGGAAAGAAAGAAAGAAAGGAAGAAAGAAAGAAAGAAAGGAAGGAAGGAAGGAAGGAAGGAAGAAAGAAAGAAAGAAAGAAAGAAAGAAAGAAAGAAAGAAAGAAAGAAAGAAAGAAAGAGGAAAAAAGCCCTGATATAGCTCTGGCTGTGACTGAGTCACAGCCCCATACCTGAACTGATCCCATAGCAAGCACAGGGTTCAGAAGTGGAGGGGGTAGGAGAAAAGATGGGCTACTCCGACTTCGAGGCCTGGGCCTTATGAGCCTCTCTGGATCCTGGGAGTGGAATCAGCTTCTTCTGGACCACATGTCTGAAGGTGGGCGACAGATATTTCTCATGGAATATTGGAGTGTTTTGATCAGAAGGAGGAAGGATGCTGGGTAGGGTCACAACCAAGGTCTGCTGCTGGTGGGAGAATGGAATACGCCCTCAGAGAAGTATGAACCAAGGGCTGTGGGAATTCAGAAGAGGGAGATGTCATGTCCAGCTGAGGGGGTCAAGGAAGGCTTCATGGAGGAGGAGGCATCTGGGCTGGGCCTTGAAGGATGACCAGAGTTTGGGCATTGGATCTCTTAGGATGGGAGGAAAGGGCATTGTGGGCATAGGGAACAATGTGAGCAGAAACCTGGATGTAAGCCAGAGAGAAGCAGGGGCTGAAGCCAGATGAAGGAAAGGCCTCGAATGCCAAGCTAAGGGGCATGGATTGAATTTGTGGAGCCAAGGATGGGATCATCAGATCTGAGCCCCTGGAAACGCATACTACCCACTCAGGGGCCCGGCTCCCCACCCCCACCCCTGGCCTGCTCTGGGTGCCCACAGATCCCTTTTCCTTTCGTTGAGCTCAGACAAGTCTGGAGTTTTCCAATAGAAATGCTTACTCAGAAATGGAAGAAAAGTGAAAACAGAAAGTGTGATTACAGACCTTAGCTTTCTCCTGCCAAAGTAGACAAGCTTGGTACCTGTGACAGTCCCTCTTCTCTGGGCTGAACCTGCCCTCTCCCCTCTGCCTGCTGAGCCCCAGGAGAGGCGGGGGCTGTGCTGGGGGTAGACAGCGTGCTCTCCCTGTGGGACCCTCAGGCTCTCCAGGGTCCATTCCTGCCCTGCCCTGAATAGTACTTTCTCTGCAGCTGCCCTGGCTCAGGGCAAGGGGGGGCACCCCCAATTCTCACCCCCTAAATTCCTCCCCGACCCTGGAGCCACACTGCTCTTATTATGTCACCAGGAGGTTTTTCCAAGACGTCTGCTAAGAATCAGGTGAAAATCAGCTGAAGGCTGAGTCTGCGCCAGTTCTCAGCCCCTGAAGGGTGGGTAGGGCCATGTCCCAGTCAAAGGTGTGGACTGTGGATTCCACCTCTGTTGCTAAGATGGGACAGAGAAGTCCCATAGCCTCCCGGAGCCTCAGTTTTCTCTTCTGCAATAGAGAACTAATAAGCTCCAGCTCGTAGGATTTGTTGGAGGATTAAACAGTATCCCAGAAGTCACTTACAGGCATGGGACATGTCTGCAGTACGTGGTGACAATGAGGATGATGAAGAAGAAGATAATGGAGATGAAGGAACCACCAGGAGGGGAGACATGGACCAGCAGGGTCTTTTACTTTGGATTGCTCTGAGGTGACACCAGGTGTGTGTGAGTCCACATTGACAGGCTGGGCAGATGGATGGGCGGGGGGTCAGGACGCAGCATGGGGGCTGAGGGCAGCACCATCCCGAACCACACTCCTGGGCTCTGAGCTCGCCTCACGCTGCTGGACTCAGGAGAACCTCAGCATGAACACTCATCATGTCCTCTAGCCTGGAGCTTCCCAAATTAAGGAAGGGGTGGCCTCTGGGTCATTCCAGAAAGCCCTGTGATTCAGACCGTGCCGATGTTACCCTGGGTGGACTCCCTCAGCCTCAGCCTCCCTCATCAGTTAGGGGATCCCAATCAGACTTTTTGGAGGTCAGAGGCTGCCAGGAAAGAGGGCTTTTAACAAGGTTTCTACAAACCTTGAGATTGCTAGAAAGGGCCTGATGGACGGGGTGGGGCAGGCGGGGAGAGGGGGGAGGGGGAGGAAGGCTCAGGTCAGGGGTCACCAGGCCTTAATGATCCCTCTCAGCAAACTAACTTGAGGATGTATTCCAATTGTATTTGCTTATTTATGTCAGGAACATAAACTATTGCATTAATATATTATGCCTATTATAAAAATACGTATAAAACGAAAATTTTAAGAGATATCAATAGGAAACAAGTTAAACAAATGACGTCCCATGCATACAATCAACTATGACTGACCTATTTTTTAAAATGATGTCTTATAACTCGATAATAAGAAGACAAACAACTAAATGTAAAGATGGACAAAACAACCCAGGCGTGGTGGCTCATGTCTGTAATCCCAGCACTTTGGGAGGCCGAGACAAGTGGATTGCTTGAGGCTAGGAGTTTGAGACCAGCCTGGGCAACATGGTGAAACCCCATCTCTACTAAAATTACAAAAACTAGCCAGGTGTGCTGGCAGGCGCCTGTAATCCCAGCTACTTAGGAGGCTGATGCAGGAGAATCGCTTGAACCCAGGTGGCAGAGGTTGTGGTGAGTCAAGGTTGTGCCACTACCCTCCAGCCTGGGCAACAGAGCAAGACTCCCCCACCGCCACCACAAAACTCCCGCTGCAAAAAAAAAAAAAAGATGAAAGACTCTAATAGACATTTTTTTCAAAGAAAATATATGGGCTGGCATGGCTCAGGATATTGTGACACATGCCTGTAATCCCAGCACTTCAGGAGCCGAGGCAGGAGGATTGCTTGAGGCCAGGAGTTTGAGACCAGCCTGGTCAACATAGCAAAACCCCATCTCTACAAAAAAAAAAAAAAATTAGCCGATATAGTGGTGTGTATCTATAGTCCCAGCTACTCAGGAGGCTGAGGCAGGAGGATCTTTTGGGCTCAGAAGCTCAAGGCTGCAGTGAGCTATGATTGTGCCACTGCACTCCAGCCTGGGTGACAGAGGAAAACCCTCTCTCTCCTAACAATAATAAAAAAGAATGGTTAATAAGCACACAAAAATGTTCAATTTCAATTTGTTATTTGAAAAATGCAAATTAAAACCACAATGAGATACCATTTCAAACCCACCAGGATGGCTATAATCAAAAAGACAGATAATAATAACAAGTGTGGTGGAGAATGTAGAGAAAGTGGAAGCCTCATACATTGCTGTTGGGAATGTAACATGATGCAGCCACTTTGGAAAACAGCTTGGCAGTTGCTTAAAAAGTTAAACAGAAACTACCCAAGAGAAGTAAAAATGTGGCCACACAAAGACCTGAATGCTCATAGCAGCATTGTACATTTTAAAAACCCTGTAAATCATCCAAATATGCAAAAGCTGGTAACTGGATAAACAAAATGTGAAATATCCATTCAGTGTAATACTACTCAGCAATAAAAAGGAACAAACTGGCCGAGCGCAGTGGCTCACATTCGTAATCTCAGCACTTCGGGAGGTCGAGGCAGGTGAATCACCTGAGGCCAGGAGTTTGAGACTAGCCTGGCCAACATGGTGAAACACCATCTCTACTAAAAATACAAAAATTAGCCGGGAGTGGTGGCGCACGCCTGTCGTCCCAACTACTCAGGAGGCTGAGGCACAAGAATCGATTGAACCTGGGAGGTGGAGGTTACAGTGAGCCGAGATCGCACCACTGCACTCCAGCCTTGGCGACAGAGTGAGACTCGGTATCAAAAAAACAAAAAACAAAAAGCAAAAAAGGAACAAACTTCTTAAATGAGCTACGACATAGATGAACTTCAAAAATATTATGCTCAGTAAAAGAAGCTAGACACAAAAGACCACATATTGTGTGCTTCCATTTATATGAAATTTCCAGAAAACACAAATCTGTAGAGAAAGCAAATCTGTCATTGCTGGAGCTGGGATGGCTGTGAGGATTCACTGCAGATGGATCCAACAGGACTTTGGGGGATGATGGCAATGTTATAAAACTGGCTTGTGGTGATAGCTGCCCAACTCTATACATTTAAAAAAAAACTGTTGAATAGTACATTTACAATGGATGTGTTTTATGTAAATTATATCATATCTCAATGAAGTTGTTAAAAAAAAAATGAGGAAGCTTGTTAGGTACTGGTTTAGAAAGGTCTCCAAGATTTTTTTTTTCTTTTTGAGACAGAGTGTTGCTCTGTCACCCAGGCTGGAGTGCAGTGGCATGAACTCTGCTTACTGCAACCTCTGCCTCCCAGGTTCAAGAAGCGATTATCCTGCCTTAGCCTCCCCAGTAGCTGGGATTACAGGCATCTGCCACCATGCCCAGCTAACTTTTGTATTTTTAGTAGAGACGGGGTTTCAACATGTTTGTCAGGCTGGTCTCGAACTCCTGACCTCAGGTGATCCACCTGTTTCGGCCTTCCAAAGTGTTAGGATTACAGGTGTGAGCCACCACGCTTGGCCTCCAAGGTGTATTTTTAAATGGAAAAACAAAGCACAGAATACGCTACCATTGGTTTTTTTTTTTTTTTTGGTGTTTTTTTTGTTTGTTTGTTTTTGTTTTTTTTGTGATGGAGTTTCGCTCTTTTGCCCAGGCTGGAGTGAAGTGGCACAATCTCGGCTCACTGCAACCTCCACCTCCCAGTTCAAGCGATTCTCCTGCCTCAGCCTCCGGAGTAGCTGGTATTATCGGTGCCTGCCACCACGCCCGGCTAATTTTTCTTTTTCTTTTTCTTTTTTTTTTTTGTGAGACAGAGTCTTACTCTGTCACCCATGCTGGAGTGCAGTGGCGCTATCTGCTCACTGCAAGCTCCGCCTCCCGGGTTCATGCCATTCTCCTGCCTCAGCCTCCTGAATAGCTGGGACTACAGGCACCTGCCACCACGCCCAGCTAATTTTTTTGTATTTTTTAGTAGAGACAGGGTTTCGCCATGTTGGCCAGGCTGGTCTCGAACTCCTGACCTCAAGTGATCTGCCTGCCTCGGCCTCCCAAAGTGCTGGGATTACAGGTGTGAGCCACCGTGCCCAGCCCCACTGTTTTTTTTTAAAGAGGAACAGGTGTGTATATATAGACTATTATGCAGATTTATATTTATATGTTTATACTTACACATGCCTATATGGATTTGCACAGA
Source organism: Homo sapiens (assembly GCF_000001405.40). Classification (NCBI taxonomy): domain Eukaryota; kingdom Metazoa; phylum Chordata; class Mammalia; order Primates; family Hominidae; genus Homo; species Homo sapiens. Next base: position 61,315 of record NT_167251.2, read on the forward strand.
CGCTCTGGAAGGATACACGAAAACTGGTGAGACTAGGTGTTTTGGGTGAAGGAAGTGGATGGCTTGCAGGCCAGGACTGGGAGAGTGACTTTTGTACCTTTAAATTTTTTCTTTTTAATTTTGGTAAAACACACATAACAAAGTTTACCATCTTAGCTATTTTTTAAGTGTACAGTTGAGTGGTGCTAAGTACATTCGCCTTTTGGTACAACCATCACCACCATCCATTTCCAGAGCTCTTTTCATCTTGCGAAACTGAAACTCTGTACCCGTAAAAGAACTCCACTTCCCCTCTCCCTAGGTTCCTGGCACCCCCGTTTCTCTGTGAAGAAGCCTGCTCCAGACACCTCATATAGTGGAATCACACAGTATTCGTATTTCTGTGACAAGCTGATTTCACGGAGCACAATGTCCTCAAGGTTCACCCATGTTGTAGCATGTGACAGAAGCGCCTTCCCTTTTAAGGCTGAATAATATATGCGTGGGCCACATTTTGTTTATCCATTCATCTCTCCATAGATATTTGGGTTGCTTCCACCTTTTGGCCAATGTGAATAATGCTGCTATGAACATGGGTGTACAAATATCTCTTCCAGATCTTTATATCTTTATTTTATTTTATTTGTCGAGACGGGGGGTCTCCCTCTGTCGCCCAGACTGCCCTCCAACTCCTGGTCTCAGGCAATCCTCCTGCCTCAGCCTCCCAGCGTGCCGGGGTTACAGGCGTGTGAGGCACCGCTCCCGGCCGCTTTACATTTTTAAAGCATATGAAGGTACTACCTATTTGAAAATAAATTTAAACGTAAAAGGAAGAAATACAAATAAATACAAATGGAAGGTGTACAGTTTCTTCCCATATCCCCTACCAAGGTCCCAGCGGGTGGGTCCCCCGCAGGGCAGCAGCCGGCTCGCCCGCGCAGGGGGTCCCTGCTGAGTCACGCGCAGCGGCTCAGCCCGGAGGTGCCCTCGCCTGCCCGCCGCCCACCCGCTCCCCGCCGATTGGCGAGGCCGCATTCCTGCGCGCTGCCCGCGGCCGTCCGGGTGACTCACGGTGCAGGCAGCTCAGGAACGCCCGCTCGCGGGATGAGGCTGCGGCTCGCCCGGCCACGTCCTGAGGCCTGCAGCCGCTGGTTTTCCTATTTGGAAACTCCTTAGACGTCTCCGCTTCCAACAAGCTGGTCTCCTCCCTGGCCCCCAGCAGGCAGGGAAGCCTGCGGAGGAAGCGCCCTCTCTCTCTGTGCGGGGATTCTCAGGCCTGATCTCCTAAGGAACCACGTTCTCCTCTCCTCAATTCCAGATTCCCCAAATGCCTGAAAACCGAGCTTACAGGATGGCGAAATCTGACCTGAACCAACCTGAGATTAAGTTGCAGTTTCACTTATCTGGCTGCACGTGAATACTTACATGTTTGCTGATGGAAAAAAAAAGAAAAAGAAAAAAAAAGTACATGTTTGATTACAAGAATGCGGTCCCAGGTACCCTGAGGGTGCCATTCTATACACGCACCAAATTGTTTCTAAAATCTAAAGAATTCTGAATTCCAAAGCACATCTGGCCCCAAGGTTTTAAGTAAGAAACTGTGGGTCTGTGTTATACCCATTTTACAGAGCAGCCCGGGCTCAGAGAGGTCAAGTCACAGCCGGAAACAAGCCAGTGGGTCTAAGCCCGAGTTCCTGTCTTCCTCACGGGGCTGCACACAAGGCTCTGCCTACCCTGTCTGTCCCACTCCCTCTCCTGTCCTTCCTCTGGGAAGCTCTCCTTGTCCACTACAGCCAAAGACATCATCCTTCTTGGCAAACGACCTTTCCCCTCCTGGGTCACAGAGCCAATGCCTACCACTTACAGGCAGTTGTTGGGAGACAAGAAATCTCAAGTGACTAAGCCCAGACTCAGGGCTCCAGCTCCCCAGGCCCTAGCCTTGGTTTGGCCACTTTTCAGCTGTGTGACCTTGGGTAGGTTACCTAGCCCTTCTGTGCCTCAGTTCCCGCATCCATAAAGGGGCATAATAATGATACCCCCAGCCAGGCGTGGTGGCTCACGCTTGTAATCCCAACATTTTGGGAGGCCAAGGCGGGAGGATCACTTGAGGTCAGGAGTTTGAGACCAGCCTGGCCAACATGGTGAAACTCCGTCTCTACTAAAAATACAAAAATTAGCCGGGTATGGTGGTGCGTGCCTGTAATCCCAGCTACTCTGGAGGCTGAGACAGGAGAATCACTTGAACCTGGGAGGCAGAGGTTCCAGTGAGCCAAGACTGTGACATTGCACTCCAGCCTGGGCGACAGAGTGAGACTCCGTCTCAAAAAAAAAAAAAAAAAAAAAATGAAGGAGGCCTCAGCCCACCCCAAGCCACCCACATTCTCTCCCCATTTCGCTAGTGAATGGAGCAAGTTGGGAGGTGGTAGGTCTAGCTGCGGTGAGGCCCAGACTGAGGTCATGGTGGATCCGGGCTGACCCTACCCTCATCTTTAAGAACACCTCCTGGGCATTCGTCCGGCCAGCCGACTGCTTTTGGGAGCTAAGAGAAAGAGCTTGAGGTGAATAATCTTTCTGGTGATGCTGGGAGAGCAGAGGACCTTCAAGATCACCTGACCTGACATTTGGTGGATGAGAAAACTGAGTACTCAGGAGGGAAGTGACCTATGAAAGTCACAAAAATCTTTCCTGGTGCAGCGGCTACCAAAAGCCAGTCCAGAGTCCCTGCCCCACCCCCACCCCTACCCCCTGGGTATGGTGTTAGAGGAGAAGGACCCAGTGAATTCAGGACCTGGGAGTTCACAGCCCTCCCCTTACCCAGCTGGGAATCCCCACTGGGAGCGGGGGTCATCTGGGAGGCCTCCTTTCTCCCACATCCCCCACGCAAGTTTCAGTGTGTTTCAGGCCCTGGGCTGGGGCCACCAGGCCTCTGTCTGCCTCCCTGAACAGGAGAGCCACTGAACGTCAACCTCAAACGAATGAGAAAGCTGGCCTTGAACAAGTTTCACTTCCCAAGGGCTGTGGTGGCTACAATCTGGGCAGCGGCATCCCCAGTGCTCTCTTGCCAGCTCCTTGCAAAACCCCGCCCGGCTCACTGAATGCAGGACCCTCCTTCTCCCTTCTCCCTGGCCCCAGGGACTGATCCAGGCCCCCAGCAGGGGAGAAGGGGCCTCCTGAGCATGTACCTCTCCAGCCCATAGAGCCCCCCTTCCAACCCAGCAGTTCCCCAGCCTCTGCCTGCGCAAGCTGGGGTGTCCATGCCAGATAGGACAACACTTTGACCTTCCCAGCATGTCTCCTCTCTGTTCCATCCCCATCCACACATCCACCGCCTTAGCAGAGACCCTCTCCTCTCTTTCCCTGCAGCCTGGCAGCGTGTGGAGTCCTAGTGTGTAGACTTTGTCATCAGACACCCCACGTTCACCTTCTGATGCCACCACTCCTAGCTGTTTGGCAGTTCTAAATGTCTGCAAATTATCTGGCACTCCTCCCGTCAAGAACTGAAGTCTGGCCAGGCACAGTGCTCACTCCTGTAATCCCAGCACTTTGGGAGGCCGAGGCGGGCAGATCACTTGAGGTCAGGAGTTTGAGACCAGCCTGGCCAACATGTCGAAACCCCATCTCAACTAAAAATACAAAAACCAGCTGGGTGTGGTAGCGTGTGCCTGTAATCCCAGCTACTTGGGAGGCTGAGGTAGGAGAATCACTTGAACCTGGGAGGCGGAGATTGCAGTGAGCCAAGATCACGCCATTCTACTCCAGCCTGGGTAACAGTGAGACTTCGTCTCAAAAAAAAAAAAAAAAAAGAAAAGAAACTGAAGTCTGTGTCTTTTCTCCTCAAAGCCGGCACAAGACCTTTTCTCCTGGGTCTCTCTGGCTCTTCAATCCCAAACCCTTTGCTTTTTATAAGCCCTCAGACTCCCTCAGGGCGGTCAGCATTTGTGGAGTCATCTTATTTATTTATTTTGTGGATTTGGCAGTTACATGGGAGTTGTATTTCTATTTTAGTCAGTATCTTTAGATATTTCATTTTAGGAAGACATTTATTTATTTATTCATTTATATTATTTATTGATTGATTTTTCTTTTTGTTGTTGTTTTCGTTTTTGTTTTTTGAGACAGTCTCGCTCTGTTGCCCAGGCTGGAGTGCAGTGGTACGATCTCGGCTCACTGCAACCCCTGCCTCCTGGGTTCAAGCAATTCTCCTGCCTCAGCCTCCTGAGTAGCTGGGATTACAGGTGTGCACCACCACGACTGGCTAATTTTTGTACTTTTGAGAGATGGGGTTTTGCTACTTTGGCCAGGCTGGCCTTGAACTCCTGACTTCAAGTGATCTGCCCACCTTGGCCTCCCAAAGTGCTGGGGTTATAGGGGTGAGCCACTGTGCCTGGCCTATTTATATTTATTTTGAGACAGGGTCTTGTTCTGTTACCCAGGCTAGAGTGCAGTAGCAGGATCACAGCTCACTGCAGCCTGGAACTCCTGGGCTCAAGCGATCCTCCCATCTCAGCCTCTGGAGTTGCTGGGACTACAGGTGTATGTAACCATATCCAGCTAATTTTTTAAATTTTTTTTGTAGAGATTGGGGGGTGTCTCACTATGTTACCCAGGCTGGTCTTGAACTTCTGAACTCAAGTGATCCTCTTGCCTCAGCCTCCCAAAGTGCTGGGATTACAGGCGAGAGCCACTGCGCCTGGTGGTCTGTGATGTTAAACCACGTCAGCTCTTTTTACTATTTAGCTCTCTCCCCTATCCCCCCCCATTAGAGTGTGAGCTCCATGAAGGCAGGGAGGTTTCTTTGCATTGTAATCTGCTGCATCCTCAATGCCTACAACAGTGCCTAGCACATAATAGGTGCTTAATAAACATTCCTTGAATGCATAAGTGAATGGATGCATAACGTGCCCACTACTGTGGGGCCAAAACCAGCTGTAGACTGGGCACTGCTCTCTCCTCTGTGAAATGGAAGCTGTGGCACTGCCTACCCATCAGGGGTGTGGTGAGGTCACTGGAAAGGGTGACCTAATACGTTGCTAATGCTCAGATGGGGATTGCTGGGAGTGTTGCCTTTCTCAGTTGTCACAGGGCCACTAGGCGAGTCCCTCCATCTGGAAAGACAAATCCAGGCTTCCTGTTGCCCCTGGCCCAGACTCCATGAAGACACAAAACCTGTGAGCTTCCTTAGAGATCCCATACTCCCTCCCTGTTTGTACTCCAATTCCAGCTCTGGCCCACTGATCACTTGTTGAAATCCTGGAGTTTCAGGACCAGGCTTCATCCCCTTTATCCCAGGGTCTATCCCCCCTCCTGCCCAGCGCTGGAGAATGGACAATGAGTTGTTCAGAGCGTCCATTGAGATCACCTGATGAAAGAAAGAAAGAAAGGAAGGAAAGAAAGGACAGGAAAGGAAAAGAAAAAGAAAAAGCCAAGACGATGGATCACACAGCCAATGTCTTCCCATTTCCTGCCCAGAAGGTAGGAATCTCATGCTGAGCCTATCAGGACAAAGGAAATGCTGACGTTAAACAGGCCCCACCTGCACACACAGACAAGGTAGCGGTGGCCCTCTGGGAGGCACCTGCTTTCTCTTCAAACAGAGCAGAGAATGAGGGGGTCCTGGTGGCTAATACAGAGCCCCAGGCTCCCCCAACCCTCCTGACGGTTGAAGAGCAGTTTCTGTGCCGTTAGGTGGCACCTCTCTGGTGCCTGCAGAGATTATCTACAAAGGAGCAGGGCTGAAGGGATGGGGCCTGCCCCCTGTGCCTTTCAGCTGTTTACACCTGGCTCTGCCCCAGAGTGTAGAGGAAGGGAGTGAACTGGGGGAGACTAGTGTTGTTGGCCTGGAAAGACCTAGGCAAAACTCAATTTGAGCAGTTTAGGGGTTAAAGGCCGTCCTAGAAAAGCTAGCCTCTGCTAACAGCTAGTTAACTTTGCACCCTCCTTGGGACCCTCCCTCCCTCCAGTGTTATCCTCCCACCATCCCCACATCCTTATCTTACCCCCACCTCTCACTCCTGGCCCTGGGGGGAAGCGTCCCAGCAGCCCTGTTCAGAGGAAGCACCTCGTTGCCAGGACGTGGAGGTAGGCCAATTCCAAACCCTTCTTCCTTCAACCCTTGGCTGCTGCTGCTTTTTTTTTTTTTTTTTTTTTAGAGGCAGGGTCTTGTTCTGTCACCCAGGCTGGAGTGCAGTGGGGTGATCAAAGCTCACTGCAGCCTTGAACTCCTGGGCTCAAGCAATCCTCCTACCTCAGCCTCCTGCATAGCTAGGACTACAGGCACATGCCACCAGACTCACCTAATTTTTTTCTTGAGGTGGAGTCTCGCCGTGTCGCCCAGGCTGGCGTGCAATGGTACAATCTTGGCTCACTGCAACCTCCACCTCCCGGATTCAAGCGATTCTCCTGCCTCAGCCTCCCGAGTAGCTGGGACTACAGGCGTGTGTCACCATGCCTGGCTAATTTTTGTATTCTTAGTAGAGACAGGGTTTCACCGTGTTAGCCAGGATGGTCCTGATCTCCTAATCTCGTGATCCGCCCGCCTCAGCCTCCCAAAGTGCTGGGATTACAGGCGGGAGCCACCACGCCCGGCTACAGCTAATTTTTAAACCATGTGTAGAGACGGGGTTCTTACTATGTTGCTAAGGCTGGTCTTCAACTTCTGCCTCAAGGGATCTTTCCACCTCCGCCTCTCAAAGTGCCTGGATTACAGGTGTAAGCCACCTCGCCCAGCCCCTCGGTTCCTCTGAACACACCAACCACCCATGCCCCTGCCAGTGCTGGTGCCCCCCACCTCCCAGCCACTCCCCCTCACTGGGGCACCTTTAGCTCCTGGCTCACTGCCTGTGGTCCACCCAGCCTCATTCAAAATGACTCTAACATCCACACGGTGCCTCGTCTGCATCCTGACCTCCTCGCCTCCAGACATTACTTTCTCCACTGCACCCAGCTGTCCACTCCCACCGTCACATCCTACACCTTGTCCTCTTTTCTCACAGCACCATCCCTGAATTTTTACCCTGACCACACCTCTTATCCTTCCAGTTCTCTTTCTCTGGGGCAGGTTCCTTCTAAAGTTCTACTTTCTCTCCGGCCATCCAACCCCCCCTTCTTTCCCTCCTTTTCCACCTTGGGGTCCCTGGTCTACCATGTTGATTATTGTCTTGCAACAGCCCCAGCTCTTGTTTCTTGCTCCCCTTGTCGTCTTCAGCTGGCAGAACCTCACTGTGGCAAAGCCAACTGTGCACTTTTCCCCCGGCTGCACCAGGGAAGCCGAAGTTGCTGAGCCTATCTCATAGCCAGGCTGCCTGATGGTGCACATTAACCTGAAATGCACGCATGGCACTGCCTGGAAGCTGTTCCACTTTCTTGCCGGACACTGTCAGAGCTGATCGAATGTAAGAGGTGAAAGAGAGAAGGGATGCAGAAATTAGAAATTTCTGGCTGGGGCAATAGAGTTCTAGTAGTACCATTTTCTGAAATGATGGGGAGAAAGCGGTTTGGAAGAGAAATAATGGCTTCCGCAGTTGGTTCCACAGTTTTACCTCCTACATAGACCCTAAGCTAATGCCAGTCTTTCTGCATCCTCTAACTCTAGCTTGGCCCCATGATCTTGTTAAAATGTCAACCAGAATGCATCCCTCACCTTTGTAGAGGCTTTCTGTGGATTTGCATCTCACTGCAGAATTAATCCAGATGTCTACAAGCCTTTCCCAGTCTGGCTGCTGGCTCCTACCTCAAACCTTCCACTTCCCACTTCACCCCCATCAAACATTCCCATTCTCCGTAGACACCGACCACCTTCCTCTCCTCCTCCAGTGCCTGAGCACTGTCCCACCCAGGACCTTTGTACCTGCCGTGTTCCCTGCCTGTCAATGATTGCACAAATAAAGGGATGTGTGGATGGATGGATCCCTTTCTCTAGGGATGCTGGTACTGGATGGAAAATCACTCTGGAAACTGCCTCATGCTGCACATGGTAGGTGTTTTGCCCTGGCACCACACCTGACACACAGTAAGTGCTAAATAAGTGCTGATAAATGAACTTGTGTCACACGAGGCGGGATTTAGGGTGTGTAGGAAGTGTACACAAAGAGCCAGGGGCAGTGGGGTCTCAGAATAGGAAGGGGGTGAGGGAGGGTGAGGGCTCCCACTGCCCGGCCCTGCCCTGCCTGCTGGGCACTCCATCCTCCGACTGTCTACTCCAACTGCATCCCATCCCCCTCACACATCCTGCTGGTTCCCTGTGCCAGGCCTCTGCTCACCAAGGACCTCCATCCTAGAATGCCTTCAGAAGGGCCAGCTTTCACGGAGCCCTCCCAAGCTAGCTCAGCAATTGCCTGATTCCTTTGCAGTTGTTGATTAAACAGCTACTGTATGTTCACCATGGTCCTGAGCATTCATAATTGGGGAAACAGCTGAGGACAAGATGGAGGGCCCTGCCCTCATGCAGCTCACATTCTAGTGGGACAGAGCAAACTCACCAGAAATCAAAACGTCAACCTCCTCCAGGAAGCCTTCCCTACCCTTGTCCCCAAATCTCTGGTCTCCCTCAGGCCCTATGCCCCTCCCCCACGACACGCACCATCCTGTACTGTGAATTTCTCTCTGTATCTGACTCCGCGTGGGAGATAAGAAGACAGGGTTCTTGCCGTTTCCATCTTATTCTGACCAGCACAAGGCCAGCACTTGGTGGTAACTGTACCTGTGGGTTGACTTCCACCGGTGGAAAAGGTGGGGCTGAGGGACGGGCATGGCCACAGCCAGGGGCTGTGTAAGTGCCTGCATATTTGGGGAGAGCAAGGAGTGCAGGGGAGCGGGGTGAAGTGAGATGCTCATTGTCTCGCCAGATCTTGGAGGGCAGCACAGGTTTCAAAGGGGTTCTATGGCAATTTTCTTGTTAAAGGAATATGGCCCAATTTATCAAACCACAAAGGGAACTGTGAACTCAGTCACACGCAAAGTCATATCAAAACAAGGTGCCCCTTTCTTCCCCCTGCACCTGCTGATTACTTATAAAAGTTTAAAATAAAGCGCCGAGTGTGGTGGCTCAAGCCTGTAATCCCAGCACTTTGGGAGGCCAAGGCGGGCGAATCACTTGAGGTCAGGAGTTCAAGACCAGCCTGGCCAATATGATGAAACCCCATCTCTACTAAAAATACAAAAATTGCTGGGTGTGGTGGTGCACACCTGTGGTCCCAACTGTTCGGGAGGCTGAGGCAGGAGAATGGCTTGAACCTGGAAACTGGAGGTTTCAGTGAGCCGAGATGGCACAACTACACTCCAGCCATGGTGACAGAACAAGACTCCATCTCAAAAAAAATAAAAGCATCCCTTTCTTATGCAGCAAGTGCCTGGCTTAGGGAACCTGTTACCCTTCTGCAATGAAGTAGAAGTTGGAGGTGCTCTTATGGGTGACCTATCCATATAGGGTGCTAAAGGGAACTGGAATGACTTGGGGACATCCCTAACCTTTGAGGCTGACGTCATGGTGATAACCACTCACCCACAACACATCTTGTGGTGCCAGTTCTCCATAAGATGGATAAGGTCCCTAAACACAGGGCTGCACGTCTGATGTTCTTATGAGCACGCAAAAGGAACCAGGCCCTCCCTGCCAGGAAGCTGCAGGGAAATTAGAATCATTTGACGAGTTGTCCATTCTTTCATTTGTCTAGTAAGGAGGTACTGAAAGCCTCCTCCTAGGAGCCGAGTATGGTGCCAACAGCTACAGGAATGGCAAACCATATAAATAGCCCAAACAGGATATAATTAGCGTCGGACGTGCACATGTCATGGGTGGAATGATGCAGAAAGAGTGATGCAGCCCCCATCTGGGGCTGGCATCACATGGGACGAGGCGCTTGAGCTAGACATGGAAGGATGAGCAGTGTGATCGCCAGGTGGAAAGGCATTACAGAGGAACGGCATGTGCAAACACCTGGGGGTGCAAGGAGGTGTGTGTGAAACAGCAGGGCTGGTTCAGGGAGCAGCAGGCAGCTATCCCACTCACGCAGTGTGTTTAGTGCTGGGCCTCTTCATCCCCCGACTTAGCAAGTCCATCATTCTCTAAGGTGATTTATAGGTAAGGAAGCTGATGCTCAGAGAGTCTGGGTAACTTGCTTAGAGTGCCACAGCCAGTGGCACAGCTCAGATTCAAAGTCAAGTTTGTCAACTTCACAAATCTGTGTTCTTTTTTTTTAAGCTCCCCTTTCCCAAATCTGTGCTCTCAACTACCATGCGGAACTGTCTTTATAATATGATGCAGGACCTCTAAGCCAGGCATGGCAATTTGGACTTGATCCAAGGCAAAGTTCCTCCAAATACCTGCTATTTGCACTGTACCTTCAAGTTAAAGCTGTCAGAGCCTAGAACTTTCATTTTCTTTCTTTCTTTTTTTTTGTTTTGAGACGGAGTTTCATTCTTGTTGCTCCGGGCTGGAGTGCAGTGACGCAATCTCGGCTCACTGCAACCTCCGCCTTGCTGTTTCAAGTGATTCTCCTGCCTCAACCTCTCAAGTAGCTGGGATTATAGGCACCTGCCACCACGCCTGGCTATTTTTTTTGTATTTTTAATAGAGACAGGGTTTCTCCATGTTGGGCAGCCTGGTCTTGAACTCCTGACCTCGGATGATCCGCCTGCCTTGGCCTTCCAGAGTGCTGAGATTACAGGCGTGAGCCACCACGCCCGGCATCATTTTCTTAATGTTTGTCTTTAAATGTTTCACGTTAAAAAACAAAAAGCAAACAAACAAAAACCCAAAATTTAAGTAATTTTGGTTGATCACGGTGGCTTACCACCGTGGCAAACCCAGAAATTTGGGAGGCCGAGGCGGGAGGATCACTTGAGGCCAGGAGTTCAAGACCAGCCTGGGCAACAAAGTGAGACTCCTGTCTCTACACAGAATCAAATAATTTGCCGGGTGTGGTGATGTGCACCTCTGGTCCCAGCTACATAGGAGGCTGAGCCAGGAGGATCACCTGAGCTCAGGAGGTCGAGGATCGCCTGAACTCAGGAGGTCAAGGCTGCAGTGAGCTGTGATAGCACCACTGCACTCCAGCCTGGGCCACAGAGAAAGACTCTGTCTCAAAAAAAAATTTAAATAATTTTTTATTGATGCATAATGTACATATGAAAGAGTACACAAATCAATCACTTTTCATTTGTGTAAGAACACAATAATTTTTCACCCAGGTCCAAAACAGAATATTATGAGTCTTCAGCAGCCCCCTCCAATGAACAACTCCACAGGGTAACCACTCTCCAAGCTTTAACAGCATAGATTAATTTTGCCTGCTTTTGAGTTTTATATAAATGGAACCATAACAACTGCTCTTTTTTGTGCCTGGCTTCTTTTGCTCAGCATTTGTGTGGCTTAATTCATTTTCACTTGATACAGAATTCTATTATGTGAATATACCACGTTACCCATTCTACTGATGAACATACAGGTTATTTTTCATTTTTGGCTGTGATGAATAAAGCTGCTATGAACATGCTTGTGCATGACTTTGGTAAATGCCATGTACTCATTTCTGCTGGAATTATACCTAGGCATTGAATTCCTGGGTCATAGGGTAGTGTAGATATGTTTAGCTTCAGCAGATATGGCCAGTTTCCAAAGTAGTTGTTACAGTTTATATCTTCACTGGAAGTAAATCAGACTTCCAATTGTTCCACACCCCTGCCAACATTCGATACTGTCTTTTTCGCTTTAGCCCTGTGGGTGTATAGTGATATCATGCTGTGGTTTTGCATATCTCTGAGACTAATGAAATTGATCACTTTTCATGTTTATTGGCCACTCACATATCCTCTTTTGTTAAGTTTTAAGGCCTTTGCCCATTTTTATTTCTATTGATTTTTTAAATTGATAAGTAAGAGTTTTTTTTTGTTTTTTTTTTTTGAGACAGGGTTTCACTCTGTCACCCAGGCTGGAGTACAGTGGTGCAATCTTGGCTCACTGCAACCTTCGCCTCCTGGGCTCAAGTGATTCTCATGCCTCAGCTTCCTGAGTAGCTGGAATTACAGGCATACACCACCATGCCCAGCTAATTTTTGCATTTTTAGTAGAGACAGGTTTTGCCATGTTGGCCAGCCTAGTCTCGAACTCCTGGCCTCAAGTGATCCATCAGCCTCAGCCTCCCAAAGTGCTGAGCCACCGCACCCCGCCAAGAGTTCTTGATATATTTGGGATGTTATTTCTTTGATAGATATGCAATTTGCGATATTGTCTCCCAAATAAATTTATTTTATGGAACATTACTACCATAACTAAAGACCCAATATCACATGTCACATATAGTAGGTAACTGTAAAATAAATAAAATTAAGACCATGTTATCTTTCCATTCTAGCTTGATATCTTGCTGCTGGTGGCTGTGGCTGGGATCCTGATCCCTGCAAAAACGAGAGATTAGCAAGAGAAAAACAGATGTGAAGGATAACAGGGAGACTCTCCTTGGTGTACTCAAAAGGCTGGACAGAGTTAGAGAAGAAACAAGTTCCTCATTTTGCAACTACTAAAGATCACTGCAGTGCACCTTTGGTACATGGTATGGGGGTCCTTGAACCTCCTAGAATCATGCCATATGCCACTCACTTTGTGAGTCCTCCACTTAGGGAAACACAACTGTATGGGATGTGGATGCAATGAGGTTGGTAAGCAGGGGTTGACATAATAAGAGTGGTGTTTTAGAGAAATCAAGTGGCAATGAGCACAGAAGCAAAGGCGGAGGAGGGGGGCCTGAGGGAGGAGCAGTTGAGGAGATCCAGGTGGCAAACGGGGAGGGTCTAAGCCAGGAGTGAGCCAGGGGCTGGGGTGGCGTGGGGTGGGAAAGATTGGAGGTAGAATCTGGGAAAGCAGTGACTGGTTGATGGGTTGATGTGTTAAGTGACACTGGGATTTCTTTTTTTTTTTTTTTTTTGAGTTGGAGTCTCACTCTGTCACCCAGGCTGGAGTGCAGTGGCACGATCTCCGCTCACTGCAAGCTCCACCTCCCAGGTTCACACCATTCTCCTGCCTCAACCTCCTGAGTAGCTGGGACTACAGGTGCCCGCCACCACTCCCGGCTAATTTTTTGTATTTTTAGTAGAGACGGGGTTTCATCGTGTTAGCCAGGATGGTCTCGATCTCCTGACCTCATGATCCACCTGCCTCGGCCTCCCAAAGTGCTGGGATTACAGGCGTGAGCCACCGTGCCCAGCCAACACTGGGATTTCTAAACTGGGGGACTGGGAGGAGAGAGGTAGCAAAGACAGGAGAAGGAAATTATGGGGAGAGAGGAGATGACAAAATCAATCTGGGATACGTTGAATTGGAAGTGTTTACAGGACCTCAGAGGGAGATTCATTCATTCATTCATTCATTCGTTCATTCATTCATTCATATTTACCGAACATGTGCTGGCACCAGGCATGCAGCTGTCCATCAGACAGACAAAATTCCTGCTGTAATGGAGCTTAACGTTTGTGGGAAAGACAGATAGGGGGAAGGACAGATAAAGACAAGCAAATAAAGAGGAAGTGGTGGGAGGTATGCCTGGGGCTCAGGGCTCCAGGCTGTGGAATGGATTTGGGGCCTGGCAGCAGAAGGGCAGCAGTTACAGCTGGCTGGATGGGTGAGCTTGCCTAGGGAGGGGGCAGAGTGAGCTGAGCAGAGGAGAGGGCGGCCTGCCAGCATTTACAGGCCACAGGGGAACGAGTGCCCACAAGGAAAACCACCAAGGAGCAATCAGAGGGGCAACCAGTCACAGGAGGAGGCTTCAAAGATATGACAACTGGCACATTCATGCATTTATTCAATCTAACTTCACTTGACCCCTTCTGTGTGCCAAGCTCTGGGTGATCAGAAATGAATGAGAAGCCTCTGGAGGTGACAGGTGTGTTGTGTGCCAGTGACGAGACCAGGCCACATGAAGGAGATTCTATTACGAAGTCCACATGCCCATGCATTGTGGGGGCACAGATGATGGGGGCTCACATTTTTTAAGCCTGATATATGCAAGGCCCTGGGGAAGGCTTCGTGGTGGTGGGGCAGGAGGCAGAGAATGGGGGCGAGGGCGTGGCGGCGAGACCCACATGGCTTGCACGGACAGCAGAGGCATCCCGGGAGGCTGGGCATTGGCGTGAGAGCGGAGAGAGTCAGCCAGAGGACAAGGAGCCGAGGACGGGGCAAAGATCGCACAGGGAGAGTGAGCTGAGCTCTGAAGGGCATGGAGGACCCGTGCGGGTTTTGAGGAGAGTACCTGCTGCTCAGGAATGTTCCACCAAGCAGACAGGAGTCAGAGGCGGCTGAATGCCAAGGCCCCTGGGATACTGGGGACAGAGCACCTCTTCCTGGCTCCTCAGCACTTAGCAGGTGCCAGAGCTCAGTAAGCGCCCACTCTGCGCCCTGCACAAGTGCGGGATCCACGCAGCCCACAGCATGCTGGGTAAGGCACTGAGTGGGGGGCGGTGGGGCATCTGGAAAGGCATCTTGCAGGGAGGCAAGAGCCAGGTATAGAGCGTGGGAGCAAAGAGGGGCTAGCACACGCTCCAGGGTCTGGGGAGACTTCTCTTGGGAGAGGGATTCTCTTGGGAGAATCCTTGGTTGCTGAGGATGGGAAGGATGGGTGAGGCAGAGGTGCCAATGCCCGGCCCGGTGGCCTGAGCCCAGATCCGCCCTCTGATGGGGAACCCCAGGCCCACAGGGACCTCCCTCTGCCTGACCCCAGACCTCCTCTTCCTGGTCCAAGCCTCACCTCACCTTCTCCTCGACTACATGTCATCAGCCTCATCCCCCAGCCTCGAAGCTCAGGATTGGCCGGAAACATGGGGGCTGGGGTCAAGAGAGGGCGAAGACTTCAGGATTCTCTTGGCCCCATGCATAGCAGCCCAAAACTCCCTCTAACACTCCCTGCTGTTCCCGCCTCGGAATCGCCCCTTGGGCAAAAGGCCTCTGGCGCCCCCTACTGGCAGTTCAGCTTCAAGACTCCCAAGCCCTCACGCTTCAACCCTGTCTGAAGTGAGGTCCAGCCTGAACACTTCTAGGGCCAATTCCAGGCTGCAGAGAGGTGGTGTGGGGCCTGGGCCAGGACGGAAGTCTTGTGATATTTCCTTGAACACCAGCAGCTTCCTAATTGGTCCCCTCCCTCCCTCCTTCAGCCACAGCTGGGAAAATCTCTTTAAAAGCATATTTGTAGGATACCACTCAGGAGTAACAAGTAATGAACTATTGATACCCAACAATGACTTGAATGGATCCTAAGGGCATTATGCAGAGTGCAAAAAGCCAGCCTTGCAAGGTTGCATACTGTATATTTCCATCCATTAACATTCTCAAAAGAAGCAAATTATAGAGATGGATAAAGACAAGGTTGCCCGGGATTAGGGAAGGAGCGGGAGGATGTCAGTGGAAAGGGAAGCATAAGAAGTTTCTTTTGAGATGATGGAACATTCTGTATCTTGGTTGCTGCAGTGCTGGCTATACATGAATCTATGCATGTGATAAAATGTCATGGAATTATACACAAAGACAAACAAAAATGAGTGCATGCAAAGAATGGTGAAATCAAGCAAGGTCTATAGTTAGTTACATCGCTTTCCTGGTTTTGATAAGGCACAATGGTTACGTAAGACGGCACCACCAGGGGAAGCCAGGTGCTGGCTGCACCAGGCCTGTCTGTACTATTTATGTAACTTCTTGTAAGTCAATAATTCTTTCAAAATAAAAAGTTTATAAAAACGGAAAAGCATCTCTGGCCATATTGTCCACCTGGTCATCACCTAGTGGCACCCACTGGGCCATAAAGGATGAAGTCCATTCTCCCAGCAGGGCACAGAGCCCTTCATGGGCTGGCCCTTTCTTCTGGAATGACATTTGCCATCTCTCTTAATATACCAAGCCCTGCTCTGAGACTGGCAACGAAACAAGAATATCCACTCTTGGAGGACACAGGGGGCTGTACCTCACTCACAGCTCCAGTTCTACCCGGCAGGGCCTCTCTTGTTGATACCAGTGGGTCCCCTCCTGTACTGGCCTGAGGAGACAGTCATCTGCTTCTGATGCTCTTGCCCAAGCCAGACAAAAGTACCTTTCCCTACAACACTGCTGGACTGAAGACTTGAAAAAGGACGGCTCCAGTGCTCTGAAAACCAAAGAGTCACTGGCTCAATGTGCTCTACTGTCCACCAGGCGATCTGGCTGCACCCCAGGGGCTCCTCTACAGCCCTTCCACGTCTTGTCCCACCGCAGAGGCTGTCTCACCCCAGGACCCAGGACTATCCTTGGGCCTGAGGAACAAAGACTATCAAGACTTTGCAAATGTTCCAGGTGCAAATGTTCCACCACCAGGTGCTGGGCCGTGCGTGTTGCACATGTCATTTTATAATGGTGAGAAGTTTCTGAGGTAGGCGTGAATTCCTAACTTTACAGATGAGCACACTGAAGTGAACCACTTGCCCAAGATCACTTTATAGGAAATGGCAGAGCTAGGGATTGAACTCCAGCTGTCTTCCTTTTCGTGTATCAGCTCATTAATGGGTATCTTTTAAACACCTTTTTTTTTTTTTTTTTGACGGAGTCTTGCTCTGCCGCCCAGGCTGGAGTGCAGTGGTGCGATTTTGGCTCTCTGCAAGCTCCGCCTCCTGGGTTCACGCCATTCTCCTGCCTCAGCCTCCCGAGTAGCTAGAACTACAGGCGCCTGCCACCATGCCCAGCTAATTTTTTGTATTTTTATAGAGACAGGGTTTCACCGTGTTAGCCAGGATGGTCTCGATCTCCTGACCTCGTGATCCGCCTGCCTCGGCCTCCCAAAGTGCTGGGATTACAGGCATGAGCCACCGCACGTGGCCTCTTAAACACCTTTTATGTGCCAGGCACTGTGCATACGATGGTGAGCAACGACAGAGTCCCCACCATTCTGGGCTTATAGTATCATGGCAGGGAAGTCCAGACAGCAATAAATAATCATGATATATGAGGGTAAAATGACAAATTTAGATAAGAGAAGCATATGGGTCTTTGATGATGTGTAGCAAACAACGCTGACCTAGCTGGGCATTGGAAGGAGCTGCCCAAGGAAGTTACCTGAGCACAGTGCTAAAAGATGACTAAGTAAAGGGAGAAGAGAACTACAAAGAGAACACAGCACATGCAAAGGTCCTGGGGCAGAGGGAGTGTGAAACATTTGTGAAATCGATGGGAGGCCAGTGTAGCTGCAGTCCAGAAACCAAAGAGCATGTAAGGCACAGGACCGAGCAAGTGTTCACTGCAGCCAGACTGTGTTCTCAGAGCCTTGTGAGTATTGTCTCATGGCATCTTCACAACCACCTGCTGCTATTGCATCCCCATTCTCCAGGTGAAAAAACTGGGGCACAAAGGAATGAGTCAGTTATCCAGAAGCATCTGGCAAGGGCAATGTGGAGCTCACATTTGAATCCAGGGAGCCTGACTCCAGAGCCCATGCTCTGAGCCACTGCCTCACACTGGTTCACGAGAGAAGGCAGGCCATGCTGAAGCTTGGTCTTTTCCTTAGATGAGAGGAAAGGTTTTTAGGCAGGGTGATAACTTAATCAGACATGTGTTTTGAAATGAGGCTGGATGCAGTGGGGGCAATGAGGACGCAGGATGGGGAAGGGGGCTGGGAGCTGCTGCAGGGTCCAGGCCGGAGATATTAACCCCTTAGACCAGGAAGGGGCCCTAGTGATGGAGAGGGGTGGATCAGACAGGAAGGACTAACAGATACAGATCGGGCATGGAGGCAGGAGAGACAGATGAGATGGAGGGAGCAGGCCACATTCCCAGGTTTCTGGCTCACCTGACTCGGGGGATGATGGACCCTTTGCCTGGGACAGGTAAAACCCTGGAGGAGTACAAGGTTTGGGGAAAATCACAAATCCAGTCTTGGGCTGAGGACCGTCCCAGAGCAGATGTCAGGTTGTCAGAGGACACCAGGATTGGGAGCTTAGAGAGCAGTCAGGCCAGGCACTATGGATCAGTGAGTCACTGATGCTGTGGGTGTAGCCAGTCTCATCCAGGGAGGGAGGACAGCAGAGGAGGGGTGGACCCCAAGGACTCTGCTTGTACTGGCTGTGCAGCAGAGAATGAGACACATGGCCCGAGGTGGGAGGAAAATGAGGGGAATCTGCAAGCCAAGAGAAAGGGAACATTTCCAAGAATGGGGTGGTCAGCAGAGGATAGGGTGCCACTAAAAAGGCAATTAATACACAGACCCCCAAATATCCAGCAGCTATCAATGGGAAATCATCAGTGAGTTTAGGGGAAGAAACTCAGTGGTGTGATGTGGGCGGGGGGTGGGGTTGAGAAGCGAACAAGAGAAGCGGATGGATACCGTGAGTTTAGATGACTTCTGAGAAGTTTGGCTGCAAAGGGGAGGAGGAGGAGGATGGTGGCAGCTGCAGAGAGACGTGGGGTTGTAGGGGGTTTCAGAGAGAGGCACTTCAGCGTGTTCCCGTGGCAAGGGGAAGTGGCCAGTAGATGCAGTGGATACCATGGGTGCTGCTCAGATGCCCTCCTCCAGGACTGAGCGATGATTTCCCAAAGGACAGGGAGGGTCAGCAGCCAATAGCACTCATCTGAGTCTCTCTCCAGGATGTGTCCTGGGCTGAAGAGAGCTGCTCTGCCCAAATCCATGCCCTCTCTTCTCCCACCTTACAAGGCAGCCCATATCCAGTGGCCTGGCCCCCTGGCCATAATGGGACACAAGACTGAGGCTGTCCCAGCTCCAGGGCTTCCCATGGGGTGGCTGAGGCCTTAGAAGGGGCTGTGCCCCAGCTCAGCTTCTCCCTCAGCCACTCCTGCTGGCTCCACCCCTCAGGCATTGGTCCTGAGATCACGCCCAGCAAGCCCCCTGCCAACGTCTCTGTTTCCTGGGACATTCAACCTGAGACATCAGCTAAATAGCAAGAAGAGGGGCCAGTGATCATGGATATTTCCTGAAAAAACAGATGAGCTGTACCCTGGAGAAATGTCTGCTCTGAGGTACCGAGGAAAGGAGGCCAGTGAGGCCGTGGTGAGGGAGGGCTGAGCTTTGTGATGGGATGTTAAGTGTGTCCACCATTCCGGGAGGTGGAGGTGGGTCACCTGTTGAGAGAGGGAAGGCCGGGAGGGCCAGGGGTTGGAGGGAATGAAGACCCAAAACAATTGTTGCAGAAGGCGAGAGGGAACAGAAACCCTCAAACATAGCTGGTGGGAGATTGTGCAGCTATAGAAAACAATTTGATGGTTCCTCAAAAGGTTAAAGGTAGAGTTACCTTTTATTCCAGCAATTTAATCCAGCAAACTCCTGGAAAATAATTAATAAAACATGAGTCATAGACTGAGTGTTTGTGCCTCCCACCCCATTAATATGTTGAAGCCCTAACCCTCAATGTGATGGCATCGAGGTGGGGCCTTTGGCAGGTGATTAGGTTCATGTGAGACCATAAAGGTGAGATTAGTGTCCTTGTAATAAATGGAAGTGACTGGAGCTCGCTCTCTTTGTGCCACTTAAGGACATAGTGAGAAGGTGGCTGTCCGCAAGCTGGGAAGAGAGCCCTTATCAGAACCTGACTGTACCGGCCCCTTACTCGAACTTCCAGCCTCCAAAACTGTGAGAAATAAATCTTCTGTTGTTTTAGCCACCCAGTCTATGGTATTTTGTTATGGTAGCCCTAGCTGACCGAAATGATATGTCCACAGAAAAACTTGTACGTGAGTGTTCATGGCAGCATTATTCATATTAGCCAAAAAGTGGAAAAAACCCGGCTGGGTGCAGTGGCTCACATCTGTAATCCCAGCACTTTGGAAGGCCAAGGCAGGTGGATCACGGAGTCAGGAGTTCAAGACCAGCCTGGCCAAGATGGTGAAACCCCGTCGATACTAAAAATACAAAAAAAAAAAAAAAATTAGTCGGGTGTGGTGGCGGGCGCCTGTAATCCCAGCTACTCGGGAGGCTGAGGCAGATAATTGCTTGAACCTGGTAGGTGGAGGTTGCAGTGAGCCAAGATCATGCCTCTGCACTTCAGCCTGGGAGACAGAGTGAGACTCTGTCTCAGGAAAAAAAAAAAAAAAAAAAGTGGAAACAACCCAAATGTCCATCAATTGACACATGGATAAACAAAATGTGATGTATCCATACAATGGAACGTTATTTGACAATAAAAAAGAATGAGGGCCAGGTGTGGTGGCTCACGCCTCTAATCTCAGCACTTTGAGAGGCAGAGGCCGGAGGATTGTTTGCGCTCAGCAGTCCGGGACCAGCCTGGGCAACATGGTAAGACCTTGTCTCTACAAACAATACAAAAGTTAAGTGTGGTGGTACACGCCTATAGTCCCAGCTACTTGGGAGGCTGAGATGGAAAGATTGCTTGAGCTTGGGAGGTGGAGGTTGCAGTGAACTAAGATTGCACCACTGCACTCCAGCCTGGGTGACAGAGTGAGACTCTGTCTCAAAAATAAATAAATAAATACAATAAATACAATAAAAAGGAATGAGGTAATGATGCAGGCTATGACCTGGATAAAACTTGCAAACTTCTGTGAGCCCACAGCCCAGTGGGAAGGCCTGGCCACGGAAGCACAATCATATCCAGTGAGCTAAGTGTGATGAGAGAGACACACGCATGAGATCTGAGGAGGGTGTAGGGGGCAGGTGTGAGCTGAGGCTTGGGGGAGGAGGAGGAGGAACTGGCCAGGGGAAAGGGAAGGAGGCAGGAAGACTGTTGGCCCAAAAGTATCGAGGCAAGAAGCAACCTGGAGTGTCCCGGGGCAGCGTGGGCACAGCTGGTATGCATAGGTGGGAGGGGTGGCTGCTGGGTGGAGGATTAAATGGGGAGGAGAGCACCCATTCAGAGGCTGCTGTGATCACCCAGATGAGGGAGACTGATGGAGGATGGGACATATTTAGGAGTAGAAGATTGGGACTCTGGGGACTGGGGCTGCCATGCTCAGAGACAGGGAGCAGGGGTGGTTTGAGCTTTGTTGCAGATGGGTTGCACTTTGGGTGTCTGGCAGCCATCCACATGGAAGTGTCTCCTGAGCAGGTAGATTTTGCACATGACTCGCGAGAGAGCACTCCAAGCTGGTGCTAGAGATTTGGGTGACACCAGTGCAGGCTTGGTGGCTGAGTCTGCAGGGTGGAATGGATGACGGATGGTGGAAGGGAGAGAGAAGCGGGCCAAGGGCACAATCTGGGAGTGGGGGCATCACCATGTATAGGGCAAGCAGAGCACACAGGGAGCTGAGAAGGGAGGGGTGGAGTGGTAGAGAAGACTCATGTAAGCCAGGCACAGTGACTCATACTGTAATCTCAGTGCCTTGGGAGGCTGAGGCAGGAGGATCACTGGAGGCCAGGAGTTTGAGACCAGCCTGAGTAACACAGTGAGATCCCATCTCTACAAAAAGTCAGGCATGGTGGTGTGTGCCTGTGGTTCCAGCTGCTTGAGAGGCTGAGGCAAGAGGATGGTTTGAGCCTGGGAGGTTGGGGCTGCAGTGAGCTATGATCGCACCACTGCACTCCAGCCTGGGCAACAGAGTGAGACCTTGTCTCAAACAAAAAAAAAAAAAAAAGAAAGAAAAAGAAAAAGGAAACCCCATGTTGCTGCAGGCAAAGGAACAGACAGTCCATGTCTCAAGAAGGACAACAGACAGTCCATGTGTTTACTTGCACAGGATTGGGCACGTCCCCAGACTTAGCAACCAAGTGGGCACCATGGCCTTTCTGAGAGTAGCTTCAGGGGCAGACTATAGGCTGCAGGAGGACTTAAGGGCATCTGCTGAGAGGCAGTGGGCTTGGGGAGAGATCCCCGTGGCAGCCCTTATCAGCTGTGCCACTGTCGCTCCTTTTTATAGCTCTCCCCATCCAGACGGAGCTTCAAGAGGGAAGACACCACTTCTACATTCTTTGTGTTTCAGAACAATCCAATTCATTCCAAACCTATTCGATGCACACCTACAGTGCTCACCATGCATGTGCTCAGGGCTGGGGACGTATGACTGAGCCTCGGACTTCTGGTGAGGGGCACGGTAGGTCCCTAGACTGTGCAAATGAAGCTCTGGGCCAGGTTCTGCCACCAACCTGCCATGTGGCTGCAGGTGATTTATGATGTTCTCTCTAGAGGTTTCCTCATTGGTGGTAGGTGATTTCTGAAGCTCCCCTTCATGACAAAAATGTGATAATTCTAGGACCTCTCTGCCTGCTGCTGTATTATTTGCCCACTGAGGCCTTGGCAGGGTCAGAAGCCTGGGGTGGTGAAGGAGATGGTGAGCGGACACCTTTCCAAGATCTCCCTGCCTTTCAGCTCCTTGTCTTGGGGACCCAATGTCCTTGGCCTTAAGGCCCCACATGCTCTGTCCCTTACAGCTCTCCAGCCTCACCTCATACCCATGCTCCCTGGTTTTCTGGGCTCCAGTTACAATGGTCTTCTCTCAGATTTTGTTCTCCCCACAAGCTTTCCTGCCCCAGAGCCTTTACACATGCCACTCCCACTGACTAGCACCCTTCCCTTAACCCCTCTGCTCGACTCCTCTTCATTCTTTACTGCTTCTCTCAAATGTGGCTTCTGCAGAAGCATCTCAGGTCCCTGGGCAACATTCACACCCCATGACACACCTTCCGAGCACTCTACACTTCTGCTAGCTCTTGTACAAATGTGATAACCAAGTAATTATCTGCTTACTGTCTATCTAGTTTCACCCTTGGACTCAAATGAGAGGGGTCCCTGCCATGGGTCCTCTTGCAGGAGAAGGCTCCTGTGTCTGTGGCTCTCCCCACAGGGTGAGGAATCTGGGGAGCCCTCTTGAAGCCTGGACCTGCCCTTTAGAACATGCTTCTGATACATGGGGCCCCAGCATGCCCCGCCCAAATAGCTCCAAGCCCATTCCCTCAAGGGTGGACTACGTCACCAGTGGGGTAGCCAAGCGGCAGCTGGCTGCAGGGGGTATGGGCAGTTGGCACACATGGACTACGATGTCCACATATGTGCCCGTGAGCCTCTGCTTGGGGGAGGAGGGCTCTGTGGGAGGGAAGATGAGAGGGAAGGCTGAGCCCAGGGCCTGCCCTTCTCCGGCCACCACATTTGGGCATGGAACTTGGAAAAGTCAAAGAAGTTTAAATTAGAACCTGGCCTTCCAGGTCATTATCAAGACACATTTGTCAAAGTAGGAGAATAGAACATATTTTATTTAACAGTTGTTAGCTTGATTGATAACTTTTAAATATTTAGACATATGGTATGAGGCCCCTGTGTGTACTCTTGCCCTGGCCCTGTTGGCAATGGGGTGGGCTTGGGTCAGCCTCACCCATCAGACCACAAGCTCCACCAGGGCAGGCAGCCCATGCAGTGCCCCTGCCCAGAGCACAGCACCTGGCACAGAAGAGCAGACAATAAATACCGGCTGTGAGAAACAAATGGGATAATCCAAGCCGAATGCTTGGCATGGTGCAAATGTCCAATAAATATCAGCTGTCATTGTCTGTTGAATAAATGAACAGGTGGGTTGGTGGGGCTGGGGGCCAAGAGCCACAAGCTGAGGTGGCTTGTGTCTGAGGAGGGAAGGGACCCGCTGTTCCCTGGGGTTCACGCTTCCTTTCTTGAGGTTGTGTCCTCCTTCCCCACACCCTGCAGGCCTGCCCAGCTCTTCGTGGCAAAGCGGGCCCCAGATGGGTGTACTTGTGTGTCAGAGTGCCAAGAGGGGCTGGGAGCTCCTGCTAGGGCTATGTCCCCCTCCCCTAGGACAGAACAGCTGGGACAGTTTCCCTCTTTGCCTTCAGGGGCCTCCCCAGGTCCAGACAGAACACACCCAGCTTAGTTCCTTTCTTTTCACATAGGCCCAAAGGTTGGATGGGTGGTAGCTGAAAGAACTGATTTTCCCCCTACCCAGGCTGTACTCTGGTGTGGGAGGAGCCTTTTCTGGGGAATGAGGTCACTCACTGGACCTTGAGCAAGTCACACTGCTGCTGCAGGCCTCAGCGTCCTTGTCTGTAAAATGGGATGGTGTGTGGAACTGGTGCATGCCGAGCGGCAGATGCAAGGTGTGCACTTGGTGAATGGGAAGAAGCCTTGCACAGAACACCAGTGGGTCAAGGACAGCAGAGGCCCGGGACCCCCAACAGGAAAGCAGATGAAACTGGCCCACAGCCAGCCTGTGAGAGGCTCAGGCAGGAGGTCATCCCTGAGGCCTGAGGAGGATAGCTTCAGCAGCCCACGCTGAAGGCTGGGTCAGTCCTGTTTCCACAGTGGGGAAGTGATCAGAGCTGCCTCATGACTGGCACAGTGCCAGCACAGGGCCAGGGCCCACAGGGTCTCTGTGAAGGCCTCCACGAGGTGAGGGCCAGAAGCAGCCAGGAAGCCCTCCATCAAACTCCTCCTCCCAGCACCTACCATTCCAGAAAACAAACTCTCACCCCCACACACGCTATCGCACACGCACAGTAGGCGCGATGCAACAGAGAAAAAACCGAATTAACCCCCAAACAGGACGTGACGGGAAGGGAAGGGGGGATGGGGAGTTGGGAAGAAGGAATCACATTTTGCAAACTGCCCACTAGGGGTCACCGTACCCTCAGAACCGAGGGTGCAGAAGTCACACCGGCCTGCGGCTATGCGCTGGCGGAGGGTCCCAGAGAGAAGAAGGCCCGGCTGCGTGGCCTCCGCCGCCCAGCTTGTGTGGCAGGACCGCGGCCGCCGCCCCAGTCACAGGCCAGCAGTCAGTGCGGCGGGAAGATGTCCGCGCACTGCTGCAGGATGAGCTCCACCACCTGGTTCTGGAACACCATGGTCATGGGCATGCTGGTCTCTTCCACCTCGGGCCGCAGCAGCGTGGGCCCGAACACAATGGCCACGCTCTGCACCGACATGCGGTTCTGCTCGCCGTGCTCGATCACCCTGTGGCAGGGGTGGGTGGGTTCAGGGCTCCGAACTGCGAACTGCGGGGAGGCGCTGGGGGCTTCAGCCGGGACCTGCCTCCCCCTTCCCGCGCGGGCCGCCCGGCTCACCGGCAGAGGTGCTGGAAGAGCATCCGCAGAGTGTCGTGGTTGGGAGCGGGCAGCGAGCGCACCAAGTCACGCACACAGCGGCTGCGCCGGGCCTGGTCCTGCAACTCTGGGTGAGGGAAGGTTTAGAGGGAGGGAGTCGGAACGGGAGGTAGGGGGTATCGGCTGGGCGAGGGGAGCCTGCTAAAGGGGTGCCCCGCGACGCCCCTACCCCATCCGCCCCACCTGCCCCAGGTGCTCACTGATGGCCGCAATGAACTGGCGGAAGTGCGAGAAGGGGAAGAGGGGCTCGGGCAGCTCCCGAAAGAAGAGCTTCAGGGCTCCGGTGATAACGTGGACGTCCTCCCAGCGCCCGTCATCCAGGTCAAGGCGCTCATCTGTGGCGGAGGAAGGGAGGAGGACGGAAGGGAAATCAGTACCCCTTGCGCCTTCAGGCCCTGGGGCAGGGGTTGGGGACGGGCCTCACCGTGGTCCACCTTATAGCGTAGCTTCTGGATGGTGGCCAGGTTTCCACTGATGCGGTACAGCCCGTCGATGTCCAGCCCTGGGCCAGAGGGAGGCGCTGATCCCGGGTTCAGGGATGGGGATAGGGTGGGGCTACGGGTCCCTGCTATGACTCCCACTCGGGGCCTCCCGTACTTTCCCCCTGGACCCTGCGTCCATCCAGGGGTCTCCAGCCTGCGGTCCTGGCAGGAGGCCTGCGGGCACCCCAATGCCTGCCGCCCTCACCCCCGCAGCGCACGTACCGCGGGCCTCGACGGCGCGGATGCACTGCTGCACGAAGCGTGGCACCCGGCTCCTCTCGCGCTCACACAGCGCGGCCAGCGCGCAGCCGAACACCTGGTCTAGGGCAGAGGCTCATCAGCTCCTGCCCAGCCTGCGCCCCGTCCCGGTCCCGGGTCCCCGCCCCCCGCAGGCCTCGGGTACCTTTGATGTAGCCCTTCTCCCGCAGCGACTGCAGTGTGGGCCGCCTCTGGAGGAACTTGCGGAGCTTGTGCCGGACCTTGCTCAAGTCGCTCTCCAGGCCCACGGGGCCCAGGGCGGGCGCGGCTGCCGCGGGGAAAGGCAGGACTGAGTCAGGAGGCAGCGCCAGGGCAGGCCAGGCAGGCCCCAGCAACCGTCACTCCCCAGGAGAGGCCTCCTGGAGCCCCCACCCCATCCTGCCTTGCGCACACCTGCATTCGGTCGCGCGTCCTCCTCTTTCTCCTGCCAGCTTCCCAAGCGCTCGCTCGACCCGAAGTCCACTCTGCTGCTCTCGCTCTCCTCTGGGGGCAGCTCTGCGGACTGGATTCCCATAGCCTCAGAGAGGCGGGGCCTTGAGCCAGCTGCGGGTCCTTCCAGGATGGGGCAAGGGACCCGAAATGCACTCCCAACAGGCATGGCCTGGAGACCCTCAGCGAAGAGTCCTCTCTTCCCTTAACCAGGTTAACTCTCCTTACCTCCACCAGTGAGCCTGAGAACATTCACCTCCCTTAGCTGCATGGAGCCCTTAAGGTGCAGAGACAGTCATCCTGTTCTCCCACACCCCTTCCTATCCTGGGGACTCCTACCCACCTGGTGCGTTCTTTCTCTATTTTCCTCAGCTCCTCTAACTGGGTCAGCATTCCTCAATACGTGGCTCCCAGTTCTGAGCCTGCACCTCCAGCTGTGGCCGGAGCACTGCCAACAACTGCACCAATATCACCTCTCTGGCTCTGGATTCCTACCTCTATTAATACAGCCAAAAGCTTCACTCAATGTTGGCTCATAGGGAATTAAGGGTCAAAAAGCCCCAGGTCATTTCCAGGTCAGTAGTTGTCAGAGGGCCCCTGTCCTAGCTCTACTTATGCAATTGGTGTTTTCAGCCTTAAAAAAATGGTCGACTATTGAAATCAATCCTTTAAAATTTTATCTGCTAGTTTCAGCCTGCCATTGGTTGGCTTGCAGAGTATTTATTTGGCCTTCTGCCTCCCGTGAAATGGGAACTTCCTTTAGAATGTGCCCTACCCTCACCTGGAGAGTCTTCCTGCAGGGCCAACCCCAGGGCTGGATTCACAGACTTACAGAAGGCAGTTTCTTCAGCCGCCTACCCTGCCATCCTAGCCATTAGTGGGGACTGCATTTGCATTACCCACTGGTACCTTAGAGCTCCCTGAGCCTGAGCAGAGGGCCCCACTCATAATGGCCACCCCCTCCCCACTGCCCCTAGAGGCCCTGGGCTCTGCTTACCAGCTCCTGGATGCCCTGAGCAATGGCCTTATGCCAGGTGCTGATGATGGCCTCCGAGTCGTGCTGGATCAGGTACTCAGAGCCATCTCGGCTCCGTAGCTGGAGGGACACAAGTCAGTGGGTCATCTCTGGTACCCTGGGTCTGCCCTGGGGGTTGGCCCTAGTTGGGGGTAGGTACAGAGATAGAGGTGACCTGTCCCTGCCCCCAGGCACTCAGAGCTTAATGGAGCAAGGGCCTCACCCCAGGCTAAGTCTTGGATCTCTGCCTCACGTAAAGCAGTGGCTGACAGCATCTCTGTGTTACAGATGAGCAAACTGAGGCTCAGCAAGTTTTAGCTGCTTCCTCATGGGCACACAGCTAGTGAGTGATGAGCACAGAGCTGCATGGCTCAATTGTCTGGTACACTTTCCCTCCCCCATCCTGCCTCCCTGCAAGCCACAGAACATGGCAGGCCTCATGCAGAGCACTGGCCTGCAAACTAAGTGAAAGAAACTTCCTATGTGAGGCCAGGCACGATGGCTCATACCTGTAATCCCAGCACTTTGGGAGGCCGAGGCGGGCAGATCATGAGGTCAGGAGTTTGAGACCAGCCTGGCCAACATGGTGAAACCCCATCTCTACTAAAAATACAAAAATTAGCCAGGCATGGTGGCGGGCTCCTGTAATCCCAGCTACTTGGGAAGCTGAGGCAGAAGAACTGCTTGAACCCGGGAAGCGGAGGTTACCGTGAGCCGAGATCATGCCACTGCACTTCACCCTGGGCGACAGAGCAAGACTCCGTCTCAAAAAAAAAAACAAAACAAAACCCAGAAACTTCCTATGTTGAGACCCCTGTCTACTAGAAGCAACAGTGAATATAGGGAGAGAGGATTTGAAAGCTGATCATGGCTGATCCCAGGGAAAGAAAGGTCTCCCCTTGCCCCTCCCCATACACACACTGAGGACTCAGAAACGTTGTCCCACCTTCTGCAGCCAGGAGTCCCCACCACCTCCCACACTCCAGCCTGGGCAACACATCTTCTGTTAGCCCGCTTCATCATGAAGCATAAATTAAACAGAACACCAGAGGGAAACTTGCCACCATAGGACTGACGCTCAAAGCCCTTTCTGAGTTGGATGGCAGCTTAGTTGGATTCCTTATCAGCCTCTGGCTCTGAGGACCCAGTGTTCCAGGTTAATGTGAATGTTTGGCGGCAACAGCTCACACCAACCCTGCCCTTTTGGTTCAGCGAGAGTCAGAGACAACAGAAACTGTCTCAGACCCCAGGACACAACTTCTAGAATTGGAATGGACTATCTTTGCTGTCCTTTTAAACTTATACTTGAAGACTATTTAAACTGCTTTTTAAAATGAAATGAGGCTGGGCGCAGTGGCTCATGCCTGTAATCCCAGCACTTTGGGAGGCTGAGGCGGGTGGATCATGAGGTCAGGAGATGGAGACCATTCTGGCTAACACAGTGAAACCCTGCCACTACTAAAAATGCAAAAGATTAGCTGGGCCTGGTGGCACGCACCTGTAGTCCCAGCTACTCGGGAGGCTGAGGCAGGAGAATCGCTTGAACCCGGGAGGCAGAGATTGCAGTGAGCCGAGATCGCACCACTGCACTCCAGCCAGGGCAACAGAGCAACACTCTGTCTCAAAGAAAAGAAAAGAAAAGAAAAGAAAATGGCATATCTCATCCCCTAGCCCTCCCCTGCAAAGGACAGAGAACCTTCAAGAGGCAGATAACACAGCCTCACTCTAATCAAAGCAGACAAGAGCCCTGCTCAAGATTATCCCAGAGAATGGCTTGACAACACTTCTAAAACAACAGCCATGATTTTTGGCAGCTCTCTCAAAACATAATCAGTTCATATTTGCAAGTTTCATATAGAGGGCAAAGCTGTATCATTACATAGCAATGTATTTCACAAAATATTCACCCCCAGCCAGGCACAACGGCTCATGCCCATAATCCTAGTGCTTTGGAAGGGCAAGGTGGGAGGAGTCCTTGAGACCAGGAGTTCAATCCTGGGCAATATAGTGAGACCCTATATCTAGAAAAATTTTTACAAATTAGCCAGACATGCTAGTGTGCACCTGTACTTCCAGCTACTGGGGAGGCTGAAGTGACAGCATCACTTCAGTCCAGGAGTTGGAAGCTGCAGTGAGCTACGATCAAGCCACTGCACTCCAGCCTGGGCAACACAGTAAGACCCTATCTCTAAGAACAAACAAATAAACAAAACATTTATCCTGCTGACCGCACAGGCAAATGCTAGCAGCTTTTGGCGGACTGTTGCTGAAGTTTTCTGTAACTCGGGGTGACTAGAAAGACCTGCTGTGAAAATTTCCTGGGCCCAACAAAGCCATCCATCCTCAATGATATAAAATTTGGGGCTGTCTCTTGAGGAAAACCCTGGAGCTGCCTACAGGCCGCCCTGCATGGAGGGAGGATGGCCAGCAGTCAACCAGGAGGCAGGGGCTTGTGATTTCCATTCAGGCCTGCCCACCTTCCCACTGGCCTGAGCAGCACCTGCCTTCCAGTCCTTGCCAGCAAAGACAACTCAAAAAGCCCTATTCTGAAACTTTCATCAAAAGTCCATCAGTGATGATCTTCATTGAGAACTGTTTGAAGGATATACCTATCCCTCAAAGTCAGGGGAGAAACATGACTAGCACAGGTGATGTCTCAGACCGGGCATGGTGGCTCACACCTGTAATCCCAGCACTTTGGGAGGCCAAGGCAGGTAAATCACCTGAGGCCAGTAGATTGAGACCATCCTGGCCAACATGGTAAAACCCTGTCTTTACTAAATACAAAAAAATTAGCCGGGTATGGTGGCAGGCGCCTGTAGTCCCAGCTACTCGGGACGCTGAGGCAGGAGACTCACTTGAATCCGAGAGGCAGAGGTTGCAGTGAGCCAAGATTGCACCACTGCACTTCAGCCTGGGCAACAGAGTGAGACTCTGGATAATAATCATAATCATAATCATAATCATAATCATAATAGTGATGTCTCTCCTCAATTTAACACCATAGCAGATATTGTTAGTTGATCACAGAACTCTATCCTGCCAAGCCCAGAGAAGCCTTCAGAATTCTTCTCAAGAAGGCTCCAGGCTAGGCACAGTGGCTCACACCTGTAATCTCAACCCTTTGGGAGGCCAAGGCTGGAGGATCACTTGAGGCCATGAGTTTGAGACCTGCCTGGGCAACATAGTGAGCCCCCATCTCTATAAAAACTAAAATTAGCCAGATGTGATGGAACGCGCCTGTAGTCCTAGCTACTCGGAAGCCTTAGGTGGGAAGATCGCTTGAGCCCAGGGGCTTGTGGTTTCAGTGAGCTCTGACCGTGCCACTGCACTTCAGCCTGGGCAACAGAGCAAGACCTTGTCTCTAAAAACAGAAACAAAAAATAAAAACAAAAACAAAACCCCACAAGACTCCAGACCTACTCATCAGAGTAGCTCATGAGATGAAACCAGTTTTCCAACTTTGCTTTATAGATATCCTGGCTCTAGAACTGAATGGAGCTTGGTGAATAATCAGGAAACTACACTCTCAGGTTCCTTGCAGAACTGTTTTTTCTGAGCTTAGACATGAGGTCATGCTCTTGGCCTTCATCATAATGATGCTACCTGAAGCAGTCCCGGATCCTGAATTAAACCTTCCTGGAGCTGTTTTGCAGGGTACCTGGCATGTGCTTCTAGATCCCATGTTCATGGAGCTACATACAAGAAATTTAAGAGTGAAGGGTTAGGAAAAAGCTTTGATTCCCTCAACATCTGGGTGGGTTTTATTATTTGTTCAACAACAAAGAGACATGCACCTGATAGCCCTTCTCTTTTCACCTCACCTAGCAGGAAAGTCGGAGCTAAATTTTCTTCAGTAACCACCACCTTAGCACCCATACATCATCTGCCCCCTAATTCCTCTCCATCTTGAGTCCCATCTCTTACTTGTTTTTCATGGTCCTGGCTTTTCAGTTAATTTGACAGTTCACCACGTGTGTTTCTGTTGTGATCTGCCTCAAACCTTCTAGGTACTGAGGTCAGGGTAAGAGTAGTTTAAAAACAAGACAACACATGGACAGTGAAGGGTGTGGCATTGGGAGTACCCTTTCTGGGTCTTCTCTCCCTTCCTGCGGGGGTAGCATGGTAGT
Source organism: Homo sapiens (assembly GCF_000001405.40). Lineage (NCBI taxonomy): Eukaryota > Metazoa > Chordata > Mammalia > Primates > Hominidae > Homo > Homo sapiens. The sequence continues at coordinate 92,618 of NT_167251.2, forward strand.
CTTCTCCACTGCCCCAGTTTATTCACTGGGGATGCGGTCCAGTCGGAAATGGGGCTCTGGCTCAGGGGCAGGGAAAGGGACCTGGGGAGAAAGAGGTTTCCCAACCAGGCCTGTCACAGTAAGCAGCCAGGGACAGGGAGCCTCCTGTCTCTCTCAGGCTGGGACGAGGGCTGCCATTCTAGTCATGAGAATTTCCTCTCCCAGAGGCCCTACTCCTCACCACCCTCCAGGGCAAGGATTATTATTAACTCAGCTCCTGGAGAGGGAACTGCAGAATACGTGATGTTAGAAACAAAGGACAGGTCCCCTGGGGCGGGGGTGCAGCGTTGGCCTTGAGCCCTGAGAATGGTAGCCCCAATTCTTCCCAGGTCCTCCTTCTTGGGGCTTGCCTACAGTAAGGGTCCCACAGCACTGCCAACAACTGCACCAATATCACCTCTCTGGCTCTGGGTTCCTACCTCTATTAATACAGCCAAAAGCTGCACTCAGTGTTGGCTCATAGGGAATTAAGGGTCAAAAACCCCCAGGTCATTTCCAGGTCAATAGTTGTCAGAGAGCTGGCAGGCATCACTAAGCCCCTTCCCTCCTTCTCCCCAACCCCGCCACTCACCTCCAGCACATTCTTCCTACTGGATTTGTCTTTGGGGGCCCAGGAGAGAGTGGCCCCCCTCAGCTCCACTGTGTACTCAGGGGTGGAAAACTTGGAAGGCTGCCTCTGTGGGAGAGGGAGGAAGGTCACAGGGAGCCCTCAGTTCAGATGTGTCTGCTGTGGCACTCTGACCCTAGGAATAGGATGGGGTCACTGGCATGGCCAGGAAACAACTCTGGGGAAAAGTGCCCCAAGTGTTCCTGAACCCAGAGACCCTGATGCTTCTTAACCATGGAGCCTGCTGGCTGGCATGTCCACTGCTGCCCACCCACCCAGGGGAGGACAGGAAAGGAGTGCAGTCTGCATCCCTGCAAGCAGGTGTGCCCACCCCCAGCCTCCCTGCCCTCCAGGCTGGAGCTGGCCACCCTCAAGACTGTTCCCCATCTCCAGTGGGCTAAAACTACTTGTCTTGGAGTGAATCTGCCAGTATCACCCCCTTCCTGCCAAGGCCCAGCTCCTCTGACACTCATGGACCACTCTCTCAGACCTGGTCATCTCCAAGCCAGATTAGATAGAGCAGATGGGGGCTGGGCACAGTGGCTCACGCCTGTAATCTCAGCACTTGAGGAGGTCGAGGTGGGCAGATCACCTGAGGTCAAGAGTCCAAGACCAGTCTGGCCAACATAGTAAAACCCTATCTCTACTAAAAACACAAAAATTAGCCGCACATGGTGGCACATGCCTGTAGTCCTAGCTACTCGAGAGGCTGAGGCAGGAGCACTCAGGAGGCAGAGGTTGCAGTGAGCCGAGATTACACCACTACACTCCAGCCTGGGTGACAGAGCGAGACTCCGTCTCAAAAAAAATAAAAATAAAAATAAAAAAAAGCAGATGGGATGGTCCCTGCCCTGAGGGCCTGGCCTTACCAGGCCGCCTGCAGCCGAGGTCTTTGAGTCCTTGAAGAATGTCAGGACGCCACCCTCCAGCACAGTCCAGGAGGCACTCCAGTGCTTCTTCCTAGGTGGGGGTGGGGAAGTGGGGGTGGCAGGACTTAGATTTGGTCCTGGGCTGAGGGCCCCTCCTACCCCAGGAACAAGTCAGAGCTTAGGAACACAGGCTAGGGCACCCCATTATGAGGGCTGGAATCCCGACTCTAACACCTAGCAGCCGAGGGACCTTGAGCAAGTCACTTTATCTCACAGTGTCTCAGGGTCCACAGAGGACCACTCACGAAGTTGTTGTGAGGATTAATAAGAGCCTGGCATACAGGAAGTGCTCAGTGAACATCGTCACCAAGGCCCACCCTGCCCCGGCCTGAGTGTAGATGGGCTCTCACCGGAGCCGCTTTCCCTTGTCTGCCGTCTTGGTGCGATGGAGCACCCCTGCCTTGTCCAAGGTCTTGGTCTAAGAGAGAGAAGAGAGAGCAGGCGCAAGAGTGTGTAGTTAAGGGGTGAGCTATGGGGAGTAGAGGCTGGTCACCTGCTCAGCTGCCACTCTCTATGGTCTGGGCCCGTGTCTCCACTGAACCCTCCTCGCCAGCACCACCACCTGGCTGGGGGTAGGGGGTGATGCCTACCCTCACAGCAGCTGTGGCAGGAGAGACTTCCTCCCAGCTCCCAACCTCATCCAGCTCTGCTGGGACCTATGGGGGAAGACAGATAGATCCCACCAAGTCCCTCCTCCCAGGAACTCCAGAAGCCCCCCACTGCTTCTGTGGTGGTCCTGCCAGGACCTCAATGGCTCCTCCCCTACCTTCTCCTCTGGAGGGCTGGCCTGGGCTGGGGTGTCACCATCCTGGCTGGATTTATGGATGCTTCGAGGGGCAGGGACAGGGACCTGGGGAGAAAGACACAGTCGTATATGATCTCTTCCTCTCTCCCCAACACCCCCCTTTCCCCAGGTTGTTACCTGGGGCAGCTCCCATCGAACAGAGGAGTCCTCTGGATTGTAGAAGTATGGCTTCCCGTGGGGGTCCTCCAGCCTCACCCACTGTGGGGAGAGGAATGGTCAGGGCCTCCAGCCCAGCTTATGAGAGGGGAGGAAAAGTTTCCCTCTAACCAGGTTCCAAGACAGCACCAGGGAGTCTGGAGGGGCAGGTGCAGGTGACTGTGTTTGGCTGGTTTAGGCTCTGTGTGGGAGCTGCGGTTTAGAGCACTGAGGCGACCTATTAGTGAGGAAGGTTGTGGGGAGGACTCTGAGGCTGTCCGGGTCCATCTGCCCCCTGCCCCTACCTGCTCCTGAGTGAAGTGGTTGGTGTAGAGCATCTGCTTGTCCTGGCTGACATGACAAGACCAGCCGGGGGGTGTGGTCAAGGGAGAGGTAGGGCCGGGCTCACCGAAAGAGCCCACGGGAGAATAGTCCTCCTCGGGGTAACTGGTCAGCGACTCGGGGTAGTCCGTCTCGGGAGTGGGGGGCTGCGGGGAACAGAAGGTGGAGTCAGAGGCTCTGAGTGCCAGTACTGCCTGCTGGCCCTGCCGTTTTGGACCAGGCCCACCCCCTTGCCTTCTGGTCCCTGAGGCTGTGGGAGCAGGAGGCGGGGTCAGAAGCGCTCAGAGGTAGCTCCGCACCTCACCCTCTGGTCCCTGGGGCTGTGGGAGCAGAAGGCGTCAGAGGTAGCCCCGCCCACTCCAGCCCTGCCCCTCACCTTCTGGTCCCTGGGTCTGCAGAAACAGGAGGCGGGGTCAGAAGCGCTTAGAGGTAGCCCCACCCATCCTGCCCCACCCCTCACCCTCTGGTCCTTAGGTCTGTGGGAGCAGGAGGTGGGGTCAAAGGCGCTCAGAGGTAGCCCCGCCCACTCCAGCCCCGCCCTTCACCCTGGGGTCCCTGGGTCTGTGGGAGCAGGAGAAGGGGTCAAAGGCTCTCAGAGGTAGCCCCGCCCACCCATCACCACCCCCTCACCCGTGTGTCCCTGGGCCTCTGGGAGCAGGAGGCGGGATCAGAGGCGCTCAGAGGTAGAACCGCCCACTCTGGCCCTGCCCCTCACCCGCGGGTCCCCTGGGCTGCCAGGGCTCAGGCCCGGCTGCATCTCCAACTCCTCCTCGGGCTCGTTCTCGGCCTCGTCCTCCCAGGCCGTCTCGCCCGTCAGCGGGTTGTAGAAGAACACCCTGCGGCTCTCCTCATCCCAGTACTGGCCCCACTCGGTCTCAAGGCTCACGTGGCTGTCCACCGAGGCAGGGGAGGTGGCTGGGCTGGCGGCACCCTCGGCAGCCTCAAAGGGCGACTCCCAGGTGGTAACTCCCGTGTCTGGGTTGTAGTAGTAGGGGCGCCCGGTGCCCGCGTCCGTGTGCGTCTCCCACACCGGGCTGGGAAGGGGGGCTGCAGCGGCGCCCGGTGAAGTGGCCCGGGGCTGCCTCTCTATGTTCGCGTACACGGGCTCCGGTGGGTCGTCCACCTGCGGGAGGAGAAAGGAGGAATTTTGTGTTTTCAGAAACCTTCCAAAATGGTAACAGAGGTCCCCTCTGGGCAGTGCGATTATAGGGGTTTATTTGTTTTTGCTTTATTTTCTTTAAACTTTTCTGCAGCCTCAAAATTTTGTACAACAAAGCATTTTAAAAATCACGTAAGTTCTTCTGCTCACTGTGACACCATCACTAAGCCGTAAACTCCTTGAAAGGGGAAGTGCCTGTTAGAAGTGGCCTCTTCTTGAGCTTTAGCCCCTTGGGCGACCTTCAGGAAGTCACACTACCTCTCTGCCTCAGTTTCCTGGGTGTAAAATGTCTGCTCTGTCCATTCCGGAAACTGTAGTGAAGAGTGAATGAGGAAATGCTCTTGAAAGTACTTTGTAAAGTATTTAGTGCCCCAGACGGGTGGGTCAATTACATTAATTATATTTATCAATAATAATAAAACATCGATAACCCAGTTCTCACAACTGTGCACTCACAGAGGCAAGTCAGAGGTTGGGCAGGAACTGAGAAGTGGTCTGGGGCGTGCCCCTGTTTATGGTGCCCATTCAGGGCCCTGCTGCATTCTTTTTTTTGAGATGGGGTCTAGCTCTGTCACCCAGGCTGGAGTGCAGTGGCGCAATCTTGGCTCACTGCAACCACCACCTCCTGGATTCAAGCTGCATTCTTACAGCTCCACTGAGAGCTCCCACCCCACCCCACTCTCAGCCCAGAAAGCTCTGGGATTGGAATCAGCACCCTGTCTGGATTTGGGGACTGAACTTTCCAAGGTGAAGTTTGCAGGTGTCAGAACCAATTCCAGACAAGAGAGGGAGACAGGACAGCCAGATGGGCTGGAGAATGGAGGGGCAAAGAGAGGTGAATTGTTTTACTCCACCCCAAAGGAGAGTGAGGGCAGCTGGGGGTTCAATCACATAGAACATAAACCTAGCCATGCGTAAGCCTCCCGGAACAGAGGCTCTCCTGATTCACACCTCAGAGCTCCCTGCTGGCTGCAGGGCAAAGTCTAAGCCCTTAACCAGGCACAAGAGACTGTCCCTCACCGGCCTGTGCTTCCACTATTATTTCCTGCCACTCCTTGCCCCTTGCCTTGAACTTTAAGCTCCAGTAGCACCAGTTGCTAGAGGTCCCCACCTTCCCTGCTGTGTTTCCTCCAGGCCTAGGCTCATCTGCAGCCTGCCCAGGCCCATCTCCACCCCTTTTTTTGCCTGGCTGACTCCAATTCCTTCTTCAGGATTCAGCTGAGGTGCCAGGTTCCAGCCTTTTCCTGAGATTCCCCCCATCCCCGTGCCCCCACATTCAGCCCAGCACCCTTGGCCCCACAGAGGGACAGATGACTACATTCTCAAACCCCAGGCAGCAGCATGGCATACGGAGATTACTACTATTTTCTTTTCTTTTCTTTTTCTTTTTCTTTTTTTTTCTTTTTTTTTTTTTTTTGAGACGGAGTCTCGCTCTGTCGTCCAGACTGGAGTGGAATGGTGTGATCTCGGCTCACTGCAACCTCCGCCTCCTGGGTTCAAGCGATTCTCATGCCTCAGCCTCCCAAGTAGCTGGCATTGCAGGCACGCACCACCACGCCTGGCTAATTTTTGTATTTTAGTAGAGATGGGGTTTTGCCCTGTTGGCCAGGCTGGTCTTGAACTCCTGACCTCAGGTGATCCGCCCACCAGGGCCTCCCAAAGTGCTGGGATTACAGGTGTGAGCCACCGCACCTGGCCAATTACTACTATTTTCTAAGCATACACAATACTTCAGGGGAAAGCAGATTTCCACATTTCAATTTTGTGTTTTCGGAAACTTTCCAAAATGCTAACAGAGGTCCCTTCTGAGCACTGTGATTATAGGGGTTTGTTTTTGTTTTGTTTTCTTTGAACTTTCCTGCAGCCTCAAAATTTTGTACTACAAAACTTTTAAAAATTCACAGAAGTTCCTCTGCTGACTGTGACACCATCACTAAGCTGTAAACTCCTCGAAAGAGGAAGCACCTGTTCAGGGTGGTCTCTCCCTGAGCCTTAGGCAGATGCCAAAAAAAAAAAAAATTCATTTTTCACCAAACTGATGCCAAAAAAGCAAACCAAACCAAAACAAGGAAAAGAAGAAGGAAAAGAAGAACATTTGTTTACCCAACAAAGATTCACCTGCTCTGTGCCAGGCACTGTTTGAGGCACGGGGAATACAGCAGGGAAGAAAGGGACACAAATCCTTCCCTGGCAGAGCTGGCACTCAAGTGCACCTGTGTGTAAATGGTGGGGGTGATGAGTAAATGGACAGCATGTCAGTGCTGATCACTGCTAAGCAAGAAATGAAAACACTGTCAATGAAGAGGATGTTACAGTTTTAGACAGGGTGCCAGTCCCCAGGCGCCTGGGGGACAGGGAGAGCTGGGGATCCCAGCCCATCAGTTCTTCTCTCCTCTCCCCTTCCTCCAGGCTGCTGTGTGGCTGAGAGGGGACCCTCCACCCCACTTGTCCTTTCTCTACCCCCACCATAGCTCTGATGTGGCATCCTGTAGTCCAACCACAACAGGCCTCTCACCGGCCCCCAACAGAAAAGGCATCCTCCCACCTCGAAGCGTTTGCTCCAGCCATTCCCTCAGCCTGGAATTCCCTTCTCTGGTTCTCTGCCTACCCAAATCCTGCTCTCTCACGGTGCTCAGCTGACAAGCCTCTCCAGGGAGAGGTCAAACCTGCTGGCACTCTGCTCACTGCTCTGTTGAGGCCCAATGGCGTTCTGCCTTGGTGGGCAGCCAGTTGTCCAACCATCTGCCCACCTCCTCTGCCCCAAAAGGCAGGATTTTCTTGAGAGCAAGACTAAGGATAATGTAGCTGATTCCATTTGCCCCCCAGCAGCTGGGCCAATGCCCTGAAGCACATAGCAGGTCTGCCACAAACTGCTTGTGTACACAAGTCTAACCCATGCCCAGTTTCAGCAACAAACATGCCTGACATGACAGAAGAGCCTGGAATGAGCTTGAGCTTTCTGAGGAGGAGGGTCGGAGCCACAGAAACCAGGAGATTCCTGGGGAGGGCAGGATGGAAGCAGCGGGGAGAGGAAGGCAGAGGAACCAGACACACCTCCCATCCTCCCAGCTGAACGCACTGGGGCAGGAGTTGAAAGGCTCCACCAGGGGTGGATGAGCTGATAAGGAACAGGCTCTTTGGAGCAGGAATTTCTACTTGGCAGGCTGTGGGCCATGGCTCTGGGTCCACGAGGAGTCCCAGGCCAGTGAGGCTGATGGGGTCCTCACACGAAGGAATGTCCCCAGCAGGTACAGAGGAGATTTCGGAGGTAGAAGTTTAGGTCCCCAGCATGACAGGGCTGTCACAAGGAAGAGAAGATGGGGTATCATGCTGCAGGGGCACAGCAGCATTCCTCTGAAGGAAGCATTCTGAGGACTAGGGCTGCCAGAGACACAGGCTGCTTCTGGAGGTAGTGAGGGGCCCTCACTGGAGGTGACTGAGCAGAGTCTACTCCCTGTTAGGGAAGCCATAGCCCTGTGGTGGGTGTTGAACTGCAGTGTCCTTCAGGCCCCTTCAAACTCTGGAACTCTCGGCAGACCCTGCACAGTGCTGAGATAGAGATGCTCTCCTCTCCTGGCAGAGCCTCAGCTGGGTTCTAACCAGCTCCTGGGGCCAGGTGCAGTCACGCCCTCCACATCCTCTGGCCTTCAAGGAGTTACAGGCGCCTGCCACCCCTACCCTCCTCCTTGCTCCTGTTCATGGAGGCCCAGACAAGACCCAGATGCAGCTCATAAACAGGGGCCTGACTACGGGATCAATGGCTCTTGGGTCGCATCCTAGAGACAAGAAGTGGCCTTCCCACCTCAGGCCAGAGGAGGAGCCAAGAGGGACCTGGCTCTCAGGCTCCAGGCTGCCCAGCCCCCTGGTACTGCCTTACAGTGGTTCACCCCTTATCTCCAGTTCCCTCCCCTGTCCACAAGCAGGTGGCAGCCCTGCCACTCCTGCCCCAAGCTGACCACCTCTTGGATGGGCAGGGCCTCCGAGAAGGAAAGAGAAAAGGAAGTATGAGCCCCAACTTCCAAGAGGCTCCCTGCTCTAAGCCCCAGCTCACCCAGCTCCTAACAGGGCTTGTGGTAGAGGCCCACCGGGCAACCCTTGACCCCAGCATCCCCTACCTGTGCCGGCAAGGCTCGACTCTGCCTCCTGGTCACTTTGGCGATTATGTCCACCATCCTGGCCCCTCTGAACTGCCGGGACAGAGCCCTGGGAAGGTTTTGGGGGTAGAGCCCAGGGGCACTACCCCAGTGCTGGCACAGGGCAACAGGGAAACAAGAAGTTGCCGAGATGGCGGGAGGCTGAGACTCCAGCCCATTTCCTGTCAGGGCTGCGGAAGTGCTGCCTGAGTTGGGGCGGGTGGGGTGGAGGGGCCTCAGGTTGAGGGTATTTTTATGCTTCTAGAAACACTGCTGGCTGCCCCACTCAGTGCTCTAATGACCAGTGAGCCGCATCCGAGGCCCAGACATAGCCATGGTGTGGGCTGCACAGGGGAAGATCACGGCCAGACCCAGCCACAGCATGAACTGCACAGAGAGAATCACGGCTGAGCCTGTGGGGGAGGGGCGCGCTTGCACAGACAGGGTGGGCAGAGGGGGCGCTGAGTGCTGGGGGCCTGGGCTGGCCTGGAGTGGCTCCTGGGGCGGAAACAGGACAATGAGTGGTTGTCCACTCCCTCTAGGCCCAGGGAGGGTGTAATGGGAAAGAGGAAGCTTGTGGGGGGGAGGGGAAGAGTTCCCAAAGAGGAAGGGGTCTGGGCAGATGTGATATCACAGGGAGCTGGCATCTGGACTGTGCCAGCCCCGAGGAGGACAGGAAGGATTCTGACCACATCACTATCTGCCCGCCTGACCACCTGGGTCTGTCTCCTCCAGACTCGGTCACCAAGATGCATATGCCCTCCCATGCCTGCATGCCCACATGTGCCCACTCTCACTTGCGTGTCCACATACGTGTACAAGTATGCCCGTGCCTGTCCCCTCCTCTCTAAGGACCCAGAGAAGAGGGCCAGGCACCAGCTTCTTCCAGGAGGAAGGTTAAATCTTCTTCCTGGCCTCTCTTCCCTTCACCCCCTCGTGTGGGGATGACAGACCCCAGCCACGCACAGTGGACACATGCCCTGAGTAAGAAGTTACAGCCCCTCCTCTGAGCCCATGGGTCCATCTTGTCTTCCCTCCTCCCTTAGAAGTGCTTCCTCCCCAGGCTTAAGGGCCAGGCAGCACTAAGCCCACCAGCCCACCCCTGCTGAAGTCCACCTCCTTTCCTGGTCAGGCTCTGACCCCCACCCTTCCACTCTAGGCCCATTCTTCCTCCTCCGGCCCCCACCCTGGATCTCTTTTTCTCCCCTGCCATGTCTCTCAGCCCCTCTTCTCCTGTACCCACTGTGGGCTGGGGACAAGGACCCCAAGCAGAGCCAGGCACAGTGTGAATGTGGGGCACGAGACACTTGTAGAGATCACACTAGGAGCAAGACTGGGCCCCATGCCCTGCTCTGCCCACAAAAGCTCTCATACCAGTGTCCCATCCCCTGTACCCGACTCAGAAGCCCAGACCCCAGGGGTAGACTAATCCCCTCCTCGCTATCAGGGTGGAGGACAGCAGGAATCACAGAAGGCTGGAGGCCTCATGCTTATCACACACCTGACCCATCTCTCTGTCCCCACCCTGAGGCCAGGGATGAGGACTCACACACACACACACACACACACACACACACTACACACGTGTGCGTGCATATGACAGGTCACCAAGGGTTATGCAACCAGGCCTCAGAGACAGGAATAGCCTCTGTAAATTCCAGAGAGGCCAGAAACTCTGAGCCACCAGGGAGGAGCTGGGTGGAGAGGGGAGAGAAGAGGACAGGTGTGGAACTCAGGCCCTCAGCATTGCCCTGCAGGTAGCATGGGGGGCAGGGACTCCCTATGGCAGAGCCAGGAGTGTCAGTGTCAGGGCTGGGACTGCAGAATGGGCAGCCAGCAACTCACCTGGCATCTCACCTGCTTCTCTTCCCCAGTAGGAAGCTGGGCCCCCATGATGGGGGTCTCCCAGGGGGCTCCAGCCCCAAACTATAGGGAGTGAACAAACTCACACAGTTCCTGCCTGCTCTTGGCCACAGAAGTTGGCTCTCAGGCCCTGTCTCGGATTCCCTCCCCCCAGTGAGAGGAGGTGATGACCACAGTGGCTCCCCAGAGGGGTCCACCTCCCTCCACCACACCCTCATGCCTCTGAGAGGCACAAGGGGGAGGGTCAGGAGAGGTTCTAGAACAAACCAGCTGCACAACACCCCTCCTTTCCCCACTCTGACCTCACTCTTCCCTCCCAAACCCTCATAGGAAGTGCTGGGGCAGGAGCAGGTGCACTAGGAAGACCCAGTCCTCTGGGGCTAGAGGCAAAATGAACGCCTCCAAACCAGGACTTGGCCCAGGAACTGGCTCAGGGGCTGGCGAGGGGACATGGTGTCCTTTGTTGACTCAGTGAGTCTGCTCTGTGCCACCCAAGCCAGGTGGAGGGAGAGCCAGAAGGAATGGTGATCTTTGCCTCAAGGAGCTCAGTCATGTCCACACGACAGGTCCCTCCCCCAAACACATGTTCTCCAGGACAGAAACTGGGTCTCCCTTTAACCATCCCGGCCTGGCCCAGAGCTACATGTCCAGGGGCAGGATCGGAGGAGCTGGGGGTGACCCCACAGGATCCTGGGCCTCAGGCCTCAGTAGGCTTTGGGGAACTGTGCCTAGCTCAGCCCTCTGAGATTCTGATGGAAGTGGTTTGGGCCGGGACCTGGGGAAAGTGTTTAATTTTAAGCCTCCTTGGGTGATTTGACTGTGCCTCCCAGGTGTGGCACCACGGCTCAGTATAATCTTTTTTTTTTTTTTTTTTTTTTTAATGGAGTCTCACTCTGTCACCCAGGCTGGGGTGCAGTGGCTCGATCTCAGCTCACTGCAACCTCTGCCTCCCAGGCTCAAGTGATTCTCCTGCCTCAGCTTCCTGAGTAGCTAGGATTACAGGTGCCTGCCACCATGCCCAGCTAATTTTTGTACTTTTAGTAGAGATGGGGTTTCATCGTGTTGGCCAGGCTGGTCTCAAACTCCTCACCTCAAGTGATCCGCCGCCTTGGTCTCCCAAAATGCTGGGATTACAGGCATGAGCAGCCCGGCTGACTCAGTGTAATCTTATTGCATGGATGTGGGGTGAGATTCCAAATGTAACGGTTTCAGGTGAGACCCTTTTCTTGGGCTTGGGGCAGAAGCTTCCATTGATTCAGAGGGAAAAAGAGTGGAGCCGGAGACCAGAGACTTGGACTCTTGTCTAGACTCTACTTCAGCTTCTCGCTGAGCAGCTGCTTGAATTTCTGGGCCTCAGTTTCTTCATATGTAGAACAGAGCTGTCAACCCTACTCCGTCACAGGGCTGGTTCTATGAAAGAACTGAGCGGGCCTTGGGTTCCCACACCCATGGGGATTGGGGGAAAGCAGGCCTGCACTTCTGCTTTTCTGACTTCGGGTTTCGATTGGGTGCCCTCAGCTCTGGACTCTGTCCCCAGCCTCTGGGTGACCTCATGGGGCTGCTTGCCTGGCCTGCTCCTCCAGGGCGGGGTGGGAGCTGGGGTGGGGCATCCTCAGGGCTCACAACGCTTGTGCTCTAAGTAAGGCTGGCAGACACCCAGCAGGGCTGCTGGGGCCAGGAGGGATCAGAAATGGTCCATGAGGGGCTGGGTGCGGTGGCTCAGGCCTGTAATCCCAGCACTTTGGAAGGCCGAGGCAGGAGGATCACTTGAGGTCAGGAGTTTCAGACCAGCCTGGCCAACATAGCGAAACCTTGTCTCTACTAAAAATACAAAAATTAGCTGGGCGTGGTGGCGTGCGCCTGTAATTCCAGCTACTCGGGAGGCTGAGGCAAGAGAATTGCCTGAACCTGGGAGGCAGAGGTTACAGTGAACCAAGATCGCACCATTGCACTCCAGCCTGGGTGACAGAGCGAGACTCCATCTCAAAAAAAAAAAAGAAATGGTCCATGAGGGAACCTCCCAGCCAGCGAAGGCTGTAGGGATGAGCCAGACTAGGGAGGTGGGAAAATGAGACCAAGGAATGATCACCTTCTGCCCTCCCCCTCAAACGTATCTGTGTTTGCACCCACCATTCCTTCCCCCTCCCCCAGTGGAAGGCACAGGGGCCTGCCGTCCAAGCCAACCTCCTCAGCCCGGTCCTGAAGGACCCCATAGCCTCCCGCTTGCTCGGAAGTGGCCTCACCTCAAATTTCCAACCCTTCCTTTCTGACTACCTTTGTCCCTTTCTCATTTCAACAAACTCAAGGCCTCTCCATGTTGGTTTTTTTTTTTTTTAGACAGCGTCTTGCTCTGTCACCCAGGCTGGAGGGCAGTGGCACGATCATGGTTCACTGCAGCTTTGACTTCTTGGACTCAAGCAATCCTTCTGCCTCAGCCTCCCAGGTAGCTGGCTAGCTGGCAGTACAGGCCCACACCACCACGCCCGGCTAATTTTTTTTTTTTTTTTTTTTAGAGACAGGGTCTGACTATGTTGTCCAGGCTGGTCTTGATCTCCTGAGCTCAAGAAATCCTCCCACCTCAGCCTCCCAAAGTGCTGGGATTACAGGCCTGAGCCACTGCACCCAATTGGTCTCTCCATCTTAAAAAGAAAATGTTGACTGGGCACAGTGGCTCACGCCTGAAATCCCAGCACTTTGGGAGGCTGAGGCAGGTGGATCGCTTGAGGTCAGGAGTTCAAGACCAGCCTGGCCAACATGGTGAAACCCCATCTCTACTAAAAATACCAAAAAAAAAAAAAAAAAAATAGGCGTGGTGGCAGTTGCCTGTAGTCCCAGCTGCTTGGGAGGCTGAAGCAGGAGAACCACTTGAATCCCAGAGGTTGCAGTGAGTAGAGATCACACCATTGCTCTCTAGCCTGGGTGACAGAGAGAGAGTCCATCTCAAAAAAAAAAAAAAAAAAAAAGTTTTGTTCCCTGGACCCAGCTCTGCATCTCCTTTTAACAACTAATTCCTTTTTCCCTTCCTCCTTTTTGAGCCAACTTCTCTGTTCCCTCACTTAGACAATCAGCCCACTGCTTAGAGGCCTTCTACCACTTCCTTGATGATAGATCTGGTCCTCCTCTGGCCTGACTTCTCTCCAGTGTTTGCTCTTTAAAATCCTCTCCTTCTTGGGCTTCCTCAGGCCAGGCCTCCTAGTTTTCCTTCTTTTTCTTTGCTACTGCTCAGCAATTGGGCCCCAGGCTCCACCTCCTCTGCCACGGCCTCATGCTTGGTGTCTCACCTGGCTTCTCACTCCACCGCCTTGGGAGAGCCCAGCCCCACCGGCTGTAGATCAACAACTCGCAGCACAGTCTCCAGGCTCACATAGCCCATTGCCATCTGGATGTCCTTTGTACATGTCGAAAACCGTGTGCCCCAAATCAAATTTGTCCTCTCCCTCCTCCTTCCCCGATCTTAGCATCTGAGTGACATCTACCTCTGTCACTCAAGGTAGAATCATCCTTGCCTCCTGCTGGCTTTGCCTCATCTGACACTGAGCCCCATTGATCCGACCAGCCTAAGCCTTGCAGACCTGCCTACCAGTTCTCAGGTAACACCAAGGTTAGAGGAAGACAGAAACACTGCTGCAAGGAAGCAAATAGACACCTTGCAGGCAGGGCAATGAGTCAATGTCCAGGCAGAAAGAAAGGGTAGGGCTCTTCAAGGGAGATTGAAGAGACAGCCAGATACAAGGCATGGACTTGGACGGGATCCTGAACCAAACAAACCAGCTGTGAGAGAGATGTTTTAGGATAAGGCAGAAATCTGACGATGGCTTAGGTCATAGATGACACTAAGGAATTATTGTTAATTTTCTCAGATATAATAATGGTAGGGTGTTTACTTTTCAGAGATGCATGCTGAAGTTTTTGTTTTTTTTTTTTTTGTTTGTTTTTTGTTTTTTTGAGACGGAGTCTGGCTCTGTCGCCCAGGCTGGAGTGCAGTGGCATGATCTCGGCTCACTGCAGGCTCCGCCTCCTGGGTTCACGCCATTCTCCTGCCTCAGCTTCCCGAGTAGCTGGGACTACAGGCGCAGGCCACCAGGCCCAGCTAATTTTTTTGTATTTTTTTTTTTTTAGTAGAGACGGGGTTTCACCGTGTTAGCCAGGATGGTCTCAATCTCCTGACCTCGTGATCCGCCCACCTCAGCCTCCCAAAGTGCTGGGATTACAGGCGTGAGCCACCGCGCCCAGCCTCATGCTGAAGTTTTTAGGGGTGAAATATGATGTCTAGAATTTATAATTCATCAGCAATAAATAAATAAAAATAAACATGGCAAATATTGTTTTTTCTCTTTTCTCTCTCTCTCTCTTTTTTTTTTCTAGTAGAGCAGCCAGCAAGGAGTTGGCTCCTTGCTATTGTTAAATCTAGGCAATAAGTAACTGTATTCTTTTTTTAATTTTTTTTTGAGATGGAGTCTAGCTCTGTCGCCCAGGCTGGAGTACAGTGGCGCAATCTTGACTCACTGCAACCTCTGCCTCCCAGGTTCAAGCAATTCTCTGCCTCTGCCTCCAGAGTAGCTGGGATCACAGGCGCCCACCACCACACTCAGCTAATTTTTTGTATTTTTAGTAGAGACAGGGTTTCACAATCTTGGCCAGGCTGGTCTCAAACTCCTGACCTTGTGATTCACCCGCCTCAGCCTCTCAAAGTCCTGGGATTACAGGCGTGAGCCACCGCGCCCGGCCTGTATTCATTTCTTAAAAATATTATTGGCCGGGCGCGGTGGCTCATGCCTGTAATCCCAGTATTTTGGGAGGCTGGGGCAGGCGGATCACCTGAGGTCGAGAGTTTGAGACCAGCCTGACCAACATGGAGAAACCCCGTCTCTACTAAAAATACAAGAAAATTAGCTGGGCATGGTGGCCCATGCTTGTAATCCCAGCTACTTGGGAGGCTGAGGCAGAGAATCACTTGAACCCAGGAGGCGGAGGTTGTGGTGAGCCGAGATCGAGCCATTGCACTCCAGCCTGGGCAACAAAAGCTAAACTCTGTCTCAAAAAAAAAAACAAAAATTATTTTTGGCTGGGCGTGGTGGCTTATGCCTGTAATCCCAGCACTTTGGGAGGCCGAGGCAGGCAGATCACCTGAGGTCAGACTTTCAAGACCAGCCTGACCAACATGGCGAAACCCCTCCTCTATTAAAAATACAAAAATTAGTGGGGCATGGTGGCATATGCCTGTAATCCCAGCTACTTGGGAGGGTAAGGCAGGAGTATCACTTGAACCCGGGAGGCAGAGGTTGCAATAAGACAAGATTGTGCCATTGCACTCCAGGCTGGGCGACAGAGCAAGACTCAGTATCAAAAAAAAAAAAATTCTTTTTGTCTGGGCATGGTGGCTCACACCTGTAATCCCAGCACCTTGGGAGGCAGAGGTAGGTGGATCATTTGAGATCAGGAGTTCGAGACCAGCCTGGCCAACATGGTGAAACTCCGTCTCTACTAAAAATACAAAAATTAGCCAGGTGTGGTGGCACTTGCTACTCGGGAGGCTGAGACATGAGAATCGCTTGAACCTGGAAGGTAGAGATTGCAGTGAGCTGAGATTGTGCCACAGCCCTCCAGCCTGGGTGACAGAGCAAGATTCTGTCTCAAAAAAAAAAAAAAAATTTTGGCCGGGTATGGTGGCTCACGCCTGTAATCCCAGCACTTTGGGAGGCGGAGGCGGGTGGATCACAAGGTCAGGAGATCAAGACCATCATGGCTAACAGGGTGAAACCCCGTCTCTACTAAAAATATAAAAAAATTAGCCGGGCACAGTGGCAGGCGCCTATAGTCCCAGCTACTTGGGAAGCTGAGGCAGGAGAATGGCGTGAACTCGGGAGCGGAGATCGTGCCACTGCACTCCAGCCTGGGCGACAAAGCGAGACTCTGTCTCAAAAAAAAAAAAAAAAATTTTTTTTACTTTTCTTCATGTTGGACATTTTCTTTTTTTTTCAGTTTTAAATTTGTTTACTTATTTTTAATATAGAGGCGAGGTCTCACTGCGTTTTTCAGGCTGGTCTTGAACTCCTGAGTTCAAGCAGTCCTCCCGCTTCGGCCTCCCAAAGTGCTAAGATTATAGGTGTGAGCCACCAGGCCCAGCCTATTTGGACATTTTCATAATAAAAAGTAAAAAAAAAAAAAAAAAAAATCCCTTAAACTTTTTTACTATTCTCCATCCTCACTGTCACTACCATATAAGCGTGTGGTCTCAGCTATTTGGGAGGACCAAGCGGGAGGACTGCTTGAGCCCAGGAGGTTGAGGCTGCAGTGAGCCGTGATCGCACCACTGCACTCCAGCCTGGGTGACAGAGCGAGACCCTGTCTCAAAAAAGAAAAGAAAAGAAAGTTGTTCATTATTTCTCACCTGGAAACAGACTTGCCCTTCCAGCTCCCCCCACCCCCGAAGTGTTACAAAGTAGTTCCTCTCCCTTTCAGACACAGCTCTGGAGCCAGGATTCTGGGAATAAGGCCACTTAAACACGCCCTGTTTCCCCTCTGCTGCCAACTGCGACCTGCTACTGCCTGAGTCAAGCAGAGGCTGGGACAGTGGGTGGGTGGGACCTGGCTGGCACAGGTGAGAGGCTGTGTCTGAGGTGGAGGCTCCCAGGGGAACCTTGGGGCAGGCTGGCCCATCATGGGACCCTGGGGAGAAGGCAGGGTGGCTTTTGTACCCTTGAGCCCAGGAGCTGAGGAGGGCCAAACAGGTGGGCCAGGTAGTCTCTACCCGTAAGGCCAGGGCACCAAGGAGACAGGGAGAATTCCTGCTGGTGTTTTGACATCACAGATGCCCCATGCCCACAGGCCCACTGGCAGAGACCACCATCTCTTCTCCACTCTAGGGCCCCCCCACCAAGTGGGTACTCCTGCAGCTCGACCCCAGCTCTGGGGAGCAAAGTCATATAAACTCACTCTGTGACAGCTCAGCAGGGGGAACAGAGAGAACCACCAAACCAGCTGCCGCCACCAGACCCCAGCACAGCCGGGACCCAGGACGCACTAAAGATGCCATCACAGGTCATGGGGAAAGACAAACTTGTCAGTGAAAGGTCACAGGACAACTGGCTGCCCATCCAGAGATAAACATAAATAAACAAGTATATAAGTAAGGGAGGGTCCACATCTCACTCTGTCCATGCACAATAACCCTCAAAGGATTAAAGATTTAAGTTTTTAAAAACGAAGCCATAAATACAAAGAAGAAAACAAAATCTAATATGCTGTATGTATATACCTATATATAAGCCTATATATTTTATATATGTGTCTCTTTATATAGATAAAAGACTTCAATATGCTGTATGTACATATAAATATATATAATATATACTATGCTGTGTGTGTATATATATAAAAGACTTATGCTGTATGTATGTATATATATATATATATATATATATGACTTTGTAACAAAGATGCAAAATATAAAAGCCATAAAATAAATGAGTGATACATTGGACTACATAAGTATATTTTAAGAAAACTTGTGTGGCAAAATAATGCTATTAGCAGAGTCAAAAGACAACTCAGGGTGGGGGAGGGAATTACAACTCATGTAATAATAGACAAAGGATTATTTTCCCTAGTATAGAAAAAGCTACTAGAACTCAATAAGAAAAAAGCCCAACAACCCAATACAGAAACAGGCAAAGGATATAAATAGACCATTCACAGAAAAAAAAGGGGAGGAACAAACAGCCCTTAAATATATGAAAAGATAATCTTACTGGAAAGAGAAATGCAAATTTAAAGTACCTTAAGATAATACATTTTATGGTCAGGTTGGCAGAAAACAAAAGTTTGACAACAGTCAGTTGGCAAGGCTTTGGGGACCAGACACTAATTTGTGTTGGTGAGGGCACATTGGTATACGCCTCATGGGACATACTCATCAAATATCTAATATTTATCTTTTGACCCCAAAATCCCACTTCTGCAATTTTTCCTACTTCTACCTGTACATATATAACAGTATTCATTATGACATTGTTGTAACAGCAAAAAATGGGAAATATTCCAAATGCCTGTCAACAGGAGACTGGTAAAATGGATTATTTGTAGTTGTAGGGAAGGAGACAGAACCTCTCTAGGTACAATCTCCAAGATACATTGTCAAAGAAATAAAAAGTAAACAAGGTTTTTGTTTTGTTTTGTTTTGTTTTTTACCTTGTTTTACACATAGGACGGTGTTGCTTGAGAGAGAAAATTAAGTAATCAGATACATAATTATACTAGTTTGTACTCAGAAACTTTGGAAGAATGAAGAAAGAATGAATGAAAGTGGTGACTTTTGAGTTGATGGAGAACAGAGCAGGGAAACAGTGTACATGTGACATTTTTACTATAGACTTTAAAATATTGCTTTGATTTAAAAAAAAACCTGTAAAAATACTATCTAGTAAAATAAATTCAAGGCTATTGGCAAAATAGAGGGGCTGGAGAATGCAATTACAACTTGAATACAAACTCTTAAGGAGACTCAAATCAAGCAGAGTTTTAAAAAAGGACTGATTTTGGCCGGGCGCAGTGGCTCACGCCTGTAATCCCAGCACTTTGGGAGGACGAGGCAGGCGGATCATGAGGTCAGGAGATTGAGACCATCCTGGCTAACACGGTGAAACCCCGTCTCTACTAAAAATACAAAAAATTAGCCGGGTGTGTTGGGGGGCGCCTGTAGTCCCAGCTACTCAGGAGGCTGAGGCAGAATGGCGTGAACCCGGGAAGCGGAGCTTGCAGTGAGCCGAGATCATGCCACTGCACTCCAGCCTGGGCGACAGAGCAAGACTCCATCTCAAAAAAAAAAAAAAAAAAAGACTGATTTTTAGAACTTAAAATATGTCATTGTACTAGTTGAAGGAGAAGAAATTCACTCTTGAGATTCAAATTTGCAGCCTGGAAGGTCAAGAAGAAACATCAAACCTCAGAGCAAAAGTACAACAAGAATGAAATAAAGAGACCAAAGATAAACTGGGGGGGACCCAGTTGGGAGCGCTCACATGCAAAGGAAAGAAAAGGTAAAAGAAACAATAATCGAGCAACAGTCCGGGCGCAGTGGCTCATGCCTGTAATCCCAGAACTTTGGGAGGCCAAGGCAGGCAGATTGCTTGAGCCCAGAAATTTAAGACCAGCCTGGGCAACAAGGTGAAACCTTGTCTCTCCATAAAATACAAACAAAATTAGCTGGGCATGGTGGCGTGCGCCTGTATTCCCAGCTTCTCAGGAGACTGAGGTGGGAGGATCACTTGAACCCAGGAGGTCGAGGCTGCAGTGAGCCGTGATCGTGCCATAGCACTCCAGCCTGGGTGGCACAGTAGACCCTGTCTCAAAAAAATAAAAAATAAAGAAACAATAATCAAATCAAGCAACAAATAGATGTTCCTAAGCTGAGAAAAGACCGGAGTCTACAGAGTGACAGGTTCTGTAAGCTCCAAATGAGGGTGCTGAGAAAAGAATCCCCATCGAGGCATGTGCTAAAGAATATGTGTTTGATTAGGAACCCCAGAGAAGGGACAGCTGCCAATAATGAAATGGAAAGTGTAACAGGAAGAAAAAGGAAATCGATAACCAGATCAGAGGGAAAAAAACTGCAAGATAAACCAATAAATGTAAAATAAGCCAAAGGTAATCAAATCAAGTACAGTAGATCAATTGTTAAATGAAATGTGAACAGATTGAATTCTCCCACTAAAAGACAAAGAGTCAGCTTGGGTTTAAAAATACAGTGATAGGCTGGGTGCAGTGCCTCATACCTGTAATCCCAGCACTTTGGGAGGGTGAGGCAGGTGGATCACTTGAGGTCAGGAGTCTGAGACCAGCCTGACCAATGTGGTGAAACCCTATCTCTACTAAAAATACAAAAATTAGTTGGATGTGGTGGCGTGTGCCTGTAATCCCAGTTAATCAGGAGGTTGGGGCAGGAGAATCAGTTGAATCTGGCAGGCGGAGGTTGCAGTGAGCCAAGATCGCACCACTGCACACCAGCCTGAGTGACACAGCGAGACTCCATCTCAAAAAACAAACAAAAATCCATGAAAATAATAAAAATACAGTGGTGGCGGGCAACACGAAGAAACCCCATCACTACAAAAAATACCAAAAAAAAAAAAAAATTAGCTGGGCATGGTGGCACGTGGGCCATGTGGTCCCACGTTCTCAAGGTGCTGAGGCAGGAGAATTGCCTCAGCCAGGGAGGCTGAGGCTGCAGAGAGCCATGATCACACCACTGCACTCCAACCTGGGCAACAGAGGGAGACCCTATCTCAAACAAAACAAAACAGTGATGTGACATATACAAGAAATTAGTAGTTTCAAAAAATGGTAATAGTAGGAAATAAAAGAATGCTAAGCAAGTACAAAAAAAAGATAAAGTAAAATAAGGAGTGGTCATATAAACAATAGAAGGGTGAAATTTAAGGTTAAGCACTAGAATAGGATAAAGAGGGACACCACGTAATGATAGAAAAGCACAATTTGTAACGAAAGAACGCTCGAAATCTGCATCCTCCTGACAGCATCGTAGTTAAATATAAAAAGCAAAAACTAGGAAAAGCCCCAGAAGAGCTTTATAGAGAAAATGTGAGAGGAAGGTTTAACATAACACATCTCTATCAGAATTAGAGTAAAAGACCCCTGCCCCCAAGCAAAGGATACAAAGGAAATGAAAGTTTGAATAATACAATCAATAAACATGATTTGATGCAGATAGTACCTTATATCCCTTAAATAGAAAATATGCATTTTTCCGGCCAGGCGTGGTGGCTCACACCTGTAATCCCAGCACTTTGGGAGGCTGAGGTGGGTGGATCACTTGAGGTCAGGAGTTCCAGACCAGCCTGGCCAACATGGCAAAATCACCTCTGTACTAAAAATACAAAAATTAGCCCGGTGTGGTGGCGCACACCTGTAATCCCAGCTACTCAGGAGGCTGAGGCAGGAGAATCACTTGAACCCAGGAGATGGAGGTTGCGGTGAGCCGAGACCACGCCACTGCACTCCAGCCTGGGCGACATCTCAAAAAAATAAAATTAAAATAAAAATAAAAAAAGAAAATACGCATTTTTCTTATATGTCTGTGAAAAACTTAGCAAAATCATTTACTTAGTCACAAAGAAATTCATAATAAATTTTAAAAGTGGAGAGTTTACACATCTGGAGAAAATGAATGCTTTCCTAGTAAAATATAAAATGGCCAAAATTAACTAGAAGGTGAGTAGAAACTTAAATAAACTAATTACCATTGATGAGAAAAAAAATCTGCCACTGAAAAAGGCACCCGGTCCAGAGGGTTTCATGAGCGGGAACTGTAGAAACCTTTCGAATTCAACTCTGCCAACACCTTCCTCCTCCAGGAAGCACTCCTGGATTTCCCTCTTGCCAACAAGATTCTGGGAGGGCAGCTCCTCCAACATGCCCCCAACAGCTCTCTGCAGACATATCATATCATATCATATCTTCCATACCATAACTGCCATGCCATACAATATCATAACTGGATCTGCTGTTCAATTTCTCCTGGACAGTAAGCTACCTGAGGGCAGGAACCATCCTTTATTTTTCATTGCTCCCTAGCCCCCAGTACAGCGGCTGACATTCACTGACTAGGTGAATATGGTAAATGAAAAAGCAGAAGGCACAATCGTCATTACACTGTGATGTCTCTACGGGAACTGCCCAAGAGATACGCATAAGAAGGCAGAATAAATGGGAAGAAACCAACATGCTCACAGTCATTCGATTGAGATTTCCTCCTATTATTCAAATATTTGTAATGGAGTTAAGCTATTTTTATAGGGAGGGAATAGTAATTTACACATTTAACTGGGCCAAGGAGGAGAAAGGAAGGGGGAGGCTGGGATGATTCTGCAGGCAGGCCCTTCTGCTACCTCTGCTTCCTCTCTCTGGCCCAGTCCCTAGACAGACACGGAGGCCTGGGCAGGGGCCCCTGCCCCCCTCCTTTCATGCCTCACAGGGGACCCCCAGCCAGGAGAGGGCAAGGAGGCAGGGTGGGCACCCACAGCAGCCTCAGCTGGACAGAAGGGTCCTGCAGGCCTCACCCGGCTCAGGCAACAGCTCTGGAAGTTCCCTCAACACCAGAATCCTTCTGCAATCTGGAAACAGAGCTTCCCAAATTTTAGCAAGAGCACCTCTGTGCCTGTGCCCCAGAGCCCTAGTCCTGGCAGCCCTGTTTCCCCTTCAATATGAACCAACAGCCACTGACCTCTCACTCCCCGGCACAGATCCAGCTCCCAATCTCCCTAACATTCAGGCATGGAGACTCGACCACATCCCTGATCATCAGCTACGCCCTGGTCACGATCATGGACTTTCCCATTCCCCAGGGCCTGGCACTGACCACCCATCCAGGCTGGCATTCAGTACTGATGCCCACCCCTCCCTGTACTGGACGCAGTCAGCTCTAAGAAGGGCAGAGAAAACAGGTCTATGGGAGCTAAGCTATGAGGATGCAAAGGCCTAAGAATGATATAATGGACTTTGGGGACTTGGGAGTGGGGGAAGGGTGGGAGGGGGTGAGGGATAAAAGACTACACATTGGGTACAGTGCACACCAGTCGGGTGACGGGTGCACCAGAATCTCAGAAATAGCCACTAAAGAACTTATTCACGTAACCAAACACCACCTGCTCCGCAAAACCATTGAAATAAACATTACAAAAAACAGGTCTAGAGTGAGGTCAACTGCTGAGGCCTGGGAAGAAAGCGAGGGGGCAGGTGGGCTTGTCCTGGGGCCCATCGCAGGCCCCTGGGCGCTGAAGGGAGCCAAGGACTAAGAGGTGAGAGCCAGGCACAGGCTCCAGCGAGACCTGAAGAGATCATGGGGCCTGCAGGAGAGCCAGGGGGTGCGGGGGGTGGGCAGGGAGATCTCTGGGTGGACAGCAATGTGGGGTGAGGGTGGGAGGGAGATCCAAGAAGCTGCTGTCTCCTAAGTCAGGTCCTAGGCAGGCAGAGGGGCTCCTGGGACAGCCTGGGGCTGCAGGTGAGTCACCGGGAGGGAACTGGGTCAGGTGTAAAGAAACCAGCAGGGCCACCCCAGGGTGGCTGCCCCACCTGGGGGTTGGGGGTGGGGGGTGCCGGAGGAGGGAGTACGAGCAAGGGGCTAGCTAGAGTCCCTTCAACTTGGCCTCAGCTTCCTGCTGTTACCAACACCCCTTGCCAAAGTCCCCCTAGCTGGCCCCGAAGGGGGACAGGAGGGTCTGTCCCAAGGCCAGTTCCTTTCTCTCAGTCACAGTGGCCTCGGGCTGCCCTTGGAGTTTGTCCTAGGAAGTGGGTGCTGGGCCTGGATCCAGAGGGGAGGGGCCCCCAGATGGGTTTTAGGATTCGGGAAAGGGAGGGGAGAGATTGGGGAAACTGCTGTGGCCACCCCCTAGTCCCCCAGGGGCGAGGACTCACTCAGTTCCCAGTGGAGGAGAAGGAATGAGGGCCCCGGGCTCCTTCCAGTCGGGGCTGCCTGCTCATGTGCAGCGCCTCCGGGGCTGCTTGTATAAGAAGGTGCAGCAGCCCGGCTGGAACTTCCCTCCCAGCGGCCAATGCCCCAGCAGCAGGGGCGGGCTCCAGGCCAGCTCCACCTGCCTGGGCCTTCCCACCTCTGGGCGGGGATGGTGACCGCACCCTGAAATCCCAGAGTCAGGACCAAGGGAAGAGTCTCAGAGGCCCCTTTATTGCACTGGCTTTGGCCTGGCTTCCCAGAGCTCCCTGAGTGGCCTCTTTGTGGGAGAGGAGGAGTCATCCCTGCTTACCTCCCCCATCTCCCTCTCTCCCCTCTCAGAAGGGTTTGCTTCTGCCCTCTCCTGGGCAGCAAAAGAACAGGAGATGTCCCTCCTGGGACATCAACTCTTCCACAACAGGGCTGGGCACGCAGGACGCTCAGAAGAAGGAGCATGTGCCTGCCTTCAGCTTGTACTGTTCTTGTTGAGGGGAACAGGGTGGCCAACCCTAAAGGCCACCAGGCTGAAACTGAACCTGCTGGCCAGGGTGGGGCTTGGGGTCAGGGGGCCTGGAACTGTCCTGAACACAGCCACTTCCTGGCCGTGTGAGCTTCGTCGTGTCACTAAACCTCTCTGAACCTCTGTTTGTACTCAGGGCAAATGGAGGTGCCTACGCCTGCCTTCCAAGCTGCTGGGAGCTTAACCCTGGGTTACAAGCCTTTCAGCAAGAGCCCACAGGACTGTTAGCCCCTTTGGGACTGCATCTTACCACACTTTGTCCCCAGTGTCCAGCACAGTGACCAGCCCACCCCAAGTGCTCAATATGCGCGATTAGAGTGCATGGGGAGTGACAAGGCTGTAAAACACCATCCATGGCAGGAGCTCCTCTGTTCTGGGGGTCCCTGGCCCTGTCTGGTAGCCTGCCCTAAGCCCTGAGCTGCTGCCTGACAGAAGGGCATCCCCACACACTCCCCAGTGCCCCCGTGCCATGCCATCCCCACATCCTGCCCCCTCTGTTCTGCACCCACTTTCTTCTGAGATCCCTTCTCAGCAACAACCTTCTCCCCATCTTTAGCCTCCCCATCTCCTGCCCACCCACCTGAGCCTGGGGACGGTTCCATCCATGACCCTACACCCCCTCTGGCCACACTGTGTCTCTCTCCTTCTGCCCGTTGTCCACACACTCAATTCGCACCCTCACTTCACTACTGACCACTGCCCTCTGCCTTCAGCAGCCCCCTGACCAGCTGAGCGTCTAGTGGTCACTTAGGGTAAGTGTTATACGGCCTTTCTCTCACATGACCTTCCTGTGCGTCCTTCTTCTGGACACTTCTTGGCCTCTGAGCCAGCACTCTCATGCTTCTCTTCCCTTTGGCACCTAAATCCAGGTGGGCCCCATCTTTTTTCCACTCTGCTCCTCCCCAAGTCATCCCCCCGTCAGGAAGCAGCACCACTGTCTGCCCACGAGTGCCAGCTGGGAATCTAGAACTCAACCTGATTTCCCTCCCACCTCCCTCGGCCCCCAGACCCTGCCCATCCATCTCCCAAACCTCTGTTTCCACCACATGCCCACGAGACCACCAAGAGCTTCAGCCATTCTTGAAGCCCTGGCCACAGGGATTTTTTTCTCAATCCCATTCCTGTCTCTGCTAAAAGCCTCACAGCGGCTGCAGGATAATGTGCACATTCCTGGCAAGGGCCCACGAGGCCCTGCCCGGGTGGGCACCCACTCTCAACCCTATGCTCCACTCTGAGCCCCGGCCCCATGTCTTCTCTTGCTGGCCTCCTATCCAAGAGGGTGAGTCCCCCAGGATCGTGGCTGTGCCTCAGTCCTCTCCAGATCCGAAGGCTCACCAGGGCTTGGCAGGTATTCAGCTAGTTGATGCCTAATGAAGGAGTGAATGGGCCTGGAGGATCATGGTGGGGAAACTCTGCCTGGGACAACTAAGAGCAGGGATGGGGTTCCCTTGCGGGGGCAGGGCCAACTCCCTACCCTGGACTTTGTTGGGGGTGGAGCACCAGGGAGACCCACAGCTGCCTCTTGAATAAAGCTCTGTGGCAGGGAACGTGGTATTATTGCACACATCGCACAGGGGAGGAAACAGGACCAGAGATGCAAAGCGACTTGTGGAGGTCACAAGTGGGGCCAGAGAGCTGCCTGTCTCTGGCCAATGTCCTAGATTCCCCCCCTGGGTAAGTCCCCTACCCCTATCATCGGTGCCCCTCCCTCCATATGCCACTGCAACTGGGAACCTGCTGGGAGCTGGAGGAAGGATGGGCAGAGGGGCCACCTGGCAGGCGCCCTGGCAGCCGGGGTGATCTGTCTTCTCAGGAGATGTCAGGACCTGGGCAGTCTCCTTCCTCTTTGGTCCTGGGGCCTGGGGTGTTGGCCCTTGCAGACCTACAGAGCCCTGGCTCATAGGTAAAGGGCTGCCGCACCTCTGCGCTTCTCAACACACACTCTCTGTGCACTCTGTTTGAGCCAGACCCTGGGCCAGATGCGAGGTTCAAAGAGCAAGGCCATTCCCCCACCTCCAGGGGCTCTGCTCAGATGGGCAGGCACCCTCCCACCGTCACTAGGACAGAGTGGCAGTGCCCAGCCCCGCCCGCCGGGTGCCGTTCCCCACCCTGGCCACAAGGCGGCGGGCTACCGCTGCAGAAGCCTGAGTGAAGGCGGCGGAGACCCAGGGAAGCCAAACCAGGACTACCCAGACAGCCTGGGTGGACCCCCTGCTGCTGTCAAGCGCTTCGAAGCCTTACCTCGTTTAAGGCTCACAACCCTAATCCTTAAGTATTGTGCTTACACCAGAGGACGCTGGGCCTGGGGGAACGTCCTCGCGTGTAAGTTAAGTGGCTGTCAGCAGCTGGCAGGTGACCCAGCAGAATCCAGTTCCCCTTTCCCTAGTCTCAAAACCTGAGCTCTGCATTGTAACGAGTCGGGCGGAGGGAACACCCAGCAGCGGGCCTACGGAGGCGTGTCTCCTTCGTCTGGGCATCCCGGACTCAGTCCTGGCACATAGTGGGCATCAGTGTTCATGGTAATGACATCAGGTACAGCGAAAGAAATCAGAGGCTCCCGAGGATCAGAGGTCATCTGTCCAACCCCTCCCTTTGGGCTAAAGAACAAACCGAGACCCTAAGAGAGGAAAAGAACTGCCCCTAGATCATCACACGGCCGGTGGCAGATGGCAGAACGGTTCTGAGCATCTTTTTTTCCCCTCGGGCTGCCCCTCTCTGAAAAGTTCCTAAAGTTCAAAATGTCAGGGTCGCCTAGAGTGTTCTGAGGATGTAAGACCTGTTTTTAAAACGTGCTCTATTTTCGATTTCCCAGATGAACACAACTGGACTCTGAAGAGGGGGAAAAAAACAACCTCACTTAACCGGACGTCTTTCTGAAACAAACCCATCAAGAGTTCTTTAAAAAAAGGAACTGAAATGCTGGAAGCACCCTCAAAGGGAAGCAGACGCCTGACTTTCACATCCACCCTCTCATCTGACCCCAGACTCCTGGGAGACGGGCAAGTCGGTTGGGCCGGGGCAGGCCCGCAATCCCCCGTTCCGTGCCCAGATGCGCTTCGGAATACAGAACAGCTGGGACTTGGAAAGATAATATGGGGCACACACCTGCAGTAGGTTATATAACCTCCCAGCAGGGCTTGGGGCAGCAGCCGACCATCGAGCTCATTTGCATTTCTGCAGCGAAACATGAATATTCACACAAGTGCGATAAATAAAGACCATCAGCAGCCTCACATCAGTTCAAGCGCAATTTTGCCACCAATTGGATTACGAAAAGCCTCTGGGCTTCCAGGGAGCTTTGGAGCTTGGGAATTGCTGATGAGGGACTGCGGGCGTGCACCCCTCACGTTTCGCGGTTGGGGAGAGGGAGCTCATCCGAAGTCTTCGGACAGAGGTGGGCGTCGTGCCCGACGCTGAGCGGAGCGGGTCTCCTTGCGCCCCGGCTCCGTGCGGGCGCGGTCCCTAGCGCGCCACCCGCCTCCGCGCCCCAGCGCCCGGGGAGGTACCTGCTCTGCGCTCTCCTCCCGCGGCGGGACGTGCAAGTCCTGGATGACCTCGTAGACGTTCTCTGAGTCGCTGCGCGCCAGAGGCCGCGGGCACACCCAGGAGCCCGCCACGCTGCAGGCCTTGAAGCTGCCGCTGCTTCCTAGGAGGCCGGCGGGAGGCGAGACGGCGGCGCAGGCCAGGTCGTTCAGGGACTGCGCGGGCCGCACGGGCGCCGCGGGCCGCAGGTACAGGCAGGCTGGCAGGCCGGGCGCCAGGCTGCTGCGCTGGGTCGCGGCGCCGCGTTGCGCAGGGCCGCACAGGGAGCTGGTTCGGCCTCCGGACTCCTCGGGGGCGCCGTCGGGGCCCGCGGTCGCCGCCGCGCTCACAAACCGGTAGTCGTAGGCGAGCGGCTCAGGGGCCGCGGGGCTCGGGTGAGGACCTGGCGGCGCGGCGGCGGCAGGGTTGCCCAGCGCGGGCAGCTCGCGCACGTACTGCGCAGGCAGGTAGAAGGGGCGGCCGCCGGGCTCACGCCGCACGTGCCACCAGTGCTCGGTGCTGCGCCGCAGCAGCCGGTAGCGCTCATTCGGCCGGATGGCCACGCGGCGCCCGTCCTTGCCGGTGTACTCGAAGGGGTGCTCCACCAGCACGTACACGTCCCCCACCACGTCCGCCGCCATCGCGGCCGCGGCGTTTTCCTGCGGGCAACAAGAAGGAGGGCCGCGGAGGTCAAGACCACCGAGCCTGGAATAGCCCCGCACTCGGGGACAGACTTGGGTTCGAGTCCCGATCCTGCACTCGCCGTTCGCCTTCGGGCCTCAGTTTTCCCATCTCTAAAATGGGAACTTGCATAAAATCACATGTAAGGCTTCCATTCTTACACTCAGTGCTGGAATTAGGACAGCCCTTCGTTCTGTGGGGTTGATTCTAAGATTTGACCCTTGCTTCAGTCCTGCGGTGGGGAGATTGTGGGTAGTCTTGGTCCAAATCGACTGCGAGGGAAGCCTTGGCTTTAAAACGAGGGGTGATTGCCCGCTCTAAGGTCGACACCACGCTTGCTTAATAGTTGACTGCGCCTTAGTTTTCCGTCAGTCAAGTAGGAAGAACACCCCATTTACTGCCGCTCCCCGGCTCTGTCCCGCCTGGAAGCCTCCCGCCCGCAGAGAATCAGCAGAGGGTCTCGTAGCACTGCCTCCCTCCAGCAGCTTGCGCCCCGACCCCCTGGTCAGAGTTGGAATGTGGGCTCTGTAGGGGGCCTAGCGAACAGCTCTACCTGGGGGCTGTCGCTGCCCCCCTTAGTCCGAGGGCCTTGCTGTAGAGGCCTCCGCTGCCAATGCGGGGGAACCGGTTCTCTCGGTTTCTCTTTCCTTCCCCAGCTGCATCACCGCAGACGTGAGCCCGAGCCCGGCCCGCCCAGCCCGGCCCGCACCGCCCCCTGCTCTCCAGCTCTCACGCCGCCCCCCGAGAAAGGCCCTGCCCCTGTGGCCTGTCCACCTGCCCTGTGACCCCTACAGTGTCCCCACGAGTGGCTCCTGGAGAATGCACTCTGAGACAGTGACTATAAGTGCGGAGTCCCAGAGCAGGGCCACCCAAAGCTCTCCGGAGTGGTGGTCATAAGCCCCGCTCCCGCCCGGGCTTCGGGGTGTCAGGTATGGGGGAGAGCCTAACTAAATCTGTCTGCGCCCCTCCACCAAAGCCATGAGTCGGTTTTCTCCGGAAGTGCATGGCCCCTCCAAACTCCCACACTGACCACACCTCTTCCTGCCCCCTAAGGTGGCCCGGACCCGGGGCCAGGAGACCGCCGCTTGCCGAGGCAGAGGAGCAGGTTCCAACGGGGGCCCCAGCAGGGCTCCTCCGCCACTTTGTCAAGCGTTCCTCGACGAGGAAAGGGTGTAAACTGAGTCACTAAGCACGCTGGGCCCCGGAGGCGGGGTCATCGAGCTGCCCGGTGCTGAACCAACAAACCCCAAGCAGGACACTCCCCCGGCGCCCCCTCCCCTTGGACCCCGCAGCGCACTCACGTCGGCTGGGCGGGCCTCAGGGAGCCCATGGGCTGGGTGGGCGGAGCCGGCGGTGGCTGCAGGTTAGGCCCCTACCATCGCCCTGGGCGGGGTTTCCAGGGGCGAGGCCGGAGAGGCTGCGCGGAACAGGAGCTGGCAAGCAGAGCGAAGAGGGACAGGGACGCTCAGGAGTGCTGTCACCGATACCCAAAGCAGCCGTGTCTGGGTGGGGCGAGGAGGAGCCTGAATGCCTCTGCTGGGGACCTTGGGGGGCATTGGGACGAGGCCCAGAGCAGAAGGCCGGCACCTGGAGCCGGGACTGCTGCGTCTGAAGGGGCACTGGCGGGTCGTGAGCGGAGCCCAAGGAGGATGGGACCGCCCCCGCTCCGCCTTCCCCCTCTATTCCCCGCCCCCCCACCCCCCACCCCCCGGGATTTGCTGTCCGGGAGTGCCTGCGTCCCTCCTGTGCGCGGCTCTGGGAATGCCGGGCTGGGGCTGGTTGTCTCGTGCGGGCGTTCCTGTTCCCGGGGAGGTCATTTGCACCCTGAATCACCCACTGCGAGCCCTTCCAACCGGATTGCAAATCCGCCCGCTCCGGGCCCACCTCTTCCCTCACCAGGGCCTTTCCCGGAGCAGCCCGGCCGGGCCTGGAAAAACTCCGAGCGGGATTCCCAGCGCAGGGACGCCCACCGGAGCTCGATGTCTCGGGCTGGATAAGAAGGGGACCGGACCTCGGTTCCTTCCCCGACCCTGGGGAAACGCAGAGAAGGGGAGGGATTGGGGAAGCCGGGAGGATCCCTGGAGCGCGACAGTGCACCAGTCGCCAGGAGGTCCCCTGCGTCCACTGCCCAGGCGACTCAAGCTACAGGGGCGTCAACGCCTGGGTCGGCGCTGGGGGCCTGGGCCTGCTTCCCTCCAGCCCCCAGATGGAGGGCAGCCCTTCGCCTACCTTCTCCTCCCCGTGGGATGCGGCCCGCGCAGCTCCCGCCCCAGCGCGGAGACAAGGGGAGCAGGCGCGCGGAGCTCCCGGGTGCGGACCCGCCACCTGCCGCACCCTTCCCTCCCCAACCCTGCCCTTTCCCCACCCCCACCCCACTTCCCACCCCCAACCCCCGCTCGGCGCCCCACTCCCGACCCTGCCTGCCCGGGCACCTCGGGGCGTCCGCTCGCCGGCTTCGCCTCCACTTGCCCCGGCAGGCGCGCGTGGGCTCGGCGTCCCGCCCTCCCTCCTCGACTGTGCGGCTCCCGCGCTGCCGGGTTTCCTGTTCAACAATATAACCAGGGAGGCACCGGCGGAGAGCGCCGGGCAGAACTTCCTCCCGGACTGGGGCTGGGCTGCGGTTGCGAGAGACAATCCCCGGTGTCCTGGCTTCCTGTCCCCTCTGGGCCGGGCCAGCGCCTGAGGAGCGAAGACGCCACCCCCTCCCCTGCCTTTCCCGGGATCCTGGGCCGCACCTGGCTGTCTCCAGGGAGAAAGAGGCTGCGGGGCTGAGATGGTGGGACTGGGGAGGGCGGGAGCCTCCCCCGCAGGTTCGCCTGGCCAGATTGCCCTCCCACCATCCCCCACCCCCTCTTGATCCTTGTGGGGAAGGAGGGCCACCCTCCAATCCGTCCACAGGGTAAGCTCAGAACAACCTCCAGGAGTCCAGCCCCAGGGCCCTCCGCCTTGGGGGTCTTCTGTTGGGGAATTTTCTGCCTCTCTGGACAAGCAGCCTCGCCCTGATCTGAGCCTGCACTCACTCCAGACATTACAAGCCACAGCCCCAGCACACCCCCTGCCCTCAGGGGCCCCAAGGAACAGTTGTGCCTGTGGACCTGGCTGTGTGTGCCAAGAGCTGGCTGATTCAGGCCAGTGTTCTGGGAGGAAGAAGGGCCCGCATCCCAGGCCATGGCCTCTCTTGACACCACCTCCTGGGGACCCAGGGTTGGGTGGGAAGCTGAATCTGGCCACCCAGATTCAGAGGAACTCCCTTACCTCTATATCTTTGTAAGATATAGTAAGTAAGGAACTCCCTTACCTCTATATCTTTGCCTCTGCTAGGCATTGCCCACCTGTGAGTCCACACTTCCTCTGAGAATCTGTGTGTCTGAGCCTTGGTGGCACCTTGGGACCCTCCAGGGTGGGCACACAGCAGAACTCAGCACTGGTCTTTGGTGCCCGACATGCTTAGAAAATAGTGGCTGGTGCCGGGCACGGTGGCTCACGCCTATAATCCCAGCACTTTGGGAGGCCGAGGCGGGCGGATCATGAGGTCAGGAGATTGAGAAACCCTGGCTAACACGGTGAAACCCCGTCTCTACTAAAAATATAAAACATTAGCCGGGCGTGGTGGCGGGAGCCTGTAGTCCCAGCTACTCCGGAGGCTGAGGCAGGAGAATGGTGTGAACCTGGGAGGCGGAGACTGCAGTGAGCCATGATCGTGCCACTGCACTTCAGCCTGGGCGACAGAGCAAGACTCCGTCTCAAAAAACAACAACCAAAAAAGAAAAAAAGAAAATCGTGGCTGGAGGAATCTTCTCTCCCTCCCTACCTTTTAGGTCCCTCTCCACCTGCAGCACAGCCAGGCAGCGGCTGGCAGTGGTGATGGTCTTTGCGTGGGGTCAGGCAGGTATGATGCCCCACTCTGCTGCTTGGCGGCTGGTAGGCCTTGGGAGTTCTGCCTTATCTCTGCAGCTCAGATTTCTTTCCTGTCAATGGGATAGTAACACCCACTTCACTGGATTATTGGGAAGATTAAATGAGGTCCACTAAGCAGTGCTTACCACATGCCCAGCGCACACAATATATCAGCTATTTTTTTTAAGACAGAGTCTCACTCTGTCTCCCAGGCCGAAGTGCAGCGGCACGATCTTGGCTCACTGCAACCTCCGCCTCCGGGTTCAAGTGGTTCTCCTGCCTCAGCTTCCTGAGTAGCTGGGATTACAGGCACCCGCCATCATGCCCAGTTAATTTTTGTATTTTTGTAGAGACGGGGTTTCACCATGTTGGCCAGGCTGGTCTTGAACTTCTGACCTCAGATGATCCAACCTCCTCGGCCTCCCAAAATGCTGGGATTACAGGTGTGAGCCACCATGCCGGGGTACATCAGCTATTATGACTACTTACATTATATGATAAGCTCTTGGGGGTTGGATTGGAATCTCCAAACCACCTGTCCTCCTTCAGAGAGAAGAGGAGAAGGGGAAGTCTCAGCTACTCAGGAGGCTGAGGCAGGAGAATTGCTTGAACCCGGGAAGTGGAGGTTGCAGTGAGCCAAGATCACGCCACTGCACTCCAGCCTGGGCATTGAAGTGAGACTGTATCCAAAAAAAAAAAAAAAAAAAAGGGAGGGGAGAAGGGGAAACAAGTGGCCTCAGGGGCGCTTTGCTGAGGCTGGAGAGGGCCTGAACCCACCGGCAGGGCAGCACCACGTCACGTGCTGTGGCCCTCCTCTGGGCCTCCCTCTCCCAGTTTCTCTTCTCTTCTCCGGGCCTACCATCTACTGTCCTGGAGGGAGGTGAAGCCCTTGGGGGAAGCTGGGGCACCTAGATTGGCAGAGGGTGCCACCTTGTAATCTGAAAGGGGCCTTTAAGGACAGGAAATCTCAGACCTGAATGTTGTCTGTTTCCATCCCATTTTACTGCAACCTGATTTCCCTGAGAATTAAGTCTGTTTCCTGCTCCTGTTCTTAAAATGGACAGTGGTGTGGGCCTCCCCTTGGAGGGGTCCCCTGGGCTTCTCCTGGAACTTCTGAGGAAGGTCAGCAGCCAAGTAAAAGTCATTTTGAGCCCTAAAACCATGAGCCCTGAATCGGGGGATCCACTTAAATAACCCTTCTTTCCTGAGCCCCATCTCTCCTTTATTTCTCCTCTGAGAAATGTCCCCTGTATCCTGAGGTTTCACATGATCCAGTGTCAAGGGTCTGTGTTTTGACATTTAAGTCACAGGAAAAGAAGCCACCGGCGTGGGATCAGCTTGAGTTGTTATACAAGTGTGGGTACACCTCCCCAGAGACCCTGAGATCCTACCCCAGGAAGAGCCTGACTGCTGGGCTTGGCAAGGTGGTTTTCTTACTCTCTTCTCCCTGCCCACTCCTGGCATGCAAGCCCTCTGCCTACAAGTGTTTGCCACGGACCTCCCAAGCCTTCCCCCGTGCCAGGGACTAACATGAGGGTAGGGGACCCTGACAGATGGTAACAGATGGCTGGTGGTCTCCCCCCTGGCCGTGGCAGTGTTAGAATTCAGAAGCCAGACCAGTGATGAGAAAGATCAGGTCTTTACTGCAAAATCATTCAAAACTCACACGGCAGCAATTCCTTCAATACATTGCAAAGACTCCTCAGGGCCAGAGCCCTGCTCACTAGGAACAGTGTATTGCATAAAATAACATTTTAAAAATAGTGTGGGCACTACCTTTCTGAGGGAGGGGAGGTGGGAAGAGTCAATGCATCTGAAAGCACTGGCAGCTTCTGGGGAACGGGCCCCCCAGGGCCTCAAACCTGCTGCCTCCGAGGGCACCTTCGGGGAGAATCCTCACAGGCCGAAGCCCTCCCCAGGCCAGGCTCCTGCCCACTCAGGGATGGGGCAATGAGGGCTCTGACTAGGCTGGGCTTGTGGTGGAGCGTTAATGTGGGCCATGGCGGTGCATAACCCAGCTCCTGGCTTAGGAGGCATTGGCGTCTGGGCACAGGTGTGTGCCATGACCGGGAGAAGCTGTGCGCAGCCTCCACCTGCCTGCCACCGTTGCCTCTGTTCTGCTGCACAGGCATCCAGCTCCAAGGCTGGGTGGGTGACTCAGCAGCTAATCGCCCCCAGGGAAGGGTGGGGGTGGGCTCATCTCTGACAGTGACATGCGGCTCTCCACCTGAGGCCTGACTCCAAGCTGAGTGCAGGTAAGACAGCTAGGACTGAGGGCCTGCTAGGTCCAGGAGAGGTGGGGGAAGGCGACAGAGAGACCAGCAAACCCACATTTCCCCGAAGCCTGGAGGGTCTGACCATCACTTTGAAAACAATTCCAGACTCCCACCCCAGCCCCAAGGCCCCTTCAAAGGCAGTCCTGCTCCGGGGAACTTCTTCAGTCTCCAGTGTCCCGGCTGGGCAAGTTCAGTGATGCTTTGGGAATTCATGGCTTTGTGAGGTGGTGGCTGCATCCACAGGGCAGTTCCCCCGCACGCCCTGCACAGCTTAGGACCAGGTCACTTCTCCACAGTGCAGGGCGTGGCTGCCTGCCCTCTCTGGGGTCCTGCCTATCTGTGCCCTGGCAGGGGTCAGTCAGGCAGAGAGTGTGACCCCGGGCACCCACCAAGGTGGGCCTGGAGCATCTGCAGCAGCGCCCCTGTCTGTAGAGGGGTGAGGAGCGCACGGGGATCGGGGGTGGGCAAGACGGCGACCCTCCATAAACCGAGGAGGGCTCAAAGTGCTGACAGTGCTGGTTTCCAGTCATTTCTCCTTCTCCTAATGGGGCCAAGGCCCCAGGCTAGAGAAGAGCTAGGGGCTCTGACGCTGAGAAAGCGGTGGGCTCAGCAGGCGAGACGCACTGGGGTGGGGAGTAAAGAGGACACAGAGGAACCGGGGTCGCCAGGACTGGCCCTGCCCTGCTGAGGGGCGGTTTGGCACTGGCAGTGAGGGCCAAGGAAAGGCACTGGGTGGGCCCATAGACCCTGTCCCAGCAGTGGCCTGCCCACCAGCCACCCGCTACCTCTAAGCCAGGCCTGAGTGGCTCCTGTGCATCCGCTGGGGGTGAGAATGTCTGGATTTCATGGGTGACTCACGTAGGGTCAAGAATAAAAAAATACTTTCTGTTGAAATATGAATGGGAAAAACCCACCTTAAAAAACTAGACCTTTTAATCAGGAATGTGGAATTGAAAATGCTCCCCAAGTCCCCTTTCCACAGTGTTTGGGCAGCCCTAACGGAGGCGCCGGGACGCTGGTGAGCCAGGGCCTAGTGAGTAAACGGCCCTGCCTGCCCCAGACAGGGAGCATCTGGTGGTGGCCACGCCTCCTGCAGCAGAGGGGTGGGGGGAGGGCCAGGGGACACCACGGGGACTTCCTGGGCTTTCTCTGGGAGGCCGGTGCTCTGGCCACATCTGAGGGTCTTCCTGACAAGGGGACACAGCTGTGACACGGTGAGTATCCTGGGCTGATGGCAAACCCAGCCGGGATGGCTGAGCCACACTCACCCCCGGCTTTCAGAGCGGGGTCAGCAGATGGGCATCAGGCGAAAATGTTCTGTTCCTGGTACTTGCGCCGGCGGGCACAGCGGGGGCAGCCCTTCTTCACCACAGCCTGGCAGCTCTGGTGGAAGACGGTCTTGCACTCGGCACACCTGGGGAGAGAGCAGTAGGCCTGCTGGTGCCGGCTGGGCTGGAGGTTGCCCTGTGGCCACGCTGGCCAGCCCTTTTGACCAGAACCCACGATACGGCTGTGATGTACTGTGTAACCCATGCACGCACACCGTGCCTCTCCGTTCTGGAACAGGAGAGTCTTGAAACAGTGCTTACCCATACGTCACACAATGCACACTGATATTCTCTGTCCTATTGCATTTTTTATAAATGCTGCTTGAGATTCA
Organism: Homo sapiens; assembly: GCF_000001405.40. Lineage (NCBI taxonomy): Eukaryota > Metazoa > Chordata > Mammalia > Primates > Hominidae > Homo > Homo sapiens. The sequence goes on from NT_167251.2 coordinate 128,651, forward strand.
TTAAAGATCTCTTGCCTATATTTAAAAAATATTTACGGCCAGGCGCAGTGGCTCACGCCTTTAATCCCAGCACTTTGGGAGGCCGAGGTGGGCGGGTCACAAGGTCAGGAGATCGAGACCATCCTGGCTAACACAGTGAAACCCTGTCTCTACTAAAAATACAAAAATTAGCCGGGCGTGGCGGTGTGTGCCTGTAGCCCCAGCTGCTGGGGAGGCTGAGGCAGGAGAATGGCATGAACCCGGGAGGCAGAGCTTGCAGTGAGCTGAGACTGCACCATTGCACTCCAGCCTGGGCGACAGAGCGAGACTCCATCTCAAAAAGAAAAAAAAAATTTTTTTTACTTATTTTATTTATTTATTTTTCAGAGTCTTGCTCTGTTGCCCAGGCTGGAGTGCAGTGGCACGATCTCGGCTCACTGCAACCTCTGCCTCCCGAATTCAAGTGATTCCCCTGCCTCAGCCTCCCAAGTAGCTGGGATTACAGGTGCCCACCACCACACCTGGCTTACTTTTGTGTTTTTAGTGGAGACGGGGTTTCACCATGTTGGCCAGGCTGGTCTTGAACTCCTGACCTCAAGTGATCCACCTGCCTTGGCCTCCCAAAGTTGTGGGATTACAGGCGTGAGCCACCACGCCCGGCCAAGATGGTATAATTTTAAAAACTCAGCCCCAGGCCCATTCAGGGCTGCATCCCGGCCAGTGGACACCGACAGAAAAAGAACTAATGTTCCCAGTTCAGTTTTCTGCTCCCACATGGGTTGCAGGAAGGTCTGGACAAATTTTTCCATTGAGAGGTTGCGGATAATGAGCAATAACTGGGGACAAGAGTGATCATTTCAGCAACAGACACAGTGGCAGTGGCAGGTACCACCCACCAGGTGCCACTTTGTGCCTGGTCTCATGCCAACAGTGCAGGGTGGTAACTCATACAACCCTCCTCAACCCATGCATACACTGAGGCGCCAGGAGGCTCCACTCAGAGAGCCGGCAGCCACCTCTTCTTTAGGAAGAGAGATGGTTCCATAGAGGCAGAGGAGTCCTGGGAAAGCTTGTCTTGTCCCCTGAGCTGGACTGGAGCTGGCCATGACTGCCCAGAGCATGGGCTGCCCCAACAACTGCACCACCCCTTGGCACAGCACAAAGTGGATGTTCAATACATTCCTGCCCACAGAGCGAAGCCTGCTGCCCTGCGTGCTTGGGCCAGGCTGTGGGTGTGGGGAAGGGTGGGGCTGGAAGGCGGCTGGCTGGGTGTCCCGCATACCTGACTGTGGTGTCAAACTCAAAGGGGAAGATGATGTCGTGGTGCTGGCAGATCTGGCAGATGAAGCCGCGCTGGGTGCACAGGTCGCAGTGGTAGACATGCTGGGAGGCAAATTCAATCAGGGCCTTGAGGAATCCTTCATACACCCCGTCTGCGATCTGCGGAGGGCAAGTAGGAATCCTTCATACACCCCGTCTGCGATCTGCGGAGGACTGGTAAACTGAGGCCCCAGGCCTTTCAAGCAGCTGCACTGAGGTGCCATGGCACCCTGCCTGGAGAACTTCTACCCCCCGTTTCCACACGGGCAAGAAAAGAAAACCTCCCTGAATCAGGCTGAGCAATGCCAGCGTCCAGCCCGTGGGCACTGAGGTCACTGGGGGCTAATGGGATTTATAGCTGAGACCCAAATCCACTGTACCCTCCCCTTGGGGAAAGGAGTATTCCAAACTCTCTTCCCTGTGATCCTGGGGTTGCTGGAGTGCTTGTTTATTCCAGGGGTGCTGGGGGTATCCGTCCCTGCCCAGGAAGCTGGGGCAGCAGGGCAACCCACCCTGAGCTGCAGAAAAGCTACAGACTGCTGTCTTCTTCAGTAAACTACAGACACCCCCTCTTCCATCTTCCTTGCTGACTTCTCTGGGAATGAAGTCTCTCTAGAGGTCTGGGCGGGGGAAGCATGACACTCTTACCTGTTGGAGGTCAGCAACACTGAACCTATGCGGAGATTCCAAGAGATAATTCCTGTGGTTGAGCCTTCAAACAAAACACAAGCGATTCTTTAGAAAGGTTTCCAGAACCCAGGCTAGCCTGTGTTGTTTGTTTACACTCCCCTGGCGCTGCTCACCAGGCAGACACCCCCCGCCTGGGCGGGGCAGGGGCTAGGAGTGTAATTCGGCCTGCCTGGGCTTGGGGCCTGGTCTTCAACGTAACTAACTAGCTGGTGGGACCTTGGGCACGTTACTTAACCTCTCTGAACCTTGGGTTTCCCTCTCTGGGAAATGGAGTTGTCTGGATTAAGTAACTTATTTAAAGCATTTGGCTTGGTGCCAAGCTCACAGTAAACACGTAATTAATCATGAGAAGGAGGATGGGTGCAGACACCTGGGACCAGGAACTGGGCTAAGAGCTTCATACGCATTCATTCATTTGATCCTCACAATAATTCTGTGAGGCTGGTACTATCACAATCCCAACTCTGAGAAGAGGAAACAGAGAGGTTAAATCACTTGCCTGAGGTCACACAGCTAGTAGGTGGGAGAGCTGGAGTTTGAACACAGGGGCCTGGCTCCAGAGCCTGCACCCCTGTCCACCTGGCAAATGCCTAGAGATGCAGGCTGTTGTCATTATTGCCACCATTACATACCAGGGACAGTGCTGGGGACAGCAATGCACAGGATATGGCCTCTGCCCTCCTGTGGCCCCTGGTTTGGCCGAGGGACAGACATTCAAGTGTCTGGTTTCAGTGCTACACTGGTTTCAGTGCTGAGACGTGTCCTAAGCACAGCAGATCCCATTTCAGAGGTGGCCGGGGGAGCAGAGAACAAGGGCTCAGCCGCCAACGCAGCTCTAGTTTCTACCACACCAATGGGAGGGATCCAGGGGGCCCCATCCTGATGGGGAGGAAACACCTGCAGAAAGTCCCTTAGTGCAAAACCTGCCTGGCCTGGCTGTGTGTGTTTACATGGGTACTGGGGGTGGGAGGTTACTCCAAGTCAGAGGATGCTTGGGAACCTGCCCCAGGATGCCCCAGACATCTGGGGACAGGATGGTGCCAGCCCTGGGTCTGGGCCTCCGGGGTGCAAACTGTGGAGCATCTGGAATGGGGGCTTGGCCTTGTCCCAGCTGGTGGCTCAGCTGTGGTCCAGGGGAGCCCAATCCGGGGTGGAGAGGGTGAGTCTCACCAAGCAGCCACACAGGCCAAGATGCCAACTGGCCCCTCAGTTTACCATGCTGGTGTCCCCAGTAAACTTCCTGCACTCTAGGAAGGGAAGCTGCCATTTGTCACCAAGAAAACATGGGACACAGCAGGCTGGGGGGACACAGGTTGGCCTTCAGCTGGCAGGAGGGTGGGCGGATCTGGATGGAGAATTAGCTTTGCCATCTGTCCTCTGACCACAGTCGTGGAAGCCCTGGGAGCCCCTGTGCCCTGGGCCTGTCACCCTCTCAGCAAGGACTTGGAAGTGGCTTCTCCGCAGTGCTCAGTCAAGGCCAGAGGGGAGAGGGCGCTGACCCAGGGGTGAGAGGCCACTTCTCCTGGCCTCCAGGAGAGAAACTCTCATGCACTGGGGCACAGTCAGGCCTACTTGGGGCCTCAGTTTCTCCACCCACACAATGAGGAGAACCCTCTTTGTCCTCTGGCGTGAGGCTGGCTACCTGGGAAAGAGACCAGAGGAATCTGGACGGCTCTCCGGGAGAGAAGAAGATGAGGGGAAAGGTCGAATCTTAGTTCCTGGAACCGATGAAGTGATGGGGAAGGAAAGGGCCAGGCAAGGGCTGGAAGATCCGGGGGACATGGGTGGGGGGCCTGGGTGCCACCTGTCTCCTGAGCCCTGGCTCCTCCTCTGCCCACCCCTTCCCGGCTGTCGGGAGGGACAATGAGGTCTGGTGGGTGGACAGGGTGTGGGGCATTTCTGTGATGGCTTCCTCCCAAGGGCTGGAGAGGACACTGTCAGGGGCTTCTCTGGCCCTTGGAGACATGTCCCAGGTCTGCCGGAGAGAACCCTGACAGGCAGCTGCCACTAGTGCAGGACAGCTCCTCCCTGACTCCCTGACATCCAAGACCTTCCCATGTCTCAGCCCTCTCCTCTCAACCTTCCCTCTGGCTGACTCGGTCCAGGCCCAGCTCCCTGGGCTAATTACTAACACCAGCTGCCACCCAGGGCTCTCCCCTTCACCAACTGCACTCCACTGGGGCCAGAATGGTCTTTTTGTGTGTTTGTTTTGTGTTTTTGAGACAGAGTCTCACTCTGTCTCCCAGCCTGGAGTGCAGTGGCGTGATCTTGGCTCACTCCAACCTCTGCCTCCTGGGTTCAAGTGATTCTCCTGCCTCAGCCTCCCTAGTAGCTGGGATTACAGGTGCCTGCCACCACGCCCGGCTAATTTTGTACTTTTAGTAGAGACGGGGTTTCACTATGTTGGCCAGGCTGGTCTCAAAATCCTGACCGTAGGTGATCCAACCACCTTGGCCTCCCAAAGTGCTGGGATTACAGGCATGAGCCACCGCACCTGGTCTTTTCAGAGTGGTCTTTTCTAAGCCGCTGACCGGAAGTGACAGCCCTGTGCTCAAAACCCTTCAATGGTTCCCCACAGGTGGCAGATCAAATCCAAAGGCCTCGAGGGCCCTTTGAGTTCTGGGCCCTGCACCTGAAGCCCAGCTGCCCAGAGCCCCTCAAGGGTGTCAGTGAGCTGTGCTCCTGCCAGCCTCTTGCTACCAGTCTCTTAGCCAGGAAAGCCAGGTTCTCCTCTGCCCTTTCTACTCTTTTCTCATTTTTCTAAGCCCCAGTTCAACAGACACACAATGCCACTGGTGTGGCAACATGTGTGTGTGGATGGAGTGAGGTGCAGAAACAGGTGGTGGTGGGCTCTGAGAAGGGCTGATTGAATGGTCTGCTTTATTCCCTTTCATAAATTTTCCTCGCTTGGAAGATTGACCTTTGTAAAGAAGAAAAACATTTTAGAAGGAAAAAGGAAAATATCTCTGCATGCCCTCAGCTCAGATGCCATCTCCTCTGGGAGCTCCTCTGGCCCCTGCCAAGGCTGGATCAGGTGCCCTCAGGGCACACACGATGCTGACCCAGGGCCATCTGTGGCCCAGACTCTGGGTCCCTCATGCAGCCCTCACCACTGCTCAGGAGGCCACAGGAACAGAGGAATCACTGGCCCATTTTATAGACGGGAAAGCTGGACCCGGAGAAGTGAAGCAACTTTCCTGACTCACAGTGGGTGAGGGCCTCCCACACTCTTTCCCCTGCCCCATGCTGTTTCCATGGGACTTCCACAGGCATGGGAAGCAGGCTGAGCGCCTAGCAGGAGTACAGCGCTGCTGCCCAGGGATGGAGCAGGAGGGTCAGGGAGAGAGACAGGGCTGCCCCTGGTGCCCACAGAGACAGGTCTGTAAAGCCGATGAACAGACTCTCTCAGCAGGGTGGGGATGGGTGAATGGGGCTGGGGTCCACAACCCACCCCACAGGCATCTGGTCTACACAGGTCTGCATGCCTGTGCAGGTACCTGGCTCCTTGACCAAGGAGGGTGATAAGGCCCCACCTGACCCCAGAGATTTCACCACCTGGTTAGGTGGGCAGGAGGATAGTCTCTCTGGAGGCCTGGGTCATGGACTCTCAGAGGTAGGGAGTGAGTCAGCGCTTGCCAAGAGGTGGAGACCCAGTCACCCACGATGCTTGGGATGGGCAGAGCCTCCTGGGGTGAAGTCTTCTAGGGTCTAGGGTCCCACATGGTGGTCCCTGGAAGGCTTTCTGTTCTTCCAGGCCCTACAGAGGAGACCAAGGCTCAGCTGGCAGCTGTGGGGCCAAATTCTCCTCTCTGCCTAGGGGAGAGCCCCCTGCAGTACCCCTTGAGAGCCCCTGGGGACCTGCTCGAGGCACACCCTGGCCCTGAGGAGGCCCGGCTCTGGGAGCACTGCAGCCAGGATGGAGGAGGCAGTCTTCAGAGAGGCGCTCTCTGGGCCAGCCCTGTGGGGAGGGAAGGCCAGACGGGGGAACCTGGAGGGGCTTGTGAACTGGTCCCTGCCCCCAGAAACCCAGCAGAGGTTGATTTGAAGCCCATTCTGGGCAGTAGGCACCGGCAGGCTTCTCCGCCTGAGGTCTGCCCTCCTGAGGGTGCTGGGAGAGTACAGCCCTGGGAAGACTGCAGCCTGGGCGTGACCTGAGGACTAGGAAGCGTTTATGACAGGCATGGAGAGGCCTAAGTCCCTGTTGAAGCCCAGCATCACATCCCATTCCTGAGCACCAAAGGCCCCAGGCCCTGGGTAAGAGAAGCTTCCTGAAGGGCATCCTGAGGGCCCCGCCCGGATCACGTCTTCTTTGGAGAATTTCAGGAGGGAGGCTGGCATGGGCCAGACGACTGGCTGGTACAGGGAAGAGATGGGAACATCTGGCCCTCACCTGCCTCTCGCCACACTCCCCACTTCCCTCCTCACTGTAGCCAAAGTTCTCCCTGGGCTTTCCACCAACGGTGCCTTCGTTCATGGCCTGTGCGTGCCATTCCTTCTGTCTAGAATGCTCTTTCCCCCTTTGCTTCTCCTTTCTGATTCTTCCTAATTTTTCAAGTCTCACCTTATAAGTCACTTCCTCCAGGAAGTCCTTCCTGCTTTGTCCTCCTCTGATCTGGGCTGGATGTCAAGCCTCTGTGGTTCCAGGACGTCCTGCCTCTCACCCTCACCCCCAGATGGAGTTGCTGGCTTTCCCACCTGTCTCCCTCTCACCCTCACCCCCGGATGGAGTTGCTGGCTTTCCCACCTGTCTCCCTCTCACCCTCACCCCCGGATGGAGTTGCTGGCTTTCCCACTTGTCTTCCCTGCCAGGCCAGAGACTTCCGGCGGGTCGGCCCTGGCTCTGTCCTGCTCATTGTTGGAGCCTACATGCCTCGCCAGGTGTGCAGTGCTTAGTATGTTCTCAGTCCATGTTTTTGAGTGAACAAATAGATACATGAACAAAACCCCAAAATCACCCCCAAAAGATGTGATCATTTCGCAGGCCCAGTGGGAAGATCTCTGCCCAGGTTTCCTCCAGGTGGACGCCTTGCCCTGGGCACTGCCCCTGTGTGTGTGTGCATGTGCACGAGTGCCTGCATGTGTGTACATTTGTGCACATGTGCATGGGTGTGGATGTCTATGCATTTGTGTATAAATTTATGTGTGTGGGTATGTGTGCACATGTGTATGTGTGTCTGTGTGTACATGTGCATATAAGTATGTGTTTGCATGCATGTGCGTGTGTACGTGCACTCACACGCATACACGTAGAGGTTGCTCACCTCTTGCTGAGCTCCTTCAGGGCGCCACTCCGGCACAGGCCCAGGTAATCCCCCAGGAGCTTCAGCTGCTCCCGTCTCCTCCCAATGAGGTGCATCCGCTCCACATGCTCGTACAGAGACGCGTTCACCATCTGCAGGTTGATGAGGGGCTGGGCCCGGATCTGTGTCAGAAACTTCAGGGCCTGCCTGCAGATCTGGGGGTACCACCAGGCATTGGGGATGGGAAGGAATGGCTGTTCAGTGAGCACTGCCTGGCCAGGTGCCACATGACCTGCTCACTTACCTGAGGGGCTATCTTCATTTTACAGATGGGGAAACTGAGGCTCAAGGAGATGAAGAGATTTGGCTAGGGTCACCCAGCTTGTAAATGGTACAGTCAAGCTCTGAACCCAGTTTATCTGACTCCCAAACCCGCTCTCCCTCTAATGACAAGGGTCACTGCCCCCTCCCCAATCATGCTGAGATGAGGGAGGGACTGCTCTGATAACGCCCCCTCCCTCTGGGCCTCACAGATCCTTCCCACTCTTTCCTGTCCTCCCAGCCCCTATTTCCCCCCCACTGAAGGAAACAGGCACTCCCTTCTGTGCCCTGACTCAGGAACCAGGTGACGGGCTGAGTCAGGCTCCAGCCACAGGAAGCTACAGATCAGACACAGCTCACCAACAGGCTTCCCTGAGCTCCCTCGGCTCACACCAGTAGCAACACCGGGACTCCGTGTGCAGCTGAGTGATCCATCTCAGTCTCTCCTGGCTGACAGGGTGTTGAAGGTTCTACCCTTGGCCCTGATCCTAATACCAATGCCAATAATCGAGCGCCTACTATTTGCAAAACACTGGGTCAGGAACTTGACCACATCCTCCCGTCATTCTCAGAACAACACGTTAGGGAGGGTGTCCCTGTCCCCGTTTTCTAGATAAGGAAACGGAGGCTTAGAGGGGCTAACGTAGCTTATACAACCTGCCTGCAGAACCTGCCAGGTTTGAGCTGAGGTGTCATCTCTGAACACCAGGCTGCTGCACTAATCAGAAGCCCCCTCCCCTGCAGTGATCTCGCTGTATCATAAGGACGGAGGAGCTGTTGTCTCCACAGCCGACAAGTGCACAGTGACTAGAAGTCTGGCTTTGGCCTGGCTCAGATCTTTAACATCTTAACTAGTCCTCTCGTTACATATTTTATTTCTGGTGGCTTTGTTTTTGATACTATTATAAGTGATTATCTTTTAAAATAGTAATTTGTTTGCTGATATATAGAAATGAAATTGATTTATTTGACTGTCGTATCCAGCAACCTTTTCAAATTCTGATAAATTGTGTAGGGGAAAAAAAGTCTGGCTTCGGAGTCAGAATGGAATTGAATCCTGCCTCCACCACTTTATACCTGTATGAATTGGTGAAACTTATCCCTCTCTGTGACTCAGTTTCCTCATCTGTAAAATGGGGAAAATGAGAGCAATTAAGGCTCACGGGTTTGGGGCCTTTTCGTTCGCTGCTGCTGCTTTAGTGCTTTGGCCCGGCACTCGGCAGGATGTCAGCCCAGGACTGGAGCTTCTTTTTCATGGGATTATTTTGAATTCAGATTAAAAGAGGTATTCCAGGAGAGCTCCTGGCATAGGGCCTGGCAGGTGGCACATCCCCAGTAAATGTGAGCTGCTATCAGCTGCTGTGTGAGTGCCTGGTGTGGCCCTGTTGTCCTCTTGAGGGTTGGGGGACTAAACTGGCCCTCAGGAGACCTGCCCCTGTATTTGGGGGCTGAGGGGGCCTCTGACCTCTTGTCTCCCAGCTCCACCAGCATCTCTCACCTCCCCCAGCAATGGACAACCTCTTCTTTTCCCAAAGCCTGGGGCCCTGAGGTACCAGCCCCCCAGCCCAGGGACAGCCCAATGGCAAACTCCTGGTGACTTGGGTCAAGCTGCTGTTCTCCAGTCCTAACTCAGCTCTTCCCATGACTTGGCCCCAGGCCTTGGGTGAGGCTCCAGTGAAATAACACACAGGAATGTGCGCTGAACACTGCCAAACACTGCAGATGGGCAGGGGCTTTGTGCTCCCCAGCGACTGTTCCTATCCTGCGGGAATGGAGGAGACAGAAAGAAGCCCCACTCCTGGGCTGACATCCTGCCAGTGCCAGCCAGGCCTCAGCACCAGTGGGTCAGCCAGGCCTCAGCACCAGTGGGTCAGCCAGAACAGCAACAGCGAACAATAAGGCCCCAAACCCGTGGGCCCCCTACTTTCTATCTTGAGTTTCCCTGTCTTTCCTAGGCCAGCAATCTTTGAGAGGGAGAGCGAGCTGAGGATTTCCTGATCTCAGATATGCCTAGAAAACGATTGTACTTTTCTTTTTTTTTTTTTTTGAGGTGGGGTTTCGCTCTTGTTGCCCAGGCTGGAGTGCAATGGCGCAATCTCAGCTCACCACAATATCCGCCTCCCAGGTTCAAGAGATCCTCCTACCTCAGCCTCCGGATTAGCTGGATTACAAACATGCGCCACCACGCCCAGCTAATTTTTGTATTTTTTAGTAGACAGGGTTTCTCCATGTTGGTCAGGCTGGTCTCAACTCCCGACCTCAGGTGATCCGCCCACCTCAGCCTCCCAAAGTGCTGGGATTACAGGCATGAGCCGCTGTGCCCAGCTAGGATTGTACTTTTCTAGTTAGAAAAGGAAGTGGCACAAGGATGAGGGCAGTGAATAAGGAGATGGCTCAACGGAAGTATCAGGGTCCTGTAAATAGTTAACGTGTTTTATGATCAAAGGGTTCTTTGCATTTTTGGTGATTTTGAGGCTTAATTTCCTCTATGTAGTTAGTTAAATATTTAACACTGAGAGCGAGGGCGGGGACAAGGCAAACAACAAAAAAATCAAAATGAAGCCAACTTCTGCGGGGTTTCCCCGCCCCAGGGAGGTGGAGGTTGAGGTAGAACTGACTGAGAGAATCACCCTGCACTATGATGAAGACACATCCACACATCAGGACTACATAGCTGGCAGGCCCTGGCTCTCCAGAGGAGCAAACAGCTTCTTCCTTGTGTTTCTGTGTCTGTCTTAGTAGAAATCTGTGCCCTTGGAAGAAAACCAAATTTGCACCCCTTGAGGCAGACACTAACCAAGTGAATTAGGTAGATGGGTGGATGGGTGGGTGAATATAGGCAGGAGGTGTGACAGGCCCCAGGGAGAGAAAGGACACTGTTCTTACTGACAGGCACACACTGCCACACCTGCCCTCCCAACAACCCCGACACAGACACTGTTGTTAACCCTCCTTTTACAGATGAGGAAACTGAAGCTAATTTGCTCATGGTAACACAGGTAGGAAAGTGGCTAAGTTCAGCTGGAGAAAAGGAAAATTCTGAAAGACTTTAAGATACATCTTATTCAAAAGCATTTGGTGAACATAAAAAAGTACCCAAGGCATAATATTAAGTGAACCAAGCTTCTTATAAAGCAGTATGAGTCCTGTGTGATCCCAACTTTATAAAAAATAGATGCATATGTCAATAAATGCACAGAAAAGGGTATACCCCGAAATGTTAATAATGGTGATCTCTTGGTTATGACACAGAATTTTGATTGGTCTTTGGGTTTTTCTGTAACTTTAAAATGTTAAACAATAACTGTGTATTATCTTAATAATGGGGGAAGTCACAGAAAAAGTGCTTTTCAAAAACATGAAATAAATAAGCCCATGTAGGGCCTACAGGGGAGTGCAGTCACCTGGGCCTCATAGGGTTGGCAAAGGCAAGGATGACTGCTCCAAGGTATAGCCAGCTCGCTGGCCAGCCCATCTACCCATCCACCTACCTATTCACCCATCCACCCAGCCATCTACCCACCGTCCACCCATCTACCCATCTACCTACCCATCTACCCATTCACCTAACCATCTACCCATCTAGCCATCTGCCCATTCACCCACCCATCTACCCATCTACCTACCCATCTACCCATTCACCTAACCATCTACCCATCTAGCCATCTGCCCATTCACCCACCTATCTACCTATCTACCTACCCATCCACCTACCCACCAAGCCATCCACTCATCCACCTAACCATTTACCCATCTGCCTATCTAGGCACCCATCTACCTACCTATCCACCCATTCACCAATCTACCCAACCACCTACCCATCCATCCATCCACCAACCCATCCACCTAGCCACCTGCTCATTCACCTACCTACCTACCCATCCACCTAACCATCTACCTAGCCACCTGCTCATCCACCTACCTACCTGCCCATCCACCTAGCCACCTGCTCATTCACCTACTTACCTACCCATCCACCTACCTACCTGCCCATCCACCTAGCCACCTGCTCATTCACCTACCTACCTACCCATCCACCTAGCCACCTGCTCAGCCACCTACCTACCTGCCCATCCACCTAGCCACCTGCTCATTCACCTACCTACCTATCCATCCACCTAACCATCCACCTAGCCACCTGTTCATCCACCTAACTACCTGCCCATCCACCCATCCACCTACCCATCCACCCATCCACCTAGCCACCACCTGCTCATTCACCTACCTACCTACCCATCCACCTAACCATCTGCTCATCCACCTACCTACCTACCCATCCACCTAACCATCTGCTCATCCACCTAACCATCCACCTAACCACCTGCTCATTCACCTACCTACCTACCCATCCACCTAGCCGCCTGCTCATCCACCTAGCCACCTGCTCATTCACCTACCTACCTATCCATCCACCTAACCATCCACCTAGCCACCTGCTCATCCACCTACCTACCTGCCCAGCCCCCTAACCATCCACCTAGCCACCTGCTCATCCACCTACCTACCTGACCATCCACCATCCATCTATCTAATCTATCAAATCTATTTTATCTATCTATCTATCATTTATCTGCTGGTGCCTTAAGCAGTTATGTTTGTAGCTGCAGGAAACCATCCTCAAACTCTTTCCTCCTGGGGACCAAGACAGCCACCGATAGAGCCCTGCCCAAGGCTGTGGACAGGCACCAAGCTTTTCTCTTGGTTAGCTCCCCAACATCACAGTGCCTGAACCAGTGACCCTGGCTTCCCTTGTTTAGAGGAGCCAAACTCCTCTAAACAGATGAACAGCAGCAGCAAAGAGGAGTGAACACCCCTCTGTCCCTCAGCAGCTGGGCTGCTGGGCTTGAGACTTACCGGGCGCTTGGTGAGGTCCCAGTTGTGGATGATCCTGGCCGGAATCACTGAGGCATCGTCTTGGTGGCAGATGTCACAGTAATAGAGGCCAGAGAAGGCACAGAGCTTGGGTCGTACAAAGGAGAAGCCGATCTGCCGGGAGCAGCCTGGGGAGATGGGTGGAGAGTGAGTGGTGTGGCCAGAGTCAGCTCCTAGTAACTTGGGAGCTGCTGTGGTGGAAAGGATCTGCTGGTTGATTTTTTTTTAAGGTAGGCACAAACACAAGAATAACCACCACTCGTATTTCCACCACTCAGAACTCCCCTACTAATTAATCTTTACAACAACACACTGTAAGAACTATCATTATTTTACAGCTGAAGAAATGGATGCTCAGAGAGGTTAGGAAATCTGTCTGGTCACATAGTGATGAAGTGGCATGGCTGGCATTCAGATCTGGGTTTGGCTGGTTCCAGAGCCTGAGTTCTGCTCCACTACCCCTTGCTGCCTGTGTCCGGTGTCCCCACTGCTGGCTTGGCAATGCCAGCCTCCTCTAGGTCCACCCCTCCACTCGGGCCCCAGAATGGAAGCAGCAGAGTAGGGGCTGTGGCAAGCAGCGAAGTAGCTGGGGGACAGGGACCAGGGTCGGGGCTGGCAACAGGGAGCGGATGGGCAGCCAGCAGGGGGCAGGGGAGTGTGCACAGTGTCTGATGCCTCGGGACTGTGGGGTAGGGCTGGCTTCAGCCCCCTTGGTTGGAGGTGTCTCCACAGCCGGAGCCAGTGGGAATGGGAGTGGGATGTGCCCTGGGCAAAAAGCAGAGGCCCTGACTCAAACCCTGAACATGTGCCCTAACTCCTCCAAGGGCAGGCAGAAGGGTCCCCGGGCCTTGGGACCAGAGGGCGGGTTCTGCTCCTCACCAGCTGCCTCACCCTGACCTTCACCTGATTTCTTCAAGGTTCCATTTCAGTGACTGTAAAATTCAGCTACTACCAGCTATTTTGTGGGGTTATTACAAAGCTTAAATGAGACAAGGTTCTGCAAGTACCCTGCAAATTATGAAATACAACCCAGATGCCAGTGGTTGGTGTCTGCCACTGAGCCATGCCTGCTGGGTAGAAAGGAAACCCAAACTCCCCGGTGGCACAGTCCCACCCGCTGGTGGGTGGCAGCCATGGTGAGAGTTGCCCCCGCAGCATTCACACCCACAGGCGAGGAACCCTTTCTTGCAAGCCCTGGAGTCCTGGCCCCCTCAGAGCCTGGCCTTCACAGGCTGAAGAGCAAAGTGTGAGCGCTGGGGCAGGCGGGGGAGAGGTCAAGCGAGGCTTGCAGATGTTTTCTGCAGGAAGCTCTGTTCTGCCTAGCTTCTCCCATCCTCGCGGGGCCAACCGCAGACCAATTCCTTTCAGATGCTTGAAACAGGCTTCCCTCCAGTCTGTGCCAACAGGACAGCTCCCAAACCAAGGCTCAGCTTCTTGCTCTGGCCTTCTGCAGCAGGACAACCCCCTCACAGGTCACCTAAGGGTCCCATGGTGATGGGATGCCATCTGCCCCTGGATGGTGGGGGGAGTGGGAGGGGCTAACAATGGAACATGGGCAGGGGGATGTCACTCAACCTTGAATAAGACCCTAGAGGGATGCCCTCTAGGGTCCTGCCTATGAGCAAAGGCTCTGGGGCCTGACTGTCAGGGTCCCATTTCTGCCTCTGGCCAGGCATGGTTGCTGACATCTGTAATCCCAGCACTTTGGGAGGCTGAAGCAGGAGGATCACTTGAGCCTAGGAGTTCAAGACTAGCTTGAGCAACAGGTGGAGACCCCATCTCTACTAAAACAAACAAACAAACAAACAAAAAAGGAAAATTCTGCCTCTGCCACTTACTAGCTGTGTGAGCTCAGTAGCAGACACCAACCAGGTACTTACCAGCTCTGTGCTTCAGTTTCCTCCCCTATCAACAGAGATGATAATAGTAGCGCCTATCTCTACAGGGTTGTTATGAGACTTAAATGAGATAATCCAAATAAAGCAGCTGGCCCAGTGCCCAGCACAGAAGTATTAGATTTGATGATGAGGAAGACATAGCAGATGTACTGACTTGGAATAACATCCACAGTGTAGGAAAAAACCAAGTTGTGGAACAATATATCCAGCATTCAACACAGCAGCCAAGAGCCCCGTGTGTCCCCTTTAAATGCAAATGAATTTAAATAGAAAATTCAGTTGCTTAACCACACTAGCCACACTTTAAGCACCTGGTAGCACTACATGGCTCGCAGCTATGGCACTGGACACACAGATCTAGGACATTTTCATCATCACAGAAAGTTCTATTGGACAGCACTGAATAGCACGAGCCCATTTTTATAATTAAAAAAAAGGGTGTACACTTATAAAAGCAGCAGAAATATTTGGAAGGAAACCATGCCCCTGCTCTGAAAGAACAGGACGGTAGAGCAAGAAGAAAATGAAGCAGGCTGGGACTCCCTGAGCAGCGCAGTGAGTAGCCAGCCTGCCGCCCATCAGTGGGAGGTGGCAGGAGAGGGACGGGTGAGCAGGGCCCACTGCCTATGAGCAGGGCACTGGCCCCAGCCGGGGCTGGGGAGGAGCAGAAGCTGTAGGGCAAGCCTGATCTGTGGCCTCATCCCTAGGGGAAGGATGGGGGCATTTGCGGGGAGGCAGAAGGGTGGGGAGCCTAAATCAGGAACCAGCAGGAGGTGGAGTGAGGCTGGCAGGCTGGGGGTGGCAGCAGAGCAAATCGGCACCTGCGCAGAAGCAGCCTTGGGAGTCAAGGCCTTTCTCCATGGGGATAGCCACCAGGTACTGCAGCAGGAAGCCATTCTCCCGGGTGGCAAATTTCAGCACCTCCTGACAGTTTTCATCCAGGCTCCCGCCCAGGGTCACCGCCTCCTCGGCTGTCTCCAAGTAGGATGCCAGGACTTTGCGGACCAGATCCCTCCACAGGGCGGCTTCCTCGGCGTTTCCGGCCTGCAGCTTCAGGACAGCCTTGGCCGTGATGATTTTGAAGAAGGATGGGCCCCCAAGGCTGGTGTCTGGCAGGATGTCCCGGATGGTCTCCACGCCGTGGCTGTCACTCAGCATCTTCTCATTGTTCCTGATGCGGAAACATTTCAGAGCCTCCAAGGACAGAGAAAATATATAGGGCATCCAGGTCCTGTCCATGTACAAGTACAGCAGGGACTCCTTGATGGCATCTGGCTCTGGAACCTGGGCGGACGACCAGTCAAACTGTGTGCCCTGGAGGGCCGCGGGCTCCGAGAGCAGGTCTGAGGGAGAGAGGCAGCCCTGGGGCGCCTCGGGGGGTTCCTCAGGCTGGTCTGGGTACTGCACGTTCACCCACTCATCCTCCTGCTGAGGCCGGACCTTCTGCAGGGCCTCCCGCACCCGGTCCAGCCAGTCCTCAGCTTCGTCCTGGGAGGAGGCGCGCAGGGCCAGCTTCTTGCCAGAGAAGACCAGCTCAAAGCGCCCATCACTATGGGCTGGCCCCACAGACTCACAGCGAAGCAGCGAGCAGTTCTCCACACAGGTGTGCTCCTCGTTGCTCAGGTAGAGGCGGAACTCCAGCGGGGAGAGCTCGCAGAAGAGCTCCTTCCAGATGCCCATTGCCCCCCGCCGCTCCACGGTGCCCAGCTTCATGAGACCCCGGAATGGGTTGGACAGTCCTGGAGGCAGAGGCAAAAAGGGGCACATTAGTTGGCGGGCCTGTCTCTGTCCTGCCCAAGGCAGCCTCTGCTGCCTGATGCCCTGCAGTGCATGTGGCCAGTGACTGTCCCCAGAACACAGGCCAGCCACGGGGCACTATCACATGGGACCCTGAAAGCTGGATGGGAACATCCCCATTCTCACCGTCCACTGCTGCTCTTGCGTCCTGTATTTCACTGAGAAAATAAGAGCACCCAAAAGATCCCCTCCACACGCCCTGTTCCCTACACCCACGCCTTCCCTCCTGTTGCCAGGGATGAACCAAGTGTGCTTCTTTCTGCGTGAGGCCAAACCCTCCATTTGTGCAGGAGGTCTCTCCCTTGGCCAACTACTCAAGGACAAGGAGCAGTCCTCTCCTCTGTCACTGCTTTCTTCCTTCTCTATGGGGTGACTCCCATCGGCACACATGCACGCTGTCATTTCTCCCATCTTTAGAAACACCTCTCGTCTCCATGCACTTCCCTAATGACCACCATATTTCTCAGGCCCCTTTACAGAAAACCTGTTTGAAGAGGCATCAAAACTGTTCATCTTGGCCGGAAGCGGTGGCTCATGCCTGTAATCCCAGCACTTCGGGAGGCTGAGGTGGGTGGATCACTTGAGGTCAGGAGTTTGAGACCAGCTTGGTGAACACGGTGAAACCCCGTCTCTACTAAAAATACAAAAATTAGCCAGGTGTGGTGAGCACCTGTAATCCCAGCTACTAGGGAGGCTGAGGCAGGAGAATGGCTTGAACCGGGAAGGCAGGGGATTGCAGTGAGCTGAGGTCACTCCACTGCACTTCAGCCTGGGTGACAGAGGAGTGAGACTCCGTCTCAACAAAACAAAAAACCTCTTGGTCTCTAGTTTCCCTGCTCCCATTCCTTCTCGAACCTGCTCCAAGTAGGCTTCTCTCCCCCCATTCTACTGACACTGTTTCTGAGATGGTCAATGCCCTCCTCGTTGCCAAACCCCAAGGCCACTCCTCAGCCCTCGCCCCCACCCTTCTATCTCTCTGGCTCGGTCCTCCCTGTGGCCTCTCACGTTAGAGTGCCCAGATGTCAGTCCTGGGTCCTTGTCTCCTCTCTGTAGATGCCACTTTCTCACCACTCTACCTGCTCTCAGGCTTTAGCTCCCAATTTTTATTGCCAGCCTGGACCTTGTTCTTGAAATCCACATTCATATATCCACCTGTGCCATACATGTCCACTAGGATCTCAGCTGACATGTCCAGGATGAATTCCTGCTGCCAGCCTGCTTCCTCCTGAATGGTCCTCATCTCACCAAATAGCAAAATTCATCCTTCCAGATGCCTGGGCTAAAAATCTTGGTGTTACCCCAGGTTTTCTTTCTTTCGCAGCCTACATCAGCAAATCCCATTGGCTCTGCCTTCCACACATCCGGAATCCCCGCCTCTCCCCAGCTGCACCCCACCCACTGTCATCTCTGGCCTGGCTTGTGATGACAACCTCCTAACTGGTCTTTCTCCCCTTCTCCCCTGTAGTCCCTCAGCGTAGGAGCCATGATGACCCATTTAAAGGGAAGTCAGAGCATGTCCCTCTGCCCCAAAACTCCACAGTGGCGGCCATCTCCCTTAGCTGAAGCCAAAGTGCTTCCAGTGGCCCACAGGCCTCGTCAGATTGACCTCATCGCTCACTGCCACGCCCCCATCTCCTCTCTCCTGCCACTCTGGTCTCCACTGTCCCTGGATGTGTCAAGCGCAGCCCCAGCGCAGGGTCTTTGCATTTGTTCTCCTTGCTTGAAACACGTACATTGCCTCATGACTCCTTCCCTCTCTCCCCTTGCATCTCCTCAAACATCCCCTTATTGGTGAGGGCTTTTCTGGCCATCCTATATGCAGTGGTCCACTCTCTACCTCTGTAGACAGGTAGAGATTTACTGTCCTCCATAGCACTTATGACCACCTGACCACACACTATGCTTACTTGTTAATTTTATTTCCCGTCTCCTCTACTAGAATCTAAATCCCATGAAGACAGGGACACTGCTTTGCTGCCTGCTATGTCTCCAGCACTTAGAACAGTGCCTGGCACATCACAGAGCCTCAATAATATTTGCTGAATGAATGAGCAGGTGAGTGCCTATGTATCACATGTTGCCCACAGCTCCCTGCTGCCTGGGGTGTGACAACAACCAGGGTGTCCAAAGGACACACAATTCTCTCTCCGCCAGCCTGGAATAGCCTTGGAGATTTCACACTATTCTATGGGGGTTCCCTGCCCCTCAAGAAACCTGATGGCCTAGACCTGAAGCACAGCTTCGCTGGCAGGTTAGAGACCACAGCCATCACACGGGCCAACAGACAAACCTAACAGAAGCCAGCCCGGAGACCGGGCTCTACCCACACAACCCATGCCAGGGCTACCCACAGCAAGGCCCCCTGAGCTGGGCAGGATTCTCTGCTGGGTCACTGCAGACAGAAAATGAGGAGAGAAAGAGACCAATTCTAGAGCGTACTTTTTTTGTTTGTTTTGAAGAGGAAACCCATCATGAAGGTTACTGAAAAATTTGGTTATGGTTATTTAAGGCTTTCTGGAATTTCAGTGTGTGGAGATCAAGCTGACCTTGCTGTAAAAAGCACTGGGGAGGTCGGGCATAGTGGCTCACACCTGTAATCCCAGCACTTTTGGAGGCCAAGGTGGGTGGATCACATGAGGCCAAGAGTTCAGACCAGCGTGGCCAACATGGCAAAATCCTATGTCCACTGGAAATACAAGAATCACCTGGGTGTGGCAGTGCATGTCTGTAATCCCAG
Organism: Homo sapiens; assembly: GCF_000001405.40. Taxonomy (NCBI): domain Eukaryota; kingdom Metazoa; phylum Chordata; class Mammalia; order Primates; family Hominidae; genus Homo; species Homo sapiens. Next base: position 147,505 of record NT_167251.2, read on the forward strand.
CTCCTGGAGAGACTGAGGCACTTGAGCTGGGAGGCAAAGGCTGCAGTGAGCTGAGATTATACCACTGTACTCCAGCCTGGGTGACAGAGCAAGACTCTGCCTCAGAAAAAAAAAAAAAAAAAAAAAAGAAGCACTGGAGGACATTAAACAAATAGCAGATCCTCCAGCCTGGCCAACATAGCAAAACACCATCTTTATTAAAAATGCAAAAATTGGCCAGGCGCAGTGGCTCATGCCTGTAATCCCAGCACTTTAGGAGGCTGAGGCGGGGTGGATCACCGGAGGTCGGGAGTTGGAGACCAGCCTAACCAATTTCGAGAAACCCCGTCTCTACTAATACAAAATGAGCCAGGCATGGTGGCTCATGCCTGTAATCCCAACTACTCGGGTGGCTAAAGCAGAAGAATTGCTTGAACACGGGAGGCGGAGGTTGTGGTGAGCTGAGATCACATGATTGCACTCCAGCCTGGGCAACAAAAGGGAAACTCCACCTCAAAAAAAAAAAAAAATTAGCCAGGTGTGGTGGCAGGTACCTGTAATCCCAGCTATTTGGGAGGCTGAGACAGGAGAATTGCTTGAACCCAGGAGGCTGAGGTTGCAGTGAGCAGAGATCATGCCACTGCACTCCAGCCTGGGCAACAAAGGGAGACTCCATCTCAAAACAAACAAACAAACAAAACAAATAGCAGATTTGATCAAGCCACCCAGAGCTGTTACATAAACCAACTACTGAGGGTAAACACGTTTGGAAGGACCATTTAAAACACCTGGGGCTTCATGGGGCCGGATGTGCTCTGAGCTACAGGTGGAATCAAGAGTTTTCTATAATCATAAATTGCATAGTTTTCAGGGAAAATATTTTCCTATTTGACTGGTGAAACAGTATTTTTGTCCTCTGTAGGCAGTTTTGAGACAATATACTACTTTTCCTGAAATGCTTCCCTGAATGAACATGATTATGATGGCATTCTGGAATGAGGTTTTATAACACTTGTGGGAACACACTACCCCTTTAGCAATGGAAAACAGAACTTCACAGCTGCCTTCTGAAAGGCCTGGTCCCTGCAGATGGGACCCACCCGGGACCCTCCTGGTAACCTACCCATCTGTCTCCGGTGTACCACCCGGAAGCTCTTATGCCCCTGGGATGGGGCTGCCTGGGCTTGCCTTCTTCCTGGGGAAGGTACACACGCTTGGTCTAACGCCCCCAGGGAGCAGTTTTTTCTTGGTTCTTGAGAAAAATGCCTGTGGAGACCAGGCCTTGACCCTGGAGTCCCCCTGTAAGAAGCTATTGGGTGGTCTGAAGCACTCTCCAGGGGTTGCTCCCGGGAAGGCCGGTAGAAGTCATCCTCTGAGATCCAGCTCTTGTTTTTCTGTTGGGAAAGAAGACAACAGTTGTTTGTTTTAAAGTTTTTTTGTTTTGAGACGGAGTCTCGCTCTGTTGCCCAGGCTGGAGTGCAATCGCGCAACCTCGGCTCACTGCAACCTCTGACTCCTGGGTTCAAGCGATTCTCCTGCCTCAGTCTCCTGAGTAGCTGGGATTACAGGCGCCCACCACCATGCCCAGCTAATTTTTGTATTTTTAGTAGAGGCGGGGTTTCACCATGTTGGCCAGGCTGGTCTAGAACTCCTGACTTCAGGTGAGCCACCCACCTCGGCCTCCCAAAGTGTTGGGATTACAGGTGTGAGTCACTGTGCCCAGCCTGAAGTTTTTTTTTTTTTTAAGTCTTTATCTAGATATGGCTCTTATATCATAAAATTAACCCACTTAAAGTATGTAATTCGGCCAGCCATGGTGGCTCACACCTGTAATCCCAGCACTTTGGGAGGCTGAGGTGAGAGGATCACCTGAGCCCAGGAGTTTGAGACCAACCTGGGCAACACAGTGAGAACCCATCTCTACAAAAAATAACTAGCTGGGTGTGATGGCACACACCTGTAGTCTCAGCTACTGAGGAGGCTGAAGCGGGAGAATTGCTTGAGCCAGGGAGGTCAAGGCTGCAGTGAGCCGTGATCACGCCACTGCCCTCCAGCCTGGTTGCAGCCTAGGCAACAGAATGAGACCCCATCTCTAAAAAAATAAATAAATAAAGTGTCCAATTCAAACATTTTGGCTTAGTCAGAGTTGGGCAATCGTCACCACCATCTAAGTTTAGCAAATTTTCCTCACCCAAAAAGGAAACCCCGTACCCATTAGCCGTCATCCCCATTTCCCCTGGCCACTCTCAGCTCTAGGCACCTACTTACCTACTTTCAGTCCCTACACACCTGCCTGTTCTGGACATCTCATATAGATGGAACCATACGACATGTGACCTTTTGTGCCTGCTTCTTTCTCTTAGTGGGAGGTTTTCCAGGTGCATCCATGTTATATAAGCATGTTTAAGTGTTCATTCCTTTTTATTGCCAAATAATATTCCATTGTCTCGATCCACCACATTTGGCTTATCCACTCCTCGGCTGATGGACATTTGGGTTGTTTCTACTTTTTGTCAATTATGAATAGTGCTGCTATGATCACTTATACACAAGTTTTTATGTAGACATGTTTCATTGTCTTGGGTATATACTTAGGAGTAGACTTGCTGGGTCATGTGTAACTCTATGTTTCCCTTCTTGAGGAACTACCAAGCTGTTTTCCAAAGTGGCCGCACCATTTTATATTCCCACCAGCAATGTACGAGGGTTCCAATTTCTCTCCTTGGGAAATCTATCCAAATCCATTGGAATCTACTCAAATCCATTGTCTGTCTTAAAATGGGGCTGTCTTTTTGTTGCTGAGTTGTGTTGTGGGTTGAATTGTGACCCCCCCACAAAAGGACATGTTGAAACCCTACCCCCCAGTACCTCAGAATGTGACCTTTTTTGGAAATAGAGTCTTTGCAGAAGTAATTAGTTAAGATGAGGTCATGTTGGAGTAGAATGGGCTGTTCATCCAGTATGACTGATGTCCTTATAAGAGGAGGAGAAAAGATACACAAAGAGAGGAGAACACCAAGTGAAGACAGAGATACAGAGGAAGAACTTGTATGACAGTAGAACATGTGTGACAGCAGAGGGGAGACAGGAGTGACATGTCTACAAGCCAAGGAATGCAAACGAGCACCTGCAACGCCACCCAGGAGAAAGGCGGGAACAGATTCTTCCTTAGATTCTCCAGAAGGAGCCTCCAGAACGATCAGAGAATAAATACCAGTTTTGTTTTGTTTTTGAGACAGAACCTCACTCTGTCACCCAGGCTGGAGTGCAATGGTGCAATCTCAGCTCACTGCAACCCCTGCCTCCCAGGTTCAAGCAATTCTGCTGCCTCGGCCTCCCGAGTAGCTGGGGTTACAGATGCTTGCCACCATGCCCGGCTAATTTTTGTATTTCTAGTAGAGACAAAACCTTGTCGGCCAGGCTGGTCTTGAACTCCTGACCTCAGGTGACCCACTTGCCTCAGCCTTCCAAAGTGCTGGGATTACAGGCGTGAGCCACTGTGCCTGGCCTATTTTGTTTTGTTTTGTTTTGAGGCAGGGTCTCGCTCTTTGCCCAGACTGGAGTACAGTGGCGCAATCAGGGCTCATTGCAGCCTTGACTGCCCAGGCTCAAGCAATCCTCCTGCTTTAGCCCCACTGAATAGCTGAGACTACAGGCATGCACCAGCATGCCCAGCAAATTTTTTATATTTTTAGTAGAGATGGGGTTTCACCATGTTGGCCAGGCTGGTCTTGCACTCCTGGACTCAAGTGATCCGCCCACCCTTGCCTCCCAAAGTGCTGAGGTCACAGGCATGAGCCACCTGCCCAGCAATGTCTGTTTTTGTTTTTTGTTTTGTTGTTGTTGTTATTGTTGTTGAGACAGAGTCTTGCTCTGTCGCCCAGGCTGGAGTGCAGTGGCACAATCCTGGCTCACTGCAAGCTCCGCTTCCCGGGTTCACGCCATTCTCCTGCCTCAGCCTCCTGAGTAGCTGGGACTACAGGTGCCTGCCACCACGCCTGGCTAATTTTGTTTTGTATTTTTAGTAGAGACGGTGTTTCACCATGTTAGCCAGGATGGTCTCGATCTCCTGACCTCATGATCCACCCGCCTCGGCCTCCCAAAGTGCTGGAATTGCAGGCATGAGCGACCGCGCCCAGCCAATGTCTGTTGTTTTAAACCACCCTGTGTATGGTACTTTGTTATGGTGGCCCTAGGGACTAATTCAAGTTGTAAGGTGCTTTATATATTCTGAATACGAGACCCTTATCAGATTTACGATTTGCAAATAATTTCTCCCATTCTGTGAGGTGTCTTTTCATTTTCCGGATGGTGTGCCCTCTGGAGCACATAAGTTGTTAGTTTTGATAAAGTCTAGTTTATCTATTTTTGTTGTTGTTTTTGTGCTTCTGGTGTGGCATCTTAAAAAACCATTGCCTAAGTCAGTATCACAGATTTACTTCTGTGTTTTCTGCCAAGAGCTGTATAGTTTTAGCTCTTACATTTAGGTTTCTGGTCCATTTTGAGTTAGTTTTTGTGTAAGGTGTAAGGAAGGGGTGTTATTATTTTGCATGTGGGTATTCAGCTGTCCCAGCATGTAAGCTTTCTCAGTCCTGCTTTTGGGTTTGAGATGAGGGAGTCCTGACGAGCAGGCCTCAGGGTCCTCATTGGCCGCCTCTGTCTCTGCCGCCCACTTCTGTGCAGGCCCCTGCAACCCCAGGCAGCCAGGCCCTGCCCCTTCCCTTCGTTGTTCTCTTTTGAATCTGAAGCTGCTCACTGGCTGGGGAAGATGGGGTTGCGGGGAGCATCTGGGGTGAGTGGGCTTGTGGGAGTGGATTCTGGTTCCTTTTCTCCAGTATTTCAAGTCCTCCCTGGCATTCTGTGCCTCAACATGGAAGGGCAGAGGCAAGGAAGCTGGCTGGGCCACTCTAAGTGGCTGTGTACACAGAGGAAATGAGTCACACAAGCAGTGGGACCAGCCCCACTGTTTTGTTAAGTGCCACTAACCTCACCCTGACATCGCTATTTCCAGTCCCTGAATCAAGAGTGCACTCCCTGCTTTGTAAACAGGGAAGGGTTGGTTTGGACAGTTGGATCCATTCAGATGCTACACGACTCCTCAAGCCAAGGGTGGCAAGTTCTGACTCAGGCAACTTGAGGGGTAGCTCACAGAACTAGGTCCCCAGAGACTCCTCCACGGGGCCTTCAGAATTGGCAGGTGCTTCCCCCCTGCCAGTGACAGATGATGTGTCAGTCAGGGCAGCCACTGGGGACCATCCACAACACTAGATTCTGAGCAAAGCCTGCCTAGGTCATCAAGAACTGGGGGACCTCCCTGAGGAAAATGGGTGGGAGAAACAGCTCCCTGGCAACCATGTGGCTGTCCTGGCAGCCTCACATATACCTGGGAAGTTGTGTGATCTCCAGCGCCTGGTGGGAGAGGGCACTGTCCCTGAAGACTCAGCTCAGGAGACATCCATCGCCTCTGCCTGGAAGCTTCTCTCACCCTTCCCCAGCCTCCACCCCTTCCCACCCCCTAGCTGGGTTAGGGCCCCTACTGGGATCCCACAATATTCTATGCTTACCCTCATTCTAGCATTTATAAGGCTGTTTGGAATGGTTTTCTTGATATCTCCAGCAAGTGCCTGCCCGAGTCATACAAGATGAGGGAATAAATCATGACCATCACAATGTCTTTAACATAAAATAACAAAGGTGGGTCAAGTGGACTGGAAGGAAGGAGACAAATGTAAATTTTAAGATTATGGACATTCAGAATGGGCATGATGGATCATGCCTGTAATCCCAGCACTTTGGGAGGCCGAGGCAGGAAAATTGCTTGAGGCCAGAAGTTTGAGACCAGCCTGGCCAACATGGAGAAAACCCATCTCTACTAAAAGTACAAAAATTAGCTGGGCATGGTGGTGCATGCCTGTAATCTCAGCTACTCGGGAGGCTGAGGCACAAGAATTGCTTGAGCCTTGGAGGCAGAGGTTGCAGTGAGCCGAGATGGATGGAGCTATTGCACTCCCACCTGGGCAACAGCGCAAGAGTCTGTCTCAAAAAAAAAAAAAAAAAAGTTTATGGACATTCACTGGGGAGGACTTCTCTCTCCTTTGAGGAAAAAGACTACTAGGAAATGTTCAGACACAGTCCATTGAGCACAGCTGCCAGGAAATGAAACTAGGGAACATCTTTTACTCTCTTAAGCAACAGGGAAAAAACAGTGGAAATGCAGGTTCCTCGGAGCTTCTGCACATGGGCCTGGACAGAGCTCTGAGGCTGTGTGCCCCTGGCCCCAGGCAGGTGGGGAGCAGAGAGAGGGTGTGAGAGAGAGTGCACGCATGAACACCACTGTTTCTCTCTTCTCTCCTTTTTTTCTTTTAGAGATGGAGTCTTACTCTGTTGCCCAGGCTGGATCACAGTGGTGTGATCTCGGCTCACTGCAACATTTGCCTCCCAGTTTCAAGTGATTCTCCTACCTCAGCCTCCTGAGTAGCTGGGATAACAGGCTCACGCCATCATGCCCGGCTAATTTTTGTATTTTTAGTACAGACGGGGTTTCACCATATTGGTCAGGCTGGTCTCAAACTCCCGACTTCAGGTGATCCACCTGCCTCAGCCTCCCAAAGTGCTGGGATTACAGGCGTGAGCCACTGCACCCGGCCCCCTTCTCTCCTTTTTTCCCACCACCTTCCGACAACCTGCTCACTCAGGGTCCATGTCTGGCCAGCACCCTGCCCTTTAACAGTGGAGAGAAACCATCATCGACGAAGGATCTATACCAGAGCTGCAACTGCCACCAGCGACCCAAGACAGAGAAATGCCACCTTGCGTTACTAAAGGGCTCATGACACCATATACAACAGCTGAATCCCCAAGAGGAGTGTGGCTGAGGAGTGAGACGAAGGTCTCTGGGACACTTTCAGAAGGATGAGACTTTGTCCAGCCAGTCCTCATTATGCCAGGCAAAGGAACTGCCTGTACTCATAACTGTGGAAGGGGAACCACATACCATGGGCAGGTGGTCCATGGGGGCAGTGATTAAGAGCAAGTCCTAGAACTCACACTGCCTTTTGGGAGTTAAACTGAAACGAACTCACAACCCCCAGATCCCAGACATGCATCACCCTTGAGAGGCCCCTACTCCCTGCACCTCTCCTTCCCAGTGCTTAGCACAAGTGTAATTATGATGTGGATAATCATTTGTCTAATTTAATGTCTGTCCCCAAAGGGACTTTGTCTGTCCTGTTGTATCACTCTACTCCTAGGACCTAACATGGTGCTTGGCTTATAGTAGGTGCTTTGGGTTCAATGAATTAAAAATAAATGTTTTTAAAAGAAAGACTGAATGGGTCTCTACACTATAAAACTTGACAGCGACCCCAACATCTCCCCCAAAATAACATCAAATAAAAAGCACGTGGCTAACTGATAGAAGTATAGAAAGATGAGGACCACAGGGGCAGACATGCAGGGCACAGCCTGGCACTGTCCACAGGCCAGGAGCCCAGCAGGCCCACATGAGCTGGCAGGCTATTCAGTGGCACCTGGTGACTACCTACTGAATAAGCAGTGAATGAATCCACAACTTCCCTGTGAGACAGACACAGGACGGGGGCAGGATCCGAGATTCTCACATCGGACTCAGCACCAAGCGCTTAGATGTCACATTCCCTAAGCAACCTTCCAGCAATCAGAGTCCCCTGTAGCTGGCACAGAGGCAGAGCCTGCCATGATCACACCAACCTGACCACCCTGTCCACTCGATGGTACACTTCGATGACCCACTTTGGCCTCCCAAATTGCTAGGATTAGAGGCGTGAGCTATCACGCCTCGCCTGAACGTCCATAATCTTAAGTTTCACATTTGTCTCCTTCCTTCCAGTCCCCTTGACTTATCTTTGTTATTTTATATTAAAGACATTGGGATGGTCATGATTTATTCACACATCTTGTATGATTCTGGGCCAGGTACTTGCTGGAGATACCAAGAAAAAGAACCATTCCAAACAGCCTTATAGCTAGGATGGGGGAACAAAATAAACTTAGGAATTGGCATCTCAAGAGTCTCTTGGGAGTTCAAGAACTATTCATCCATGCCTACTTTCTCCCAGGTACAGTGCTTGGTGCTGACAATACAGAAGTGAACAGGCCTGGTGCTCTGTATCATAGAGCTAATATTCTAGTAAGGAAGACAGAAAATAAACAAGGAGACAAAGAGATAATATACTGTAATTGCACATAGTGATGAGTGTTATAAGCAAAGTCAAGCAGATGAATGGGACAGAGAGTCACTGGGGATGGTGCTTTTGAGCTACGGGGGTCCGGTCAGGGAAGGCTGAGACAACAATGAAGTGAGTCGGGAAAGAAGGAACAGCAAATGTAAAACCCTGAGGCTGGGCCGGGCACGGTGGCTCATGCCTGTAATCCCAGCACTTTGGGAGGCCAAAGTGGGCAGATCACTTGAGGCCAGGAGTTTGAGACCAGCCTGGTCAACATGGTGAAACCCCATAATTTTGTAAAAATACAAAAATTAGCTGGGCATGGTGGTAGGCATCTGTAATCCCAGCTACTTGGGAGGCTGAGGCATGAGAATCAGTTGAACTTAGGAGGCGGAGGTTTCAGTGAGCTGAGATTGCACCACTGTACTTCAGCCTGGGTGACAGAGTGAGACTCTGCCTCAAAAAAAATTTTTTTTTTAAAAGAAGCCTGATGTTGGAAGGAGTTCGCTTGGACTATAGAGCTGCAAGGAGGCCGGTGGGTCAGAGCTTAGTGAGCAAAGATGCTATTCTGTCCCACCAGCTTTGAGGCCCCGGCAAGATAAGATGCCTGAGCCTGCAAAGCAGAAGCTAGACCATGGGCAGGAGTGAACTCAACATGCTTAGTGCCACTCTGGAGTCCTGTGGGGCGCACAGCCTGCATCCCCAGCAGACGTCACTCTGCCTCCAGCTTGAGGAAGGGGCTGCAGAGCTTTCCTCTTCAGCCTTCAGCTTGAGTTGGCAGGTGCACAGTCACAACCTTCAGGGTCCTAGAGCATTCATTTTCAGGAAGCAAATCTTCAGGATGTACTGAAGCATCTTCAGGATAGCAAATTCGAAGACTCTGACCCACACTGACAGTTTTGTGATTTACATGGTCATATTCAAGAAACAGTGAGGCCAATCAGATATCCATATGGAAAAATATGAGGTTTGACTTCTAACACCACACACAAAAATTAATCCCAGAAAGATCATAAACCTAATTTTGAAAGATAAATCACTAAAGCTTCTAGAAGATAATATAGGCAAATACCTTCAGATCCTTGGGGGAGATGAATATCTCTTAAATGGGACAAAAACCAAGCAAACCATAAACAAAAAGACTGATAAACTGCACATCATTAAAAGAACCTCTGTTCAATAAAAATACTATTAGGAGGTTTAAAAGTCAAGCCCTATAGACTAGAAAAAGATACTTGATAAATATACTATTTTTGTCCAATAAAAGACTTATATCTGTAATATATAAAGAGTTCCTACAAATCAACACATACACATACAACTCAATTTAAGACCGGAATGACAACTTGGACAGACATTCTATAAAAGAGGATTGACTGGCCAATAAGCAAATGAAAAGGTATCATCATTTAGTCATCAAGGATATGAAAATTAAAACCACTACACATCTACCAGAGTGGCTAAAATTAAAAAGATTGGTAACACCATTGGCCAGGATAAAGAGCAACTAGAATGCTCATTTGTTGCCAATATGAGTATAAATTAGCACAAACACTTTAGAAAACTGTTTGGTGGTGGTATCTATTAAAGCTAAACATAAGCCACCCAAGGACCTAGCAATTCCATTCCCAGGTATATATACCCACAGAAATAAGCACCGAGGTTCTCCAAAAGCATGTATGAGAATGTTCACTACAGCTTTCTTCATAATAGTCAAAACCTGGAAACAACCCAAATGTCCATTAACAGGAGAATGGGTAATAAGTTGCAATATATTTTTACAATGGAATACTGCAGAACAATGGAAAAGAATTAACTACAGCCTCATGCTATATGTACAGCCACACACCACCATGCCCAGCTAATTTTTGTATTTTTTGTACAGATGGGGTCTCACTTTGTTACCCAGGTTGGTCTCCAACTCCTGGGCTCAAGCAGTCCTCCCTCTTGGTCTCCCAAAGCGCTGGGGTTACAGGTGTGAGCCACCACACCCAGCCCCCAAATATTTTCATTTTAACTTGTAATCCATAAAAATGAGATTTTCTATTCTTTTATCATACTAAGTTATTGAAATCCAGCGCTTATTTCACATGGCACATCTCCATTTGGACTTGCCACATTTTAAGTGTTCAACAGCCACACGTGGCTTGTAGCTGCCATATTGGACAGCACGGCTCTAAAACCTGGGTCATGTTGCAAAGTGAGTATGCTCAAGGCCTAGTATTTTCTAAAAACATTAATTTAATAGGCTGAGTGCACCAGCTCATGCCTGTAATCCCAGCACTTCAGGAGGCCCAGGCAAGAAGATCGAGACCAGCCTGGCCAACATGATGAAACCCCATCTCTACTAAAAACACAAAACTTAGCCAGACATGGAGGTGGGCACCTGTAATCCCAGCTACTCAGGAGGCTGAGGCAGGAGAATTGCTTGAACCCAGGAGGCGAAGGTGGCAGTGAGCAGAGATTGTGCCACTGCACTCCAGCCTGGGCAACAGAGCAAGACTCCATCTGAAAAAAATACCAAAAACCAAAAATCAAAAAATATTAATTTAATAATAACAAGTACTAAGGAGGAAATGAAGGTTCAGAGAGCTGAAGTGACTTGCCCAAGGCCTTATGCTGGTGAGTGGTAGTGGTTAAAGAGCTGAGACTGCGGTCAGACAAGAACAACCTTCACAAAGTGACGTGAAAATGACAGGAGATACACACGGGAAGTGATCAGCACAGTGCCGGGCTTATATCTACAGCTCACATGCCAAGAAACAGCCGGGCTTATATCTACAGCTCACATGCCAAGAAACATGAGCCCCATCATCATGATGCTATTAACACTATCACTATGCAGGGAGAGGAAGGCTAACAGGGAAAAGGCAGAGACCACTCAGGGTCACTAGCTGGGGAAACCCTGTGTCAGCTGACATTTCCCAAGACTGCCCCCTGAACGGCTTGCACCACTCACCGGACTGGTGGGTGAGGAAACTACCAGCTTCAGACCAGCTCCGTCATGAGCCTGGGCCTTCTGCAGGCCATTCCCTTGGCCCACTTCTCTGGCTGTCTCGCTGACAGTACTAGAAGGCTGCTGGCCTGAGGTGCTCTCTACAGGCTGCTGTAAGTCCAGGGGGCTGGGCGCCTGGGGACGCGGCTCCTGCACGTGGACACCATCTTGAGTTCCAGAGGCTGCCTGGGCAGGAAGGGGCTCTGCAGGTGCCTCACAGTGCAGGTATGTGCTGGTGTTGAGGCCATGGAGGGAGAGCGAGGCCTGTGGTGTGGGGATCTCCGTTTCTTGGCTCAGTCCGTTGGTTGGCACAGAGTTTACCTGGGCTTTGCTGAATTCCAACAATACCCTAGAAGTTTTAAACAAAGAAACCTGTGTGACAGGTTGTCTGCGATAATGCCCAAGGCAACTGGGGCAGAGGGAAGAATGCAAAACTGCTGTTTTATTATTTAAAACAACCCACACCCTCTAAATGATCCACTGCACTCCCCCTCACGCAGTCCTCCTCTGACACTCCCACCACGTTTTTCCTGGCCAGGATTTAGGCAGACTGCGTGGACAGGTGATTTGTGGAGCCTGGGATCTCAGGCGAAAAAGCTCCCCAGCAGAGGAAGAGGACTTGGTATGAATGAGGACTTACTGGCATTCTGAGCAGGCTAGCTGTGGGCCTGGAGAGCTTGCTCAGCCAAACACATGGTTGTGTGGGCAATCGTTTCCCCAAACATGGTATGCAGCAGAGCCTCCTCCTCCACAGCACAGGGAGTAGAGATGCCAGGACTCTGTGCCCTGGGGCAGGGACTAGGAGAAGCGAGGGCTAGGCAGGTTTCCTAAGCGAGGTCATACTTTGTTCCTGTGCAGGCACTGGGACAGCAAGGGGAGGTGCAAGGGCTGGTCCCCTCAGAGCTGGACTGGATGTGGAGACAGAGAAGCTTCACATCCCCAGAAACTGCTGCTGGAGCTCAATGTATACCAGGTGTGTGAGGGTGGATATGAGTACACACGAGATGTGCCCCTGCTCACTCTCTATGGTGGGACTGCCACTCCCTGTCTCCTCCGTGCTGCTTCCTGGGGCCACAGGGAGCAAATGTTACTGCCTTGGTACACGTGCATGCACACCACACTCACACATACACACTGCACAGAAACATGCCCTGGGCCCTCTGGAATGTGCACTGACTAGCAACTGCTCCTCCCTCTCCTGAGGCTTCTTCTGAGGATCCAAGCTCCATTTTGAAAATAAACCCGTTTGCTATCTCTTCTGCTTATAAAACCAGTGGAGCATGTCATGGGCAAAGCCTGGTTCAGGTGGCCACAGGCTGTCTAAGGCCCCAAAGCCTCCCTGCATCTGCCCTGATGGCTTGGACTGGGTCCAGAAGATACATGAAGCTCTGCTTAATTTGGGCTTAGGGAAATGAGGATTTTAGAATTCAAGTTGCTTACCTGATTGTCTTTCCAGTGAGCTCTGCACCATCTTAACCCCAAACAACATTTCAAGACATTATGGTCAAGAATAGGTGGCCAATCCATACATGTATAAGTAACTGATTTTGGCCGGGTGTGGTGGCTCACATCTGCAATCCCAGCACTTTGGGAGGCTGAGGTGGGTAGAACCACAAGATCAGGAGTTCAAGACTAGCATGGCCAAGATGGTAAAACCCCGTCTCTACTAAAAATACAAAAATTAGCCAGGCTTGGTGGCAGGCGCCTGTAATCCCAGCTACTCGGGAGGCTGAGGCAGAGAATTGCTTGAACCCGGAAGGTGGAGGTTGCAGTGAGCCGAGATTGTGCCACTGCAATCCAGCCTGGGTGAAAGAGCGAGACTCCATCTCAAAAAAAAAAAGAGTAACTGATTTTCAACATAGACACCAACACATTTTAATGGGGAGGGAATAGTCTTTTCAACAATTGTGCTGAGATAAGTGGATAATCACATGCAAAAGAAAAAAGCTGGACTGCTATCTCACATTGTATACAAAAATTAACTCAAAGTGGATTAAAGACCTAAAGGTAAGAGCTAAAACTGTAAAACTCTTAGAAGGAAAGAGAGGTATAAACTTCATGTCTTTGGATTAGGCAATGGTTTCTTAGATGTGAGATCTACAGCATAAGAAAGCAATAAAAAATAAATTGTAATCCCAGCACTTTGGAGGCCAAGGCGGGTGGATCACCTGAGGCCAGGAGTTCGAGATCAGCCTGGCCAACATAGTGAAACCCTGTTTCTAATAAAAATACAAAAATTAGTTGGGCGTGGTGGTGCGCACCTGTAATCCCAGCTACTTGGGGGGCTAAGGCAGGAGAATCACTTGAACCCGGGAGGGGGAGGCTGCAGTGAGCCGAGATCACACCACTGCACTCCAGCCTGGGCAACAAAGTGAAACTCTGTTTCAAAAAACAAAAATAAAAAACGTTTGTGTGGTTTTTTTTTTTTTTATTTGAGACTGAGTCTCACTCTGTCGCCCAGGCTGGAGTGCAGTGGCGCCATCTCGGCTCACTGCAAGCTCCGCCTCCCGGGTTCATGCCATTCTCCTGCCTCAGACTCCCGATTAGCTAGGACTACAGACGCCCGCCACAACGCCCAGCTAATTTTTTGTATTGTTTTTTTTTTAGTAGAGATGGAGTTTCACCGTTTTAACCAGGATGGTCTCGATCTCCTGACCTCGTGATCCGCCTGCTTTGGCCTCACAAAGTGATGGGATTACAGGAGTGAGCCACCGTGCCTGGCCAAAACGTTTGTGTTTTAAAGGATACTATCAAGACAGTAAAAAGACAATTCAAAGAATGGGGGGAAATATTTTTAAATTATACAGAAGGGCCTGTTATCCAGAATATATACAGAACACTTACAAATCAACAATAAAAAGACAAATAACTAGATGTTTAAATGGGCAAACGATCTGAACAGACATTTCTCCAAAGAAGATATCCAAATGTTTGATAAGCACATGAAAAGACACTCAACAGCATCAGTCATCAGAGAAATGCAAATCAAAACTACAATGAAATACCACTTTATACCCACTGGGTTGATTGTAATAAAAAAGACAGAAAATAATAAGGGTGGGCAAAGATGTAGAGAAATTAAAGCTTGTATATATTAGTGGTGGGGATGTAAAATGATGCAACTACTGCAGAAAACAATTTGGTAGTTCCTCAAGAAGTTAAACATAGAGTTACATATGACCCAGCAATTCCACCCCTAGGTATGTAACTAAGAGAATTAAAAACATGTCTACCCAGGCTGGGCATGGTGGCTCATGCCTGTAATCCCAGCACTTTGAGAGGCTGAGCCAGGCGGATCACCTGAGGTCAGGAGTTCACCTGGCCAACATAGTGAAACCCTTTCTCTACAACAAGTACAAAAATTAGCTGGGTGTGGTGGCAGGCCCCTATAATCCCAGCTACTCGGGAGGCTGAGGCAGGAGAATCGCATGAACCCAGGAGGCGGAGGTTGCAGTGAGCCGAGATCATGCCACTGCACTCCAGCCTGGGGGACAGAGCGAGACTCCGTTTCAAAAAATAAATAAAATATTGAATAAAATAAAATACAACAATACCATCAATTGAGCACTATTGATGCCTCTGTGCCAGGGACCATTCTAAGTACTTAAATCTAAGTACTTAAACCCTCCAGACTATACCTATGCCACTCAGTGATGATTATAATACAGATCCAATCTACACGGAAGAAGCTATTTAGGACAGTCAATTCACTAGGCCAACTGCAATTTGGTTTCTGCCAAACAGAACCGCTTTATATTAATAAATTTCATTTTGAATGTTGTGTCTTTTATGCTTTTCTTTATGTTTGATTTGTGGATGTTTTGATTTTATATGTGTAATGATAAGCACAAGGAATTTATGTCTAATTTAAAGTTACAAATATTTAAATAATGTAACAACTTTGATGAACTCTAAGTGTCGGTGAGAACATTTTACCCTTGAAATATACACTTCAAGAAATGCTGGTCTCTGTGGATGCTCAAGGACTAACTTCAAGACCCAGCTCTATGAATGCTGGTGCTGGCTGTGTGTTTGTGCATCTGTATGTCTTACATTTGCCAGTTACTCACACCACTGTCCGGCATTTGTCTATACATCCTGACCCTTGACCCTCCAGTTTCCCCATAATAGCCGGGACAACACTTCCTGCACAGAGAGGATGGTCACTGATTCAGTGACCTTAAGCTGGAATTTTCCATCACAAGACACATGAGATAAAGGCGAGACATATGACAAGGGATGGCTGGCTGGTCTGCAGAGGAGGCAGACACACAGGAAGGGCTAAGACAGGTGAGTGAACCTAGGTCATGCCCTGTGCCTGGGTCACACTGCAGGCCTGTCATGCCATGGTCCCAGTGGTCACAGGAGGCAGACACTGTTCCTCCCCAATGTATTCTATCTAAATTCCTCCATTTAACATTTGAAAACTCCACCTAATATGCTCAGAAGCCATTTCTGGGACTACGAGACAATCTCCTATATTGTTTGACTAACAAGCAATGTGCCTGACCTTCCTGGGCTTGTAAGTGGTGGAACAGGACTCGAAACTAGGTCGGCTCCAAGCCCAGTCCGTAACACCACCCAACGCTGGTGCTCTTTCCATGGTGGGTGAGAACCCTGGAGGGACCTGAACCAAGGCGAGGGCACAGGGCGAGTGGAAAGAAGGTCCCAAACACGTGGGACCTTCTTTTCCGCTGATGCAGCATGGATCCAGCTGAAGGAGGCTTTTAATAAGAAGTTCCCATTTTCCACCTATCAGATGAGCAAATATCCAAAAGTTCACTAATACCATCAGTTGGCAAGGCTAAGAAACAAGGACATTCCTGGTGGAGTGTAAATGGGCAATAATCTGTGAACATTCCATATTAGTCTATCCTTTTGCTCGGCAATTTTGCTTCTGGGAGTTTATGGAACAGAGATAGCTACGCAGAACTAAAAGACCACATACACAAGGTTATTTATGAAAACACAGGCCCCAGCACCCATTAAATACTGGGCTGATTAAGTAAACTAAGGTACATTCATACACTAGAACAATATGCAATAGAAAAAAAAAGAATGAGGCTGGGCGCAGTGGCTCACGCCTGTAATCCCCAGCAATTTGGGAGCCTGAGGCAGGAAGATCTCTTGAGCCCAGGAGTTCAAGACCAGCCTGGGCAACACAGTGAGACCCCCGTCTCTATAAAAAATAAAAATAAAAGAATGAAGAAGCTCTGAAATGAAAAGATCTTCTCCAAAACAAGATATAGAACAGTGTGTATATACTGCCTTTGTAGGAGAGAAAGTAATAAATAAGGAAGAAATTTTAAAAATCTTTTATTTTTTTTTTTTGGGACAGAGTCTCACTCTGTCACCCAGGCTGGAGTGCAGTGGCACGATCTCGGCTCACTGCAAGCTCCGCCTCCTGGGTCCACACCATTCTCCTGCCTCAGCCTCCTGAGTAGCTGGGACTTCAGGCGCCCGCCACCACGTCCGGCTAATTTTTTGTATTTTTAGTAGAGATGGGGTTTCACCGTGTTAGCCAGAAAGGTCTCGATCTGTTGCCTTTGTGATCCGCCCGCCTCGGCCTCCCAAAGTGCTGGGATTACAGGCGTGAGCCACTGCGCCCAGCTGAAAATCTTTATACTGGTATTTGTTGTAGATGCATTTAGAAATTTGGAAGAATATACAGGAAATTATTATGGTTTTAGGGGTGGGAGGAAAGAACAGCGTAGAGGGAGAACAGGAATGGGAAAGGCTTTCACTGTATATGTTTTAGATTTTTTTTAACCATAAAAAGATTATCTATGCAAATTTTTTATTTTATTTATTTATTTATTTTTTTTTTTGAGACAGAGTCTTACTCTGTCACCCAGGCTGGAGTGCAGTGGTGCGGTCTCAGCTCACTGCAAGCTCCACCTCCCGGGTTCACGCCATTCTCCTGCCTCAGCCGCTCATGTAGCTGGGACTACAAGGCGCCCGCCACCATGCCCAGCTAATTTTTTGTATTTTTAGTAGAGATGGGGTTTCACCATGTTAGTCAGGATGGTCTCAATCTCCTGACCTTGTGATCCACCTGCCTTGGCCTCCCAAGGTGCTGGGATTACAGGCGTGAGCCACCGTGCCCAGCTGCAAAAAAATGTTTAAAAGGCTGTGTGAAGAAGGCTCTGCCCAGTTCTCTCTTCAGCCTAGTTCATCTGCCCCACATACTCTTCCACACATCTGTCTGTCCCCACCTGTCCACCACCTCCTGCATGCAGCACTCAGGTCCTGTGTCCCCCAGGAGGTATTCTGTGAAGTCACACTCTTATGCGTTATGTTTCATCTATTTGTTGGACGTTTTAAATGTACTCTGACCTATTAGTTTCCTTCCTTCTAGATGAAGACAACAATATTTTACACTGTGCCTTGTAGAGACTAAGTATCTTGTTTTTTTGTTGTTATTGTTTGTTTTCAGTTTTTGTTTTATTTATTTATTTATTTTTAATTTAGAGGCAGGATCTTGCTACATTGCCCAGGCTGGCCTCGAACTGCTGGGCTCAAGCAATCCTCCTGTATCAGCCTCCCAAGTGCTGGGATTTCAGGCATGAGCCACCGCACCCGGCCAAGTAACTTGCTAAAAGTCACCGGGGCAGAGCTGGAGCCCAAACCAGCTCTAAGCTGTTCTAAGTCCACTTTCTCCACTATGCCTGTATTGCCTGCTACAGTTCCCAGCTACTCCAGTCCCTGGAGAAGTCGATGACTCCCTTGGCTTTCTTTAATTACTAATAGAGTTCAGTAACAGACAATCACATGCTATGGGAAGAAAGGGAGGAGGAGAGGAAAGAAAGGAGGGAAGAGAGAAGATGGGAAGGAGTGGGGGCAGCGTACTCACTCTTGCAGAGACCGGTCTGAGTCCTCAGCATTTGCTGTGCCCAGGTCTGAGTCACAGGACATGGGCTCCTCACAATGGTCTGGACTCTTGGAGCCATTCTCTTGGAGTAAGCAGCTATCAGAGTTTAGGCTGCAGGACAGCTGGGATGAACTGGCCGTGTCCAGGCTGAGGGAGGAGGCAGTCAGCTTCTGGTTCCTCCGTATCTTATGGCCCGAGTGATGGACTTCGATGTCTTCAGAGCCTGAAGAATGCGAAATGGAATCCAGAGATTCCTTCCGCTGTAGTTCTGCACCAGAGGTAGAGAGAGGGTCCAGCTCAGAAAGCGGGCAAAGCCCAGACAGGGCCAGTGGGGTGAGCGTCCACTCATTTAAGATGGCAGACTTGTAGGAGAGTTCGAAGGACAAGGACGTGAGGCCCTGCAGGAAGCTAAGGAGGAACTCGCCCTCCTCAGCATCTCGGAGCAGGGCGGTGGGCTGGTAGTACTCATGCAAGCGGGCCTGCTCCTGCAGCAGCAGCTTCAGGTAGCACTCCATCAGGCCATCGTTCAGGGCCAGCCGCAGCCATGCCCGGCAGCGGCCCACATCCGTGTTGACAAACGTCAGGTGCTCCAACTCTGAGATGATGTGTCTGGGAAGGGAGAACAGACGTGTTTCAAGAAACTACCCCAAATCACAGAGATGTGCTTTTATCCACTGGTTAGCAGGAACCAGGAATAACTACTGCAAATAGATACAGGCATGAAAAAATATTGGGTAATAGTGTTTTAGGCCAGATGTGGTGGCTCACACCTGTAATCCCAGCACTTTGGGAGGCCAAGGCAGGTGGATCACTTGAGCTCAGGAATTCGTGACCAGCCTGGGCAACAGGACGAAACTCTGTCTCTACAACAACAACATAGCCAGATGTGGTGGCTTGCACGTGTAGTCCCAGCTACCCAGCTACTCGGGAGGTTGAGGTGGAAGGATAGCTTGAGCCTGGGAAGCAAAGGTCACAGTGAGCGGAGATTGGACCACTGCACTCCAGCCTAGGCAATATATATATATATTTATATTTATATATAATAAATATATAAATATAAATTATATATATTTATACATTATATATATATATATTTTGAGATTGGAATTGTGAAAGATAATTTCCATGTTCATTCCAACTACCACGGGGCCCCTGACACATCTGCTCATCTAAGGCATGCTGTCAGAGCTCCTTAAGTGCAAAGTCCTTGGAGCAATGAAGATGCAGGGTAAAGACATGGTCCCTGCCCTCAGGCACAAGGGACTGATGGAAAAAGGCATAAAGTGTAGGAAATCAACAACCCTGTAAGAGGATTGGGGAGCGCTCCAATTACAGCATGTGGCGGAAAAGTGGGTGGTTTGGTTGCAAGGCCAGGAAAGAGAGGGTCTTAAATATCAAATCAATAAGGCAACACGGGGTAATGGCCCCACACCCAGCTGTGCACCAGAACCCCCTGGGGAACTTGAGCAGGATACAAGTTCTGGGACCCCAACCTAGTGAATCAGTCTCCAGGCTAGCATCTGGGAGCCTGTAGGCTACAGATTTTTGTTTAGAAAAGTGACTTGACCACAGTCATGCAGACTGCAGGGTAGATGTTCTGCATAAGGAGATCAGACCCCAGGTGTACCAAACTCAGTCCCAGAATGCCTCCGTCTGATGTACATGCCCCTCTGAGCTACCACAGTCCCTAGCGCAGGTTTATCTCCTCCATGGGAATGTAGACCGCACTCTACTAGGCTCAGTGAGTAAGCTCCAGGGAGCTTCAGCTCAGTAAATGTTGACCAGATGATGGACTCAAGGAAAGACAGAGTGAGATAAGGGGGACAAATAGAAAGCCAGTGTCACCCAGGAAAGAAGAACGTGAGACAAGGCAGTGGCAATCTGCATGGAAAGGAAGATTAGAGACTGACAAGGCTTCTTTTGGGCTGAAGGTGGCATTTAGTAGTCCTCAGAGGCACAGTGCCAGCTACTTGCTCAAAAGCCCAGACAGTTAGGGGCCAAAGAGATAAGTGTCTCAGGGTGAATATTCATATGCTTTTCCTGATTCCACTCTTTATATAATCCCAGCACTTTGGGAGGCGGAGGTAGGCAGATCACAAGGTCAGGAGTTTGAGAGCAGCCTGACCAACATAGCAAAACCCCTCTCTACTAAAAATACAAAAATTAGCTGGGCGTGATGGTGCGCGCCTGTTGTCCCAGTTACTCAGGAGGCTGAGGCAGGAGAATTGCTTGAACCTGGGAAGCAGAGGTGCCAGTGAACCGAGATCGCGCCATTGCACTCCAGCCTGAGTGACAGAGCGAAACTCCGTCCCAAAAAAAAAAAAAAAAAAGATTTACAATTCGGATGTTTGAATAATCTAAGGCAGGGTCAGCAAATCCAAGGCAGGGTCAGCCCTTCTGTAAAGGGCCAGATAGTAAATTCTTCAGGCTTTGCAGGCCACACAACCTCTGTTGTAACTATGTAACTCTGCCCCAGTGTGGCAAAAAAGGCTGTTCCTGCTAAAGGTGGCCAGTCTCACCTGCTTTTTGTGACCAGTCTCAAAGCAGCCACAGGCTCTTGCCTGAGTGCTGAGGGTCTCAAGATCTGCTGGCACACTGGCTGGGAAGCTTGGTCTAGAGATAAGCCTTTCTAGAAGACACTTTCAACCCCTACCTCACCCTCTCTCTATGCTAGAACACAGGGCACCTCTGTTGGCTTCCTGAACAGCTGGGGAGGAAAAGCCAAGTGTCCCATAGTCTGCTGCTCCTCCGCAAAGCAAAACCTCTCCGGCTAAATCTCACTTGTGGGTGACAGCTTTCAGGAGGGGCCAGAAGACAGGCTGGGGCAGAGGCTTCTGGTGGGCACTTTTCTTCCTTTTTCCTCCGGCCTCAGCTCGGATGTGCTTGGCGTGCAGGCCATGGATAAATACGGCCTCCAGGGCGCTGCACATGGTGTTGGCATCTCCGTCTTCACTAGTGACCACCGTGTCCAGGGACACGTACTGCTTCTGCAAGGCCTTCACGGATCCCACCAGCTTCTTCTTGATGACCTAGGCAGCACCACACAGAACACAGGCCTTTAGCGGAAAATCCTATGGAGAGTCCCTAGAGTGTAATCCTTTAGCTGGTGCCAAATACGTGTGCAACCACATGCACACACATCTATGTGTGTGTCTGTAGATTCCTTCTGCAAAATTAGCACATTGTTAACTACAGCAAAGAAAGATAAAGCATAGAGAAGAAAAGGAAAATCACACACACTACCCAGAGATAATTACTGTTATTGTTTGTTTCATATGTCCTTTAGTATAGATACTTTTTGTTTTTTAGACCAAACTTAAGTGAACTTAGAGCCATATAATCTTGTGTTTAAATATTGGCCCCATCATAGCTGCAGTGATGGGAGCTTGGGTAAATCCATCTAGGACAAGGGTGGGGCTTCCCACCTTTTTTACATGGACAAGCTTCTGTAGAGAATCAATAAGCCAAGAGGCAAAAACAAACAAACAATAAACACCCACACTGCTTTAGAACAATAAAAACATGAGGAGAACAGGAGCATGGTTTACTTTAAGAAAGATCCTAGGCTGGGCGTGGTGGCTCAAACCTGTAATCCCAGAACTTTGGGAGGTCAGAGGCAGGAGGACTGCTTGAGTCCAGGAGTTCAAGGCTGCAGTGAGCTGTGATCACACCACTGTACTCCAGCCTGGGCAACATAGCAAGACCTTGTCTCAAAAAAAGAAAGATCCTAGGCCTGGAAGCCAGAGGACTAGGCTCAGTCCTAGCTGCCAGTAACCAGATGGGCCTCCTCAGACATTCCACTTAACCGCTTTGAGCCTCAATTTCCTTATCTGTTAAAGTGGAAATAATACTTTCTGATTTATAGTACTATGAGGATTCTCCTGAGGACAGGACTACCTTTTTTTTTCTTTTTTTTTTGGGAAGTGGTTTCTGGTGAAAACCAGAAAACCTACTAGATAAATTCTAAAAAGAGGCTGGGTGTGGTGGCTCACACCTGTAATCCCAACACTTTGGGAGGCCAAGGCAGGCGGATCACTTGAGGTTAGGAGTTTGAGATCAGCCTGGCAAACATGATGAAACCCTGTCTCTACTAAAAATGCAAAAATTAGCCAGGTGTGGGCCGGGCACGGTGGCTCACGCCTGTAACCCCAGCACTTTGGGAGGCCAAGGTGGGCGGATCACGAGGTCAGAAGATCGAGACCATCCTGGATAACAGGCTGAAACCCCATCTCTACTAAAAATGCAAAAAAATAGCTGGGCGTGGTGGCAGCGCCTGTAGTCCCAGCTACGCGGGAGGCTGAGGCAGGAGAATGGCGTGAACCCAGGAGGCGGAGTTTCCAGTGAGCCAAGATCGCACCACTGCACTCCAGCCTGGGTGACAGAGCGAGACTCCGCCTCAAAAAAAAAAAAAAAAAAATAGCCAGGTGTGGTGGTGAGTGCCTGTAATCCCAGCTACTTAGGAGGCTGAGGCAGGAGAATCACTTAAACCCAGGAGACAGAGGTTGTACTGAGCCAAAATCGTGCCACTGCATTCCAGCCTGGGTGGCAGAGTGAGACTCCATCTCAGAAAAACAAAACAAAACAAAACAAAACAAAACAAAACAAAACAAAAAACATATATATAAAAGAGCTGAGTGTGGCACTAAGACTAGTGTTTTATTCATCCTTGTGTCAACACTTGGCACTGTGCCTGGCACATAGAAATACTCAATAAATGTTTGTTAAATGATACACCACAAAATGTACATAGAGTCTTTTGGAAATATAGAGTAAAAATTGAGCATAATTATAAGCATGTGAAAATCACATAAGTGATTGGAAAAGGACTGGAAGGGATTACAGAAAAACTGGTTTGAATTGTTGGGTGATAGGATTATGGCTACATATTTTAATCTTTTATTTTGATTTCAGCCAAAACACTAAATGTTAACATTCTTTGAAAAGTTAAATTTGAAAAAATATAACGGTTTTAATGAGATATAATTCATATACCATAAAATACACCCATTTAAAGTATACAGTTCAATTGTTTCTAGTATATTCACACAATTGTGCAACCATCACCACTACCTAATTTTAGAAGATTTTCTGGCCGGGCACAGTGGCTCACGCCTATAATCCCAGCACTTCGGGAGACCAAGACGAGTGGATCACCTGAGGTCAGGAGTTCGAGACCAGCCTGGCCAACATGGTGAAACCCCCATCTCTACTAAAAATACAAAAATTAGCCGGGCATGGTGGTGCACACCCATAATCCCAGCTACTTGGGAGGCAGAGGCATGAGAATCACTTGAACCTGGGAGGTGGAGTTTGTAGTGAGTCAAGATCATGCCACTGCACTCCAGCCTGGGCAGCAGAGGGAGACTCCGTCTCAAAAAAACAAAAAAACAAAAAAACAAACAAAAAAAACGATTTTCATCACCCCAAAAAGAAATACTGTATATTAGTGATTGCCAGGGGCTGGGAGAAAGGGGAATACGAAGTGAATGCAGTCACTAATCTATTTTCTGTTTCTGTGGCTTTGCATATTTTGTACATCTCACATGAATAGATATCAATACAGCATATGACCCTTTGAATCTGACTTATTTCACTTAGCATATTTTCTATCATGTTGTAGCATGTATCAGGACTTCATCCCTTTTTATTGCCAGAAAATATTCCGCTGCCTAGATATACCACATTTTATTCATCCATTCATCAGTTAATAGACATTTGGGTTGTTTCTACTCTTTTGCTATTATCAATAATGCTGCTATGAACATCCATGTACAAGTTTTTGAGTGGACTTATATTTCTAGTTCTCTTGGGTATATATCTAGGAGTGGAACTGTACACATAACCCTATGTTTAACTTATCAAGGAACTGCCAAACTGTGTGCCAAAGTGGCTGCACTATTTTACATTCCCACCAGCAATATATGAGTTCCAATCTCTCCACATTTTTGCCAGCACTAGTTATTGCCTTTTTTATTACAGCCATCCTAGGGGGTGTGAAGTAGTATCTCACTGTGGTTTCGATGTGCATTTTCCTGATGTCTAATGATAATGAGCATCTTTATTGGCCATGTGTGTATCTTCTTTGGAGAAGGGTCTATTTAAATCCTTTACCCATTTTATAACTGGATTATTTGTCTTTTTATTGTTGAGTTATAAGTGTTCTTTATACATTCTGGATACTAGACCCTTATCAGATATTTGATTTGCAAATATTTTCTCCCATTCTGTGGGTTGTCTTTTCATTTTCTTGGTAGTATCCTTTGAAGCTCAAAAGTTTTTAATCTTGAAATAGTCTAATTTTAAATGTTCTTTTAAAAGCAAGATGTTATTTGTATATTATATTTAAAAAGTACATACATACTTCGTTCAATTGAGCACCTACTAGGTGTTGGGTTAGGGTATACAGGGAGAAATAAGGCATACCCTCAAGAAAGGCATACCCTCATGGAGTCAGTTTGTGCAGCTGTTGTTAGAAGGCTGGGTTGGCCAGGCTTCTGCCCTAGCTCTGGAGGGTCCTGGGGTGGGATTCGGCAGGCACTGGGGGTGGGAGAGTGGGGGTGCAGAGGGGAGGGAAGAGCCTCTGCATGAAAGCCAGCTGGGAAACAGGTGGAGCTGGACTCTCCTGTGGCCAGGACGGGGAAAGGCACGTCTCTGAGAGCTACAGTTTCTTTCAAGCAGAGTTCTCTGAGCTGGGAAGCAGCAGTGGGGAGGAAAGGAAATCCTGGCTTCTCCCCGAAAGCCATCTCAGGATGCTGCTAAGGGACCAGCCCCAAAGCTACCTGACTTCCTGCCTCTCCAAGAGAACAGAGAGCTCTATCTGGAGTACCCAAGATAGCCCAGGAGGGTGCAAAGGGCTGTCCAAGAAAAGGTCCTAGGGGGCTCCAGTGAACTGCTCACAAATAATTACATTTAGAATATCCTAGAAAATGGTAAGTGTTCAGATACATGTAAGTTACCAATTTACCCCCATTACTGAAACAACAAACCAGTGCCTGGGAATATCTGTTTCCCACCCATTCAGTGCTTTGGCCAGACTGTGACCAAATCATGGCCTAAGGGCAGAGGGCTGAAGGGCTGAATGGAAATCCTTGGTCTTCAGGTTACTGATCTTAAATTCCCACTGCTTTTCATAAATCTCCATCTTATCACCAATAAGGTGATCTAGAAAAGACAGGGTCTCCTCAGAGCCTGCTTGTGCTGTAACTTTTTCTCAACCTGGTCTCTCTTGCAGGACAGTGCCCATTCATTTCGAAGTGAGCCAAGCCGATGATACAACTGTCCCCTGCAGCCCTTCCCCGCCCTTGATCCTCCCTCACCCACCTACCGGGATGGCAGCCTGGGGGTCCAGTCCATTCTCCACCACTGAAAGCATCTCCACTCACGCAGCTGCTCCCTCAGAGAATCACATGACACCTGAAGAGACAGATGGCAGCCAGATGAATGGGCAGGGAACTTTCCCCCAGCCAGAGTCCATTCCCAGCAAGCAGCAGGAGGTCAGCCTCTCTTACTCAAACTGCAACCAAAAAGGCCTTTGCAGAACACAAAAGTAAAAACTGATAATAGATTTGAAGGAAAGAAACAAGGAAGGAAAGCCCAGGGGGCTTAGTCGTTGGGAGGCAAGGAGTCCTGGGTGCCAGGGGTGGGTCCACCCCAAGGAGTAGGTGGTAAGGGCGCTTCACATCAAATGCTGCCCAGAAAGCCAAGGCCCTGTAGGATTGAAACCTGTAGGCAGGGAACGACAGGCTGATTCAGATACGGAGCTGCAGGTTCGAGGGGGAGGCTGCAGCTGAAGGTGGCAGGAACCCACTGGGACCAGGAAGCAGGGGCTCACAGGCTCACACATCACATTCAGGGGCTGGGTCCTGCAACACCCTGCCCCCACCCCTCACTCCTGTCCCAGTCCAACATCTGCCAGCTCAGCAGTAAAAAGTACCACTGGAACGGCTTCAAAAGGGGAGGGCTCCCTTGCTACACTTCTGCTCCTCATTTGGGCTTCGAGGGTCTGGCTTGAGCAGCACAGACAGGGACGTGTCTAACCGGGATGACCATGAGGTCTCATCGCAGTTTGCCACTAACCAGGTAGGCATGCTCAGACCTCTCAGATGGAGAATGTGTAAAATGCCTGTCACGGGGCCTGATATGTACCTGTACCTGATATGTTGTACCTGGCATCTGTCATCCCAGTGGATGTGGCCACCTAAACCTACAGACCAAGAATGTCATCACCTAAATGAGTATGCAGGAAGAGCTGAAGTCAGTGAGTGGTTAAATCCCTCAGGGCTGCCAGCTTCCTCCTGGAAGTGGGTGGGGTGGGGTGGGGTGGGGTGGGGTGGGGCGGGTGGGGTGGGGACTTTAGCCTGAGCCTGAGGGGGCTGCTGACTGGCTTGGCCCCACCACAGCAACTTGGACAGACCTGGGCCAGGCAGGCACATTCACACGTAAACAAATCTCTAGCCAACTCCTGGCTGAGCATCAGGGGAAAGGGAAAGGTGATGTCTGTCTCAGCTCTCAATCACCGCACAAAGAAGTTAACAAAACCAAGAAAAGTTAAATGGGCTCAGTTCTCTTTACATATATTGCCTAATTTATGTTCCTCCTAAGGACCCTAGGAGTGCTGTTTTATTGTCTCCACCTGACAGATAAGGAAATGGCAGCTGACCCAGGTCAAGGAAGTTCCTGAGGTCCCAGGGCTGATAAGCGGCCTGACTCCACCACCAGCCCCCAGGAGGAAGCCAACCCCAGCCCTAGGAAAACCCGATTCCTGAGTGAGTGCTGTAAACCAAAAATAAAATTCTAAGCTCCCCAACTGCCTGAATGGGCCCCCCTTGGCCAAAGGGATTTCAAAAAAACTGAAAACTGAGTTCAGGCCATGACACGAAGTGGGGCGTGGGCCATGCCTCATCCTAGCCTCTCCCTTTTGGAGCTTAGACACAACTGACCAGCATTAACATTAAAACAGACTCCTAAGACTGACAGAACAGACTCTCAGCAATTAAGATACCAACTCCAACCTGACTGGTCTAACATCACATGGGAGATAACAGGCCCTAAGGAAATCAAAGTATCTTACCCCCAAGTATATTTTTGACATAGTTTGGAATGGCCCTGCAAAGCCATCTCTTGTTGGGAAAATTTATGTCCTGCAGAGATTCCCTTCCCTTTCTAGGCCTTTTCCTGATTTAGAGGAGATTTAACTAAGAGTCTGACACCTTAGAGACATTTACCATCTATTCTCTTGAAGGCTTCATCTACGTTACATGAACCTTGGCTTTCACAACCCACCTTATCTTAACCCCAAGCTTTTCTTCTGCTGACTTTTAACTCTTTAGGCAAAGTTTAACTTTTTCAGCCAATTGCCAATCAGGAAAATCTTTTAATCCACCTTACCCTGTCCCCACCAATGTATACCTTACATATATCAATTTATGTCTTTGCCTGTAACTTCTGCCTGTAACTTGGATAAAAATCAAGCTGTACCCCAATCACCTTGGGCACATGTTCTCAGGACCTCCCAGGACTATGTCACAGGTCATGGCCCTCACATTTGGCTCAGAATAAACCTCTTCGAATATTTAACAGAGTTTGGCTTTTTCATCAACAGTGCCATCACCTCAGAGCTAGGATTCCAGGGGTGGTCTGGGAAGACCCTTTCGCTGGGGGCCGGGAACAGGGGGTGCAGGGGAACATTAAGGCCAGTGTGGCAGGAAAGGTTTCCTGGACAGCCCTGGAGCAGCATGAGGTTTGGAAAGCAGACAGGCAGGCTGGCCCTAAATGGTGGAAGGTGCTCTGATTGGATCTCTGGCTTCTGGGGATAGCAGAGGGCAAACAGGACACAGGGAGTCAGGACCCAGAGCCAACCTCCCTAAGTCAGGTCCCTCAGGAGGAAGCAGGCATGTATGGAGGATGGTTCCTGCAGACCCAGTAACAGGCCGGGTGCTGCAGATGGCCAGAAGAGCCCTCAGTCCTGACTACAGCCCCATCTGACTGCCTCACCCTTCACCATAGTCTGCTCCCAGCTACCCAGGGATTCTCAGAGCCCTCCTCTGGAGACCAGTTCCACATTCTGGCCACGGGGTGACAGGAAAAGGGGGTTGTATGCTGCAGTGACTCTGCATCTAGGGTCACTTCCAGAAACAGGCCTGGTCTTGAGGTCAGGCTCCATCAAGGCTACCCTTTTGCAGCTCAGCAGGCCACGTCCAGCTTCTCTGGCTCCGAAACCCTGGGCTCCAATCCCAGTCCACAATTTCCAGTGGCCTGAGGCCCTCAGGCCCACCCTTCTAGAGAGAGCCCGAAGCCCCAAAGTTGCCCTTCCCTTAACCAGCTACAGGGCCGGGACCCTAAGGACTTAGACCCAATAATTTGAATTATAGCCCAGGCCCATTAAGACCTCATTAACTAATTAGCTGAGAGTGATAGAGTATTCACAGAGTATTCACTGGGAGGAGCAGGCCATTGGTAAGTGAGTGCTCTGGCCAAGTAACAGTATGCTAAGAAGACAAAATAGGCCAGGTGCCGTGGCCCACACCTGTAATCCCAGCACTTTGGGAGGCCGAGGCAGGAGGATCACTTGAGGTCAGGAGTTTGAGACCAGCCTGGCCAACATGGTGAAACCCTGTCTCTAATTAAAAAAAAAAACAAAAATTAGCCAGGCATGGTGGCCCATGCCTGTAATACCAGCTACTGGTATTACCAGCTACCATACCGGCTGAGGCAGGAGAACCACTTGAACCCAGGAGGCGGAGGTTGCAGTGAGTCGAGATCATGCCACTGCACTCCAGCCGGGGCAGCAAAGCAAGAATAAATAAATAAATAAATAATTTATGGCCGGGCGCCGTGGCTCACGCCTGTAATCCCAGCACTTTGGGAGGCCAAGGCCGGCGGATCACGAGGTCAGGAGATCGAGACCATCCTGGCTAACACGGTGAAACCCCGTCTCTACTAAAAATACAAAAAAATTAGCCGGGTGCAGTGGTGAGCGCCTGTAGTCCCAGCTACTCGGGAGGCTGAGGCAGGAGAATGGCGTGAACCTGGGAGGCGGAGCTTGCAGTGAGCCGAGATCCCGCCACTGCACTCCAGCCTAGGCGACAGAGAGAGACTCCGTCTCAAAAAAAAAAAAAAAAAAAAAAATAATAATAATAATAATAATAATTTATGTCTCAAATAAATAAATAAATAATAAACTGAAGCTGGCTGGGCGCGGTGGCTCACGCCTGTAATCCCAGCACTTTGGGAGGCCGAGGCGGGTGGATCACGAGGTCAGGAGATCGAGACCATCCTGGCTAACACGGTGAAACCCCATCTCTACTAAAAATACAAAAAATTAGCCGGGCGGGCACCTGTAGTCCCAGCTACTTGGGAGGCTGAGGCAGGAGAATGGCGTGGACCCAGGAGGTGGAGCTTGCAGTGAGCCAAGATCGTGCCACTGCACCCCAGCTTGGGCAACAGAGCGAGACTCCATCTCAAAAAAAAAAATTAATAATAATAAACTGAAGCTAAGAGAGACAGGGCCAGACAAGAGAAGGGTCACTTGGCCTAAAACAGAGTCAGAAATGCCACAAAATGACTGACAAGAGCTCAGAGAAATCCAGCAGAAGAGCCACTTGAAAATTCACAAGACAGGACTGAGCCTCTGGGGTTCCAGCCACAATGCAGGACACCTCTGTTTGTAGGCAGCCATAGCACCCCACCTATCTGTATCTGTTCCATCATGCTCAGGGAGGCAGGGCTCAGATGGTCAGTGACAGAAGAACTCACGGCGGGAATCAGAAGGAGGCTTTGTGTCTCTTGACTGTGGGGACAGTACTGCGTCACCCACCCTGGTGGCCCAGATTCTGAATCTACCATCCTATGGAACTGGTTCCACTTTCTGTCCTCAAAATGCTCTTCATTGACACAAAGAACCAAAGTGAAGAGAGGTGTGGCTTCAAGGAGACCTACCTGAAGGGAGTGAGGCAAAGCTGGGCAACAGTACCAAAGGGCTCTTGAACATGACGGGTGAAATCTTAGCAGGGGAAAGGTGACTGGTGCCATTTAGGAAGCCCCAAACCACACCAAGTCTACTGCCACCCTGTGTATTCATTCGCCTTCACATAGCTCTCCAGAGTGCAGAAAGCAAGCTTCTCTGATGTCCCTCTCTAACCTCATTTAATTCTCACAGCAATCCCGTGAGAGAGTGATTATCCCTGTTTTACAGAGGACAAAACTGAGGCTCAGTAGCAATGGGTCTCGGGTAAGGGACAGAACTCTCTGGTTTCTTCATCCCAACTCCTGCATCTTTCCCTGGACCAAAAGGCCTCAGGTCTTTGGCTCAAATTCAGACAAACTATTACTTCTTCTTTAGAGGTACTCGGAAGCTCCATTTCATCACAGAAGGTCTGAAACCAACAAGAAACAGTTCTGCCAATCAGGTTTATAGCCCCAACCAGCTGAGACCAGGTCCTACCAATGCTCCTAAAGTCTCAGAGCTATACTTTCTTAAATGTTCCAACATAGTTAGGAAGGAACAGTTCCGGTTGGTTTCCTGCATTATACTGCCTGGCCTTCTCTATATGTCCAATTTCACTTCCTCCAGAGATCAAGGAAGCAAAAAAAGAGAATGACTTGGATGAGACTTACGTTAAAAGAAGAAAGGGATAACCTGGTTCCACCACTCTCAAAACACTCCACCATCAGTGAACAGCAACCTCTTCTCTTGAGGGACTCCTCAGCCACTCCCCACGGCCTTCTCTCCACTGCCTGAATTGTGTAACTGGCTGTTCAGAGCCACAGCCTGGCTTTAAGCCATCCAACTGCTGTACCAATTGATGAGTCATGTTTTTTCAATTGGAAAAGAATGACAAAGTTATCCTCTGATTCAGAAAGGCAGCTGATCTTTCAGGCATGTGAGTGCTGACTGAGGAAACTGCACCTCTGTCCACCTGAGGAAAGCTGGATTTCTGTGATGGGTGGAGTGGTGGGGGTTGGAGCTTTGAAGCAATTAAATACCAGATGAAGGGTGAGAAACTTTTAGCTTGTGATTCCCAGACTCAGGGCTAGTGGATGAGGGCAGAATTGTGGAGTCAGTGAACACTAGCTATCTTTCTTTCCTCCCTCCTTCCTTCCATCCAGTATCACCCAGCTTCCCTGTATTCTTGTCCCATATCCCAGAGGATTCTAACAAGGACCAAACTCTGAATGAATGAAAACAGGACCGTTGCCTGACCCATTCACCATTGTATTTCTAGTACCTGGAACAGTGTTTGTCACACACTGGTGCTCAAAAAATAAGCTGTTGAATGAATTGATTAATAAAATAAAAACAAGGCACGGGGTAAGTACCTCCACTTCACACACTGTGGGAAGTTGGGGTATACAACTCTTAAATGCTGGGGCAACTGTGGAGCTCCTGTCATTAAGCCAAGCTGCCAATAAGGCTGAAAACAACTTAAATATACTGCATATTAATGGGAGGACATTGAAGGTAAACAGCATTCACTTTTCAAAGGAATACGACTATAAGTGGCAAGCAGAGACAGTGTTCTTTGGGGCCCTTTAAAACTGCAATCAGCCAGGTGCGGCGGCTCACGCCCGTAATCCCAGCACTTTGGGAGGCCGAGGTGGGTGGATCACCTGAGGTCGGGAGTTGGAGACCAGCCTGATCAACACAGAGAAACCCCCATCTCTACTAAAAATACAAAACTAGCCGGGCATGGTGGTGTATGCCTGTAATCCCAGCTACTCGGGAGGCTGAGGCAGGAGAATCGCTTGAACCTGGGAGGCAGAGGTTGCGGTGAGCCGAGATCATGCCACTGCACTCCAGGCTGGGGAACAAGAGTAAACTCCGTCGAAAAAAAGAAAGAAAGAAAGAAAAAAGCTGCAATCAAATGGCCCACCCATCTGATGCCGGGTCCTCAGGATTCAGAGAAAATGTGTACCAAAAAGCCCCCAGGAAACTATAAATGCTGAGCATGGGACTTGGGTGCCTCTGGAATGTCCTTCTGCCTCAGCTACTCTGAGATAACATGGTTCCCTGTGTTCATGGAACCCAGATGGCCAAAAGTCAATGATCCAGCACTTAAAAGAAAAGAAAGCGATTCAAGAGCCTCTGTACCCACCTAGGCCTCAGCCTCCCCAGGACCTACTCACCTATACTCTTCACAACAGGTAACGTTGCCTCTGGCACCCATCATATCCCCTGAATTCAGCATCAGGACTGATCTGCCATCAGCTCTGGCAGGGAGAGGCCCTTACAAGTGCCAAGAAAAGGAACACGAACAATATTCTGTGACCACAGCCAACACCACACAGAACTTCCCAGAAGCTCTCCAGGGCGAGAACACCAACCAGAAGGAAGTGACAGCTTCCATCATTCTGTGCTAAGTGAGCTGAGTGAGTGGCCGTCTCTCACCTTCCAGATATTTGAATGATACCTACCATTCCAGCAGCCAGCACAAGTCATTTAATATGAATGCCAGAAACACAATCCCTGAGGACAGGTGCAGGAGACCAGATGCCAGGAAAAACCCCGGCCCCACCCAAGAGTTGGGGAGAGCCCACTGCTCCTCCACCCTTATTTACCACCTGAGCCCCTGCACCCGCCAATCATGCTGCTCAGTCTGTAACTGCGGGTCTGAGTGAGCACCTACATTTGGCTGTTGAGGGGCAGCTGGTGGAGTTGGCAGGCGACTCTGCACTAAGTTCTCAGGTTGAATGGGAGTGGGGTCGAGGGAAGCAATGGACGCAGAGTTGGGGTGAAGAGTTGCGGTGGGTCAGCGGGGGTGAAAGGACATGGAGATGTCATTTTTAACAAGATTGGGTGAGGGTGGTAGGAAAGGAGGCAGCAAGAGTTCGGGACAGTTTGGCAAAGACTTAGGGATGGGGTGTCCTCAGTACGGCAGGAGACGCAAAGGAAGGTATACAGTGGCTAGGAGACTAAGGACGAGAAGACACAGTTAAGACTTGGAATAAGGCTGAGATCGGAGTTATCCAGAAGAAAGCGGTGAGCTCAACAGGGCACCTACTTTGGGGGTGGGTCTTAGATGAGAGGGCGGAGGTAGAATGTTTGGGATGAGCAGATCTTGGGGAGCTGGACGGGGGATGGGGGTGACTGGGATAAGAAAGCTGAGCCAGAAAAGGGGAAACCTGAATGGTGGGTCTCGGGGAGGTAAGCGCGGAGCATCGGGATTACCAGAGGGGTGGGGAGAGAGGATGAGGTGTGTCAGGGCGGGGCGAAGGGACGTGGCCGAGATCGGTGTTGGAACTGGGGTAAAGTGGGGTCACGAGTGAAGCTGCATTTAAGCAAGACCGCTGGTGAGGGGATGCGGGCGCGGGCTGGGGGCTGGACAGACGGAGGGGACGGGGCCACAGCGGCGGTGCAGGGGGAAGGCTGGGTCGGAGAGGAGCGGGCGCGGGCTGGACAGGGCTGAGGGCCCTGAAGCCGGGCAGTCTCAGGGTAACCAGGGGCTGGGAATCGCGGAGGGAGCGGGAGGCCCACCGCCCGTTCGCGCCTCGGCCCTCCCACCACTCCGCCGCCCTCCTCGCATCTTGACCCCCTAACTCACCAAGCGGAGCGAGGAGCGAGGCGAGGGGCGCTCCCGGCCGCGGCAGCCCCTCAGCCTCCGAGCCGACGATGCGGTCTCTCGGCCACTGACAACAGGAAGCGGCGCCCCGGCCCCTGACGCCATCACGTTGGCTCGGCGCTCCGGCCCTGCCCCGGCCCGCGGTGCCAATCGCGCAGCCCGAAGGAGCCTTGGGGCGGGGCCAGCTGCTCCCGGAAGTCCCTGGGAGCTGAGCCCCGGGGCAGATGCGAGGTCTGGGAGGCTGAGGAGGAACTGGGGGCGCCTGCAGGGCGCAGAGAGGCGAAGGCACCGGTGTCAGGGAGAACGCATCCGTTACCGCCCGCCTCCCGCAGGTCTGCGTCAAACTAGATCCTGGCTTCTGGGTTCCTGACCTCGTTTGGCCTCAGAACCATCTGTGCAACATTGGGGCTGTCACTTCGCCTCCCTCAGCTGAAGAGTTCCCACTTGTGAGTGGGACTAATAACGCCTGCCCTATCTTTGCCTCTCCGAGGGCAGCAGTGCAGCCCGTGGGGCGGAGCCCGGGCCCAAATTGGAGCCTCCGCCTTGCGCTTTCAGGATAAACATAGCTGTTTTGACCACACTTTATCCCAAGGGAACGCCTTGAGGTCCCCTTGGGCACTCTCCCGTGTGTAACTCGCCCATTAGCACCGCCTGGCTTGAAGCTTAGGGGTCTGGTTATTCTCTTCTAGCCCGTGTAGAGGATTTCTTTCTTCCTTTCTGCTTTTTTTTTGAGACAGGGTCTCACTCTGTCGCCCAGACTGGAGTGCTGTGGCACGATCACGGCTCACCACAGCTTTGACCTCACGGACTAAGTGGTTCTCCCACCTCAGCCTCCAAGCAGCTGGGACTACAGGCGTGCACCACCACGCCCAGCTAATTTTTTCTTTTTTCTTTTATTTTTTTTTTTTGCGACGGAGTCTGGCTCTGTCGCCCAGGCTGGAGTGCAATGGCGCGATCTCGGCTCACTGCAGCTCCGCCTCCTGGATTGACGCCATTCTCCTGCCTCAGCCTCCCGAGTAGCTGGGACTACAGGAGCCCGCCACCACGCCTGGCTAATTTTTTTATGTTTTTAGTAGAGATGGGGTTTCACCGTGTTAGCCAGGATGGTCTCGATCTCCTGACCTGGTGATCCACCCGCCTCGGCCTCCCAAAGTGCTGGGATCACAGGCGTGAGCCACCGCGCCCGGCCAATCTTTTCATTTTTAAAAAAAATTGTTTATTTTGTAGAGACAGGGGTCTCACTGTGTTACCTAACCTGGTCTCCAACTCCTGGCCTCAGGCGATCCTCCTGACTCGGCCTCCCAAAGTGCTGGGATTACAGGCATGAACCACCACACCTGGCCTGTATATCTTCTTTCTAACGCAAAAGTGACATTTCTCTTTCAGATGAACTCGGAACAAAATGTCATAAGTGGTGGCCACAGGTAGTGAAGAGCAGGGCAGGGAGTGTTGGCAGGGACCCATGCTCTGGACACTTTATACTTGCAGGCTTTGGTCAATTGGGAGCCTAGGGCCTGAGTGTGGATGAGGAGAGGTACTGCTACATGCCAGTCCTAAGTGGGCACAGGGGTTGGCTGGGGAACGGGCCAGTTCTTGGAAGCAAGCTTCACTGCCCTCGGCCTGGGCGTCCTGTGCTCTTTTGGCTTCTCTGGGTAGGAAGGTGTCCCTCTTATCTCTGCAAAGTTCAGAGTCCCACTGTCTGCTTTCAAGTATAAAACCAGCACTTGGGGGTATGATCCTGGACTGTATGAGGGCCGCCCTTTCAGTAATTCTCTCTCCAGGAGTGAGAACCTCCCCTTCTCAATTTTAGACTAGATGGGTCTGAGTGTGTTTACTGCAGTTAATGGTTGAGCAGGAAGATTAGAAATAAGGACACAGAGACAAACTATTCTCTCGGTGTTAAACTCATTTTAAACAAAGTGGAAAGTAAGGGATTTAGTAGGGAAATCCTTTCACCTTGGCAAAACGATAGTATACAACTGGCACAGCATAATCCTTGGTGGCTTGGCACAAGCATTCCCTGTCCCCCATCAAGCACATAATGTCCCTCAGTAATTCCACTGCATTTTTGTGCAGCGGCTGTGTGCTGGAGCTGTGGGGAACCCCTCGGTAATCTCTTGTCTGCTTTTTAGGAGCCCCTATCTCCTGGTCTTCTCTTACTTCCCAAGCTACCCTGCTTCTTTGAAAAGTCTGCAGGCTTGCCTACCTCTTCTCAGCTTGCTCTGCATGCCTTGGGGAAGCTGCATAAAGCATGGATCATGAAGGAGGGGGCGCAGAGGAGAGGGAAATGCATGTTTGCACAAATGGACCCTGAGCCCACCAGGCAGGCTCCAGATGGGGGGAAAAAAAAAAAAAACCCTTACATTATCATGTGACTTGCGCAAGAAAAAAGGTACCTGCAAAGGGCCAAGGGACCAGAGAGGAGAACTTGAGAGGTATTCTGGAGGAGGCGACTTTTGATATGAGCTTTCTAGGTGAGTAAAGGGTATTGCAGCTGAAGGGACTGGCTGGTAAGTGGCCAGCACATAGGAATACAGGCTGAGCTCAGGGAAGGGTGCACCCAGAGGTGGGGAGGAAGGTGGGAAGTGAAAAAGGAGGCTGGGCACGGTGGGTCATGCCTGTAATCCCAGCACTTTGGGTGGCTGAAGCTGGTGGATCACTTGAGGTCAGGAGTTCGAGACCTGCCTGGCCAACATGGTGAAAGCCCATCTCTACTAAAAATACAAAAATTAGCCAGGTGTGGTGGTGTGTGTCTGTAGTCCCAGCTACTAAGGAGGCTGAGGTATGAGAATTGCTTGAACCCGGGAGGCGGAGATTGCAGTGAGCCAAGATAATGCCACTGCACTACAGCCTGGGTGACAGAGTGAGATCCTGTCTCAAAAAAAATTTTTTTTAAATAATAATAAAAATAAATAAAAATAAAAGGAAGTGAAAAAGGAAAGGGTAAGGGGAGAGGGCCAGAATGGAAGGGGAGCTGAAGACTGAGCAAGGCAAAGTTGGAGGCCAGTGCAGAAAGGGCTCAAACCATTTGCAAGGATGGTTCACATCCCACTGGTCTGTCAGCTTGGATTTAAAGCACTACCCAGCGTTATTCAAAGCCACACAGGAGAACTGTAGGCATCAGAATGCCCTGGGGACAGGTCCAAAATGCAGATTCCTAAGCCCCACACTAACCCTAAAGAGTCACTCTAGGATGAGGTCCAAGAATTTGGGCTTCACCCCACCTCTCCTGTCCCCTGCCCTCACCACTGAGGACCTAAAGGATAATGAAAGGGGGAAATCTGTGCCCTAAATAATCCCTTTTGGCAGTTACTTTCTGTTTTCAAAGTTCAAGTCTGTCCTCCGGGACTAACCTAGGAGATGAGGGATAAGGGAATTAACATTTATGGAAAATGGAAGAACATACATAGGCACCTGTGTTCACCTAATATTCCTTACCAGCCACCTGAAAGGTGGGTGCTGCCATTATCTCTATTGTATGGATGAGAAAATAGGCTTAAAAGAGGTTAAGTGGCCAGGTGCGGTGGCTCATGCCTGTAATCCCAGCACTTTGGGAGGCCGAGGTGGGTGGATCATGAGATCAAGAGATCCAGACCATCCTGGCCAACATGGTGAAACCCTGTCTCTACTAAAATACAAAGAATTAGCTGGGCGTGGTAGCACGCATCTGTAGTCCCAGCTACTTGGGAGGCTGAAGCAGGAGAATCGCTTGAACCCAGGAGGCAGAGGTTGCAGTGAACCGAGATCACGCCACTGCACTCCAGCCTGGTGACAGAGCGAGACTTCATCTCTTAAAAAAAAAAAAAAAAAGAGGTTAAGTAACTTGCGGGGGGGCCACAGCCACAGAAGTAGTAAGTGCTAGAAGTAGGATTCTTACCTAGTTCTTTCTGATTCTAGTTTCAGCTTTGTTCAGTGGATTTTAGAGCCAGGGCTGTTTAGGTTTGAATCTCATCTCTATCCCATATTGTTTGCTGGGACTTCCTTAAAACAGTGTGGGGCCCAGGGCAACCCAATGAGTATGGGGCTAAGATAGCTGACAGCTGCCACCGAGTCAGCATTTTTCACAGGCCCGTTGAGATCGCACTGAAGACAGAAATTTCTAAATTGAATTTTATTGATGTTCAGGAAAGAGAAGTAAGTCACAACGCCCCTTCGCCCTCAGCCCCAAGCAGAGAGCCCAGAGTGTGTGACCTCAGGCAAGTGCCAAAACCTCTCTGAGCCTCAGTTCCTCATTGTAAATAGGGGCTAATGTCAGTTGATGTGAGGAGTAAATATCATGATATCCTGGCTGGGCACAGTGGCTCACGCCTGTAATCCCATAACTTTGGGAGGCTGAGGTGGGTGGATTACTTGAGGCCAGGAGTTCGAAACCAGCCTGGCCAATATGGTGAAACCCCATCTCTACCAAAGATACAAAAATTAGCCAGGCATGGTGGTTCATGCCTGTAGTCCCAGGTACTTGTGAGGCTGAGGCACAAGAATCGCTTGAACCTGGGAGGCTGAGGTTGCAGTGAGCTGAGATTGCGCCACTGCACTGCAGCCTACATGACAGAGTGAGACTCTGTTCCAAAACAACAACAACAAAAAAAAAAAAAAAAAAAAAGGAAAAGAAAAAAAGAAAAGAAAAAGATGATATCCTTAATGCAAGTTCTGGCCTGTAGTAAGTGCTCAAAGATGAACAGTTGTTACTATTCTAGTTGTGGCTAATTTTCACCCTGCCAATTGGGCAGGTCCTTGCCTTCCATTGCTCTTGTAAGCACTTGAATGAGAGCCTTTCTTGTCTGAACCCCAGATATATTCTTGCTTGGCATCTGATTGAAATAATAAAACTAGTGTTAATGCACCCTCCTCTCTGGACACTGGAATCACTGGTGTGCTCTTCAGTTCTGTTGTAGGAAGCGGTTTCTTTCCACTCTCTCTTTTTTAAAAAATTGATTAAAAAGTGTTGTTATACACACGGTTTACAATTCAATAAAATGAAACGGAATGGGGATGAAACATAACGAACAACAGCAGTTCATTGTCCCCATTGTTCCCACCCTTCTGGGGAGCAGGCTTTCAGCAGAATCTTCTGGTGCTTCTCCCCACATCTCCTGCACGTCTCATTGTTTGTATTTTATTATTTTTTTGAGACACAGTCTCACTCTGTCACCCAGGCTGGAGTGCAGTGGTGCCATCTTGGCTCACTGCAACCTCCGCCTCCTGGGTTCAAGCAATGCTCCTGCCTCAGCCTCCCTACTAGCTGGGATTACAGGCACCTGCCACCATGCCCAGCTAATTTGATATTTTTAGTAGACGCGGGGTTTCACCATGTTGTCAAGGCTGATCTCAAACTCCTGACCTCACGTGATCCACCTGCCTTGGCCTCCCAAAGTGCTGGGATTATAGGCGTGAGCCACCGCGCCCAGCTGTCTCATAGTTTTAGACACTGTCTGTTGCCTTCCTGGTAAACCTGGCAAGGACTTAGCTCTTTTACACCCCAGCCCTGTCCATTCTTGAGGTTTGGGTTTGCCACAATTTGTAGAAAATGAACAGTGTTTACAGAATTGTGACTATATAAATATTATTCACCACAGAGCTTAATAATGTGCTGTGAGGTCAGGCATGGTGGCTCATGCCTGTAATCCCAGCACTTCGGGAGGCCAAGGTGGGCGGATCACCTGAGGTCGGGAGTTCAAGACCAACCTGGCCAACATGGAGAAACCCCATCTCTACTAAAAATACAAAAATTAGCTGGGTGTGGTGGTGCCCCCTGTAGTCTCAGCTACTTGGGAGGCTGAGGCAGAGAATCACTTGAACCTGGGAGGTGGAGGTTGCAGTGAGCCGAGATCATGCCACTGCACTCCAGCCTGGGCAACAGAGTGAGACTCTATCTCAAAATATAATAAAATAAAAATAAAATACACTCTGATGATGGCTGCTTCCCCCAAGGGTGCCTCAAGCTCTCTCCTTTTCTTTCAGTGCCATCTGCCATTATCGTGCCGTCGTTCTCTTCCAGTGCTCTGGTGGAGCAGGTGGCGCCCAGGCCCACAGTGCCCTCTCCAAGTTCTGTCCTCCATGTGCTCAAGTTATCCCCTAAACTTGTCACATGGGTCATCCTGGAACTTTGCTTAACTGCTTCCTGGGTTGGGGCCTTTATTTCCTGGCTCCCTTCTCTTCTTGCTTAATTTCCCCTCCCTTTGCTGCAGCACATACCCAGTTAAGAATCCCTTTCTAACATTAAAAAAAGAAAAAGAGAATAGTTCTTGGACCTCCTCATGATAGAAATTGTATCTTTAGGCCGGGTGTGGTGGCTCACTTGTGTAATCCCAGCAGTTTGGGAGGCCGAGGCAGGTGGATCACTTGAGCTCAGGAGTTCAAAACCAGCGTGAGCAACATGGTAAAACCCTATCTCTACAAAAAGTACAAAAATTAGCCAGGTGTGGTTGCATGTACCTGCAATCCCAGCTACTCAGGAAGCTGAGGGAGGAGAATCTCTTGAACCCAGGAGGTGGAGGTTGCAATGAGCTCTGATCATGCCACTGCACTCCAGCCTGGGCGACAGAGTGAGACCCTGTCTCAAAAAAAACAAAATAAAATTGTATCTTTAATATCCATTAACTGAAAAATAAAAATAAAAATAAGGACCAAAAATTACTATGTGGACACACATGCTTTTAAATGAATTTGTGTGTTATTAACCACAGTAACATCTATGAACTTGTGAAAAACTGTTACTGGTTTAGGCTTAAGGGTTTGCCCAGTCTAGCTTCAATGTTCAATGGGTGGGCATGGTGGCTCACACTTTGGGAGGTGGCCAAGGCAGGCAGATCGCTTAGTCCAGGAGTTGGAGACCAGCCTGAGCCACAGAGTGAAACCCTATCTCTACAAAAAATTTAAAAATTAGCTGTGCGCGGTCACGTGCACCTGTAGTCCCAGATATTGGAGGGCAGTGGGGGGTGGCGCTGAGGTGGGAGGATCACTTGAGGCCAGAAGGTCAAGGCTGCAGTGAGCCGAGGCTGAGTCACTGCACTCCAGCCTGGGTGGCACAGCAAAACTCTGTCAAAAAAACAAAACAAAACAAAACAGACAAACAAGAACCAAAGTTGGATGCAGTGGCTCATATCTGTAATCCCAACAACTCGGAAGGCTCAGGCAGGAGGATTGCTTGAGGCCAGGAGTTCAAGGCCAGCCTGGGCAACATACTGAGACCCTCGCCTCTGAAAAAATTAAATATTAATAAAAACAAACCCTAGTAGCTTCAGTCTTTGATTCTCCATCCCTCATTTCATCCCTTTGTCTTCTGGTAATAGAATTTCCTTCTTGTTTTTCTTTTGGGATGAGCCACCTTCGCTCCCTGGGATTCTGCTGGGATTGAGTTACCGCCTTCCGGGCTCAAGCGATCCTCCCACCTCAGCCTCCCAAGTCGCTAAGACCATGGGTGCATGCCACCATGCCTGGCTAATGTTTTGTATTTTCTGTAGAGCCGGCGTTTTGCCCTGTTGCCCAGGAGTTTTTCCTTTAATGTTCTCCTGCTACTTACTAATTCACTTTGTCACCCTGTGAGCTCATAAGAGCAGAGAGATAGCAACAGGAGCTAAAAAAACTCTAAGCTGTGAAAAAATATTAAATATGAAATCATGATAGCTATTAGCTTAATTTGTTTTAGGCAAATTGCAAAGTAATTTTTTGGGAATCAGTGTCCCACTGCAGTGATTCCATATGGGGATTCCTAATTCCCAGTATGTTTTTAAAATAATTTGTAAACACCTAGTACAAACGCATGATATGAAATTCAAGAGGTACAAAAGGGCATACAGCCCTGCACTCTCCCAGTTTCCCTCCCGGAAGGCAACCGCCATTACCAGTTTCTCGTGTGTGCTTCCAGAGGTATTCTTGTCCAACAGAACTTCAGTGATGAAAACAGTTGCCTTTGCTGCCAGTTTGGAAGCCATTAGCCACACGGGGCAGTTGAGCACTTGATATGTGGCTAGTGTGTCTTAGCAGCTGACTTTAAAAAAAATTTTTTTTTTTGTTAAAGACTCAGCGTCTTGCTCTGTTTACCAGACTGGACTGCAGTGATGTGTGAACATGGCCTCAAACTCCTATTTATTTATTTTTTGAGACAGGGCCTCACTCTGTTGTCCAGGCTGGAGTGCAGTGGTGCAGTCATAGGTCACTGCAACCTTGACCTCCTGGGCTCAAGAAATCCTCCCACCTCAGCCTCCTAAGTTGCTGGGACTACAGATGAATGCCACCATGTTTGGCTGATTTTTACAATTTTAAATTTTTTGCCTGGGCGCAGTGGCTCATGCCTGTAATCTCAGCACTTTGGGAGGCTGAGGCGGGCAGATCACCTGAGGTCAGGAGTTCAAGACCAGCCTGGCCAACATGGCAAAACCTTGTCTCTACCAAAAATACAAAAATTTGCTGGGTATGGTGGTGCGTGCCTGTAGTCCCAGCTACTTGGAGGCTGAGGCACGATAATCGCTTGAACCCAGGAGGCAGATGTTGTAATAAGCTGAGACTGCGCCACTGCACTCCAGCCTGGGTGACAGAGTGAGACCCGTCTCAAAAAAAATAAAAATAAATAAATAAATAAATTTTTTGTAGAAAAGGGGCTTCACTATGTTGCCCAGGGTGTTCTTGAACTATTGGCCTCAAGCTATCCTCCCACTTGGCCTCCCAAAGTGCTAGGATTACAGGCATGAGCCACTGTGGCCAACCTAAATTTATATGTAAATAGCCATATGTGGCTAGTGGCTACTGTATCAGACCTCACAGTTCTGTACAGATAACGCACAGCTCACAGTAGCATACTATACACGCCCTACTAAATCTTGCTTTGTTCCCTTAACAGCACCTATGCATCTTGGAGATAGATTGTCCCAGTCTGCCTCATTTTTAAAAACTGCTGCATAATATCCTCTTGTAATCCACAAAGGGAATCCCAGACCCAGCCTGGGGGGCCATGGGTCATCACTTTTTACAACAAGCTCTAAAATCTTCCACATGTACCATAATCAAGGCACTTCAGAACAACCCTAGGTTCCTCATGCCTCTACTTTTATTAGCCTGGGCCTGACATAGTTGGACATTGAATAGTCACTTCTGGGGGCTGGTGGAAATAATTTACCATGAGTGACTGCCCTAAAGTATACTCTCCACCCACGTGGCCCGTGCCTGGCATTCACTAGTGCTGGTGGCATTCTTTAAGGTTGCTCATATCTCTAAGTGGTTCTCCTTTAAAGAGCAAAGTCTCCTGGGAAAGGTGGTCATTAAGCAGAACATCTGGGGCTCATCTTGCTTTTGCCCTGTTGAGAGGGGCCAAGGGACTTGGTAGAGCAGCAGGGGCTCTGACGGTGAACCTCATTGTTTTTAAAATTATTCATAAGAGGCCAGGTGCATTGGCTCACACCTGTAGTCCCAGGACTTTGAGGAGCAGAGGCAGGAGGATCATTTGAGTCCAGGAGTTCAAGATTAGACTGAGCAACACGGGGAGACCTCATCTCTACAAAAAATTTAAAAGAAAATTAATTGGGCATCATGGCACGAGCCTGTGGTTCCCGCTACTCGGGAGGCTGAGGTGGGAGGATCACCTGAGCCCAGGAGGTTGAGACTTGCAGTGAGCTGAGTTCACACCACTGCACTCGAGCCTTGATGACAGAATGAGACTGTCTCAAAAAAAAAAAAAAAAAAAAAAATTGTCCTTAAGTCCATGTGGACCCCTGACTAGGTTTGTGCCCTAGACAGCCTTCCTCTGAGGGCAGTTCAGGTGGTGAGACTCCAGCTTTAAATGGCCTCTAGAGAAATTTCACTAACCTGCCTTGGTGTTTGACCCTGTATAACCCCTTTCTTCTGGAGGTCCCTTTGGGTGGCAGTAGATACGGGATTTGGTGTCTGACAGCTCTGGGGACAGATCCCAGCTCCAAATGGCAGAGTCTCTACAGATTACAAGCCAAATACTTAGCACTATGTGCTGATCTTCAGGAAGTCAGTCTATATTTCATAACAAGTCACATGGGGATAATGAAGGAATGGCCTAAAATGCTCTCAGTAATATTCCTGAGTCATCCCTCAGGGCTAGGCTTGGTGTTAGGCATGGCGGGGAAGGGAGCAGAGCTGTGTGCAGAGGAAGATGCAGTTCTTGCCTTGTCAGGGTCCCTGACCTGATGGCGACCCATGGTGGAGTCTTCATAGTGACAGACACCACTGTAAAAGCAGATCCAGGTTGTGCAACCCTCAAAGCAGGT
This sequence comes from Homo sapiens, assembly GCF_000001405.40. Classification (NCBI taxonomy): domain Eukaryota; kingdom Metazoa; phylum Chordata; class Mammalia; order Primates; family Hominidae; genus Homo; species Homo sapiens. The sequence goes on from NT_167251.2 coordinate 191,343, forward strand.
CTCCTCACTCACCGGGATAGATAGACTATTGGCCGTACCTGCATCCACCGCTTGCCATGGTTTCGTTGTGGGTGGAGGATACTTTCCTGTCCCCTGGCTTTGGGTTTGCCCACGTGGCTTGCTCTGGCCTTGGAATGAAGCAGAAACGAAAGGCTGCCAGTTCCGAGCCCACGTCTGAAGTCGCCTTAGGTGGTTCCGCGGGCCCCGTGCGCTCCCACCTTCACCCAGAGGGCCTTCTCTGGTGCAGCCGCTGCTTCTTCAGCCTCCGCCCAAAAGGAACGGAGCCCCCTGGCCGATCCGCAGGCCTACAGGGAGCCACAGAGCGCAGCGGCTGGACCAGCGTTCAAGCCCAAGCACAGGCCTGCGAGAACCTTGTTCCAGCCGCCGTTTAGGATGGTTGATTAGGACGCGTTGCAGTGGCGGTAGCTCACCAATCCAGTGCGTGCACCCGCTCCTTTATTAGGCTATAGAGCCAGTGGCTCCCACAGGGACCTGATACAACAGTGCGTTAAATAAGGAGCATATTGAGCTCTCATGTCGTAAGCCAGTGGAGAAGTCCAGGGCTAGTGTGGGGGCTCCGGCGGGGGCTGTGGCCCCCATCCGCATGGAGCCTCCCCATGGTTCACAGGTCTCAGTCTTCGGAGCCTTCGGCCCTGCGAGCCCGAACAGTCCACAGGGCGGCGCCAGACCCTCTTTCGAACGCCATCCTCTAAAGCCTCGGCTCCAACCGGTTCCACTTCTTCAGGCTCAGGATTTTCACTCTTCTCGAATGGGGGTGGCCCTCCCCCAATCTTCTGAGTCGCAACAGCATCTCCCTCCCTCCAGGACCTCAGAGCCAGAGCTGGGCGAGAGGCCCTGACCTCCGGGGTAGGGTGGAAGCGTCCCTGTGAAGGTGCAGTCCTGCCTCCCATCCCCAGGCGCCGGGCCTCTCCCACCCTCAGCGCCCTGCTCACCTCCAGCTGAAGATGCCAGGGCACCTCTGCTTCCTCCCTGCCCTCTCTGCAGTACCGCCGAGTGTGCATAAAAGGGTTTAATATAGGCTTTGCCGGGCGCGGGGACTCCCACCTGTAATCCCAGTACGTTGAGAGACCAAGGCGGGAGGATCACTTGAGGCCAGGAGTTCAAAACCAGCCTGGGCAACAAAGTGAGGCCCGTCTCTGAAAAAAAAAAAAAAAAAAAAAAGAATAAAAGAGGTCCCTTTTTCTGGGAGATTGATATAGGGGAGTGTGAGTTAGAAGGGAGGCATCGAGGATCAGTCATTTAAAGCAGCATCCAAGGGTGTTCAAGGCTAGAGATCCACAGGTGTATTTTCAGAAACTGAATTTCCTGGCGGGGCACAGTGACTCATGCCTGTAATCCCAGCACTTTGGGAGGCCAAGGTGAGCGGATCACTTGAGGTCAGGAGTTCAAGACTAGCCTGGCCAACATGGTGAAACTGTTTTTAGAAAAAAAAAAAAAAAAAAATTGGCCGGGCATGGTGGTGGGTGCCTGTAATCCCAGCTATTCGGGAGGCTGAGGCAGGAGAATCACTTGAACCTGGAAGGCAGAGGTTGCAGTCAACCGAGATCACGCTGCTGCACTCCAGCCTGGGTGACAGAGACTGTCTCCAAAAACAAACAAACAAACAAAACACAAAAAAAACCCCAAAACCCAAAACAAGCCAGGCGCGGTAGCTCGCACCTGTAATCTCAGCCCTTTGGGAGGCCAGGGCGGGTGGATTACCTGAGGTCAGGAGTTCGAGACCAGCCTGACCAACATGGTGAAACCCCATCTCTACTAAAAATACAAAAATTAGCCGGGCATGGTGGTGCATGCCTGTAACCCCAGCTACTAGGGAGGCTGAGGCAGGAGACTTGCTTGAACCCAGGAGGCGGAGGATGCAGTGAGCTGAGATCGTGCCATTGCATTCCAGACTGAGCAACAAGAGCAAAACTCCACCTTAAAAGAAAAAAAAACAAGCAAAACTCCTGAATTTCCCTGTGGATATCTTTTCTCTGGCAGCCTTTTTCAATGAGGGCTAAGTTTTCTCCAATACTATATGGCCTGCAGACCGCTCAGCTTTCATTCCAGTGAAAACATTCCAGAAAAAACTCTGAATCAATCCCAGGTGTTTCTCCAATCAGCTCAGGATGATTGTGTGTTACCTGCTGCCCAGCCAGTGACACCTCTCCAGGCCTCTGACTTAGCTAGGTCTCCACCATGTGACTCCACCATAGACTCCCCACCTTCTTCTTTTGCAAAGCCTCAGACACCCAAACACCTACCAAAAGTGGGTAGGGCACCAGGACACTCCAAGTGTAAGTGGGGCTCTCCAGCACACCTGGATGTGGAGGTGTGATGCAGAGTGGTGGCTGCTCGTGACACTCATTTCACCCCTTTCTGTGCAGGTGCCAGAAGCCCAGGAAGCACACATCAAGGCTCACTTGCCAGCGGGGTGCTGCCAATAAAATGTAGTCACGTGGAATTTGGAATGTGGAAAGGAGGTAGAAGTCATCCTTTCCTCCCCCATAGCAGCAGGTGTGCAGGCTCTGGTGGTCAGCTGGACTCCATACTCCCCCACCAGTCACCAGCCTGGGGACCGTGGGGCTGCAAGGACCTCAGCAGCGGTTTCCCAAGTTTCCTGACTTCTTCCATCCTCTGGAAATCAGCTGTGGTAAAGTAGCCTGAAAGCCAGTGGTGCAACCCCATCCCCACAACCTTCACCACCTCTAGCACCTCCAGTGATAAGCACTAATTGCCTATATACAACCCTTTTTTGTTTGAAATATCTAGAGTAATTTCTGTTTTCCTATCTGGGGTAGTGTAACATAAGAAGAAATATATATTTGGTCTCTGCCCCCAGTTCCTAACACAAAGCTCCTAAAACCCTTGGAAATTCCTGAATGATGGCGGTGCTAAGAGCATTGTCCTTTGTTAATTTATCATTTTTCTTTTCTCCTAGGTGTTTTTTCCTTTTTAAACTTTTCTTTTAGGTTAGGGGGTACATATGCACGTTCGTTATATAGCTAAACTTGTGTCATGGGGGTTTGTTGTACAGATTATTTCATCACCCAGGTACCAAGCCTAGTACCCAATAGTTTTTTCTGCTCCTCTCCCTCCTCCCACCCTCCACCCTCAGGTAGGGCCCAGTGTCTGTTGTTTATGAGTTCTCATCATTTTGCTCCCACTTAAAAGAACATACAGTATTTGGTTTTCTGTTCCTGTCTTAGTTTGCTGAGGATAATGGCCTCTAGCTCCATCTGTGTTCCTGCAAAAGACATGATCTCGCTGTTTTTTATGGTTGCACATCTTTTGTTCTAACATTTGGTCCTTAAACCTGGTTCCTGACACAGAGCTCCTAAATCCCTTGGAATTTTCTGGGTGATAGAAGCGTCCTTTGTTCTCATGAGGTGACTCTTGGTGGGCTCCTTATTTGGGGACTGGTCACCAAAAAGACCTATGGTTGGAAGCGTTGTGCTGTCAGCCCCATTCCCCATCCTCTGGCGTGGGGAGTAGAGCTGGAGCTCAATCATGCCTATGTGATAAAGCCTCCAGAAAACTCCTTAAAAGACAGGACTTGGAGAGCTTCCGGGTTGGCGAACACATCCATGTTCCAGGAGAGTGGTGCACCCCAACTCCACAAGGACCCTTCCAAACCTCACCCTGTGTATCTCTTCAACTGGCTTCATCATTTGTGTCCTTTAAAATATCCTTTGTAATAAATCAGCACTAGTAAGAAAACTGTTTTCCTGGGTTCCATGAGCTGTTCTAGCAAATGTTCAAACCTGAGGAGGGAGTTGTGGGGACCTCCAATTTACAGCCAGTTGGTCAGATGCATAGGTGATGCTTGGCCTTGCACCTGGGGTCTGACATGCGGATGGTCCTGTGTGACTGAGCCCTTAACCTGTGGAGTCTGGTGCTCACTCTGCTTAGGGCTTCTCTTGCCTTTTTAGTGTCCTTCTAGGCGGCCTTTCCTTCCTCTTGTCAGCTCAGAAAACTTTTCTTCCACTTCCCTTCTTCTAAACCATCCCTTACATCTACTCCTTTCCAGCCGACCAAGAGCAGAACCACGGCTGGTTCCACTGCCACCATGCTGTCCCACACTGTCTCCTCAGGATGTATTCAGATGTCCAGCCCTCCCCCCAGTCTAGGAGCCCCCCCTTTGAGGAAAGGGATGCTGGCCTAGTCAACTCTTTCCCAGCACCAGGTACAGCATCTGGCACGTTCCATCTTTTTCATGGACTCTCCCCAGGCGGCCTGACCTTCCCTCCTCTGAACCGGTGCATTTCTTGTCTGCATCATGTTTGCCCTAATCAGATATCACCTTATTTCCTCTTTTAAAAAATGCTTTATTTCTCTGGCAGGCTTCATCGGAATCACAATTTTCATTTATTTAGTAACTGTTGTTGTTTATTCTATGTATTTTTGCAGGAGGCCTGAGGTGGGCTGTGTTCTCCTCCTATGGCAGGGCTTCACTCTCCTCCTCCTCCGTTGGGGCTTCGCTGTCCCTGGGATAAGAATAACAATGCCAAGGTTTTCATTCTTGAAAGGAGCAATTAAGCTTCTCACCCCCTCCTCATTTTAGATGGGAACTGTGAGGGCCCCATCATTTACCCAGGGTCCCTGTTGAGGATCTTGTCCTCATTAGATGACTTCTTGTGCAGCTTCCATGCATGATTATTTATTCTTGTGGCACTGAGAGGTTTGTACATATCTTTAAACCAGAGCGGCTGTCCAAATGAGGAAAGTCCATCCTAGAAGATAGAAAGGGAAATATTAATTTTGCATGTCCTCTGCTTTCCCTGGCCACAGCAATGAATCCTCCAATGTACCTGACTCTCCCTTCGCGAAGAGCATCCCCTCCGTGGCAGAAATCTGAAAATGCCCCTGGGGAGACACATGCACAAGACAGTGAGTGATGCAGCCGTTTCCCACGTATCTCACAATGTACTTCTCTGGTCTTATTAGGACTAAATGAGTATCTCAGTCCATAATCACAGGGAGAACCACCACCACAGACCACATACCCGGGGTCTTGAAAATAATTCCATGCATGTGGGACTTTCAGAAGCTCTCCATGTCTGCCCAGAAGGGCCCCACAATATACTGGGGGGACTTTGTATGTGGCTCAGCATGGAGCAGGGGCAGGATTTTCAGTCCCACTCACTCCCTTGGCCAAGTGCCCTTGTGCAGTGAACAAACTGCACAACCATGCTGGGCAGAAGCATTTTATATCAGTCCCCTTCGGACTTAGTCTCACAGGCATCATTTGATGGGGGATGGGAGATGAAGTGGTTCTTCGTTTTCTAGATACTTTATTCTATAAGTTGGATCACCTCAAGCAAATGCGTGAGTGCAGCTAGCCAAGTTCTCTATCTCACAGTCTTCATATGGCTGGCTGTCGCTGATGAGTGAGCGAGCTACGAAATCAGCTTAAAGCACAACATGTTATTTTTGAATTTGAATAAAATAGGAAAAGGCAGAGTGCATTGTGTGACCATGGGGTAAGTAAGACACTCTCCCTTTCTCCTTCTCAGTTTTCCTGTCATAAAAGGACAAACTACTATCTAAGGTCTCCGTAGTTAAAATTCTTTTTTGTTGTTTTTTTTTTATTTGAGACAGTTTGGCTCATTCCCCAGGCTGGAGTGCAATGGTGCTATCTTGGCTCCCTGCAACCTGCGCCTCCTGGGCTCAAGCAGTTCTCCTGCCTCAGCCTCCCAAGTAGCTGGGATTACACGCCTGCGCCACCACACCCAGCTAATTTAGTATTTTTAGTAGAGATGGGGTTTCACCATGTTGGTCAGGCTGGTCACGAGCTCCTAACCTCAAGTGATCCCAAAGTGCTGTGATTACAGGCGTGAGCCATCCTGCCTGGCCTTTCTGGTTAAAATTCTGTGAGGTTTGCATAAAAGGAATAGAGTAGGGGCCCAAAAACCAGTAAGATGAGAAAATAGTGTTTCCTCAGTTCTAGGATCCAGGGGAAAAAAAAAAGAAATAAAAGAGAAAATACTGTTTCCTGCCACTTAAGAGGAAGGACTCACATATCCTACCTTCCATCAGCCTTGAAGGAGACAAGTGCCCTCTCTCTCACACCCGGTGGCCTTCCCTTCCCCTTTCCCAGAGCCTCCAAGAAGGCCCCTGGCCTGGCCTGATGCCCACCATCAGCAGCAATAGGCACCAAAACCTTTCTCCTTCCTATCCCTCCCCACCTCCCGAAAGGGCTGGGGACAGCAGGTGTGTCCTTGTTAGTTCCATCCAGCTCAGCTTTGGCTGGGGAGCTAATTTCACTGGAGCCAGGCTAAGCATTAGGGTAAGTATTTGTCCTGTCTTGGGCAGTTTCCTCACTGAAAAATGAGGGCAGAGTTCTAAGCCCTCCTCTAATTCTAAAATTCTAATTAAAACGTCGCGAGACTAGTGGTGCATGCCTGTAATCCCAGCTACTCGGGAGGCTGAGGCAGGAGAATCGCTTGAACCTGGGAAGTGGAGGTTGCCGTGAGCCGAGATCGTGTCATTGCACTCCAGCCTGGCAACAAGAGGGAAACTCCGTCTCAAAAGAGAAGAAAAAAAAAATCACCAGACTAATATTTACCTTGAGAATCCTTCTTCATCTTCTTGTAATGACCTTCGGTGACAACATATCTGTTTTAGAAGAAAACGCAATTAAGATTATCTATGACAACAACCACCGTCTCCAAATCTGTATTGATTCCTTTTATTCATTATAAGTCTCATCTACCTGATGAGGTAACTTTTTTGAAGACAGGAATTGTATGCTGTGTAACACTGCTTTGATTCTTCCATAGTTCAGTCATCCTTGCTATCTTGCGGGGGATTGGTTCTAGGATACCGCCCCCACACCATACCAGAATCTGTGGATGCTCAATCCCTTACATATAATGGTGTAATATTTGCTTATAACCAACACGCATCCCCCCTATACTTTATTTACTTAGCGACAGGATTGCCCTCTGTTGCTTACGCTGGAGTGCAGTGTCATCCTCTGTTACTCAGGATGGAGTGCGGTGTCACGATCACAGCTCACTGTAGCCTCAACCTCCTGGGCTCCAGTGATCCGCCCACCTCAGCCTCTTGAGTAGCTGAGACTACAGGTGCATACTACCACACCTGGCTATTTTTTTTTTTAATTTTTAATAAAGACAAGGTCTCACTATGCTGCCCAGGTTGGCCTCCCAATGTGTTGGGATTACAAGTGTGAGCCACCATGCCTGGCCCCATGTAATTTAAGTCATCACTAATAAAATGTATACATATTGTACATTGTTGACAGTTGTTATATTGTACTTTCTGTTTGTATTTTTATTGGTTTTTTTTTCTTCAAATATTCAGCCTGATCTAGTTGAATCTGAAGATGTGGACCTGCTGATGAAGAGGGCTGACTGTATCTAACTTAGGGTCTTGCATGCAGCTGGCACTTAATACATTTTATTGACTGTTTTAGATAACATTCAACAGACAATTCCTAATAAAAACTCTTAAAAGTAGGAGAAAAAGGAAACCTGAGTCCTTCCTCTGAAGTGGCAGGAAAACCAGCCTGGGCAACATAGCAAGACCTTGTCTCTACGAACACATTTTTTAAATTAGCTGCCTGCCTGTAGTCCCAGCCACTCAGGAAGCTGAGGCAGGAGGATCCCTTAAGCCCAGGAGTTTGATGTTACAGTGAGCTAGGTCACACCATTGCTCTCCAGCCTGGGTGACAACAAGGCCCTGAGAAGGGAAAAAAAAGGAAAGGAAAGGAAAGGAAAAAGGAAAAGGGAAAGGAAGGAAAGAGTAGAAGTATTGGAAAGGAAGAGACAAAACTATCATTATTTGCATATTAAATGATAAATGTTAGCCAAAGAAGCCTAAGAGAATCAACTAAGATTTTACTGGAAGTAATGAGAATTCAATACAGTGGCTATCTACAAAATCAAGAAATCAGCACACAAACCTCAAATACTTTTCCCATGTACCACCAATAACTAATTAGAAAATGGAAGAAAGATCCCATTTACAATGGCAATACAAATGTATGAAGAATTTAGGAACAAAAATACAAAGATCTTTTATCTAACAAAAGATGTATAAGATCTATATATGGAAACACTAAAGCTCTTCTGAAAGACATTAACAAGAAATGAATACATGACATGAGATAGCACGTTCCTAGAATGTCATACAGATGTAAATTCTCAAATTAATCTACAAATTTAACGTAATCCTATTCAAATCCCAAGATAGTTTTTGGTGGTGGCTGTTTTTAAGACAGGGCCTAGCTGTGTTGCCCAGGCTAGAGTGCAGTGGTACGACCACAGCTCACTGCATCCTCGACCTCCCAGGCTCAAGCGATCCTCCCACTTCAGCCTCTGAAGTCTCTCATATGGTGTCCAAGAAATGGTGACAAATCTCACAAAGGGACTAGGCTCAGCAGGGCTGGAATATTCAGGGAAGGTGTCAAGAAGAAAGATGAACTTGAGTTGGCTTTTGAGAGATGCATAGGACTCCCACAGGCAGAGTGAAATAAGGGCATTTTAGATGGACAAACACACAGACAAAAGCAGAAATGTGGGTGGTGTGACTGGGGTTTGGTGAGGGGCTGCTGTGGCTGGAATGGAGGGCTGCCACAATAATGGAAATGGTAAATGAGGCAAGTAAGGTTGGACTGGTGGCATAGCGTCAAGGTTGCCAGCTTTATTAAATCACTCTTCCAATATGCTAGCACTGGCCTGTTGGGAAAAGTAATACATCATGTAATCGAACAAAAGACAGAGGCAAGCTCCAGGAATGGGCACTGTAAACAGGACTTGTCCCAGAGTAGCCAGATGTAGGCTTTAGGTAAGTTGATGCAAGCTGAGCATCTCTAATCTGAGGGGGAATGTCTCACATGGTGTCCAAGAAATGGTGACACATCTCACAGAGGGTCTAGGCTCAGGAGGGCTAGAGTATGAGACGTTCCCCCTCACCAGTGAACTTAAAAATGTGGCCAAAAATTTTTGTAAAAGATGGCTACTCTGTAGTGCTTTAACTGGACCTATTTAGACAATGCCTTACACACTGGAGGACGATACTGTGTAAATCTAATAAGTCTACAAGACAATACGTATGTCTTTTGGCTCTCTCCTTCCTCTCCAGGGTGATGACAACTCCGTGAGGGTGGAGATTATACCTCTCTCATCATTTCAGCACCAAGGAAATAAATTAGTGGCAGAGTAAGGGTGACTTGATGAGTACATCCAATTGTTGACATAGTTTTGGGTGGGAGAAATTTTGCTATTATATCGACTTCTTAAAATAGTCTAGTGGGATTCACATGGTTTCAATTCACAGAGATCTGAAAGCGAGGATCCTTTAAAAATCCTGAAATATACACTGCAGTAAAAGAACAAAGCATACACCTCAGCCTTAAATGACTGAAGAAGTATGTCAAGTAGCAGCAGGTGGGAAAGTGGCTTTGGTTTTCAGTTTGTGAGCTCTGAATCCACACAAAGACAGGACTGCATTCTGAAAACCTGAATTAATTATTGTCCTTACCACAATGAGGCAGAAAAGTATAATCAAAATCGTTAGTATTCCAGTAACAATTAATGCCAAGATGAGTTTGTCAGTATAGCCATATCCTGGAACTTCTTTTTTGAGCTAAAAAAAAAAACACACAAAAAAAAACCAGAATGAGAGCTAACTATTCAAAACCCCAGTATTCCAGGTGAGTAGCTGACAGGTTCTTTTTTATTTTTTTGAAAGAGGGTCTCACTCTGTCACCCAGGCTGGGGTACCGTGGTGCAATCACCGTTCACTAGACTCGACCTCCCTGGGCTCAGGTGATCCTCCCACCTCAGCCTTCCAAGTAGCTGGGACTACAGGCACGTGTCATCAACCCAGCTAATTTTCTTATTTTTTGTGGAGACAGGCTTTCACTATGTTGGCCAAGCTGGTCTCAAACTCCTGACTTCAAGTAATCCACCCACCTTCGCCTCCCAAAGTGCTGAGATTACAGGCGTGAGCTACCACCCCCGGCCTACAGTTCATCTTGTGCCCTAATCTATTTCTCTCTCTACATGAGCAAAGTGGGAGATCACTGTCATGACCAAAGTTACATGGCCAAGATAAGCTATGGCCTGGGAGTCCCAGACTCTTCTGTGTGGGCACTTTCCTGGGATATGCTAAATGATGGGAAATCTGGGTCTCATGTTTCTGTGTGGTCCTCACCTCAAGCGACTTCTCTTTCTGTTCACTCTGGGCTTCTGTGCTCTCATTAATGTAGTTCTCAATCTTCCATTGGTCCGTATCCCATTCTATCTTGGATGCCTTTACTTCCTGCTGCCCACTGAGAAGCTTCATCAGGTGGCCTGTCCTGGAGATGAGCTTGGCACAGGTCACTTGCACATGGGTCCCAGAGCAGTCCATCTTCAAGGTCCGGATAACATGAGCAATGAGCCTTCTCACATTGTTGTTGGGGATAAGGGACTGTAGCTGCTGGGTTAGCTGAATTTCAAACTGATCACCTGGGGACGAGAGCAATGGGTAATTGAAGCTTTTGGGCTCGGGGGACAGGTCAGTGCCCACGTTGTTGTATTCCCATTTTGTCTCAGTTTGTTTAACAGTTGGCCCTAAGTTGAATGCAGTCCCAGCGGAATCTGCCTCAGGAGGATGATTGTAGTTTGTGTTTTCAGAGATGGTTCCTTCTGGCATGTTAGTGTTTTCCATAAAATCATTTTCTTCAAAGGCATTTCTTGCAGTTGTGTGTTTTGTATTATTCTTTTCTATAAAATGTTCTGAAGGAGCAGATACTTCCAGAAAAGGGTTTTCTTGAGGACTCAGGTCTCCTAAGGATGAAAAAGCCCCTTGTGAAGGGGAATTTATGAGGCTCTTCGCTGCAGAGAATGGAAGCCTGTTTGCGAGCATCAGTCTACTCAGATAACTTTTCTTTCTGACCTTTGGACTCTTTTTGACTTTGGGTGTTCTGTGGGTCACGTGGGAGCGAGTTTTGTGAAAGCGGTATTTTTTTCTGGCATGTACGATTGGTTTAGACGTCTTCGTATTTGTAACTCTAGCCTTTGCACTTTCTAAAGTGGAAATAGCGTGGGTTAAGTCTTTCCATCTGTCTCTCACCTGTGGTAGGGCTTTTGCAGGGCTGGAGGTAGAAGGCGCGCCCTTGGAGAAGGGTTTCAGCACAGAGACTGCTGCCTTATGCTCTTGGGTGAAGGAAGGCTTGGTGTAGACGGCGTTTCCCGCTAACTTCTCAGGCCCCTGCTGTGTGTGGGGCTGTTCCACCTCCCTTGGGGCTGGACTCCCGAGCCTTTTTTCTTCGGCAGCGTTCTCCACAGATGCCTGGGCACCCTGTTCCCTCCTGATGCTCTGCCTTCCTACCTCTTTGAAGTGCCTTTTCTGGATGCTCCTTGGGCCCATGAGGACTCTCTTCACTCTCTGCCGGTTTTGGCCTACAGTTTGAATCTTTGCCAGGCTGTTTCCTGTGGTTGGCAGTTTAATTAACGGTAGTAACAGTGATTTCACATCTAGGTTTACCGCTGAGAAATAAGGCAAGATGTAACGTAGTGTACTGATAAAATCACTCTCGTCATTGGTGTCTAGCTGCTCACTCCCAAAGCCTGACAAGTTGATGCCACTGCTGTCTGAGGGCTCCTCTGGCTCAACAATCAGCTCAGTGCTTGTGTAGTTCTTCCGGGCTTGTAACACCTTCATGAACGCTCCTTCTGGATTCCCTACCGATGCTTCTTCAGCTGTCAAAAAAGAAGAGACTGCTTTGATCATGAAAGATGATGGGATGGGATGCATCAGTCCATAGCTGTACACCCCAGTCACACAGAGTAGGAGTCAGCAAACATTCGAGTGCCATTCAGAGAGGAGAAACACACACCCAATCCTAAACCTATGAAATGGCAACAACAAAAGGAGAAAATACATCTTTTGAAAACACGGCCACCTACTTGGAACATTCCATAGTGTGACATAGAGTAACTCTGTTTAGGATTATTTCGTTGATCCCCAGAGGCCAATTGCCCAGTGCTCAGTCAAAGCCCAAGGTGGAAGACAAGTGCTTCCCTGATGAGCTGGCCTCTCTGCAGACTGCTCCGTACCCTGTGCTGTCCTGCCTCAGATGCAGAGAGAGCACAAGGCTCCTGCTCTCCTCGTCCTCGGTGCACCTGTGTTCGTGCTACCATCACAGCTGAATGCAATGAAAGGCGGTCCTCTGAGAGGAGCAGGGTGGAGATGCTAAAGTGGAGGCCCCGTCCCATTGCTGATAGATCCTCATCTGGCATGCGCTCCACCCTCCCCATTCTCTGCTCCCACGTATCGTAGCCCCATCACAGAAGATGCGACATGGAAAAACGCACTGTGTCCACCCTAGTTCTTAAATTTGGGCAGGGATTTGGGGTGTATGTTAAGAGTTTTTCAAATTTGCCAGATTGCATGCCTATGTTGTTAAATACACAATGAATCCCTGGTATGATAGCAGTTTCTGGATAAACATTACTTGAGGTCCTAAAATGCAGAAGGGAAAAAGCAACTTTTGTCAGATGCCTACTTTGCTTTCATTTCATCTCTAATATTTTGGATGGGGAATCATCCAAAGCTTCTGACTGCATGAAGGTCAGGTGTGCCAGTGTGCAGCTGGGTTTCTTTTCTAGAATTAAAAGTACTTTGGGTGGTGGTGAGGGTCAGAGGAAGAAGTAAAGATTGTGAGAAAGGGGAAGAAACATGGGCTTGGGGAGAACCCAGAATTGGGGCCAGAAGACCTGGCACTAGGCTACAGCACTTAGCACCTCTGATCTTGTTTTTCCTCATCTGTAAAAGGAGGTTAACAAAGCTTTTCTGCCCACTTCTTGGGGAGAAGGGAATAACATAATTGGTAAAAAAAAAAAAAAAAAAAAAAAGTTTTGAAAAATAAGCAACACTGACTTTATGTAACCAAGCATTATTAATTCTCCACCCCATATCACTGGTAGATACCTGTATTCAAGCTATCTGGACATGAAAGCAGTCACATTTTAGAAGTCATGAAGTTGATGCTAATAAGCCTAATCTACAGAAACACTCTTGAAAGCCCTTGAGCGTTTGTTCTGTGAATAGAAAGGTTTGAGATTCGGAGCAAGTTCAGAGTTGGATGGTCTAAGAATGGAAAAGCCCTCCATTCCATTAGAAGAGCCAGGTAGCAATTTCTGGTTATGGAACCAGAAGCTCTCAGGCTTCAAATAAAACAGCATCACTTGTACTCTTATAAAACTGTAAAAACAGAAAGACCAAAACCGTATCTACATCTGTCCTATAAGGCAGAGAGTACTTGAGATCTCATGGATTTAAAACCAGCTTACAAACTACATTGCACTATATGAAGAAATTATCACTGTGGGCAAAGCATCAAGCAGAGAGCACAGTATACAGTGTGTGGATGTTAATGTTATTCCCTAGCCTTCCCATTCCTTTGTCTTGGTCCTTTCTGCATATGGAACAGTTCTATTATTAAATTTTGTAATAGTAACTGAGAACCTGACTTTCAGCAAGGGAGTAGTTCGGAAATTGAGGGAGTTTAACTCTGAATGAGTAAATAAAAATAAAGCAATTATGTCATTAGCTTAAAATTTTATCATCATTAAAAATAAAAAGTTTGAAAACAAATACTTAATGTAACAATTTATCACCGCGCAATTTGGACTCACGACAATGTGTGGTGTTTGTCAGACATGCACTGTTGCAATGCAGCTTGACTGTCTTGCAGACAGCCTCAATGCTGTTTTTAAATTGGCAGAGGCAGCAGGCCATATGGCTAGGTAAGATCCTATAGATGAAAACAGAGAGCAATAAATTAGCGGTAAAGCGGTTACTTGAGTAGGTAAAGGAGGCAGCCAACGCTACCACAGGTGTGGGAAAAAGGTGTCATTGAAGCCTATGGACTGGACAGTTGGGTAGGAACCAGAAGGCCAATAGGAAGGAGGACAAAAGTGCCCAACTGAAGGGTAAGCATGGCAGTGAGTATGGTATGCCTAGAATAAAGATGGTTGGGATTAGAATTGGGTGACAGTGATTAGTAGTTTCAGAAGTATCTCTTCCCAATTCAAAAGTCTCACTTTGGGCTGAAAGTACAGAGGAAGAAGGTAGACTTTTAAGAAGTCTGAATAAGCCCCCAACTTCTGGAGTCCCTTTCTCAATTCCTGTTGGGAGTGGGAAATATTATAAATTACTCTGGGCATTAAAAATAGCTTAGTTTAACCTGGATTGCGGAGTTAAAAAATAACAAAGACTGCATTGGTCAAATCTGGACAATTTGAGCATTCAAAAGAATAACAACAATAAGTTACAACATATTTAATATAAAGAAGAATCCACGAAGAGTGATATTGAAAAAGAAAGAGGAGGAGTTCTTCTTCAATGAAATAATGCCAGCTAGTAAATGTAGAAGGAATGACAGAATTTTTAAAAGTGTCACTTTGCAACCGTCAGTGTAATACAAATTCATTCAGACAAGGATTATCATTGATGCACATTTGGGTGAAAAAACATTTGAGAACAGGATCTTCACTGAACTCAAAGTAACAACCCACAGATTATTTATTAATTACCAAGGGGAAAATTATTATTTTTTATTTTTATTTTTATTTTGTCACCCAGGCTGAAATACAGTGGCAAAATTATACCTCAATGCAGCCTCAACCCCCCTGGGCTCAAGGGATCCTCCAAATTCAGCCTCCTGAGTAGCTGGGAGTATAGGCTTGCACCACCATGCCCAGCTAATTTTTTTTTTTTTTTGTACTTTTGTATTTTCAGTAGTGACAGAGTTTCCCCATGTTGCTCAGGCTGGTGTAGAACTCCTGGGCTCAAGCAATCCTCCCACCTCGGCCTTCCAAAGTGCTGGGATTACAAGTGGGAGCCACTGTAGCCAGCAAAATAATTACAATGGAGAGACCTGGAAGATCACCTTAGTCAAGTGATCAAACTTAGTATTACAGGCCATCTGCGGTTACGAGGCAGGAAGGATACATCACCTATGCAGTATTTTTCCCAAAAATGCTTAACTTGAATTTCATCATGAGGAAACAGACAAATCTGGATTGTGGGACAATTTACAAGACAACTATCTTTGACTCTTAAAAAATGCCAGTGTCATGAAAGATCAAAGAAAGTAGAGGCATGTTTTAGATTAAAGGAAATGAAGACATGACATGCAGTGCCTGATCTTTGATTGGATTCTGTACTATTCTTTCATCTTTCTGGCTTGTTTGAATTTTTTCCAATACGTAAATTTGGGCAAAAGAGGTGACCGAGACAATTGATTAATTTATTGTTGTGGCTTATTGGGGGCACTTTCAGAGAGATAAAAACAATCCCTGTAACTGAAGTAAAAGGTTAATCTTAGGCAGTATAGCATGGTCATTAAGAATACAGATTCCATAGCCAGACTATGCTTCAATCTCAGCTCTGCTAATAATGTGAATTTGGGCAAATTGTTTAATCTCTGTTCCTTGGCCTTGTCATTATAATAGTACCTACCTCTAATGAATTTTGAGGATCAAATGAATCAATACCTGAAAAATGCCTGGTGCACAGTCAGTGCTCAATAAGAGTTAGCTATAATTATTGTGTTGCAGAGGTTGTGGGGGGCCTTTTCTGAGTCCTCCAAAAGGATGGCTTTATTGGGGCCATATTAAGACTATGAAAACAGAAGAGGGTTTCATGGATACAAGAAGTCTGTGAGTTGGGGGTACAATGTATAGAGTTTTAGATTAAAACTGCATCCAATAAGTTGGCCTGAGACATCTTTCAAAGCTATAAAGGAACAATCACAAGTGACTAGTAGTATTCCTTTGGGTCCAGTGGAAGCCTCTGATCTTCATATGGAATGGACCCGGAACCGTAACCCAGCATTTTGTTGTATAGCAACCTTACCTCTGCCACAAAGGTGTTTCTTTTGTTTATTTTGAGGCCGGGTCTCGCTCTGTTACACAGGCTGAGTGCAGTGGTGCAATCTTGGCTCACTGCAGCCTCTGTCTCCTGTGCTCAAGTGATCCTCCCACCTCAGCCTCCTGAGTACCTAGAACTACAGGTGTGTGCCACCACACCTGGCTAATTTTTGTATATTTTGTAGAAATGGGGTTTCACCATGTTGTCCAGGCTGGTCTCGAACTCCTGGGCACAAGCAACCCTCTCTCTTTGGCCTCCCAAAGTGCTGGGATTACAGGCATGAGCCCAAAATTTTTGGTATTCTTTTTCTGCCCCCAAGTTTTTATTTTAAACATTTTCTTTTTTTCCTTTAAGCCTTAGGATGGCTGGGAAACATTTTCAAATGGTATAATGAACACCTGTATAACTTTCATCTGGAATCAGTAGTTGCTAATACTTTGCCACATTAGCTTTCCGTGTGTGTATGTCTATACATTTTCTGGACAAAACCATTTGAGAGTCAGTTGCAGACATAATGACCCTTCACCATTGAAGACTTCAGTGTGCAGCCCCTAAGAACCAAGGCATTCTCCGACATAACCAGAGGACTATCATCACTCAATGGAACTTCATATTATCATTGTCTACTATGCGGTCCGTATACACATTTTCACAATTGTCCCAATCATAACATGGCTTAAAAAATTCACAATCCAATCAAACATCAGACATTACACTTGGTACATGATTCTTTAGTCTCCTTCAATCTAGAACTGTTCCCAGGATTGTTTTAAAGTATACTGACAAATCTTTGAGACTGTAAATGACCTGAGGTATACTTGAGAATAATTTTTCAATACACATGAAAGATCATTACACATGAGCCAAGACTCAAATGAGCTGGCCTACTTACTTTGTACATAAATGTGTAAACTCCTGAAGACTTCCAATAATGAACTCCCATAAGACATTTAGTTCAATGTCTTTATGGCCTTGGTGACAAATCATTACAGAGGATGAGAGCATTTTTCCTATCCAATAATGGTCAAGAAAAAAGCAGACAGATCCTCACTATCTTAGAGAACTAAGTGAGAAAGCTGGTCGATGAAGGGGACTTCATCCAGAGAGGAAGGGATCCAGCTGATGGGGAAGATGCTGCAGGAGGCTGAGGAAAGTGAGGCTAGAGCAGTAAAAGAGATCTGACAACCTGGTCAAGATAAGAAAGTGACCTGACAAAAATGAACGGAGCAGAGTGCTAAATGAAGGGCCCTTTCCATGCTAATCTTGCAAAATGCCCTCAACCAGCCCTAGCATAACTGAGTCTCTATTTAGCTTGCCATATTGTGGGGGCTGGTGGCACAATTGAAGTTGCAGTAAATTGTGTAACAAACTCACAATAGGGCCCCGCAGGCATACATATACATATATACACGTACATATATATAAATATATATATATTTTAGACAGGGTCTTGCTCTGTCACCCAAGCTGGAGTGCAGTGGTGCCATCTTGGCTCACTGCAACCTCCACCTCCTGGGTTCAAGTGATCCTCCTGACTCAGGTTCCCTAGTAGCTGGGACTACAGGCGTGTGCCACCACACCTGGCTGATTTATATATATATCTATATCTATATATATATCCTGCAAAGAAGGCCAGGCACGGTGTCTCATGCCTGTAATCTCAGCACTCTGGGAGGTGAGGCAGGAGGATCACTTGAGACCAGGAGTCCGAGACCAGCCTGGGGAACATACTGAGACCTCATTTCTACAAAAAAATAAAAAATAAAAAAGATACATCACATATGCAAATTAACTCAAAATGGATCATAGACCTAAATGTGTATCATTTCTGGGAGAAGACATAGGAGAAAATCTTTTAGACGCTGGATTAGACAACAGGTTCTTAAAGATTTCTTAGGTAAGAAACAAAAAATCACAAGCCATTTAAGAAAAAAATGCTAACTTAAAGCTGGTCAAAATTAAAAACTTCTGCTCTTCAGAAAACATTTTTATTTCTTACTTTTTTTTTTAGACAGAGTCCCACTCTGTCGCCCAGGTTAGAGTGCAGTGGTGCAATCTCGGCTCATTGCAACCTCCACCTCTCAAGTTCAAGCACTTCTCGTGCCTCAGCCTCCTGAGTAGCTGGGATTACAGGCATGTGCCACCACACCTGCCTAATTTGTGCATTTTTAGTAGAGATGGCATTTCCACACAACCGGAATACTACTCAGCAATAAAAAGGAGTGAACAGTTGTCCCTCGGTGTCTGCAGGGGATTGGCTCCAGGACCCCCTGCAGATACCAAAGTCCACAGATGCTGAGTTCTTTTTTATGAAATGACATAATGTTTGTATACAGCCTCAGGTATACTCTAAGTACCTAATACAGTGTAAATGGTATGTACATAATTATACTGTATTTTAAATTTTCTACTGCTTTTATTGTTGTATTGTTGTTTTATATATTTTATTTTTTCCAAATATTCCCCATCCATGGTTCGTTGAATCTATGGATGAGGAACCTGCAGATATGGAGGGCCAGCTGTAGTGATAGGTGCAACAACATGGATGGTAGCATAATCTCAAAAAAAATTCTGCTGAGTGAGGCCAGGCAAGGTGGATCTTATCTGTAATCCTAGCACTTTGGGAGGCTGAGGCAGGCGGATCACTTGAGGTCAGGAGTTCGAAACCACCCTGGCCAACATGGCGAAACCTTGTCTCTACTAAAAATACAAAAATTAGCCAGGTGTGGTGGCATGCGCCTGTAATCCCAGCTACTCGGAAGGCTGAGGCAGGAGAACCACTTGAACCTGGGAGGTGGAGGTTGCAGTGAGCCTAGGTCATGCCGCTGCACTGCAGCCTGGGCGACAGAGTGAGATTCCATTTCAAAAACAAAAAAAAAAATTAGGCTTTGTGAAAGGAGCCAAACACAAGAGGCTATGTGCTATATGATTTCATTTATAAGACATTCTGGAAAAGGCAAAAGTATAGGAACAGAAATCAGATTAGTAGCTAACAGGGGCTGATGGTGGGAGGATGGGATTGCCTACAAAGGGACAGTAGGGGCCTTTTTGAGGCATCAGAAATGCTTTATATTGGGAATGTGGTGGTGGTTATGTAACTATACATTTGTCAGACTCATCAAACTGTACACTTAAAAAGCGTGAATGTTACTATATGAAAATTATACCTCAATGAACCTGACTTAAGAAAATAATAAAACAAACCTAAAGAACCAACTAAGTAAAAATAAATCTCAGAAAAAAATAACTTACAGTTTTTCCAGTTCAACAGTCATCATGAGAATGTTCTTAAGTGTTGTAAGTGGGACTAGCGTTGTTCCCATGTCTCTGAAGAAGAAAGCCGAAACATTCATGATATGAGCCCCAATAAAAAATTCTGTACTTAACAATTCAATTTTGGCTTCTCTATTAAACAAGCCAGCTCAAGACTTTATTTGCTGTAGAATTCCAGGGAGCTCTTATTAAAGAAATTAAAAGTTGATTTGCATCATCAAATTAATGATACTCAAGAGCAGAACTGACACTTTTTTTTTTTACCATTATCTTCTCATTTTCATATTGCACTCACCATCTTATTTACTCTTTTCTTTATTTTTAGAATAATGAACACCTTTTCCCCTTTGCTTTCTTGGTTAAATAATATTCCTCCATGTGTCTACATGTTCCAAATCTATATGGGTTCTTCAATGCTGTTCTCTTCCCCTGCTGGCTGTCTTGACCATTATACATCCTCTTAATTTTTTTCTTCGCCAATAACTTTTTTTCAATAACCCAGTTAAAATTTAAATTATGACATTTTAGCCTAAATGCAAAATACTTAAGCTTTGATGAAAAATTTAAAAAGCATAAATCATCTCTTGACTCATGAGAGTACTATAGTACTTACAGATATTTTAATGCTGGCAATTTAAAGAGATACGGATCTTCAACAGTTGTCAGAGGATTGTGATTGAGAATTCTGAAAAATGGAATGGAATTAAAATAACCTGCATTTTCAATGTGTAAAACTGCATGAAAAGTTTACATTCATTTTTTGATATGGAACTTGTAGGTAAAAAAGAAAAAAATGTTTCCTGTCTTTACCTAAGAAATCACCATTAGACTCCGTAAAGCACTATTCCTATGGGAACTACCAAGGTCTCTAGAAGATAAAGGATAGAACGCGGGGAAGAACTACAAGGAAAAAAAAAGTGGATAGCAAAGAAAAAATATGCCACAGAACTTTTCAGGTCAAAAACCCTAAAAGTGACTATGTTGGTAGGAAGCCCTGACTGTGGAGGAAACAGTATTTCTAGCATCCTCCATAATTCAAGTTGCTCATCATAATTCAAGTTGTTCATCTATTTTTTTTTTTTTTTTTTTTTTTTTTTTTTGAGATGGAGTCTCGCTCTTGTTGCCCAGGCTGGAGTGCAATGGCTCGATCTTGGCTCACTGCAACCTCCGCCTCCCAGGTTCAAGTGATTCTCCTGTTCTGCCTCAGCCTTCCGAGTAGCTGGGATTACAGGCACCCACCACCACGCCCAGCTAATTTTTGTATTTTTAGTAGAGTCGGGGTTTTACCATGTTGGTCAGGCTGGTTTTGAACTCTTGACCTCAGGTGATCTACCTGCCTCAGCCTCCCAAACTGATAGGATTACTGGCATGAGCCACTGCGGCTGGCTGCTTGTCTTTTATCTTTATAAAGTTTTTAAAATTTATGGTTTAATTTGCACAGTTAAAAAAAAATAGGACCAATTCTTTTGCTTTATAGCCAAAGAAGAAGGAATAAATCTAAGAGGAGGAACTGGTCAAAACCATACTCCCACTTGTCTTCTTGTATGACATCACAGCCTTTCTTACATTGCATGTAATCACCTGTCCACTTGTCAGGCTCCTGGACTATGAGCGCTTTGAGGGCAGAGACCACATTTTTTTTTTTTTTTTTTTTTTTTTCTGAGACGGAGTCTCACTCTGTCACCCAGGCTGGAGTGCAGTGGTGCAATCTTGGCTCACTGCAATCTCCGCCTCCCAGGTTCAAGCAATTCTCCTGCCTTAGCCTCCCAAGTAGCTGGGATTACAGGTGCCTGCCACCATGCCCTGTCATCCCCGTGCCTGGCATGATGTCTGAAATGTATTAGGCATTTAACAAATGTTTATTGAATAAACAAATGACATTTTGTTCATATGTCAATAAAATGAATAAATTGATTTTGATGCAAATTTTTATTCCAAAATGCTGGAATCGATTTTCTTTTTAATTCTTTAAGGTGAACAAGAAAAATAAAAGAAACAGGAAGAAATAAAAGAAAATCTACCTTTAGGTTAACCCAAGAATCATCTTTGTACTTAGGCAGAAATTATAAAAATAATAATTATTACAGTGAGTATCTACTGGGTTGCCAGGTATTTGTGATCAGCAAATACCTTTGTGGTAGATATTATTATTGCCCTATTTTTAAATGAGGAAACTGAGGCACAGAGAGGTTAGATAACTTGTCCTAGGTCACCAAGCTATTAAGCAGCAAAGCTGTAATCTGAACTCGTGTTTAATCTGTATGAAGAAAAAGGGTTTATTTTAACCTTAGGTTTTTAAAAAATTTTCATTTTTGTTCTTCATTCTTTTTCTCTCTCTTTTTCCTTCCTTCCTTCCCTCCCCCTTCCTTCTTTCTATTTTCTTTCCTTTCCTTTCTTTCCTTTCTCCTCTCCCCTCCACTCCCCTCCCCTCCCCACCCAAACAGGGTCTTGCTCCATTGACCAGGCTGGAGTGCAGTGGCGTGATCTTGGCTCACTGCAACGTCCTCTTCCCAAGCTCAGGTAATCCTCCTTCCTCAGTCTCCCAAATAGCTGGGACTATAGGCACGCACCACCACGCCTGGCTATTTTTTGTGTTTTTAGTAGAGATGGGAGTTTCACCATGTTTGCCAGGCTGGTCTTGAACTCCTGATCTCAAGTGATCCGCCTGCCTTGGCCTCCCAAAGTGCTGGTGTGAGCCACTGGGCCCAGCCTTAATTGTGAGAAGACTAAATACAGAAGTGCCTTTCAACCTTCTTCTACTCCTCTGGGAGGACCTCTATGAGAATTACAATTTCTCATTAGCAGGGCACGGCAGTGCTTGCCTGTAATTCCAGCTGTTTCAGAGGCTGAGGCAGGAGAATTGCTTGAACCCAGGAGGCGGAGGTTGCAGTGAGCCAAGATCAAGCCACTCTACTCCAGCCTGGGCGACAGAGCAAAAAAAAGTGGATTACAGTTTCTCTTTTTATGTCTTTCCCCTAATCATTTCCCATGATTAAATAGTTTATTAGTCTATGGTCAATGAGACTTTTTTTTTTTTTTTTTAAGAGACACATTCTCACTCACTGTGTTGCCCAGGCTGGAGAGCAGTGGCTATTCACAGCCATGATCCCACTAGTGATCAGCATGGGAGTTTTGACCTGCTCTATTCCTGAACTGGGCTGGTACACCCCTTTTTAGGCAACCTGGTGGTCTCCTTTTCCCGGGAGGTCACCATACTGATGCTGAACTTAGTGCGGACACCCAATCAGCATAGCATGCTACAGCCCAGAATTCCTGGACTCAAAGGATCCTTCTTCCTTTGCCTCCCGAGTATCTGGGACTACAGGCATGTGCCCAGTGAGCCTTCAGAGATTTAAAATCATGTCGTAAGTGACATCAGTGAAAATGGTGGAATAAAGACATGCAGGCTGGGCGCAGTGGCTCACACCTGTAATCCCAGCACTTTGGGAGGCTGAGGCAGGCGGATCACGAGGTCAGGGGATCGAGACCATCCTGGCTAACAAAGCGAAACCCCGTCTGTACTAAATATACAAAAATTAGCTGGGCGTGGTGGCAGGCGCCTGTAGTCCCAGCTACTCGGGAGGCTGAGGCAGGAGAATTGTGTGAACCCGGGAGGTGGAGCTTGCAGTGAGATGAGATTATGCCACTACACTCCAGCCTGGACAACAGAGTGAGACTCTGTCTCAAAAAAAAAAAAAAAAAAAGAGACATCCAAAAATTCATCCCTTCATAAAAGCAACAAATACAAAAAAAAATAGCAAAAAAAAAAAAAAAAAAAAAAAAAAATTGACCACAATAAACTTTTTCAGAACTCTAGAAATGTAATCAAAGTCTTGCAGCAACCCAAGGAGCATTTATTCAAGAAAAATTTCTGTAA
Organism: Homo sapiens; assembly: GCF_000001405.40. Taxonomy (NCBI): domain Eukaryota; kingdom Metazoa; phylum Chordata; class Mammalia; order Primates; family Hominidae; genus Homo; species Homo sapiens. The sequence goes on from NT_167251.2 coordinate 214,384, forward strand.
GAACAGTGAGATTTGTGTTAACTTGCCTTAGACCATTCCTCACCCTCTAGCTCAGTAGTCGCCTTGGAAAACAGCCCACATCCCCAACCAGAGGGAGCAGAATGGAGCTGGACCTCCTTCAAAGCCTTATTCTCAGTTAACTGTCATGATGTCATCTGTCTGGTGGTTCCCTGGAAGACCTCATTTGAAAGGTTTGTCTTTATTTGACCAGAATGAAAGCTGTCTAGTGCTAAAGCCTCTCCACAGAGGGTGTTTTTGGAAAACAATTACAGACAAGTGTTTTAACATGGCAACTGTATTCGGCAATGAATAACAGTTTGGGGGAAAAAAGCCTAATCAAAAAGCTTAATAGGAAAAGCTGAGGAATAAGATGTCCACAGGAATTTGAAACACTCTGATATATGCTTGGGAAACTAGAAGTCCATAAGACATATTCCTGGCAATTTGGAATGTCACGCGCATGCATAGGGCAGACTGTCAGCATGGTCAGGAAAGACCTACTAAGTTCATAAACTCTCACCCCTGGCTGACACCTTGAGGTTCTGCACAAGCAAGAAGTGAAAGCTAAGGCATGGCTGTAAATTGTCTAGCTGAGTGCTGAAGGTATGCCCCAACATGTACACAGAGCCCCTTGGCAAAAACTAGGAGACTTATCAGTTCCAAGAATTTAAGTAAATCTTCATTTAATCATTACCTGATCGGTAAGCTAACCGAGGAGGGACTTTAGTGGGAACACATGACATATAATGCGAGACTTTACAGAAGAAGTTCAGAAAAGTCACTAAATAAATAGCAACTACTAACACAAGCAGGAGTAACACCAAACCCTGGCAGCATGGATCTGATTTTCAGAATTGCTACATTATATTATTTAAAATATTCAATTTTTAACAAACATTTATGAAAGATGCAAGGAAACAAAGTATGGCCCAAACACGTGGTTGGGGGAGAAATAAGCAGAAATTGTCCCTGAGAAGGACCAGATGTTAGACTTACTAGACAAAGATTTTTTTATTTTTTATAGGTGGGGTCTTGCGAAGTTACCCAGGGTGGTCTTGAACTCCTGGCCTCAGCCTCAACCTCAGTCTCAGCCTCCCAAAGTGCTGGGATTATAGGCACGAGCGACCATGCCTGGCCTAGAGAAGGATTTAATTCAGCTATTTAAAATATGTTCAAAGAGATAAGAGAAACGATTCAGTTCTGTAGACTAGAGAACTAAAGGAAAGTATGAAAGCAATGTCTCATCAAATAGAGAATATCAATAAAGAGATAGAAACCATAAAAAGGAGTCAAATAGAAATTCTAGAGTTGAAAAGTATGGTAACTGAAATGGAAAAATTATTAGAGGTTCTCAATGGCACATTACAGCAGGCTGAAGACAGAATGGGGAACTTGAAGGTTAATTGAGATTGTTGACTCTGAGGAACAGAAATAAAAATGAATGAAAGTGAATGGAATCTCAGAGACCTGTTTGTGGAACACATCATCAAGCTTACTAACATACACATAATGAGCGTCCCAGGAGAAGAAAAACAGAAAAAAGGAGAAAGAATATTTGAAGAAATGATGGCCCCAAACTTCCCAAACATGATGAAAAACAATCTGCATATTCAAGAAGCTCAAGGAACTACAAGTAGGAAAAACTGAGGGATCCACATCTAAACATACTGTAATCAAACTGACAGAAGCCAAAGACAGAATATCTTGAAAGCAGCAAGAGAAAAGCAACTCATCACATACAAGGGATCCTCAATAAGATTAATAGCTAATTTCTCTTCAAAAACAATGCAGGTGCTGGACATGGTTGCTCACACCTGTACTCCCAGTACCTTGGGAGGCTTGAGGCTCAAGAATTGCTTGAAGCCAGGAGTTGGATACCAGCACTGGTAATAGAGTAAAACCCTGTCTCTACAAAAAATTTAAAAATAACTGGGCATGCCCGTCTGGGATGTGAGGAGCGCCTCTGCCCGGCCGCGACCCTGTCTGGGAGGTGAGGAGCATCTCTGCCTGGCCGCCCCGTCTGAGAAGTGAGGAGCCCCTACGCCTGGCAGCCGCCCCATCTGAGAAGTGAGGAGCCCCTCCGCCCAGCAGCCGCCCCGTCTGAGAAGTGAGGAGCCCCTCTGCCCGGCAGCCGCCCTGTCTGGGAGGGAGGTGGGGGCCAGCCCCCGCCTGGCCAGCCGCCCCCTCCGGGAGGTGGGGGGGCGCCTCTGCCCGGCTGCCCCTTCTGGGAAGTGAGGAGCCCCTCTGCCCGGCCGCCACCCCGTCTGGGAGGTGTACCCAACAGCTCATTGAGAACGGGCCATGATGACGATGGCGGTTTTGTTGAATAGAAAAGGGGGAAATGTGGGGAAAAGATACAGAAATCAGATTGTTGCTGTGTCTGTGTAGAAAGAAGTAGACATAGAAGACTCCATTTTGTTCTGTACTAAGAAAAATTCTTCTGCCTTGGGATGCTGTTGATCTATGACCTTACCCCCAACCCAGTGCTCTCTGAAACATGTGCTGTGTCCACTCAGGGTTGAATGGATTAAGGGCGGTGCAAGATGTGCTTTGTTAAACAGATGCTTGAAGGCAGCATGCTCGTTAAGAGTCATCACCACTCCCTAATCTCAAGTACCCAGGGACACAAACACTGTGGAAGGCCGCAGGGTCCTCTGCCTAGGAAAACCAGAGACCTTTGTTCACTTGTTTATCTGCTGACCTTCCCTCCACTATTGTCCTATGACCCTGCCAAATCCCCCTCTGCGAGAAACACCCAAGAATGATCAATAAAAAAAAATTAAAAAAAAACAAAAACAAAAACAAAAACAAAAAAAACTGGGCATGGTGGTGCATGCCTGTAGTCTCAGCTACCCAGGAGGCTGAGGTGACAGCATTGCTTAAGCCTGGGAGGTGGAGGCTGCAACGTTGTGAGTGGTTGCACCACTGCACTCCAGCCTGGGTAACAGAGCAAGACCCTGTCTAAAAACAAAGCAACCACACACAACACTGGAGGACAAAAGGCAATGAAATGGCATATTCAAAGTGCTGAAGAAACTGTCAACCAATAATTCTATACCTGGCAAAACTACCTTTGAAATTGAAGAGAAATTAAGATATTCTAGATAAATAAAAACTGAGAGACTTTGTTGCTAGAAGACCTGCCCTATAAGGAGTACTAACGTGAATCTGCACAAAGAAATAAAAAGCACTGGCTGGGCGCAGTGGCTCAGGCCTGTAATCCCAGCACTTTGGGAGGCTGAGGCTGGAGGATCACTTGAGGTCAAGAGGTTGAGACCAGCCTGGCAAACATGGTGAAACCCTGTCTCTACTAAAAATACAAAAATTAGCTGGGTGTGGTGTTACGTGCCTGCAGTCCCAGCTACTCAGGAGGCTGAGGCACTAGAATCGCTTGAACCTGGGAGGCAGAGGTTGCGGCGAGTAAAGATTGTGCCACTGCACTCTAGCCTGGGCAACAGAGTGAGACTCTGTCCCAAAATAAAGAAAAAAAAAAAAAAGAAAAAGATACTTACATAATGCAATAATTATAAATCTAGTTGATGAACATAAGGTATATAAAGATGTAATGTGTGACAATAACAGTATAAAGGAGGGGGTGAGAGTGGAGCTTTAGAGAAGCAAAGTTTTTGTATACCATTGAAACAAAGTTGGAATTAATCTGAACTACAACGTTATAAAATTAAGATGTAGCTGAGACTACAGGTGCGCACCACCACACTCGGCTAACTAAAAAAAATTTTTAGAGATAGGGTCTCACTATGTTGCCCAGGCTGGTCTCAAACTCCTGGCCTCAAGCAATCCTCCTTCCTTGGCCTCCCAAAGTACAGGGATTATAGGTATGCACCACTGCATCTGGCCACAAACATTTTGTTTTCTTACTGTTCATTTTTCAAGACAGGTTTTCACTCTGTTTCCCAGGCTGGAGTGCAGTGGAACAATCATGGCTCACTGCAGCACCGATCTCCCGGGCTCAAGTGATCCTCCTGCCTTAGCCACCTGAGTAGCTGTGACTACAGGCATGTGCCACCACGTTCAGCTAACTTTTAAATTTTTTTTGTAGAGATAAGCTCTCAGTATGTTGCCCTGGCTGGCCTCGAACTCCTGGGGTCAAGCAATCCTCCCACCGCAGCCTCCCAAAGTGCTAGGATGACAGGTGTGAGCCACTGCACTGCAAAAATACAGAAGACCAAATTATTAAAACTAGAAATGAGAGGGGACATTACTATTGTTCTTAGAGACATAAAAAGGATTATAATATGAATAAAAAGGATTATACATATAAACAATATATGCTAATAATTGGATAAGCTGGATGAAAGACACATTACCAGAAAGATATGAACTACTGAATCTGACTTGAGAAAAAAACAGAAAATCTGAATAGACAGACCTATGTCAAGTAAAGAGATTGAGGTAGTAATCAAAAAACTTTCCACTAAGAAAAGCTGAAGACCAGCAGGCAGCCTCACTGGTGAATCTACCAAATACTTAAAGAAGAATTAACACCAATCCTTCATAAAGTCTTTCAAAATACAGATGAGGAAAGAACATTTCCTAACTTATTCTATGAGGGTGATATTAACCTGGTATCCAAACTAAAGACATCACACACAAAAAATTACAGACCAGTATTTCTTATGAATGTAGATGGAAAAATGCTTGACAAAATCTGGCAAACCAAATTCAACGGAGTATTCTGTAAACATGAAGCAGATAATAATAGCATGATTCTCCAAACTGATCTATGGTTTCACTACAATTGTTGTTTTTTTGAGTGAAAAAGTTTTCATTTATTGGCTGGGCATGGTAGCTCATGCCTGTAATCCCAGCATTTTGGGAGGCTGAAGCAGGTGGATCATCTGAGGTTAGGAGTTCGAGAGCAGCCTGATAAACGTGCTGAAACCCCGTCTCCATTGGAGTCTCACTCTGTTGCCCAGGCTTGAGTGTAATGGCGTCACCTGAACATCTATGTGCAAAATAATGAAGGTGGACCCCCTACATCTCACACGATTATAAGAATTGATGCAAAATATGTCAAATACCTAAATGTAAGAGCCAAAACGATAAGACTCTTACACAAAAACATGGGAGTAAATTTCATGACCTTAAATTAGACAACAGTTTTTTCTTCTCCAAACTGGATTTTTTTTCTTTTAAAACAATTTTGTCTTTTGAATTTAATGAAGTATTACTAGCTGAAGGCAGCCTGACATGGTGACAAGAATGTCAGACAGATGAAAGGGACACAGCCTGATTTAAAACCAAACACTGAACCTTTTTAAAGAAGAATAAGACATTTTATACACACACATGACACCAAAAGCACAAACAACCAAAGGAAAAATAGATACATTAGATTTTATCAAAATTAAAAACTTTTGTGCATCAAAGGACACTGGCAAGAAAGTCACAGAACTCACAGGATGAGAGAAAATATTGGCAAATTATCTGTTAAGGTCTAATATCCAGAGTATCCAGAAGATATAGAGAAATTCCTATAATTCAATAAAAAGACAAATCAATTTTTTAAATGGGCAGAGGATGTGAATAAATATTTCTTCAAAGAAGATATATAAATGGCTCATATACACATAAAAATGTTGAATGTCTTAAATCATTAGGGAAATGTCCATCAAAAACTGCAGCGAGATACTACTTTACACTCACTGGGATGGCTATGAGAAGAGACAGACAACGACAGTGTTGACAAAGACCCGGAGAAATTGAAACCCTCAAACATTGCAGATGGAAGTGTAAAATGGAGCAGCCACTGTGGAAATCAGCCTGACAGGTCCTCAAAAAGTTAAACATAAGAGTTGCCATACGATCTAGCAATTCTGCTAGGGATGCACCCTAGAATTAAAAACATGTCCACGCAAAAAGTAGTACATGCATGTCCATAGCAGCATTATTCATAAAAGCCAAAATAAAGTAGAAACAACCACATGTCCACTAAGTGATGAATGGATGAACGGATATAGTGATGGCTCCATACAATGGAATATCACTCAGCCTTGCAAAGGAATGATCCATGCTGCAGCATGGGAGGACCTTAGAAACAACATGCTTCGTGAAAAGAAACTAGACACAAAAGGCCACATACTGTATGATTCGTTTATATGAAAGATCTAGAATAGGCAAATCCATAGGGACTCAAAGTAGATTAGTAGTTACCTGGGCCTGCGGGAAGACAGCACTGGGGAGTGATGGCTAATGGGTACCATGTTTCTTTTTGGGATGATGAAAATGTTCTGGGGTTAGATAATGGTGATTGTTTGCTATACAACCTTGAGAATATACTAACCACCACTGAATTGTACACTTTATAATACTGCGTTGATGGTACGTGGATCAAGTCTCAATGTAACACAAAGAAGCATGTTGTACTGTATAGAACACCAGGTGCCAGAAGACCAAACATGCTGGCAGATGGAAAAAAGAGGAGTGAAGATTCACTCTCCCTTGACCAAGATCAGAGTGAGTCAGTGGCGAGGCTGGGAGCCACACAGCTTGTCCTGCCTTGTGATCCCCCTCCTCTTTCCTATTCCAGATGGTTTTTCAGTGCCATTAACTTGTTTTGTAACACTAATATTCAATAAGATGATGTTACAAAGAGAAAGAATGTGAGTGCCACATGACTGGTTAAGTATGGATTCTCAAACTAGGGCTTTAAATATCCTTCGTGATTTTTTTTTGGCATGAAAACTTGTAAGACCACTGGTGGGCTCTGTACAAAGTCGGCTACCCCTTCATTCTATATCTTCCTCTGCCCACTTTCCTCCCAGCTATTAAAAATGAATGTAGGCTGGGCACAGCATCTCAAGCCTGTAATCTCAGCACTTTGGGAGGCCAAAGCAGAAGGAAAGCTTGAGCCCAGGAGTTTGAGACCAGCCTGGGTAACAAAGTGAGACCCTGTTTCTATTTTTTTCTAAACACCAAAAATAATGACTGTAAGGCAGTATGTAGCCAAACAACTTGGCAAAGTTTGTTATCTTTCCTCCAAAATTCTCTCACTCTCCAACCTTCCCTCTTTCTTGATAGCTCATCCATAGCCTTGAGCTCAGCATTACCTCTGAACTAGGAAGCTCTTCTCCAGCTGACATTAGGATCTTTGCATTTGTCCCTAATGAAATCAAAATATAGGGCCATTCGATATTATCCTCTTTTCCTCCTGTTCTAAGGCATTCTTTTCTTGACTAAGGTTGTGCCTGGGCCATGGAGAGACTGAGTGAGAACTGGCTCAACGGCTCAAGTTTGAGGACTCTACAGCAACTCTTTTCCACAAACCAAATGATATGAATGTTTTTATTTATTTATATTTATGTTTCCACTTTTTAAAAGTCTTTTTGTAGAGATTGGGGTCTCACTTTGTTGCCCAGGCTGAACTTGAACTCCAGGGGCTCAAGCGATCTGCCTGTCTTGGCCTCCTAAAGTGCTGGGATTACAGGCATGAGCCAGCGCGCCCAGCCTCGAGTGTTTTTAGATTCACAGTAGATGACCATTTCCATTTCTGGTTCAAGTCCTTCATTTTATACATTAAACTAAGGTGCACTGACTCCCAGTCCATCGCCTTTTTGGTATCTTTATGGAAGTAAAATGTGGCAAGCTTTTTTTCAGCCTCAAAGACTGTCTCAGAGTAAAAGTTTAAGAAGTACTGCTCTAAATAATTTTATTAAATATGCCTTATTAGATGAGGAAAACTGAAATATTTTTATACAAGCCTTTTGCTGTAGAACAATGGGACAGAATAAAGGTAGCTCACAAAATAAGGGAACATTTCTTGCCTGTTTTTTTTTTTTCCCTCCAAATTCTTCTGTACAGGTCCAGATAGATGAGCTATGTTTCCTTTCTATTAACTGAGGAGAGAGAGATGAAAGGACTGGAGCATGTCATCACTGTCTTAAATGTACTGAAATCCTAACAGCTCTAGCTGAAAAAATGTCCAAAGCAGGCCGTGAAAATAAATTTAAATGACAAACTCCAAAATGATCTATGCTAGAATCCCAAGGCTGTCAGGGAAAACTGGTTCCATGGAAGAAGGTAGTCAAAGAAATAAGCAGATGACCTAGACCCTCACCCAATATGCGCGATGTACTTGGGGAGAAAGTAACCTCTTTCCTTTATTCACCTACATAGGTTCGTGAGCCACACATCTCCCCACACCAAGCTCCTCCATACAAGACCTCGGACTGCATCACGTAAATGCTTTTTCAGGGGCAAAATCTAGAGAATCTGAAATGGTGAGCCTTTTTCCTTTTTTTTTTTTTTTTTGAGATGAAGTCTCACTCTGTTGCCCAGGCTGGAGTGCAGTGCAGTGGTGTGATCTTGGCTCACTGCAAACTCCACCTCCTGGAGTCAAGTGATTCTCCTGCCTCAGCCTTCAGAGTAGCTGGGATCATAGATGCCCGTCCCCATGCCTGGTTAATTTTTGTATTTTTAGTAGAGACAGGGTTTCACCATGTTGGCCAGGCTGGTCTCGAACTTCTGAGCTCAAGTGATCCACCCACCTTGGCCTCCCAAAGTGCTGAGATTACAGCATGAGACACCATGCCCAGCTGTGAGCCTGTATCTTAATCAAAGTCCTGAGAATAACCTTGAAGAAGACTCCCTTGCAATGAGCAACAACAGAAGAAGCAAGGGACCTGGAATCTGGCAGACCTGGGTTTGAATTCTGGCTCTGTCACTTTCTGGTGAAGTGACTTGAGTAATGAACATGAGCCTTTCTGGGTAGCGTTTACAGCACAAAGCAATTTGAGGAATAAATGAAAGAGCACGTGTCTAGTGCCTAGCAATGCGCTGGACACAGTGCCGGTGCTCAGCCATCATGTCACACCAGCACTGACCGGTGAGCATAAACCCTGGGGATGCCCAGAGCTGGTACAGCCAGGAGCTCCAGAAGCGTGGGATTCTCAGAGGGAAGTGGAGCTCACTGCTCTACAGGTCCTGTTCAAGTTAGAAAGTAAGATACAATGCACACAAAGCCAAATTGTCATCATTCAGCTCCTATTACAGGGGAACTAAGAGCTGCATTGAAAATTATTTGCAAAGCTTGTAAGTGGTTCTGCCACTTATTAGCCGTGTGAACCTTAGCAAATTACCTAGCGTCTCTGAGTTTCAACTTCCTCATCTACAAAATAGAAATGATAATAATAACCGCATCGCAAGAGTTGTTGGAAAAATGAAAATGAGGTATCATAGGAGGTAACATGTATGGAGCATTTACCATAGGCCAAGCACTGTTCTAAGAACTTCGGACATGTTATCTCACTTGTATAAGTACTTAGGTGCCTACAACATAAACAGCACCTGGTAAATTAAGTATTGAAAAAATGCTATGGGGCAGAGGAAGAAATGCTAAGCTTCTGTGAGAAGAGAAGACAGCTTGTTACACAGGTGAAAAGAACAAGCTGCAGCTGAGAGAAGAAAAGTATAAGAGTTGCTAGGTGTGACAATCTCAAGACTTTTCAACCACTACAAATTTAAACAGCCACCCTAAATCACCCCAAAGGACAGACTCGAGTTGTTCTTTTTGTCTTTAATGTTTGCGCCTCTCCGAATCAGAGAAGAAGCTGCCAGGATTCCAGTACATACCAAAACATGATGACAATACCCTCAACTGTGCAAACTTTTGTGCATCTACCGCTATGTAAAGGAAGCTGATGTCAGTAGACTGGGGGGAACAGTAAGGCATGTTTGTGACCGAAGCTCAATTTGCCATCACAGTGTGGCCACACCTACCTCACTAATATTCTAATAGTGGGATAAATAATTCAATAGGGATAAAGCCTGGATTTTCCTCTTATTCTCTCTTAGTGCTTACATTCTTGGCATGATATCGATGTGCCACAGACAAGCCAATATGTGAGTGTACTCTATCTGAATAAAGTATAGCCTTTCTACATTGCAAAGTCATCCAGTTTCTAAAATTATTGTTAGAACCAATGAAGTGACTAAGAGAATTTTAAAAAATAAGCCATCAGTCTGGACCTGTGTATAGGAATGAAGGAGAAGCACTTTAAAGTCAGGGAAAAAATATAAACATACTTAACATTTAGGATTATCAACCATTGCTGCTTTTCCATAAACCATTTCATTCATGATTTCATCTGTAAGAGATATGATTATTGCCCCCATTCAGTGAGGGACTTTGATAGTTAGCCGCCTGGTCCTTCTTGCTTGGATGCCCTGCAAATAAATGTCCTCCTTTCCCCAATGCAAAACCTCGATATGGTTGTTTGACTTTACTGCGCTTGGGCCAGCAGAATCCAGTTAAGTCCACGAATAAGCTCTTGGCCTGTCTTTGAGATGGATTTCAGATTCAAAATAGACAGACCCTATCACCCTGCTAACTTGGCCAGTCAGTATTTGTCAATAACATAGAGGCTTCATTCAAGAGATTTACTGGGTTGTACCTATTGGAACCCAGGGATGATTTCAGGATTTTGTGGGGCCTGAGCCTTATCTAGTAAAAACATTAAAAAAATTATGAATACAAAAATTTCCAGGGGCCCTCCCACGACCTTGGAAGGGCCTGTGCAAGTGAGAAGCCTGGAAGGTTAGGCTCTATTCATCATCCATCAACCACAGCTGGGGCCTCTTTTTTTGTTTGTTTTTTATAAACTTGTGTAATGCAGGGAAATATATTGTTTCAACTTACAAACACCACAAAATGGTGTCATATTGGTCATAAAATTACTGGCACCTTCCCTTGGCATCTTGCCTTTGGAAGGAAATGCAGTGGGCCTATATGTCACATATGCCAAATATGACTGCAGTGTAGCTTTGTTTACCAGGAAGATTTGACTCCAAAAGGGCCCAGCCCCTAACATACACTTGGTGTGTTGAGACCCTTGTGCCAATCTTTGAAAGTAACTGTGACTTAGTTTGAAGGGTACAGCTCTATTCTGTTTATATGAAATGAGTGCTAGTTTCCAATATCAGCTAGCTCTGATTTTTTCATCACCATGAAGCAAATGCCTTTTTCTGTTGTTTAAGATGAACACAGAAACTCAAGATAAGCAAGTTAGTGTCTCTCAAGTCTTTCTTAACCCAGCCCCCATTCCTGCTTTGTCCTCTCCTTGTCACCCTGCCGTACAGATCCCCACATGGCTCTCATATGTTTTCCCATCAGCATCCGCTTCCTCCTTGAGGAATGAAAGTCCCCTGGGGACAAAGTCCTCATCTTGGTGTGTCTTTGAGATGGATTTTGTAGCCCCAGCACTTAGTACAGTACCTGGCACAAATGGACATGACACTCTGAATGTTTTTGAGTGAATTCATTAATTTTTATCAACTGTGATTCCAGTGTTTTCCTGGTGTTGCCTACATAATTGTAGTGAAGCTGGCTAGATGATGATGATGATGATGATGATGATGATTATTATTATTATTATATTATTATTATTATTTGAGACAGAGTCTCACTCTGTCCCTCAGGCTGGAGTGCAATGGTGCCATCTCGGCTCACTGCAACCTCCGCCTCCTGGTTTCAAGTGATTCTCCTGCCTCAGCCTCCTGAGTACCTAGGATTACAGTTGCCTGCCACCATGCCCAGCTAATTTTTGTATTTTTAGTAGAGACAGGTTTCACCATGTTGGTCAGGCTGGTCTTGAACTCCTGACCTCAGGTGATCCACCCACCTCAGCAAAGTGCTGGAATTACAGGCATGAGCCACCGCTCCCGGCCACCAGATTTTTATGAGGGACTCCCAGTTGTATAAAGTGCTTAGTAAAGATGGTGAGTTTAAAACATTTGTATTGATGCTACCTAAACCTCTTGGTGGAGGGACCTAATGAGCCTGTTCTCTGGTGTGAGGGCAAAAGAAAAACAGACCTTTAGTGTACTTTTCCTAAGTTATGCATCAGCAAATTAATGAGGACAGAGGGGAGCATGTGCAGAAACTGCTGCTCTAGTCCAGACACATCCTGAATGCCTCCCTCTAACTTGAAATGAACTGTGTGAAACTAGATTTCTGAACCACAAGGCAGGTGGAACGTCTTTTCTAAAGTCAGATGTAGAGGAGAATCTTCACCTTGAGTCCCCTTCAGGCCACTGAATATACCCACTCTGATTTGATGGGTATGTTATACAGAGAAATCATAGAATTTTTGCAATTATGGTAGAAGAGTAGTCAGGAAAGTATATGGAATTAAGATACAGCGATATATTTTCTTTACAAAAGTTTTTTTTTGCACAATAGCTTAACATAAACACCATCTTGGCCAGGCATGGTGGCTCACACCTGTAACCCCAGCACTTTGGGAGGCTGAGGTGGGCGGATCACCTGAGGTCACAGGAGTTCGAGACCAGCCTGGAGGGGAGGTTGGAGGGTAGTGGCACAATCTCGGCTCACTGCAACTTCCCCCTCCCGGGTTCAAGCCATTCTCGTGCCTCAGCCTCCCGATAGCTAGGATCACAGGTGCCCGCCACCATGACCTGCTAATTTTTGTATTTTTAGTAGAGATGAGGTTTTGCCATGTTGGCCAGGCTGGTCTCAAACTCCTGACCTCCAGTGATCCTCCCACCTTGGCCTCCCAAGGTGCTGGGATTACAGGCATGAGCCACCATTCTGGCCCTACAACTTTGGATTTGATTCCTGCTCATATGCAGAGTTTCTAACTGCTTAAATGTCTGCAACATTTAGCTGCAAGGAAGGAAGCTTAACACAAAGTCCTCCAGGGAGCAAAAAACTGCACCACCACGCCCAGCTAATTTTTTTGTATTTATAGTAGGGACAGGGTTTCACTATGTTGGCCAGGCTGGTGTTGAATTCCTGACCTCGGGTGATCCACCCACCTCGGCTCCCAAAGTTCTGGGATTACAGGTCTGAGCCACCCCGCCCAGCAACAAGGCTAATTTGAGGGTCACTTCTTTGATGCCTTTTCTTGCCCATGCTATAGGTCAGAACTAGGACAAGCAGAGGAGGTCATATATAAGCTACGTAAGTCTCTTGGCCTCTTTGTACCTTAGCTTCCCCATTTGAGAAAAATGAATGGATCTTAAGACACGCTTTTCAGAGTTGATAATGGGCTTATACCCAGCTACCCAATAATTGTATGAGTTTTTGTACATAAATAGTTGTTTACATGTATTCATCTTCTATTTCACTTACAACTTATGTAAAAACTGCATTCCGTGCCAGGCCTGAAATGTTCCAAAGCTGAGTTCTGTAATTACATTGCAACTAAGATTTCTAAAAAAAAAAGACACAAGCCAAAGAAAAAAAAATTATTTCAGAACATTTATCATTTGCCATGATTCTAATTTATATAGGATGGAACATAACCTCAATCCTTTCTCTATGCACTAAGGAAATCTGACTGTGGAAGATACTGGCTTATGATTTATACTTTAACACTGCACATGTGGTGCATTAGATACAAAACAGTGAATGCTCAGTAAATACCTGTGTTAAGTGATCTTTATTTCTCTAGAACAGGATTTCACAACTTCAGTGCCATCAACATTTTGGACTATATAACTCTTTGCCATGGGGGTTTGTCTTATACCTTGAAGGATGTTTAGCAGCATCTCTGGCCTTTGCCCACCAGATGCCAGGAGCACACTCACAGTTTTGTCAACCAAAACTGTCTCCGGACATTACCAAATGCCACCTGAGTGCAAAATCACACCACCTGAGAACCACTGCTCTCTGATGATTCACTAAGATCTGTGTAATAATTCTCACAATAATCCTTGCTAGAGACAAAAAGGATTTGCTGTATAATTTTAGTAGCTTTCTACTGGTAAAATTTTAATCATATTTCAAGAATAGCAAAAAGGTTTATAATTAAGTTTTATAAAAATTCCAAATGTAATCAAGTTATATTTGTAACTTACATAAACTTCAAAAATGGTAGTGGTTCAAATGTATGTCTTTCAATAGACTGTATTTTATTGCAGGATAAATCTCTAGGAAAACGAAAATATTGCCTTGATTAGTTATTAAATGTCAATTGGTATGAATAACAGCAAGAGTTTAGAATAATACTGAATACCTGTTTTTCATCTCAACTCTAAACGTTTGGACTTGTATTTGAACATTCCAGAGCCCCTAACCCTGCCCATACCTCTCCTAGAGTCTCACCTTCATGGTTTTAATAAATATACAACATAATAGACTTTGGAATTAATTTTTCCTGAGAGCAGTAGACTTGATTAGATGCCCTTTTGTAGTGTCATCAAATCTTAGATTATGAGCTCAAAGATTTTATCTCTATATACACAATTTCTAATATTAAAAAAAATAGTCGGGCCGGGTGCGGTGGCTCAGGCCTGTAATCCAGCACTTTCGGAGGCCGAGGCTGGCAGATCCTGAGGTCAGGATATCGAGACCATCCTGGCTAACACGGTGAAACCCTGTCTCTACAAAAAAAATAAAAAATTAGCCGGGCCTAGTGGCACGTGCCTGTAGTCCTAGCTGCTCAGGAGGCTGAGGCAGGAGAATGGCATGAACCCAGGAGGCGGACCTTGCAGTGAGCCAAGATTGCACCACTGCACTCCAGCCTGGGCGACAGAGCGAGATTCCGTCTCAAACAAACAAACAAACAAACAAACAAGTCTCACATTTCTACACCTTCTTAGTTTAGGTCTGTTTTCCTAAGCCACTTCAATATCAGAAGAAATAAAAGACATCCTTTCACATCATTTGAAAGGAAGCTACCCCTTTACCTAATACGTAACTTTGAACTAATTCAAATCATATTAATAGAATTAATTTCTATCATATTAATAGAAATTCATTTTTGGTTTTGTATTGCTTTAATATTTCATAAAAAAAAATTTCTTCAGTTATACAGTGATGGAGTTTGTCCCTCCCTCTTTACCTGGATGGTGTAACGTTGTCTGGCTGATGTCTCCATCTCTAGTCTCTCCCTACCTAAACTATCCTGCACACAGTCATCATATAAACTCTCCAGAAGTGGCTTGCAAAGACCAGCATCTCCTGGGAAATTACTGAAGATGCAAATTCTTGGTCCCACTCTAGACCAACTGAATCAGTAACTACGAGGGTGGAGTCCAGAACTGAGTTCTAACGTGCCCTCTCAATGACTGTGATGCAGATCTACCTTACAGCGCTGCTGTGGTAACACGGTTCCCCATGTTGGCTCCTCAGCTTGGCATTCAAAGCTCTAGAAGATCTGGCTCCATTTTCCTACTCTCCCTTCTTGTACTCTACGGGTACTCATGGCATTCCTTGAATACTTTCCTGTGTTTTGCCCTCCCACTTTCCTTTTGCAAGTTTAGAGTATTTTCCCCAAGATGTCTGTCTGGTGTTACACAATGGCCCTTTAAAGTCCTATTCAAATGGCATTGTTCTAGTAACATCCTCCTGGGTCCAAATTGAAGGCATTTTTTCCTCTTCTATGTTCGAGAAACAATTTATCCCTCCTAGTGCCCACATCCATTTCTTCTTCTTAATGTAGTTATTTTTTATCCCATTTCTTCTGAGCATAAACTCCCTGAAAGCATGGACTAGGTCTTGCTCATCTGCATTGCCCACCATGTTTAAAACTGACACATGGAAATAAAGCAAACTCAAATATTTGTAAAATAAATGAATAGCTGGGGGAGTGAGTAGAAGGAAAATAACTATTTTAAAGGAAATGTAGTTTTATTATTTCATGGTCTCTGTAGCACTTTGGCATCCACCTGAGGGTCTTTACACCCACTTTCCTTAAGCCTTCTATATTTGAAAGAATCTGTTTGCAAAAGAGCATCACTAATGAGCTTAATAAGGATTAATGACATACAGACCTCTATGGACAAAGGGTAAGAATCAAGCTTTCATAGCAATGAACATAGTATCTTCTTGTCTCTAAACAGACAGAAATACAGGGATCCCTTTCTGGTAACAGGGCTGGGGCGATCGTTATTTTGTAATTAGTGAAGAGTTAGGGGCATTTCTGATGTGCTTCTTAGTGTAAACATTTCTAGCTCTACCAGTTAACCATCATTTTAAACATCTGTTTTAATATAACAATTCCTGAAATGAAATCCTTAATACCAGTCTATTCTCTTGGTAGCTTAATATTCTTGATAATATTATTGATATAATTCAGCTATTTTTAATATTTAAATGTTAATTTAATTCCGATTAAATTACCAAAAAATTCTGGATTAATGATGTTCAAATGAATGCAGGTGGTCTCCATTTTCTTCTCCTTTAGGCAACCATCTGAAGTTAACTTTAGTTCCTTTCATCCTACTAAACCAACTTTTTGAAATTTTTTTTGGTGAAGGTCAGACAGTAAATATTTTAGGTTTTATGGGCCACATATGATCTCTCGCATATTTCTTTGTTTCTTTTCTTTTTCTTTCACAGTCCCTTTAAAAATGCAAAACCCATTCTTAACTTAATGGGCTATTTAAAAATAGACCATAAATTAGATTGGATCTATTGGTTGTAGACTGAATAGAAAAATAATGATATGTGAACCCTTATAAAACAAGGTTCATATGGGTGTCAGTCACTGCTCAGATTTTCTTACCATGTGAAATGTTTTTGTCTGTATTTTGTCTATACAACTTAAAAACTGAAAATGCACAGGAGGTAGCTAGTGCTAGAGATGGGCTGAGACCCTATACAAACTTACAGAATTGCAGAATTTTATTGCTCAAAGAAATCTGAGAGATTATCTAATTTGAACCCCTTATTCATTTTACAGATAATATGACTAAAAACTCATAAATATAATTAACTAACTTACAAATACTGGAGGGATAGCAGGCCTTCAAATGAATCCTTGTGTAATTCAGTCAAGTTATTTTCTCTGAGAATTCTGGAAAATGAAGAAGTTATTTCTAGATTAAAATGCAAACTACAACTATTTGCTACACAGAACCATCTCCTGCATGTGGAGGAAAGCTGGGTCATGGTCACTTCAAGATGGTGGGATCTGCTCTGCTTTCATTCAAACCTTTTCTTATATTTTCCTTTTTGTGTCCATCTCTCTCCACCACCACCACAAACACACACACACACACTCAAGCACACCCCTTGAAGAGTGGGTTTCTTCCCACCAAATTCTATTATTTCATGCCTCCTCTCTAGATCACAAAATCCCTTTTAGAATCCAACTCTGGGTGGCACCAAGATCAGCAGAACCTCCATTTCCTCCTCTCTTTTCCCAAACCTTATTATGAAAGCCCCACATGGAACCATGTCAGGGCTGCAAGTGAAGCCATTCAACCTTTTTCCCCCCATCAAAAAAACTGGAGAACTATAATGTGCATAAAGTGCACATAACATAAATGTTGTTTATATTTAATTTAATTTAATTTTTGAGACAGGGTCTCACTCTGTTCCCAGACTGGTCTCAAACTCCTGGCTCAAGTGATCCTCCTGTGTCTGCTTCCCAAAGTGCTGTGACTGCAGACATGAGCCACCTCACCTGGCCAAAATATTCAGTTTAATAATTATGAAGCAGATACCCATGTAAACATCGTTACAAAAGATCATTGCTAGCATGCCAGAAGCCCCAGTGTGCCCCTTTCCAATCATATCCCTCTCTCTAACCCTAATAGGTAACCACTATCCTGACCTTTGTAATAATTTTCTTGTTTTTAAAATGTAGTTCTGGCCTGGCGTGGTGGCTCATGCCTGTAATCCCAGCACTCTGGAAAGCCAAGGTGGGTGAATCACCCACGGTCATGAGTTTGAGACCAGCCTGGCCAACATGGTGAAACCCTGTCTCTACTAAAAATATAAAAATTAGCTGGGTGTGATGGAGGGCACCTGTAATTCCAGCTACCCAGGAGGCTGAGGCAGGAGAATCCCTTGAACCCGGGAGGTGGAGGTTGCAGTGAGCCAAGATCGCACCATTGCACTCCAGCCTGGGCAACAAGAACAAAATTCCATCTGAAAAAATAAATAAAGCAATTCTCCTGCCTCAGCTTCCCAAGTAGATGGGATTACAGGCACCCACCACCACGCCTGGCTACTTTTTGTATTTTTAGTAGAGATGGGGTTTCGCCCTATCGGCCAGGCTGGTCTCAAACTCCTGACCTCAGGTGATCCGCCTACCTCCCAAGGTGCTGGGATTAAAGGCGTGAGCCACCGCGCCTAGCATATGTTTATTTTTAATTTAGAACTCATCGTGGCTTGTCTATATACATTGAAATAATGATGTGACACACAAACTGTTGTGAAAAATGTCAGTTACTTTGAATGTAAGCATTTTTTCCAAAATCACTTATGTGTCTAAACCAATTCCTTCTATAAATCAGTAAGAAAATGATAAAACAATTCAACAGGAAAATGAACAAAGGCCAGAAAACTCAGAGAAGAAACACAAATGTTCAATAAACATATAAAGATACTAAATTAAATTCATGAGTAATCAGAAAAATTCACATTTAGATGGAATCCCTTTTATTCATCCATAACTTCAGCAAAAAGTTGGAGAATACCCAGCGGTGAAAAGGTGTTGGGAAATGAATGCTGTCATATTCTGCTGACAATAGAGTAAGTTGGCACAAAATTTTTGAAGGCAATTAAAATTTTATATCTACATAGTCTTCACCCCAAGAATTCCATTTCCAGATATCTATGCTACAGGAATACTTGCACATGTTCACAAAGAAGCATGTACAGGGATTTCATTGCAGCAATGCATGTAACAAGAAAACTAAGCATAATCTAAACATTCATCAATGGGGGAATTATTAAATAAACCATGATGCATCCATACTATGGATTATGCAGGAGTTTAAATGAATGGGGTGACCCTCTCAGTACTGGGAAGGAAAGAAATCTAAGGCATATCATGAAGTGAAAGAATCAAGTTGCAAGATGTTACCCTTTATGCGAAGAAAAAATTTTAAAACCACAAAACAAATCTATTTTGCTTTATGTAAATATGTATGTAGGTAAATGAGGAAAAGTCTGGAAGCATGTATACTAAATGCAGAGTAGCATTACTTCAGGGATGAGGGAGTAGGGCACAAGGAGAGTTTTTGTTATATCTGTTATTGCATTTTTATATATTAAAAATGGAATCATGGGCTGCGGGTGGTGGCTCATGCCTGTCATATGAACACTTTAAGAGGCCAAGGTGGGAGGATCACTTGAGCCCAGGAGTTCAAGACCAGCCTAAGCAGCATAGGAAGACCCTGTCTCTACAAAAAATACAAAATTAGGTGGGTGTGGTGGCATGCACCTGTGGTCCCAGCTACTGGGGAGGCTGAGGTGAGAGGATCACTTGGGCCTGGGAGGTGAAGGCTGCAGTGAGCTGTGATTGTGCCACTGCACTGCAGCCCAGAGGACAAAGTAAGACCCTGTCTCTGAAAAAAAAAAAAAAAAAAAAAAAGAGAACAAAAAGGAATATAACCATGTACTATTTGTATGATAAAAAATAAATTTAAATTGCCTCTTATTTTAAAGAGAGCCTACCAAATTTAATTTTAAAATAACCATACAATTGCAATCAACAGTGGTTGATTTGGGGCGTGGAGGAGAAATATCTTTCCTCAGAGGTACCGACCTCAAAATTCTGGACCAAGAAGGATCTTACAATGCAGTTAGCTTTTTGTCATATTTGGAGAGAATATACTCACAGTTTCTCGGTCCAACTGTATGCTTTCCATACATTTCCATCAATGTAAGAAATATAGTTTCCTTGGAAATTTCTGTGAAGAAACACAGTTTATATCCTTGAATAGGTAGGAAAACAATGAACACGATAAGTAAAAGAATCATTGCAACCTTGTTGGGGATATTCAGAAACAGAAAATAACACCTGCTTTCTCATTTCCAGAGCTATCAGCTTCCCAGTTTGCACAATTCATCAAGAAATTATGCGGGGTCACTGGCACAAATGATGAGGCATCTCCTGGAAGCTTAACTTCTTATCCATCCCATCTCTTGGACAGATGATGCCAGTTAATTACTTTGAATGTAAGTATTTTATCTAAAAGCACTTATGTGTCTAAACAGACTTCTACAAATCAGTACCAAAATGGTAAATAATTCCACAGAAATATGGGCAAAAGCTTATCATTATCAACAAATGAGAAGAAAGAAACCCTATGCCAGGTAACACCAAAGCTTTGGCCCAGTGCCCTCTGTTGAAACATCCTAGGCTTTTTCTTTCCACTCCTATTACAACTGATCTGATTTGGCCCCTTCACACCTCACTCCTAGATTTTGCTAGACCTTTCTATTTTGTCTCCCTGAATTAAGCTTTTCCTTTTGGACACTTTACATATGGATTCTAAAACAATCCTCTGCATGTCTACACTTGCACATAATGCAAAAAACAAAATAAAATAATCTTCCTGTTTTGATCATGTAATCTCTCTTGCTTGGAAACTTTCAATGGCTTTCCATACCTCATTGTGTAACTTTCAAACTCCTGTAGCTGATAATCAAGGTTTTACAGAATCGTATCTTCATTGCTCCCTCACCTAATTCTTTGTAGCCACATTGGTCTACTAAATTCCAACCATACCTGTAGCCATGCGTTTGCCTAGACTGTACTCCCATTTTTCTCCTATTTAACAAATTATGGCTACTCTTTAAGACCCAAGTAAAGTTTTAGCTTACCCATGTAGCATCTCCACACCTCAAGGATCACAGATTCTGGCAAATTCTAGCACCAATGGTCTGCATTATCTTTTAGTACTTAATTATATATACCTCCCTTTTTATGCCTATTCTCTTTCTTCCCTCCTATCATTTTTTTTTTTTTTTTTTTTTTTGAGATGGAGTCTTGCTCTGTCGCCCAGGCTGGAGTGCAGTGGTGCAATCTCGGCTCACTGCAAGCTCTGCCTCCCAGGTTCACGCCATTCTCCTGCCTCAGCCTCCCGAGTAGCTGGGACTCCAGGCACCCACCACCATGCCTGGCTAATTTTTTTCTGTATTTTTAGTAGAGATGGGGTTTCACCATGTTAGCCAGGATGGTCTTGATCTCCTGACCTCATGATCCGCCCGCCTCGGCCTCCCAAAGTGCTGGGATTACAGGCGTGAGCCACCACACCCAGCCTCTTCCCTCCTATCATTTTCGTGTTCTGGAGACAGTAGCATACTTGGCCCTGGGTTTGACATAAAACTAGTTCTACATATAGAAAGCTAGGGACAAAAATGAGTTCTGGACAAAACTAAAGGACTGAATAATCATGTGAACAGCCAACTCTCCTACATATGCTAAGCACTGATGAAGTGTTTCATATATTCACTCACCTAAATTTCACAACAATCCTATGAAATGCTAACTAGCATGATCCCCAGTTTAAAGGTGAGGAAATTGAGTCACAGGCAGAATAACTTGCTCTGGGTCACCAAGCTAATAAATAGATCTGGGTTCAAACCCAGGCAGCCTGGCTCCGGAATCAACTCTTAACCACTTAGAGCATCATCACTGAGATCGGGAGAGGGACAGGCTGCTGTAAAGAGGGTGAAGCGAAAATGGGAGGAGAGCAGCGGTTAAGCAATGATGTGATGGGGCTAAATAAAAATGGATACAAAAACGAGTAAAAGACCAGAGTAAAAGGAAAAGACTGGAGAAGGGGACTAACATTAAAAGAGAATGAGGAGAAGGGAGAGTTGACAAGCAAAGGTGAAAGCAGAAAGTCAGCTGTCCATATGGCTTGGGGAGATAAAGAAGGCCCAGGAAGGCCTCCAGGAAAAGGCTGCCATGTCAGGCAGGACACAGAGGACAATTGAGGAAAAGTGATTCTTACAAGATGGTGAAGGTGCCATTGTGGGTGTTGGGCTCTGGCACAGGCACTTGGCGGAGCCTCTGCTCTGGGTTGAGATCAATACATGACAACATCTCATCTCCGCAGGTACAGAGCTCACATATGTTGGTGCTTGTGGAGGCCTTGTGTTCCTCTGGTGCAGTTAAAGCCTTATTTTGGGTGTAACTTTCAGACTGCACCAGTGAATCCTGAGCAGGTTCTAGTTCAGTAGGTGGACCTGTGACTTCAGTCAGGCTTCGATGCAGAGTCTGAACCCGGTCTGGACGAGGAGCTGTAGTCTTCTCCAGGGCTGTAGAATGTCCAGTCTCTGTAGTGGGTTCTGGAATGATGGCAAGTCCCAGGTCTGGAGGCTGAGTTGAGGTCTCCTCCGTGGTTGGAGATGGTTTAACCTCTGTAGTAGGTTTTGTAGTTATGGTAAGCTCCAGGTCCAGAGGTTGAACGGTGGCTTGAGTCAGGTGTGAATGCTGAGCCTGACCCTTGTCTGAAGGTGGAAGTGTCACCTCAGGGTGTCCTGGAGGAGGAGCTGTAGTCATCAGGGCTGTAGAAGGTTCAACCTCTGTCATGGATTTTGGAGTGATGGTAAACCCCAGGTCCAAAGGTTGAACTGTGGCTCGAGTCAGGTGTGAATGCTGAGTCTGAACCTGGTCTGGATGTGGAAGTGTCACCTCAGGATGCTTTGGAGAAACTATAGTCCTCTTCGGGGGTGTAGAATGTCCAACCTCCGTAGTAGGTTCTGGAGTGATGGTAAGTCCCAGGTCCAAAAGTTGAACTGTAACGCTGGGTGACACTGGATGCTGAGCTTGATCCTGACCTGGTGTTGGATTTGTTACCCCTTGATATACTCGAAGTTGGGGTACAACTTTCTTAGGAGGCTGAGTTGGGGTCTCCTTCATGGTTGGAGAAAGTTCAACCTCTGTCTTGGATTCTGGAGTGATGGTAAACCCCAGATCCAAAGGTTGAACTGTGGCTTGAGTCAGGTGTGAATGCTCTGGAGGTTGAGCTACAACTACATTAGGGAACTCTGGAGTCTGAGCTGGGGCCTCCTGATGGGTTAGGGAAGACTCACCCTCCTCAGCGGTCTGTGGATGCTCAGCTGCAGCCTCCTGCTGGGTTGGAGAGGGGTTCTCATTATTAATAGGTTCCGGAGATTGAAATGAAGTCTCCTGTTGAACTGCTAAAGGTCCAGCTTCTTCTGATGACTCTGGAAGCAGAGGTGGGCCCCCGTGCTGGATGGCGGGAGGTTCTACATCATTACCTGACCCTGAGAGCCGAGTTGTAGCCTCCTGGTGGACTAGAGAAGTTCCCACCTCTGCACTAGGCTCTGCTGCTATGGTGAGCTGCACGTCTGGAGGCTTCACAGAGACACTGGGTGAAGCTAAATGATGAGTTTGATGGTGACCTGGAGGTGAAACTGTGACTTCATGATGTTCTGGAGGCTGACCTGGGGTCTCCTGCTGGGTCGGAGAAGATTCGACCTCCCTAGGAGACTCAGAAGGCTGAACTGGCTGCTGCTGCTCACTGATGGAAAGTTCATGCTCCATAGGAGGAACTGGAGGCTCAATTGGGGCCTCCTGTTGGGTTGCAGAAGGTTCCACCTCCTCTGGAAACTGAATTGGGGTCTCCTGCTGGGCTTGGGAAGATTCTGTCTCATTGGTAGGCTCTGAAGTTATGGTAACCTCCACATCTGCAGGTTTAACTGTAATGTTGGGCAAGTGATAATAAGCTTGATCCTCACCTGGAGGTTGAACTGACACCTCATGATTCGGTAGAGTTAGACTCTCCATAGAGGACTCTGGAGGCAGAGCTGGGGCCTCCTGCTGCATTGAAGAAGGTTCTTCCTCAAGGAGCTGTGGAAGCTGTGCTGGGGCTTCTTGCTGGAGTGAAGAGGACTGGATGTCTTCAAGGGTCTCTGGATTTTGAGTTTCGGGCTCTAGATGGAATTGAGAAGGTCCAACTTGCTCAGAGGGCCCTGGAGGCTCATCTGACTTCACCCGGAGTTCTGGAGGCAGGCTACCGGGATACGGTGTATCTGTACTGGAATATTCATTCTGCAAAGTCTGTTTCTGACTCTGAGGTGTGGATAATTGGCGTATAATTCCAATAATCTCAGCAAGGCTCCAACGCTGAGCTGGATCTTTCTTCAGCTTCTTGGGCGAAACAGGGAGCCTTTCCTGTGGACTCAGCTTGTCCTTTAAATCCTGCTGTGAAGCCAAGAACTGCTCTGGCTCCAGGGGCAGCTCTCCAGCTGAATCCCAGGTGTCCAGGAATGGAACCAAATTTTCAGTCGATTCCTGGGGTGGGGCTGGCATCTCTGAGGAAGCAGAGGGCCCCAGGTGATCAAAGTCCCACGGGTCTGCTGGGAGAGTAGGCGCATGGGGAGATTCCCGTGGGAAATGGGAGGAGTGGGAAGACCAGGGCTCAGGCGGCCCCAGGGGGTTAGAGGTCAGCTGGAGCGGGTCCTTGACCCACTCCAGAGGCTGAGCCTCCTTGACTAGTAGCCACAATAGTTGCCACATAAGGAGGGGCCATGGGCCCCAGAAACGCAGCGGGGACATGACACACGCTAGTGCCGGGCACTGAGCGGAAGTCATTCTGGCAGCTCCGAGACGCTCGTGCCCCTTGTAAGCGTGAGTCCCGCCCTGTCTTTATGACACCTTTATTTATGCCACAGATCTGCTCCATGTCACCAGGGCACTCATGTCACAATCCCGCCCAAGCACGCCTTCCCATCCTGCCCTGCCGGAGCACCCCTCTCCTCCCCTTAGTGAGGAAGGATTTGGGCCTCAGATCCTGGTGGTCCCAGGACTCCAGCGCCTGCTGTGGTGGGGTAGGGTGGGGTAGGGTGGGATGGGGGCGCGGCAGAGCTTCCCAAGGAAGTCACCGGACCTCGCCTCAGGATATTCAGAAGTGCTAGTTCAGTTCTGGCAGCCTTCCTCCTTTAAGGTGAAATCCGAGAACACTCTTCCTTCCAGGGAGAGCAACTGACCTGCAAAATGGGCGCCAGGATGTACATTACAGTCATTTATTCCAAAGTGTTGCCATTTTCGCTAAACTGTCGCATGTTTGATAATTAATTCACCACCCTATTAGGTAGGGGCTGCCAGGGAATAAGCGAGGACTCCAAATTTTCTGTAGGAGGGGTGTTGGGAGTTGGCAATTCGGTCTGGGAGAGAAGGTTTTAATCCGAGTGAAGAGCCCTTTGCACTAGCCTGGGAGGAGGCTGAACTGTCATCCTGCCTTGACTCAACACAGCCATTCCCCTAGAAGTTACAGCACTTCTAGGGTCACCTGTGTTCAGAGATCTACCCTGTGTGCACACATGGAGAAGAGGCTTAGGTTGTTAAAGTCAGCATGTTAAATCATTTCCTGAAATGCGACTGTAACTAGAACCCAGCTGACTTCCCCCACAGCCGTTCTTACCTATTTTATTACTGTCTGGCATAATTACCAGCATGTAAACTCCAAGAAGGTGCTTCATCTTATTTTAGTGCCTGGCATAGACATAGGGTGCATAGTGATGGCTTTAAAATTGAAGGGGGGCCGGGTGTGGTGGCTCACACCCATAATCCCAGAACTTTGGGAGGCCGAGGTGGGGGGATCACTGAGGTCAGAAGTTCGAGACCAGCCTGACCAACATGGTGAAACTCCGTCTCTACTAAAAATACAAAATTAGCCAGGTGTGGTGGTGCATACCTGCAATCCCAGCTACTCAGGAGGCCAAAGCAGGAGAATCCCTTGAACCTGGGAGGCAGAGGTTGCAGTGAGCCGAGATCACAACATTGCACTTCAGCCTGGGCAACAAGAGAGAAACTCCATCTCAAAAAAATAAAATAAAATAAAATGGAAGAGATTCCAAGATTCACCTCATTTAGGGATGGAGCTATTGTTATAATCAGATTTCTGAAATGAGTGCTGACTTCCTCTCACATTTCACAGGAAGCTAGACTTCTTAAAGCTTGAAGTCTCCTTGGTGGGTTTTATTTAAATTGAATTAAAATAATTATTTTACAGGGAAAAATTTCAAAACACTTTGCAACTTTGGGGTAAAAGTTAAATAAAACACTGTAGCCCCAAGTTAAGTTCCCACTGAAATGATACTTTTGCTCCTTTTTTTAAAAAAAATTCCATAAATAGTAAATAATGACTGTTTTGAGATTAATTTAGAAACAATCCCTATTTAAGAGCTTTCATATGCAGTCATGCATTGCTTCCCACGTGAGGAGCTTGAGAAATGGGTCACTAGGTGATTTCACCATTGTGCTAACATCATAGCGTATACTTACACAAACCTAGGTGGTGTAGCCACCATACCTAGGGTACACGGTATGGCTTAGGACTCCTAGGCTACAAACCTGTACTGTATGTTACTGTACTGAATACTAAAGGCAACTGTCACAGAATGGCAGGTATTTGTGTATGTAAACATGGAAAATATATAGTTAAAATACTGTGTAAAAGATAAAAATGGGGCCTGGGCACAGTGGCTCATGCCTGTAATCCCAGCACTTTGGGACGCCAAGGTGGGTGGATCACTTGAGCTCAGGAGTTCAAGACCAGCCTGGCCAACATGATGAAACCCCATCTCTACTAAAAATACAAAAATTAGCTGAGTGTGGTGACGCGTGTCTATAATCCCAGCTACTCAGGAGGCTGAGGTAGGAGAATCACTTGAACCTGGGAGGTGGAGGTTGCAATGAGCTGGGATCATACCACTGCACTCCAGCCTGGACAACAGAGTGAGACTCCATCTCAAAAAAAAAAAAAAAAAAAGATAAAAATGGTATACCTATATAGGGATAGCTCCATTATACGCTTACGGAACCACCATCATATATGTGGTCTACTGTTGACCCAAACTTCATTTTGCAGCACATGATTGTAAATGATTGACAGAAAGATCTTCAGCAAAATATTCCACCCAAGATACGTGGGAGATATTGAGATCCAAGCAATAAGCCATATTTGAAAGGCATTATAGTTTTCAAAAGCTGTAGCGCAATCATTCTTAAGGCCAGTTACCTTCTCCCCACATCTCTGGGATCCTGTTTGAAGGGAGTTCTAACAAGGCCTGTGTTCGAGCAGCCCAGCATCCCTTACTCCTGGAGCGGGGGGAGACTAACCCCTCTCCTGTGTCCACAACTGTAGTAATACAATCCTCGGTTCTGCTCTCCAAACTTCAAATAAGGGGTCAGAGCCAAGGGTTAAGACTTTAGGAAAAGCCCCGGAAATACCCTGCACTCAAAAAGCAGTTTCAGAGTTTCACATTTTCCTGAGAATTAAACAAATTATCCTCCAAATTCTGCTGCTTGTTTTGAATTATGGTTATACTGGCAATGTTATCCAACCCTTGAGTTGTTTTTCTTTTCTTTTTTTTTTTTTCCTCGAGAGAGTGTCTTGCTCTGTCACCCAGGCTGGAATGCAGTGGCATGATCTCGGCTCACTGCAACCTCCGCCTCCTGGGTTCAAGTGGTTTTCATGCCTCAGTTTCCCAAGTAGCTGGGATTACAGGTGCCCACCACCACACCCAGCCAATTTTTGTATTTTTAGTAGAGACAGGGTTTCACCATATTGGCCAGGCTGGTCTTGAACTCCTGACCTCATGATCCACCCACCTCGGCCTCCCAAAGTGCTGGGATTACAGGTGTGAGCCACAGCGCCTGGCCTGTTTGTTTTTTGAGATAGAGTTTCACTCTTGTTGCCCAGGCTGGAGTGCAATGGTGTGATCTTGGCTTACCGGAACCTCCGCTTCCCGGGTCCAAGCGATTCTCCTGCCTCAGCCTCCCGAGTAGCTGGGATTACAGGCATGTGCCACCATTTCTCCATGTTGGTCAGTCTGATCTTGAACTCCTGACCTCAGGTGATCCACCCGCCTCAGCCTCCCAAAGCACTGGCATTACAGGTGTGAGCCACTGTGCCCGGCCCTGTTACCTTTGAGTTTTTATCTCCACATACTTATATTAAACCGTGTAGTTCTTCTTCCCATCTGACATCTACAATCTCTTCACTGGGTCTGTACTCCATAGCTATTTTACCACTTTCTGAAATAAAGTTAGCAAGGATGAATTCAGAATCTTTTTCATTCCAAAACTTCCTGCATATAATGGTAGCAACCCACAATGAGACATTCTTTTAGTTTCTAAAAGCAGGAAATAAGCATTTTCCTGAAAGTTTCCTCATCTCTTCATCATACACTTCGATTTTTGTTTTTCTTTTTTCTTTTAGACAGGGTCTCACTCTGTCACCCAGGCTGGAGTACAGTGGCACTATCATAGCTCACTGTAGCCTGGAATTCCTGGGCTCAAGTCATCCTCCTGCTTCAGCCTCCAGAGTAGCAGGCACTATATCACTGTGCCCGTCTAATTCTCTTTTTTAGAGACATGGTCCCGCTTTGTTTTCCAGGCTGGTCTCGAACTCCTGGCTTGAAGTGATCCTTCTGTCTTGGCCTCCCGAAATGCTGAGATTTCAAGCGTGAGTCATCATGTCTGGTCTCACAGCTCAGTTTTTAACATATGTATGAAATATCAACTGTGTTTGGTTCAAAGGACTTTATGATCTTACAGATAGGAACTAAGGAATAATAACGTAAGAAATAAAAAATGTGGAAATAAAAATGTTCAGTCATAACATGATTAAAAGGTAAGGCACCAGGTGGGGGGTCGAAGTAAGTTCAAATCCAAAATAGAGACCACTGGGCTAGTAGACACTTCACATTAGAAGCATGGCTAGGTGTCTACTCCCTGAGAACCAAAATTCCACCAGATACAATGAACAAAGCTTTAGAGAGAGAAAACATTTGAACATTTTACGGGCAGAAAATGGCCCACATACTCTATAGACAATACAATTTCCTTCAAGGCAAACTAGAACTATAAGGCTTTTGGTCTAAGAAGTGAGTGTGTGCAAGGGATACCTTTGCATACTAGGGAGGGGTAGACAACCCACACATTTAGCTTGGTTATTAAATGTCATTACTCAGACTTGACAGTTGATGACCAAGGAAGTAAGACTTTCACTAGAAGGGCTGCCCAGGTTGGAAAGCTGAGAGCAATCAGGGCCACCTCTTACAAGCAAATAAAGGTCTGTAGTAACTTAATTACAATCTCAGTCTCTAAGCCTTCAGGGTTGTGAAGCAGAAAGGCAACTCTGTTCAGGGACTCGTTAAACACCAGGTTTCCTTTGGGCACAGGCTATGACATTTGTGCCACTGTAGAACTGAATAGGAAATACAAGCAGTGCCATTCAACAGCATGACCACTTCCAAGGCTCACAGCAAAGCAGCTGATTATTGTATAAGAATCATATTTGGCCAATATGTCAGTGCCAGAAATGAGAGCTGGAACTGAATTCTCGATTCGAGAAACATAATCTAATAAATTCTTCAGCAGAGTTTATTTATTCAGAGAGAAAACAATCACAACAATAGCATATTTTGTCTGCTTACCTTGTAAGTATAGTTCTGAGTTTTTACACTTGTCATCTCATTTTTTCTTACAATATCCGCAATAAGGTTGATTGGATTACTAACCCCAGTTTGCAGATAAAGATTGCAGCTTAGAGATATTAAATATCTTCAAATCTCTCTGGCCATAAGACCTAAAACTGCATACAAAAATCTAAGAGACAGAGTTAGGACTCAAATCCATGTGTCCAGGGCTTATAATCACTATTCTGTACGATAGGCATGCAATTAAAGAAGACCTGCCTCAAACATTTTCTGTGTGACCTGAGGCAAGTCCTTTTATAGCTATAAACTAGGGACAATATTTGCTGTCATTTTTTCTACAAATGTCACAAAGAACAAATTTGAGCCTGTCGCTGTGAAAGAACTTAGCAAATGAAAGCATCCTAGGGAGTGTTTTAGATATCGATATTTTTATCCAATTAACTTTTCAAAATGAGTTTATTTGCTCACTGAAACTGAAGTACTTCAACGACGATTAAGGAAGTTTTACCTAGAACCACAATCAACAGTTTCTGGAATGCATCTGACAAAGCCTTCTCAATAGCAATCTGGGCTATCTTCCCTTTCATAGGAATGACAACGGTCTTAAATCCAACCCAAACTAATGGATTTAAGATGCCTATCTGAGTGATCATTGCTACATGTTGGTTAAAAAATAAAAATGCATCCACGAATCTTAGCTCATAATCTTCGTGATTAAAGGCAGACAGCACAAGGGTATGGTTGAACGTCTCTGTTATAGGTACATCCTGGCAGGGCCCATTTTTACTGCCTCCATCTAGTTGGGAAGTTCCTAAAGTACTAGAGGGAGACACAAGCCAAGAACCTGGCACATATCTCACATCACCCAGAGATTTAATTCATCAGTTAAGGCTACACTCCTATGGACCCCACCCTCCTATGCATCAAGGGCTGGAATCACTCACTGAAAAAAAGCTTTGTTGGCTGGACACGGTGGCCCATGCCTGTAATCCCAGCACTTTAGGATGCCAAGGCGGGTTGAGGCCAGGAGTTCAAGAACAGCCTAGCCAACGTGGTGAAACCCCATCTCTCCTAAAAATACAAAAATTAGCCGAGTGTGGTGGCACACACCTGTAATCCCAGCTACCTGGGAGTCTGAGGCACAAGAATAGCTTGAACCGGGAGGCGGAGGTTGCAGTGAGCCGAGATCATTCCACTGCACTCCAGCCTGGGTGACAGAGTAAGACTATTTTCAAAAAGAGGCCAGGCACAGTGGCTCATATCTGTAATCCCAGTACTTTGAGAGGCCAAGATGGGCAGATCACTTGAGGTCAGGAGTTTGAGACCAGCCTGAGCAACATGATGAAACCCTGTCTCTACTAAAAAATTTTTTAAAAATTAAAAATTGGCTGAGTGTGGTGGTGGGCAGGAGGGAGGTGAACTGCTTGAACCTGGGAGGTGGAGGTTGCAGTGAGCCGAGATCACACCGGTGCACTCCAGCCTGGGCGACAGAGCAAGACTCTGTCTCAAAAAAACAAAAAAGGTTTGGTACAGATAATCTGGCTCCTCCCTGGGCATCATCCATGAAAGCCTACTCCCCTCCATTAGCCTACAGCCCTGCCTCTGACTTCAAACCCTAAGCCTGAGGGCCATGAATACTAGAAAAAAATCTCAACGTCAGTTATCAATTGAGTACCCTTTCTAGTATCTCTAGTAGACTCTTGTTCCACTGAAGCCCTTCTACGAGTAAAAAAAAGGCTGAATGGGCCGGGCGCGGTTGCTCATGCCTGTAATCCTAGCACTTTCAGAGGCCAAGGCAGATGGATCACGAGGTCAGGAGTTTGAGACCGGCCTGACCAACACAATGAAACCCCATCTCTACTAAAAATACAAAGATTAGCCAGGCATGGTGGTGCATGCCTGTAATCCCAGCTACCCAGGAGTGTCAGGCAGGAGAATCACTTGAACCTGGGAGGTGGAGGTTGCAGTGAGCCGAGATCACACCACTGCACTCCAGCGTGCGCGACAGGGCAAGACTCTGCTTCAAAAAAAAAAAAAAGACAATGTTTACACAAAACTTTCTGTAAATCTTTACATGATGACTTGGCATGGTGGGTGGCTCATGCCTATAACTCCAGCACCTTGGGATCCTGGGGCAAGAGGATCACTTGAGGCCAGGAGTTTGAGACCAGGCAGGACAACACAGCAAGACCCCATCTCCAGAAAAAATAATTAGCCACATGTGGTGGCGCACGCCTGTAGTCCTGGCTAGTCAGGAGGCTAAGGTGGGAGGATCCCTTGAGCCCAGCAGTTTGAGGTTGCAATGAGCTATGAGCATGCTACTGCACTCTAGCCTGGGCAACAGAGCAAGACCCTGTCTCTAAAAAATAATAATAAATAGATAAACAAATCTTTAGATAATTTTGTTGGGATAACTGAAGGCTATAAGAGATACATATTTGAAGGACTATTTTAGACGAGATTGGGCGCGTTCAGGGTGGTATGGCTGTAGACTTGAAGGACTATTTTAATACAAAGCAAGTTCTTAACCGAAAACTGGAAAAACATTACTTCCTTCTTCCTCCTACGCTTCTTGGCAGGAAGTACACTGTACAATTTTAAATTTAAAGGTTCTGGCCGGGTGGGGTGGCTCACACTTGTAATCCCAGCACTTTGGGAGGCCAAGGCAGGCAGATCACGAGGTCAGGAGATCGAGACCATCCTGGCCAACATGGTGAAACCCCATCTCTACTAAAAATACAAAAATTAGCTGGGTGTGGTGGTGGGCGCCTGTAATCCCAGCTACTCAGGAGGCTGAGGCAGGAGAATGCCTTGAACCCGGGAGGCGGAGGTTGCAGTGAGCCGAGATCACGCCACTGCACTCCAGCCTGGTGACAGAGCAAGACTCTCTCTCAAAATTAGTTAATTAATAAATCAATTTATTAAATCAATTTATTAATTAATAAATCAATGTATTAAATCAATTTATTAATTAATAAATCAATGTATTAAATCAATTTATTAAAGCAATTTATTTACTTATTTAAAGGCTCTGTCAGGTATTGCCTAAGGTAAAAGTCTGTATTGTAAGACAGAAAACCTCTGCCCAGGACTTCAGTAGCTCAGAGAGGGAAAGGCTTGATATGTGTCTGAAAAGACAAGTTTTAGACAGCAAGAAAAAAGAGATCCTTCCCATTTCAACTCCTTACCCTCCTCTACCCCCAATGAAAACAGACCTTCCTTCGCCTTATCCACAGGCTCCTCCACCAAGCCAAGGCCAGACTCCTGCAATCATAGGATGGCAACACCACCTCTAAAGCACAGAACTTCAGGCTTTGCTTCGGAAGTGGCACCATGGTCTCTTCATTTTCCCTTTCTTCAAGGTCAGAAAACTGAAGCTGTTAGGAGTTTTAGTGTTAAGTTCCTTCCGAGGATGTTAATTAGGCTTCAAACTGTTTTGTTCTGAGAAATAAAAACTAAACTCCAGTCATTCAAGCTAACAGTTGAGGTGTTCTATGGCTTCAAAATCAAGTAAGATTTGTAAATGAATTGCTAGGTGCAACCATTACTTATTATATGCCACACAAACAGTGGAGAAAATTATGGACACCACCATCCAAGTGATTGAGATTATTAATTTTAGGTAGCAGGCCAATTCAGACATGTCCACTTATCCTCAATGGCAGGGGGCCTCTCACATCCCCTCCCTGTAACCCAGTTCAATACTTCTGTCTAAAGTCTAGAATTTCAATGTTGAAAGGAGAGCGTGGTTAGTGAGAGAAAATCCACAAAGTTTATCCTGATGATCCTTTCTGACCATCCATTGAAACCAAAGTAGTAATTCACCAGTTCTTGGCATCAGGAGCTGTTTCAGGCAAGGGCCTGATGTGCAACTGCCTTATGTCTGCTGCCAAGAGGAACCTAAAGTCACAAGAGACAGACCCACAAATATCACAGCCTGCCAGAGATTTTATTTTGGATACACCTGAGATTTATCAATACCAACTGTGCAAAGAAAAGAAATTGTTTCAGTCTTCCCATTCAGTAGCTCCTTCTTGAGAACATGACCTGAAGAATAGATAAGATGAACCCACCCATCCCCCACCCCAAGTTACCCCTGCTTAAAGAGGAAATACACATACCTCTATACATTTTACAAGCAACTAAAACAACTAGAGGTTCATCTGCATGTATAAGCTTCTTTGACAATGCAAATATCTACTGAGTGTTAATTCTTGAAATATTTTACACATTTCTGTGAATTTCTTACATCACCAGTTCTTTCTTATGTCTATTTCATTTTGTAAGTGTAGAATATGATTATATTCATGAAACTCAAATGATACAAATAGTCAAATTTATTGTATTAGAAATTAATAAGAATAGTAAAGTTAATTCTTTGTTGATTTGTTTATGCACCTTCCTCTGTCACTGGTTTATAAGCTCCATAAGTGCCAGAGGAAAACATATCTTATTCTTTTTTCATTCCCAGAACAAAGCACAGTTCTTGGCATACAATACAGGATAGATGGTCTGTTGATTGAGTGAATGAATAAAACAATGAGCAAGTAAAAAATGAAATTACTTTTTCCCACTGAAGAGAAAGAGAAACGCTTGTTGGGAAGGAGAAATGAAGACTATTTTTTTTTTTTTTTGAGACGGAGTCTCCCTCTGTCGCCCAGGCTGGAGTGCAGTGGCATGATCTCGGCTCACTGCAAGCTCCGCCTCCCGGGTTCACGCCATTCTCCTGCCTCAGCCTCCAGAGTAGCTGGGACTACAGGCGCCCCCCACCACTGCCGGCTAATTTTCTGTATTTTTAGTAGAGATGGGGTTTCACCGTGTTAGCCAGGATGATCTCCATCTCCTGACATCGGGATCCACCCACCTCAGCCTCCCAAAGTGCTGGGATTACAGGCGTGAGCCACCACGCCTGGCAATGAAGACTAATTTTTAAACGTTGAGTGCTACCACGGAGACCAGCCTGTAACATGAGTCACAGTGGAGACTTTCGGAACATCTAGGAAACTTCAGAAGGGCTCTGAGCCCCTGGGTGGTACAGACAGTTGTCACCTTGGATAACATTGCCACAGTTCTTGCTGGTGACCATTTCCCTTCATTTCACTGAAACAAAAACAAAAACAAAAAACCCTCACAGGTGCCTTAGGCCTTTCCTTGATTTTAAAACATTATTCTCTTTTCTGTATTTATAAAAAGCAAAAAAGACAGCAACTAGGTGTATGTGCTAAAGTAGAAAAGAACACTTAAGGCCAGGAGCAGTGGCTCATGCCTGTAATCCCAGCACTTTGGGAGGCTGAGGTGGGCAGACTGCCTGAGGTCAGGAGTTCGAGACCAGCCTGACCAATATGGTGAAACCCTGTCTCTACTAAAAATACAAAAACTAGCAGGGCGTGGTGGTGGGTACCTATAATCCCAGCTACTTGGGAGGCTGAGACAGGAGAATCTGGGAGGCAGAGATTGCAGTGAGCAGAGACCGGGCCATTGCACTCTAGCCTGGGGAACAAGAGTGAAACTCCACCTCGAAAAAACAAAAAATAAAAGGACCCTTAAACTAGATAACAGTGGGGGTCAAGTAGTAACCCAAGGCTCTGAGTTCAGTAAGTAAATAAATCTAATATGAATGCCCTCTCCTCTCACTCATCTATTAACTTGTAGAACATTTCCTTCATTACTGCATCAGCGATGAGCTTTATGCTGTGAAATTCTCAAAATCTAAAGCTTATGAAGTGGTCTCAAGGTCCAAAGCGCACTAAAAACTCATTACTTACAAAATGATGCCAAGTAACTGTTTCATCATCTTTACCATACCTTTACCATATTTGAGTGGCTATGTGAAATGGTCACAGGTTAGAAACACATCATCGTCCAAAAGTTAAATAATATTTCACAGGTAATCATTTCAGTCACAGGAAGTGGAACCAGGATTGAAGAGGGTGTTGAATAAGCTACAAAAGTGGGTATAGTATACCTGGAGTCATTACTAAGCAGAGTTCTCAGATTTGATCAAGGTTAATTCAATGAGAAATGGAATATAGACAATAGGCAACAAGATTAGCAGGAAGCAGTCAGATCAAGTAGCCAATCAGGAATTGAAATCGGTCCTTGAAAATGGAAAGGTGATTGAATTGAGGCATACAATGAGATATCATTCTGTGGCTCTGGGAAAGTAAAATTGGTTGGCATGTTAACATGGAATAGGATTTCTACAAGGCCGCTTAAAGAATGTTTCCATCCTCTGAGAACTGAAGGGAGTTCCAAATAGGCAGTTTGTGACTGATGATGAGCATGTTGATGATAAAGTCTCCTTTATATAACAGCCGGCAGACGACTTGGTCACGCCCACACATTTTAAATTCACATAAAGGTAAATATATGGTCAGGCGTGGTGGCCCACACCTGTAGTCTCAGCACTTTGGGAGGCGAAGGCGGGTGGATCATTTGAGGTCAGGAGTTCAAGACCAGTCTGGCCAACATGGTGAAACTCTATCTCTACTAAAATACAAAAATTAGCCAGGCATGGTGGTGCATGCCTGTGGTCCCAGCTACTCAGGAGGCTGAGGCAGGAGAATCGCGTGAACCCGGGAGGCGGAGGTCGCAGTGAGCCAAGATCGCACCACTGCCCTCCAGCCTAGGCAACAGAGACTCCGTCTCAAAAACAAGTCAATATAGCTGGGCATGGTGGCTTGTACCTAGCTACTTAAGAGGCTGAGGCAGGAGGATTGCTTGAGGTCAGGATTTACAGACCAGCCTGGGCAACACAGGGATATTCTGTCTCTAAAAAAATTTTAAAAAGTACCACCACCATGCCCAGCTAATTTTTTTTGTATTTTTAGTAGAGACGGGGTCTCACCATGTTAGCCAGGCTGGTCTCAAACTCCTCACCTCAGGTGATCCACCCGCTTCAGCCTCCCAAAGTGCTGGGATTACAGGCATGAGCCACAGTGCCCGGCCCAGAACTTGCATTTCTAACAATTCCCAGGTTGTGCTGTTTGGGGAACCATACTTTGAGAAACACTTCCCTATAATCTGATAGGTTATTTCCCCTAAGATCCAGATGAGTAAAAATTAATACACATTAGATGAAATTCCAGAAGTTATCTTCAAACTTTGCTACTCATTGAATGTCATGAAGATATTGGAAAAAAAAGAAAAAAACAAAAAACAACCTTGCTACTCAACAAGGGATTTGCTATTATCACATTTCAGAGAAATTCAGAACCTCAGGCCTAAACCCAGGCCTACTAAATCAGGATCTGCAGTTTCTCACAATCTTCAGGTGATTTCTATGGTCATTAAAGTTTGAAAAGCTGCCTCGAAACAGTCCTTCCTAAAACTGAAGTGGAGGTGCCACAAAAATCATCTGGTAAATTGTTTAAAGTAATCCCAAATGCAACTCAAATCTACAGAATCCCAGGTGAAGCTCAGTAATCTGTATTTTTATCCTTCTCCCCAAATAATTCTGATGTGCAGGCAAGTTTGAAAACCACTGCTTTAAAGAAAATGGATACTCCCCTTACCAAGCAGAAAGTAGGATTTTGGAAACTGATGCAAGGGAAGCAAAAAAGATGCCTCAGGAGGCACGATTACAACAGGATTGATGCAAACGGAAGCTGAAGCTTAACCAAAGACATTAATATACGCCCACAAAAGAAAATGCTAAGGAAGTCAAGTGGTCTGCATGAATTCTGAAGAAAAATGGAGAACCAAAGAACAAAATTTGTCAATGAACTTCCAGCACAGTCTAGGTTAAGGGAGTGAATTTCTTGACTGAATGGCACAGACTCTGTACCACCTGATTGGCTGTTACCTTAATGGAGGAATTATATTACAATGTATAGGTACTTTAATTAGAATGACCTGGCAGTTACTGAGGCAAAATTTTCCGCTCCTTTGTATTCTGTAATACAAGAAGGATCTACATGGATGTTCTGTTCTCTGAACTGTCTGGATGAACCGGTCAACGGCACTCATCATACCTTAGTTTTTAAATCTGCATTGTGGTCATAATCTGTTATTTAATTAATTTCTCGTATTTTTAATAAAAACTTTGCCTATATATTTTAGACAGAAATTGCCTTACTTTGCTGAAATGCTGAGAAATCCTAGACAGTTTTCAAGGCTGGGCTCAAATGTCACCTCTACTACCCTTTGCTGTGCCTCCTGGCACTGTGCTTCTGACACTTTGTACGGTCCTCCATGACAGCGTGAGCACAATTAAATTACAGGCAATTACTCATGCCCCCCTGGCTCATCTGTTGACTCCTTTAGAGCACAGATCATGTTTTATTTATTGTAGCAACTAAAACAATTATTTGTTCAACCAATGACACCCATAAACAAAACTACCTGCTGAGGGCAGAGATGCAGGGGTAAAGTCATGCCAAGATTGAACCCCAGAAACCACTGTAGATTTTTCAGAGTTGACTCCTGCGTTTTCAGACTTCTAGACTTCAAAAAACAACTTCTATAAAATGTATGTTTCTAGAAGGAAGAAGAGTAACATTGTCCCCCCCCCTTTTTTTTTTTTTTTTTTTTTTTTGAGCTGGAGTCTTGCTCTGTCGACCAGGCTGGAGTGCAGTGGTGCAATCTTGGCTCCCTGCAACCTCCACCTCCCAGGTTCAAGCCACTCGCCTGCCTCACTTCAAGTAGCTGGGATTACAGGAGCCCACCACCACACCCGGCTAATTTTTATATTTTTAGTAGAGACGGGGTCTCACCATGTTGGCCAGGCTGGTCTCAAATACCTGACCTCAAGTGATCCACCTGCCTAGGCCTCCCAAAGTGCTGGGATTACAGGCGTGAGCCACCATGCCTGGCCTATAGAGTGCTTTCTATTTGCCAGACATTGTGCTAAGCACTTTAAAATGCATTCTTTCATTTTATCCTCAGATCAGCTCCATAAAATAGCTACCATTATTACCTCTACATGTATATACATATATATGTATATATATGTAGATATATATACGTATATCTACATACATTGAAAGTCTCAGCAGTGTTTTAACTTTTGCTTTCAACCACTATACATATTTTAAAGAGCTTAAGAGGAGAAACAACCGTTTGCATTTTTAAATTTTCCCAGATACCATTTCTGCTGCTCTTTATCTCTGAAGTTCTAGTATTACCACTGGTATAATTTTCCTTTGGCCTAAAGACCTTCTTTTACTTTTATTTTAGAGCAGAACTTCCGCCAACACATTCTCTTAGATTTTCTTCATCCAAAATGTCTTTCTTCTTTTTCTTTTTGCCTTAATTGTTGAAGGGTATTTTTGCTGGATATAGAATTCTGGATTGACATTTCTCTCAGTACTTTAACGATGTTCTGTAGTTACTTGAATCGCTGAAAGGCTTAAAGTTGGGGACCAGCTCTATCACCTATACATTTTATAGAAAGGTTCATTACTTTCATATCTTCATTGTGGACCATAGCCTTTATCATCACAAAATTTGGTCTCATTTATGAGTTTTTAAATTTTGCTTTGAACCTAAACTTTTATAACTCCTTTCTATTTCCTACAATGTGGAGTTTATGGCGGACAGCACAGGCAGTTGGAAATATATATCTGGAGTTTAGAAAAGAGGTCTAGGTAGGAAAATGGATCTAGAAGTCATTGATATTTTGGCCGGGCGCGGTGGCTCATGCCTGTAATCCCAGCACTTTGGGAGGTTGAGGCAGGCTGATCACAAGGTCAAGAGATTGAAACCATCCTGGCCAACATGGTGAAACCCCGTCTCTACTAAAAATACAAAAATTAGCTGGGTGTGTTGGCACACACCTGTATTCCCAGCTACTCGGGAGGCTGAGGGAGGAGAATCACTTGGACTCAGGAGGCAGAGGTTGCACTGAGCCAAGATCGTGCCACTGCACTCCAGCCTGGTGACAGAGTGAGACTCTGTCTCAAAAAAGTCATTGATATTTTGGTGGTAATTGAGTCAACTGATAATTAGGGGAAAGTTGGGGAAACTAAATGCTGAGGACTATCACATGTAAGAGGGATGTTTGAAGGAGGAATAACTGGTCAAGGAAATCAGGTCATAAGTGGCAACAGGAAATTTAAGAAGGATGTAGTAGCCAAAGGTATCATACATGCATTGTATAGTATGTAGATATATATCTTTCAATGTATGTAGATATACATCTACATACATACACAATGTATGCATGTAGATATAATATACACTGAAAGTATAGATACATATCTACATACATTGAAAGTGTATATAGATATATACACACATACACACACACATATATACAATTATAAGGGGGGGCTAGAATAAAGAAACCTATATGTTTGCAATACTTTTACATTTTATTTAGAGGTAAAATGCTAACTCTAAGTAGGTAGGTTAGGTATATATTTTGTAATTCCTACAGCAAAAACATAGCACAGATATAACCAAAAGCCAATTAATAAAACATAACACTAAAAAATATTCAGTTAATCCAAAAATAGGCAGAAAAAAGAAACAGAAGAAACCCCCCAAAAAAGAAATAACCAGAAAATAATAAAAAGGAAACCTAAATCCAATCATCATCAATCATATTAAATGTAAATGGTCCAAAACACATTAATTAAAAGACGCTGTCAGATTACATTTAAAAGAAAAACGAAAAAACAAGAAACCATTTGAAAATATAATGATATGGCCAAGTATGGTGGCTCACGCCTATAATCCCAGCGTTTTGGGAGGTTGAGGTGGGCAGGTGGCTTGAGCCCAGGAATTCAAGACCAGCCTGGGCAACATGGCAAAACCCCATCTCTATTTTTACAAATTAAAAAATAAATGAATATCATGATATCTAGATTAAAAGCAAAAGGGTAGAGAAAGATATGTCATTTTAACACTAGTCAAAAACAGTATTATACTACTAATATAAAACACTAATTTTATATTAATATTAAGTAATTTTTTTTTTTTCCCCCGAGATGGAGTCTTGCTCTGTTACCCAGGCTAGAGTGCAATGGCATGATCTTGGCTTACTGCAGCCTCTGCCTCCCGGCTTCAAGCAATTCTCTGGCCTCAGCCTCCCAAGTACTTGGGATTACAGGCAGCTGCCACCGTGCCTGGCTAATTTTTGTATTTTTAGTAGAGACGGGGTTTCACCATCTTAGCCAGGCTGGTCTCGAACTCCCGACCTCAGGTGATTCACCTGCCTCGGCCTTCCAAAGTGCTGGGTTTACAGGCATGAGCCACGGCACCTGGCCTGTTTTGGTTTTTTTTTTTTTTTTTTCTTTTGAGATGGAGTCTTGCTCTGCTTCCCAGGCTGGGGTGCAGTGGCGTGATCTCGGCTCACTGCAATATCCAACTCCCGGATTCAAGTGATTATCTTGCCTTAACCTTCTGAGTAGCTGGGACTACAGACGTGTGCCACCACACTAGGCTATTTTTCTCTTTTTAGTAGAGATGGGGTTTCGCCATGTTGTCCAGTCTGGACTCGAACTCCTGACCTCAGGTGATCCACCCGCCTCGGCCTCCCAAAGTGCTGGGATTACAGGCATGAGCCACCATGTCTGGCCAAATAATGGTTTTTAATATAATGATTATTACCAGAAATAAAGGTTATTTCAGAATGATAAAGGGGTCAAATAATCAAGAGGACAAAACTGTAAATGTTTCTGCATCTAATAACAGTGCCTCAAAATACAGGAAGCATAAACAGACAGAATTTTAAGGAGAAAGAGAACAAACCCATAACAATCATTGCAGACTTCAACACTCCTTTCTCAGTAATCACTAGAACAAGCAGACAGGAAATCAGCAAGGATAGGGAAGACCTTAACACGATCAACCAACTTGACCTAATTATTATTTATGAAACACTTTACCTAAAGGCAGCAGAACACATCTTTCCTATTACAAACTGAACATTGACCTAAACAAACAATGTTTCAGGCCATATACAAACCTCTACATTTTTTTTTAATTCATCATAACGAGTATGTTCCCTAACCATAATGGAATTAAATTAGAAACCAACAACAAAGATGTCTGGGAAATCCCTAAATGTTTGAAAATTAAACAATACGTTTTAAAACAAATCATGGGTCAAAGAGTAAGTCATAGTAGAAATTTTACA
Organism: Homo sapiens; assembly: GCF_000001405.40. NCBI lineage: Eukaryota > Metazoa > Chordata > Mammalia > Primates > Hominidae > Homo > Homo sapiens. The sequence goes on from NT_167251.2 coordinate 255,609, forward strand.
ATATTGTGAACCAAATGAAAATGAAAATAAAACATGTATCACAAATTCTAAGATATGTTTTTAAAAGTGCACAAAGGGGCTGGGCGCAGTGGCTCATGCCTGTAGTCCCATCACTTTGGGAGGCCAAGGCAGACGAATCACCTGAGGTCAGGAGTTCGAGACCAGCCTGGCCAACATGGTGAAACCTCATCTCTACTAAAAATACAAAAATTAGCTGGGCGTGGTGGTGGGTGCCTGTAATCCCAGCTACTTGGGAGGCTGAGGCACGAGAATAATTTCAACCTGGGAGGTGGAGGCTTCAGTGAGCCAAGATCGCACCACTGCACTCCAGCCTGGGCAACAGAGCAAGATTTTGTCTCTAAAAACAAAAACAAAAACAAAAAAACGCATAAAGGAGCACAGTGGTTTAGCCTGGAATCCCAGCACTTTGGGAGGCCAAGGCAGGAGGATTGCTTGAGCAAAAAAATTCAAGACCAGCCTGGGCAGTATAGTGAGAACTCATCTCTATTTAAAAAGAAAGAAAGAAAAATCAAAGAAAATGAGGTATACATGCACAAGAGGATATTATTCAGCCATTTAAAAAGTGAAGTCATCTATAAAGCTTAAGGTTTGGAAAATAAAATCTGTTTGCAGCAACATGGATAGAACTGGAGGACATTATGTTAAGTGAAATAGGCCAAGGGCAGAAAGACAAGTATCACATATTCTCATTCATATATGAGAGATTAAGAAGTTGATTTCATGGAGATAGGCAGTAGAATGATGGTTACCGGGGGCTGGGAAGCAGGTAGGGATGAAGACAAGTTGATTCATGGGCATAAAAACTCAGCAAGATAGAAGGAATACGTTTCAGTTTTTATTTGCACAGTAGGGTGACTAGAGTCAACAATAACTTAGTGTATATTTTAAAATAGCTAGAACATTTGTTATCTTCCCAATACAAAAAAAAGGATAAACATCTGAGATGATGGATACCCTAATTAACCTGATTTGATCATTACACACTGTATCAATCTATCAAAATATTACATGTACCCTTATAAATATGTACACTCTACCTTAAGGAAACAGTGAAAAAAGAAGGTGTGGAACAACGACCACAACAAAATCAAAGAGGAAAATCTTTGTGAACTTGGGTTTGTCAGGCCAGGAATCAGCAAACCATGGCCAATCCACTACCTGTTTTTCTAATAATCGAAACAATATAATTGATAATTTGTAAATTATGTGAAATTCAAACTGCAGTGTTCATAAAGTTTTATTGGAACAGCCATTATCATTCATTTACATATTGTCTATGACTGCTTTCATTGCTACAATGGCAGAGCTGCAACAGGGACAGCAAGGCTGAAATATTTACTATCTGACCTTTTACAGAAAAAGTCTGGCAAGGTCTGGGTTAGGTAGAGCTGTTAGATGAACACCAAATGTGTAAAAGAAAAAATGTGGTAAATCAGACTTCATCAAAATTTAAAACTTATGCTCTGGGAAAAAGACACCGCTAAGACAATGAAACACAAGGCACAGATGGGGAAAATGTATGAACATCACACAGCCTAACAAAGCACTTATATCCAAAATATATAAAGAACTCTTACTACCCAACAGTAAGAAATTGGCCAGGCATGGTGGCTCATGCCTGTAATCCCAGCACTTTGGGAGGCCAAGGTAGGCAGATTGCTTGAGCTCAGGAGTTCAAGACCAGCCTGGGCAACATAGCGAAACCCCATCTCTATTAAAAATACAAAAATTAGCCACACATGGTGGCATGCATCTGTGGTCCTAACTACTTCGGAGGCTGAGGTGGTGGGAGGATCACCTTGAACCTGGAGTCGAGGGGAATGACAGGCTGCAGTGAGCCAAGATCATGCCACTGCACTCCAGCGTGGGTGAAAGAACGAGACTCTGTCTAAAAAAATAAAAGAGGCCTGGTGTGGTGGCTCACGCCTGTAATCCCAGCACTTTGGGAGGCCGAGGCAGGAGGATCACAAGGTCAGGAGATCAAGACCATCCTGGCTAACATGGTGAAACCCCGTCTCTACTAAAAATACAAAAAATTAGCTGGGCGTGGGGGCGGGTGCCTGTAGTCCCAGCTACTTGGGAGGCTGAGGCAGGAGAATGGTGTGAAACCGGGAGGGGGAGCTTGCAGTGAGTCAAGATCGCGCCACTGCACTCCAGCCTGGCGACACAGCGAGACTCCGTCTCAAATAAATAAATAAATAAATAAAATAAAATAAAAGAAGAATAACAATAAAGAAAGCAACCCAATTAAACATCTTAAATAAAGATTTTGGTATCTTGGCCAGGCATGGTGGCTCATGCCTGTAATCTCAGCACTTTGGGAGGCCGAGGCAGGCAGATCGCTTGAGCCCAGGATTCGAAATCAGTCTGGGCAACATATCAAAACCCCATCTCTATTAAAAAAAAAAAAAAAACTAGCCAGGTGTGGTGGTGCGCACTTGCAATCCCAGTTACTTGGGAGGCCGAGAGGTGGGAGGATGGCTTGAACCCAGAAGGTGGCGGCTGCAGTGAGTGGTGACTGTGCCACTGCTCTCCAGCCTGGGCAACAGAGCAAGACTCTGTCTCAAAAAAAAAAAAAAAGATTTTAGTATTTTTCCATAAACAATGATATACAGATGGCAAATCAAAAGATGCACATAAAAAGAGGCTCAGAACCATTAGTCATTAGGGACAAGGAAATTAAAACCAGAAGAAGCTACCACCATATACTTATTAAGGTGGCCAAAAAAAAAAAAAAAACTTGAGGCCAGGCGCAGTGGCTCACGTCTGTAATCCCAGCACTTTGGGAGGCCGAGGCGGGCGGATCACGAGGTCAGGATATCGAGACCATCCTCGCTAACATGGTGAAACCCCGTCTCTACTAAATATACAAAAAAATTAGCCGGGCGTGGTGGTAGACGCCTGTAGTCCCAGCTACACGGGAGGCTGAGGCAGGAGAATGGCATGAACCCGGGAGGCGGAGCTTGCAGTGAGCCGAGATCGCGCCACTGCACTCCAGCCTGGGTGACAGAGCCAGACTCCATCTCAAAAAAAAAAAAACAAAACCCTGAAAATATCAAGTGCTAGGGAGGATACAGAGCAACCGGAACTCTTCATACATTTGCAGGTAAGAATGCAAAATGGTACAGCTACTTTGGAAAACAGTTTTGGCAGTTTCTTATAAACATACAACCCAGAAATCATACTCCTAGGTATTTACTCAAGAGAAACAAGAATTGTGTTCAGACAAAAAACATTATGGAAATGTTTACGGCAGCTTTATTCATAGCTGCCACAAACTAGAAATAATTGAAATATTCAACTATTGAACAGATAAATGCACTGTGATACACTCATATAAAGGACTGCTACTCAGCAATAAAGAAACTACTGATACAACAACACAGATGAATCTTAAATACATTATGCACTGTACACGTATAAACTAAAAAATTAAAATACCTATTTAAAAGTCAAACGGGCCGGGCGCGATGGCTCACACCTGTAATCCCGGCACCATGGGAGGCCGAGGCCGGCGGATTACCTGAGGTCAGGAGTTCAAGACCAGCCTGGCCAACATGGTGAAACCCTGTCTCTACTGAAAATACCAAAAATTAGCCAGGCGTAGTGGCGGGCGCCTGTAATCCCAGCCACTCAGGAGGCTGAGACAGGAGAATCGCTTGAACCTGGGAAGCGGAGGTTGTGGTGAGCTGAGATCGCGCCACTGCACTCCACCCTGGGCAACAAGAGCGAAACTCTGTCTCAAAACTAAATAAATAAAGTCAAACAGTACATGAAAAAATAATATGATCAAGAGAGGTTCACTGCAAGAATGTAAGGGTGAATCAATATAAGATCTACTAATATAATTCTATGAATATACACTACTGTAATTAATATGTAGCATGCAGGAGGAAAACTATATGATCATCTTAAAAGATGCTAAGATGTCATTTAACAAAATATAATAGCCATATCTGATTTTAAAAAAAAAAACTTAAACAGAAAAAAAATTGAAATAGGTGAATATACTCAACACATTAAAGGTCTCAAACCAACAGTTAACCATTAAATATCTGCAACAGTTCCATTAAATTGGGATAGCATACTAAGATGCCTATCATTATAACTAACATTTGACATTGTTTTGGAGGAGGTGGTAGGGAATGCAATTTTTTTCTTTTTTCTTTATTACCCAGGTTCCCATCAATGGTAAAGGCAATGTAATTTGAAGAGAAAAAGGAGACATAAATATAAGAAAATCAGATGTGTACATGATTCATGTTTGCAGATGACACAACTTTATTCCTAGAATAAAGTTATTCCAATCAAAGCAAAAGCTACAAGAAACAATTAGAAAAAAGAATAGGTGGCTGAATTCAAAATTAATTTTTTAAATTAATGAGTTTTCAACTAGAAGTCCCCTAGCAGAGCAGGTATTTTCATAGACAAATTAAAGATTAAATAAGATATCATGGCATAAGTGAAAATATTTAGCAAATAAATTATACTTCATCCAATTTTGTAAAAAATACATACATATACATGTGCCAGGTGCAGTGGCTCACGCCTATAATCCCAACACTTTGGGAAGCTGAGGCGGGCGGATCGCCTGAGCTCAGGAGTTCGACACCAGCCTGGGCAACACGGTGAAACTCCATCTCTACTAAAAAATACAAAAAATTAGCTGGGTGTGGCAGCGAGCACCTGTAGTCCCAGCTACTCAGGAGGCTGAGGCAGGAGAATCGCTTGAACCCGGGAGGTGGAGGTTGCAGTGAGCCGAGATCGCGCCACTGCACTCCAGCCTGGGTGACAGAAGAGAAAAAAAGAAAAAGTATGTACTTTTTTGCTCAAAAGAAAAAAAAAAAGTATGTATGTATGTACACATGTCCACCCAAAGATGGTTACCTAATGAGAGGAACCAAAATATTAATGTTCTGGGTTTTCTAAATTTTCTACATTACTTTCCTGATAAAGGGAAAAAGCAAAAATAAAATGTAAAGGTTTTTTTTTTTTTTTTGAGATGAAGTCTCACTCTGTCACCCAGGCTGAAGTGCAGTGGCATGATATCGGCTCACTGCAACCTCCGCCTCCTGAGTTTAAGCGATTCTCCTGCCTCAGCCTCCCAAGTAGCTGGGACTACAGGCGCCTACCACCACGCCCGGCTAATTTTTTGTATTTTTAGTAGAGACGAGGTTTCGCCATGTTGGCCAGGCTGGTCTCCAACTCTCGAGCTCAGGCAATCCACCCGCCTCGGCCTCCCAAAGTGCTGGGATTACAGGTGTGAGCCACCATGCCTGGCCAAAATTTAAAGGTTTTACTAGATTTCCAGAAGCATTATTTATGAAAGTCAAAGCTTTTTTCCTAAACTAATTATCGAAATCACAGACTAAAGAATGTCAAGAGCTCAAAAATGGGGTGAACAAACTATGGCCGGCCACAGCCTGTTTTTGTAAATAAAGTTTTATTGGAACACAGCCACACTCATTTGTTTACTTATTGTCTATGGCTGCTTTCATCCTACCAGGGCCGAGCTGAGCAGCTGTGACATAGCCAGGTGGCCTGCAAAACCTAAAATATTTACTAATTGGTGCCCTAAGAACAAGTTTGCCAATCCCCTGATCATTAGATCATCTAGTCCATCCTATACTGTACAGGTGAGTAAACTGAGGTCCACACAAGAATGACTTCTCTATGGTCCAAACTCAAGTTAAGTAAGAAGCAAGGAAGACTCCATTTCCATGGTACTTTCCACCACTTGGCCAGGAAACTCTCAAAACAGACATCCTGCTGTTTGGGAGGTAAACCTCAGGGTCTCATATCACATCGCAAGTGAGTGTATTTGCCAATACATTGATGAGAAGAGGACTTTGGGCCTAGTCAGTATCCAAGAACAACTGCTAAAGGTCTGAGTAAACCTTAGTAGACTAGAAAAAGTTAATTTAAAAACCACACAGGCCAGGCGCAGTGGCTCACGCCTGTAATCCCAGCACTTTGGGAGGCCCAGGCGGGCGGATTGCCTGAGGTCAGGAGTTTGAGACCAGTCTGGCCAACATGGTGAAACCCTGTCTCTACTAAAAATACAAAAAAATAAGCCGGGTATGGTGGCATGTGACTGTAATCCCAGCTACCTGAAAGGCTGAGGCAGGAGAACTGCTTGAACCAGGGAGGTGGAAGTTGCAGTGAGCCGAGATCACACCACTGTATTCCCGCCTGGGTGACAGAGGGAGACTCCATCTCAAAAAACAAACAAACAAACAAACAAACAAAAAACAAACAAGCAAACAAAACACATAAGCACAGACTAGGGAAGGTTTAAAAACAAACAGATGCTGAGATCCCAGTACTTTGGAAAGCCGAGGCAGGCAGATCACCTGAGGTCAGGAGTTCGAGACCAGCCTAGCCAACATGGTGAAACCCCGTCTCTACTAAAAATACAAAAATCGGCCAAGCATGGTGGCAAGCACCTGTAATCCCAGCTACTCGGGAGGCTGAGGCAGGATAATTGCTTGAACCCGGGAGATGGAGGTTGCAGTGAGCTGAGATCACACCACTGCACTCCAACCTGGGCGACAGAGTGAGACTCCATCTCAAAAAAAATAAATAAATAAAAAATAAATCTGATAATACCAAGTGTTGGAGAGGATACAGAACAAGAGGATATGTTTCACAGTATTGGGGGCAGTGTTGGTTCAACCACTGGGAAATGTTTTTTTAAAGCGGGACATTCATATATCCAACAACCTAATAATTTTATTCCTAAATAAGAGAAATTCATTCAAGAATTCTTACGACAAATCTTTTTTTAATAACAAAAAACTGGTAACATTCACAATTGACAGGAAAATAGATAAATTGTGGTACTCACACAATGGAATGCTATTCAGCATGAAAATGAATGATGTCTAGCTACAAGAAATCATATACATCAGCAGTCCCCAACCTTTGTGGCATCGGGGACCAGTTTTATAGAAGATAATTTTTCCATTGGGGGAGGAGGTGGTTTCGGGATGTTTCAAGTGCGTTACATTTTTTTTTTTTTTGAGACAGAGTCTCGTTCTGTCACCCAGGCTGGAGTGCAGTGGTGCGATCTTGGCTCACTGCAACCTCTGCCTCCTGGGTTCAAGCGATTCTCCTGCCTCAGCCTCGTGAGTAGCTGGGATTACAGGCACGTACCACTACATCCAGCTAATTTTTGTATTTTTAGTAGAGATGGGGTTTCACCATGTTGGTCAGGCTGGTCTCGAACTCCTGACCTCGTGATCCGCCCGCCTCAGCCTCCCAAAGTGCTAGGATTACAGACACGAGCCACCATGCCCAGCCCAAGCACATTACATTTATTGTGCACTTTATTTCTATTATTATTACATTGTAATATATAATGAACTAATTATACAACTCACCATAATGTAGCATCAGTGGGAGCCCTGAGCTTGTTTTCCTGCAACTATATGGTCCCATCTGGGGGTGATGGGAGACAGTGACAGATCATCAGGCATTAGATTCTCATAAGGAGTGTGCAATCTAGATCCCTCAGATATGCAGTTCACAATAGGGTTCATACTCATATGAGAATCTAATGTCGCCACAGATCTGACAGGAGGTGGAGCTCAGGTGGTAACACGAGCAATAGGGAGTGGCTGTAAATACAGATGAGGCTCACTCACTTGCTGCTCACCTCCTGCTGTGTGGCCCAGTTCCTAACGGGCCATGGACCAGTACTGAGGGTTGGGGATCCCTGATATAGATGACTCTTGGTAATAAAATATTTAATAAATAGCAAGTCCCAGAAAACTACATATACCATATGTTATTTTACACGCCATGAAAATACAGACTAATAACAGTGTGTCATAAAGATTAAGATTAATCTTAATGGACCTGAGGTCCATTTAAGAAAGAAAAGCACACACTTCTTTAAGAACTGGGACTTTCTACAATTTGTTTTTGTATTAACACAGGACTCTAAACAAAAGTTACTCAAATGTTAGTAGTTGTTTTATAGGAAAATGGGTTAATAACCTTAAACTGTATTCTAAAGCTCCAACTATGACCATTTTGAATGCGTTTTAAGAAAACTGACACTTTTTAAGTCTTAGAAACTATAGTAGTCAGAGAAACTAAATGTACTGAGCAAGAAAAAGGGATGCCTTGGAAGAGGCTGAGGAAAGGAAGAGAAAGAGAGAGAGAGAGAGAGAGACAGAGGAGGATATGAGAGTTAATTTTAAATATCCTAATAACTGACATATGGAAGATGGACTGAAGTTAGGTTTCTGTAGCTTGGGATTGTATAAGAACCAATAAGAAAATTAGTTCTAGTTCAATATAAAGTAAAACAATAACTGGAAAGTCTCAAAATTGAATGGCCTGCCTTACAAGATGGTAAGCTTCCTATCATGAAAATATTTCAGTAAATAATATCACCAGCCACTAGGATTATTGTACAGATGTTTCTCATACTGAACATTTCCAATACTAAAATTTTCTCATTTTATGAAACTGCATATGCTATAACCTTCCATAATACTGAGTAAATGGCACTTACTTTTCCCCTGAGTTATTATTATCATTACTTTTTGGCCTATATATCACTCAATGGGCATACACTCACTGGTTTGATATCATTCTCCAAAGAAGCAAGGAAGTCTCCTCTCGTCACTTGCAGGCTTTCTGCTTTCTCCATGTCCACTTCCACTTTAGTACTGGCCTAAGAAGAGATAAAAACAAAATGTAAGGACTTCCAAGATTTAAGAATAGTTAAGAATATATTCAGTTTAAGAACGTAACTCTTGAGGATTTAAAAGCATATTTTCACACATAAAAAAATCTGAAATATTTGCAAACCATATATGTGATAAGGGATTAATATCCAGAATACATAGAGAACTGCCAAAATTGAACAACAAAAAACTAAATAAAAAATGGGCAAAGAACTTAAACAAACATTTCTCCAAAGAAGATATACAAATGGCCTTAAATAAGCACATGAAAAGATGTTCAACCTCACTAATCATTAGGGAAATGCAAATCCAAACTACAAAGAGATTTCACTTCATACTCATTAGGATGGCTACTACCACAAAAATGCAGAAAATAAGAAGTGTTGGTGAGGATGCGGAGAAATCAGAACCCTTATGCACTGTTGGTGGGAACATAAGTAAAATGGTTGAGTCACTGTGGAAAACAAAAATATGGTGGTTCCTCATAAAATTAAAAATAGAATTATCATATGATCCAGCAATTCCACTTCTGGGTATATACCCCCAAAGAACTGAAAACAGGGTCTTGAAGAGATATCTGTACAGCCTTGTTCATGACAGCATTACCCACAATAGCTAAAATGTGGAAGAAATCCATATGACCATTGACAGAGGAATGGATAAACAAAATGTGTTACGTACATACAATGGAATATTATTCAGCATTAAAAAGAAAGAAAATTCTGATATCCTGCAACATGATGAACCTTGAGGACCATACGCTAAGTTAAATAAGCAAATACTGTACAATCCACTTATATGAGGTTCCTGGAGTAGCTGATATCCAAGAGACAGAAAGTAAAATGGTGGCTGCCAGGGGATAGGGAGAGGAAGGAATGGGGAGTTACTGTTTATGGGTATGGAGTTTTAGCTTTACAAGATGAAAAGAGGTCTGGAGATGAATGGTAGTGATGGTTGCACAACATTAAGAATGTATTTAATGCCACTGAATTGTACATTTAAAATGGTTACACGGTAAATTTTATGGTTTTCTGTTTTTTTTTTTTTTTTTTTTTTTTTTTTTGAGACGGAGTCTCACTCTGTCCCCCAGGCTGGAGTGCAGTGGCGCGATCTCGGACGCTGCAAGCTCCACCTCCCAGGTTCACGCCATTCTCCTGCCTCAGCCTCCCGAGTAGCTGGGACTACAGGTGCCCACCACCACGCCCGGCTAATTTTTTGTATTTTTACTAGAGACAGGGTTTCACCATATTAGCTAGGATGGTCTTGATCTCCTGACCTTGTGACCACCCGCCTCGGCCTCTCAAAGTGCTGAGATTACAGGCGTGAGCCACCACGCCCGGACAATTTTATGGGCATTTTAAAACAATTTTAAAAATTGGAATCAAAGAAAACACATCTCTCAAATTCACAAATATATATATCCTCTGAACAAGTCCACTTCTAGTAATTTATCCCCTAAATATATTCACAAATGTGTACAAAGTTATATGTACAAGTATATCTACTAAAGTAACTTGTTATGAAAAAAGATGGGAAGCATATTAATAATGTCTACCAAGAGGGGATCAGTTATGTAAATTAGAACACATCTGTACCAAGGGACACTGTATAGCCATTTTAACTCATGAGGCATGAGTAAGAAAAAATACATACAGAGAGTAAGAACAGTGAAAAATCCATACAAAAAGAAAATATATACAGAAATGAAAACACAGCCATACTTGGCTGCATATCAGAATAACCTCCAGAGCCTTCAGAGATATACAGGCGCTCAGTCCCATTCCCCACGGGATTTTGATTTAACAGGCCTATTAGAGGGTCTTTATAGTTTTACCAAGTACCACAGGTGATTCTGGTACTGAACCAGGCTTAAGAACCATTACTCTAGGAGACCAAGAACCTAAAACTTTCATTTGTATTAATACATTGTGCTTCAGAATCTATGTGCCAGCTCCAAATAGTCTGCTTACTGCACCTGGAGCTAGCATTTAGACATCTGGAGAAGCATCAAGGCCTTTATCAGCACTTGGAGCTGCCTGGACCAGATGAGTGATTAAGATACCAACACGTGTTTTAAAGCGACTGGGCTCACTACCAATAGCACAAAACAACACAGCCTAATTTTTAAATTGGTATCATGGCTTTGAAAAAAAAAGCATTTTCAAAAAAAGCTGACTATAAAACAAACGCATGTTAAATAAATATCAACCTTCCATCAATTATTATGAAATATGAGTCATATTTTTTTTAGGAAGAGACTGTGAGACAAATGAAGTGACAGATATAAAAAAAAGTCATCCTTGTGGGATAAAAAGAACTATGGCAGGAAGCTGGGTGAAGATGGCAAACAGAACACAGTTATTTATCTTCCCTTCCGCCCCAAATCCCACAAAATGACAGAAAGTGAGACAGAAAGGCTACAAAGCATGAAAGAAATATCCATAAGTTTTAACTGTGATCTAACAGGAGTCTCAGAAGGAGAGAACAGAAAGAGTCATAGAGAAGAAACAATAAAAGACAGAAGAGAAAAAAATTTCCTATAGCTGAAGAAAGGTGTGCCTCTGCAGTTTAAAGGGTTCAGTGAGTGATGATCGGGATAAATGAAAAGAAGCACACATCTGTCCAGACCCACTGCTGTAAACTTTCAGAGCACCAAAGGTGAAGAGAAAGTCCTAGAACCTTTCTGAGGGACAAAACAGGTTTCCTGCAAAGAAACCAGAACGAGATTGGTATGATAACTCTCACTGGCAACACTAGAAACTAGAAGACAATGAAACCATGTCTTTGAAAAGACATTTGGATGGCTACCCTAGAAAATGATTCCTTGTGTGCACAGGGAGGCAAGTAAGCATTTTCACAACAGTATTTTTTCAACAGCCACAACCAGAAATAATCCATATGTTAAATAAATTATTCATTAATTCTATTTACTGAATACCTACCAGACACCAAGCACTATCTGAGGAACTGGAGTCATAGCAGTAAATAAAACAGAAAAGGTCCCTGTGTTCATGGATCTTATATTTTCCATTATGTGGCAATATTCTAGAATACTCTGCATTTGTCCAAAATAATGAAGGGGACTTACATACACTGACACAGAAAGCTATCCAAGGAATATTTGCAAGTGAAAAATGTAAACTGCAGTATAATTCCATTAATGTTCATTTTTTTAAAAAAGCACATACGTATATGAATGTAAATATTATATAAAGAAAACAAACTTCAAAGATATATCCCAAATTTTGGCTAACTCTGGAGAGGGAAAGGAAAGTGGTGTTAGAGATGGCCTTTCTCATTTTTCCCTATATGCTTTGACATTCTTGAATCTTTTACAAAAAGAAAGCCATCATCTATAACTTCTATACTTTTAAAAATAAAGTAAAAAGTAACAAAGAGACAAATATTTTACTTCAATAGAACAATTAACATTTAAATTATTGGGCTGGGCATGGTGGCTCACGCCTGTAATCCCAGCACTTTGGGAGGCTGAGGCAATAGGATCACCAGGTCAGGAGATCGAGACCATACTGGCTAACACAGTGAAACCCTGTCTTTACTAAAAATACAAAAAAGTAGCCAGGCGTGGTGGCAGACACCTGTAGCCCCAGGTACTCAGGAGGCTGAGGCAGGAGAATGGCGTGAACCCGGGAGGCAGAGCTTGCAGTGAGTTGTGATGGCGCCACTGCACTCCAGCCTGGGCGACAGAGTGAGACTCCGTCTCAAAAACAAAAACAAACAAACAAAAAAACATAAACATTTAAATTATTAATAGGGCTTATATTGGCACATATGAGGTTTGATAAATATTAATCGCATTTATTTGGCATTTCTAAGTTTAAAAAAAGAAAAATGGGCCTGGCACGGTGGCTCACACCTATAATCCCAGCACTTTGGGAGGCCGAGGCAGGCGGATCACCTGAGGTCGGGAGTTCGAGACCAGCCTGACCTACATGGCGAAACCCTGTCTCTACTAAAAATACAAAATTAGCCAGGCATGGTGGTGGACACCTGTAATCCCAGCTACTCTGGAGGCTGAGGCAGGGGAATCGCTTGAACTCGAGAGGCGGAGGTTGTGGTGAGCCGAGATCACGCCATTGCACTCTAGCCTAGGCAACAAGAAGAAAACTCCATCTCCAAAAAAAAAAAAAGAAAAAAAGAAAAATGGTGTCACAGGAAACAAGCATATCCGTGAAAGAATTATGATAATTAATAATATACAAATGTCTACAGTTCTTTATAGTTTATAAAGTATGTTCATACACACTATCTCATTTCACCATATCACATTATCTCATTTTATACTTATACAAACCTGGGGGTTTCCATAAGTTATAAAAGGCAGATACAGGACTTCCTTCCTAGATACCCTTATATAAAAGTTTTAACTCGGATTCAAACTTTTTGATACATCTGAAAGGATTCTACAAGATACAAACTCTCAGGCCAAAGGGAAGACAAGAGCTCTGACCGAAACATTAAAATCTCAACAAAGCTACCAGCCTCACTTTAAACACCTCTTTCCTACACAGGCCTAGGTTTTTACCATAATATTTTGCATTCTGATTCTCTTACAGTAAAACCGAATTCAAATGATAGATACATACAGCAGTATGAAAGAAAAATCTTGCCCATCTTTCAAAATTTGCCAAAAAATACAATAGATTTTAGGACTGAAGCTGGTATAAAACTTGTCATTTTGCTAATTATTAAGAAAAGACTCACCCAATTAATTGCTGAGTCCTTTCTTAAAAGTGAATTAAGATGGGTGTGGGGAAGAAGTATTTCAAAACAAACTGTTTTCAGGCACATAAGGAATTCTGTAAGTTACATAATTGTAAGCCATCAATATTCCAATTGTCAATTATTCCTACCTGCTCATTAAAATAAATTTTCTAAGGACTGCTCTTAGCTGACTTTTAGCATTTTATCAAAATTTGTAAAATTTTAAAAAGTCTATAATTCTGAATTTTTACTTTTTCAGAAAACCTTTTCTCATTTGTTTGAATTAGCAACATTTTTCCTGCATTTTATTTATAACAGCTAATCAATATAGAAGAGGCAGCATCTTTCAGCTTATACCTGCAGAAACTAATAAACTTGTATTTCAACACTAGCAAATATCAAGTGGTCACCCTTAAATTTCATAACCTTTTAAATCTGACCTTTCAAAGTTCTTATCATTCCTCTTAAATTAAGGGTAGAATGACCTTAATCAATCAAAAATTCTGCAAAAAAATAAGAAATAATTTTATGAAATTCTGTGAACATAACTTAGAGCTTTGACTCAGGTGGAAAGTGTATGTGAGAGAAAGTGTGTGTGTGTGTGTGTGTGTGTGTGTGTGTCCTCAGTTTATTTCCTCACAACAGATTAGAGAAAAAATTTGGGTTATGAATCTTCTCAACCTGAAGCAGAAATTCCTTTCAAGATAAAAACAACCAAATGTCACATGAATTTTAGTTGACCGCAATCATAGGTTCAAGTATAAATGACATGAACAACAGGTGTTTCTGACCAGATTTTCCACTTGTCTCAGAAAACCTGAAAAAACAGTTTAACAGGAAAGACCTGTTTAGTCCACCTGACTAAATCTTTCTTTAGGCCTCAATCTTTTGAAAAGGAAGCAAAATAACACCAATAATGGATTTTTAAAATACAAAGAAAGAACATCATAACACTTGTACGTTTTGAATGTTTTAAAGTTCAGTAACAACTTTATAAGTTTCAATTTAAATATTTATTCATCAATCACTATTAAAGCTACAAACATCTATAGCAATGGAAGACTAAAACTGTACTTCTTTTGTTTAGCCAAGGACGAGTCATTGGAAAAATAGTCTTTAAAGACCTTCTGACAATGCAGATTTTTTAAAATGCAGAAGATGAAATGTTAGTAATATTTCTTTTTGGGGGTAAGGTTAGTGTCTTACATAGCTTTCTCATCCCTAAAGTGCCTACATAGTTATTCCATTGATATGGTGAAAAGTTAGGAGCTGTTTGGTACAAGGAGCAATGATCGCAAGTCAATACATATCACCTGAAGCTTACAGATAATTCTATCATGTGGAAAAAAGTGATGGAAACATGAACTATTTGCACTACTGCTTACTTGCAAATCAGAAGGATAATATATTATGTACAAGGGTGACAAACATTTTAGCTTTACAATTAGAAAATGTGTAACTACAAAGAGTCAATAAAAATCAGAAATTCATATATTGAAAAGTACTGATATCCTCTCAAATCAGCCAATTAAAAAAATGGAGATAACTAGCATTTATAGAGTTTACAAGGCACTTTTATATAAAGTATTTGCTTTCATTCTCATAAAAATCTGATTAGATAGGTAGTGTCTCCCCTTGACAGGTCAGAAACAAAAAGGTGGAAGAAATATAATGCATAACCACACCTTCTGACTACGATATCTGCGATCTTCCCACCATCCCTCATTGCCTCATATGTAGATAAACCCAATATATGCTTGAAGAAAGCATGTTTCTTACTGAGACAACGGCTTAAAGTGAAATTTTGGGATAGGATTATTGTAGTTAAAATGACAGATGACTAAATAAGAGAAAAATTCCATGGCCAACACATATGAAAAATATGACAACTAGTAAACTAGTTACTGTGGATTACATCAAGATGCACCCATGTGGTCTGAGATGAAAGATCAGTATGGTAGGGACCAGTTTTCACACTGTTTACATCATTTTTCTTGAAGTTGCCATCTCTTCTTATTAAAACAGTATAGCATGGCCGGGCATGGTGGCTCACGCCTGTAATCCCAAAACTTTGGGAGGCCGAGGCAGGCGGATCACGAGGTCAGGAGATCGAGACCATCCTGGCTAACACGGTGATCCCATCTCAACTAAAAATACAAAAACTTAGCCAGGCGTGATGGTGGGTGCCTGTAGTCCCAGCTACTTGGGAGGCTGAGGCAGGAGAATGGCTGAACCTGGAAGGTGGAGCTTGCAGTGAGCCGAGATTGCACCACTGCACTCCAGCCCGGGCGACAGAGTGAGACTCCGTCTCAAAACAAACAAACAAGGAAGAATAAAAACATAGTCCCTGAATGGATCCATTATATAAAGACCCAATACAATATTCCCACACCATCCAAACCTTTGGCATTCTTGAGCTAGAACAAATCCACCTCTATTATGTAGGGAAATTATGACTTATGGATAGAGCGTGATTCAGAATAGTTACGTAAGTTTACTCATTTAAAAAATATTGGCTGGGCATGGTGGCTCACACCTGTAATCCCAACATTTTGGGAGGCTGAGGCGGGCGGATCACGAGGTCAGGGGTTTGAGACCAGCCTGGCCAACATGGTGAAACCCCATCTCTACTAAAGATACAAAAAATTAGCTGGGCGTGGTGGCACATGCCTGTAGTCCCAGCTACTTGGGAGGCTGAGGCAGGAGAATCACTTGAACCCAGGAGGCAGAGGTTGCAGTGAGCGAAGACTGTGCCACTGCACTCCAGCCTGGGCGACAGAGTAAGACTCTGTTTCAAAAAAAAAAAAGAAAAATAATTTACTGGACACCTACCATGTGCTCATTATTTAGATCTATTTGGGGTACTATGGGAGACTCTGAGGTGAATAAGATAAGGATTTAAAGTCTAGAACAAGGGCCAGCAAACTTCTGTAAAGTGGCAGATAGTACCTAAAATAAAAGCACTAAAATAGGCTTTGTGGGCCATGCAGCCCCTATTGCAAATACTCAACTCTGCCACTGTAGCATGCAGGCAGCCATAGACAGTACACAAATTAATGTGTACTGTTCCAAAAAAGCCCTTTATTTATAAAAACTGGTAGTTGGCTGGATTCCTGGTCTAGAACCAGTGATAGGATATACCCAAATATCTACATACTCAACCTAACTGTTCAGGCTTTTATTTCTTGCCTGAACTGTTATAAAAGCTCCCCCTCTTGTCCTGTGTCGCCAACTCCACTCCTCTAACTACTCCACTCGACAGAGCTGCCAGAGTGATCTTATGTTTTAACACTATGTCACTGCTATTCTTAAAACTCAATGGCTTAGCACTACTCACAGAAAAAAAGTCCATACTTCTTAGCAGAGTATAAAAGGCTCTTTGTGCTCCATCCCTACTTTAGTCTCCTGACTTATCCCCCACAATCTCTCTACCATCCCTCCCCTAACTTCCATGCTGAAGCAATACTAAACTACTCCAACGCACTATGCTATTCTGTGTCTCTGCTTCTTTGCATATGTTGTTCCCTCTACCTAAAAGGCCCTGCTCTACCAACAGACATGCATATGAAGGTTTCTCTCACCCCACAAGTTGACCATATCTGACATGCGTTCACTCTCTTGCCTTGCATGTACTTTCTGTTACTGCACGTGGAGGGTTAGACTGAGGGCAGCTTAATGGTAGGTACTTTACTTCTTTGCAGTTGGGGTATTAACTCCTAGCACAGGGTCTAGCATGCAGTAGATGCCGAATAAATCTACTGTGAACCAAAGTCAACTGACAGTACCATAAATGATACATTACTATTTCAAGAAGGAAACGGGTATAACATTCTTGAAAGGGAAAATGTGAAAAGGTGTGAGGACAGTGGTAGCATATGAGCCAGGTTTTGAAAAGACAGGTAAACGTAGAGGATGAAGATCCTCAGTGATGCAAAAAAAACAAAACCAAAGCAGAGATGTTGAAAAATAAATTAATGTCTGATGACCGGTGATTATTTAAGTTTGGCTGAAGTATGTGGAGAATAATCAGGAGCACATTTGGAAAGGCCAGTTAGGGTCAGATCTAGAGGACCCAAAAGACCCAAAAGAAGCCTGTACTTTGTTTTGTAAATGATGGGGAATCACTGAAAGTGTCTGAATGGTTGAATGATATGATACAGGAAGGTTAATCAAAGAGAAGGTGGGTAGTGGCAGTGAGAACTAAAAGGCACTGCCAAGACAGAACTGAAAAAATTTGGCAAGTGACTTGACCTAGGGCACAGTAGAGTGTCAGGAATCAAAGATAATCCTGATGTTTTAAGCCTGGGAAATTGGGATAAACAGGGAAATGCGAGCAGAAAGGAAAGTAGTAAAAAAGACAATAAATTTGGTTTTGCAATATTAAATCTGAGACCTGATAAAACATCTAGGTGAGGGTATTTAGTACAAATCTGAAAGTAGGAGACAGATATGTTCAGTAAATCTGTCTACAGGTGGTAACTAAAACCTAAAGGAGAGAAGAGATGGAAGATCAAGAGCACTTTATCAAAATAAAAGTATCCTAGTACGTATTTCTACCATGGTAACTACAATATTATTGTACTAATTTGAAAATATGTCCATCTTCCTGACTCTGAACTCCTTGAGGGAAGAGTTCACAATTATCTTTATGTCTCCAGCCCAATAGCTTGAACACATCAACTATTCAATATATTTGCTGAATAAAGCAGCCCCCAAAATTCTAGTACGTGGAAACTACCACTTCCTCTGACATATTACAACTTTTTTTTTTTTTTTGGAGACGGAATCTCGCTCTGTCACCCAGGCTGGAGTGCAGTGGCGCAATCTCAGCTCACTTCAAGCTCTGCCTCCTGGGTTCACACCATTCTCTTGCCTCAGCCTCCCGAGTAGCCGGGACTACAGGTGCCCGCCACCATGCCCGGCTAATTTTCTGTATTTTTAGTGGAGACGGGGTTTCACCGTGTTAGCCAGGATGGTCTCGATCTCCTGACCTTGTGATCCGCCCGCCTCAGCCTCCCAAAGTGCTGGGATTACAGGCATGAGCCACCATGCCTGGCCATATTACAACTTTTAATACAATACAAAGATTTAAAAACACTTCTTCAAAATTTTCACTTTACGTGTCTGTGTCAGATGGTGATGACCTAAGGTAGATGAGTCAGTGGTTACTACAGGGCAGATGCAAACATTATCTTCCTTCCTGCTACTCTGAAGATTTAGCAGTTGACAATTAATTCTTATTCCTTTTACCATCTCTTCTCCACCAAAAGTCAGCATTTCCCTACCCCTTGATATGCTTGAAAGGAAAGAGAAAGAATACTGGCATAATGTTTATAATCTGTTTAGCTGATTTTCCTGACCTTTATGTGTCTATTCATAGCAGTGGACTGGGCTGCTCGCACCAGACCCTCCAATTCAGCACCACTGAAATTCTTGGTCTCCACGGCCAGTTCTTTAATGTCTACATCAGCAGAGAGTAACTGATGCCCTCTCATTCTTGCTGTGTGGATGTGAAGAATCTGTAGTCGGTCTTTCTCATCTGGCAAGCCTGATGAAATTAAAAATAAAATAGGCATTTTCCTAGTCTCGAAAGCACCATCAGAGGAGATTATCATTATTATTATTATTATTATTTTGAGACAGAGTCTCGCTCTGTTTCCCAGGCTGGAGTGCAGTGGTACGATCTCAGCTCACTGCAACCTCTGCCTCCTGGATTCAGGCGATTCTCCTATCTCAGCCTTCCGAGTAGCTGGGATTACAGGTGCACACCACCACACTCGGCTAAGTTTTTTGTATTTTTAGTAGAGAAGGGGTTTCACCATCTTGGCCAGGCTGGTCTCGAACAACTGGCCTCAAGTGATCCACCTGCCTCAGCCTCCCAAAGTGCTGGGATTACAGGTGTGAGCCACTGCGCCCAGCCTAGAGGAGATTATTATGATCCTAATGTTTTCCTTATAGGTACTCAAGCATGTAAACATCTACTTCTCATGATATAAACCTTTTCTAAAAAATACTACACCATATGACATTGTTCCTGTTAATGAACTCTAAATGCCTCCACTCCCCCCACCACACACCCAATCAGTGACAGATCTCCTTACCTATCTCCATTTTAACTTCCAGTCTTCCAGGTCTAAGAAGAGCCTCATCTATCAGATCTGGTCTATTGGTCATTCCTGAACACAGATGTTAAAACAAAACAACAAATGATCAGAGTTCAAAAATAAAATCAAATGTCCTTTTAGTATATGTAAGAATAGTAATTTCCCTAACAAGCTAAGGAGACTTTGCTTTACTATTTCACTACTGTATAAGCCAATGGAATATAAGTGTTATGAAAACTTCCAGTATTTAAAAAGAAAATTTAAGATTCAAAGGGTAAATAATCTGTCAAAGTGACAGAGGGGCAATGTGACACGATCTCTCTGACTCCAAAGTTCCTTCTCTTTTTTACAGGCCAGTGGTTTTCAGACTTCATAAAACAGCAGGGTGTTTTTTTTTTTTTTTCCCCAGAAGTCATCTTCAGAAGCACCTCAGTACATAAAACAGCTAAAAGAGGAAGTTATAATAGTGATGTAGGATCTGAAACGCACTCCCGGGCCCTCACTGACCCTGAAAGCACCTCTGAGGACCCCCGAAGGCCTGCAAGACCCAGTTTGAAAACCACTGCATTCCATTGTTTCATGTGTATTTTTCATTTTTGGGTGAGCTATAAGCTTCAACCTACATCTTTTTCACCTGTGGGTGAGCTATAAGCTTAAACCTACAAGTGACTGAAATCCATCTTTTATTTTTCCTATTAAGCCTAGGCATTACAATAGATTCTTCAATATCACTGGATTCTAATTTGGAAACACTGGCAAAACAGTTTAATCACAACCTACACACATCTTAATTCAGAACTTATGGCTAACGTTTTTGAATGAATAGTACTTTTTTAAAAAGTAAACATACCAATGACTAGGATGTTGTTTAGCTGCTCCACGCCATCAATTTTGGACAGCAACTGGTTGACAACAGTGTCATGAACTCCCGTGCTACCAGCCATGCTCCCTCTCTGCTTGCAGATGGCATCAATTTCATCAAAGATGATGATGTGCAAACCACTGTTAGCACCAAGCTATTAGGGGAAGAAATTATATTAAAGATCATAATTTGAATGTCTTATTAAACAAACTAATCAGAAAAACAAAACAAAGCTTTCAACAGATTGACTTCGCTTCATTTTGACTAATAAATATGGCAAGTGCAATTGTGGTTGTTGTCCTCTCAAAGGTGTTGGAACTAGATTCTCAGAATTCTGCAAACTGAAAACTCATTCTAGAACCTCATATTTAATAGCTATAAAATGAAAATACACATTATATACTGATAGTGTGTGTGTATAGATAGAAAGTAAGTAGTCGATCAAATAATTTATATACATTTCTTATCTCACTATTTGAAAGACCTTACATTTGTCAGATACTTTCATTAAGTCAGTCAGTGGCAACACCCTCCCATTTTCCCTGAGTTTTGGTGAGAAGACTGTCCCAGAAGCAGTAGGTTTAATGTTTGTTTCGTTATATTATGTAACTAAAGGTTAACTCCACCTACAGGTTGACTGGGAATTGGACAAATGAGTGAAGAAACTCAACATGACTCACATGTACTTATATTACATGAAAACAGATTACGCCTTCCTAACAATAAAGTGAGAACAGAGACGGTTTATAAAAAGAACATGGTTAACAGGGTGCTGTTTCTTCTGCATAATGATTTCTGCCTTAGTTTACTAGAAATAGAATCACCATTAAAAGAAATTAGTTTGTATATTTTGAATCTTTAACAGATACAAACACTTCTGAATGCTACTAATTCATTAGGTTAATTTAACACGTACCTTCTAAAATTTATATTTAAGTAATTTAGTCTCCTATCAGGGAGTAAAGTGCACTCTGGAAATTTTTTCTTTTATAAACAAAAAACACGGCCGGGTGCGGTGGCTCCTGCCTGTAATCCCAGCACTTTGGGAGGCAGAGGAGGATGGATCAACTTAGGTCAGGAGTTCGAGACCAGCCTGGCCAACATGGTGAAACCCTATCTCTACTAAAAATACAAAAGTTAGCTGGGTGTGGTGGCAGGTGCCTGTAATCCCAGCTACTCTGGAGGCTGAGGCAGGAAAATCACCTGAACCCAGGAGGCAGAGGTTGCAGTGAGCCGAGACTGCACCACTGCACTCCAGCCTGGGCGACAGAGTGAGACTCCGTCTCAAAAACAAAAAACACTAGGGATTAACAAAACTGGTAAAAAATGAACATAACCTAAATATGACAACATACGGATAATAAAAATTAAATGAGCATAATGAGACTGAGGATTAAATATGGTTAGTATCCATTAAATCTCTGATAAGGATATAATCGTTGTTTTGTTTGTTTGTTTGAGATGAAGTCTTGCTCTGCTGCCCAGGCTGGAGTGCAATGACGCAATCTTAGCTCACTGCAACCTCTGCCTCCCGGGTTCAAGTGATTCTCCTGTCTCAGCTTCCTGAGTAGCTGGGATTGTAGGCATGTGCTACCACTCCTGGCTAATTTTTGTATTTTTAGTAGAGACGGGGTTTCACCATGTTTGCCAGGCTGGTCTCGAACTCCTGACCTCAGGTGATTCACTCAGCGCAGCCTCCCAAAGTGCTGGGATTACAGGCGTGAGCCACCATGCCCAGCCTAATCTTTGTTTTAATAAGAGAATGTTTTTTAACTTTTTAAAGGAGTAGTAGATTTGTTAACAGAGCAAAAGTTGTAAAACAAATAAAGTGTAAAAATAAAGCTGGGCAGAGTGGTACGTGCCTATAGTCCCAGCTACTCTGGAGGCTGAGGCTGGAGGAATCCTTGAGCCCAGGAGCTGGAGTCCAGCCTGGGCAACACAGTGAGATTCCATCACTAAAAACATAAATTAAAATATACTACATTTGCCATGGCTTGTGCCTGTAATCCCAGCTACTTGGAAAGCAGAGGTGGGAAGACTGCTTCAGGCCAGGAGTTCAAGACCAGCCTGGGCAACATAGTGACATCCCATCAATAAAGACCCATCTATAAAACATCATTACATTACCTAAAGATAAGTGCTGTTAATGGTCCACAGATTTCTATATTTTAACTAAATATTAAGAACTTACTGCACCTTGTATTCTCTTGAATATTATTCTTTGAAAACGATTTTCAATGGTTATTTTTGCTTCCAATTGCAAAATATATAATTATAAAAAATGTGGGAAAATAGCAAAAAATAAAGAAATCACAATCATCTCAAACTCAGCCAAAATGGAGCTATGTAATACCTTGCATCCTGTTTTTCAGTACAGGTATTATTTTAAACCCTTTCCCATCCCTATACAATATATATATATATATATATTTTTTTTTTTTTTTGAGACGGAGTCTCACTCTGTTGCCCAGGCTGGAGTGCAGTGGCGTGATCTTGGCTCACTGCAAGCTCCGCCTCCCGGGTTCACGCCATTCTCCTGCCTCAGACTCCCGAGTAGCTGGGACTACAGGCGCCCACCACCATGCCCGGCTAATTTTTTTTTTGTATTTTTTTTTTAGTAGAGATGGGTTTCACCGTGTTAGCCAGGATGGTCTCGATCTCCTGACCTTGTGATCCGCCTGCCTTGCCCTCCCAAAGTGCTGGGATTACAGGAGTGAGCCACCGCGCCTGGCCGATGATATGATTTTTAATAGCTCTATAATATTTAATCATATGAATGGTTTCACAGTTTAACTCTCCTACTCCATATTCATTCCTTACTGTTAGATATTTAATTATTTCTAAGTTTTTAGTATTATATATGTTGCTGCAATAAACATTTTCTTTTTTCATTCTTTGTAGAGACAGGATCTCACTCTGTTGCCCAGGCTGGAGTGCAGTGGTGCGATCAAAGCTCACTGCAGCCTCAAACTCCTGGGCTCAAGCAATCCCCCACCTCAGCCTCCCGAGTGGCTGGGACTACAGATGCGTGCTACCACGCCTGGAAAATATTTTATTTTTTTTTGTAGAGATGGGGTTTTGCCATGTTGCTCAGGCTGGTCTTGAACTCCAGGACTCAAGTGATCCTCCTGCCTCAACCTCCCAAAGTGCTGCGATTACAAATGTGAGCCACTGTACCCAGCCTACAATGAACACTTTTATACTTAAACGCTTGACAATATAGATGAATACTTGCTAAAGGCAAATTGTTAGGTTAAAAGGTGTGTTAAGTATTTTAAGGCCCTTGAAATAGGAACACTTGAAAAAGTAGAAACACTTTTCCAGAAAGGTTTTATCAATCTATAATCCCAGCACAGTACCTGATAGTGCCTATCTTGGTATATTCCCACAAGTAATGAATATTAGAAACACTTTAAAAGTAATTCTCAATTTGATAGATGGACAATAGTATCTTTCTGTTGTTTTTAAATCACATTTATCTAATTACTGAAGGGGCTGGTGCTGTTAAAAAATCATGTTTTTACCATTGGTAATTTTATTAGTATTTGATATGTCTTCTATACCCTTTTCTGTTGAAATTCAAGAGCTTTTCCTATTGATTAAAAAATGATTTATACATTAGGGCCATTATTATACTTGTAACTACTTTATTCTAGTTTGCCAGTTGTCTTTTCTTTATGGCATGTGTGCATATATATAAGTATATATATTTTTTTGAGATGGACTTTCGCTCTGTCGTTCAGGCTGGAGTGCAGTGGTATGATCTCTGCTCATGCAACCTCCGCCTCCCAGGTTCAAGCGATTCTCGTGCCTCAGCCTCTCACATCTGGGATTACAGACGTGCACCATCAAGTCTGGCTAATTTTGTATTTTTAGTAGAGACAGGGTTTCACCACGTTGGCCAGGCTGGTCTCAAACTCCAGACCTCAGGTATTTGCCCACCTCGGCCTCCCAAAGTGCTGAGATTACAGGCGAGAGCCACTGTGCCCAGCCTATTTATGGTATATTTTCGGTAAGTGGAAGGCGTTTTCTGTTTCTACTAAACAGCCAGCACAATTTTTATTTTTATGATATTTTCATTAGTTTTATCCTTAAAATTGTTCCCCATTACAGACACTGATGGTCACATATTTTCTTTTCTTAAATTTTTGCTTTACATATAATTCTTTATCTGGTGTTTTATTTTTGTGTATGGTACAAGAAAAGTGAGAAGCCAACTAATTCTTCTTCAAATAACCGACCCAGCATTGTTCCCTAAATTATCCCTCCTTTCTTCGTTGACTGAGCTGCCATCATACCAAGGTTTGGACTTTGATGTATGCTAGGTTATTACCAGCCTGTCTACTCTGCTCAATGGATTCATTCATGTTTTTATCTCCATAACTTTACAGTAGTACATTGAAGAAGCTCTTCTCCTCTATACATTCTTCTTTTTCATAACTATCTTGGCTATTTCCAACCATGTGTATTTCCAAATGAACATCAGAATCATTCTTATGAGGCGGAATAACCTCCACCAATTAAAAATAAAAAAATAAAGAACAGACAAAAACCCAAGCTCTGACTGAAATTAGGTTAAATATCTAAGTTTAGGAAATACTAAAATCTGTATAGCATATTTGGTTTTTTAGAAGAATAATGCCTCTCCAATTATTCAACACTTTTACGTCTCTCAGTAAAGTTTTAAAATTTATTTTTATTTTTATTTTTAGAGATAAGGTCTCACTATGTTGCCCAGGCTGGTCTTCAACTCCTAGACTTAAGTGATCCTCCCACCTTGGCTTCCCAAAGTGCTAGGATTACAGGCGTGAGCCATTGGGCCCAGCTTCCCAATAAAGTTTTATAGTTTTTGTTGTTTAAATTCCTTCATTCCTTCATAAAGATTCCTAGCTATGTTTTTTGGTGGCAATTGTGATGGGATTTTTCTATTATATTTCAGAAACAGTATAGAAGTATGAAGGAAATATATTTTTATGTATTTATTTTATATATGGCTACTTTACTCTTATTTATAATATCTAAGTTTTTAAAAAAATCTGACTCTTTTGAATTTCCTAGGTAGACAATCATACCACCTACAAATACAACTTGTATCCTCCTTACTAACAGGTATACCTGCTTTTGGGTATGAGAAGCTGTACCAAAACAAAGACATATAAAAGGGGAAAGAGAGGGTCTAATAGCTAAGAAGTTAGAAGCATGTGGGTTCAACTGAACAGAAGGCCCAGAGGCAGTCAAGGTCCTATAAAAGGGATAATAAAATTTACCTAATGTGAGAAGCAGAAGTTATAGTACTATCATGACAGACTGAAATCTAGAATTAGGCCTTCCTACTGAAACAGAGGACATCAGTAAATGAACTGCAAAGTAGAATGCTCTTTATATAAAATGATTTTATTCTTGGCTTTAGGATGAAAAGGAGTATGCACTTGGAAGGTCACTGAGAAACAAATAATGGTACATAAATGAGGCAAGCAGAATCTAAACAGAATGAGAATTTTGGTGACAGGAGTGGTGATGACCAAACAGCAAATGCTAGATTTGATTATTGCTTGCATGTAGGGTGGAAGACTGACGGTGAAGAAAAGAAATTACCCTGTAGTATGATAAGGAAGCTGCAGAAGGGAAAAGATACAAGGGAATTTTTTTTGTTTGTTTGTTTGTTTCTAGCATGATAAGATTAAAGAGTTAACAAGACATCTATTTGGAAAGGCCTCCAAATAGAGAACAAGATATACACAACTGAATAAAAAAGGATAGCAAGATACATCTGAACGTCTTCTGCAAATAGTAAAGAATAGTCTTGTAGCAAGCCGTAGATACCGTAAGAAGATGGATCATATAATTAAGCTGGAGGAATATAAAAGCAGGACAGATTCTGGGCTACAATACCAGAATATACCTATAGTAATCTGAAGAAAAGGGGGAATAAAAAAATGACAAAGATGAAAGATGAAATGTTACATCAGACATAGGAAGAAAGAGTTCCAAAAATGACCTGAAGGAAATTCAACTGGGTCAAAAACAAACCCTGAATATATATTTTTAAATAAAAAATAGATAAAATGCTATATGACCTAAAAATTCCACTACTTGGTTTATAGCAGCTCTGCTCATAATTGCCCCAAACTAGAAAACAACCCAATTGGCCTTCAGTGGGTCAAGAGATAAACAAATGATAGTACACCCACACAATTAAATACTATTCAACAATAAAAAGGGATGTTTGACACATGCAACAACTTGGATGAATCTCAAAGGCATTATGCTGAAGACAGCCAGTCCCCAAAGGTTACATAGTGTATGACGCCATTTATATGACATTCTTGAAAAGATAAAACTACAGGGATGGAGAACACATTGGTAGTTACCAGGGTTACTAAAAAGAAAGGGTGACCAGTAAGGGACTGCATGAAGGAGTTTTTGGGGGTGATGCAAATGTTCTACATCCTGATTTTTACAGTGGTTCCATGAATCTATACATGTATGAAATTTCATAAAACTACATACAAAAAGAGAAAAATTCATTTTACAGCATAATAAACCAGATAAAATAATAATAAATTCTATTCTTTAATGCAATTGTATGTAGGATGACAGATGTCCATCAAAGTTTCTAAAGTTTCATTAGGTTTTATTTTTGTTCCTGAACATTACTTACAAATTGTTCTCCCTCCATATTTTAAAACCTAATTTCAAATCTGAGGGAAAAAAACTTCATTTTTCTGTATCATTGCATTTACTGAATAGATATCTAATGATAAATAACTTGCTTCCTAAAAAAAAATTCAATACCAAAAACTGTTCATCTTTCCATCTGGAGAAAAAATTGGAAATGAGGAATTGGAACTACAACCTTAACTTTGCCAAAGTACTTCTATACAGCAGGATATTAATTCTTGTCATCTTCAGTGACAACAAGGATACTTCTGTTTGTGACTGAAAAACTGTGAAATTTTACATTATTTTTTAAAGTTTTTTTTTTCTTCAAGGTTGTCTGCCCTATACAGCATGAAACAAAAAGCTGCTATAATATATGAGTTTTACTGTCAATGTGCCTTATGTTGTTGATGGAATCATGATTTCCTTCTCAGCCCAACCTCAAAAATCACGTATGTGGACAAGGACAAAGACAATACGAACACTGTTTGATTAAATGATCACGGAGGCAATCTGTTCTAAACATAATTCAGTACAATTCTGACCTTTTCAGAACCTTACTAATCTTGTTACCTGTCATCAGGTCCCTTACCCCACCTAGTCAGTACAATAACATCAAATTTTACATTGTGTGTTACTTAAATAAAAGCAAGATCTTATTCCAAGAAATTGGGAATTGGGTAAAGAAGATGTCAAGATTAACGTTCACAGACTAATATAGCTGATTCATCAATAAACCCTTTATCAAAAAAATTAAATTTCCACAGCACAATCCTCTTCCATTCATTGGCTTCTAGCTCTGTTTTTAACATCTGCAAAGTCTTTCTCCATAGAAACAGAGCTGACGCTGTTGAGCCCTGGCAACAGCTTTCAAAAGCGGCTGTTCTGTATTTAACTAGTTTGACCTATATGCAAGTGTTCATCTCCGTCAGTGTGGACTGTCCAAAATTACAGAAGTGATGTTTTTCTTTATCATGTAACACACATATATATCCTGCATGAGGTCATTAGCTGAGTACATCAAGCCATTTCTGGATGTGAGAAAGGTATAACTGAAAAGGCTGGCTATAATTAATATCGAACTGGAAATTCTTTGCTAACTCAATTTTATCATCAGTAGTTTAATATTTAAATTGCTTGCAACTTTAAAAACAGCACCAAAGTTACCTATGTAGCCATGTGGTAACTATCACAACTGAGATGTTATAAAATGCTTCTCCATATGGCATTTTAACTCACTTCTGCCTAGTGTTTAATCCTCAGTATCTCATTAGGGTCCGTTAGACCCAATCTCAGTTTCTGAGTTTCTGTTTTAAGTAGTACTATTTATAAAAATTGATATCTCATGACTTTTTTCCTTTTTCCAAAGAGCAAACAAACAAAACAAAAAACCCAATATTTAAAAAAATAGAATAAAATTCTATCTTACAATTGCCATTTGGATCTACTAGATCTTTTTATGAATCTAAGACACATTATGCTATTTCATCACACTAGAAATTACATCATTACTCATCAATTATTCTCAACTATGCTTAAAAAGGATTAAAATAAGAAAATAGAAGAATGAAGTCTTTGCCCATGCCTATGTCCTGAAAAGTATTGCCTACGGTTTTTTTTAGGATTTTTACGGTTTTAGGTCTTACATTTAAATCTTTAAACCATCTTGAGTTAATTTTTGTATAATTTTCTGCATATGGCTAGCCAGTTTTCCCAACACCATTTATTAAATAGGGAATCCTTTCCCCATTGCTTGTTTTTGTCAGGTTTGTCAAAGATCAGATAGTTGTAGATGTGTGGCATTATTTCTGAGGCCTCTGTTCTGTTCCTTTGGTCTATATATCTGTTTTGGTACCAGTACCATGCTGTTTCAACAGTGTGGTGATTCCTGAAGGATCCAGAACCAGAAATACCATTTGACCCAGCAATCCCATTACAATCATTCTACTATAAAGACACATGCACACATGTTTATTGAGGCACTGTTCACAATAGCAAAGACTTGGAACCAACCCAAATGCCCATCAACGATAGACTAGATAAAGAAAACGTGGCACATGGAATACCATGCAGCCATAAAAACAGATGAGTTCATGTCCTTGGCAGGGACATGGATGAAGCTGGAAACCATCATTCTCAGCAAACCAACACAGGACCAGAAAACCAAACACCACATGTTCTCACTCATAAGTGGGAAATGAACAATGAGAACACATGGTCACAGGGAGGGGAACATCATACACTGGGGCCTGTCAGTGGGTGGGGGGGCTAGGGGAGGGATAGCATTAGGAGAAATACCTAATGTAGATGACGGGTTGATGGGTGCAGCCAGTCACCATGGCATGTGTATACCTATGTAACAAACCTGCAAGTTCTGCACATGTATCCCAGAACTTAAAGTATAATAAAAAATGACTAAATTACTTAGAAACAGTGAAACAAGTATCACTATGACATCACTCTTCAGTTTTCTTACTGTGTTGTGCAAGATATGTGTTATCTTTCAAGAAGGCATAAAAGAAGTCTGGAGCTAACATCTTTTGTGACCTCATTCTACATTTTATTGAATACGATTAAGCATTAACATTTGTAAGTTCTCTAGCCAGAATGACGAAGAAAATCTGAGGAAACTGTTTTAGAATTATTAGATGAGTCAGAAGTTGAACACAAAGAATAAGATAGGAGCACTTAGGACTCTAATAAAGATGCTGAAATTGATGATTATAAGTAAAATCTCAGTCTATGTGTCTTCAGATGATGATGCCCTACATACATTTTCTCAAACTCAAGAATCAATGAGTGAATAATATACTTTTAATCTAAGGACAAAGCATTTTCATTCAGTTACTTATTCAATAGAAAGTCTTCTTTGTGGAATATCTTGTGACAAGAAATGAGGCCATCCCATTTTGCTAAAAGGACACATGACAGTATTCTTTCATCTTTTATTTCATTTGTGCACCAAATTTTCTTGATATAGTTTAAAAGTAGACAGATGCTGAAGGCAGGTATTACAGAGAGATAGCCAGAAGAAATAGATGAAGTAGACATTAAAAAATTGGATTGACCATAAAAAACAGAATTGATCATTCTGAAAGGTATCTACAAATCTAAAAATAAAAATGTTTTGCAACTGTGGAACATATAATGGTCATCCTCTCTTCAACAAAATTAGGAGCCAAAGATCTCAAAAAAATTCTTAAAGCATTATGTTTTGATGCTGTAAGTGCAAGAAGAACCAGAAGTAATAATAATTTAGAAGCCAACAAAGATGTATTTGAAACTTAGAATCAGTATTTGTAAGTTCATGCAGGACAGCTGATGAACAGTTACTGCATTCAGAGGCTCCTGCCCATTTGGGGTATACAGGTTGAGTATCCCTAATCCAAAAATTCAAAATCCAAAATGTTCCAAAATCTGAAAGGTGCACCACACACAGGGGGTTACTGTATGATAATCTTTTAATCAAAACACAACATCAGCTGGGCATGGTAGCTCACACCTGTCATTTCAGCACTTTGGGAGGCTCAGGCAGGAGGATCGCTTGAGCCCAGGAGTTTGAGACCAGCCTGGGCAACCTAGGGAGACCTTGTCTCTACAAAAAGATTTTTAAAATTAGCCAGGTATGGTGGTGCACACCTGTAGTCCCAGCTACTCGGGAGGCTGAGGTAGGAGGACGGCTTGAGCCCAGGAGTTTGAGGCTGCGGTGAGCCATGATGGTGCCACTGCATGCCAGCCTAGGCGATGGAGTGAGACCCCATCTCAAAAAACCAAACCAAAACAAAAGCCCCCCACAACATCGTAGGTGGTGACTGAAACTGTTGCTGTTTGGTGTTGCTGTTGTTTAACAGCTTATCCAGGTATTCTGGTGATGCCATTGTGCTGCTTAGTTACCCTAAACTCACTATTTTTTCACTGTATTAATGGTGTGTCATATTTTTTACTGTTAAGTACTTGTGTCTCAATACATGTATGAAAACGATTATTTATCAGGTATATAAATTTACACTCAGAAACAATGGTGATGCCAACCAACCACAGACCATCCACATCTAGTGGCTGAGATAGTGATGCCTTAGCTTTCTGATGGTTCAATGTACACAGACTTTGTTTCAGTAACAAAATTATTTAAAATATTGTACAGAATTACCTTCAGGCTGTGTGTACAAGGTATATACAAAACATAAATGGATTTCATGTTTAGACCAGAGTCCCAACGCCAAGATATCTTAATGTATATGCAAATATTCCAAAAACCAAAATCCAAAACACCTCAAGACCAGGGAAACATGGTATAAAAATTTTATTTATATATTTAAGTTCTTATTTAATTTTTAATAGTTTTTTATCTCTTTATTCTTGTATTTTGTAAATTATTTGGAAAATAATCTAAAATAATTTTTAAGCGGAGTTTATTCAACCTAGATAGTATATGGTGATGACTGTTTTTCTTGGTACACTGAGGTAAGTTAAAAAGATAAGTGAAGCAGAAACAATCTTAGTATTAGGAATGAACTGCAAAACTGACTGGTTCCGGGACTTTCTGAAGAGTTGAAATAGTGAATGGACTTGCACCAACCCACCAAGACCCACACCTGCTAGAACCAATGAGACTGATCTAGCTGGAGACCTGAACAAGAACTTAATGAAATGCTGGAAAGCAGGAAAGGAAACGACCTTGTATAAAATTGAAACAATTAAGGACCCAACAAGCAGACTTAAAGCACTAAGAGGATTGCTATAAAGGGAATATTTAATATTATTTTACCCTCAACAAAAATTTTAAATGGTAGGATAGATTAATTCAGTACAGCTTACTAGGTTTTTTTTTTTTTTTGAAGACGGGATGTTATATTTCTGAGTGTTATTCATGTCGATCTATGTAAATCTATTATTCATTTTATTTTTTTGAGACAGGGTCTCATTCTGTTGCCCAAGCGGGAGTGCAGTGGCACTATCACAGCTCACTGCAGCCTTGACCTCCCCGGCACAAGTGACCATCCCACCTCAGCCTCCTAAGTGGCTGGGACCACAGGAATGTGCCACCATGCCTGGCTAATTTTTAATTTTTGTAGAGGTGGGGTCTCACTATGTTGCCCATGATGGTCTTCAACTCCTGGGCTCAAATGATCCTCTGCCTTGGCATCCTGAAGTGCTGGGATTACAGGCGTGGGCCACTGTGCTCAGCATATTCATTTTAATATCTGTATGCTATTCCATTTCCTACTAAGGAAGAGTAATGATGTTTCTTTTCCCTCTATTACAAATAGCATGACAATCAACATCCTGGTACATGTCATGTTGTTTATCATAGGTAGTGGTCTTGAAGTAGAACTCATGGGGTTTGTGCATTTTCATTTTTGTAAGATGTCAAATTTATTTGCAAGATACTACCCACTTGGTATATTCTTCTAGTTTATACTCCAACTAGCAATGTATATGAGACCTTGTTTCTCCATAACCCCACAAACTCTTGGTTTTACCAGCTGTTGTAAATTTTGCCAGGTTGTTTAAGAAATAATCCCTCTTTTATTATACATTTTCCTGAATATCTTTTCATTTGCTTTTCTTCAATTGTGTTCTTTCTCTGAGAACTACGTGTTAAATCCTTCGACAGTTTTTTTAAATTGTGGTATTTATATTTTTCTTATTATACAAGACTTTTTATAGAGAATTTATTATAGAGGATGCCAATTCTTTGTAGATTATATACACTGCAAATATCTTCTCCCAGTTTGAGACATTTGTATTCAGTGTAATTTGTCATACAGAATTTTCTTTATATTAATGTAGCCAAATTAACACTTCCAATGGATTTACTTTCTGTATCAATTCTTCCCTAGCCTCAAATCTTAAAACATTTTTGCCTATTTTTCTTCTAAATAAGTTTTCCTCCTATAAATTTTAGTAGGCTTTTATGTTTTTGTTTTTTTGTAAATCCATTTGCAATTTTGTATGCTGTGAGGTAGGAATTGCATTTTATCTTTTTCCAAATAGGTAGTCAATTATCTCAGCTCCGTTTAAGGCACAGCCAGCCTATTACTCCCCTCTGATCTGTATCATCACTTGTCATAGAGCAGGCTCTTCCTTCCTGTGTTCTATTGTTTCCTTGGTCTGTTTTTGCATGAATATATAACATTGTTTCAATTACTATTGCTTTCTAGTAAGTCTTGATATGTGATAAAAGTAAATCTTCATTATTCTTCAAAATTCTCATAACTCTTCAAGCCTCAAAAAAAATTAGAATCAAGTTGTCAAATGTTAAAAAATTCCTATTAGGCTTCACTGGAAATACACTCAACTTACAGACCAAGATGGGCAGAACTCATTTTTATGACATTGTCAGTTCTCCCATACATGAACATGTTATATCTTACCATTTATTAGCTGCTTAAAAAAAGATTTTCAAAAATGTTTAGAATTTTCTCCTTAAAGGTCTTGCACATTTCCTGCTAGATCGAATCCTAGGCACTTTACATTCTGATTTCTGCTATAAATGAAATTGTTTTTAAAATTACCTTTTTATTATCATCACATTGTCTTTGAGTCTTGTTATTTCTTTCTTGCCTTCTAAAGTATTTGAGTTTCCACTGTTTCTTTCCCAGCTCCTCCCTATGCTTTGGAAAAGTTTGGGCACAATGTACAACTTTCACATGCACATTTGACTTAATGTTAACTAACATTATTAGCTTCTTTTTTTTTTTTTGACATGGAGTTTCACTTTTGTTACCCAGGCTGGAATCCAGTGGCACGATCTTGGCTCACTGCAATCTCCGCCTCCCGGGTTCAAGCAATTCTCCTGCCTCAGCCTCCTGAGTAGCTGGGATTACAGCTGTGCGCCACCAAGCCCAACTAATTTTTGTATTTTTTTAGTAGAGATGGGGTTACACCATGTTGACCAGGCTGGTCTCAAACTCCCTACCATCTTCCCCAATAATATAAGGAGCTTACATGAATTTAATCTACTTCCCAAACGTTTTTTTCCATATTTTAGTTCTATCCTTTAAAAATATTCATATCATTATTGTTTTTCTCAGTGAATGCTATTAAAATTTATTTTTAAAACTTTTAATTGCAAAATACATCACACATAGAGAAAAGTTACAAAATGTGAATATATGCCTCAATGAACTGTCACAAAATGAACGCCTACGTAATCATAAGAAACAGAATACTGCTAGCATCCTGGGAGCACCTCCTCACAACCCCTCCCAAGCACTCCTCCCTGACCTTTCCCCATAGGTAACCACAATCTGATTTTTATGGTAATAATTCATTTTCCTTTATAGTTTTACCACCCAAGCATGTGTTGTTAAACACTATACTTTAGGTAAGCTCTCTATAAATGGAATCACACAGTATGTGTTCTTTTTGAAATCTGGTTTCTTTTGCTCAATAATTTATTTGTGAGATTCACAACTGTATATAGCTGTAGGCTATTTATTTTCATTACTGCCTTGTATTCCATTATATATTTCTATGATCATTCATCCATTTACTGGATATAAAATTCTAAGTTGACAGTTATTTTCTTTCAGCTCTTTAAAAATGGCCTTTGGTTGACTTTTTGTTTCCATCATTTCTATTGAGAAGACAGCTACTAGCTAGTTGTTGCTTATTTGAAGGTAATTTTCCTTTGCTCTCTAGCTCCTTTTAAGATTTTTCTCATTTTTGGTTTTCAGCAATTTAACAATAATGCCTATATATGTAGAGTTCTTTGGTATTTCTCCTGCTCAGGGTTCATATCATTTCTGCAATTTATGGACTAATGTTTTCCATCAGTTTTAGAAAGTTCTAAACCATTTTCTCTTCAAATCCTGATTTTGATTCATCCTCTTTCTCTTGCCTTTCTGGAACTTTAAATACACGCACCAGACCTTTAAACGGTATTCTCTCTCTCTCTCTCTTACTCTCTCTTAATTCCTTTCATTCTTTGTCTCTGGTTATTTTCATCTTATATCTTTCAGTACACTAATTCTCTCTTCAGATGTGTCTAACCTGCTATTTAAACTCATTCACTTGAGTTAATTTGACTTACTGATTTTCTCAGTTCTAGAATTTATATTTGTTTATTTTTAGTTTCCAGTTCTCTGCCAAAAATCTGTCTTGTCTTTTATCCCCTTGAATGTGGTAAGTATAATTATTTCAAAAGTCTGTATCTGAGAATTCCAATATCTAGAGGCTGTTTGAACCATCTTTTCTTTTTCTTGATGTTGTTTGTGTATCTGTTTCCAGTTGCTTTTGATTATAAGCCAGACATTGCATTTGCAAACTAGAAACAATTTGTGACCTTGCATGATACCACTTTCTTCCAGGAAGGATTTACAATTCTGCCAGATGCCTAGGGGCACTAGCAATTTAGGAACCCTCAATCTAATTTTAGGGACTGACATGATTCAAAGCTGATCTGCAGCCCCAGTGAGAGTATGTCTACTCCTGGTTAACCCTTGCTCCTATGATGTAGCCCTTCAGGGTCTTGACTCAAAATGAGTTATGTTCATCAGGTGTCCCCTCCTTAGGGGCCATGGGCACTAATCTCTGCCCCCATTACTCCCACTAGCCTGTCAAAAGGGCTGCTTAGGTTTTAGCAGCTTCCTGCAGAACTGGCTAATATCTCGAGAGGAACAGTGACCCAGTATACCAGGAGGACCTTTGTTCTAGGCCTCCATTTTTCTTCTTTGATACCTTCAAGCAAAACATGTTTAAATATTGTGTTGAGCTTTTCTGGTAGTCTTCAGTGGAACACATGACTCAAATGACCTAATTTGCCACTACTAGAAGTAGAACTCCCAGACTTTATCTATATTTTCACCAATTTCATTGCTCATCATTGTTTCTTGGCTCTACTGTTTCCTTCTGGGTTCAACTTCCTTCAGTCTCAGTACATCTTGCTTCATAATCTTCCAACAAGCTTCTGCAACTAGTTAATTCTATTATCCTTTGCCTGAAGAAAAAAAGTCTTTATTTCACCCTCATTCCTGAATGAGAATTAAGCTGGGTATTAACTTTTAAGTTGACAGTTATTTTCACTTAGCTCTCTGAAGATATTATTCTACTGTTTTTTGTTCTCTCTCTCTGTCATGGAAAAGTTTGCTATCAACATAATGGATACCCCTTTGTAAGTCATCTCCATGTCTTTCTTTTGTTACTAAGATTTTTTTTCTTTGGCATTCTCCTATAACAAGTCTAGAAATAAGTTAATTTTCATTTATCCCATATAGGCTCATGGTGCTACCTGAATCTGAGTACTTATGTCTTTATTAATTCTAGAATATTCTTAGTCATTCTCTTTTTGAATAATGCCTCTACACTATTCTATCTGGACTTCTTGTTTTAACTCTCTCATCTCAACTTTCATCTTCTCCATCCCTTTATCTCTCTGTGCTACATTCTGGGTGATTTCTTTAGGTTTATTCTTCTGTTTACCACTTCTCTCTTCAGCTGAAATTTGTTGTCTTATCTTAAACTTGGTTGCTGAGTTTTAAATTTTCATGACTACTTTTTCTATTCCTTTCAGCCTAGGTTGTTGGAGCACCCCCTGGGGTTTGCTTATATCTGACAACCTATGCTATCACTAGCCCAGGACTAATTTTTTTCTTCCTTAACATAGGGTCTTGCACTGTCACCCAGGTTGGAGTGCAATGGCACAATGAGAGCTCACTGCAGCCTAGAACTCCTGGGTTCTAGTGACCCTTCCATCTCAGCCTTCCAAGTAGCTGAGACTACAGGCATGAGCCACTGCACCTGAATAATTTTTTTAACTAATTTCTCAGCTTCGGGTTTCAAGCCACATAGGTAGCATACATTCATTCAAATTCTAAACCAGCATGAACAAGGATCCATGGTTTACAATTCCCATGGGAGGCCGGGCACGGTGGGTCACGCCTATAATCTCAGCACTTTGGGAGGCCAAGGCGGGCAGATCACCTGAGGTTGGGAGCTCGAGACCAGCCTGACCAACATGGAGAAACTCCATCTCTAATAAAAATACAAAATTAGCTGGGCGTGGTGGTGCATGCCTGTAATCCCAGCTACTGGGGAGGCTGAGGCAGGAGAATTGCTTGAACCTGGGAGGCGGAGGTTGTGGTGAGCCGAGATCACGCCATTGCACTCCAGCCTGGGCAACAAGAGCAAAACTCCATCTCAAAAAAAAAAGAAGAAGAAGAATTCCCATAGGAGATTTCCCAGCTTCCATTCCAGAACCCAGGCAGTTAAATATTTTTTGTTAATTTCCCTGTGGTGGCAGCAGATATTTTCTAGTCCACTCTTTTCATAGACACAACCCCTTTGAAGGTACCAGTTCCTAGTCCACACTGTAAATGGATTCAAGGACTCATGTTCTGTTCCCTAGTGGGTACTAAAACCCAAACCCATATATTATGAAACCAAAAGCTGCAGCCCGTATCTTACGACTCTAATTTCCTGGAGATCCAGTTTTCTTTCTGAAGAGCTCAATTATGCATTTAAAATGATTTCAGTTATGTTTTACCCAGAACTTTTAAAAGTTTTATTTTGTGTTTAATTGGCACATAACTGTGCATATTTAAGGGGTACAGTGTATACCTAGCATTTGAAGGTGTTTATAGAAGGAAGGTTTTCTGGTTACCTAGTCTACTGTATTGCTAGAACCAGAAATCTCATGGCATTGTTCTTAAACTGTCAATGAAAAAAATATGTTAGTATTAGGATAATTAATCAGAACAGACAAACAGAACCAATAGAATGTTCGTGTGTGTGTGTGTGTGTGTTTTCCTTATGATAAATCTCTATGAATATGTATGTATGCATATACACCCACATATATATGTCAGCCTCCATAATCGTTTTAGCCAATTCCTTGGGATAAATCTACAATTTCAGAGGCTGACAAGTCCCAAGATCTGCTGTCAGCAACCTGGTGACCCAGGAGAGCTAATACGCATTATTTAGTTCCAGCCCAAAGGCCTCCAAGCCAGGAAGAGCTGATGTTTCGGTGTGCATCCAAACCAATGTCCCAACTCAGGGCAACCAGGCAAGTCGAAATTCCCTCTTACTTGCAGGAAAGTAAGCCTTTTTGTTCTGTTCAGGCCTTAAACTGATTGAATGGGGCCTGCCCACATTAGGGAGGGCAATCTGCTTTATTCAGTCTATCAACTCAAACGCTAATTTCATCCAGAAACATCCTCACAGACACAACCGAAATGTTTTACCAAATATTTAGGCACTTTATGTCCTAGTCAAGTTGACATGTAAAACTATCAGAATTAGTAAATTCTAGCTTGATTTTTAAATAATTTCATTTCTGAGACGCAAATCAAGCTTTCCTTTGAGCTCTGACAACTCAATCCTGTCACTCTATAACTGAGCAAGACTCAGTGTTAAGTAAGATAGCTTTTTGCATATGAACCTTACATAATACGATTTCATAAGTCTATTTATGGATTTAATTTCCCCTTTTCTTCCAAAGGATAAATGAGCACAAGTCTCTGGAAGCAATATGGAATAAAAGTGTCACCTGAAAATATATTCATGACCTATTTTTGCAAAACCTCTGGCTTACACAATCACCTACCTTTGTTTATAGGAATATGTGGGCAACAACATCTGCTCATCACGTAAATCTTCCACAGTCCCTGGTGCAGTGCCATATATAACCTAGGTACTAGGTAAATTTACCTGTAAGTTGCTTCAAAATATAAATCAAAGCAACAAGTTTGTCTCCATAACTCTGGGTCTCATTCATCGTATAGCGAGTGATAAACTTTTACTAAATCACACTTATGTTCACATTACCCTCCTTTGCTCCTCTTCAGCATCAGCAAAAAGTTTGCGAATGTTAGCCTCTGATTCTCCCACATATTTGTTAAGGATTTCTGGCCCATTGACCACTTTGGGCTCTCTTGCATTCAACATCTTGCCAATCTGTCGAGCCAAGAGAGTCTTACCACAACCTGGGGGTCCATATAACAGGATGCCTTTAACATGTTTACAACCTGAAAAGGAAAAGAAAACAGTCTTATATCAGCTAACTAGAATCTAAGTAAGACTCTAAAGGAAAGTGTTCTTTCTTCTTCGTATGCACTTTAGGAAAAACACAGTGATGCCATTCACATATGTTAATGTCCATGAGCCATGAACAAGAATATACAGCCAAAAATCCAGAAACAATTCCTATAACTGTACTAAAGTTTGAGGGGGAACTGCTGCCAGTTAAAGGTCTCTGGAAGAGTCCATTCATGCTATGATTTTGAACAAATACTTTTTACTCTGAAAATGTCTAACTGGGAAATATTACTTATTTTTGGCTGGGTGTGGTGGCTCACTTGAGCCCAGGAGCATGAAACCAGCCTGGGCAATACTTTGTGACCCTGTCTCTATAAAAATAAAAAATTTGCTTTGTTTTACATATAACGATAAATTATATATAATTATTATATATCATATATGTGTATACACACACACACACACACACACACACACACACATATCCCATGGAATACTATTCAGCCATAACAAAGAACGAAGTCACATCTTTTGCTACAACATGGATGGAGCTGGAGGCCATTTTTCTAAGTGAAGTAACTCAAGAATGGAAAATCAAATACCATATGTTTTCACTTACAAGAGGGAGGTAAGTTATGGGTACACAAAGGTGTACAGAGTAATAGACTTTGGAAACTCAGAAGTGGGGAAAGTGAGGGCATGAAACCAGCCTGGGCAACACATTGTGATGGCAGAAAATTAAGAAGTGGGGAAAGTGAGAGGGGAGTGAGGAATAAAAAACTAATATTGGGTACAGTTTACACTACTTGGACAATGGGTCCTGCACTAAAATCTCAGACTTCACTACTATATAATTCATCCATGTAACCAAAAACCACTTGTACCTCAAAGGTTATTAAAATTATATAATATCTTTATATTACACCCAAAAAAGCACTCTGTGAAATAATAGATTATCAGGTTTCAGTGTCACACTCCTAAGTATGGGTAAAAAGGGAAATTTCTGAAAATGCAATATAAATAGTGTGTCGCCATGGAAAATGGTTTGTCCTTATCTGAAATGAAAGCATTAAAAAGTATATCTTTAAGAAAAAAAGTACAATACATTTGATGACTCAAGTAAAATCACAAGATGCAAACAACTCTATTAGAAATTTTAGATTCTGAGGAGGAAGACCCTTTGGGCTGTCAAAATTGGTCTTCACTTCCTCCTTTATGCTGAGAAAAGACTCCTTTTTAAATCCTTGAAAGTAATAAGAACTGTGCCTTTGGTTGAACATGGAGAGGGAGGGGAAACACTTGATGGCTTACAGTCTTAACCCTCTGCATCACAGAGTAAATCCCTTCCCTAAGAACCACTGCCCAATAAAATGCTTTTTGGCCTTTGACTCACCCTCCAAGTATGAGTGGTAGGGAGATAACAGGAGAAGCCTTGAGCTTCTCCTAGAGGCCAATACCACCAAGCACTACCAGCATCTAAGTTACAGGGACACGCTGGATTAGCAGCACGTTGAAGTCTGGCTCCTAATCTTGCCCTCTGAGCCAACTGTTACCATCATGATTTGAAACTATTCATATGTATAAACTGTAGCTGAGGCA
Organism: Homo sapiens; assembly: GCF_000001405.40. Lineage (NCBI taxonomy): Eukaryota > Metazoa > Chordata > Mammalia > Primates > Hominidae > Homo > Homo sapiens. Next base: position 296,261 of record NT_167251.2, read on the forward strand.
GGTGGTGGTGGTGAAACATTCATAGGGAGAGGACATCCAGAAAGAAGAAAATGAAGATTTTCTGAGTTCCTACAAAGCACCAGCCCTTCTGATCTCCAACTTCTTGACTTCTACATTTTCTCCAAGTTTATCAACTTCCTCTTAACCATACTGCCTTCCCTAGTAAGCCATGCTTTCTTTGAAGGACTTTTAACTATTTATTCTTTGTAAATTTCTGTTATAACCACCCCATAGTCCCTGAATACAATATGGCTTTATTCACTACACATTGGCCACAATGTGTATAATTTCTCCATAGCACAGCTGGAGAAAATTATACCACTGTGCTACTGACTGATACCTCCAGAATTTCATGCTATCCAGTTTCAGTTCTATGCTCACTGCTTTCTCATGCCACTCTTTACTTGTCTTTGTTAGCTCATCTCTAATTCTCCTTATTAATTATCCAGATCTTCACTGTTCTTCTCAAGAGCTACCCCCTGCTATGAATTCTTAGAGATAACCTAGGTTCCTATTTCACATATCAAAAAAAAAAAAAAAAAAAAGACTTCACCTCTCTGCTTCTTTATCTATAAATTGATCAGCAGACTCATCCATTCTCAACCTAATCTCGGTTCTCAAAGTAGTCTTCCTTCCTCTCCTCCAAGGTTTATATTGCAATTCTCTGTTTACATGGCTTCTTCGCTATAAGACTGTAAACTATTCAAATGCAAGTACTATCTCATTCACCCAGCATAATGCCCAGCACCTACTATGGACTTCAGGAAAGGCTGAATAAGTAAACTGTTGATTCTTTTCCTACAAAACTCAAAGAATATGAAGGATTTTAAAAAATTATTTGAAGCTCTTAATTTATGGACTGTGCTTATTCTCATAGCTGAGCTAATTTAAATACTTAAAAAAAAAATACATTTGCAATGACTGAGACTTTCCGAATTTAACAAAACAACATAAACACAAGAATCTTAACTTTGCAACTATGCTTCTGTACACAGAAAATGCTCAAATTAATGTGTTTTGAACTAAATTTACTCAGATATTATAAAATAAACAATTCACAAATTATTACCATGAAGTTTAAAAGAGATAAAATGTTTACCCATGCAACTTATTATATATAATACAGATATGTGAAACGATAGAATATATTTAATATAACTTCAACAGGAATGTAATAGAAGCTCTAGTCTGCTTTAGAACTATAATTCTTTTAGGATCTCAAATGAGCACATCAAAAATATACACTGACATGTGAAGTCTTTCAAAATGTACTTCCACAAAGGAAGCTGTTACTTGAATAAGCAGTGGAAATGGGACTTTATTATTACTATTATTATTACAGCCTATTCTGACTTATTAAGTAAGCATTGGTCTCTAATTTTAAATGAGTCATAAAAACTCTTTATAACTAATTCCATTCAACAAAAGTGTACTAAGCTCATGTTTAGACTAGATGCAAAGGTAGCTGTTAGGGATACAAACATGAAAAAGACAGTCCCTAGCTGTAGGGCATTTCTGGCTTAGTAGGAAAGACAGAAATAAAAATAGGCTATCTACAATATAATATGACATTATCAGAGATATGTATGAAATGTTTTTGGACTCTAGCCAAGAGATACTGATTCTGCCAGAGTGATGGCAGAAAATTAAGAATGGACTCAGGTGAAGAGCTAACATCCATTGTGGGCCTGGAAGAATGAGTAGGAGGTTCACAGGCAATGGAGAGGAAATGCCACCCCAAAGAGAGAGACTAGCATGATCAAAGGCATAGGGATATGGACACAGACACTGTTCTCTCGAAACAGCCAGTAGTAACCTGCTGTAGCCAGAGCCCTGGAAGTGAGGAGAGGGCAGTGCCTGGCGACGAGGCTGGCAGGCTCCTAACTGGCAGGCCTTGAAACCATGACCATGATTTTTTAACTTGTTTCATAGGTGATTAAAACCCCACATTTTTGGGTGATTAGTCTAATCACCCTTAGGTGTAAGTGACAATCACGGAAGGCACACCAGGAGATATGTATTTAAAAGCTAACTGTGTTGGCAGAGTGGAGAAAGAACGAGAGACCAAACAGGCAAAGGAGGGGAGGCTAGCTGGGGGAATGTTCTGAACCTTTTTCTGGGGATACCAACTCACTCTGGATTCTTGCCAGTTAAGTTTTCATATCCCTCTAAGTCCTTTGGAAGCACAGGAACAAATGGGTCCAGGGGCCTCGGGAGGACACCCTCTGCTCCTGCTGATGCCCCAGCTTTCTCCTGAGCTTCTCTAGGATATTAAAGCCTGGATCTGATATTGAGGAGCCTCTGATCTCTGGCTGCTGGACTGACTGCCCAGCTGGACTGACTAATGCTGCTGTTTTATTCTTAATATCTTACATGCCACCTCACTCCTCAGAGATAAGTGCCTTAGGTTAGTGACCTAAATAACAAAGGCCAGGTATAGAACGAGAAATCAGTGGACCTGATTTAAATTGTCATTGTCTCTCATTCTATTCCTCTCTTTCCCACAGAACAGTCTAATGGACCTCCCCAGGAAAATGCACATGCACAAAAAATTTGCATACAAATTTGAGAGAGTTCTTTAATCCTTTGAGGTCCATCCATGGAATCCAAATTAGAAACTCCTGAACATATTACTGAAATAATCCAGACAAAAGACAATAAACAGAAAGAGGCAAGAGTCATAGGAAATAGTAGAAAAAGAAAAGAAGATGCGGGAGATACTCATCAAAGCTTAGAAACCAAATGGAAACCAGAGAAGGAAGAGGAGTCAAGGATGACCTTGAGGCATCTAGCATGGGTACATGGATAAAATGATGGTAACCTCAGGGATACCAAGACATAGCAAGAGGAAGAGGAATCAGTTTGGAGATTACAGGAAATCATTACTTGTTTTTGGCTATAAGGCATTTGACATTTAGGCAGTAGTGCCTATTAAAAATACTGGTGAAAGCTCAGAAAAGACATCAAAACTACTGCTTCAATATTTTTGAATGCCTGCCCTGGGTACGTGAAAAGCTGTGAAAAGTTTTAAGCAGAAGAATGTGACAACAGAGATAAATGCTGCAGTGATAGAGGATGAGGCCTGGAAAAAGGGCACTAGGTTTAGAAATCAGGAAATACATGCCGCTCTAGGCCACAGGGTCTTCGAACAGGGTCAGAGCATTTGGGGTTGAGTCCCTACCTTTCACTTAGAAGAAAACTAAGTAGCATAAGCAGATATGGAGACCACACTTTCAGGAACTTTGGCAACAGAGGAGGAATGGAGAGGGAGAGCTTGTAAAGACACCTCTCCTTCTGAGACCAGTTAAATAAAGGGACAAGGAGGAAGAAAGCTGAGGTTATTCCTGTTGGGTTCTGTTGACTATGTGAAGCAGGAACTAGGTCATCAACAAAATGAGGGATGAAGAGAGGATACTGGGAAACATGGTAAAGGTTTGGAAAGCACATGGGGAGTTGGGAAAATGTGTCTGAGCAGACGGACGCTGTTACTAAGTGAACTCAGCATATGAGATTCAGGTCATCGAGGGACCATCCTTTGTTGTATTTACATAAGCAATTCACAGTATTAGGTAAGGTGTAGATTCTTATTCAGTTCTATAAATACAAATTTCATCTAAGCTGGCATACAAATTTTGACCTTTTTGGTTTTACCCATCTCTTTTTTTTCAAATCTTAATTTTAAAGGTTAGCAATATGAGGTAAATAACAGGATTAAATTAATGTAATGTGCAGTCAACATACGTATAGCTCAATTCTATTATCTAATTTTCCCATCAAAAGTGTAAGGTAAAAACTATCACATGACTGTTTTCAACATTTTTTCCTCCATTTTCCACAAAGTTTGAGGCCTTAATCTTCAAAGTGATTCCCATCTTTTCTCCTTCATCTATAACTTACTTAAGTAAGAACTAAGGTGGGCTAAGGGTATAATCAAACATAGTTCCAAAGCATTTCTTCTCTCAATATCCTATGTCAAGTACTTTTTTAGAGACAGGGTTTCACTCTGTCACTCAGGCCAGAGTTCAGTGGTGTGACACAGCTCACTATAACCTGGAACTCCTGGGCTCAAGCGATCCTTCCAACTCAGCCTCCCGAGTAGCTGGGACAAGCACATACCAGCAAGCCTGGCTCAATTTCCTGTATCCGGGTATTTTACTGCTTGTTTTACTAATTGCTCCCGTTAATCATTTTCTAAAAAATACCTACTTTTTATTTGGATGAGGCACAAACATAGTAACAACTCTTGGTTATAATAAGAGAAAGGAAAGTGGTAGTAAAGAGTATAATCTCAAATGGCCAAAAATCGATTTTTATATATGGTTTTGGAATTTAAGTTGCTAATTACATTGGATATAGGAGCAACTGAAGTTCTAGGACATCACAGTCTTTCTCTCATTCAACCAATCATACATCTTGTGGTGGGAAGATGAAGAAGATGAAGAAGTTCTCTTCTGTTTGCCTCTATTTCCTCCGTGAAGTAAAGATTCCAGGTCATCAGCTGCTGGTAAAGATGGAAGAGGTGGTGCTTGGGGGTTGAGCCAAATAGAGAAGAAGAACTAGTCATCTCAGAGAATAGGAGAATAAATGGATTGGACTAGGGAAATACAGAAGGAATACTAGGAATATCTGTTCCAAGAAATACTGAGGGCTCACTTGAGATTTGGTTCATAAATTTAAAGTGAGATCAGACACTGTGGTTTTGTGTTTTTCTTAAGCCATGCTTAACAGCGAGAATACTGGCACAGAGTAGGCAGGTAGCTGAGAAACACTTGTGGATTTGACAACAGAAGATGAGGAGCAAGGCTGCTAAGGGTGTATACAAAGAGGATATATGTGATAGACCATGGAGGTTAAGCTGGGGAAAGAGGAGAGAGAGAACAAAAAGATTGGGAACTGATAGAATAAATTATACTGGAGGTTCCAGTGGGGTCCAAGTTGCTGGAGTTGGTAACAGGAGAAATGCTAGGAGTAAGCAAGGAAAAATGGGAGGCAGCGCGAGAGCAAGATGCTTACATCTGAGATCCCCAAAGTGGTGTGGTTGCTGGTAATGGCAAACAAAGTCTTGTGTATAATCGAAGAATGAGTGGCTGAGGTGGACTTAAGGAAAAGGTTAATGAAAACAAGGAGGTTGAAATCAGAAAATAAATCAGGTGAAAAATCTCTAAAGAACTTTAAAAATTACTAAGAGTCCCACTTTTCTAGTCAGTGGTTCTCAAATTTAGATTTCACAACTAGCAAAAGAACGTTTGTTTTCTTTAAACTGGAGAGCAGTGCTGTCATTGGGTTGTTTTAGTTTTAGTTTTGCAAGGTAAAGATTTCTTAAAAAAAAAAAAAAAAAAGAAAATCAAACCTGACATCGTCTATCACCACCATTTCATATAAAAAGTACATTTTAGTATTGAAAGGTAGACACAATCTCAGGTTAAAGGACAGTGTTTTCTGTTAAATAAACTCAGTTTTATGTGTAGTGTTAAAAGTGAGGGCTCTGCAGTCAGTTTGCCTGGATTCAAATCCTGGTTCTTCCACTAACTAGCTGGAAATAATAATAGTAACTACCTCAGAAAGTTACTATAATTAAGTATAATGCACATAAAGCACTTAGCATACTTTATGGTGGATAGTAAGAGCTCGTAAATATTGGCTATTAATTAATAGCTTATTTCTCTCACCTTTCTGCAGATGAGTGATGAAAATGGAATTAGACTCCCAACTGGTGACAATTAGATCACAATTAGGTTACCAAAAAACTTCCAAATAAATGACTATTTTACTTACCAAATTACTTCTGAGACTGACAGTTGTGACCATCTGCTCCTTAAAACTTTATCTACCAGAATTGTCACTTGAACTTCGCAAATTATAGTACCCATTCCACTGATGAACTTCACGCTCCAAATTAACATAGTAGTAAATGAGTTAGACTACAGCAGTTTCACAGACATGTTACTAGTGTTTTGGTAAGTCAAGATTCTTTGTAGCTATAGCCTCTCTTCCAGCTAGACTACTATCAGAGTCAATTCTGCCTGCTTCTACACAATGGAATACAATTCATCCATAAAAACAATGAAATTATGTCATTTGCAGCTACATGGATGGAAGTGGAGATCATTATCTTACATGAAATAAGCCAAACACAAAAATACAAAAATCAGATGTTCTCACGTATATGTAGGAGGTAAAAAATTTGAACACATGGAGGTAGAGAGTGGAAAAGTAGACAACAGAGACTGGGGAGGGTGACTGGGGATGAAGGGAGGCTAAGGAGAAGTAGGCTAAAGGTACAAACGTACAGTAAGATAGGAGGAATAAATTCAATGTTTGATAGCAGGGTAGGATGACTATACTTAATAAGAATATATTGTACTGGGGTGACAGATCCCTTGAATACCATGACTTGATCACTACATATTACATACATGTAAAAAATTTCTCATGTATCCCATAAATTTGCACAAATTAAAAAAAAAGTTTTAAAATCCTGCCTTTCTTATGCCTCAAACAGTTCACGCATACTGATTTCTCAAGCTTTCTAAGCTCACTTAAGGGTCAACATGTACCCATTCATAGAAGCCAAGCTACCATGATTATCAGTTCCACATGTGTACAGCCCTTGACCTTTTCTCCTGCCTCCTCTATCATAAGTATATTTATTTTCCAAAGTTCCCCTTTATCTTGCCAATTGCAACTACTCTCATCGCCCCTAACTGCCAGACATTGGAAAGCGGTCACTGCCCTTTCTTGGGGAGCACACACCCTGCTCTGCCGGCATTCACCTGGGACAAGCTGATTCTAGTGAAAGGAACTGGGGCTATTTCTGGGCACTTCATCCAAAAGTGTTTTTGCAACGCTAGATCAACATAGCCCATCCACCATCCTTTGCTTCTTAGTTTGAGGTGGATTAGTATTACCTGTATATTCTTTCTCACCTTATTTCTAGCTACAACTCTCAGTTAAATCAGCAATCCTCCAACAATATACAAAATTTGGATACTGTTTGAGCCACAGGTGTTGACATCCAGTGATTATAATAATACAAATTTTGGTGGGGAGAACTTTAATAGGCTTTAAGGTGTGTGCTACAAATAACTGAAAGTGATTTCTGATCTAAAAGTCAGAATAGGACCGTATCCACTATGATAGGTATATCCACCCCACTGATGAAAATGATTCATGAAAATACTTACATCTTATATGTAAATTGTAAATAGCTCGATAAAAATACATAGCCTTACTTCTGAAACACAAGAAATAAACAGCAATGTTTACTGTTTACACTCTTTCGAAACACCCGAAAAAAGTGACAAATTTGTACTTGTTAAGCTCTTCTATTTTACAAAGCAGTATATTTTCTTCATTTTTTCTGGATGTTATCAGAGGCAAGCTGCGTTGAGGAAAAACTGTCAGTCAACTTTGAGGTATTCAAAGGGAGAAAAAACTATAGCAAACACTAATTTTATATAAGAGTAAGCAGGATGATAATAAATTAGAAGTGGTCTCTGTCAAATTAGCATTAAGATAAGAGTGTTCAGTTCATTTTGGGGGCAACATGATCTATAAAGAGAGAAAGAAGTGCGAAGTGGGTTTTGAACAATGACTGATGTTTAAAGAGGAATCCCAAGTGGCTTCCAGTACAAATGCAGACTAGCCATGTTTGCCAAAGAAGGAGGCTATCAAAAGACTAGTAGCAAGTCAGGACATATTCGGCAGTCTTGCAAGCTTCTCTGTGCAGTTGTGCAAACCAGATTTGAGTGCTCAATTTTAAATAGTGCATGCCCTTGTAGAAAATATAATCACAAATTAATATTTCATCTTTTAAATATAATCATAATTATTATTATTATATTTTTTTCAGACAGAGTCTTGCTCAGGCTGGAGTGCAGTGGCACAATCTCGGCTCACTGCAACCTCCGTCTCCCAGGTTCTAGCAATTCTCCTGCCTCAGCCTCCTGAGTAGCTGGGATTACAGGTGCCACCATGCCCAGCTAATTTTTGTATTTTTAGTAGAGATGGGGTTTCACCATGTTGGCCAGGCTAGTCTTGAACTCCTGACCTTAGGTGATCCACCCATTTCAGCCTCCCAAAGTGCTGGGATTACAGGTGTGAACCACTGCGCCTGGACACAAATTAATATTTGATCATTTAAGTTTCCATAATTACAACTTCTCTTATGGTTCTGTTGAAAATTGTAAATTGGAACTAGAGTCATGAGTATTTTCTTAGTTCTACTTGACTTACCATTTCAGTAGTACAATATAATTATTTACTCTAAGAGCATAACTTTCATTGACTCATTATATAGGAGGGCCTTTTGTTTCAAAAACCTTTTTTTTTTTTGAGACAGGGTCTCACTCTGTTGCCCAGGCTTTGGAGGGCAGTGGCACTATCTCAGCTCACTGCAATCTCCATTTCCCAGGCTCAAGCCATCCTGCCGCCTCAGCCTCCCGAGTAGCTGGGATCACAGGTGCATGCCACCATGCCTGGCTGATTTTGTATTCTTTTGTAGAGATGGGGTTTCACCATGTTGCCCAGGCTGGTCTCAAACTCCTGGGCTCAAGTGATCAGCCTCCTCGACCTCCAAAGTGCTGGGATTACAGGTGTGAGCCACCACGCCTGGCCTTAAGACTCTCAATCAACATCTAAAATAGGTTGTCATCTACACTTGTTTATCTGTGCACTTATGAAATCTTTAAGAAATGGAAATACTTAAGACCAAGACCACTACTCCTGATACCATCTGGGCAGTCAGGACTTTGACCATCCATTTTCGTGGCACTATTCTGTCTGGTAGAGACTTGCTGTTGTCCCACCAACTTCAAAATGCCAAGAGCACTCTGAGTTTTGCTATGCTAGTGAAAACAGCCTATTTCCTGAGCACCAAGCAGCTGTGCAAGCTGTCTACCATCCGACTGGTCTATATCCAAATCAGTCAACTTAGATTTAATATAGATTTTCTCATTAGATAGCCTAGAACTAAAGATGAGATGTGTGTAGCAATGCTCCAAACTAATCTTTGCTGACACCCCCACCCTTTTACATTCCCTCATAGGGTGTTGCCTGGTATTTCATGAATTCTTGATGACAAAGATCATGCTTCTTCTATAGCAGGTCTGCCTTGCTGCCAAATGGCAGCATGTATCTTTACTGGTTTCAGAATTTTATAGTTTTTTCTTTCTTTGTTTTTTTTCCTTCTGTCCCTTAGCTTTTAACTCCTTTTATGTGCTGTTCTATTGGGCCCCTAATTCAGCCTAGCAAATATCTTCCCTAGCAGACAATTTATTTCTTCTTTACTACACCTGGAATTTCTACCTACTCTAACAGTTCATGTTCTTCTGTCCCCAGAAATCACCTCCTTTATTAATGCCACCTAATTCTGATCATATCTTTGGGCTCAATCCTTCAGTACTTAGAGTAGCAGCTGTCAACCTTTAATATGCACCAATGTCCAATGGAGCTTGTTAAAATGCAGATTTCCAGACATCACTCCTAGAAATCTGAATTCATTAAGTCTGGAGTGAAACTGAATATTTAACAAGCGCCCTAAGTAACTCTAATGTAGGCCAGAGGACACACTTTGAAAAACATCATTCATGGTTACAACTGACAATACATTATGTTGTTTTATTCTAAGAGTTCTTAGCTTATTTTTTTTAAGTGTATATGTTCTATAGCCTCAATTAAATCATAAGCTGATAAGGACACACTGACAAGTTGTAGCTATAGAAGAGAAAAGAGCTATTCTAACAAGATAAAAGTTATCAAGAATAGATGTTTTCTGTACTTGAGTACAGCTGGGGGAGATACAGTTTTGTGAGAGATGACTGGGAATTTCATTCATTAGTAAATTAGATAAGCATTAAGATAGAATGTCGATGTCAAAAATGTTAGCACAATTTCGGCCTACATTAAAGGACTAGTGTTTTAAATAAAGAATAAATAGTTCTGATCTATTTTACAACAGAGACCACATTTGCATTACTCCACTAAATTCTAGGTTTCACAGCTTAACATTAATATACATAAATGTTAAAGTTCACAGAAACGTGAATAGGATGGTAAAGGGCTAAAAAGACTGGCTAGAAAAAACCAACCAAGCTTAGGAGAATTAGCTTAGAGAAAAGAGGAATCTGCAGGGAAGTCTGGACAATAGCTTTCTTCATACCTAAAGAGTGTTCATAAAGAAGTAGTATCATGCTTGTTCTGTGTAGTTTCAGGGGAAGAACCAGAGCTTGTAGGAGAAGATACAAGCAAATACATCTTACCTTAACATAAGGAAGACTAAACTTAAACCTATAGTTGTCCAAAAGAGGAATGTAGCCTTAGGAGGGAGTGAGATTCCTGTCACTGGAGGAACTTAAGCTTAGCCTAAGGAACCTGGCAGAAGTTACTCAGCAGAAATGCAGAAGAGGGCCAGGCATGAGTAATCCCAGCACTTTGGGAGGCCGAAGCGGGTGCATCGCCTGACGTCAGGAGTTCGAGACCAGCCTGGGCAACGTGGTGAAACCTCGTCTCTACTAAAAATACAAAAGGCTAGGCACGGTGGCTCACGCCTGTAATCCCAACACTTTGGGAGGCCGAGGCGGGTGGATCACCTGACCTCAGGAGTTCGAGACCAGCCTGGGCAACATGGTGAAACCTCATCTCTACTAAAAATACAAAAGGCCAGGCACGGTGGCTCATGCCTGTAATCCCAACACTTTGGGAGGCTGAGGCGGGTGGATCATCTGACCTCAGGAGTTCGAGACCAGCCTGGGCAACATGGTGAAACCTCGTCTCTACTAAAAATACAAAAGGCCAGGCACGGTGGCTCACACCTGTAATCCCAACACTTTGGGAGGCCAAGGCGGGCGGATCACAAGGTCAGGAGATCAAAACCATCCTGGCTAATACAGTGAAACCCCGTCTCTACTAAAAATACAAAAAATTAGCCAGGCATAGTGGCGGGCGCCTGTAGTCCCAGCTACTAGGGAGGCTGAAGCAGGAGAATGGCGTGAACCCGGGAGGCGGAGCTTGCAGTGAGCCGAGATCATGCCACTGCACTCCGGCCTGGGCGACAGAGCCAGACTCCATCTCAAAACAAACAAACAAACAATCAAACAAACAAAAAATTAGCTAGGCATGGTGGTGCACGCCTGTAATCCTAGCTACTTGGGAGGCTGAGGCAGGAGAATCTCTTGAACCAGGGGGGCAGAGGTTGCGGTGAGCCAAGATCATACCACTGCACTCCAGCCTGGGCATTAGAGTGAGACTCCATCTCAAAAATAATAATAATAATAATAATAATAATAATAATAATAATAAAAAGAAATGTAGAAGAGATTCAAATAAAAAACAGGTGTGTGCACTAGATGGCTAAGATCCTTTGCAATACTGAGATTCTGTGATTCCTTTGATGTTCTCTGATAGAATCTGGTATTTTTGTACAGTAAGCTCTGAAATAAATATTCCAGGATGGAAAGGAAGAAGACTAAAGGCAAGGAAGATAATAAAGAGGCTACTGCTGTAGTGCAAGGGTAACTGACTAAAGCAATGAAAAAGAAAAAACAAATGATAAAGGCAGAAAAAATTTAGGAGTATTCAATAATAAATTTGACAAATGCATGAAAAACAAAGGAAAAGGGGATAGATGTATCATGACTCCACAGACCTAAAAAAGAAAGGTAACTGGGAAGGGATAACTACTTGTGGAACGAGAAAGAATGTAACAAAGTTTTAAACATTTCAAGAATTCATTTCAGTAAAAATTCCTATGGCGGACGGTGAAAGCATCTGAAGATATGTGGTAAAGGTCATCTAAAAATGACCACTAAATGCCTGGATAAAAGGAATTAATAAATTTAATGAAATACTGTCTTTCGGAAATGGGATTATTAGACCTCCTCTTTGAGTGGTACAGATCTGTGCTTGTGGACTGAGGGAGGAGGAAGGCAAAGGAAGTGTAGGAAGGAATAAAGGGTTCTATACCATGTGTTTGTAGTTAGGCAAGATTACCTGCATGTTCTGTGCATTTTATTTTACTTTGCTGTGCACATAGTGTATACACATGGTCCCCGACTTAAACTGGTTTGACTTTTAACAATTTTTTTTACTTTATGATGGTATAAAAGCAATATGCATTTGGTAATGCTCTTCGATTTACAATCAGTTACGACAAGATAAACCCATAGTCAACTGAAAATACTGTAAGTCAAAAATGCACTCTCAACTTAGGATATTTTCAACTTACGATGGGTTTGCTGAGACATAACCCATTGAGGGTTATCTGTACAATGAACAAGCAAGTCCTAATTTTACATCTTGTTGTCTAGATGATAAAGAGGTTGCTAATGTTTGACAAAAGAAGAGATGATGAACTAAAACATATTATATACTTTTCTTGTATGCCCGAAAACTTCATAGGTAAGACTATCTTCTGAAAACAACTTTTGGAACGCTGATATTGTCCTTTGGGCTGATAATGATAAGAAGGAAGTGAGAAGGTGAAGTGTACTTGGCTATAATATTCATATTTAGAAGATACTTTCAGATTATAGCCTTTGTTATATGCACACAATTTAATCAATGCTATCATTATACAGTAGACGTTTGAAACATGTAGTCTTCACAAAATAACACACTTTAAGTAAGTTTATGTCAATTAACAGGAATGACTGTCTTTAGAATGGAACTGTTAAACTTTTATCTCTTTGAGCTACATATTCTTTGCTCATTGGGTAGTAAAGGAGGTGGGAGAGACAGGAAGTGACGGTGGAAGAGTTCTGTGCCAGTGTGTTTTGAGATAAATGCAGATTATCTACTCGTCGTTCTGCAAGTGCATTTACTTAGCATTGTTGAGTATGCAAAGGACAAACAAGGCCCCAATGCTGAGAAGTGCCCAAAGTATGCTGAAAGTTTAAGAAGTAAAATGATTCTTTGATAAATGTCCTCTTGTTAGAGTTTTTAGCAAGGCTTGTTGTCTGGGAGTGACTGTTGTTAACCCATCTCGTAGAGCTATATGCATTTCTGTACTTATTCATTGAGCTGAAGAAGGAAGAAGAAAGGCAAAAGGAAGGTTCTTTGCAAGTATGTTCATATCTAGAAGATAGTTTCATATTGTAGCCACAGTTCTAGGAAGTGATTTTTTAGTAAAGTGCCTCTGTTTATCAGTCCTTACTTCACAACACTAAGCTTTCTAGATGTTATGAGGTGACAATGTATAAAATAGAGCTAGTGAATTAACTAGATAGTAAATTAATTTCATTAGAAAAGAAGCATCTTGGAAATGGCAATGTTAAACCACCTATGAGCAGTATACATCAGTACGTACTGGATTGCTAAGGAAGGGGCAGAAAGAAAGGTAAGGGAAGAGATATATATAGATATGTCCATATTTACAATCTGATTATAACCACTGACATATGTGTGCTTTTTTTTTGGTATACTTTGTGAATACTATATGAATTGTTAAATAATTAAGTAGAAACATCATTTCTGGTAATATTTTAATAGTGCAGATCTCATACTGAACTATCTAAGAAGCATTATACTTACTTGACTGCTTTGTATCTCATTTTATATTGGGTATTAAGTGAACACAGTATTTAACTATAAACCTGCCAATATGCATTTCCAGAGACCTGTTGCCATTTTGTTTTTTAAGATATTTTTGTCCCCACAAAAGATAAGAAAATGTATCGTGAATATTTACCAATGTCTGAATCCTAAAGCCCTGAGTATTTTGATACTCAAGTACTCATGATATGCAAGAAAGCATGGCACATACTATATAAGTGTAACCATGTAAAAAGGTATACTCAGTTATGTATATATGTATACACATACAAGGACTGGAAAGATACATCAGAATGTAAACTGATTCTGTTATGGATGATTTTTTAGTTATATGCCTCTTGTGTTTTTCAGTTTTCTATAATGAACATATTAACCTCTAAAAGTTGAAAAAATATAAATGTTATTTTAAAAAGAAACAAATAAATAATAAATGCATATAAGATCCAAGAAGTTACAGATCAAGGCCAGAACTGCAGATATGGGAAGGGCTATACTACGTGTTTTAATATGTTCTCTTACGTAATCATTTTTAAAACTATGAGCTAAGGTATTATTTTTACCCTCTTTTTAAGGAAGAGGTACTGAGGCTTACAGTGGTAAAGTGACCTTCCCCTGGTAAGGGGAAGACACATCTGGTAAGTGGCAGACCTGGAACTTGAATATCAATTTGCCTGACAAAGCTAAAACCCCAAGGAGAGCTCAGCTATTGACAGCGCTGTGTCTCGGCTTTGTGCCTGACACTCACATTCAGTGTACTTGAGAGCCTGGAAATCTGTATTTTTTTTAACATTAAAAATTCTGGGCCAGGCAGGGTGGCTCACACCTGTAATACCAGAAAAGGTGGGTGGATCGCTTAAGGTCAGGAGTTCAAGGGCAGCCTGGCTAACATGATGAAACCCTGTCTCTACTAAAAATACAAAAATTAGCCAGGCATGGTGGCATGTGCCTGTAATCCCAACTACTCGGGAGGCTGAGGCACAAGAATCGCTTGAACCTGGGAGGCAGAGGTTGCAGTGAGCTGAGATCACACGACTGCACTCCAGCCTGGGTAACAGAGCAAAACTCTAAAAAAAAAAAAAAATTCTGATACACACCAAAGACTGAGAACCACTGTGTTACTGAATAGGAAAGACCCCACCCCGCCAAAAAAAAAAATAAATAAATAAAATAAAATAAAAACAAAAACAAACTGAAGAAATGTGGTGAGCTCTTCAAAGCGAGAACAGACAATGCTCAACAGGAGGAGGCTAGGCTTTGCTGTTATACACTGGGGAACAAGGTATCACTCTCAACTTCCACAGATACTTACTGAGTCTCTATTATATACCCAAGAACTATGCTAAGCCAAGTGCTTTCAGGAGATGAGTAAGATAACCTCTGTTACAAATACCTCAATATTAAAAATCAAAGATACAACTATACAGAACCAACATTTAAAAAGGGCTATGAGGAGCCAAAAAGTAAAACAATTACTTCTATTAGGAGGACGTTAAGTGTGACAGACCTTCCAAAGGCAATCAAGCTGAAACTTGAAGAATGAGCAAATACATGGCATCTTCCCTGCAGAACTTATGTACAGACCTTTATATTTCACTGAAACAACATTCATAAGGTGACTATTCTGAAAAAGTTTCTATTTCTAGTCTATCTTCCCATTTTTATAATGAGGAAACTAAGACCCAAAAGTCACAGCCATTCAATGACAAATCCAAAACTAGACTCCAAGTCTCTTGAAACCTTGTCTATTAGTTTCTCATGAAACCATTATATTTTTTATATTTCTATTTCTCTTCCAGAGTACCTGCTTAGTGATTGCTTTGATCTCCTTAACATTTGACTTTTCAAAAAGGAAGTCTAAATTTGGCAGTGCATGTCAAAAACATTTACACTTGTGAATCCTTTTTGATTCAGCAATTCTACTTCCAGGAATTTATCTTAAAGAAATATGAATGTGTAGAAATATTTAGTTTCTAAGGTGCTTGTTAAACATAGTGTATAATAGTAAAAAACTGAATACAATTTCTAACTAGAGGGGATTGATTAAACAAACCACAGCATTATCATTCTACAAAATAAAGAATGTTGTAGAGAATATTTAAGAAAAACTGTTAACTTACTGAGTGGGGAGAAAACCAGTTATAAAACAGCAAAATGCTTTTTTTTTTTTTTTGGCTCTATGTATATACAGCTAAAACTAGCTGGATGATATACTCCAGAATATTAATGGTACTTTTTCAGGGTTTTTTGTTTTTTACACTGAGTGATTGTTTTATTCTTCTTATTCATCTACATTTTTGAAATTTTCTACAATAAACATGCATTACTACAACTATAAGAACTAATAAAAGTCTTTTCATAAACATAGATCTAAGAGTCCCTCTAAAAGCTGAGGAGAGGACTAGGTGAAAAACAAAGATATTTTTCCTGGATCCCTGGGGCCCACTGGGGAGGCTGCAATAATCTAAAGGCAGTAAGGGGCTTTCTGAATCTAATTCACGTTCCAGAAAACAGTGAAGCTTATTTTGGAGACTGGGAAGTACAGTTTCATATCCAAGTTATGAAATCTAGAATTAAAAAGCCCAACAATAAATCAAATTGTCTTAAGTGGCTGAATCATGAAGCCTAAAGGGCACCAGACTAAGCAACCTGGATTCCAGCCCCAGTAGACAAGCAGTGACTTTAGCCTAAATAAGTTGCCTTATTCTTCTGAGGTCCCAATGTCCTCATCTACAAAATAAGAATGACACAGGTAAGATCAGCATTTCTCAAACTGGTGTTCCTTGGAAACATAAATAGGTCTGTCTTCATGTAAGCATGTTAAGTTTAAATAAATTTGGTAAATGCTACACTAGATTATTCCTTAGGTCTCTGATTCAAATATATAATTACCTTAGTGCATTTAAATCTATAGCTATAGATACACTGTCTACTTTTGATTTTCTCATAATAGAGAGGAATACTAGATAATATGAAATAGATGACAATCATCCAAAGAAAAATTCATACCTTGACAGGAGCAACTGAAAACAGGAAGCAAAGGGTTTAATAATAGCAAGAGGGGCAAAAATAGCACTCAAGTAAGATAATAAAAGTCATAAATTTAAACAATGTCTTTCAGTCTGTTTTGTCTCTCCTTCCAAATGATCTTTTTCTTCAAGTTATTTTATGAGTTGCTAAAATATTATAAGTTCAACCCATTCCTTTTTTTTTTTTTAAAGATTCATTTCTAGATAACATGAAAAAAAAGGGTTCGATCTTTTGACTGTGGCAATAAACTATCATCTGCCTATCCTTGGTCTGACACAGTATCCCACCTGGAGCCATTACGACTTATAAGACAAATCCAAATTTTGGAGAGTTGAGTTCTATTTCATTTAGTATCACCCATGGTCATACTGCAATAGCCAGATAAAGATCAGACTACAGAGAATTTGTAACTCATTTAAGTGAGTCTTCCCCATCTCCCTTTCTCTAAGCTCATCACAGCCACAATTGGCTCCCTCAGTAGTCACAGAGGAAGCCAAAGTAATCAGGTAACACATACAAAAGTAAAAAGTAACAACAAAGAGAAGTTTTACAGAAAGAGACGTCTAGTAACACAGGAAAGTGTAAGGTAAAGGGGTAGTTGTGAATCAACATGGAAATGTCCCTGGAATGCACTAATAACCTTCAATGTGAATAATTCTCCTGTGTATATTTGAAATTTGATGGGATATATCTAACGTGTGGATTAGCAATATACTAATTATAGGTTTATCCTACAGTAACCAGTCATTATGAAAAGGTGCTTAAGTCTTGCTAAGATTTCTCCCTCATGATGGGATTCTAGATAGAATTTAAAATCAAAGCACTTAAAAAAATCATATCATCGAGGATAAATTCAAGTAAATACTTGAGCAAATAGCATAGACGTTCAAGCTACAGATGTGTGCATCTTTATAAGTTTGCAGTCACTTGAGTAAAAAGAGGATTTGTAAGAAAAGGATTCAAACTATTACTTGCTCTGATAAAAGATACTGTATTAAAGCCAGAGGTGTTGGTAAAGAAGTCAAAGCCACAAATAAATCTTTGAATATCTAATACAGTACCCATAATAATTTTCAATGCCTAATTTTGCACTATGACTAAAATGATATATGGAAGGGATTTATTGCTATCTTCTGTAACTTCCTTTACAAACCTGAAATAACATTATGTTAATTCTTTAAAAAGCAAAAACGTGAAACCCAAGTTTCTTGCAGGTTTTTTTTTTTAAAGTATGACCATATTAAACATATTAAAGGTAGACTGCTCTAAGTAACAAATCATATGGAATTCCAAGGCAAGTCTTATTTGAATCATGGTAGAAGTACTCTCAAATAATACCATTTAAGTCCTGGGTAGCTTTTTACTAGCATTATTGTTAACATTCTAATTCTTCTCTTCCTCTGACATCCTATTCTCTATTGTGTCTATCAAGATAGCTGTTGTTTTTCCAAGTTAGTGTATCACATATAAGATACACTTTCTTATATGTGATAGAAAATTTATAGAGGTGATAGAAAATTTATCTGCTCCTCTCCGATGTAATGTGATAAAAATTAAATATAAATCAGCCAAAGTATGACTTCACAAATAAAGAAAAAATATTTCGAAGTGTCCCCTTGACTACCTTATCAACAAACACTGTTCAAAATGGGTAATTATAAAACAGCATAGGAGGAAAATCTCAGGTGTTAACTATTTTCAACAGCAACAAAATTTAAGATAAGAAGAAAACACATCTTAACATTAGATTAAAGGGATTGGGTTATAAATTTTTGCCTTTTACAGAGCTCCAAAAGTGCCTCTTGGCAATATAATCATACCAAGTAACTATCATCCATGGAGTGTTTGACAGTCAGCCAGGTACTGTGTTAGAAAACTTACACACATTAATGTTACCTACCAATAAACAATTTTTCAGGCAAGGGTACCAAGGCTCAAGTAGCTGAGCGCCCAGGGCCCTGCCGCATTGAGAAGCCTAGGGCCATACAAGTGAGTAGAAAGGAGACGCAATGCCAACCTTGTTCTGGTGTGTGCCTAGGAGCCTTCTTACTGCTGAGGAAGAGACGCTAACTTACCATGACGGGACTTGTGTGGATGCAGATCTGCTAATACTATTTAACTTTTTAAAAAATAAAATGTTATCTGTGTGCTTTATCACAGAAAAAAACCCAAGATACACTACTAGGTTGAAAAAAAAAAAAAAGTCAGGCACAGTGGCTGATGCCTGTTATCCCAGCATTTTGGGAGGCTGAGGCGGGAGGACTGCTTGAGGCCAGGAGTCTGAGACCAGCCTGAGCAACATAGTGAGACTCCAATTCTACACAAACACACACACACACACACACACACACACACACACACACACACACACACACACACAAATTAGCTGGGTGTAGTCCCAGCTACTTGGCAGGTGGAGGTGGGAGGACTACTTGAGCCCAGGAGTGCGAGGCTGCAACGGAGTATGATTGCACCACTGCACTCCAGCCTGGGCAACAGAGCAAGACCCTGTCTCAATAAATGAATGAATGGATTGATTATATATTATTGTATAAATACTTAGGAAAGGGTTTGAAAAATTCATACCAATCTCTTTACAGTGTCTACCTCTAAGAGAGGGAGTAAAACTGGAGTGGGTAGAATGAAGGGAGATTTCACTTTTTACTCTATCTGTGCTGTTTTATGAGGATGCATTATTTTTATAATGTGTTTCTATTTAAAAATAGAAAATACATGTGTGCATTCACATGCACACAAACTCACACAGACGCAATATTGACCTGATGCCCTTAAATGTGAACACTCTTGTTATAGTGCCCTTACATAAGAATGGCAGTTCCCAATGAAGCAAATGGTAGCTCACAAGTACCCAAGAAAATACTCTTCCTTTTCTTATTTCTGGAGCCTAGTGCCATTCAGGACCAATCCAAGAGGTCTTTCCTAAATTCAGAATCTAAGAGGATCTACATGGATTTAGTAATGAATTATAAACATCATATCTGCTTTGACTTTTAAAGATATGGCTCAGTCTTGCTCTTTAAATGCATCTGCTGCTTCTCCATGTGGCCTACTTTGCTAATCTGGTTCACAATGCACCTTATGTTTTACACAGTACTGCTTTGGGATGTGCAAATACAGTGTTACTCCCACACAGACTGTAAGTATCATGAGGGCAGGGCTTGGATCAAACTGTCTAAGTGTTCTATTTAATTAATCAAGATTAATCAAGTTCCTGGCATTTATTTATTTCCTGAAAACTTATAAGCCAGACACCATGCCGGGAGGAGAGAATACGACAGTGACCAAAATAAACAAGGCCTATTCCTTACTGAAGGTATACTATGTTTGTGAGGGCAGGGACATGGAGAGAGGACTTGGAATACAGACATGTAATAAGCAATTATAATACAATGTAATAATGCATAAAATAACATGGAGCTATTAGAACACACATGAGGAACATTAAAGCCTACTCATTCTAGAAACAGTGAGTTCAAAGCTTTGGCCTGAAGAGTGAACAGGAATTGGATGAAAAGATGGTTAAGAAAAAAAAAAAGCAAAAAAAAATAACCCTAGGATATAGAGGTAAGAGAAAGTAGCATGGCAAATTAGAGGAACTGAAAATAGCACAGGCTGGCTGGAACCCAGAGTATGGGGGAGGGGCACGGGCTGAGAGGCGAAGCAAGAAAGTTTAGCAGGAGCCAGATCACACAGGGCTTGTAAACCATGTAAGGAGTTAAGGCGGGCTGCTAAAGAGTTTGAACCAGTGCAGTGACAGGATCAGACTTGCCTTTTTATAAAAATCACTCCAGTTACAGTGTGGAGAATGGATTAGAGAAGGGCAAGGCTGAGGGCTTATGGAGCAATTCAGGCAAGAGATAATGGTGTCCTGAAGGAAGAGTGGCAGGGCGAGGTAGAGAGAACTGGAGGGATTTCAGAGAGATTGCGGAGATTGCAGAATTGACGGTCTATTCTGCGACTTACTGGAAGTGGGAGGTGAGGGAAAGAGAGGAGTTAAAGGTGTCCAGATTTTTGGCTAGAGTATTGCCAGAGATAGAAAACACAGATATAGATGCATGTTTAGAGAGGACTGAGGGGGCAACTGAATGTGTTTAATTTCAAGCTTACTATGTGATCATGAAATACCCAACACATTATGCTGGTACAAATCCAGAGTTCTAAACTGAGACCGAGGTGGCATATGCATATTTGAGAGTTAGCAGCATAAAGATACTAATTGAAGCTATGAAACAGATGTGATTAATTTGGAGGAGAATAATTAGAGAAAAATAATAGGTCAAAGACAGACTCCTGAGGAACCCCAACATTTTAAGGGACACAAAAGAGGTTGAAAAGAGACAGCCAGAGAGGTAAAAGGAAAACCAGAAATGCTTGGAGTGAGAAAAGCCAAGTAAAGAGGGTATTTCAAGCAAAAGTAGTCAACAGTGTGTTTCCTAAACACGTGCAGACTGATTGAAGCTAGGCTTCAATAAATTGAAATGCCAGTAATTCTTCCTCTCTTCAGTTCAGCTTCCAGTTTCCTTTCACGATATTGAAAATATGTGCAATGATATTCTCTACTTTTCCAAAACTATGTTCTCCTGAGTTTCTCATTTCCAACATTTTCTCACAAGACCTGAGTCTCACCTCCAATTCTGTCACCCACAATAACTATTGCCAAATTCTGCCAGTTTCATGTCTGCAATTTTTTCATGTATTTTCTTCCCATTCCATTCCTGTTGCCTTCACCCCAATCCAGATTCTAAGTACCACACACTGGACAGCAATAGTCTACTGGTCTCTAAGACTATTCGCCTCACCTTTTCTCTAAGGCATCTGTTCAAAAAATTTCATTCATTTTGCAAATATTTACATAGGCCAGTGCTTCTCAAACTATGTATGCTAAGGTCCAGCTGTATTTTTTTTCCTTCTAAATTTCCAATCCATTGCAGACCAACATTTTTGTAAAATATAATTTTAAAAAAATTGTGATAATGTCAAATTGCTATAAACATTTGTAATTACTTATTCTTAATTTCCAATATTTGTCTTATTGTGGACTGGTAACAGTGGTTCATGGTCCAACAATGACCTGCAACCTACATCCCAACACCCCTGATGTTGATAATACATGGATAAGAAGACATTACAGTTGTGCCTTCAAAGGCCTTTGAGCAATGGTTCTCAACACAGGACAGTTTCATCACATTTCTTTTAATCGTCACTGGGGCTCGGAGTGGTGAGGAAGGGAAGTACTGACATCAAGTAGAGGCCAGGGATGGCGCTTAACATCCTATGATGCACAGGTCAGGCGCCCTACAACTAAGAATTATCCAGCCTAAAATGTCAATAGTGCCAAGGTTAAGAAATTCTGCCTTAGGAGTGTAATGCAAATGAATAATTACATTAAGAACACAGCTGGATTCTAAGTATATACAAGGTGCAGGGAAACACAGGAGAAGCACCTGAGTCTGTCTGGAAGGTTCTGAGTCTGTCTGGAAGCTTAAACAGGGACAGTACTTTAAAAAGAGTCCACATCTCCTCACAGATTTCCACAACCCAACCCAAAACTAACTTTTTAATCCTATTTCCTGTTTCTTCCAAACAACAGCTCTGTTAGACTGGTCTAAGTCATGAAGTCTATACCGTGTTTAGTCTGTCACTCTTCCCAGGATATGGACAACTATCCCCTTCCCTCCTGCTATCCAAAACCGCTCAGCATTTAAGGCCTTACTCAAGCTCTGCCTCTTCTATGAAGTCTTCTCGATGTGATTCCCTTTCAGTTCCTGTAGGGCTTATCAATTGTACTGCTCATCTGGCACTTAATCAAATACTGGCCTTTGATATCACTTGTTACGTTGCTTAATTTTTTAATGATTATTTAATTTTAACATTTATGTTCCCTCTCCAGGTTGACAGTTTAAGACAGCTTCTCTGACACACCCATTCCAGTTCCTTCCTTCCTGTATTCTGCTACAACACGTGACAAAAAACACATGAAAAAAGTGGCATTAGGTATTACAGCCTACCACCAAATCTTCATGTCTCTTGAGCTCATGACAATTTGAACACATCAGATTACTAGAAAAGTTAGTTATTTACAATGCAAAGGACACCCAGTCCCCAGACCAAATAATTATACAGCTCAAAATCTCAATGGTGCCATGGTTGGCCCTTGGCTAGAACAAAGGCTGCCTCAATGATTGCTTCAAAGGTCCCCAAAAAAGTGAAGCTAGAAAGCCCATTAAAATGGTTTTACACGATGGGCTTTCATGGGAGAATAACATGTAATGGTTAAGGAAATGAAATCTGGGGCTCAACTGCCTGGGTTCAAATCTGACTCTACTACTTACTAGCTGTGTGTCTTGGACCCATTACTTCACCTTTTTGAGACAGAGATTCCTGCTCCATAATATGGAGACAATACAGTGTCTACTTCTGAAGGTTGTTGTGAGGATTAATAAACACAATAATAAAGCACACAGAACAGCGTCTGGCATTATATAAGTATTAGCCACCACCCTCATTATAATCACCAACTTACGTATGGGAGTAACGCAGGAGAAAACACCAACCGCTTCACTTCAGGAGTCATGGGAATTCGATTCCTCAAGAGAATGGTTTTTGAAGACTAAAAACAAATTCACGCCCAGTTCCTCAAATGTCAGAAGCTCTGCTCTCCCTCAGCTCGCTCTGCTCCCACTCTTTCTTCTTTAATGCTGCCTTGGCTGCCTAAAGGCCTGGATGCAAATGTTCTCATGTTTGAAGGGCAGACTACTTACACCATTACTATAATGCAGAACATTCTGGGGGAAAGCAGTTTGTTATATATGGAGAAACTTTTTCTCTTCTTGACCAAATAGGATAGGTGTTCTGTCTACCCTCTAAGGGGCTGCCAGCAAAGCCCTTGGAATCCAGGCCTTTTACCCTGCACTCTCCTCCTCCACAGAAAACTTCATGAAGGCGGAAGGATGTACCTGTTTCCTGCTGACTTTCCATGCTGATGGTAGAGTCACCCCAAGAAACATACTGTGATATTATCTTTTGTCTGTTGGCTTTTAAAATCACACATTAGAAATACAATAAAACATTCAGACATAAAGGTAAAATTGAGTAAAAGAACAAAACTTTCCCTTTATTCCCCATCTTAGCTTCCCTTCCATGGAAGTAAACACTTTTTTTAATTTTTAAATTAAATTTTTAAATTAAAAAAATAAATAAATGAGACAAGGTCTCACTATGCTGCCCAGACTGGTCTTGAACTCCTGAGCTCAAGTGATCCTCCCATCTCAGCCTCCCAAAGTGCTAGGATTACAGGTGTGAGCCACCACATTCAGCCATAAACCTTTTTTCAATTTAATGTATGTCCTTAGAGATTTTTAGAATGCATTTGCTTTTATATATTTTTTATTAACACAAACATGTCTCTACATTTGGAGCTATATCATTTTAAGATTGCCTCTAACCGGTTTCTTACTGGTGGGCACTCAGGTTAACACTTAGATCTCAACTTTGTAGTGACCCAACTGTTGATCTGTAAGTAACTCAACTGTAGTTGCCAGGAAATCTAATCCATTTGGTGACTCTGTAGACAGCACTACCTCTCCAAAAGATTTGTTTCTTAAAGTCTGTCTATAAATGCAAAATGCCAGGTGAATTTACATACAGTTTGACTTTCAGATATAAGCACAACTACTGTTCAAATATACATTTAACTTAAAAATTTAAAACCAATGGAAAAATTAATTCAAGGTTAAAAAAATTACAATTTATAGAAAGTTATCTAAAGTATTTTTTAGGGTCTATGTTTTGTCTCTAAATCCTGATCTAGAGATTTTTGAAATCACATGGTCTTAAGCCATTTTATTCTTCTAATTAAAAAAAAATCTTTATAAATTTCCTGACCTGAAGTTTTCAGTAAATTATTACATTCTTCGTATCCAGGTATCATCTATAAGTACTTAGTGGAGAACAGGAAGGCAGAAATTTTGCATCTCTAACTAGTGAGCAACTGCTGTCTTTTCCTCTGCTAATAAATTACAGGCAGACTTGAACAGATGTCAGGTTGGCATTCAAAACCTAAAATATAGCTGAAAAGCAAGTTATGACTAATACAAGAAAAAAAGATGAATGTCAGAAGGCTTCATTTTTTTTTCTTTTTTTCAAATTTCAGATAAGCTCTTTAGCCTTAGGGTTCCTTTTACAGAGCCCTGGAGTTCGCCTGGATGTCTTAACCCCCATTTAAAATGCAATCTCTCCTCATGAGTGGGGGTGTGAAAATGCATTTTAAGAGTGTCAGTGTTTATGTTAATCTTAGCAAGAACTCCCTCTCTCCAAAATATGGCATGCACAAAACCTTAGTGCCCTTTCTTCCACTATGTTTTATTTGCACTGTTTTTAGTATGTGAAAGATGTCTGTGTGATTGAAAGGTTCCTTATCTTCTCAGCAGTTCTGTTTCATAGAGTAACTACAATTTCACTTATGATATCAGAAAAGAGTTGCTTTCCTCTTGAATTTCAAAAGAAACCTTAAAAATACGATTGAAAATGGGCTTACAGAGGGAGACACTGGGGAAAGGAGACCAAAAAGAACACAGTGTCAGTTTCAAAGAATGGGGGCACAAGACCATAACAAGTGGCTTTCCTCCCCACTAGGTGGCCTGAACATCTACACCCCACAGATCCACTGAAAGACAGTGTGAGGCTGAGGTCTTCCCTCTTTACATCCTTTTCCTTCTAGATCTTTCCTTGGGTAGATGTGAACCTATTCCCAGGATTACATTAAGAGACGCTGACTAATTCTTTAACAATTATTCCACTGTTCATTGAAAACGATGTGTTTTTTTGCTTTGACATTTATAATTTAGAGAGAATTGCCAGGGATGCTGAAAAAATGAAGTTTCTTGGCAGAAACGCTATCTTTGCTAACAAAATAGCTACAGTGAGAACTGAGGTAATCAATCATTTATTTATCCTGAACACTGTCCACAAAACTGCATACAGGGGAATAAGTGTGGTAAATGTCCGAACACAAGTATTCAGTATCTATTCAGTTAACACCTGAATATGCTGAAAGACAGCAATCAGCTGTTGAATTTATTCACCCATACTTCCAGATACCAGCTTTGATGTTCACATTTCTACCCTGGGACTCAAATGTGGCTTCTATTAGCCCATAAAATTATGGATTTAAGGTAATTCTTAATTAAAAATCTGTTTTGTGGGGGGTTGGAAGGCATTCTAACTAAATATCTATTTGGTATTTACTAAGTGCAAGGTATAGGTTTAGTTTTCTTCGCTCGTTGCTCTCATATCCTTCCAAGGAAGGGCTGCCCCACTTGGGTTTGGGTGAGCTCAACTGCTTCAGACAAGGGGAAAACTCAACAGTTACTCTGATTAAAACAATAACAAAAACAAAAGTCTAAATTGATATTCCCCTAAATAATCCCTTTTCCTTTATCCCTCAGTCTAGAGAGCTTTATGTGACTTCCTTTCTCCTTTAAGGGTTTCCTTGATTTTAATTCTACAAAAATATAACAAAAGTACAAAAGCAGAAAGGCATACATTATCTTCTTCTTTTTTTTTTTTTTTTTTTTTTTTTTTTTTTGAGATGGAGTCTCGCTCTGTCGCCCAGGCTGGAGTGCAGTGGTGCGATCTCGGCTCACTGCAAGCTCCGCCTCCCGGGTTCACACATCCTCCTGCCTCAGCCTCCCGAGGAGCCGGGACTACAAGCGCCCGCGACCACGCCCGGCTAATTTTTTCTGTTCTTAGTAGAGACAGGGTTTCACCGTGTTAGCCAGGATGGTCTCGATCTCCTGACCTCATGATCCGCCCACCTCGGCTTCCCTAAGTGCTGGGATTACAGGAGTGAGCCACCGCACCCGGCCTAAGGTATACACTACCTATTTGAAAGACCTTCAAGAGAGAAACTAACAGATTGGAAACTCCATGACAGTTATTTTCAAGTATATTACCTCATTGGTTCCCTAATTTTACTGCTTAATTGTGTGCCTCTCATTAAGTCCTTTAGTCCTCCTATATCTCATCAGCAACATTCTGTTCGTAGCTAAACTATATTTTTCAATTTTGAAAAGGCAACATGAAGTTTTATAGACAAAAAGAAAGAACTCTGTTACCTAGAAGCATAATTATCAGTCTGATGAACATAATGACAGAAGAGAAGAATATTCTAAATTTATCACTTTGTAAATTTGAAAATTGATATATAGGCAAAAAATCCACTTAGTTAAGATTCCTGTTTACGAAGTAGACATCACTTTAGACTCCATGGTAAAGACAGTAATTTGGTCTCAAGCCAAAAGTAAAGTTTTCTGCTTAAAACAAAAAAGCCCCATAACCTACATAAATTATTCTTTTCTAATCTTTTTTAAAAATTAGAACTGATTTAACCAGTCATACTCAGTGTCCAGCTGAATCCCCAAACCATATAGATCTGTCTATTTAGTTAACAAAGAGTGGGGGAAAAAAATCCATGTTGTTCCCACCTGACATGTCAAAAAAAAAAACAACACAGAATATGCATAAAAATAATTTGTATAATTTTATTTATATTCTGTCAAAATATAACCATTTTTATTTATATACCTTTACCAAAGCCTAAGGAGAACTTTATAACCACACTGTAATTGGAGTGCAAGAAAGGATTTTACTATATAATTCCCCCAAAATTCAAAGGAAAAAAGAAGCCTCTATTGGAAGACAGGGAATTATACATGCATTACAAAAGAATTATTTCTCAGCCATTTAACCATTAAAAAAAAAAGAAGAAGCTTTACTTTTTTTTAGATACCCAGAAACTTCATCCAGAATAAAGAAAATAAGTTTTTCAATTCAGCTCAAAAGCCAGGACAGCTTTATACTAGTTTGTCTTTTCAATGAAATTGGTAACAAATGCTTCCTGATGGCAAAAAGCCATAAAGAGAAAAAAAAAAAAAACTTTTCCAAAAGGATAGAATTCATTTTTTGTCTAATTAAATTAGTGTAAAAATATTAGAAAAATAAATCCATAAAAAAGGTTCTGGACAGTGGCACTCACAAAATTCAAATCCATAGTGCTTAGTCAAAAAACACATCAAAAACAACAAAAAGCACACTACTGTAATTCAGCTCATTTCAATACGGATATCAGAAACAGATGAAATTCACTAACAAATTCCAAATCTGTTCTGATTTAATTTAAAACTCTCCAACAGCTGGCAAGGTCACAAACTGACCAATGTGAGACCAACTCCTTTACGCATTATCTACCCAACGCATACTGACGTTGCGCGTAGCTTCAAGTGCAGGATCTAGATAATGCACAAATAGCAAACTAGTATCTGAATAACTGTTATCTTCAATAGCTTCCAAACAGTGAGAAAACATTTATAATTAAAAGAGACGGCTTACTACCAATGCAGTTATTTTTCTACTTTTTGGCTAAACAGTATAAATGTTCTAAGAAACAGAATCATTAGACTCTTCCTGCACTAGATCTCAGTTCTGAAAACCAGTAAAAACATTCCACAAGAATAACTTAGAACATTTGGAATCATCTTTTTATCCCTGCTTTTACCCAAAATACACTTAAACAATATTTTCATGTCTTGATCGAAAATACACATTACCAAGATAGTGAACTACCACATTTTAAAATATTTTCCCAATTAAAATTCTGCTTTTAATGGACGTGGCCTTTGTATCTTTGAGATAAAAAGTATGCTATTGCCATTTCAAGGTGTATAAAACTCAGGTGATGAGGGTCTCTGTCATTTTCTCTTAATCCAATTCCAAACTCGACCTTTACTCAGTGAACAGGTGTGTGCCGTGCCTGTAATTTATCAGAGTGAGCGACCAGGCAGAAAGGCTACCAACAATAGAAGGCTAATACAATCCAAGCACTTAGTGCCTAGAAAGCAGTTCTTATCCCCACTATAATAAATATACTTTTATCTTCCAGTAGCAATTTAAAGATAAAGAATGATGGGGATGAGCGGAGTAATATATTCATATTCCTTCCATTTTTTTTTTGGATGCTGTTTTTACACTAATAGTCTGCCAGAAGCTGTTATGTTATACATTCCTTTCTCAGATATTCTGTTGCTCACATTCCAATCCAACGAATGATATGGACATGAAAACAGTCATGACAGCATTTCCACTGGGCAAATAAAGTCACTTCACACAGATAAATTAAATAAACCTTCAAGAAGAAAGTGGTAAACGAATAGTGCACTTCTTTGTATGCAATATAGAAACTCCAATGTATATCCTGCATTTGTCTTTTGGGATCAAACTTATTTAATTTAAAAATATGCAAGTACCCATTTATTAGGTATGAAGATGTACTAACTGGGTAATGCAACAGTACAATAAAAAGGAACGGCAGCTAATGTCAGAACAATGCACACAGCCTAATAGATAGTTATTATTCAGCAGGGTACATCTGACCCATAGTGATCTTTAGAGTCAGGTGAACTTTCTAAATATGCCCTATAGAAAAACATTCTTACGCAAATAAATAAATAAAATGGAGTCACTACTAGTATTATTACTGTCAGGGGAAGTTTCTAAATATGCCCCATAGAAAAGCATTCTTCAATAAATAAATAAACAAAATGGAGCCACCACAAGTCTTATTTCTATGATTTCCCCATAAAATTAAAATGTAATTTTAAAAGTTCTGGTATTATAAAGTTTTTCAGAAAATTTATCTGTTCATTTTTAAAGAAAAAGACAAAAATAATGGGTCTGAAAAATAATTTCAAAACTATTGAAAAGAGATTCTTCATTGCATTAATTTTTTTAACAACACAAGATTTTATAACATTTTCCTTTTTAAACTTACCCATCTGCTCCACAATCTCTGGAGGAAATACTCGGGAAGCAAATGCTCGTCGGAAAATATCTGAAAATTCCTTGTCTAGACCTCCTATTCCCATTTTTTCAAAGTTCCAGTCAGGATTGATAATTGATTGGCGATTTTCCTTGGTTTTAGCTTTGCCTATGTCAAACGAATATTATCAAATGTGAAACAAGGACTTTATCACTAAGTCTAAAAAGACAGACAGAACTCCCTGAGCATCCTAAATGAATAAAGAAAAGCTACCCTTACATATACAAAACGAACAATATAATCTTAGCTGATTTTACAGTCAGAAGGGTAAGTTTTGCTATGCTATCTACTTTGTCTGATCTCCATATATGGTAACACACTGTCAAAATGACTAGCTAAACTTATGCTGTAGTCTATTTGTATCAGTCCATAAAACTTAGTTTTATTAACCTTCAATCTAACTAAATTAACTAACTCGGTTGATCAGAAGAAATGCCATATCTGATGAAGACAACACTAGCTGGCAGAAATGCAACTGAAATCTCGCAGTCACTGAAGTCTCCTAACGCAAGTTTATTTTAAAATACATATATTTATCCAGATTAAGCTTATACAGGTAATTGGGCATATAACCCCTCAGCCTAAGGAAATATACTGAACAAGTTTGATGTCTTCTTTGCTTTCTCTTCACTTGGACACAAAAGTCTGAAATCATCCTAAAGACTTCAATGATTACAAAACTCATGTTTAAAAATTCTCAAGAGGACAAAAATTATCTAACTTAAATGTCAGAGTGCCACCTAAAGTAACTCAAGAGAACCACATTTACTATTTCAAACAAAGAATAAATTAAGTACCTTAGTATGCTCTATTATAAACAAAAAATAAAGTAATAATATGGTTTTTATAAAACCAGGGAAGAAAATGTCACATTAAAAAAAGTTTATCCTAAGAAATGCTAAATATTTGAGGTGATATGTTAATTAGCCTGATTTGATCATTCTACAATGTATACATGTATTAAAATATCAAATTGTACCCTATAAATATATACAATTATTATCTGTCAATTAAAAATAAAGTAACGCTTTTTAAAAGTTTATACTAGATGATAATTTTATGGTTAGAGTTTTGAGGCCTTAAGATTTCCTTTGGAAAGCGATGAAAAATATTTTTTTCTTACACTCTACTGCCCTCTTGTGGGCAAAATTTACTGAATGCCAATTAACTACACAATTTTTTTCCCATGGATTACTTAGAAATACCTATGAAAGTTATGCAACTCCCTTGGGATATCTTAACAAAAGGTACACAAAAATAAAATACAAAGAAATCACTTCATAAATGTACTAGATCAATAACAGGAAAATACATCCTACCTTCATAAAATGACATACAGGCATTAAAAATCATGTTATAGGTGTATATTTAAGATGTTTGAAACATGCTAAGCAAAAAAAGCAAATTACAAAACTATGAAAACAGAACCAAATTTTACAGTGTGTGAATTGTTTTCGAATGCCTATCCATATTTTATAAATAAAATATTTTATAATTAACAAAAAACAATAAGGGGGAATGGTAATTTGTGGACCAGGAAATAAAGGCCACGCACTCAAAGACTGTTAAGTGACCCTGGACATGATGATGTGCAACCAATGAAAACCCTCTACTCTCTAGTAGGGTAGACATCAACATAGTTAAATCAACCAAAAATAAGAATTAATGCCCAGTTAATGTCACATTATTCTGGTGAGTTACTATTCTCAGAGAATAAGCTGCAATTGTTTTAATATGACAAAAATTGTGCTAGAGTACAAGAGTAGGACTGAACCATGAATCTGCTGGGAAGACTTGACCTGCACATTCATCACTTAATCACTAAAAGAAATGATGATGCTATCTCATTTAACACAAAACCAAGTGAGGGGCATTCTACAAAATAACTGACCAGTTCTCAAAGTCATAAAAGACAAAGTCTGAGGAACTGTCAGTGACTGAAGAAAACTCAAAAGACAGAACAACTAAATGCAATATGGGATCCTAAATTAGATCTTGGAACAGAAAAGGACACAATGGAAAAACTGGTGAAATCTCAATAAAATCTGTAGTTTAGTTAGCAGAAATGAAACCATGTTCATTTCTTATCATTGTACTTTTGAAAATGTCAAATAAGACATTAACATCAGGGTAAGCTGGTAAAGGGCATACAGAAATTCTCTGAGCTATTTCTGCAAATCTGTGAACCTAAAATTATCTCAAAATTAAAAGTTAAAAAATTAATTTGTTTCTTATTTTAGTGCAATTTCTAGGAAATTAAAAATTACACATGTGGCTCACACTCTATTTCTATTGGACAAAGTTGATCCAGATGAAGGTTTTAAACGTTTTCATCAGCAAACTGACCAACAGGAAATACCCCATGCTTCTGTGATAAACTCTCTCAAGAGAGATGCCCCTCTTTCCTTTCCCCATTTGGAAATCACTGTAGTTGAGTTACATATAGAAATAGGCCCACTTCATTTCAAATCTTCTAAAAACTGTAAATCTTACCAATAAGATTAAGTGACGAATTTTCTGCTTTTTCAAATGCAACTTGACTGTTTCCAACAACCAGTCCTACTTCAATCTGTAGAGAAAGACAATAATTAGTAGTCTAATAGCAAACTTCTGGACTTCTCAAAGCAAGGCCAAAAGTGAGGGGGAAATGAGGTCTCTCTGGGCAAAGCAAACCTTCCAGACTATCATCTGAGCTACTTTTACTTTTCTCATAACTTTCTTCTACAATTCTTACATGCCTTATTTCCATGCCTATATCTTTCCAATAATGCGTTTCTTATTATTTATTTACAATAAATATCTGCATTCAAGCAAATTATATGTACATATATGTCTACATTTTACATTAATATTAGGTCTGCAAATAAATACATTTTAAGCTATATTTTAATAACAATGATGGCTACGAAAGCAATTTTTTCTCCCTACTATCTTAAAAGGGTACACAATATGAAAAAAATCACTAAGCAACAGATAGGAAAATTATAATCAATCTGCACAAATTACATTATAAAGATGATCTAGTAAAGATGATCAGAAATAAAAGCTACCTTCTGCCTTTTCCCTGTCGCAGGCTCTCCCTTCAGGATGCTAGGATCCATGGCTTCAATGTCCTTCACCAGTAAGCCAAAAAGCTTTTCATTGAAGCTAAAGACAAGCTATGTAGAAAAGAGGTAAGGGGAGAAAAATCACTTCATAATATAATGGTTTGATCCTCAGATCATCACCAATGTTTTTCAAATGCAGAAAACCAGTTTATCTTATATACTCCTCTCCAATCTGCTCCTCAAACAAACTACTCATAGCCAATGAAGAAAAGGGAATTAGCACTTACGATCAGTGTTTACAAAATGACTGCAAAACTCATGTTTAAAATTTCTTCCACATGGATAAAAAATATCTAATTTAAATGTCAGAGTGCCACCTAAAGTAATTCAAGAGTACCACATTTACTATTTCTAACAAAGAATAAAGTTTCTTAGTATTTTATTCAAACACTACAGCCAGTTATATAATATTCACAAACACTCTTGGAAGCAGAAACTACGACTCCATTTTACTAGTGAGGAAGCTGAGATGCAGAAACAGGCTATGCAACAAGGCTCAAAGTCACAGTAAATGAGAGCGCCAGAAGTCAACCCTGGGTCTGTGACTCTACAATTCCTGCTTTTCTATCACTAGTACAAAATGCTTGCCCTACAAGTGCAGAGACAGCTTCTGAATGCTCAATTACTCATTCACCAAATCTTTGCTGAGTCCCTTCTAAAAGTTTGGTCTTCTTCTATGTGCTGGGGTATAATGGTAAATATTACAGGTTGGGCTGTCTGTCCATTCTGCTACTACGAGATACCACAAATGAGAAGAAACAGTAAGGACAGTGATCTGGAGTAAGATATTTACTTCTTCTCTGAATTACGAAAGATTCTCTTTCATGGATTTACTGACTTCTACATGCTACTGAGTTTTAAATTATTATAAATACCAAAGCATTTTCTATTAAACATTCTCCTAAACATTTTCTATTAGGATACTAAAACTAAAAGCAAAGGTAAAAACCATCAAGTTTAGCTAGGCAATCTGAGCACAATTTTGGTCATCCAATACACAACAGCACCGCAATAGCTCTCTGGTGAATTGTCCTGATCTACTTTCATCAGAGACCTAACTGTACATGGTATTCCTGTCTTATTTTCTGTTTTCTTCAACTAGAAAGTAAGTTCTATGACAGCAGGGATCATATCTATTTTGTTCACTGCCGATCTGCAGTGTCTAAAACAGTGACTGGTACTAGGCACTAGGTACTATCAAATATGTGTTTAATTAATTCTTATCTCAACTATGTCCCTTAGCTGTGTAGCCATGGGCATACCATTTACCTTCTTTAGATCTTAAATTCCTCATTTGGCCAGGCGTGATGGCTCACACCTGTAATCCCAGCACTTTGGGAGGCCGAGGTGGGAGGATCACTTGAGGTCAGGACCAGCCTGGCCAACATGGCAAAACCCCATCTCTACTAAAAATACAAAAAAAAAATGGTTGGGCATGGTGGCTCATGCCTGTAATCTCAGCACTTTGGGAGGTCAAGGCGGATGGATCACCTGAGCTCATGAGTTCGAGACTAGCCTGATTAACATGGTGAAACCCCATCTCTACTAAAAGTACAAAATTAGTCGGGTGTGGTGGCGCATGCCTGTTATCCCAGTTACTCGGGAGGCAGAGGCAGGAAAATCACTTGAACCCAGAAAGCGGAGGTTGCAGTGAGCTGAGATGGTGCCGCTGCACTCCAGCCTGGATGACAGGGTAACACACCATCTCAAAAAATAAATGAATAAATAAATAAAATTTTAAAAAATAAAAAAATAAAATTCCTCATTTGTATATGTGGAGTTACATAAGGTAATCTCTTGAGGTTCATTCCAATTCTAGTACTCTTTTTAAAATAATGTACTATATCCTTTTCCTATCTAGCAGGAATTCAGTTTTTTAAGATTCTCAAATAAGCCCATAACCAAAATAAGAACTTTTTTTTTTTTTTTGAGACAATCTCGATCTGTCACCCAGGCTGGAGTGCCGTGGCACAATCATGGCTCACTGCAGCCTCAACCTCCCAGGCTCAAGCCGTCCTCCCACCTCAGCCTCTTGAGTAGTTGAGACCACTACACGCAGCTACTTTTAAAAAAATTTTTGTAGAGACAGGGTCTCACTTTGTTGCCCAAGCTGATCTTGAGCTCCTGGGCTCAAACGATCCTCCCAACTCAGTCTCCCAAAGTGTTGGGATTACAGGCATGAGCCACCATGTCTGGCCAAGAGCTACATTTTCTACAGAACTATATTAGTGAAAGAGACAGACATTCCAGAGGCAAAACAAATGTCCTATGATATAAAAAGGAATTTCAGATATATATGTCCACAGGGTTCCCAAATTTGCTGAGGGAAAAGCTGCTATAATTATACATGACATTTTAATCTAAAAGCTACTTTAGAATTTTTCTGAACAGACTCCTTGAAGTTCAGTAAATACATCTCCCTCACTTTTATCACTCACCTTGGATATACGAGTTGATACGCAAAGCCCCTCTCACTTTTTAAAAGGTGGAATTAATTTTGGAAAACTGCAGAAATTAGAATACCTATAAAGTTAAAGGAATGAAAGAAAATTAAAAACTACCTGTTGTCCCACTGAGAAGGCCTGGTTTTTGAATTGCTGAATAAATTCTGCTGCCATCTTGTCGGTGTCATAAGGGTTGGAGTCAATGCTTTTTTTCTGCAGGAAATCAATCTCGATGGTCATTGTGCCAATACACTGTTTGGCTTTGTCAAATGTATATAAGGAGACTAGGGGAAAAAAAGAAGCATTTTTTTAAAAATCACAGGAGTACAAAATACCTGTAGTGTTTCTAGTAACTAAAAGTTTCACATAAATGAATCATAAACTACTTCACCAAAAATGGGGTTTAAATGGCCTTCACTGGAGGGACACACAGGTACAGGTTTAAAAAATAATAGTCACTAGAGATTTTCTTCCCCATCTGAATTAATTAGAAATACTGAATGGCAGGCCGGGCGCGGTGGCTCACTCCTGTAATCCCAGCACGCTGGGAGGCCGAGGCGGGCGGATCACGAGGTCAGGAGATTGAGACCATCCTGGCTAACACAGTGAAACCCCGTCTCTACTAAAAATACAAAAAATTAGCCGGGCGTGGTGGCGGGCGCCTGTAGTCCCAGCTTCTTGGGAGGCTGAGGCAGGAGAATGGCGTGAACCTGGCAGGCGGAGCTTGCAGTGAGCCAAGATCACGCCACTGCACTCCAGCCTAGGGCAACAGAGCCAGACTCCGTCTCAAAAAAAAAGAAAGAAAGAAATATTGAACGGCAGTCTCTCTGTTGTTATCCCTCATCCCACTCTTATCAGGATCACAATCCTCCCCACATGGCCTCTGCATCTTTCTCCTCATTTAATGCAATACAGTATGGGATGCCCCAACACAGTTGGCGTAACATGCTATTTCCAAATAAGATTTTTGTTTGACACAAAAAAACAGCTAAGGTGGGATGTGGATGAATTATTTTGGCCTAAGAAAGTAGGACGCAAGGCAAAAAAAAGAAGCTTGAAAAACAATGTTTACTAGCGGAATTTGCTCCAGAGCAAGTTAGAGTTTGACATTTCTTTTTTACTACTACAAAAATGTTTCCTGAGCACCTGCTACATCTAGGGAACTACAGTAAGTTCTACATGTACACATGTAGATAAGGGCAAGGACGAGGTTTTTAACTCCTCTTCCTATTAACAGCATCTAACAGTTTCTTTCAGGTGCTTAATATATTCATGAACTGTTTAAATGAAACAACAATAACAGAAAACCCATGGTCTCCATGCTAATAACAAAGGAGGCAATAAAGCATACATACAAAGCTTTGGATAAGAAAATTCCTGTTCAAGCCACATAAAAAGTTTTAAAATGAATTTTAGGTTACAATGTAATTAATATTAAAGTGTTACACATGATTTTACATCATGTAATAACTGTTCGACCAAAAACCTTTAATTGTACAACTACAACACAGTTTACATATCATATTTTTAGAAAAATATATGTTAAAACAAATTTTGCTAGTGACAGATAATTACAAAGAAGCATTTCCCTAGAAAAAAAAACTTGATTCTTAAATCAGCTCAAAAAGTATACTTATAAATGCCAGTTTATAAACAAACTTTTAAAGCAAAAAATTTTACAGTGCTGTATACTGTAGTGGTACTATTAGGAAAGAGTAGAGTAGGCTACCCAGAAAAGTTCAAGAGGATTTTTGCATTTGAGTTTCCCCAGGAGGGCAACTTGATTACGCCTAGTAAGAAAGAGTCTATTGCTACTCTTCAATAAGGCTTCACACACGCGCGCGCGCACACACACACACACACACACACAAACACACACACACACACACACAATTTATTTTCCCTTTAGGTTCCCTGAAGATACTTGTCCTAAAATTTACCAATGGCCCCTTAAGGATACAGTAGCAGCTCTCTTAAGCAACCTCCACTGAGCTGAGTCATCAGAAAGCTGACCAACTTTTATCCCTCCAACATATACCCATCAGCCTATGGTTTGCCTAACGCTCAGAGCTTGTAGACAGGAGTTGCTACACATCATGGGTCAACCAAGTTCATTCTGGTATCTGTCTGTGCTAGTTACACTCGTTACAGTTAATTATGAAATATAATTAAATAGTATAAAAACTTCTGAAGGCCTGGTTGTTGAACTGTTATTACAATGACTTTGACATTCTAGAATAGATATTATAAGTTGAAAGCTTTGGGAAAATTTTTTAAATGAAGTGTTTCTTCTAGAAAAAAAAAATACTGCTAACTAGGTATAAGCATTAAAATTAGAAAAGGTTGGGAGTGAACTCTACAAAAATCCAAGAGGTTTTGGCACTCTCAGATGCTCTACAAAGTCTAAGTTCTCCAGCCATTTCAAAGAAATCCACCTGGAAATTACGGGTAAAGTGTATGCACAAAAGATAATACAGAACTCCAATCCATGGACCACACCTCCAAGAAAAAGCCTTTAACCAACTTTTCAGTTAATTACCAGTCCAAGTCACATTGGGTAAGTGAGCTTCTACAGTTCTCACCACAAAAGCAGGTTATAAACAAAGACTGTTTTTTCACACTTGCTTTGAACAACAGGCATGGCATTTCTGTGAGTTACTGAGGTCAAATAGCAAGAGGTAAACAAAAGAAGTCACTGTGCAGTATTAAATGTCTGTTGCAAAGATTCTAGTGGTTTACAAACAAAGCTGTTTTCTTCAAAGGGACTTTGAGTATGTGTGTTTCAACAGATTCTGCTAGCAATCAGAAGAATCCAAGTAAATAATTTAAGTTGTCTGTGCCTTGATTTGTCACATCTATAAATCAAGACTGAACTAGATAAGTCTTTATGGTCGTTTCACACTCTAAATTCTGTTCTAAACTTATTTCTTAAATTCTAGACCCTTGAGTTATGTACAAGGATTTTCTGTAAACTCTTATTTTATATTTGAGACAGAGTCTTGCTCTGTCACCCAGGCTGGAGTGCAGTGGCACGATCTCAACTCACCGCAACCTCCACCTCCCGGGTTCAAGTGATTCTCGTGCCTCAGATTCTCAAGTAGCTGGGATTACGAACGCACACCACCATGCCCAGCGAATTTTTGCATTTTTAGTAGAGACAGGATTTCACTATGTTGGCCAGGCTGGTCTCGAACTCCTGACCTCAAGTGATCTGCCTGCCTTGGCCTCCCAAAGTGCTGGGATTACAGGCGTGAGCCACCACGAACGGCCGATTTTCTGTAAACTCTTTAAATGAAATTGTTTGTATAATCAGATTTCTGTATTTAAAGGGGGACATATACCTATTTTAACTACTTCAAAAGCAAAATAACAAAGCCTGAGGAAGGAACATAAAACTCACTGAAGATCAAATAATAAGTTCAAATTTTGGCTAAAAGTTTCAGAATACTCTCCTGTCTCCAATTCTGGATGGCTTGCTCCTTCTTAACATTTCCTAGAATGGCCAGGCACGGTGGCTCATGCCTGTAATCCCAGCACTTTGGGAGGCTGAGTTGGGCGGATCACCTGAGGTCGGGAGTTCGAGACCAGCCTGACAAACGTGGAGAAACCCCGTCTCTACTAAAAACTACAAAATTAGCCGGGCGCAGTGGTGCATGCCTGTAATCCCAGCTACTCAGGAGGCTGAGGCAGGAGAATCGCTTGAACCTGGGAGGCGAGGCTGCAGTGAGCCAAGATCGCACCATTGCACTCCAGCCTGGGCAACAAGAGTGAAACTCTGTCTCAAAAAAAAAAAAAAAAAAAAAATCCTAGAAAGTACAGGTTATATGCTGAGTAACTTTGATAGGCAAAAGAGCTTAGTTGTTTCCCTCATGTAGTTTGAAAACATTTATAGGTTGAAATATTAATGTAAAAATGAATATGATGATTCAGCAATTCCATTTCTAGATGTCTGTCCCAGAAAGATGCTAGAACATTTGTCTAACAACACATCTACAGGGAGGTTCATTGCAGCATTATTTATAGTACTTAAACATTGAAAAATGTTTATCAGTAGGAGAACAATGAATAAAATGTAGTATATTCATAATGTAGAATACTTTACAGCAATTTTTATTGAAATTAAAACTTGGCCAGGCACGGTGGCTCACACCTGCAATCCCAGCACTTTGGGAGGCTAAGGAGGGAAGATCACTTAAGTCCAAGATTTAGAGACCAGACTGGGCAACACAGTGAAACCCTATCTCTACACAAAATTAAAAAATTAGCCAGGTACTGAGGCTGCAGTGAGCCACGACTGCACCACTGCACTCCAGCCAAGTGAGACCCTGTCAAAAAAACAAAAAAAAAACAAAAAAACAAAAACCAACTTTATGTATATTTATTAAAGATGGACGGCCTGGCCAGGCGTGGTGGCTCACACCTGTAATCCCAGTACTTTGGGAGGCTGAGGTGGGTGGATCACCAGAGGTCAGGAGTTCAAGACCAGCCTGGTCAACATGGTGAAACCCCATCTCTAATAAAAATAGAAAATATTAGCCAGCGTGGGGGTGAGTGCTTGTAATCCCAGCTACTCAGACGGCTGAGGCAGGAGAATTGCTTGAACCTGGGAGGAGAGGTTGTAGTGAGCCAAGATCACACCACTGTACTCCAGCCTGGGCAACAAGAGCAAAACTCCATCTCAAAAAAAGGTGGATGGCCCTTGAAAACATAATATTGAGTGACAAAAGTCTACTGCAGAAAGGTTTGTACAGTATAATACCATTTTGTGCATTAAAGACACCAAAACAATATCATAATGTCATAATGCATATATATGTGTGTATATACATATATTCATGTCATCTTCATACTGAGAAATTTGAATAAGTATATTTAAAATATTGGCCAGGCGTGGTGGCTCATGCCTGTAATCCCAGCATTTTGGAAGGCTGAGGTAGGTGGATCATTTGAGGTCAGGAGTTCGATACCAGCCTGGCCAACATGGCAAAACCCCTTCTCTACTAAAAATACAAAAATTAGCCAGATGTGGTGGCACATGCCTCTAATCCCAGCTACTCAGTAGGCTGAGGCAGCAGAATTGCTTGAACTGGGGAGGAGGAGGTTGCAGGGAGCTGAGATCATGCCACTGCACCCCAGCCTCAGCGACAGAGCGAGATTCCATCTCAAAAATAAATAAATAAAAATATAATTACTACTGACTGTAGTAATGCACTGACTGTAGTTTTCAAATGCATTTTAATTTAAGGCCAATGTTCCTAAATAGAAAAGACCAAACTGTTACAATTTCAAGTGCTATGGGCAGCACCATGGACAGTATCCCAGGCAGCACCACAGTCAGCACCATGGTCAGTCCCAAAGGGACAAGAGTCCTGAAGATTTCATCCTGGATCAAAGAAGATTGAGAATGTTTTCTTATTTTACGGCTAATAGTAATTTAATATAAAAGACTAATAAGAAAGATTTTATAAGCAAAAAATAAGTGTATCCAGTTCTTTGAATAAACTTGGACTTTACAATAATAGGTGTATATATAGTGGTCAAAACATTAGCCTGTAACACTTAAAATATGGCATTGCCAGATGGAAAGAAGACCGACTAAATGATTCCTCCAGAAGATTCCCTCAGACTAAAATCACTGATTTGACTAAAATGTTTCACCTTACGGAACTCCCATTCCAGAATACTTGAGCACTCCTTCAAACCACACCTCCTATCCTATCTTGGTCTACATCACTACTTAAACCAAACCAGTTTTCTATCTTTATGGCTACATCATCCACATCACTTGGGCCCCAAAACCCTACCTTCCCTCAAGCTTACTCCACTTTAGTCCCACCTATCACTGGGTTTTACAATTTTGCTTATTAAGTCTGTTTGAGCCACTTCTTTAAAGATCTGACTTTACAATCCAGATAAGCATTTCTGTTAGCAGAAGAATGCTTTTATAACTTAAACCGCAAAACACATTTCTCAACTCATCAAAATTTATAATCTTGAATTTCTGTATCTTGTCACAATAGAAAATATCTAGATTCAAAGTTTTAAGTACTCTTAGCCTCATATTTAGAAAAATTAATTTATGAAAATTAGAAACCTAAGCTACATACTACCCCACTTTCTCATTAAATTTAACAAGTGTTCATACTTCCACAAAGAAAAAGCTAACTAAAAATAACACCAATGTTGGCTGGGCGTGGTGGCTCACATCTGTAATCCCACCACTCTGGGAGGTCAAGGCAGGTGGATCACGAGGTCAAGAGATCGAGACCAGCCTGGCCAACATGGTGAAACCCCATCTCTTCTAAAAATACAAAAATTAGCCGGGTGTGGTGGCAAGTGCTTGTAGTCCCAGTTACTTGCAAGGCTGAGGCAGGAGAATCGCTTGAACCCTGGAGGCAGAGGTTGCAGTGAGCCGAGATTGCGCCACTGCACTCCAGCCTGGCAACAGAGCGAGACTCCATCTCAAAAATAAAATAAAATAAAATAACCCCAATGTTTAAATTCCATCTAACTTAGAAAAAATTACAAGTTGTCAGGTTCCTAAATGAGGAGTAGGATAAAAGATGTGTGTGTGTGTGTGTGTGTGTGTGTGTGTGTGTGTGTGTGTGTACAGAGAGAGACAGAGACCCAGAGAGGAAGACAGGGAGCCAGAATGATAAAGAAAATATGACAACTGGTAAAGCTGGGTAAAGGTAGTATACAGAAATTCTTCGTATTATTTTTGCAACCTTTCTATAAATACAATTTTTTTTTAAGTTTTAAAGACAAGCAGAAGAAAAGCTGGTTTAATTACACTTGCATTTTCTTTCCTTCCCCTACTGTATCCATGAAGTTGACATAAAATCATCTGACTAAAGACGACTCATACTCCATTTCCTAACTTTGCCACATTGCCTGAGACAATGCCACTTTTTGCTTATTAGTTCTTTGGCTTATTATCTATTAGCAGCTTAGTCTTTCCACCCCGCCACGCCCCCAACTGGAAGTCATAAATTGCTTTCCTTGCCTTGAACTATGACGACCTTATCACACACTTCATAAAAGATATAGGAACAGAGGTACCATAACTATTTCCTTCCCATTCTCATAGATGTAACCAGTCTTCTGATACAATGAATGTTTAAGATCTGACCACTAGTAATAGAAAATTGTACAGATCTCAATAACTGTGAGAAAATCACATAGAAAATCTTTATCAGGTGGCTAAAAAATATACCTACCTTCTATTTCTTGCCCAATAGAAAGCCCAGCCCATTTTCTCTGTAAAGGAGAAAAAAAGATACTTAAAACCAAAGCCATCAAAATTAGACAAGAGAAAAAGAGGAATTTTAATGAATTTTAGGAATACACTCAAAGATCAAAACATGGTATGCTATTATGGTTGAACTGTGCTCTCCCCCTCCAAAGTATGTTGAAGTCTTAGCCCCCAACACCTGTGGATGTGACTTTATTTAGAAATACAATCTCT
This sequence comes from Homo sapiens, assembly GCF_000001405.40. Classification (NCBI taxonomy): domain Eukaryota; kingdom Metazoa; phylum Chordata; class Mammalia; order Primates; family Hominidae; genus Homo; species Homo sapiens. Next base: position 338,750 of record NT_167251.2, read on the forward strand.
GCAAATGTATCAAGTTAACATGAGGTCATAATGAATTAGGGTGAACCCTAAGCCGATATGACTGGTGTCCTTCTAAGAAAGAGACATAGACACACAGACAGAATGCCATCATGTGATAGCAGAGGCAGAAATTGAAATGATGCAGCTACAGCCAAGGAACACCAAAGGATTGCCGGCAACACCAGAAGCTAAGCACAGAACAGGTTCTTCCCTAGAGCCTTCAGAGAGGGAATAGCTCTACTGACAGCTTGATTTCAGACTTCCGGCCTCCACAACGGTGACAGAATAAATCTCTGTTGTTTTAAGCTACCCAGTAATGGTTCTTTGTTACTTACCCTAGGAAAGTAAAGCATGTGCTACAGTTTACATCTGAACATCTGTTTCAAAACGTGCAAAGCTTGCCTTTTGCAGTAAAGCTGGCACCACTGAGGAGGATGTTCCTTTGCACAATATGATGCTACAGAAGGTCTTCACTGTATCAGATCACACTTCAGTGTTCTAAATGTACTGCTGCAGTTAGTTTTACTGTTTGTTACAGTATCTCAAAAAGGAAGACATTCAATTCATGAAGACTAAATTAAAACTGGTCAGAAAATCTATTTTGAAACCCAGTCAGGGACTGAAATCATTAGATGGTCATGGCTACTCTTTGTATACTAGCCAGAAGATTTTTAGACATTTACAGCTAGATTTCAGGCTTTCCCAAATCCCTACTGTTTACAATGGCAAGAAGTATGAAGGCAGGCCAGATTGTGTTTAGGCAGGAATCTGGGGTTTGCTTGGTATAGATTCAAAATTAGTAATTACTGATAACACTCCAAAGAACAATGAGAAAAACAATTTTTGGTTGAAAATCAGTAGTTCACCTGCCCATCCAAACACTGCAGACTTTGTGGCGGGTAATTTAGAAGACACTGAACTGTGAATATGTGCAACAAGTGCTCTCCCTTGTGGCTTTCTTACCACATCCTGTTTCCCTCCACTCTGCCCTTCACCTCCCCCAGAAGACCTCTTCTGTAAAACCCCATCCCACTTCTGGCCAACCTGAAATTTAGCACCATGCTCGTTAAGCTTAGACTTTAAGTCACAAGGAAGCCACATTTAGGTTCTGTACTTCAATCCCAAAGACAGCTGATATGGTTTGGCTTTGCCCCCACCCAAATCTCATCTTAAATTGTAGTTTCCATAATCCCTATGTGTTATGGGAGAGACCCAGTGGGAGGTAACTGAATCATGGGTGTGGGTTTTCCCATGCTGTTTTCATGATAGTGAGTAAGTCTCAGAAGATCTGATGGTTTTATAAAGGGCAGTTCCCCTGCACACGCTCTCTTGTCTGCCGCCATGTAAGACATGACTTTGCTCCTCCTTCGCCTTCCACCATGATTGTGAGGCCTCTGCAGCCATGTGGAACTGTGAGTCCATGAAATCTCATTTTTCCTTATAAATTATCCAGTCTCCAGAATTTCTTCATAGCAGTATGAAAATGGACTAATACAACAGTCCTTAGGGATAACAACAGTAGCTATTGTATAAGGTTGTTTGGAGAATTAAATGAGCTAACACATGCCAAAGTACCTAGAATAGAGGCTGGCCTACAGTGAATGTCGGGGAAATTTTTTTTTTTTTTTTTACAAAACAGAGACAAGGAGAAACTGTCACACCTCAAGCTATTGCTAACAATCAGAATCCCAAATGGAACTCTGTAAAAGCTGGAGAACCCTGGAATATCCCAAACTTTTAATCTATAGAAACAAACGTGAAAGTGGTCTGGATAATGAAGAGGCATCAAACAGACAGGTGGAATAGTAAGTGAAAATTTCCTGTAATTTTTGAGGGCTTCAAGAGATCTTCAATAGTTCCTTTTTTTTCCCTTTTTTTTAAGAGACAGAATCTCACTCTGGAGCAAAGGCTGGAGCATGGTGGCACAATCATAGCTCACTACAGCCTCGACTTCCTAGGCTCAAGTGATCCTCCCAACCTCAGCCTCCCAGGTAGCCTGGACTACAGGCATGTGCCACCATGCCCAGCTAATTAAAAAAAATTTTTTTTTTGTAGAGACTAGTGCGGGGGACAAGGGTCTCGCTATGCTGATCTGGAATTCTTGGTCTCAAGCGATCCTCCTCCACCTCCCAAAGCACTAGGATTACAAGCGTGAGGTACCTGGCCCATCTAATAGTTTTTGTTTTTGTTTTTTAGTTTTTTAAACAGGGTCTCACTTTGTCACCTAGGCTAGAGTACAGTGGCACTATCTCGCCTCACTGCAGCCTCAACTTCCCGGGCTCAAGTGATCCTCCTGCCTCAGCCCCTCAAGAAGTTAGGACTACAGGCATGCACCACCACACTCAGCTAATTTTTATATTTTTAGTAGAGGTGGGGTTTCGCCACGTTGCCCACTGGTCTTGAACTCCTGGACTCAAGTGATCCACCAGCTTTGGCCTCCCAAAGTGCTGGGATTACCAGCATGAGTCATTGCACCCAGCCTAATAGTTCTTAAATGAGTGTTTGAGCTCTTTCTCTAAACCTTCAGGGAAGTCAACCAATGCTCATTAGCATACTAGGAGGAGGTAGGAATTCCATTTACATTACTTAGGACTGGGGACAGTCAGCAGCCTGAGTAAAATGATAAGGGAGAAGAGGATACAGACTAGTATTCTTGGTGCTTTATATTATGTATGATGTGCCTGGGACAGCACTAAGCAATCTAATTCTCTGGATTCCACAGAATCCATCAACAGTTGTAACTGTAATCACAACCCATCCAGTTGTTATGGGAGCCTAGCAAATTATGTTGTAATTTGAGACTCTTTCCAAATTCTTTAGTATAACGCCATCACATTATAAAATCACCATTCTTAGATATCAACTTCACAAATAAAATGTTTTCTACTTTTCTATTACCCTGGCAGTTAACATTAAAATAACTTGACGCTTTATGTGATAGCTGACTGATTTTACTGCAAAATCTTTAAAAATTAGGGAAAAAAAATCAAGCCAAAAGAAGGCAGCCATAGCAAAAACTGGCAATTAAGAATCTGTCTTGGCCGGGCGCGGTGGCTCACGCCTGTAATCCCAGCACTTTGGGAGGCCGAGACGGGCGGATCACGAGGTCAGGAGATCGAGACCATCCTGGCTAACACGGTGAAACCCCGTCTCTACTAAAAATACAAAAATTAGCCGGGCATGGTGGCGCGCGCCTGTAGTCCCAGCTACACGGGAGGCTGAGGCAGGAGAATGGCGTGAACCCGGGAGGCGGAGCTTGCAGTGAGTCGAGATCGCGCCACTGCACTCCAGCCTGGGCGACAGAGCGAAACTCCGTCTCAAAAAAAAAAAAAAAAAAAAAAAAAAAAAAAAAAAAAGAATCTGTCTTTAGGTTGGGCATGATGATTCACACCCTATAATCCCAGCACTTTGAGAGGCCAAGGTGGGAGGATTACTTGAGCCCAAGAGTTAAAGACCAGCTTGGGCAACACAGTTAAGACACCATCTCTACAAAAAATTTTAAAATTAGTCAGGCACAGTGGTACAAGACTGTAGTCTCAGCTACTCGGGAGACTGAGGTATGAGAATTGCTTGAGACCAGGAGCCATGATCGTGCCACTGCACTCCAGCCTGGGTCTCAGAACGAGACCCTGTCTTAAAAAAAAAAAAGAAAAAAAAAAAAAGAAGACTGTATCTTTAAATTCCTTATATAATACTTAGATATTTTTCTTCAATATGAATCAATACAGTCACAGGGTGATGCTTGCTTAAAATGAACAGATTATTCATATTCTATGACTTTCAAAAACAGAAGAGAACAAATTAACATCTGAGTTACCTGAGGTAAACTGAATGCAATGCTCCCTGGAACCACCGATGGATGTGTCTTCAGTGTAAATGTGTACCTGTGATTGGGAGAGGTCCTCACAATCACATGCCTAAAGGACAGAAACACAGTTAGTACTCCACATTGAAGGAAATGAAGAACATAATTTCAAAATGTATTTCTTGTCAAACTGATATTTAATGAGTATCAGGTGGAAACGACACTATCTGTGTCTTGAAGAAATAGAACCACAAATTTAGTTTCCCAAACTATCAGCAATCCCAAATGTTTTCCAGATATAAGGAGCACCTTGGGTCAAACACTCATCAAGTAGAATCCAGCCAAAATACCATCCAAAATACCAACTTCCTTACATTTCCAGTTTACATAAAACTGAAGCCAGTGATTTAGAGTCCTTGATATCAAGTAAAAACTAGATGCATTTCCTCTCCTGAGAATTACTTCACATCCTAATAAGGAGAAGAGAGCCAAAGATAAAAGAGCTAGGATATAGCAATCAAAAAAAAGTTAGTTTTTAGACTACTCATTAAATTTATTTGCAGACTCTCTCAACAGGCTAAAACAAAAACAACCTACAAAATAAAAAAAAAAAAGATTTAAAAAATTCCTAAAATACATCAGCTTTCATGTAGATATCAATATTTACTGTTTTAAAAAATTTTGTGCTAATTCCCTGTTCAGAAATTACCTGTAAATAAAAAAAAAAACAGTCCTCTCATGATAATCTCCTATACCAGGTAACTAAAAAGTACTATGTGTAAGATAGAAGCTTCAAATCCTGTTATGCAGCAGCAGTATCTTTTTTTTTTTTTTTTTTTTTTTTTTTAATACATGTGGTCTTGCTATGTTGACCAGGCTGGCCTCAAACTCCTGGGCTCAAGAGATTCTCCTGCTTCAGTCTCTAAAGTAGTTGGGACTACAGGCATGCCCTAACATGCCTAGCTCACTATCTTTTTAAACATTATCTTTTCAGAATGCTGTAATTTTTCACATCAATGGCTAATGTTTCTATACGTATTTTTTTTGCCACTAGAACACATGTTCCTTATATCAACTACATTTTGAGTAACCCCACCATGAGTACAGTGAACATTTAACATATGTAAAAGAATTCCACAAATTCTCACGTTGATTATCTATACTTCAGTTTATCTGTTGAAAATCCTGTGCTCAATTTAGCATCACAGAATGTTTAGCACTGGAAACAATGTTAATATCACCATATAGTACAGCCTCTTACTCTGAAGCTGGAAACCAAAGATGATTAGCATTTCTAACTCTGTGAAACTCAGGTATTTCACAGATAACATTTTAAGAAAAATGCTCAGTTAAAACCCTACCACCTTGCCTCTTATTTCCCTACAGCCCCTTCATCTCCTTATCTGTACCAATCTCAGAAGCATATGGATGGCACTGAACTTGCAGCAGGGTCTTTAGAAGTCCTGGCAGTGCGGTGATATGGATCAGTTAAAATAAATTACAGTGCAAAATGCCTTTAAGGATTCTACATTTGCTTTGCAGCTTCCAATTTTCTTTTTCCTTTACTTTTTTTTGAGACAGAGTCTCGCTGTGTCACCCAGGATGGAGTGCAGTGGCGCGATCTCGGCTCACTACAGTCTCTGCCTCCTGGGTTCAAGTGATTCTCATGCCTCAGTCTCCTGAGAAACTGGGACTACAGGCGCACACCACCATGCCTGGCTAATTTTTATTTTTAGTAGAGATGGGGTTTCACCATGTTGGCCAGGTTGGTCCCAAATTCCTGAGCTTAGGCAATCAGCCTGCCTTGGCATCCCAAAGTACTAGGATTACAGGCGTCAGCCTCCATACCCAGCCCATCTTCCAATGTTCATGTCTCTTGGATTATCATGGTAATAATAATCATAACAGCTAATATTTACTAAGGGATTGTTAACATGTTGGGAACTGTTCTAAGTGCTTTATTTATGTAACTCAATCTTCATAGCTACCTTGAGGAAGAGATCATCTCCATTTTACAGATCAGGACATAGAGGTACAGAAATGGTCACACAGTTTGTAATTGGTAGAGCCAGGAAAACTCAAACAATCTGAGTTTGCCAGAACCAAACACCTAACAACTCTGCCATATATGATTCATACAACCAGTATGTTTAGCTCTACTAAGAAAACTGATGAAAACTAGAGTTTTATACATAAAACATTTTTAAAACATTATACAGTATTTATCAAAGTTTGACACAGTAATGATTCAAATACATAACTTTTTCTCATCTTCTCCATTTTCCAACTCAGCAAGAATTTTTTAAAAATATTTTCCAACGTTTCCTAAAAATGACTCTCTGGAAGTTTCCCGAATGCCACTTAGCAGGTTAAAAGAAAACAAAGTCAGATACTCACTGGCCAGACTGGAAATCCTTTTCATTCACAACTGCACAATTGGTTAAAGATAATTCATCTGTAGGACATCTTGCCGCTTGCATGCTCTGTAAGAATCAATGATTAGGAAAATCAAATTAAGTCATGTTCTATTCCCTTAAAGAATATTTTATGCCTTTCTGTCCTCTCTTCATCACTCATTGCTATAATGAACATCTATTATTTTTGACTCCCAGCATCCCTTCCTCTGCATTAAGAGCAAACCCTTCCTTTGGGAAACTGTTCCTTTCCCATTCCATGTGGTTTAGTGAGACTGCCAGTCAGCACACATGCAACCACATCTACTCTATCCCACCCACAGGATTTTATATATGCTGGCGCTAGACCAAAGGCATTCTTCTGCAAGCCAGAGCACCACAAGGAGGAAGATTTTCCACTCTAAAAGGGTAAAACTATCACAGAGACACAGACAAGCTAATAGATAACCTGGAAACACAGATCTGGCAACCAAGTTCTTGAGACCAGTCCTGAACATTAGTTACGAGCCAACAAATTTTTTTTGCTCAAGCTTTTTTGAATTAGCTTTCCATATCTTCCAAAGAATCTTGACTAATAAAAATGCACTGAAGTAAATTCAATAAATTTGGTAAACTTATGTATCAAATTTTATGTATATTATCAAAAGTATATTATGAAATGTTATGCATATTATAAAGAGTATACTATGAAAAAGTATCTTTTTATAAGAGATCCCAGGTGGCTACGAACTGTATCTCCTATAGATTGAGAAAAACCATCTTCCAAATATCTTTCAACAAAAATAATTACAGACTATATTTAAAAAAAAAAAAACAGCCTTTTTGGTCAATAGCAACTAGCAAAATGTTCCTTTATATAATATATTTAACCAATAACCCTTCCATGATTCCCTAGGGTTTCCTAGTGAGCTATGACAGGTAGTCATAGTCTATGACTGAAGGGTTCATTCTTCAAACCTCAAGCCAAAGCTGATTTTTTTTTTTTTTTTTTTTTTGAGATGGAGTCTCACTCTGTCACCCAGGCTGGAGTGCAGTGGCGTGATCTCGGCTCACTGCAAGCTCCGCCTCCCGGGTTCATGTCATTCTCCTGCCTCAGCCTCCTGAGTAGCTGGGACTACAGGTGCCCGCCACCATACCCAGCTAATTTTTTGTATTTTTAGTAGAGTCAGGGTTTCACCGTGTTAGCCAGGATGGTCTTGATCTCCTGACCTCACGATCCGCCCACCTTGGCCTCCCAAAGTGCTGGGATTACAGGCATGAACCACTGCACCTGGCCAGGACGATTATTCTTAAATGTGTCTCCCAAATATAAATTTATAGAGGAAAGTGAATTATTTTTGGCTTTGCTTTTATTTTAACTAAAAGGCCAGTTTCAATATCATTATCCCTGTTGTTTAGGGCATTAGTCTCCAAAGTGGGATATGTGTACTTGAAGGGTGTTTGTATTATACGATAATCCTTTGGGGTATAAAAATAAAATATTAGTACTGGTATTTATATTGACTTTACACAATTTCTTATTTATGTGTTGTTTTGTTTTTTGACACAGTCTCTCTCTGTTGCCCAGGCTGGAGTGCAATGGTGGATCTCAGCTCACTGCAATCTCTGCCTCCCTGGTTCAAGCGATTCTCATGCCTCAGCATCCCAAGTAGCTGGGTTACAGGCATGCTCCAGCTAATTTTTGAATTTTTGGTAGAGTCGGGGGTTTCATCACGTTGCCCAGGCTGGTCTCGAACTCCTGAGCTCCGGCAATCCGCCCGCCTCGGCCTCCCAAAGTGCTAGGATTACAGGCGTGAGCCACTGCGTCCAGCCACACCATTTATTTATTTATTTATTTATTTATTTATTTTAATTTGTTTGAGACAGAGTCTCACTCTGTCACCCAGGCTGGACTGCCCTGGTGCGATATCGGCTTACTGCAAGCTCCGCCTCCCGGGTTCACGCCATTCTCCTGCCTCAGCCTCCCAAGTAGCTGGGACTACAGGTACCCACCACCACGCCCGGCTAATTTTTTTGTATTTTCATCAGAGACAGGGTTTCACCGTGTTAGCCAGGCTGGTCTCGATCTCCTGACCTTGTGATCCACCCACCTCGGTCTCCCAAAGTGCTGAGATTACAGGTGTGAGCCACTGCACCCAGCCCATTTTTTATTAAAGATGAACCTCACTCTACATGTCTACTCTACCTTAAGATATAATCTGATGGCACGAACAAAGTCCTCATAATCCACCAGGCTTTTAAGTGTTCACTGCAAGAGTTAAACGTCTATAATTTTTCCACCTATGTCTAAAGTCACAGGCTATTTAATGTGACACTTCACAAAATTGTACGAAAGTTAGTGTCGAAACTGCTAAGGTTTCCCTAAAAAAAGCCAAGGACCATAGCTGAAATTATACACAGAAATAAAAGTGGTGACAAACTAAATGTATTCTTTTATTGGTAAGTATAGTCAAAAGCTCTTAGAAAACCCTAAAGACTTGAAGATATCAGGACAAATACAGTGTGTGGGGTTTGCTATACAATTGGATAAAAATACAGATGATTCTTTCATCTTAGGGTATTTGCTGGGTAATTATGAAATATACAGGAAATACAACTTTGTAAGATACCAAGGAACAATGTATTAAAAGGGAGGTATTCTTAACTGTAAATGAAACAAGGTGCTTTATGGGAAAACTGTAACCACTGATGAAATGACTGCTTTGACTGGAATTTTAAAAAAGAATTCTGGCCAGCTGCGGTGGCTCACACCTGTAATCCCAGCACTTTGGGAGGCCGAGGTGGGTGGATCATGAGGTCAGGAGATCGAGACCATGCTGGCTAACACGGTGAAGCCCCGTCTCTACTAAAAAATAACAAAAAATTAGCCAGGCGTTGTGGCGGGCACCTGTAGTCCCAGCTACTCGGGAGGCTGAGGCAGGAGAAAGGCGTGAGCCCGGGAGGCGGAGCTTGCAGTGAGCTGAGATCGTGTCACTGTACTCCAGTCTGGGCAACAGAGCGAGACCCTATCTCAAAAAAAAAAAAAATTCCAGAACAAAGTTACAGTGATAGCATCTGATACAAAAGCCTTTAACGGCTTCATTCACAGGTAAACTATTGCTGCAATTAAGTCAGAACAAGGTACCTCAGATGTCACTGAGGTTAACTGTATGAATATAGAATCTTCCTATACTCTGGGAGATAGAGAGTAGCCACTGAATTTTTTTTTTTTTTTTTTTTTTGAGAGATAGTCTTGCTCTGTCGCCCAGAATTGAATGCAGTGGCGCATTCTCAGCTCAGAGTAGCTGGGACTACAGTTGTGTACCACCACTTCTGACTAATTTTTGTATTTTTAGTAGAGATGGGGTTTCACCATGTTGGCCAGGCTGGTCTCAAACTCCTGGCCTCAAGTGATCCACCTGCCTTGGCCTCATAATCTTTTTTTTGTTTTTAAATCCACACAGATTCACTAGTTACCACAAGAAATGTATTTAAAAGATTTGTTAAATGTAGATGAGTTACACAATTTTTTAAAAATAAAAAGACTAGAGTTCCAAACTTGCTAAATATTTCTGAGGAGGTTATAAGTAGTATGCTACCAAGAAGATATTAAAAAAACAAAAAAACTCACTCTGCCCCTACAAAATAAAAATGTTTAGCAACATGTCAGAATTATTTTCAGCTTTTCCAGAAAAAAGAAAAAGAGAAAAAAATCGGCCGGGTGCAGTGGCTCACGCCTGTAATCCCAGCACTCTGGGAGAATGAGGCAGGCGGATCACCTAAGGTCAGGAGTTTGAGACTAGCCTGGCCAACATGGTGAAACCCCATCTCTACTTAAAATACAAAAATTAGCTGGGCGTGGTGGCGGGCACCTGTAATCCCAGCTACTCGGGAGGCTGAGGCAGGAGAATCGCTTGAACCCAGTAGGCGGAGGTTACAGTGAGCCAAGATGGCACCATTGTACTCCAGCCTTGGGGACAAGAGAGAGGCTTCATCTTTAAAAAAAAAAAAAAAAAAAAAAAAGAGAGCGAGAGAAAAAAAAATCTTTCCTAATAGAGCATTTCAAAATTGGATAATTGGAAACATTTCCATTGCTAAGTTATTCTGCTGTTGAAACAATATATACAAAATCTAAAAAATAAAGACACCAAAAACTCGTATCTTCATGCTTTATAAAGTCAGAAACAGAATATTCTAAAACTTTTTAAAATATCTTCCAAATGAAGACTTAACAGTGATTTTTGGAACCCATTTATTAACACAATAAAAGTATAATATATTTTTATTAATCTGCAAGAAAAACTAATAGATGGATATTTACCAGCCACATTTCAATAAAGCCTTTCCATAAATAGTGAATAAGTTTGGAGAAAGAAAGAATATGATTTAGAAAGTGCAGCCAAATTCTTCCATTTTGATCCAGGCTTTGACTGCCATTAAAGTATCAAAATAAACTGAATTTAGAAACAGCCCTCTGAGCAGCTGTATCACATAATATTAAACGAAGATTTTAAATAATGATGTACCACTTTACTTTCTGGGTTTTTTTTTTTTTTTTTTTTTTTTTTAGATGGAGTCTTGCTCTGTCGCCCAGGATGGAGTACAGTGGCATGATCTCGGCTCATTGTAACCTCCGCCTCCCGGGTTCAAGCAATTCTCCTGCCTTACCCTCCCGAGTAGCTGGGATTACGGGCGTGTGCCACCATGCCCAGCTAATTTTTGTATTTTTTAGTAGAGATGGGATTTCGCTATATTGGTCAGGCTTGTCTCAAACTCCTGACCTCAAGTGATCTGCCTCCCTCAGCCTCCCAAAGTGCTGGGATTACAGGCGTGAGCCACTGCACCCAGCCTACTTTCCGTATTTTCAGTAAAATTAACACTGTGAGAATATTGTACATGCCATCTTTAGCTCATCCTTTTAATTTTTTTTGTTTTCTATACATGTTCTACTGCGTATATAACTTTTAGTACTACATATCATCTATAAACAAATATTGGCATATAATCAATATATGAGGATACATAATCAAAACATTTTTTACTTATGAGATTCATGATCAAATGTTTGGAAATCACTAATTTAGCACAAGATGAATAAAGTCTAGGTCACAAGTCTCCTTTGTGAATGAGACAGCATTTATGTGTTCAACAAATGCTGACAGCATTTTGCCCAGTCACAGCTTGATCAGCCATATGACAGAAATGTACTGAACTTTTTCAGTTTCCCACTTTCCCAGGGTCATTTTCACCTGCAAGCTTCTTTCTTTTATATAATCTCCGCCACTAACCCCTGTTCCATCCCTGGACAACTCCCACTCATTCTACAATTCTCCACTTAGACACTACTTTTTCTGGAAGGCATTCCTAGACACCTACCCCTCCCCACTAAACTGATGAAATAAACTTCAAATGGAAGCACTCAACTATAATTTTATTCTGTCTACATGTTTGCACTGCATATAAGACACTAAACTTCTCAAAGACTGAGACTATATCTTGCTCACATATGTAGTTCCCAGTGTTAGTACAGGGCCTAGTACACAGTGAATACTCATTAAATGTTTGTTGAACACAAAAATTTATAGATCAATAAAAATCTGTCTCAACTGCAGAATAAACAATCCAAAGAACATGTAACAAAGGACTGATCGTCTCAAGGTTATTTAGGAAGTGATAAAATTGAGCTAAAATGATCTGATAGTTCAAAATATACAGAACGATATAGCTAAAGTAATAAAATAAATTTACAAAATGCTGTTAACTCTTTCATTTATAAACTTGTTTATTTGTCAAGTGTCCTTCAAAAGGAGTGAAAAAATCCACAGAAGTCATCTGGCTGGCCAACCAAAACAGATGCTGTGAACAAAAGGCCTCCCTACTGGAATCCAGAAACATCTGTGTTTTTATGGTAAGCCAAGCATGGTATCTCATTTTTTCAACGAAGTATAAGTCTCTATAAATAGTAGCTGTCTACTCACCACAGCAATGCCAAGGGAAAATTCCACAATTTTTCTAACATTGACCTTGCCCCTAGGAAACAATAATGAAAGCCAACCACTACAGTCATGCAGTTATTAAGAAATGAAAGTACAGGCTAGGTGCGGTGGCTCACGCCTATAATCTCAGCACTTTGGGAGGCCAAGGTGGGAGGACTGCCTGAGCTCAGGAGTTCAAGACCAGCATGGGCAACATGGTGAAACCCCATCTCTACTAAAATACAAAAAATTAGCCGGGTGTGGCGGTGTGTGCCTGTAGTCCCAGCTACTCGGGAGGCTAAGGCAGAATTGCTTGAACCCAGGAGGCGGAGGTTGCAGTGAGCTGAGATTGTAGATGACCAGCTGGAACAGCCACCCTTGTTGGACACTGTTTGATTCAGCTTTTTATTAATATGCAGTTCTGAGATGGCATCCTTATGCACACGCCCACATATTTCCTTAGGTCAGGTCTATAGATGTGGAAGCCAGGTCCCACGCGTTGGGTATGGCTGTCACCCTGAAGATACCGCAGATCGCCAACATCACATTCCCCAGTCCCCATCTAGTGGCCTCCAGTGGCCCATCTACTGGGCCAGCAGGGGCCAGGAAAGGAGAAGAGGGAGACCAGTGGGGCTGAAGGCACTGGTGCGTCTGTGCAAGAGGAGGAAGCCCTGTGAGAGGGCAGCAGCCTCCGGACTGGTACAAGCGATTCTCCTGCCTCAGCCTTCCGAGTAGCTGGGATTACAGCAAAAAATAAAATTATTTGCTTATCTTCATCAAAGAAACTGGGGTGATTTAATCAGGACTCTTCTGGACAACACTGCACAGTTTTGGAATTTAAATCACATACTTTCATCCAAACATCCACTTTAAAAACTGGATTAAAGTACGCTTTACTATTTACTAAATAATTTAATAGGGCAAAATAAACAGAAAGAAAAATAGTGTGGCATCTGACCAAAAGAGCTCATTACCAAACAGCTTCCCCTACCTGAACTGTCACCCTTATGAATCCACTGGTTCTTCTTCTGTGGTGCTCTAGGCTTTGGTTTCATTTCTCCCACGGGAAAGGGAAGGACTGAAAACACAAACCTGCCCCAGGGCCAGCTCAGCTAACAGGTCTCACTCAACTACTTCTTGCTAGAGGATCTTTCCTGAAAAATAACATTTCAGAACTACACTGTTCGGTAATCACTAGACATATTTCACTATTCAAATTAATTTAAAGTTAAATTCAATTCTTCAGTTGAACTAGCCCTACGTTTCAAAAGCCACCTGTGGCTAGTGGTTATCACTGCAGAAAGTTTCATCGGATAGCACCAGCCTAGAATAATGTAAGAAAGGCCATCAGTACTAATCTTCAGGCCTATGGAATCCCTCTGTGCTACATATTCCTATAATAATAATTTCTGTTAAAATTCTGAAGTCACATGTGACTAGAAGTGATGGGGTAGATGTCCTATAGTTATCTCTTGAAAAGCCTTTAGGGATATCCTTGACATTATCTATCTCAAACTAATAACTGTTCACATAGATGAACCTCCTGCCTGGCATCCCTTAGAACTTTAAAATTCCTTTACAAGTTTATAATGAAAAGAAAAACAATTCCCATTTTGGTCTTTTGGGGGGAAAAGCATGCACAGAAAAATATAAAAGGCTGACAACTTTCAATATCGGCAAAGATGCAATGCAGTTTCTACAAAGTTAATGTGACCCAACAAGTGCACCCCTAGGTTTTTAGTCAAAAGAAATGAAAATATATCCACACAAAGACTCGCACACAAATGATCACAACAGCTGTACTCATAATAGCCTAAAAATGGAAACAACACGAATGTCTACCAAAAGATGAATGAATGAAGAAATTATAGGAGAGCCATACAATTGACTACTACTCAGAAATTAAAAAGAAACTAGTCCAGGTGCAGTGGCTCATGCCTGTAATCCCAACACTTTGGGAGGCCGAGGCAGGGGGATCGCCTGAGCCCAGGAGTTCCAGACCAGCCTGGGCAACATGGTGAAACCCTGTCTCTACAAAAGATACAGAAATTAGCCAGGCGTGGTGGTACATGCCGGTAGTCCCAACTACTTGGGAGGCTGAGGTGGGAGGACTGCTTGAGCCCAGGAGTATGAGGCTGCAGTGAGCTATGATCACACCACTGCACCCCAGCCTGGGCAACAAAGCAAGACCCTGTCTCTACAAAAAAATAAAAACTAAACTTAAAAAAAAGATACACACTAAACTGTTAACAGTGGTTACCACCAAGGAGAAAGACAAGAAAATGTCTTTACAATTCTGAACTCTTTACAATTCTGTAAAACTCTTTACAATTCTGAACTGCTGGAACTGTTTTTACAATAAATAAACTTTGTCTCACAAAAATCATTTTAAATATAGAAAACTTTTATGTGTAATTTTTTCCCTACAGCATTATTTTAACAGTGATGAATTAGGAGTAACCTAAAGGTCTTGTTTCAAAGTAATGGTTCTGTAAACTACAACGTACCCGCACTTGATTATATATATCATATCATATAAGGATCAAAATCCTCATAACACACTAAGGTAGGGTTCATATCACAGAATTGTATACAGAACTTTTACTTTACAGCATTTTTTTTTTTTTTGTGAGGCAAGGTCTGGCTTTATCACCCAGGCTGGAGTGCAGTGGCGCCATCTCAGCACACTGCAACCTTTGCTTCCCTGGCTCAAGCCATCTTCCCACCTCAGTCTCCCAAGTAGCTGAGGCTACAGGCAAGCACCACCACACCAGGCTAATTTTTGTATTTTTTGTAGAGATGGGGTTTCATCAGATTGGCCAGGCTGGTCTCGAACTCCTGACCTCAAGTGATCTGCCTGCTTCAGACTACAAGTGTGAGCCACCACGCTCAGCCTTAAAGCATTATTTTTAAAAAAGTATGGCAAACCAACTAAATGGAAACACACCAAAATGTGAAAAACAACTGACTGGATAACGAAACTATGGGTGATTTCCAGCTTTCCACACTGATTTTAAACCTCATATATGAAGTTTTCAGGTGTATCTGGTTCTATTTCTGGGTTGGTTGTTCTACTTCATTAACTATTTGTCTGCTTTCTATACTAATACCACATTGTTTTAATTACCATATATGGCATATTTTGATGTCTAGTTTTGTCAGATTCGTATCAAAAAATTAATATTCTTAACTTCACAGAAGCATCTCAGGACATGCATCTCAAATGTTTAAAGAGGCAGAAGGCTCCCTACCGTCGTTTTTTTTTGTTTTTTGTTTTCTCTTTTTTGAGATGGAGTCTCACTCTGTCACCCATGCTGGAGTTAGTGCAGTGGCTCGATCTTGGCTCACTGCAACCTCCACCTCCCAGGTTCAAACAATTCTCCTGCCTCAGCCTCCCAAATAGCTGGGATTACAGGCAACCACCACCACACCCGGCTAATTTTTGTATTTTTTGTAGAGACAGGTTTCACCATGTTGGCCAGGCTGATCTCGAATTCCTGACCTCAAGTGATCCACCCACCTCAGCCTCCCAAAGTGCTGGGATTACAGGCATGAGCCACTGCACCCGGCTATCCCATCACTTAATCCCACCCTGCCAATCTTTGCTCTCTTGAATCTTGGCACACTGCCAGTAAGCCTCTCATGGGTCACTTAAAAAGCAAAAATCCCATAATTCTACTTTATTTTAATTCTACTCTGTAGTTCTTTTAACTCATTTCAAACTAGCACCCTTTTCTCTCTTCTCTTTATTACCAAATCTCTCAAGTCTCCCTTCCTTGCCTTCCATGTTCTCATCCTATGGCTATCTTCTTCAACCATTCTTTGAAATCCTTTCCAGCAGCCACTTTACTGTAACTGCTGTCTTCAAAATCACCAATGACTAAATGCCAAATTCAGTGGTACCTCCTTCTCCTCAGTATTCACTTTTTCATTTGTTTGTCTTGCTATGTTCCTCATCTGTTAATACCATCATTATCCTTTCAAGTCATTAAATTCAAGATTTCAGGGTCATTCTTCCCTTCACTGCCTATCCCTGGAATGCACACATAAACAATCAAGAGTCTACTAAGTCTACTGCACTGTCACTTGGATGTGCCTCCCTTCCAGCCTCACAACCATAACCTAGTTCAGCCATATCACCTCTCCTAAAAAACTACAATGGTAATAATTGTTGTCCCTGGTTCTAGCTTTTGTTCTCCTCCAATTCAGCCTTCCCTCTGCCACCAGACATGACCTGAAACCAAAAATATGATTCATAAGTAATAAAGCCCAAACTCCTTAGCATGCTACTCACAGCCACCTATGCAAGATCTATCTTTAACTTATTTTTCTGCGTCATCTACCTCAATACCCCACCCCAACCCCATGTACCCCACATTCCAAACTCCATTCCTTCACTCACACTATTCCTTTTGACTGAATTCCCTATTTCAAACCCCTTCCACCTGTGAAAATCTTTCCCACCTTGCAAAGCCAAGTTTGTGAAACTCCCTGGTTCCTAGTAAGATAGAATATCTCCTTTATTTGTGCTTCTTCAGCAGTCTTAGTACTACTTATTACAAGCTGCCTTACACTAGACTTATTTAAGTACCATGCCTTCCTCACAAGATTCTAAGCTCTGATTCTCCTGCACCACTCAGGGAATATACAGTATGATAAATATTAATTGAGTTCTCATTGCCGTTTTTGAGATTTTTTTTTTTTTTTTTTTTAAAGACAGAGTCTCGTTCTGTCGCCCAGGCTGGAGTGCAGTGGCATGATCTCGGCTTGCTTTAACCTCTGCCTCCCGGGTTCAAGCAATTCTCCTGCCTCAGCCTCCTGAGTAGTTGGGACTACAGGCATGTGCCACCATGCCTGGCTAATTTTTTGTATTTTTAGTAGAGACGGGGTTTCACCATGTTAGCCAGGATGGTCTCCATCTCCTGACCTCATGATCCGCCCACCTCTGCCTCCCAAAATGCTGGGATTACAGGTGTGAACCACCACGCCCAGCTGATATATTTCATATAAAATTAATCATTTAAAATGTATACTTGGGTGGTTTTTGTTTTTTGGAGGGTTTTGTTTTGAGAGACAGGGTCATGCTCTATCACTCAGGCTGGATCACAGTGGCACAATCACAGCTCACTGTAACCTCAAATTCACAGGCTCAAGTGATCTTCCCACCTCAGCCTCCAAAGTAGCTGGGACTACAGGCACACACCACCATACCCAGGTAATTAAAACAATTTTTTTTTTTTTTTTGTAGAAACAAGGTCTTGCTGTGTTGCCCAGGCTGGTCTTGACCTCTTGGCCTCAAGCAATCTTCCCGCCTCAGTCTCCCAAAGTGTTGGGGTTATAGGCATGAGCCACTGCACCCAGCCTTTGAGTGGTTTTTAGTATGTTTACTATGTTGTACAACCATAATCACTATCTAATTCCAGAACAGTCCCATCACCCCAAAAAGAAACTCTGTCCCTACTAGCCGTTAATCTCAATTCATCCCTTCTCTCACTCCTTCTCAACCACTAATCTACTTTCTGTCTCTATGAATTTGCTTATTGTGGACATTTCACGTAAGCAGAATCATACAATTCGTCATCTTGGTGACTGGATTTTCACCTAGCATAATGTTTCCAAGGTTCATGTTGTGGCACGTAATAGTATTTCATTCTTTTTATTTATTTATTTTGTAGAGACTGGGTCTATGTTGCCCAGGCCAATCTTGAACTCCTGGCCTTAAGCAATCCTCCCATCGTGGCCTCCTAAAGCAATGGGATTACAGTTGTGAGCTACTCCACCTGGCTTCTTCATTCCTTTTTACAGCTGGATAAGATTTCATTGTATGGATATACCACATTGTATTTATCATTTCATCAGCTGATGGACATTTGGGTTGCTTCCACTTTTTGGCAACTATGAATAATGCCACATGTTAATGTATGTACAAGTTAATGTATGAACATATGTTTTCAATTATCTTGGGTCTATACCCAGGAGTAGAATTGCTGAGTTATTCTATGTTTAGTTTTTTAAGGAACTGCAAAACTTTTGTGCAGTAGCTGCATCATTTTACATTCCCATCAGCAATGAGGGCTCCAATTTCTCTACTTCCTTATCAAAACTTGTTACTGTCTTTAAAAAAAAAAAAAAAAAAAAAGTATGACCATCCTAGAGGGTGTAAAGTGTTATCTCTCATTGTGGTTTTGATTTGTAATTCCCTATGGACTATGATGTTGAAGATCTTGTCATGTGCTTATAGGTCATTTGTACATCTTCTTTGGAGAAATGTCTATTCTATTCAAATGCTTTGCCCATTTTTAAATTCCATTGTCTTATCTTTGTTGAGTTGAAAGGGTTCTTTGCATATTCTGGATATAAACAACATATATATAAAATATATATACTTATCAGAGATATAATTTGCAAATATTTTCCCCCATTCTGTGAGTTGTCTTCATTCTACAGTGTCCTTTGATGCATGAAAGTTTTTAACTTTAACAAAGTCCAGTTTATCTACCTTTTTCTTTCACTGCTTGTGTTTTTGTGTTATATCTTTAAAAATCACCATTTAATCCAAGGTCATACAGATTTTCACCTATGTTTCCTTCGAAGAACTTAACAGGTTTAGGTCTTTGATCCATTCTGAGTTAATTTTCATATGTGATGTGAGGCAGGGATCCAAATTTATTTTTTTACATGTAGATATCCAGTTGCCCCAGCAACATTTGTTGAAAAGATTATTCTTTCCCCAGTTAATGATCTTGGCGCCCTGGTCAAAATCAACTGACCATAAATGTATGGGTTTATTTCTGGACTCTAAATTGCATTCCATTGGTTTACAAGACTCTCCTCATGCCAGTGACATGCCATCTGGATTACTGTAGTTTTGTAATAAGTTTTGAAATCAGGAAGTATGAGTCCTACAATTTTGTTCTCTTTTTTTCAAGACTGTTGTGGCAAATATGGCTCTGCAATTCCATATGAATTATAAGATCAGGTTGTCCATTTCCGGGAAAAAGGCAGTTGAACTGTGATAGTGATTGCATTAAACCTGTAGATAAATCTGGGTAGCACTGTCATCTTAACAATATTAAGTCTTCCAAGCCATGAACACAGGACGTCTTTCAATTTATTTAGATCTCTAATTTCCTTCAACATGTTTTCTGTTTTTTAGTGTACTTTTTAGTGTACTTCTTTGGTTAACTTTATTCATAAGTATTTTATTCTTTCTGATGTTATTATAAATGGAATTTTTTCTATTTCATTTTCAGATTATCCATAGCTAGCATATAGGAATGCAACTGATTTTTAGATAATAATCTTGTATCCTGCAACTTTGCTGAACTCATTTATTAGTTCCAATTTTTTTTGGTAAATTCTGTAGGATTTTTCTACATGTAAGATCATGTCATCGGTAAATATAGTTTTATTTCTTTCTGATATAAATGTCTTTTCTTTTTCCTGCTTAACTGCCCCACCTAGAACCACCAATAGAGTGTTGAATAGGAGTGGCAAGAGCATCCTTGTCTTGTTCTGATCTTAAGGGGGAAAGCTTTCAGTCTTCAACCATTAAGTATGATGTTAGCTGTGAGTTTTCCTGTTAGTTGGATTTTGTTTGTTGAACTGAATTTTGACAGTGCCAACTCATAAGGTTGTGCTGAGAATCTAATAAGAAAAGATCTGTGAAGGTGTTTTTAAAACTGTAAAATATCGTTTAATTTCAAGATCGTCTTATTCAGTGACTTGGTACTCTTACTCTAAAAAGTTTCAGAGTAATGTTGTTAAATGAATCAAAATGTTTCTGAAGCTTTTTTAATTCCCAACATCCTGACAAAGCTTTTGCACTTATGTTGTTTTGAAAGGGGAAGAAAAAGGGAAAACTCTTTGGAGAAGGAATCAGAACAAGGATCCAAGGCCTAGAGCCTCTCCCCTGTCCCAACAAGGGAATGCCAGCCCAGTAAGACTCAGGATGTTCAGGAAAGCAGAAAGGAGAAATGCAAAAATGGGCAAGAGGCAGCATGGTATGGAGGAACGAACACGGGATTTAATGGAAAAAGACAGCTGAGATTCCAGTTGTTCAGAAACAACTGAAGAAAACAGTGAGGCTGGGTGCGGTGGCTGAAAACTATAATCTCAACACTTTGGGAGGCCAAGGAGGGAGAATCATTTGAGGCCAGGAGTTCAAGACCAGCCTGGGCAATATAGTGAGACCCAAACTCTACAAAAAGAAAGGAAGAAAGGAAGAGAGAGAGAGAGAGAGAGAGAGAAAGAGAGAAAAGAAAGAAAGAAGGAAAGAAAGAAAGGAAAGAAAGAAAGAAAGAAAGAAAGAAAGAAAGAAAGAAAGAAAGAAAGAAAGAGAGAGAGAGAAAGAAAGAAAGAAAGAGAGAAAGAAAGAAAATAAATTAGCCTGGCTTGGTGGCACAAATCAGTAATCCCCGTTATTCAGGGGGCTAAGGTGAGAGGTTTGAGCCCAGGAGGTCAAGGCTACAGTGAGCCCTGATCACGCCACTGCATTCCAGACTGGGTGACAAAGTGATACCCTATCTCAAAAAAAAAAAAAAAAAGAAAAAAGAAACAGTGAGACACCCGAGAATATTAGAAGATCTAGTAAACTGCACATCTTCAATGCTGCATGATCTTACGGACTTACATCCGTAAGGCCACACTATACTTATCTAAATTGTTGATACTACTTTTAGTCATTATAACACAGCATGCTAATAATTTATGATGTGTCCTTAATATTGAGAGGTTTCTCATTTAATAAATTCAGCTTACTAATAAATATAAACATAATAGTATTTACATATTTTATTATTTAGAAACAACTGAGTAGAAATCATATTTACAAATAATTGAATCAAAAACTGGCTGTTGGAAAGCAAAAAGAAATTACTAGCCTACTTCTTTTCCATAGAACAAATATTTAATAAATATCTATAATGTCCCAGGCACTGTGCTAGGTGCAGGAGATGCTCAAATTAACAACAAAGCAGTGACTACTTTTTATATTTTTTGGACACTGAACAGGAATAAAATATGTATAAAACACAGGCAACACATAAAACACCATAAACCTACTACCCAGTTTAAGAAAAAGAACATTATTTAAATCAAGTTTTTATTGAAGAAGAACATATATACACAAAAATGCATACATTGTACGTGTTTGGCTCAATGAATTTCTACAAGTGAACACACCCAGGGTAACCAACAGTTAGGTCAAGAGGACATTACCAGCATCCCATACTGCCCGCTCCTAGTCACTATCCTTCTACTCAACCACAGATACCCACTAGCTTAATTTCTGTCATCAGAGATAGAAATCATGAATAGAAATATATTCACTCCTCCCACCCCCAGGACTATAAGTGCTGGGTCATGGGCATCATGCCTACATTCAGTTTTAGGGAATTCTGCTAGTTTTCCAAAGAGGTTGTGCTCATGCATTTTCATCAGTTCCAGCTGCTGCACATCCTCATCACCACTTAGAATTGTCATGACAGGCCAGGTGCGCGGGCTCATGCCTGTAATCCCAGCACTTTGGGAGGCCAAGGCAGGTGGATCGCTTGAGATCAGGAGTTCAAGACTAGCCTGGCCAACATGGCAAAACCCCATCTCTACTAAAATACAAAAATTAGCCAGGCGTGGTGGTGGGTGCCCATAATCCCAGCTACTCGGGAGGATGAGGCAGGAGAATCACTTGAACCCAGGAGGCAGAGGTTGCAACAAGCTGGGATTATGCCACTGCACTCCAGCCTGGGCGACAAGAGCAAGACTCCATCTCAAAAAACAAAACAAAATCAAACCCAGAATTGTCATGACAAATGTGTTCTTAATTTAACTTTCTGGTGGGTGTGTAGTAATATCTCCCTGAGGTTTTAACTTGTATTTCTCTGATGACTAATGAGGTTGAGCATTTAACATACGTTACAGGTAAGTTCTTTGTGAAATCCCTGTTTGAATCCTTTGTTCATTTTTCCATTGGCTTTCTGTCCTTTCTTTTTATTCTTGATTTGTAGTTCTTTATATATTCCAGGTACAAGTCCTTGTCAAATACATGTATTTCTTTTTTTCTTTTCTTTTTTTGAGACAGAGTCTTGCTCTGTCGCCCAGGCTGGAGTGCAGTGACGCAATCTCGGCTCACTGCAAGCTCCGCCTCCTGGGTTCACACCATTCTCCTGCCTCAGCCTCCCAAGTAGCTAGGACTACAGGCACCCGCCACCACGCCTGGCTAATTTTTTGTATTTTTAGTAGAGACGGGGTTTCACTGTGTTAGCCAGGATGGTCTCGATCTCCTGACCTCGTGATCCGCCCGGCTCGGCCTCCCAAAGTGCTGGGATTACAGGTGTGGGCCACCGTGCCTGGCTGTCAAATACATGTATTTCAAATACCTTCTTCCACTCTGGTCTTTCTCCTCAATGGTGTCTACTATGGAGTGAAATGTGCACTCCCCACTGCCCCCAACAAAATTCATTAGTCAAGGCACTTCCCCCACCCCAACTATTTTGGAGATAGGGACTTTGGGAGATAATTGAGGCTAAATTAGGTCATAAGCGAAGGGCCCTAATCTGACAAGACTGTGGCCTTATAAGAAAAGGAAGAGAGATGGTGAGATCTTGCTGTCTCTCCGCCACACAGACACGTGGCAAGAAGCCTGTGTGCAAGTCACGAAGACAGTGCTCACCAAAACGCAGTCATACTGGCACCCCGGTCCCAAACTTCCAGCTTCCAGAACCGTGAGAAAATACATTTCTTTTGTTTAAGCCACCAAGTCTATAGTATTGTGTTATGGCAGCCTAAGCAAACTAAGTCAGTGTCTTTTGATGAAATCCAATTAATCACTTTTTTCCTTTGTATCTAGTGCTTTTTATATTCTGTTTAAGAAATCTTCACCTGTCTCCCATGTTTCTGCCTTTTCTTGTCATTAATTTCTAACTTGCCCACATTATGATCAGATATTATTCAGAGATCTGCACCTTGGATGTGGTGTTCAATACTCAATTATTAATATTGTTAATTATATTAAGTCTTCTAAATTAATGCAGTGCAAAAGTACTTTCTGTGCTGTCCAATACAGCAGCCATTGTCACATGTCACTAGTAAGCCCTTGAAAAATGGCTATTGCAACCGAGAAAATGAATTTTTAATTTTAATTTTCAGCTGTAACCATTTTGTCTTTTTAATTTTTCAATTAGGGAGTTTTGAAACTCCTCACCATGGTAGATTTGTCTATTTCATCTTATAATTGTGTCATTTTGTTCTTTGTATATTGAGGCAATTATTAGGTTCACACAAGTTTGGAATTGTTTTTACCTTTATGGATAAATAAACCTTTTCTCATTGTTGAGGGACCTATCTCTAGCTGTCTCTTTTGTCTGAAAGATCATATTGTCTGATGCTAATATAGTTAGTTTACCTCCCTTTTGGTTAGAGTTTGCCTGATAGACTTTTTCCATCCTTTTGCTTTCTATCTTTCTACATTCATATGTATTAGCTATCTCTCTTGAAAATTATAGCTGGATTTTGTGTTGTTTCAGTAAGTTTGTTTGCTTGCTTTTATTTATTTATTTATTTATTTTTGAAACAGAGTCTCACCCTGTTGCCCAGGCTGGAGTACGGTGGCATGATCTTGGCTTACGGCAATCTCCGCCTCCTGGGTTCAAGTGATTCTCCTGCCTCACCTTCCCAAGTACCTGGGATTACAGGTGTGCACCACCACACCCAGCTAATTTTTGTATTAGCTGGCCATGGCCAGCTGGCCGTGTTGGCCAGGGTGGTCTCGAACTCCTGATCTCAAGTGATCCACCCGTCTCAGCCTCTCAAAGTGCTCGGATTACAGGCGTGAGCCACTGCACCCGGCCTGCTTGCTTTTAAATAATCCAATCTGACATTCTTTGTCTGAATGAAGCATTTAGTCTACCATATATTTGATTTGATTTCTATATTTTATTGTTTCCTCTTTATCTGACCTTTTCTATGTTTTTCACTTCTTCCTTGCCTTTTAAAAATTGTTTTTTCTGCTATAAATTATTCCTAATATTTATATTATTTTAGTAGTTACTCTGAAAATACTAATACACATACCTATCAAAATCTAAAGTTAATTGAATAGCTTTACCTTTCTCTTCAACAGTATAAAGATCATAAAATACTTTAACCACTCTTTTGATTTGGATGTTGTTATCATATATTTAGTTCTTTTTTTTTTTTTTGAGACGGAGTTTTGCTCTTGTTGCCCAGGCTGGAGTGCAATGGCGTGATTTCGGCTCACTGCAACCTCTGCCTCCCAGGTTCAAGCAATTCTCCTACCTCAGCCTCCTGAGTAGCTGGGATTACAGGCATGCGCCACCACACCCGGCTAATTTTTTTTTTTTTTTTTTTTTTTTTTTTTTTGGATTTTTAGTAGAGACGAGGTTTCTCCATGTTGGTCAGGCTGATCTCCAACTCATAACCTCAGGTGATCCGCCCACCTCAGCCTCCCAAAGTGCTGGGATTACAGGCGTGAGCCACCACACCTGGCCTATTTAGTTCTATTTTTAAAACCTCCGCATACATCATTTTATAAAGCCAATATTTATTTCAATATATCCACAGATTTACCATTATTCTTTACTCTTCAATCCTTCTTAAATCTCAGACTTTACATCAGTGGTCACTTTTTTTTTTTTTTTTTAGCCTTCAGGAAATTGATCTGAATTTCCACTAGTAGGGAAGGTTTGATGGTTACAACATTGAGTGTTTGTCTGTTTTAAAGTGTCTAATTTTGCCCCCATTCTTCACAAGATATACAATTCTTGGTTGACAATTATTTTCTCTAAGCATGTGGAAAATATTACTCCCTGTCTTATGGCTTTCATTATTATAGACAGGAAAACAGCTGACAGCCAAATACTTGTTGAAGGTAATATCTTTTTTCTCTGACAGCTTTTTTTTTTTTTTTGAGATGGAGTTTTGCTCTTGTTGCCCAGGCTGGCATGCAATGGCACGATCTCGGCTCACTGCAACCTCCACCTCCCAGGTTCAAGCAATTCTCCTGCCTCAGCCTCCTGAGTAGCTGGGATTACAGGCATGCACCACCACGCCCGGCTAATTTTGTATTTTCAGTAGAGACAGGGTTTCTCCACGTTGAGGCTGGTCTTGAACTCCTGACCTCAGGTGATCCACCCTCCTCGGGCTCCCAAAGTGCTGGGATTACAGGCGTGAGCCACCATGCCCAGCCTCTGACAGCTTTTAAGACCTCTCTATGGTATCATGTAGTTTCTTTAAAAAATGTTTATGTGTGAATTTTTTTTCTTTTTATCCTTTCTGGGATTCTTTAGCTTCCTAAATTTGTAGGTTGTTTTTCATCAGTTCTCTGTCATTATCTCTTCAAATACTGCCTCTGCCTCATTCTTTTCCATGCCCCTGCTCCCCTGCCCCAGAATTCTGACTAGACTGAACCTTCTTATTCTACCCTCTGTATTCTCTTAACTCTTTTATTACTTTTCATTTTCTTGCCTCTATACTGCAATTTTTTCAGATCCACTTTACTAAATCTTTCTTTAGCTGTGTCTAATCTGTTATTAAATTTGTACACTGGTCATTTTTGTATACTTGCTCCTCATTCCTATTTTAAATTTCTTTTTTTCTATAAGCATATTAAATATATGTACTTATAATCTGTGTCTGCTAACTCCAATATGTGAACTCTTTGCAGGTTCTGATTCTGCTCTTTATTGTTTCTGCTTCCTCTCATTCATTGCATCTTATTTCTTTCTGCATTTTGTGAATGTGAGTTCATATTTCTTACAGCTTTATGTTTAGGAATTTTCTAAATCCTAAGATCAAGATGGGTTCTCCCAAGAAGCTTTGTATTTGCTGCTTTTTAGGCATTCTTAGGCATTTTAAGGCATCGTCACTCTTGTACCACTTTTATATTTAATTACTGGCTTAAGATTTTCATACCATCCAGGTAATATAAAATCAGGATTCAAACCTGCATGAAGGTCAGCTTGTGGGTAAAACTTCTCAGGGAATTTCTGTACCCTTCCCATCACCACCAAAGTTTGAGGCAGGAAATTTTTCTTTCCGATCCTTAGACAAGGTACGTTTATTACTAGTTCTCATTTATTATGATGTATAGACCCTTGGGGTACCATCTTTACCAGGAGAGGTGGGACGTTCTACCAGAAAACTACTTTTATCTTCCGTTCTCTGAGCTTCTTGAGGCACAAGCACAAGTTAACTAGGTTTTCCAAGTAATGTCATTTGCAAATAATGTCCTCAAGGCAGCAGTACTTGGCTTATATCTCTGGGTTTTCACCTTCACATAGTTTTTGGCCTGATTATTCCTTACTTTTCAGCCAGCTATCTCCATGCACATAAGGTTTTTACTTAAAAAATATTTCATCTGCCAGGCACAGTCACTCACACCTGTAATCCCAGCACTTCGAGAGGCCCAGGTGGAAAAACTGCTTGAGCCCAGGAGTTCGAGACCAGTCTGTGCAACAAGGCAAGACCCCATCTGCACAAAAAATAAAAAAATTTGCTGGACATGGTGGTGTGCACCTGTGGCCCCAGCTACTCGGGAGGTTGAGGTGGGAGGATCGCTTGAGCCCAACAGGTCGAGGTTGCAGTCAGCCATGTTCACACTACTGCACTCCGGCCTGTGTGACGGAGCAAGACCCTGTCCTCCCTCCAAAAAAAAATTATCTAGAATTTTAAATTGTTTATCTGGGAAGGTCAGTCAGAGTACCTAATTCACCATACTGCAGCAAAATAGCCATGCTTTCTTAAAAGTTTGAAAATTGGATATAGATGAAGGTATTAATGGGAAGAAGACGATAACCTTGAAACCTATCAGTAACAAGGTTGAGCACATATTTGGAAAGAAATCTGGAAAAAATATCTTCGACAATTTATAAGGAACTAAATTGGAGAGCTCAAAACACTAAGTGAATGCTTCTCAACTTTAACATACATCAGAATCACCTGGAGAATTTATTGAAAGAGAATGCTAAGCCCTACCCCAGGGTTTCTAAATTAGTCAGCCTGAAGTGGGAACTGAGAATTTGCTTTTCTAACAAGTTCTCAGATAATGCTAATTTGCTGGTCTGCAGAACCCACTATCAGAATCACTGTACTAAGAGAAATAAACTTCATAAAAACAGGAACACTGACAGGTTCATTTCATTACCTTCTACAAAAGAAGAGAAGAAATGTGTGGAAATGAGATTTCAATAACACTCTTGGTCCATCTCATCATTTAACTTATAATTAAGTTAATTTGATGACTGATAAGTAGATTTACTGAAAGGCTATGTATACAAAACAGTTATCAGACTCAATATCTGCAGGTGAAGAAAAAGGACTGGAGTGCAGCAGCTGTTTAAAGCTAGATCTATAATACTAATGATTTAAATAATAGAATAAACAACATTATTTAGAGTATTCAATACCTTGGCAGAGAATATCAAAATTCAAACTACAGACATTGTCAGAAGTGATAATTTACTAAGATGTTCAGAAGCAAATGTCTTGTTCAACCATTCAAGAATCATAATATCCCCACACCAGGCTCTATTCTCAGCAATGGGAACTGTCTGCTATGGTTCACAAAATTATATCAATATTATTCTCTAGGAGAAAAATAGTCAGGATAATTAAATTTAAAAATTTGACACAGAGGTTCATTGGAAGACTCAGAATTAGTGATAATTGGTAGTTTCATTGCTTGTCAAAGCAACTACAAAAATATTTGTCAGCACATAACACTAAAAACACTTCACAATTTTTTTTAAAAACCCACCAATGCAGCCCTTAAAGTTTTTATTATGTGGTGATTTTAAAAAGAAATGAATCTTGCATTTCAAAAATGACTTCTTACCTGAAATTAATAATTTTCCCATTTCCTCCTCCACCAAAGATCTATACAGCTAGTGCAAATCCATCAGCACTTTAACATTTCTTTCTGAATTTAGCAAAAGACCAAAATACCCTGCATTACTCATAAACAGCTGATGCTAATTGATTTGGTTTCAAATCTATAGAGCACAAGTTGTGAGAAATTAACACTTTCAGCTTAAAGTCAAAGAAAAGGAGATCAGGTTAATAAAGTTATTGAGCTGAATTTTATTGAAGTGCTCTCTGTGTCTACTCTTATAAAATACAAGAGGAAAAATGTAGGTCAAAAATCCATAGCGGAAGGTTAAAAGTGTCTTTAAAACAAACAAACAAAAAACTGTCTCGTTCTGTTGCCCAGGCTGGAGTGCAGTGGCACGATCTCAACTCACTGCAACCTCCACCTCTTGGGTTCAAGCTGATTCTCATGCCTCAGCCTCCCAAGTAGCTGGAATTACAGGCGTGTGCCACCATGCCCGCTAATTTTTGGTAGAGACAGGGTTTTGCCATGTTGTCCAGGCTGGCCTTGAACTCCTGGCTTCAAGTGATCCACCCGCCTCAGCCTCCCAAAGTGCTAGGATTACAGGTGTGAGCCACCATGCCAGGCCAAAGTGTCTTTTTTTTTTTTTTTAAAGGAGTGGGGATTAAGTTGTTCCCAGAATTCATACGGAAAAGAGCCAAGAAATGCCAAATTAAGAAAGGTAATGAAAGTACGCCCTATGAAATAACAAGAATAATTTTAAAGCTACAGCAATTAAAACAGTGTTATTGATGCAAATATGGACAAAAAGAATTATGAAACGGAATAGAGTCGACACTTAGACCCACACATATATGGGAACTGGATATAATACAGAGATAGCATTGCAAATCAGTAAAGGAAAAAAATGGACTCAATAAATGATATTGAGACAACTGGTTATACATATGGAAAAGATAAAATTAGTTCATAATTCACACCAAACACAAAAATAAATTCCTGATCAATCACCAAAATGTGCAAGGCAAAATTTTAAAACTTTTATAAGAAAATGACTTCAGGGTGGAGAAAGATTTCCTGAAAAACACATAAAAGCACAAATCACCAAGGTAAAAAAAAAAAAAGGGTAATTATAACTATAAAATTTAAATCCAACACTCTATAAACATCATGAAAAGACCATCACTGTCTGAGAGAAGCTATTTACAACAAAGGATTAGAATCCAAAGCATACCCTACCCCCCAAAAAACGAAAAATTATACAAATCACTAAAAAAATACACAGCCCAACAGAAAAAATGAGCAAATATACAAAAGTAATTCACAGAAGGGGAAATCCCAATGACCAATATGAAAAATGCTTAATCTCACTAGTAATGAGGACAACATGCAAATTTAAACAATAGTTTTACACCTATTATATTGTAAAAGTTAAAATGTCAGCAATATTAAGTGTTGGAGAGGATATAAATAACAGGTACTCATATACTGCTAGTGACAGTATAAACTGGCATAACTAGGTAAAGATGAGTATGACTTATCGCCCAGCAATTCTACCTCTGGACACACATGCTAACTCTTACACATATATGCATGGAGACACACACTCATGTGTTGCTTAACAATAGGGATACATTCTGAGAAATGTGTCACTAGGTGATTTCATCGTTATATGAATATCATAGAGCGTACTTACACAAACCTATACGGTATAGCCTATTGCTCCTAGGCTACAAACCTGTACAGCATGTTACAGCACCAAATGCTGTAAGCAACTGTAACATAATGGGTAATTGTGTAACTAAACATATGTAAATATAGAAAGGTAGAGTAAATATATGGCATTATAATCTTTTGGGATCACCTTCCTATCTGCAGTCCCTCACTAACCAAAATATCGCTAATGTGGCAATGGCACTCGACTAAAATAATGTACATTCCGGGAAAAATAAAATTGGAACTGCCTAAATTGTCCTCTAATAAGAAAGTAGATGATTGTGGTATATTCACAAAACAGACTACAGAGTAGCTAAGCAGAATTAATTGGCTCACTATATATCCACAGGACTAAATTTCAAAATTATTTTAAGTGAAAAATGCAGGTTGCAGAAAGAAAGATATAGCATAAAACCATTATATACATTTTAAAGACACACAAAGCAATATATTGTTTTTGAGCATAAACATGCATAGATGTAGACAGAAAGAATCTATACCAACTTCAGGACAGTGATTACTTCTGGGAAAGGTCAGTGGTCTCAAGAAGGGATACTGCCAGGTGTGGTGGCTGCCACCTACAACCACAGCTACTCAGGAGGCTGAGGTGGGAGGATCACTTGAGGCCAGGTGTTGAGACTAACCTGAGCAACACAGAGAGATCCTATCTCTAAAAACTTTTTTTTAATTAGCCAGATGTGGTGGCACACCTCTGCTAGTCCAAGCTACTCAGGAAGCTGAAGCAGGAAGATTGCTCGAGCTCAGGAGTGTGAAGCTGCAGTGAGCTATGACTGCGCCACTGCACTCCAGCCCAGGCCACCAAGTGAGACTCAGCCTCTAAAAAAAATTTTTAAATAAAACTAAAAAAAAAAAAAAAAAGGAGCAATACAAAGAAGAGTCAATTGGATCTGTAATGTTCTATTTTTTATTTATTATTATTATTTTTGAGACTGAGTTTCACTCTTGTGGCCCAGGCTGGAGTTGTGATCTCGCTCACCGCAACCTCTGCCTCCCAGGTTCAAGCGATTCTCCTGCCTCAGCCTCTCGAGTAGCTGGGATTACAGGCATGTGCCACCACGCCCGGCTAATTTTGTATTTTTAGTAGAGACGGGGTTTCTCCATGTCAGCCAGGCTGGTCTCGAACTCCCGACCTCAGGTGATCCACCAGCCTCAGCCTCCCAAAGTGCTGGGATTACAAGTGTGAGCCACCATGCCCAGCTGTAATGTTCTATTTTTAAAAAGATAAATATCTGAAGCAGATATCATATGTTAACATTTCTTAAACCTCAGTGGTAATCACATGGATATATGTTATTCACTGTACTTGTCATGCTTGAAATCTCTTAAAGTGTGCATGAATTATACTCATTCAAAAATACTTAGGGCTTCCAGAAATGGTTACATCTACAAAAGGAATATTTAGTTTTCACTATAAAAAAAAATAAGTTGGAAATTAGTAGTTTAAATCACTAGGAAACTGAAGTCAGTATAAGGTAGCTCTCAGAGCAATATTAAGGATATCAGTACTAAAATACGAAAGAGTATCTCACTGAGAGATTTTCACTTAAAATACCACAGCCAGAGTATAGATGTTTTAAAAAGCATTACAGCAAGTGCTTAGTGTATTGCCCAATGAAGGTATTTGTAAGGGTTCGCTCTTCTGCCACTGCCAAAATTTTCAATGGTAAGATAATATACTTTACCTTATACTTTTGCACCTTAACTTAACTACTTGAAAAAAAAGAGTCATCCTATACATAAATTCCTCTGGGTTTCAGAAAGAAGAAGCTATCTAATGATGCTTTAAAGAATTGTTTTGTTTCCTAAAATTCATTGCATTTGAAGATACTTTTAAAAATATCCACTAAAGCGATACACAAAACTAATAACTACTGCATGTAAGACTGCAGAAAGTTGATATACTTTGGACAAACTTTCATTCAGGAAATGGACTACCAAACACTTTATAGTATTTGTTTTGATTTGTAGTACTGCACATGAGCTATCCACAATTTACAGCTTGAGTTCCAAAGTTTCATCTGAAAGTTTGTTTGGTAATGATGTCATTCACCCACAAAATGTTATAAATGACTAGGTTTCTAAACAAAGGCTACAAAAGCTTCTGATATTGATACTGATACTGAATATTCTGGCCTGCCCTAGTCAAAACACTAGATTCGACAAATTTTACCTCTAACATCTTTCCATACCCCTTTCAACTCCTAAGCAAGTTCTCTCTCGTTGGTTCCTATTTCACATTATCTTACTCCTATCTCTGCCAAACAGATGACCTCGACTAGGTTTAAGGACTTATGAAGAAAGAGATCCACTGGCTTTATTTGCACTAAAGTATGTGTATTTTCAGAAAGGGACTGCTGAATCTCCAGTAAGTGAGATTTCTGGCAATTTTAAAAGATAAGCATACAAAACAGTTCAGGCACTGTGGAAAACTTTTCTTTTTTCTTTTCCAGTAGTGGGAAGGTAGTGGTATCTTCTGATGACCTAGAAACTGTACACTGAATAACATCACACATTTTATTCTTCAGCCAATTTCCCAGATAAACTATATACGGTGCTTCATTGGAAAAAACTTCAATTACATAGTGAATATAAATCCCACTTATAAGATGATGTCAGAATATCAAAAGTAGTAAGAATGCAAAATAAACTGTCCCCCACAAAAAGGAAATATAAAACCCATTAAGAGTATCGCAACAGCCGGGCTCAGTGCCTCACGCCTGTAATCCCAGCACTTTGGTAGGCCAAGGCAGGCAAATCACTTGAGGTCAGGAGTTCGAGACCAGCCTGGCCAACATAGCAAAACCCTGTCTCTACTAAAAATAGAAAAATTAGCTGGGTGTGGTAGCACAGGCCTGTAATCCCAGCTACTAGGGATGCTGAGGCAGGAGAATTGCTTGAACCCAGTGAGTGGAGGTTGCAGTGAGCCAAGATCGCGCCACTGCACTACAGCCTGGGCAACAGAACAAGACTCTGTCTCAAAAAAAAAAAAAAAAAAAAAAAAAAGAGTATTGCAACAACAACAAAAACATTTGATAAAATTCAACATCCCTTCATGATTAAAAAAACTCTCAACAAATTAGGCATAGAAGGAATATATCTCAAAATAATAAAGTCTATACACAACAAACCCAGAGCTAACATCATACTGAATGAGGAGAGGTGAGATCTTTCTTCTAAAAGCTGGAATGAGGCAGGGATGCCCATTTTCACCACTCCTATTCAGCACAGTACTGGAAATCCTAGCCAGAACAATCAGACAAGAGAAAGAAATGAAAGGCATCCAAACTGGACAAGAGAAAGTCAAATTG
Organism: Homo sapiens; assembly: GCF_000001405.40. Taxonomy (NCBI): domain Eukaryota; kingdom Metazoa; phylum Chordata; class Mammalia; order Primates; family Hominidae; genus Homo; species Homo sapiens. The sequence continues at coordinate 371,812 of NT_167251.2, forward strand.
TCTCTTTGCTGATTATATATCTGTAGGTTTAGAAAACCTTTAAATCAGTAGCATTTCTATACATCAATAAGGATCTAGCCAAGAAAGAAATTAAGAAGGCAATCCCATTTACAATAGCTACCGAAAACAAACAAAAACCTAGGAATACATTTAACTAAGGAGGTGAAAGATCTCTACAAAGAAAACTACAAAACACCAATGAAAGAAAATAAATCAAAAAACATCCTATGCTTGTGGAAAGAATTAATATCACTAAAATGACCATATTGCCAAAGCAATCTACAGATTCAATGAAATCCCTATCAAAATACCAATGTGATTCATATGGGACCAAAAAAGGAAAAAGAAAAAAGCCCAAACAACCAAACCAAACCTGGGCAAAAAGAACAAAGCTGCAGACATCACATTATCTGACTTCAAAATATATTATAAAGCTATAGTAACCAAAACAGCATGGTATTGGTATAAAAATAGACATGTAGACCAATGGAACAGAATAGAGAATCCAGAAATAAAACCACATAATTATAGACAAATGATCTTCAACAACACTGACAAGAACTCACACTAAGGAAAGGACACTGTCTTCAATAAATGATGCTGGGAAAATTGCATAACTTCATGCAGAAGTGTGAAACTAGACCCCTATCTCTCACCATATACAAAAATCAACTCAAAATGGATTGAAGATTTTAAGACCCAAAACTATAAAAATACTACAAGAAAGTCTAGGGAAAACACTCCTGGACATTGGTGTAAGCAAAGAATTTATGATTAAGACATCAAAAGCCCAGGTAACATAAAGAAAACTAAACAAATGGGACTTAAGCAAACTAAAAAGCTTCTGCACAGCAAAAGAATAATCAACAGAATGAAGAGACAACCTGTTGAATGGGAGAAAATATTTGCAAAGTATTCATCAAGCAGAGGACTGATATCCAGAACATACAAGGAACTCGAACAACTCAAAAGGAAAATAACAAATAATCCCATTAAAAAAGAAGACATACAATGGCCAAAAGAAGACATGGAAAAATGTTCCACACCACTATCAGAGAAATGCACATCAAAACCACAATGAGATATCATCTTACCCCAGTCAGAATGGCTATTATTAAAAAGACAAAAAGTAACAGATGTTAGTAAGGATGCAGAGAAAAGGGAACTCTCACATACACTGTCGGTGGGAATGTAAACTAGTACAACCACTAAGGAACACTGTATGGAGATTTCTCAAAGCTAAAAATAGAATTACCTTCCATCCAGCAATCCCACTACTGGGTATCTACACAAAGGAAAAGAAATCAATGTATCAAAGGGATAGCTGCACTTGCATGTTTATTGCAGTACTATCACAATAGCAAAAATATGGAATCAACCACCTAAGTGTCCATCTACAGATGAATGGATAAAGAAGATGTCATACATGTACACAATGGAATACTATTCAGCCATAAAAAGAATGAAATCATATCATTTGCAGCAATGTGGATGGAACTGGAGGTTATTCTCTTAAGTGAAATAAGCCAGGCACAAAAAGACAAATATTGCATGCTTTCACATATATGTAGGAGCTACAAAATTTGAACACAAGGAGGCAGGGAGTGGAAAAATAGATAACAGAGACTGGGAAGGCGGAGTAAGGGAGAGAAAGGCTGAAGAGAAGTGGGTTAAAAGGTAAAAAGATCCAATGAGGTCAGTCGCGGTGGCTCATACTTGTAATCTCAGCACTTTGGGAGGCCAAGGCGGGTGGATCACCAGGTCAGGAGTCCAAGACCATCCTGACCAATGTGGTAAAACCCTGTCTCTACTAAAAATACAAAAATTAGCTGGGCGTGGTGGCACATGCCTGTAATCCTAGCTACTCAGGAGGCTGAGGCGGGAGAATCGCTTGAACCTGGGAGGCAGAGGTTGCAGTGAGGCCAAGATAACACCACTGCACTCCAGCCTGGGTGACGGAGCAAGACTCCGTCTCAAAAAAAAAAAAAAAAGATCCAGTGATAGGAGGAATAAATTCAATGTTTGATAGCTGAGTAGATGACTATACTTAATACATTGGACTCATGTACCCTGACTTGATCACTACACATTATACACATGTAAAAAAATTTTCATGTACTCCATAAATATGCACAAATAAAAGTATTGCAACAAGGTGAACTATTTTTGCTAAAAATCACTCAGTAGTTACTAGAAAATAAAGGCTATCAGAAGAAATGATAGACAATCAGATGGGCCAAAGTTTTTCAGATTTTCCAAAAGGTAGAAGATAGTTTCTGAACATTATTATGTCCAAAAAGTTCTAGGTGAGGTAAACCTAGTCTTTACTACACTCTTGCAACTAAGCTGGTGAACTAGGTAACAGTACCAGGCTGATCTGAGTTCAAATCTTGACCCTGCTTCTTGCTGGCTATGTGAACTTCTCAAGTTACTAAATCTCTCTCTCTTTCTCTCTGCAAAAAAACAAAGATAATACTACCTACTTTGCAGGTTGTTTTGTTGGAATTAAATGAGACACATCTGTATTTAAGCAACAGTGCCCAAGTGTATTAATGGGTATCAGTCTAGAGGCATGTCACTGGCAGCATGTCCAAGGGTTATTTCTGACCCTGTCTTATTCTATCCTTTACCAATAACTCAAACGTAGAAACAGAAGTCATGATTAAACCTACAGATCTAACCAAACTGGAAGAGACAGCTATTATGTTTCCTAACATGAAAGAACTAAGAATCCAGATTACCTCAACAAACAGCAGACATGCACTGACCTAAAAAAATGAATTGTAAAAGGATAAGGTCTTGATTTAGGTTCAATAAAACTGCTCTAAACCTAGAATGGAGCTAGGGAGCTGATTTTAAAAGAACATGAGTTTTCACTGACTACAAGCTCAGTATGAGCCAAGAATGTGATTTACTATAGAAAAAACGCTAATACAATTTTATCTGGTATGAATAATGGTAGTGTCCATCTCAAGACAATAATAGCTTAAGTACATTCTTCTCTGATCACTGTGTTCCACTCTGGGCACATTTTAGAAGAAAGGTTGACAAAACAGTAACATTAGGTTACTTCCAGAGGAAGGTAGCCTAAATGATGAAGGGTTTGGAATATGAAATATGCTAGGAATTGGGGGATGTTTAACTTGCAAAATCGAAAATCTGAGGAGATATGTAACCTGTATTCAAGTAAATGAGTAGCTTGAGTAGCTATTACATGGAAAAAGAATTGTGTTTAGTTCCGTATGGCTTGAAACAGCAGAAATAGTAACTACGTATAAAAGTTACATGAACTCCAGATAACAAAGACCTAACATAGCTGTATGACATTACAGGCAAGCTTTAGGGTAATATACCATCTATCACCAGAGTGTTCAGAGACTGATTCATTTTCAACAAAAATGTATTGAGTACCTAAGTCCCACAAGGTACACAAAGCGCAGTTGATAATGACTAAATAACTTGTATGTTCTCTGCTTTTCACTGAGGTGAAGTGGTAGAAGCAAATAATAACACACACTCAAAGTAACAAAAAGATAAATCTCTAAGGAGAGGAATACAGTTCTTCAAGAGTATATAACAAAGGATCCTGACTTATAATGTGGGGTCAGAGTAGGCCTCCCTTGAGTAGCTAAGTGATGTCTGAGTAGGAGGTAAATGGTTGGGGGGAAGAACGTTACAAAGAAAGGAAACACCACTCGCAAAGACCTTGTGGTAAGAGAAACTACAGGTTCAAGGAATTGAAAGGCTCGTTTACCATATAACCTGAGCACACAGAGTAAGAGAATGAGTGGAAAGAAGCAGGAGCAGAACCACAAAGAGTCCTGAAGGCCTCATTAAGGATTTGGTTTTCTCCCAAAAGTAATGGGATGCTGCTGAGGAGGGGTTTAAGTAGTAATAGGCACGGGAAGGAACAATGAAGGTCAAGAATGAATTGGAGGTGGGCCACATGCTCTAAGAAGACTACTTGGGAGGCCGGGCACGAATCTCAGCACTTTGGGAGGCCAAGGCAGGTGGATGACCTGAGGTCAGGAGTTCGAGACCAGCCTGGCCAACATGGTAAAACCCCGTCTCTACTAGAAATACAAAAATTAGCCGGGTGTGGTGGTGGGCGCCTGTAATCCCAGTTACTCAGGAGGCTGAGGCAGGAAAATGGCTTGAACCCAGGAGGCGGAAGTTGCAGTGAGCAGGGATCACGCCATTGCACTCTAGCCTGGGTAACAAGAGCGAAACTCCATCTCAAACAAACGAACAAAAAAATACTTGGAAGCTTCCTGCAGTAGTCCAGACCAGAAATGATGGTAGTTTGGGAAAAGGAGGTAAAAATGAAGATGTGGAAAGGTGGACAGACTGGAGATTTTTAGGTTAAAATGACAGAACCCATGTGACCAATCCAGATAGTCCAGTGGGTGACTTGGAACTAGTCTAAAGCAACCATTCCCCCAAACCAGAGTCTTTGGCCCTAATTAAATACCTTTATGGGGGGCAGGAGCAGAACTCTGACAAATTTTACCGGGGGATAGGGCAGAGGACATGGGTACAGCAAAAGAGAGACATAAAGGGTTACCCACCCTCTCCCTCCCTCAGATTCCCAGCCTATATAACTGGGTGGATGATGGTATCATTCAGTGAGATATTCCTATCTCACTGGATAGGTACAGATGGTCCCTGACTTACAATGGTTTGACTTAACATTTTTCAACTTTACAATAGTGCAAAGGTGATAGGCATTCAGCAGAAACTGTACTTTGAAGACCTACACAACCATTCTGTTTTTCACTATCAGCACAGTAATAAATGACATGAGGTATTCAACATTTTATAATATAGGTTTATGTTAGATGATTTTGCCCAACTGTAGGCTAATGTAAGTGTTCTGTGCATGTGTAAGGAAGGCAGGCTAGGCTAAGCTATGATATTCGGTAGATCGGGTGTATTAAATGCATTTTCAACTTCTGATACTTTCAGCTTACAATGGGTTTATCGGAAGGTAGCCCCATCGTTAAGTCGAGGAGTATCTACACAAGTTAGGTGGGCTAAGATCCTGGGTTCGGAGTTGAAAAAGCTGCGTTTCGGGACCTTGATTTTAAATAAGCAGTTGGACATATTAACCTGAAACTTAAAGGGCAGGTCTGGACTGGGGGTAAAATATTGAGAATCACTGTCATATAGACAGTTGTAGCTATGGGCTTAGAAGAAATTGCCTGAGCGGGAAATTGAGAGTGAGAAGACGGCCTTTGAGGAATACCAGCAATGAATAACAAAGTAGAGGAGGGTGAGGCCGCAAAAGAGAGGTCTGAGTCAAACCAGGAGCGAGGCATTCCAGAACACATGTGAAGAGTGCTTTCCGTCAAGGAAGCCATGGTCAACAACGTCAAACGCTGCTGAGATATCAAATAAGATAAGGATTGAAAGGTATCAATTAAGTTGAGGGACAGGTTTCAGTGGGATGATGGGGCAGAAATCAGACTGCAGTAGGTTGAAGGGTGAGTAGGTGGTAAGCAAATGGAAGACAATAAATATAGACAACTCTATCAAATTTCCTGCTGTAAACTGGGACGGGAAAAGGTGACAGCTGTGGGGGTGGGGGAAGGGTTTAAGATAGAGAAGCTTGATTATGTTAAGAAGGAGCAGGTGAATATACAGATAGGGTCTGAAGTACTGGCAGAAGGACTAGCCTTAAAAGGAGAGGCCATGGGGAAAAGGAAGAGAAAGAAGCCAAACTAAATGACCTTTAAGATCCCTTCTTACTCTAGAATCTCATGACCTACAAGTCCCTTCAGATAGGGCATTTGCATATATGCATAAATCTATGCAAACTTATTCAAAAATTCTGTTATAAATAGATCAGTCAATCACATCTTTCACCCCCAATGACGCAGTTAATGTCCTCAGGTTTATGACCAGTGTAATCTCCGGGCAGGACTCATCCCTTGAGAGCTTTTAGCTCAAGGCAGACTGCAATACAGCACTCAACCAGCTCTCTCTCCTCGCCAAACCCATCCTACCCAACGATCCTAAAGGCTAAAGGAGGAAGTAAATTTAAAACCCTGAAACTACAGCATATCCTGCTGCATTCGAAGCGAGTGTCATCCATAAAAACAAAACGTGACACCCCAAATCCATCCTCACTCCAAGCTAAAGCCAATTCCTGCCTGACCCGACAGTTGACAGGTCCCCCAGATGGCCGGGCTTTAACACTAAAAGTCATTGGCACCCCCTCCTCTTTCCCAACGACCTTTAATTTGTGAAGAGCCAGACATGGGTTCCTGAAGATCCTTCCTACACCCCTTGCCCCGAATGCAGCAGAGGTGCTCCCGGCAGTTACTCCGGCGCCCCCTAATAAGCCCTCGCAAGGGGGTGCGGAAAGACCCCCAGAGCCCGTCAGAGGGGGCTTCGGCGACCGCGACCCTGCGGCTGTGTGGAGGACGAGGGAACAAGCCCCAAGGGATGGGAAGGGAGGATGACGGGAGGCGCAGCAGACGCGTGTAACGAGGGGTCATCTCCCCTCGAGGGGGGTGGAGTTGTTGAGGAGGGCTAATCCCCTGCCACCGCTCCCCTGCTACCCTCAAGTCCCGCTCTGGCCTCGCGCCCCATTGCTCGGATTCACTCCCACTCCTCTGGGGCCGCCTGGACCCCAGAGTGCCCGCGAGCCCGGCGCCCCTGCCTCAAGCCTGGGCTCCCAGACCGGCACTCACCCGGCCCGCCATCTTCGCGGACACGTCCGGCTCGGCGGCTGCAGCTCTGCGCTCGGCAAAGCCCGCCCCCGCCGCGCGCGCGCCCCCGCCGCCCGCCCTCGCGCAGGCGTGCAACCGCCGTGAGGACGCGCGCGTCCCTGGCCGCGTCCCCGGCGTCCTCGCTCCACAGGGCGCGCGCGCGGGCTCGGCGGCCGCCTGGGGTGCGCGGGGTGGGCAGAGCGGCGGCGCCATTTTGGCTGGAGCTGCGGGGCTGTGGTGGGTGACTCCGTTTCCAACGTGCGTGTCAGTCCGCCGGGGCCTGGAGGGCTGCGCCTGCGAGTCTCATCCCCCACTGGCGGTTCGCGCCGGAATTTGTCTCAAGGGCTTTAATGCTTCGGATCACTTATCCCTTTGCCAGCTGCTGTTCGCCCTCGAATGTCCATTTTGGTCTGTGCTTCCACACTCTCTTTAAACATGGTCTTGCTGATGAGAGCGCCCGGCGCGTTCCCTGGCTTCCCCCAAAAAAGATCAGCTCCGAGGAGTTGGTTCTGAGTTCAAATTCTCCATGAATTTTCTCACTTTTCTTTGTAGGCGTACTTGTTTTCCTAGTTGCTGGAATTGTCATCGTTGGCAGTTTTATTTATGTGTAGCCTGGAAAACTCAGTATTTTCAGATTTGAAAGTGAATTGTGATTATTTTTATACATTATTTTTATTAAATATTTGTCTTTATTTAATAAAGGCAACTTGCATCTTCGACCAACCTTTTCATTCCCCAGTGTTGTTTCATTTTAGACAATATATATGGTAGAATCTGAATAAAATATGCCCTAAATTGAGCCTTGTTGAACCTCAATGTTTCCACCATACCATTTCTCCACTGGAATCTCAGAATATCTAACTGCAAGCACGCTGAGAGGAGAAAGATTCTGCCGAATGGATTCCCTGATGCTTTTATTTACCCCACTATCATATCTCTCTTCATATTTGCACAAGACAATAGGGAATGATAGGATTTGTTCGCTTTCATTTCTCACAATTAGAATAAATCGGGGTTTTTTTCCCAACATGAGGAAAGAAGGGAAATAACTAGAAGAGCTGAGCATGCATAGTGATTTAAATTTGAGAACTAATAAAATCAGACAGTGACCTGAAGATGAACTAGGGACAGAAGAAAAAATTCATGCCAGCCAGGCGCGGTGGCTCATGCCTGTAATCCAAGCACTTTGGGTGGATCACCTAAGGTCAGGAGTTCCAGACCGGCCTGGCCAATATAGTGAAACCCCGTCTCTACTAAAAATACAAAAATTAGCCGGGCGTGGTGGCGGGCGCCTGTGATCTCAGCTACTCAGGAGGCTGAGGTGGGAGAATCGCTTGAACCCCGGAGGCAGAGGTTGAAGTGAGTTGAGATTGCGAGGCTGGGCAACAGAGCGAGACTCCGTCTAAAAAAAAAAAAAAAAAAAAAAAAATTCACGCCTATTTCATTAAGTCTCACATTGAACCTGAGGACCAGGGTGCTTGGTTGACCAAATCAGATGTTAGCTAAATCATGGGTGGGTCGGAGAGGTTATCAGGAAAGATAGGAAACTAGTTGAGTTCTGACATACTAACGTGCAGAAGCTACTAACTTACAAAAACAAATATTAGAATGGCTTGGGGAGTCCAAAGGGTTAGGTTCTTTTCTTTGTCCCTATCTACCCATCACCTGTGTACCTTCATCTCTCTGAGCCCAGTTTCCTTATTTGTTTTTGTTTGTTTGTTTTTGAGACGCAGTCTTACTCTGTCACCCAGGCTGGAGCACAGTGGCATGATCTCGGCTCACTGCAACCTCCGCCTCCCGGGTTCTAGCTATTCTCCTGTCTCAGCCTCCCAAGTCGCTGGTATTACAGGCGCCTGCCACCACACCCAGCTAATTTTTGTATTTTTAGTAGAGACAGGGTTTTGCCATGTTGTCCAGGCTGGTCTCGAACTCTTGACCTCAGGTGATCCACTGGCCTTGTCCTCCCAAAGTGCTGGGATTACAGAAGTGAGCCACCACGCCTGGCCTAGTTTCCTTATTTGTACAGTGAGAGGTATAATTAAATAAGCTTAACAGTTGTATCCTTTTTTTTTTTTTGACACCTTGACTTTGAACCTAGAATCAAAGAGATTTTGTCCAAATAATTACCAGATCCAGAAGATGACATTGGTTCTCAGTCCAATAATCTGACATTATTTTCAAGGTTGGAAAATAATGCAAACATGTTTCTCCCTATCACTGGTTAGTTTGTCTTGTTTTACTAGATAAGCTAGATTGCAAGTACAAATGTCTTCAATTTCTCCAACAAGGAGGAATATTTATCATCTTGGAAGGATATGCCTGCTGGAAAGTTTCCAGTGTATCAGCTAATGTGCATATCTACCCATTATAAGAGGCCCTCTGTGCCCTCTCAAAGCCCTCTGTGCCTTCTCACAAGTAGTAAAAATTAAATAGAATCATTTGCACAGCCCTGCAGGGCCTGCCAAATAAATTGCAAGCAAAGATAGCTCTTGTCCTTAAGGTCCTTAGCATCCAGCAGGAGAGGAAGGATCCTGAGACAGTGCTCCAGATACTCCACATGTCTCTGCAACCTGTTTGTGCCTTGCTCTGACATTCAAGGTCATCTTAGAAATAGAGGGGTGCTGATTCTGCATCACCCTCTGAGTAATCCTTGCAGTGATAGTCGATAAGCAATAAATGTTTTTGCTGCCCCAAATTCACTCTGCCCTTTTCTGGTAACAGCTCCTCTGGTTCATGCAGCCTTGGAAGGACTGTCAGACCAGGTACCCTGCCTCCCCCTGGCCCAGGAGTGAATACAGAACCCAAGTTCAATCAGTCAGATGCTCTGTCTCTCCTAAGTAACTGCAATCTTGAATACCCTGAAGAATAAAGACAGAAATAGCTAGAGCTCATTTACTGCAATGATGACACCCTGAAGAGACCATTTGCTAGTTCTCTAGATCTCTAGAGTTTACCTGCTTTCTGTCATCTGAAAAATCTGATTGTCCCCCTTTGTCTTGATTTCTGTTAGTCACTTTCTCTTCCTAGAAAAATACCTCCCTCAGCTCTTCGTCGATCCCTGAAATTCTTTTAATATGCTTTCCTTTCACAGTGAGAAAGTTAGTAAGACGGCTAACAGAATGATTAATTTAAATCCTAAAGTGTAATGACTAACATCATTTTTTAAGGAAGGAAGGGCTTTGAGTGGGGGGTAGGAGGTGAGTCTAGGGATAGGGTCAGAGAGGAAAGGTACCTGAAAGGTGGGGAAAGAAGATGAAGACATGATAAAATGGAAATAGCAGGACCCAGAATGAAGAAGAGTGGGGCATAAGGGCAGGGGCAGGGTTTGACCAAGGTCAGTTCTTGCTGAACACAGCCCTTGTGATCCAGTGTGACGGTTAATTCTGTGTCAACTTGGCTTGGCCATGTTGCCCAGATACTTGATCAAATATTATTCTGGATGTTTCTGTGAGGGTGTTTTTGGATGAGATTTACATTTAAATCTGTAGACTTTGAGTAAAGAAGGTTGCCCTCCATAATGTAGGTGGGCCTCATCCAATCACTTGAAAGCCTGAATAGACAAAAGGCCAAACTCATCCAGAACAAGAAGGAATTCTCTAGCAGGTTACCTGTGGACTAGAACTGTAACTCTTCCCTGGGCCTCCTGCATGCCAGCTTCTCCCATCAGATTTTGGGCTCCCAAAGCCTCCACGATCACACGAGTCAATTCCTTAAACAAAATTTCCTCCTATGTATATACACATTCTGTTAGTTCTATTTTTCTGGAGAACCCTGATGAATATAGTCAGTTTCCTGTCAGTTACAGGGATGTGATTCCTGGTTTTTACAAAGTGATCCTTAGCATCACCTGTTGCTCCCTGATAGGTAACCAACATCTATAGGTGGAGGCCTGATTCAAAGACTTGAAAACAGTGCACAGATAGAATTTTATGTTCAAATTATGTCCCATTAAACATCACTTAAAATGTGCTCTATTGGAATGGGGCTGACTAACATTTTGGTTATATAGACATTTGTTTGTAATGGTTGTGGTAACAGAATTTAACTGGGGGAAAAATAAATATCTTCTGTGATTTGTGGAGTGAGGGCAATATAAAACATAGAAGTGAACAGATTCACCGTAATCCACTTTATTTAACAAAGCAATCTGACTATTTGGTGTTTTCATATTAACCAAAGGAAAACTACCTTTAGTCTGTGGAAACTGTAGGGTTAAACAAGTGGCACTGGGGACAGAGTTTTTAGTCACTGCAGGGCTGTTTCAAAGGTCTTCCAGCGGGATTGTATGTAGGTGTTTCAGGGAACAGTCCTGTTCGGTGAATTCACTACTGTATTGTAATTGTCAGAAGGCGTCCTGCAGTGTGTGTGTGTGTGTGTGTGTGTGTGTGTGTGTGTGTGTGTGTGACAGAGAGAGACAGAGAGATGAAGACCTGCACTTCCCCTCTTGCAGAAGATGTCACTGTGAAGCACACAAAGGTGGTCTTCAGAGCCCCTTTTATTCCCTTCCCGCTGCACCCCCTCCTCTCTTTCCCAAGTTCTTTCAGTATTAGTAACCTAACGTATTACTCTTCCCAGGAGTATTGGCAATTTAGGAAAATACTGACAGGACAGCAGTGCCTGACCTAAGAAAACAAACCTCAAAAGGCAACACTTCAGAGACTGTGACACTGTATGGGGAGCCATCTGTGTATAGAAAGCCTTCTCTTGCCCCTCCAATCGTAACTCACAGGTCAGCCACACATACCATGCAAGCCTAGGCTTTCTGGGAGCCCCATGAACACTTAATTTTAGAGCCCCGTCACAGCCAGTTTTAGGATGATGGAGTTGCCATCTGTTTGTTTTCTGTCAGAGAAACCTGTTTTCCAAAATGATGGATAAAGCTAGAGAACGGAGCAAAATGGAGAAAGGACATGGAATTTTTAAATGAAAGGAAGACCAGCTGATGCAATGCAGTATTCTAGCTGCAGTCAGTTGCGGGGCGGGGCGGGGGGTGTTTGTTTTAAATGAATATGTCTTTTCTCTTTGCAGGATCAAGGACAAACACCTATAGTCACAAAAAACAATTCATTCTGGAAAGCCTGAGTGAGCAGGAGAGATGATAGAATCCTCCGTGGAAAGGAAGGACTGTTGCTATGGAAACCAGATGATCCTTCAGTGGGGGCCCCAGTGCACTTGCCAGGCTGCCTAACCCTGTGTATTAACATCATGGGGCTGGAAGGCTGCCTGCATCTCTTTGAAAAGAGATTTTTCAGATATTGGTGTGATGAGACTTTATGCACCTTGAGAAAAGTAAATCAGCATCTCCTGGGAGGGGCTAAGTTGCCTAGAACCTTAAAACACTAGAGGCCCACACACCACAGCCGACTGGGGTGACTATATTGGCTACTCTTGACATTTCTCCAGAGGGCATCCAAGAAGGTGTGTCTTAAGGATTCTCTCTCTCTCTCTCTTTTTTTTTTTTCGAGATGGAGTCTTGCTCTGTTGCCCAGGCTGGAGTGCAGTGGAACGATCTCAGCTCACTGCAACCTCTGCCTCCCAGGTTCAAGCAATTCTCCTGCTTCAGCCTCTCAAGTAGTTGAGATTTACAGGCACGCACCACCATACCTGGCTAATTTTTTTATTTTTAATGTTTATTTTTTGGTAGAGACAGGGTTTCACCATGATGGCCAGACAGCTCTCGAACTCCTGACCTCAAGAGATCCACCCGCCTTGGCCTCCCAAAGTGCTGGGATTACAAGCGTGAATCACTGTGCCTGGCCAAGGATTCTCTTAAGGGCAGGTTTATGGAGGGCTGTTTCTGAGGTAAGGAACACAGCTTTCCAAGAGAGGAAGAAGACATCCCTTGAGCAGAGGTTTGATTAGAAGAATAAGTTTAGTGGCACTTGGGGGAAGGTGGTCTGGGTATTCTGTGTGACATTTAAACTGTAACTACCATACCAATACCACTATTACTACAACTATCCCTAATTACACTATTAACTAATTTTAAAGTCTAAGCCAGAGATGAGGAGCTTTCTCCAAATAGGTTTCTCAGAGTGAAATTCTCTTTCTACTTCTCCCAAGAGCACTTTGTCCTTTCCATGCTTTACAAATAACATTATATTGATAAGATGTGTTTTCTATTAAGGAAAAAATAACTCTATTAAGTCAATATCATCACAAGCAATTCATGCTTATTGAGTCGTTGCAGTTCGAGATTTATAAACTTCCCTGAGCAGCCACTGTGATTTCAATTAAACCTCCCTCTTGTCAGAGTTTTAATTTTTAAAAAATAAGTTGAGTTTTCCATTTTAAAATCAGTACACTATTTTCCCTCGATCACTTAAAAACAATCACAGTCCTACCTCCTGAATATATTCACTAGTAAGTTCGGCCTATTTTTAGCCTCTTCCCCTATACATTCCTCATGCATATCATTATAAAATTCTCCCTCTTTTTCTCTCTCTATATGAATGTATTTTGTTTGTTTGTTTTTTGAGACAGAGTCTCACTTTGTCTCCTAGGCTGGAGTGCAGTGGCACTATCTTGGCTCACTGCAACCTCTGCCTTCCAGGCTCAAGCAGTCCTCTCATCTCAGTCTTCTGAGTAGCTGGGGCTACAGGTGCACACCACCATGACCAGCTAATTTTTGTATTTTGTATTTTTTGTAGAGATGGGGTCTCACCATGTTGACCAGGCTGGGCTTGAACTCCTTGGCTCAAGCAGTCTACCCAACTCAGCCTCCCAAAGTGCTAGGATTACAGGTGTGAGCCACTGCACCCGGACGTATGTATTAAATATATATTATATATATATATATATATAAAAAACATATACGTATATGTGTATGTATTTATGTGATTATAATTGTTTAGCAATTGAATGCCATGTGGGCAGGAACTTTGTTTATTCAGAGGCTTGTGAAAGGAAAATAAAAACTTGGGAACCCAATTCATTCTGCCAAAAGAAAAAAAATTAAGCTGAAAGCTGAGTCATGCAAGAAGTTGCCTTTCCTTTCATTCCTAAGCAGGACTGACTGCAGCTAACTACTCTATGTCCACCTTATCTTATGGTAAGCACGAGAGTAATACATAATTGACTATTCCCCTACTTGCTCCTTGTCTCTTGCAACATGTGAATTCAGTAATGTGACCATACTCTCCTTCTTTCCCTTCCAGCCTGCTTTTCCATTTTAAATATTAAATCCTTGCCGGGCACCGTGGCTCACGCCTGTAATCCCAGCACTTTGGGAGGCCGAGGCAGGTGGATCATAAGGTCAGGAGTTCGAGACGAGCCTGGCCAACATGGTGAAACCCCGTCTCTACTAAAAACAACAAAAATTAGCTGGGCATGGTGGTGTGCGCCTGTAATCCCAGCTACTGGGGCGGCTGAGCCAGGAGAATGGCTTGAACCCAGGAGGCGGAGGTTGCAGTGAGCCGAGATTGTGCCACCGCACTCCAGCCTGGGTGACAGAGCAAGACTCTGTCTCAAAAATAAAAAAATATAAATAAATAAATAAATAAATAAAATATTAAATCCTTCTGGCCGGGCGCGGTGACTCACACCTGTAATCTCAGCACTTTGGGAGGCTGAGGTGGGCGGATCGCCTGAGGTCAGGAGTTGGAGACCAACCTAGCTAACATGGTGAAACCCCGTCTCTACTAAAAACACAAAAATTAGCCAGAAGTGGTGGCACGCGCCTGTTAATCCCAGCTACTTGGGAGGCTGAGGCATGAGAATCATTTGAACCTGGGAGGTGGAGGTTGCAGCGAGCCAAGATTGTACCACTGCACTCCACCCTGGGCAACAGAGTGAGACTCTGGCTCAAAAACAAACAAACAAACAAAACTAAATCCCTCAAAATCACCTTTGGAAAAAGGCACAGGCCTGTCTCCCAGGTAAGCATCCTTAATTTTGGCAAAATAAACTTGTAAATTGATTGAGACATGTCTCAGATACATTTTGGTTTACAGGCTCAGTGCAGATATTGGGAAAATAATGAATATTCTTAGGCTATGAGGGATGGAAGGATAAATTCTCATAATTATCAGCTCCAGCATTCCTTCTGTAGGAACAAACAATGGTAAGTAAAAATCTCACCTTCGTTATTTCACCTTTTTTTTAGGTTATGATGACTCCATTCAAACAACCTTCATAGTTCCTGGCAAAACAACTTTCTATCTTTCCCTTGGAAGTCAGTAGGACATGAATATATCATTTCTAATAGATGAAATAAAAATACTAGTAAACATTTGGAAAAATAGCAAGTCATCAAATAAATGAAAATTAAACTAGCATGAGTTTTTTGTTGTTGTTGTTGTTGTTTGAGACAGAGTCTCACTCTGTCACCCAGGCTCTGCACCCAGTGCAGTGGCTCTATCTCGGCTCACTGCAACCTCCGCCTCCCGGGTTCAAGCAATTCTCCTGCCTCAGCCTCCCAAGTAGCTGGGATTACAGGAATGCACCACCACGCCCAGCTAATTTTTGTATTTTTAGTAGAGACGGGGTTTCAGCATGTTGGCCATGATGGTCTTGATCTAACCTCATGATCTGCCCGCCTCGGCCTCCCAAAGTGCTGGGATTACAGGTGTGAGCCACTGCACCCGGTTATGTATAATTTTTATAGTCAGAAAAAACATACTTTAATTTTTAAGGAGTCATATGTATTTATATTAACCCTCATACATATAAGCACTGTAATTAGAAGAGTAAGTAGTACTGTAATTTAATAGTTTTGTTTGCTCAATGCACAGTGAGTCAGCATACAGAGACACCTGGCTGCAGCAAAGAAAGAGTTTAATAATCACAGGGCATCTGAATGAGGAGATGGGAAGAAGCCTCAAATCCACCTCCCTGAGAGGTTTGGGGGGCAGGGTTTTTAAGTCCTCTGGACAGGGGCTGCAGTGTGGGGATCGATGATTGGTCAAGAAGTGAAGGGCGAAGTCATGAGACAGGGAGACCAAGAAACCTCATTCTTGTGCTGAGTGGGTTCCTTGGTTGGGGACGTCAGAATTCAGGATCTGAAAAACAACCCGTTCTTGGGCAAAACGATCTTATGAGTCTAGCGTCAGAAATTCTTACTCATGGTAAGAACCATGGAGAAACAGGTAGGAGGTGGTCTAGCACGTGGAGTGATGTTCAGTGAGTTAGCAGCTGCAGGGAAGTGGGTCAAAGTACACTTGTGCACCCTGGATAACAGCTAACTATATATAATGCTGCCTAAAGCCTGGCTTGTAACTCTCCTTAATCCTGTGAGGGCAGTTTCCATTCTGTATTTGCTTAAAAAGATTAAGGTGGCCAGGCGCGGTGGCTCATGCCTGTAATCCCAGCACTTTGCGAGGCTGAGGTGGGTGGATCACTTGAAGCCAGGAGTTCAAGACCAGCCTGGCCAACATGGTGAAACCCTGTCTCTACTAAAAATACAAAAATTAGGCAGGCGCAGTGGCACATGCCTGTAATGCCAGCTACTTGTGAGGCTGAGGCAGGAGGATCACTTGAACCTGGGAAGCAGAGGTTGCAGCGAGCCGAGATCGCACCACTGCACTCCAGCCTGGGCGACAGTGAGACCCTGTCTCAAAAAAAAAAAAAAAAGGAAAAAGAAAGAAAAAGATTAAGGTGTGGGAGTGGGACAGACCCAGGCTACTTAATATTTTTCTGTAAAACAGCAGGGATAATAGTTTCTTTTCTTTCTTTTTTTTTGAGACAGGGTCTTGCTTTATCGTCTAGGCTGGAGTGCAGTGGCACGATGTTGGCTCACTGCAACCTCTGCCTCTCAGGTTCAGGCAATTCTCCTGTCTCAGCCTCCCAAGTAGCTGGGATTACAGGCGTGTGCCACCACGCCCGGCTAATTTTATATTTTTAGTAGAGATGGGGTTTCTCCATGTTGGTCAGGCTGGTCTCGAACTCCCAACCTCAGGTGATCTGCTCGCCTCGGCCTCCCAGTGTGCTGGAATTACAGGTGTGAGCCACCACGTCTGGCCAGGGATAATAGTTTGTAATTCACTGGGCGTTACGGTCCTGCAGGTAACATTGTTTTTCTTATTTATTTATTTATTTATTTAGTCAATTCTAGCAGTATCTTCTAACTTTTTTTGTTCGTGTTTTTTGAGACAGGGTCTCGCTTTGTCACCCAGGCTGGAGTGCAGTGGCGTGATCACGGCTCTCTGCAGCCTCTACCTCCTGGGCTCAAGTGATCCTCCTGCCTCAGCCTCCCGAGTAGCTGGGACTACAGCCGCTACCATGCCCGGCTAATTTTAAATTTGTTTTTTTTTTTGCAGAGATGGGGTTTTGCCATGTTGCTCAGGCTGGTCTCGAACTCCTAGCTCAAAGCCTTGGCCTTCCAGGCGTGAGCTACCGCGCCGGGCCTGCTGAAGTTCTTGATATAGTTTCTGGCACATAGTATATGTTTAATAGATGTTTGTTGTTCTGATGATTTCAGTTATGTACCATTTACAGGCGTTTGTAACCTTTTTAGCTAACAAGTTGGGCATTTAGGGAACTGACTATAGAAAGCATTTCTCGGAAACGAGGACTGGTTCTGCGACGTCTTAACGAGGTGCGGGTGGCCAGTATTTTCCCCAACTTGAAAATCTGTGTAGAGGTGGGAGGGCAGTCTAGCCTCAGGCGGAATAGGAAAACTTCCTTATGCCTAATTTCAGTGTCAGTGTGTGGTATTTCCTACGCGGAACACCGGCCCAAACTAATGTCTACGTTTAACTCAACCGCGGTAAATTTCCTTCCATGGCACTATTAACTTGGCCCGGCCCACATGTCCCCTCCCGGTTGGTGTGAACGCTCCGAGGTTAGCTCAAACCTCGGCGATTTTCCCAGCTGATTGGCCGTGCAAATAGACAATCCTTTTGCTTTTCTGATTGGTCGCACATGGCATCGGGGGTGGGGGACGTGGGCGTGTCTCGCCAGAATTCGTTTAACTGTGATTTGAAGATGAACATGGTATTGCCAGAGCTTCATGGCGTCGCCTACGGCGCTCCCTCCCTCCCAGGCCCTTACTCTTCTTTGCATTGGCCAGATATGTCGTCACTCACAAAACTTCGAGCTCATTGGTGCAAAAGCTCCAGGAGGCGGTGGGTGATTGGTTGGTTGCTGTTCCTGCCCCCACGCCTGTCGTGGTTTAGCTGAACTGAGCTGAAATCCTAAAGGCCGCGGAGTCGGCGGTGTTGTAGGTAGCGGTACCTTGAGTGGCAACAGGTGAGTCTCCGGCTGCAGGGATGGGGCGGCAGCACTCAAGACCTGGCTGGATCTCCACTTCGTCTGCGGGCCAGAAACTGGAGGGCGGCGGTGGCTTTCGGAAAGGGATTGGGCTCCGCTGTTCCTTCTTCGCCCTCTGTAGGGCCGGAGCAGCGAGGAACCGAAGGAGGCTTCATAGGTTCCACGCAGGGCCCTCTCTTTGCTCTTCCAGGGGCGCACAAGTTGAGAAGGAGCGGCCTGGCAGCCGGGGCAAAAAAGGGGCGTCCTTCCCCGGGAGCCGGGCGTGCCTGGCTGCCGCGCACGCTCACCTGGGCCACCACGCTTGTTCGCGCCCTTGACGTCGTGCCGACGTTTCTCCCTAATGCACTTTTGGCGCTTGGGGCTGGGAGACTGAGCGTGCCAAAAAGGCCCTGTAGTCGGAGCCATCTTACCTTAGAGGGGTCTCCAGCGGCGCAGGGGTGTCAGGACCACGGGCGCCTGGGGCACATGAGTAGCAATAAGAGGAAAGAGAAGGGAGAGGGAGGTCAAGGTGGTGTGTCTGTGCGGTTGGCAGGGGGAATTGGGACTAGCTGCCTCAAGGGGCATCTGAGCGGGAAGTACCTTCCCTCCCCCAGCATGTTCCTGAAAAGTCTCCTCATCTGTGAGATTTGTTTTTCGAAACAAAGAAAAGGAATCTCTAGTTTTGTCGCCCGGCAAGATTTTGAGTGCTGCAATGCACTGGACTTTTATAGACCTATAATGGACTTTCTTTGAATGATTAAAACATTTATCATTCTTTGGTCACTTACGCCACATTTGTGAACAGGATAAATTCTGTGCTCGCTTTCTCTCATCCTAGAAAGGAATGTTGTGTACTTGGGCGTAATCCATGATATTAAGCTACTGCTGGCCACTGTTGAATTTCAGCGGTGAGGCCTGTGGAATTTGGTTACCTCCGCTCTGTGGTTACCAGAGTCCGAATGAATGGGAGATTGGCTATCCTCCTTGTGTCTTCCTCCTCCCCTGCCCAGGAGTAAAGCTTTCTTTGGTTAGCAATTTAAAAAGAAAATAAATCACAGTCTCTGGAACAAGGATGTATGTCTTTTTCTTTTTGAATTTTTTTTTGTTTTATTATTTTTAAAAATAGAGGCAGGGTCTCGCTATGTTGCCCAGGCTGGTCTTGTACTCCTGGCCTAAAGCAATCCTCCCTTGTCTTCTGTTATCTCAGTAAGCAAAAACTAAAGTGACCCTCTTGCCTCAGGCTCCCAAAGTGCTGGAATTACAGGGGTAAGCCACCCTGCCTGGTCTGAAGATCTTTACAGACTTCCAAGAGCTTAGTTAGAGGTGTAGACCCAGCACTGCTTGTAAGTCTTTACTTAGAATGTCAAGCTCACATTTCAAGTAGGCTGATCTCAAAGAGACTGTAAATTTCTGTAAGTTAGTCTGACTTTACTATTGACTTACTTTATATAACCTACCATGATTTCTACTGAAAAATAAAATATTGAACATTTATGCTGTTAGAAGTCAATATAGTGATTACCTTTTATGGAGTAATGACTGGGAGGAGGCACAAGGAGAATTGGTCTGATAATCATTTTTTTTTTTTTTTTTTTTTGAGATGGAGTCTCACTCTGTTGCCCTGGGCTGGAGTTCAGTGGCCCAATCTTGGCTCACTTCAACCTCCACCTCCCAGGTTCAAGTGATTCTTGTGCCTTAGCCTTCTGAGTAGCTGGGACTGCATGTGTGTGCCACTACACCTAGCTAATTTTTGTATTTTTAGTAGAGACGGGGTTTCACCATTTTGGCCAGGCTGGTCTCGAACTCTTGACCTCAGGTGATCCACCCACCTTGGTCTCCCAAAGTGTTGGGATTACAGGCATGAGCCACTGTGCCCAGCCCGATAAATCATCTTTTCTTGATTTGGTTACATAGGTGTGTTTGGTTCATGAAAATGTATTGAACTTTACAGTTATCATGTATGTTTATATCTGTATGTAAATTATACTTAAATAAAAAGTTCTAAGAACTGGTTGAGAGTAAGGTGATAGTTACAGCAATAGAACACTGGATACTGGCTGGGCCTGGTAGCTCACGCCTGTAATCCCAGCACTTTGGGAGGCTGAGGTGGGAAGATCACTTGAGCCCAGGGGTTCGAGATTAGCCTGGGAAATATAGTGAGACCTCATTTCCACAAAAAATACAAAAATTAGCTGAGCGAGGTGGCGTATGCCTGTGGTCGCAGCTGCTCCAGAGGCTGAGGTGGGAGGATTGTTTGAGATGGGGAGGTTGAGGTTGCAGTGAGCCGTGATTGTGCCACTGCACTCCAGCCTGGGTGACAGAGCGAGACCCTGTCTCAAAACAAAACAAAAAACTCAAACGAAAACTGGATGCTGTGGTGCCTCCTCAACTCTGCCAAGTTATCTCTCTTGGCAGTGAAGCTTCCCAACGCTGAATTTCTTTGCCTCTGAAATTTCTTAGGTTATTTCCAAGGTGTCTGCTAGCCATAAGGAACTACTACGTTTCCAAGGGATATTGTTGTTTAACCTGTCTTAAAGACTTTGTTTTATAGTGCATAAAATAAAAAGCTTCTCTGTTTCATAAATTCTCATTTCAGTAGAGTTTAGAATGAGGTATAGTTGTATTTGTTGTATCATTGCTTCTGTACTTGTTTTTTAAAAAAAATTAATTAATTAATTAATTTTTTGAGACAGTCTTGCTCTGTTGCCCAGACTAGAGTGCAGTGGCGTGGTCCTGGCTTACTGCAACCTCTGCCTCCCCAGGTTCAAGTGATTCCTATGCCTTAGCATCCTGAGTAGCTGGTACTACAGGCGTGCACCACCGTGCCCAGCTAATTTTTGTGTTTTTAGTAGAGACGGGGTTTCACCATGTTGGCCAGGCTGGTCTTGAACCCATGACCTCAGGTGATCCACCCACCTTGGCCTCCCAAAGTGCTGGGATTACAGGCGTGAGCTACCGCGCCTGGCCTTGTACTTCTGTACTAAATGACTAAAGGCTGCCACTGTCATAGCAGTGCTGAGGCTATGTTGCATATCCCACTTGGATGCTGCAGTGGAAAATAGAATTTTCTGGTAAGGCATGGAAAGGTTTAGTTGAGTTTCCCTTTGAAGACAAGACTCACTACTCATTGGCCAAAGTGTACCTAAAATTGTTGAATTTTTCCTGGGAGCCATTTCTAATTGACACTTGTATTTTCTGCGTGTTGCTTCTATATCTCTGCAGAGAACAATTATTTGGCTTGCTTTTCTTGTCATGTTACAGAATTCGATTAAATTACAATGGGAAACATTTTTGAAAAGCTCTTTAAAAGTCTACTTGGGAAAAAAAAGATGCGGATTCTTATATTGAGTTTGGATACAGCTGGAAAAACCACCATCTTGTATAAATTGAAGCTGGGGGAGACTGTGCCTGCCGTCCCTACAGTAGGTAAGTTAATGAAAGACCTGTGGCAATTCCAGTTTACAATTTAGTATGTTATATATATTTTTTAGGTTCTGTTTCACCAGAGAAATATGTTTTATTTTTACATGCTTCTTATGTTATTGAATAATTCTTTTTAAAAATCTTGTCTACTCCATGAGCATACATTTTTAGAGGCCAAAAACCAGGTTATATTATATATCCTTTTCTTTTTTTTTGACTCTGTCACCCAGGCTGGAGTGCAGTGGTACATCTCTGCTCACTGCAGTCTCAACTTCCTGGGCTCAAGTGATCCTTCCATCTCCCTCCTGAGTAGCTGGAACTACAGGCGTGCACCAGCATGCCCAGCTAATTTTTGTATTTTTAGTAGAGACGGGGTTTTGCCATGTTGCCTAGGCTGGTCTTGAACTCCTGGGCTCAAGCGATCCTCCCGCCATGGTTTCCCAAAGTGCTGGGATTACAGGCATGAGCCTCCGCGCCTGGCCAGGTTATGTATCCTTTTCTAGTGGCTTGCACATTCTTAGGTTCACAAGGGAGAC
This sequence comes from Homo sapiens, assembly GCF_000001405.40. Taxonomy (NCBI): domain Eukaryota; kingdom Metazoa; phylum Chordata; class Mammalia; order Primates; family Hominidae; genus Homo; species Homo sapiens. The sequence goes on from NT_167251.2 coordinate 393,671, forward strand.
ATGTGAACACATGGAGGCTAAGCAAATTTAACCCCATTTGCTTGGCAAAAAAGAAAAAGATAATGGGCAAAACAGGGAGGGTAGTTCTGCCCCTCATTCCTCGCAGCTAGTGTCCCAGCAGAAGGCTGAGGTGGGAGCTGGGAATCTGCTGGTGCCTCCTCAGTCAGCCTCTGTTCCAGCTGGCCTTCCTTAGTGGCAGCATCTCATCTCTACACCAAGTACGCTCCCAGTGCTTAGAGATGGAGTGTGATTTCTTTTCTTCACTCTGGCTCAAACCAACTGCTTGAGATGATGTCCAACTAGAGAAATAGACAAGCTGGCTGCACTGCTCTTACTGTGAACCAGCACTGTGTTTTACGGGCTTGTTAAGAGATTTACAAAGCGAGTTTTGACAGAACTGAATCTTTGCCTTGTGAACTGCCTCTAGATCCAAACTTCTGACTGAGGACACACCCCACAGGTGGCATGTGAACATTACTACTGTTCTGTTCTGAATATTGAATTAGGCACAGGACTCAAATGATCAACTTTCTTTTTTTTTTTTTTTTGAGATAGAGTCTCGCTCTGTCACCCCAGGCTGAAGTACAGTGGCGCGATCTCGGCTCACTACAACCTCCGCCTCCTGGGTTCAGGCGATTCTCATGCCTCAGCCTCCTGAGTAGCTGGAATTACAGACGTTCACCACCATGCAAGGCTAATTTTTGTATTTGTGGTAGAGACAGGGTTTCACCATGTTGGGCAGGCTGGTCTGGAACTCCTGACCTCAAATGATCTGCCCAGCTAAGTGCTGGGATTACAGGCGTGAGCCACCGCACCTGGTCTCCAAATGATCAACTTTCAACTTGGGCAGTAGCTGCAGAGATTGCATCGATTGAGGAGTGGGAAACCGAGGAGAATGTTCGAGTTATGAGATGGTTGTGTGTAAGGTAGTAATTTGGTTAAATTTTTCAAATGGATAAGCCAGTGCTGCCCAGGAGGCACTTTCTGCAGTGATTAAAATGTTCTGTGTCTGTGCTGTTTAGTGTCGTAGCCAATAGCCATGTGACTGTTCATGTGCTTGAAATGTGGCTAATGCAACTGAGGAACTGAACTTTTTTGTTTTTTGAGATGGAATCTTGCTCTGTCACCCAGGCTGGAGTGCAGTGGCGCGATCTCAGATCACTGCAACATCCGCCCCCTGGGTTCAAGTCATTCTTCTGCCTCAGCATCCTGAGAAGCTGGGATTACAGGTGCACGCCACCACACCCGGCTAATTTTTGTATTATTAGTGGAGACGGAGTTTTACCCTGTTGGCCAGGCTGGTCTCGAACTCCTGACCTCGGGTGATCCGTCCACCTTGGCCCCCCAGAGTGTTGGGATTACAGGCATGAGCCACTGTGTCCAGCCGGGAACTGAACTTTTAATTGTATTTAACTTTAAGTTTATTTTTTATTTATTTTTATTTATTGATTGATTTTTGATTTTAACTTTAAGTTTAAATAGCCACGTTGCCAGGCGCAGTGGCTTATGCCTATAATCCCAGCACTTTGGGAGGTTGAGGTGGGAAGATCACTTGAGACCAGGAGTTCGAGATCAGCCTGGCCAACGTGGTGAAACCCCATATCTACTAAAAATACAAAAATTAGTAGTGGCATGCACCTGTAATCCCAGCTACTCGGGAGGTTAAGGCAGGAGAATCACTTCAGCCCGGGAGGCACAGGTTGCAGTGAGCTGATATCGCACCATTGCACTTCAACCTAGGTTACAGAGCAAGACTGTGTCTCAAAAAATAAATAAATAGGCCGGGCATGGTGGCTCACGCCTGTAATCTCAGCACTTTGGGAGGCTGAGGCAGGCGGGTTACCTGAGGTCAGGAGTTCGAGACCAGCCTGGCCAACATGGTGAAACCCCGTCTCTACTAAAATTGCAAAATGGGCGTGGTGGCAGGCGCCTGTAATCCCAGCTACTTGGGAGGCTGAGGCAGCAGAATCACTTGAATCCGGGAGGCGGAGGTTTCAGTGAGCCGAGATCGCACCATACACTCCAGCCTGGGTGACAAGAGCGAGACTCTGTCTCAAAAACAAAACAAAATAAAACAAAAACATAAACAAATAGTCACAAATGGCTAGTGACTATGTATTGGACGGTGCTGGGGTAGACAGTTGTTCAATGTCATTTATTGAATAATTTTTCCATGCTGATTTGAAATGCCTTCGTTACATACTAAATTCTCACTGGTATGTGTGTCTTTTTTTGGGCAAGTACCTGTTGCATTTATATTTGAACTCTATTCAAGTGTTACTAGGGCTTGGCATATCCTTAAAAATAATTCATTACTCATTTTCAGAGATTTCCTGGTTATGCTTACTTGTTTATTTCTCCAGGTTAAATTTTAGATAATTTTGCTAAGTTTCCTGCCCCTGCCCCTACCATCATTATAGGATTGGAATGGCATTGTATTTATTTATTTAGCAAGAATTTAGATTGTTGCAATGTAACGAGTGTCTCTCACTAAAATAAGGCATGACTAGAATTGAGGTTTGGAAGGTGAGCAGACCCAGCTTGCTTGGGTCTTGACAGTCATGTTTGGGATTTGGGTGTGGGAAGCCGCTAAGGGGACATCTTTCCTTCTTTTCCTTTCCTTCCTCCCTCCCTTCCTCCCTTTTCTGTCCTTTCCTTCCTCCCCTCCCCTCCCCTCCCATCTCTGTCTCTCTCTCTCTGTCTCTCTCTTCCTCTTTTCTTTCTTGGATGTTATTCTGTCATCCAGGCTGGGGTGCGGTGGTGTGATCTCAGCTCACTGCAATGTTTGCTTCAAGCAGTTCTCCTGTCTCAGCCTCCCAAGTAGCTGGGACTATAGGCACACGGCACCAATGCCTGGCTAATCTTTGTGTTTTTTTGTAGAGACAGGGTTTCACCATGTTGCCCAGGCTGGTCTCAAACTCCTGAGCTCAAAGCAATCTGCCCACCTCAGCCTCCCAAAGTGCTGGGGTTACAGGTGTGAGCTACTGTGCTCGGCCTATTCTTTCTTTTTTTTTTAATTTTTAATTTTATTTTTTGGGGCGATTATTCTTTCTTTTTTAAGTTTGAAAATATTCCAATCAAACATAAATGTGTAGAGAAATGACGTGACCACACTATGTGTTTTTAAGCTATTGCTTTGTTTAGAAGATGGTGACCGGATGGAGAGAGGGAGAGTGGCTGAGGTGAAATTAGTTATATGGTTTCAGGAATTGAGGCTAGAAATGATGGTCTGTTGGGTTAGGGTGACTATTAGTTGTTGAAGGGGTTGAATTGATAAGGTGTGGTAGTAGGGTTCTAGGGGTGCGAGCATCGGATGTTACCAGGGCACCTCTCAGGCTATCAGCTTGTGGAACGAAGTCAATGATGGGATAACTAGCAGAGGAGGAGGTTGGGGGTAGGGACCTTAAATTCCATTTTTTGACTGATCACCTTGTTTTGGGGCCTTGAAGACATTTGCCAAAGCTGTTAGATTATGAGCCTGAAGCTCAGGAGAGAGGGCTAGGTTGGGGGATATAAATCTCAGAGTTAGTACAGAGATAGGAATGAAGTCGTGGGAGTGAGTGAGATTGCCTAGGGAGGGGTGCAGAAAGAGGAGAGTGGATGGGGCCAGTGAGAGCCAGGGCGACTCCCATCATTGCAGGATCAGTTAAACGTGGCTGAGTTCACTAAGGAGACTGAGACAGTACGGCCATAGAGATAGAAGGAAAAGGGAAGCTGGGGAAGGGTGTCAAGGAGGGAGTGAGCAGTAGCGTCAGATAGAAGATCAAATTATGGAAGAACTGAGAAGGCCTGTGTTAGATTTATTGACCTGGTGATCACTGCTGACCTTACTGAAAACCAGCTACCCAATGGTGGAGCAGAGCTAAGGTGCTGTTGCGTGAGAGGACCAAAGAAAGCTTAGTGGACAGGTTGCTTGACCTCAGGAGTTTTAGACCAATCTGAACAACATAGTGAGACCCTGTGTCTACCAAAAACTTTTTAAATTTAGCTAGGTATGGTGGCTCATGCTTATAGTTCTAGCTGCTTGGGAGGCTGAAGCAGGAGGATCCCTTGAGCACAGGAGTTTGAGGCTGCAGTGAGCTATGATTGTACCTCTGTGCTCCAGCCTGGCCAACACAGCAAGGCCCTGTCTCTTAAAAAAAAAAAAAGCAAATAGAGGGTGAAGATGTGAAGGAAGAGAGTGCGATGAAGATGTGGGGATCAAGGAAAGGTTTGTTTTGTTGTTTTTAAAGATGTAAAAGGCTTAAGCATGCCAAGGTGAACAGATTGGAGATATTCAGATATGGGAGAGAATAGGAATAGTAAAAAGTTCCAGACAGTCTGGGTAGGGTGGATCTGGCTCATAGAGGGAGGGAGTTGGTGGAAGAGAGTTACCTTCTTCTGTTGTTCCAAGAGGGAGGAAGAAAAGCATGGGTAAAGATGTAGACTGGCTTTTACACTGTATGGTGGAAGTGGAAGTCATTCCCATCGGCGGCTTCTCTGCTCTGAAGTACACTGTGATAGTCTCCTGCTGAGAGAAAGGGCAGGTGCGTGGCTAGAGATTGGAGAGTAGAGAAGGTTTGAGACACCTGTCCTGATGAATGGGCGAGGGGGCCAGCACATTCTCTTTGAAGGCTATAGATCTTTGACTAGCAGGCTGCTTTGTAAATTAAAAGTACTGTCCGCATGTTGAAATTATTTTGAATTGTTCAACCAGCACAAATCATAATTAAATGTTTTCCCCATGTTTCATTTAGGTTTCTGTGTGGAGACAGTAGAATATAAAAATAACACCTTCGCTGTCTGGGATGTTGGCAGCCACTTCAAAATCAGACCTCTGTGGCAGCATTTTTTCCAGAACACAAAAGGTAAAGATTATTCGGTTTGTAGCCTCGATACTGTTTCTGTGAAATGTCTCTAAAGACGGATGCTTGAAGTGATACCTTCTGGTGCTCTGCTCTATTTACACTGTCAGCCATTTCCTCTCTTAGGGTCTCTTTATACTTACTGGGGAGGTTTCTTTTGTGAGACAGAGTCTTGCCCTGTTGCCCAGGCTGGAGTGCAGTGGTGTGATCTTGCCTCCCTGCAACCTCCGCCTCCCAGGTTCAAGTGGTTCTTCTGCCTCAGCCTCCCAAGTAGCTGGGGTTACAGGCATGCACCACCACGCCTGGCCAATTTTTGTATTTTTAGTAGAGATGGGGTTTCACCATGTTGGTCAGGCTGGTCTCGAACTTCTGATCTCAGGTGATTCGCTCACCTTGGCCTCCCAAAGTGCTGGGCTTATAGGCGTGAGCCACTGTGCCCAGCCCCCCTGTCTACTTTAAATCACTACTAGATTACTTCTTATGTCTACTAGCATGTAAATGCTATATAGTTAGACTGTATTATTTGTATTTTTTTTTTACTGTTGCGTTATTATTTTTATTTATTTACTTATTTATTTATTTTTTGAGACGGAGTTTCACTCTTGTTGCCTAGGCTGGAGTGCAATGGCGCGATCTCGGCTAACCACAACCTCCGCCTCCCGGGTTCAAGTGGTTCTCCTGCCTCAGCCTCCTGAGTAGCTGGGATTACAGGCATGCACCACCACGCCCGGCTAATTTTGTATTTTTAGTAGAGACGGGGTTTCTCCATGTTGGTCAGGCTGGTCTCGAACTCCCGACCTCAGGTGATCCACCCGCCTCGGCCTCCCAAAGTTCTGGGATTATAGGCGTGAGCCACCGTGTCCGGCCTGCGTTATTACTTTTTAATATTTTTGGTTCAAGGTGGGTTGAATCTGTGGATACAGAGGGCTGACTATAGTTTTTACACCCCGATTTTCATGTAAAATATTAACCATATGGAATCTACAAATTTCTCATTTTAGAATTTATTTGGAGTCTGTTTGTTTTGAAGATTCTCCTGCATGTACTTGATAGTAAAGACTTACATATTCGTCAGTCTTTCCAGATGAAATACCCAAGTCGACTGTCCCTTTATATTTTATATCATTGTTTTAGCTGTTACCTTTGGCAATTAACTCTATTTGCAGTTATCTTTTCCAGGCTATAGATTTTAGAATGTTTTTTCTCAAAGTAGTGCATTTATTTTTTTAACTTTTTTAGTGGAAAATCTAAAACAAATACAAAGACAGAGAGGATAACATAACGAACCCCCATGTACCCATCACCAAGCCTCAACAGTTATAAGCATTTTGCCCATCCCAGACATGATGCCTTTTATTCACATGTCCTTTAGTGTTCATTTCCAACTGATAAGGCATATATATATATATATAAAATCTTCATGCTATTATAACATCTCCAAAATTAATAATAATTCTTTAATATCTAGCACCTAGTCCTTATTCTAATTTCTCCAGTTGTATCAAATGTATCCTGGCTGAGTGTGGTGGCTTACACCTGTAATCCCAGCACTTTGGGAAGCCAAGGCTGGTGGATCACCTGAGGTCAGGAGTTGGAGACCAGCCTGGCCAACATGGTGAAACCCTGTCTCTACTAAAAATATGCAAAAAAAATTAGCCAGGCTTGGTGGTGCATGCCTGTAATCCCAGCTACTCGGGAGGCTGAGACAGGAGATTCTCTTGAACCCAGGAGGCGGAGGTTGCAGTGAGCCGAGATTGCGCCATTGCACCCCAGCCTGGGCGACAGGGCGAGACTCCATCTCAAAAAAAAAAAAAAAAAGAGAAAAAAAAAGTATCCTTTCTACATCTTTTCTACATCTGCTTTGTTTGCATCTGGATCAGAGTTCGCACAGTGCATTTTGTTGTTTTGCCTCTTTAGTCTTTTATTCTACAGCAGTTGTTCTTTTTCTATGCCTTTTTTTTTCCTTTTTTTTTTTTGAGACAGGGTCTCGTGCAGTGGCACAATCTTGGCTCACTGTAACCTCTGCCTCCTGGAGTCAAGCGATTGTCTGACTTCAGCCTCCCAGGTAGCTGGGACCACAGGTGCATACCATCACACCTAGCAAATTTTTTTGTACTTTTTATAGAGATGGATTTTCACCATGTTGCCCAATCTGGTCTCAAACTCCTGGGCTCAAGCATCTGCCCACCTTGGCCTCCCAAAGTGCTGAGACCATAGTGTGAGCCACCTCGCCTGGCCTCCCCCCCCCTTTTTTTTTTTTTTTTTAACTGCTTATTCCACATTCTGGATTTGGTTGATTACTTTATTATAGTGCCATCTAACTTGCTTGGCTATCTGTGGATTTCCTGTGAACTGGTTGTTTATTCTAGAGACTTGATTAGATTTTGGTTCATTTCAGGGGCAAGAATACTTCATAAGTATTCTTCCTATCCTAACACAGAAGTTCGGTTGTCACACTTAGACATTTTTAAAAAAATTTTTATTGTGGCAAAGTATATATAATATAAAATTTACAAGTTTATTCTTAAGTGTACAATTCAGTGGCATTAAGTACATTCACCGTGTTTTACAACCATCACCACTGTCCAGTTCCACAATTTTTTCATCATCCCCAACAGAAACTTTGTATCCATTAGCAATAACTGCCCATTCTCTTCTCCCCCACCCCTCATTAGCCTTTATTCTATCCTCTGTCTATGAATTTGCCTATTCAGTGGAATTGTATATTAGTCTTTGGAAGTTTAGCTGCCTGGCCTCTTTCACTTAGTACAATGTTTTCAAGGTTCATCTATGCTGTAGTATGTATCAGAACTTAATTCCTTTTATGGCTGAATGATATTCTATTTTATGGATATACCACATTTTGTTTATCCATTCATCTATCGATGGACTCTTGAGTTGCTTCTGCTTTTTGTCTATTATGAATAGTGTTGCTATGAAGATTCATGTCCAAGTATCTGTTTGAGTCCCTGCTTTGAGTTCTTTGGGTATATGCCTAGAAGTGGAATTGCTGGGTAACTATGTTTTCTTTTCTTTTTTTTTTTTTTTGAGACGGAGTCTCCCTCTATTGGCCAGGCTGGAGTGCAGTGGTGCAGTCTCGGCTCACTGCAACCCCAGCCTCCTGGGTTCAAGTGATTCTCCTGCCTTAGCCTCCCGAGTAGCTGGGACTATAGGCGTGAGCCACCACGTCCGGCTAGTTTTTTTGTATTTTTAGTAGAGACAGGGTTTCACCATATTGACCAGGCCAGTCTCGAACTCCTGACCTTGTGGTCCACCCGCCTCGGCCTCCCAAGGTGCTGGGATTACAGGCATGAGCCACTGCACCCGGCCTCATTTTTTTTTATTGTGGTAAAATACACATAACTTAAAATTTAGCATCTTAACAATTTGTTTTGTTTTGTTTTGTGGTAGTGATGTTTTTGTGAGATGAGGTCTCTATATGTTACTCAGACTGGTCTCGAACTCATGGGCTCAAGTGGTTCTCCTACCTCAGCCTCCTGCATAACTGGGACTACAGGTGTGCAACACTGCACCCAGCTCTATCTTAAACATTTTTAAGTGTATAGTCAGTCATAATATTCTGCAACCATCACCACCATTCATTTCTGTAACTATTTTCATCTTGTAAAACCAAAACTTTGTGCCCATAAACTATAACTTCTGTTCTTCCCCCACCCTCTCCCCTTCCTCCCTGGCAGCCACCAGGTTGTCACATTTTTAATGATGCCAAATGGTTTCAGATGGTATCAGCCTAATTCCCCTGAATTAAAATTCTCCATCAACTTTTCACCTAATCGTTTTAGCATCCATTGAAAACTGTTGCCTAGACCCATTATTTTATTAGAAGTCACAAAATGGTGATTTCTCCCCCCTCCTAAATCTTGTTATTCCTCTGCATTTATTAGCTAAAATCCTTCTAAACAAAGAATTCCCTCATCAAATATTTGGTTTCCCTGAAATATAGTTTGTAGAAGAAAGGCTGGAAAAATGCTTTATTCTTTTCCTTCATGGATTTTCAGAAAAACCACTGGATGCCCCGCAACTTCCATGGTGACTCTTAGATGTTTGTATCTTCGTGTTTTGATCTGCAGATTATGTATTTTTTTGATACTCAGAGTGTCCATTTATCTTGGACTGGCACTTGACAAATTGGCAAACTCTTGCAGTTTCTTAACTGTAATAAAACTAGAACACATGGGTTTGAACCACAGCTCTGTGGTGAAACCTTGAGAGAGTTAGGTAATCTCGTCTGTCTCAATTTCCTCATCTTAAAATGGAGATAATACTTACTGCCTGCATCACTGGGCTTAAATTACTTATGTAAAATGCTTCATTTCGTGGCTGGATGACAGTAGGCACTCAAAAGCCCAAATTGTTTGAGGTTTCACTTCATCATTTCTCTGGCAGAATTCTTTTTTCTTACCCTACTGGGAGTTTCCACATTCAAATACCAAGATGAAATAAATACCTTTATTTCTTCAATCTTCTCTTCATAACAAGCCTAATTTTACTGAGTTTTGGTAGCTATTGTTTTTGATGGTAGGGAGCTGGCTGTACTCTAGGACCTTGGGGTGGGAAATTTGGACTTTTCATAAAATAGCAGTTGGGAGCTGCTGGAAGAATGGACGTGCCGTGAGTGGTCTTGGATGCAGCCCCTATTTTTTCTGCCAGTTTCTAAAGATCAGGCTGTCTTTTAGTTCAAATTTTTTTCATCAGTATGTTGAGTATGACAGAACTTAATGCTTTTAGCTCTCTATTAAGACATTTAACTGTGTAGGTTTCACTTGTATAGATTGGAATTTGAACAGTTTCTGATTTCTTTTTTATTTTTTTGAGACGGAGTCTCGCTTTGTCGCCAGGCTGGAGTGCAGTGGCGCAATCTCGGCTCGCTGCAACCTCCACCTCCCAGGTTCAAGCGATTCTCCTGCTTCAGCCGCCCAAGTAGCTGGGACTACAGGTGCGCGCCATGCCCAGCTAATTTTTGTATTTTTAGTAGAGATGGGGTTTTACCATGTTGGCCAGGATGGTCTTGGATCTCTTGACCTTGTGATCCGCCCGCCTTGGCCTCCCAAAGTGCTGGGATTATAGGCGTGTATCACCGCGTTTTTTGTTGTTGTTGTTGTTTTTTGAGGCGGAGTCTTGCTGTCACCCAGGCTGGAGTGAAGTGGTGTGATCTCGGCTCACTGCAACCTCCACCTCCTGGGTCAAGCAATTCTCCTGCCTCAGCCTCCCGAGTAGCTGGGATTACAGGTGCCCGTCACCATGCCTGGCTAATTTGTTTATATTTTCAGTAGAGATGGGGTTTCACCACGTTTGCCAGGCTAGTCTTAAACTCCTGACCTCAAGTGATTTGCCCGCCTCGGCCTCCCAAAGTGCTGGGATTACAGACGTGAGCCACTGTGCCCGGCCGTGATTTCTTAATTGATATTTTTATAGACGGCGTAAGATGGTCCATTAGTTATTAGGGATAAATATTTTTCTCCTTGATTGTAGGTTCAGTTATTTTAATTTGTTGAATTGCAGCGTATCTGTCTGGTTCAAAATTCGAAAGTAAGGAAAGGTGTATACTCATCCTTTGGTATCTGTGGGGGATTAGTTCCAGGACCTCCCATAGATACCAAAATCCTTGGATATTCAAGGCTTTGATATAAAATGGTGTAGTATTGGCATAAAACCTATGCATGGTGCCATCTTGGCTCACTGCAACCTCCGCCTCCTGGGTTCAAGCAATGCTCCTGCCTCAGCCTCCCTAATAGCTGGGATTACAGGCACCTGCCACCATGCCCAGCTAATTTGATATTTTTAGTAGACGCGGGGTTTCACCATGTTGTCAAGGCTGATCTCAAACTCCTGACCTCACGTGATCCACCCGCCTCGGCCTCCCAAAGTGCTGGGATTACAGGCGTGAGCCACCGCGCCCAGCTGTCTCATAGTTTTAGACACTGTCTGTTGCCTTCCTGGTAAACCTGGCAAGGACTTAGCTCTTTTACACCCTAGCCCTGTCCATTCTTGAGGTTTGGGTTTGCCACAATTTGTAGAAAATGAACAGTGTTTACAGAATTGTGACTATATAAATATTATTCACCACAGAGCTTAATAATGTGCTGTGAGGTCAGGCATGGTGGCTCACGCCTGTAATCCCAGCACTTCGGGAGGCCAAGGTGGGCGGATCACCTGAGGTCGGGAGTTCAAGACCAACCTGGCCAACATGGAGAAACCCCATCTCTACTAAAAATACAAAAATTAGCCGGGTGTGGTGGTGCCCCCCTGTAGTCTCAGCTACTTGGGAGGCTGAGGCAGAGAATCACTTGAACCTGGGAGGTGGAGGTTGCAGTGAGCCGAGATCATGCCACTGCACTCCAGCCTGGGCAACAGAGTGAGACTCTATCTCAAAATATAATAAAATAAAAATAAAATACACTCTGATGATGGCTGCTTCCCCCAAGGGTGCCTCAAGCTCTCTCCTTTTCTTTCAGTGCCATCTGCCATTATCGTGCCCTCGTTCTCTTCCAGTGCTCTGGCGGAGCAGGTGGCGCCCAGGCCCACAGTGCCCTCTCCAAGTTCTGTCCTCCATGTGCTCAAGTTATCCCCTAAACTTGTCACATGGGTCATCCTGGAACTTTGCTTAACTGCTTCCTGGGTTGGGGCCTTTATTTCCTGGCTCCCTTCTCTTCTTGCTTAATTTCCCCTCCCTTTGCTGCAGCACATACCCAGTTAATCCCTTTCTAACATTAAAAAAAGAAAAAGAGAATAGTTCTTGGACCTCCTCATGATAGAAATTATATCTTTAGGCCGGGTGTGGTGGCTCACTTGTGTAATCCCAGCAGTTTGGGAGGCCGAGGCAGGTGGATCACTTGAGCTCAGGAGTTCAAAACCAGCCTGAGCAACATGGTAAAACCCTATCTCTACAAAAAGTACAAAAATTAGCCAGGTGTGGTTGCATGTACCTGCAATCCCAGCTACTCAGGAAGCTGAGGGAGGAGAATCTCTTGAACCCAGGAGGTGGAGGTTGCAATGAGCTCTGATCATGCCACTGCACTCCAGCCTGGGTGACAGAGTGAGACCCTGTCTCAAAAAAAAACAAAATAAAGTTGTATCTTTAATATCCATTAACTGAAAAATAAAAATAAAAATAAGGACCAAAAATTACTATGTGGACACACATGCTTTTAAATGAATTTGTGTGTTATTAACCACAGTAACATCTATGAACTTGTGAAAAACTGTTACTGGTTTAGGCTTAAGGGTTTGCCCAGTCTAGCTTCAATGTTCAATGGGTGGGCATGGTGGCTCACACTTTGGGAGGTGGCCAAGGCAGGCAGATCGCTTAGTCCAGGAGTTGGAGACCAGCCTGAGCCACATAGTGAAACCCTATCTCTACAAAAAATTTAAAAATTAGCTGTGTGCGGTCACGCGCACCTGTAGTCCCAGATATTGGAGGGCAGTGGGGGGTGGCGCTGAGGTGGGAGGATCACTCGAGGCCAGAAGGTCAAGGCTGCAGTGAGCCGAGGCTGAGTCACTGCACTCCAGCCTGGGTGGCACAGCAAAACTCTGTCAAAAAAACAAACCAAAACAAAACAAAACAGACAAACAAGAACCAAAGTTGGATGCAGTGGCTCATATCTGTAATCCCAATAACTCGGAAGGCTCAGGCAGGAGGATTGCTTGAGGCCAGGAGTTCAAGGCCAGCCTGGGCAACATACTGAGACCCTCGCCTCTGAAAAAATTAAATATTAATAAAAACAAACCCTAGTAGCTTCAGTCTTTGATTCTCCATCCCTCATTTCATCCCTTTGTCTTCTGGTAATAGAATTTCCTTCTTGTTTTTCTTTTGGGATGAGCCACCTTCGCTCCCTGGGATTCTGCTGGGATTGAGTTACCGCCTTCCGGGCTCAAGCGATCCTCCCACCTCAGCCTCCCAAGTCGCTAAGACCATAGGTGCATGCCACCATGCCTGGCTAATGTTTTGTATTTTCTGTAGAGCCGGCGTTTTGCCCTGTTGCCCAGGAGTTTTTCCTTTAATGTTCTCCTGCTACTTACTAATTCACTTTGTCACCCTGTGAGCTCATAAGAGCAGAGAGATAGCAACAGGAGCTAAAAAAACTCTAAGCTGTGAAAAAATATTAAATATGAAATCATGATAGCTATTAGCTTAATTTGTTTTAGGCAAATTGCAAAGTAATTTTTTGGGAATCAGTGTCCCACTGCAGTGATTCCATATGGGGATTCCTAATTCCCAGTATGTTTTTAAAATAATTTGTAAACACCTAGTACAAACGCATGATATGAAATTCAAGAGGTACAAAAGGGCATACAGCCCTGCACTCTCCCAGTTTCCCTCCCGGAAGGCAACCGCCATTACCAGTTTCTCGTGTGTGCTTCCAGAGGTATTCTTGTCCAACAGAACTTCAGTGATGAAAACAGTTGCCTGTGCTGCCAGTTTGGAAGCCATTAGCCACACGGGGCAGTTGAGCACTTGATATGTGGCTAGTGTGTCTTAGCAGCTGACTTTAAAAATTTTTTTTTTTTTGTTAAAGACTCAGCGTCTTGCTCTGTTTACCAGACTGGACTGCAGTGATGTGTGAACATGGCCTCAAACTCCTATTTATTTATTTTTTGAGACAGGGCCTCACTCTGTTGTCCAGGCTGGAGTGCAGTGGTGCAGTCATAGGTCACTGCAACCTTGACCTCCTGGGCTCAAGAAATCCTCCCACCTCAGCCTCCTAAGTTGCTGGGACTACAGATGAATGCCACCATGTTTGGCTGATTTTTACAATTTTAAATTTTTTGCCTGGGCGCAGTGGCTCATGCCTGTAATCTCAGCACTTTGGGAGGCTGAGGCGGGCAGATCACCTGAGGTCAGGAGTTCAAGACCAGCCTGGCCAACATGGCAAAACCTTGTCTCTACCAAAAATACAAAAATTTGCTGGGTATGGTGGTGCGTGCCTGTAGTCCCAGCTACTTGGAGGCTGAGGCACGATAATCGCTTGAACCCAGGAGGCAGATGTTGTAATAAGCTGAGACTGCGCCACTGCACTCCAGCCTGGGTGACAGAGTGAGACCCGTCTCAAAAAAAATAAAAATAAATAAATAAATAAATTTTTTGTAGAAAAGGGGCTTCACTATGTTGCCCAGGGTGTTCTTGAACTATTGGCCTCAAGCTATCCTCCCACTTGGCCTCCCAAAGTGCTAGGATTACAGGCATGAGCCACTGTGGCCAACCTAAATTTATATGTAAATAGCCATATGTGGCTAGTGGCTACTGTATCAGACCTCACAGTTCTGTACAGATAACGCACAGCGCACAGTAGCATACTATACACGCCCTACTAAATCTTGCTTTGTTCCCTTAACAGCACCTATGCATCTTGGAGATAGATTGTCCCAGTCTGCCTCATTTTTAAAAACTGCTGCATAATATCCTCTTGTAATCCACAAAGGGAATCCCAGACCCAGCCTGGGGGGCCATGGGTCATCACTTTTTACAACAAGCTCTAAAATCTTCCACATGTACCATAATCAAGGCACTTCAGAACAACCCTAGGTTCCTCATGCCTCTACTTTTATTAGCCTGGGCCTGACATAGTTGGACATTGAATAGTCACTTCTGGGGGCTGGTGGAAATAATTTACCATGAGTGATTGCCCTAAAGTATACTCTCCACCCACGTGGCCCGTGCCTGGCATTCACTAGTGCTGGTGGCATTCTTTAAGGTTGCTCATATCTCTAAGTGGTTCTCCTTTAAAGAGCAAAGTCTCCTGGGAAAGGTGGTCATTAAGCAGAACATCTGGGGCTCATCTTGCTTTTGCCCTGTTGAGAGGGGCCAAGGGACTTGGTAGAGCAGCAGGGGCTCTGACGGTGAACCTCATTGTTTTTAAAATTATTCATAAGAGGCCAGGTGCATTGGCTCACACCTGTAGTCCCAGGACTTTGAGGAGCAGAGGCAGGAGGATCATTTGAGTCCAGGAGTTCAAGATTAGACTGAGCAACACGGGGAGACCTCATCTCTACAAAAAATTTAAAAGAAAATTAATTGGGCATCATGGCACGAGCCTGTGGTTCCCGCTACTCGGGAGGCTGAGGTGGGAGGATCACCTGAGCCCAGGAGGTTGAGACTTGCAGTGAGCTGAGTTCACACCACTGCACTCGAGCCTTGATGACAGAATGAGACTGTCTCAAAAAAAAAAAAAAAAAAAAAATTGTCCTTAAGTCCATGTGGACCCCTGACTAGGTTTGTGCCCTAGACAGCCTTCCTCTGAGGGCAGTTCAGGTGGTGAGACTCCAGCTTTAAATGGCCTCTAGAGAAATTTCACTAACCTGCCTTGGTGTTTGACCCTGTATAACCCCTTTCTTCTGGAGGTCCCTTTGGGTGGCAGTAGATACGGGATTTGGTGTCTGACAGCTCTGGGGACAGATCCCAGCTCCAAATGGCAGAGTCTCTACAGATTACAAGCCAAATACTTAGCACTATGTGCTGATCTTCAGGAAGTCAGTCTATATTTCATAACAAGTCACATGGGGATAATGAAGGAATGGCCTAAAATGCTCTCAGTAATATTCCTGAGTCATCCCTCAGGGCTAGGCTTGGTGTTAGGCATGGCGGGGAAGGGAGCAGAGCTGTGTGCAGAGGAAGATGCAGTTCTTGCCTTGTCAGGGTCCCTGACCTGATGGCGACCCATGGTGGAGTCTTCATAGTGACAGACACCACTGTAAAAGCAGATCCAGGTTGTGCAACCCTCAAAGCAGGTCTCCTCACTCACCGGGATAGATAGACTATTGGCCGTACCTGCATCCACCGCTTGCCATGGTTTCGTTGTGGGTGGAGGATACTTTCCTGTCCCCTGGCTTTGGGTTTGCCCACGTGGCTTGCTCTGGCCTTGGAATGAAGCAGAAACGAAAGGCTGCCAGTTCCGAGCCCACGTCTGAAGTCGCCTTAGGTGGTTCCGCGGGCCCCGTGCGCTCCCACCTTCACCCAGAGGGCCTTCTCTGGTGCAGCCGCTGCTTCTTCAGCCTCCGCCCAAAAGGAACGGAGCCCCCTGGCCGATCCGCAGGCCTACAGGGAGCCACAGAGCGCAGCGGCTGGACCAGCGTTCAAGCCCAAGCACAGGCCTGCGAGAACCTTGTTCCAGCCGCCGTTTAGGATGGTTGATTAGGACGCGTTGCAGTGGCGGTAGCTCACCAATCCAGTGCGTGCACCCGCTCCTTTATTAGGCTATAGAGCCAGTGGCTCCCACAGGGACCTGATACAACAGTGCGTTAAATAAGGAGCATATTGAGCTCTCATGTCGTAAGCCAGTGGAGAAGTCCAGGGCTAGTGTGGGGGCTCCGGCGGGGGCTGTGGCCCCCATCCGCATGGAGCCTCCCCATGGTTCACAGGTCTCAGTCTTCGGAGCCTTCGGCCCTGCGAGCCCGAACAGTCCACAGGGCGGCGCCAGACCCTCTTTCGAACGCCATCCTCTAAAGCCTCGGCTCCAACCGGTTCCACTTCTTCAGGCTCAGGATTTTCACTCTTCTCGAATGGGGGTGGCCCTCCCCCAATCTTCTGAGTCGCAACAGCATCTCCCTCCCTCCAGGACCTCAGAGCCAGAGCTGGGCGAGAGGCCCTGACCTCCGGGGTAGGGTGGAAGCGTCCCTGTGAAGGTGCAGTCCTGCCTCCCATCCCCAGGCGCCGGGCCTCTCCCACCCTCAGCGCCCTGCTCACCTCCAGCTGAAGATGCCAGGGCACCTCTGCTTCCTCCCTGCCCTCTCTGCAGTACCGCCGAGTGTGCATAAAAGGGTTTAATATAGGCTTTGCCGGGCGCGGGGACCCCCACCTGTAATCCCAGTACGTTGAGAGACCAAGGCGGGAGGATCACTTGAGGCCAGGAGTTCAAAACCAGCCTGGGCAACAAAGTGAGGCCCGTCTCTGAAAAAAAAAAAAAAAAAAAAAAGAATAAAAGAGGTCCCTTTTTCTGGGAGATTGATATAGGGGAGTGTGAGTTAGAAGGGAGGCATCGAGGATCAGTCATTTAAAGCAGCATCCAAGGGTGTTCAAGGCTAGAGATCCACAGGTGTATTTTCAGAAACTGAATTTCCTGGCGGGGCACAGTGACTCATGCCTGTAATCCCAGCACTTTGGGAGGCCAAGGTGAGCGGATCACTTGAGGTCAGGAGTTCAAGACTAGCCTGGCCAACATGGTGAAACTGTTTTTAGAAAAAAAAAAAAAAAAAAAATTGGCCGGGCATGGTGGTGGGTGCCTGTAATCCCAGCTATTCGGGAGGCTGAGGCAGGAGAATCACTTGAACCTGGAAGGCAGAGGTTGCAGTCAACCGAGATCACGCTGCTGCACTCCAGCCTGGGTGACAGAGACTGTCTCCAAAAACAAACAAACAAACAAAACACAAAAAAAACCCCAAAACCCAAAACAAGCCAGGCGCGGTAGCTCGCACCTGTAATCTCAGCCCTTTGGGAGGCCAGGGCGGGTGGATTACCTGAGGTCAGGAGTTCGAGACCAGCCTGACCAACATGGTGAAACCCCATCTCTACTAAAAATACAAAAATTAGCCGGGCATGGTGGTGCATGCCTGTAACCCCAGCTACTAGGGAGGCTGAGGCAGGAGACTTGCTTGAACCCAGGAGGCGGAGGATGCAGTGAGCTGAGATCGTGCCATTGCATTCCAGACTGAGCAACAAGAGCAAAACTCCACCTTAAAAGAAAAAAAAACAAACAAAACTCCTGAATTTCCCTGTGGATACCTTTTCTCTGGCAGCCTTTTTCAATGAGGGCTAAGTTTTCTCCAATACTATATGGCCTGCAGACCGCTCAGCTTTCATTCCAGTGAAAACATTCCAGAAAAAACTCTGAATCAATCCCAGGTGTTTCTCCAATCAGCTCAGGATGATTGTGTGTTACCTGCTGCCCAGCCAGTGACACCTCTCCAGGCCTCTGACTTAGCTAGGTCTCCACCATGTGACTCCACCATAGACTCCCCACCTTCTTCTTTTGCAAAGCCTCAGACACCCAAACACCTACCAAAAGTGGGTAGGGCACCAGGACACTCCAAGTGTAAGTGGGGCTCTCCAGCACACCTGGATGTGGAGGTGTGATGCAGAGTGGTGGCTGCTCGTGACACTCATTTCACCCCTTTCTGTGCAGGTGCCAGAAGCCCAGGAAGCACACATCAAGGCTCACTTGCCAGCGGGGTGCTGCCAATAAAATGTAGTCACGTGGAATTTGGAATGTGGAAAGGAGGTAGAAGTCATCCTTTCCTTCCCCATAGCAGCAGGTGTGCAGGCTCTGGTGGTCAGCTGGACTCCATACTCCCCCACCAGTCACCAGCCTGGGGACCGTGGGGCTGCAAGGACCTCAGCAGCGGTTTCCCAAGTTTCCTGACTTCTTCCATCCTCTGGAAATCAGCTGTGGTAAAGTAGCCTGAAAGCCAGTGGTGCAACCCCATCCCCACAACCTTCACCACCTCTAGCACCTCCAGTGATAAGCACTAATTGCCTATATACAACCCTTTTTTGTTTGAAATATCTAGAGTAATTTCTGTTTTCCTATCTGGGGTAGTGTAACATAAGAAGAAATATATATTTGGTCTCTGCCCCCAGTTCCTAACACAAAGCTCCTAAAACCCTTGGAAATTCCTGAATGATGGCGGTGCTAAGAGCATTGTCCTTTGTTAATTTATCATTTTTCTTTTCTCCTAGGTGTTTTTTCCTTTTTAAACTTTTCTTTTAGGTTAGGGGGTACATATGCACGTTCGTTATATAGCTAAACTTGTGTCATGGGGGTTTGTTGTACAGATTATTTCATCACCCAGGTACCAAGCCTAGTACCCAATAGTTTTTTCTGCTCCTCTCCCTCCTCCCACCCTCCACCCTCAGGTAGGGCCCAGTGTCTGTTGTTTATGAGTTCTCATCATTTTGCTCCCACTTAAAAGAACATACAGTATTTGGTTTTCTGTTCCTGTCTTAGTTTGCTGAGGATAATGGCCTCTAGCTCCATCTGTGTTCCTGCAAAAGACATGATCTCGCTGTTTTTTATGGTTGCACATCTTTTGTTCTAACATTTGGTCCTTAAACCTGGTTCCTGACACAGAGCTCCTAAATCCCTTGGAATTTTCTGGGTGATAGAAGCGTCCTTTGTTCTCATGAGGTGACTCTTGGTGGGCTCCTTATTTGGGGACTGGTCACCAAAAAGACCTATGGTTGGAAGCGTTGTGCTGTCAGCCCCATTCCCCATCCTCTGGCGTGGGGAGTAGAGCTGGAGCTCAATCATGCCTATGTGATAAAGCCTCCAGAAAACTCCTTAAAAGACAGGACTTGGAGAGCTTCCAGGTTGGCGAACACATCCATGTTCCAGGAGAGTGGTGCACCCCAACTCCACAAGGACCCTTCCAAACCTCACCCTGTGTATCTCTTCAACTGGCTTCATCATTTGTGTCCTTTAAAATATCCTTTGTAATAAATCAGCACTAGTAAGAAAACTGTTTTCCTGGGTTCCATGAGCTGTTCTAGCAAATGTTCAAACCTGAGGAGGGAGTTGTGGGGACCTCCAATTTACAGCCAGTTGGTCAGATGCATAGGTGATGCTTGGCCTTGCACCTGGGGTCTGACATGCGGATGGTCCTGTGTGACTGAGCCCTTAATCTGTGGAGTCTGGTGCTCACTCTGCTTAGGGCTTCTCTTGCCTTTTTAGTGTCCTTCTAGGCGGCCTTTCCTTCCTCTTGTCAGCTCAGAAAACTTCTCTTCCACTTCCCTTCTTCTAAACCATCCCTTACATCTACTCCTTTCCAGCCGACCAAGAGCAGAACCACGGCTGGTTCCACTGCCACCATGCTGTCCCACACTGTCTCCTCAGGATGTATTCAGATGTCCAGCCCTCCCCCCAGTCTAGGAGCCCCCCCTTTGAGGAAAGGGATGCTGGCCTAGTCAACTCTTTCCCAGCACCAGGTACAGCATCTGGCACGTTCCATCTTTTTCATGGACTCTCCCCAGGCGGCCTGACCTTCCCTCCTCTGAACCGGTGCATTTCTTGTCTGCATCATGTTTGCCCTAATCAGATATCACCTTATTTCCTCTTTTAAAAAATGCTTTATTTCTCTGGCAGGCTTCATCGGAATCACAATTTTCATTTATTTAGTAACTGTTGTTGTTTATTCTATGTATTTTTGCAGGAGGCCTGAGGTGGGCTGTGTTCTCCTCCTATGGCAGGGCTTCACTCTCCTCCTCCTCCGTTGGGGCTTCGCTGTCCCTGGGATAAGAATAACAATGCCAAGGTTTTCATTCTTGAAAGGAGCAATTAAGCTTCTCACCCCCTCCTCATTTTAGATGGGAACTGTGAGGGCCCCATCATTTACCCAGGGTCCCTGTTGAGGATCTTGTCCTCATTAGATGACTTCTTGTGCAGCTTCCACGCATGATTATTTATTCTTGTGGCACTGAGAGGTTTGTACATATCTTTAAACCAGAGCGGCTGTCCAAATGAGGAAAGTCCATCCTAGAAGATAGAAAGGGAAATATTAATTTTGCATGTCCTCTGCTTTCCCTGGCCACAGCAATGAATCCTCCAATGTACCTGACTCTCCCTTCGCGAAGAGCATCCCCTCCGTGGCAGAAATCTGAAAATGCCCCTGGGGAGACACATGCACAAGACAGTGAGTGATGCAGCCGTTTCCCACGTATCTCACAATGTACTTCTCTGGTCTTATTAGGACTAAATGAGTATCTCAGTCCATAATCACAGGGAGAACCACCACCACAGACCACATACCCGGGGTCTTGAAAATAATTCCATGCATGTGGGACTTTCAGAAGCTCTCCATGTCTGCCCAGAAGGGCCCCACAATATACTGGGGGGACTTTGTATGTGGCTCAGCATGGAGCAGGGGCAGGATTTTCAGTCCCACTCACTCCCTTGGCCAAGTGCCCTTGTGCAGTGAACAAACTGCACAACCATGCTGGGCAGAAGCATTTTATATCAGTCCCCTTCGGACTTAGTCTCACAGGCATCATTTGATGGGGGATGGGAGATGAAGTGGTTCTTCGTTTTCTAGATACTTTATTCTATAAGTTGGATCACCTCAAGCAAATGCGTGAGTGCAGCTAGCCAAGTTCTCTATCTCACAGTCTTCATATGGCTGGCTGTCGCTGATGAGTGAGTGAGCTACGAAATCAGCTTAAAGCACAACATGTTATTTTTGAATTTGAATAAAATAGGAAAAGGCAGAGTGCATTGTGTGACCATGGGGTAAGTAAGACACTCTCCCTTTCTCCTTCTCAGTTTTCCTGTCATAAAAGGACAAACTACTATCTAAGGTCTCCGTAGTTAAAATTCTTTTTTGTTGTTTTTTTTTTATTTGAGACAGTTTGGCTCATTCCCCAGGCTGGAGTGCAATGGTGCTATCTTGGCTCCCTGCAACCTGCGCCTCCTGGGCTCAAGCAGTTCTCCTGCCTCAGCCTCCCAAGTAGCTGGGATTACACGCCTGCGCCACCACACCCAGCTAATTTAGTATTTTTAGTAGAGATGGGGTTTCACCATGTTGGTCAGGCTGGTCACGAGCTCCTAACCTCAAGTGATCCCAAAGTGCTGTGATTACAGGCGTGAGCCATCCTGCCTGGCCTTTCTGGTTAAAATTCTGTGAGGTTTGCATAAAAGGAATAGAGTAGGGGCCCAAAAACCAGTAAGATGAGAAAATAGTGTTTCCTCAGTTCTAGGATCCAGGGGAAAAAAAAAGAAATAAAAGAGAAAATACTGTTTCCTGCCACTTAAGAGGAAGGACTCACATATCCTACCTTCCATCAGCCTTGAAGGAGACAAGTGCCCTCTCTCTCACACCCGGTGGCCTTCCCTTCCCCTTTCCCAGAGCCTCCAAGAAGGCCCCTGGCCTGGCCTGATGCCCACCATCAGCAGCAATAGGCACCAAAACCTTTCTCCTTCCTATCCCTCCCCACCTCCCGAAAGGGCTGGGGACAGCAGGTGTGTCCTTGTTAGTTCCATCCAGCTCAGCTTTGGCTGGGGAGCTAATTTCACTGGAGCCAGGCTAAGCATTAGGGTAAGTATTTGTCCTGTCTTGGGCAGTTTCCTCACTGAAAAATGAGGGCAGAGTTCTAAGCCCTCCTCTAATTCTAAAATTCTAATTAAAACGTCGCGAGACTAGTGGTGCATGCCTGTAATCCCAGCTACTCGGGAGGCTGAGGCAGGAGAATCGCTTGAACCTGGGAAGTGGAGGTTGCCGTGAGCCGAGATCGTGTCACTGCACTCCAGCCTGGCAACAAGAGGGAAACTCCGTCTCAAAAGAGAAGAAAAAAAAAATCACCAGACTAATATTTACCTTGAGAATCCTTCTTCATCTTCTTGTAATGACCTTCGGTGACAACATATCTGTTTTAGAAGAAAACGCAATTAAGATTATCTATGACAACAACCACCGTCTCCAAATCTGTATTGATTCCTTTTATTCATTATAAGTCTCATCTACCTGATGAGGTAACTTTTTTGAAGACAGGAATTGTATGCTGTGTAACACTGCTTTGATTCTTCCATAGTTCAGTCATCCTTGCTATCTTGCGGGGGATTGGTTCTAGGATACCGCCCCCACACCATACCAGAATCTGTGGATGCTCAATCCCTTACATATAATGGTGTAATATTTGCTTATAACCAACACGCATCCCCCCTATACTTTATTTACTTAGCGACAGGATTGCCCTCTGTTGCTTACGCTGGAGTGCAGTGTCATCCTCTGTTACTCAGGATGGAGTGCGGTGTCACGATCACAGCTCACTGTAGCCTCAACCTCCTGGGCTCCAGTGATCCGCCCACCTCAGCCTCTTGAGTAGCTGAGACTACAGGTGCATACTACCACACCTGGCTATTTTTTTTTTTAATTTTTAATAAAGACAAGGTCTCACTATGCTGCCCAGGTTGGCCTCCCAATGTGTTGGGATTACAAGTGTGAGCCACCATGCCTGGCCCCATGTAATTTAAGTCATCACTAATAAAATGTATACATATTGTACATTGTTGACAGTTGTTATATTGTACTTTCTGTTTGTATTTTTATTGGTTTTTTTTTCTTCAAATATTCAGCCTGATCTAGTTGAATCTGAAGATGTGGACCTGCTGATGAAGAGGGCTGACTGTATCTAACTTAGGGTCTTGCATGCAGCTGGCACTTAATACATTTTATTGACTGTTTTAGATAACATTCAACAGACAATTCCTAATAAAAACTCTTAAAAGTAGGAGAAAAAGGAAACCTGAGTCCTTCCTCTGAAGTGGCAGGAAAACCAGCCTGGGCAACATAGCAAGACCTTGTCTCTACGAACACATTTTTTAAATTAGCTGCCTGCCTGTAGTCCCAGCCACTCAGGAAGCTGAGGCAGGAGGATCCCTTAAGCCCAGGAGTTTGATGTTACAGTGAGCTAGGTCACACCATTGCTCTCCAGCCTGGGTGACAACAAGGCCCTGAGAAGGGAAAAAAAAGGAAAGGAAAGGAAAGGAAAAAGGAAAAGGGAAAGGAAGGAAAGAGTAGAAGTATTGGAAAGGAAGAGACAAAACTATCATTATTTGCATATTAAATGATAAATGTTAGCCAAAGAAGCCTAAGAGAATCAACTAAGATTTTACTGGAAGTAATGAGAATTCAATACAGTGGCTATCTACAAAATCAAGAAATCAGCACACAAACCTCAAATACTTTTCCCATGTACCACCAATAACTAATTAGAAAATGGAAGAAAGATCCCATTTACAATGGCAATACAAATGTATGAAGAATTTAGGAACAAAAATACAAAGATCTTTTATCTAACAAAAGATGTATAAGATCTATATATGGAAACACTAAAGCTCTTCTGAAAGACATTAACAAGAAATGAATACATGACATGAGATAGCACGTTCCTAGAATGTCATACAGATGTAAATTCTCAAATTAATCTACAAATTTAACGTAATCCTATTCAAATCCCAAGATAGTTTTTGGTGGTGGCTGTTTTTAAGACAGGGCCTAGCTGTGTTGCCCAGGCTAGAGTGCAGTGGTACGACCACAGCTCACTGCATCCTCGACCTCCCAGGCTCAAGCGATCCTCCCACTTCAGCCTCTGAAGTCTCTCATATGGTGTCCAAGAAATGGTGACAAATCTCACAAAGGGACTAGGCTCAGCAGGGCTGGAATATTCAGGGAAGGTGTCAAGAAGAAAGATGAACTTGAGTTGGCTTTTGAGAGATGCATAGGACTCCCACAGGCAGAGTGAAATAAGGGCATTTTAGATGGACAAACACACAGACAAAAGCAGAAATGTGGGTGGTGTGACTGGGGTTTGGTGAGGGGCTGCTGTGGCTGGAATGGAGGGCTGCCACAATAATGGAAATGGTAAATGAGGCAAGTAAGGTTGGACTGGTGGCATAGCGTCAAGGTTGCCAGCTTTATTAAATCACTCTTCCAATATGCTAGCACTGGCCTGTTGGGAAAAGTAATACATCATGTAATCGAACAAAAGACAGAGGCAAGCTCCAGGAATGGGCACTGTAAACAGGACTTGTCCCAGAGTAGCCAGATGTAGGCTTTAGGTAAGTTGATGCAAGCTGAGCATCTCTAATCTGAGGGGGAATGTCTCACATGGTGTCCAAGAAATGGTGACACATCTCACAGAGGGTCTAGGCTCAGGAGGGCTAGAGTATGAGACGTTCCCCCTCACCAGTGAACTTAAAAATGTGGCCAAAAATTTTTGTAAAAGATGGCTACTCTGTAGTGCTTTAACTGGACCTATTTAGACAATGCCTTACACACTGGAGGACGATACTGTGTAAATCTAATAAGTCTACAAGACAATACGTATGTCTTTTGGCTCTCTCCTTCCTCTCCAGGGTGATGACAACTCCGTGAGGGTGGAGATTATACCTCTCTCATCATTTCAGCACCAAGGAAATAAATTAGTGGCAGAGTAAGGGTGACTTGATGAGTACATCCAATTGTTGACATAGTTTTGGGTGGGAGAAATTTTGCTATTATATCGACTTCTTAAAATAGTCTAGTGGGATTCACATGGTTTCAATTCACAGAGATCTGAAAGCGAGGATCCTTTAAAAATCCTGAAATATACACTGCAGTAAAAGAACAAAGCATACACCTCAGCCTTAAATGACTGAAGAAGTATGTCAAGTAGCAGCAGGTGGGAAAGTGGCTTTGGTTTTCAGTTTGTGAGCTCTGAATCCACACAAAGACAGGACTGCATTCTGAAAACCTGAATTAATTATTGTCCTTACCACAATGAGGCAGAAAAGTATAATCAAAATCGTTAGTATTCCAGTAACAATTAATGCCAAGATGAGTTTGTCAGTATAGCCATATCCTGGAACTTCTTTTTTGAGCTAAAAAAAAAAACACACAAAAAAAAACCAGAATGAGAGCTAACTATTCAAAACCCCAGTATTCCAGGTGAGTAGCTGACAGGTTCTTTTTTATTTTTTTGAAAGAGGGTCTCACTCTGTCACCCAGGCTGGGGTACCGTGGTGCAATCACCGTTCACTAGACTCGACCTCCCTGGGCTCAGGTGATCCTCCCACCTCAGCCTTCCAAGTAGCTGGGACTACAGGCACGTGTCATCAACCCAGCTAATTTTCTTATTTTTTGTGGAGACAGGCTTTCACTATGTTGGCCAAGCTGGTCTCAAACTCCTGACTTCAAGTAATCCACCCACCTTCGCCTCCCAAAGTGCTGAGATTACAGGCGTGAGCTACCACCCCCGGCCTACAGTTCATCTTGTGCCCTAATCTATTTCTCTCTCTACATGAGCAAAGTGGGAGATCACTGTCATGACCAAAGTTACATGGCCAAGATAAGCTATGGCCTGGGAGTCCCAGACTCTTCTGTGTGGGCACTTTCCTGGGATATGCTAAATGATGGGAAATCTGGGTCTCATGTTTCTGTGTGGTCCTCACCTCAAGCGACTTCTCTTTCTGTTCACTCTGGGCTTCTGTGCTCTCATTAATGTAGTTCTCAATCTTCCATTGGTCCGTATCCCATTCTATCTTGGATGCCTTTACTTCCTGCTGCCCACTGAGAAGCTTCATCAGGTGGCCTGTCCTGGAGATGAGCTTGGCACAGGTCACTTGCACATGGGCCCCAGAGCAGTCCATCTTCAAGGTCCGGATAACATGAGCAATGAGCCTTCTCACATTGTTGTTGGGGATAAGGGACTGTAGCTGCTGGGTTAGCTGAATTTCAAACTGATCACCTGGGGACGAGAGCAATGGGTAATTGAAGCTTTTGGGCTCGGGGGACAGGTCAGTGCCCACGTTGTTGTATTCCCATTTTGTCTCAGTTTGTTTAACAGTTGGCCCTAAGTTGAATGCAGTCCCAGCGGAATCTGCCTCAGGAGGATGATTGTAGTTTGTGTTTTCAGAGATGGTTCCTTCTGGCATGTTAGTGTTTTCCATAAAATCATTTTCTTCAAAGGCATTTCTTGCAGTTGTGTGTTTTGTATTATTCTTTTCTATAAAATGTTCTGAAGGAGCAGATACTTCCAGAAAAGGGTTTTCTTGAGGACTCAGGTCTCCTAAGGATGAAAAAGCCCCTTGTGAAGGGGAATTTATGAGGCTCTTCGCTGCAGAGAATGGAAGCCTGTTTGCGAGCATCAGTCTACTCAGATAACTTTTCTTTCTGACCTTTGGACTCTTTTTGACTTTGGGTGTTCTGTGGGTCACGTGGGAGCGAGTTTTGTGAAAGCGGTATTTTTTTCTGGCATGTACGATTGGTTTAGACGTCTTCGTATTTGTAACTCTAGCCTTTGCACTTTCTAAAGTGGAAATAGCGTGGGTTAAGTCTTTCCATCTGTCTCTCACCTGTGGTAGGGCTTTTGCAGGGCTGGAGGTAGAAGGCGCGCCCTTGGAGAAGGGTTTCAGCACAGAGACTGCTGCCTTATGCTCTTGGGTGAAGGAAGGCTTGGTGTAGACGGCGTTTCCCGCTAACTTCTCAGGCCCCTGCTGTGTGTGGGGCTGTTCCACCTCCCTTGGGGCTGGACTCCCGAGCCTTTTTTCTTCGGCAGCGTTCTCCACAGATGCCTGGGCACCCTGTTCCCTCCTGATGCTCTGCCTTCCTACCTCTTTGAAGTGTCTTTTCTGGATGCTCCTTGGGCCCATGAGGACTCTCTTCACTCTCTGCCGGTTTTGGCCTACAGTTTGAATCTTTGCCAGGCTGTTTCCTGTGGTTGGCAGTTTAATTAACGGTAGTAACAGTGATTTCACATCTAGGTTTACCGCTGAGAAATAAGGCAAGATGTAACGTAGTGTACTGATAAAATCACTCTCGTCATTGGTGTCTAGCTGCTCACTCCCAAAGCCTGACAAGTTGATGCCACTGCTGTCTGAGGGCTCCTCTGGCTCAACAATCAGCTCAGTGCTTGTGTAGTTCTTCCGGGCTTGTAACACCTTCATGAACGCTCCTTCTGGATTCCCTACCGATGCTTCTTCAGCTGTCAAAAAAGAAGAGACTGCTTTGATCATGAAAGATGATGGGATGGGATGCATCAGTCCATAGCTGTACACCCCAGTCACACAGAGTAGGAGTCAGCAAACATTCGAGTGCCATTCAGAGAGGAGAAACACACACCCAATCCTAAACCTATGAAATGGCAACAACAAAAGGAGAAAATACATCTTTTGAAAACACGGCCACCTACTTGGAACATTCCATAGTGTGACATAGAGTAACTCTGTTTAGGATTATTTCGTTGATCCCCAGAGGCCAATTGCCCAGTGCTCAGTCAAAGCCCAAGGTGGAAGACAAGTGCTTCCCTGATGAGCTGGCCTCTCTGCAGACTGCTCCGTACCCTGTGCTGTCCTGCCTCAGATGCAGAGAGAGCACAAGGCTCCTGCTCTCCTCGTCCTCGGTGCACCTGTGTTCGTGCTACCATCACAGCTGAATGCAATGAAAGGCGGTCCTCTGAGAGGAGCAGGGTGGAGATGCTAAAGTGGAGGCCCCGTCCCATTGCTGATAGATCCTCATCTGGCATGCGCTCCACCCTCCCCATTCTCTGCTCCCACGTATCGTAGCCCCATCACAGAAGATGCGACATGGAAAAACGCACTGTGTCCACCCTAGTTCTTAAATTTGGGCAGGGATTTGGGGTGTATGTTAAGAGTTTTTCAAATTTGCCAGATTGCATGCCTATGTTGTTAAATACACAATGAATCCCTGGTATGATAGCAGTTTCTGGATAAACATTACTTGAGGTCCTAAAATGCAGAAGGGAAAAAGCAACTTTTGTCAGATGCCTACTTTGCTTTCATTTCATCTCTAATATTTTGGATGGGGAATCATCCAAAGCTTCTGACTGCATGAAGGTCAGGTGTGCCAGTGTGCAGCTGGGTTTCTTTTCTAGAATTAAAAGTACTTTGGGTGGTGGTGAGGGTCAGAGGAAGAAGTAAAGATTGTGAGAAAGGGGAAGAAACATGGGCTTGGGGAGAACCCAGAATTGGGGCCAGAAGACCTGGCACTAGGCTACAGCACTTAGCACCTCTGATCTTGTTTTTCCTCATCTGTAAAAGGAGGTTAACAAAGCTTTTCTGCCCACTTCTTGGGGAGAAGGGAATAACATAATTGGTAAAAAAAAAAAAAAAAGTTTTGAAAAATAAGCAACACTGACTTTATGTAACCAAGCATTATTAATTCTCCACCCCATATCACTGGTAGATACCTGTATTCAAGCTATCTGGACATGAAAGCAGTCACATTTTAGAAGTCATGAAGTTGATGCTAATAAGCCTAATCTACAGAAACACTCTTGAAAGCCCTTGAGCGTTTGTTCTGTGAATAGAAAGGTTTGAGATTCGGAGCAAGTTCAGAGTTGGATGGTCTAAGAATGGAAAAGCCCTCCATTCCATTAGAAGAGCCAGGTAGCAATTTCTGGTTATGGAACCAGAAGCTCTCAGGCTTCAAATAAAACAGCATCACTTGTACTCTTATAAAACTGTAAAAACAGAAAGACCAAAACCGTATCTACATCTGTCCTATAAGGCAGAGAGTACTTGAGATCTCATGGATTTAAAACCAGCTTACAAACTACATTGCACTATATGAAGAAATTATCACTGTGGGCAAAGCATCAAGCAGAGAGCACAGTATACAGTGTGTGGATGTTAATGTTATTCCCTAGCCTTCCCATTCCTTTGTCTTGGTCCTTTCTGCATATGGAACAGTTCTATTATTAAATTTTGTAATAGTAACTGAGAACCTGACTTTCAGCAAGGGAGTAGTTCGGAAATTGAGGGAGTTTAACTCTGAATGAGTAAATAAAAATAAAGCAATTATGTCATTAGCTTAAAATTTTATCATCATTAAAAATAAAAAGTTTGAAAACAAATACTTAATGTAACAATTTATCACCGCGCAATTTGGACTCACGACAATGTGTGGTGTTTGTCAGACATGCACTGTTGCAATGCAGCTTGACTGTCTTGCAGACAGCCTCAATGCTGTTTTTAAATTGGCAGAGGCAGCAGGCCATATGGCTAGGTAAGATCCTATAGATGAAAACAGAGAGCAATAAATTAGCGGTAAAGCGGTTACTTGAGTAGGTAAAGGAGGCAGCCAACGCTACCACAGGTGTGGGAAAAAGGTGTCATTGAAGCCTATGGACTGGACAGTTGGGTAGGAACCAGAAGGCCAATAGGAAGGAGGACAAAAGTGCCCAACTGAAGGGTAAGCATGGCAGTGAGTATGGTATGCCTAGAATAAAGATGGTTGGGATTAGAATTGGGTGACAGTGATTAGTAGTTTCAGAAGTATCTCTTCCCAATTCAAAAGTCTCACTTTGGGCTGAAAGTACAGAGGAAGAAGGTAGACTTTTAAGAAGTCTGAATAAGCCCCCAACTTCTGGAGTCCCTTTCTCAATTCCTGTTGGGAGTGGGAAATATTATAAATTACTCTGGGCATTAAAAATAGCTTAGTTTAACCTGGATTGCGGAGTTAAAAAATAACAAAGACTGCATTGGTCAAATCTGGACAATTTGAGCATTCAAAAGAATAACAACAATAAGTTACAACATATTTAATATAAAGAAGAATCCACGAAGAGTGATATTGAAAAAGAAAGAGGAGGAGTTCTTCTTCAATGAAATAATGCCAGCTAGTAAATGTAGAAGGAATGACAGAATTTTTAAAAGTGTCACTTTGCAACCGTCAGTGTAATACAAATTCATTCAGACAAGGATTATCATTGATGCACATTTGGGTGAAAAAACATTTGAGAACAGGATCTTCACTGAACTCAAAGTAACAACCCACAGATTATTTATTAATTACCAAGGGGAAAATTATTATTTTTTATTTTTATTTTTATTTTGTCACCCAGGCTGAAATACAGTGGCAAAATTATACCTCAATGCAGCCTCAACCCCCCTGGGCTCAAGGGATCCTCCAAATTCAGCCTCCTGAGTAGCTGGGAGTATAGGCTTGCACCACCATGCCCAGCTAATTTTTTTTTTTTTTTGTACTTTTGTATTTTCAGTAGTGACAGAGTTTCCCCATGTTGCTCAGGCTGGTGTAGAACTCCTGGGCTCAAGCAATCCTCCCACCTCGGCCTTCCAAAGTGCTGGGATTACAAGTGGGAGCCACTGTAGCCAGCAAAATAATTACAATGGAGAGACCTGGAAGATCACCTTAGTCAAGTGATCAAACTTAGTATTACAGGCCATCTGCGGTTACGAGGCAGGAAGGATACATCACCTATGCAGTATTTTTCCCAAAAATGCTTAACTTGAATTTCATCATGAGGAAACAGACAAATCTGGATTGTGGGACAATTTACAAGACAACTATCTTTGACTCTTAAAAAATGCCAGTGTCATGAAAGATCAAAGAAAGTAGAGGCATGTTTTAGATTAAAGGAAATGAAGACATGACATGCAGTGCCTGATCTTTGATTGGATTCTGTACTATTCTTTCATCTTTCTGGCTTGTTTGAATTTTTTCCAATACGTAAATTTGGGCAAAAGAGGTGACCGAGACAATTGATTAATTTATTGTTGTGGCTTATTGGGGGCACTTTCGGAGAGATAAAAACAATCCCTGTAACTGAAGTAAAAGGTTAATCTTAGGCAGTATAGCATGGTCATTAAGAATACAGATTCCATAGCCAGACTATGCTTCAATCTCAGCTCTGCTAATAATGTGAATTTGGGCAAATTGTTTAATCTCTGTTCCTTGGCCTTGTCATTATAATAGTACCTACCTCTAATGAATTTTGAGGATCAAATGAATCAATACCTGAAAAATGCCTGGTGCACAGTCAGTGCTCAATAAGAGTTAACTATAATTATTATGTTGCAGAGGTTGTGGGGGGCCTTTTCTGAGTCCTCCAAAAGGATGGCTTTATTGGGGCCATATTAAGACTATGAAAACAGAAGAGGGTTTCATGGATACAAGAAGTCTGTGAGTTGGGGGTACAATGTATAGAGTTTTAGATTAAAACTGCATCCAATAAGTTGGCCTGAGACATCTTTCAAACCTATAAAGGAACAATCACAAGTGACTAGTAGTATTCCTTTGGGTCCAGTGGAAGCCTCTGATCTTCATATGGAATGGACCCGGAACCGTAACCCAGCATTTTGTTGTATAGCAACCTTACCTCTGCCACAAAGGTGTTTCTTTTGTTTATTTTGAGGCCGGGTCTCGCTCTGTTACACAGGCTGAGTGCAGTGGTGCAATCTTGGCTCACTGCAGCCTCTGTCTCCTGTGCTCAAGTGATCCTCCCACCTCAGCCTCCTGAGTACCTAGAACTACAGGTGTGTGCCACCACACCTGGCTAATTTTTGTATATTTTGTAGAAATGGGGTTTCACCATGTTGTCCAGGCTGGTCTCGAACTCCTGGGCACAAGCAACCCTCTCTCTTTGGCCTCCCAAAGTGCTGGGATTACAGGCATGAGCCCAAAATTTTTGGTATTCTTTTTCTGCCCCCAAGTTTTTATTTTAAACATTTTCTTTTTTTCCTTTAAGCCTTAGGATGGCTGGGAAACATTTTCAAATGGTATAATGAACACCTGTATAACTTTCATCTGGAATCAGTAGTTGCTAATACTTTGCCACATTAGCTTTCCGTGTGTGTATGTCTATACATTTTCTGGACAAAACCATTTGAGAGTCAGTTGCAGACATAATGACCCTTCACCATTGAAGACTTCAGTGTGCAGCCCCTAAGAACCAAGGCATTCTCTGACATAACCAGAGGACTATCATCACTCAATGGAACTTCATATTATCATTGTCTACTATGCGGTCCGTATACACATTTTCACAATTGTTCCAATCATAACATGGCTTAAAAAATTCACAATCCAATCAAACATCAGACATTACACTTAGTACATGATTCTTTAGTCTCCTTCAATCTAGAACTGTTCCCAGGATTGTTTTAAAGTATACTGACAAATCTTTGAGACTGTAAATGACCTGAGGTATACTTGAGAATAATTTTTCAATACACATGAAAGATCATTACACATGAGCCAAGACTCAAATGAGCTGGCCTACTTACTTTGTACATAAATGTGTAAACTCCTGAAGACTTCCAATAATGAACTCCCATAAGACATTTAGTTCAATGTCTTTATGGCCTTGGTGACAAATCATTACAGAGGATGAGAGCATTTTTCCTATCCAATAATGGTCAAGAAAAAAGCAGACAGATCCTCGCTATCTTAGAGAACTAAGTGAGAAAGCTGGTCGATGAAGGGGACTTCATCCAGAGAGGAAGGGATCCAGCTGATGGGGAAGATGCTGCAGGAGGCTGAGGAAAGTGAGGCTAGAGCAGTAAAAGAGATCTGACAACCTGGTCAAGATAAGAAAGTGACCTGACAAAAATGAACGGAGCAGAGTGCTAAATGAAGGGCCCTTTCCATGCTAATCTTGCAAAACGCCCTCAACCAGCCCTAGCATAACTGAGTCTCTATTTAGCTTGCCATATTGTGGGGGCTAGTGGCACAATTGAAGCTGCAGTAAATTGTGTAACAAACTCACAATAGGGCCCCGCAGGCATACATATACATATATACACGTACATATATATAAATATATATATATTTTAGACAGGGTCTTGCTCTGTCACCCAAGCTGGAGTGCAGTGGTGCCATCTTGGCTCACTGCAACCTCCACCTCCTGGGTTCAAGTGATCCTCCTGACTCAGGTTCCCTAGTAGCTGGGACTACAGGCGTGTGCCACCACACCTGGCTGATTTATATATATATATATATATATATCTATATATATATCCTGCAAAGAAGGCCAGGCACGGTGTCTCATGCCTGTAATCTCAGCACTCTGGGAGGTGAGGCAGGAGGATCACTTGAGACCAGGAGTCCGAGACCAGCCTGGGGAACATACTGAGACCTCATTTCTACAAAAAAATAAAAAATAAAAAAGATACATCACATATGCAAATTAACTCAAAATGGATCATAGACCTAAATGTGTATCATTTCTGGGAGAAGACATAGGAGAAAATCTTTTAGACGCTGGATTAGACAACAGGTTCTTAAAGATTTCTTAGGTAAGAAACAAAAAATCACAAGCCATTTAAGAAAAAAATGCTAACTTAAAGCTGGTCAAAATTAAAAACTTCTGCTCTTCAGAAAACATTTTTATTTCTTACTTTTTTTTTTAGACAGAGTCCCACTCTGTCGCCCAGGTTAGAGTGCAGTGGTGCAATCTCGGCTCATTGCAACCTCCACCTCTCAAGTTCAAGCACTTCTCGTGCCTCAGCCTCCTGAGTAGCTGGGATTACAGGCATG
Source organism: Homo sapiens (assembly GCF_000001405.40). NCBI lineage: Eukaryota > Metazoa > Chordata > Mammalia > Primates > Hominidae > Homo > Homo sapiens. The sequence continues at coordinate 427,291 of NT_167251.2, forward strand.
TGCCACCACACCTGCCTAATTTGTGCATTTTTAGTAGAGATGGCATTTCCACACAACCGGAATACTACTCAGCAATAAAAAGGAGTGAACAGTTGTCCCTCGGTGTCTGCAGGGGATTGGCTCCAGGACCCCCTGCAGATACCAAAGTCCACAGATGCTGAGGTCTTTTTTATGAAATGACATAATGTTTGTATACAGCCTCAGGTATACTCTAAGTACCTAATACAGTGTAAATGGTATGTACATAATTATACTGTATTTTAAATTTTCTACTGTTTTTATTGTTGTATTGTTGTTTTATATATTTTATTTTTTCCAAATATTCTCCATCCATGGTTCGTTGAATCTATGGATGAGGAACCTGCAGATATGGAGGGCCAGCTGTAGTGATAGGTGCAACAACATGGATGGTAGCATAATCTCAAAAAAAATTCTACTGAGTGAGGCCAGGCAAGGTGGATCTTATCTGTAATCCTAGCACTTTGGGAGGCTGAGGCAGGCGGATCACTTGAGGTCAGGAGTTCGAAACCACCCTGGCCAACATGGCGAAACCTTGTCTCTACTAAAAATACAAAAATTAGCCAGGTGTGGTGGCATGCGCCTGTAATCCCAGCTACTCGGAAGGCTGAGGCAGGAGAACCACTTGAACCTGGGAGGTGGAGGTTGCAGTGAGCCTAGGTCATGCCGCTGCACTGCAGCCTGGGCGACAGAGTGAGATTCCATTTCAAAAACAAAAAAAAAATTAGGCTTTGTGAAAGGAGCCAAACACAAGAGGCTATGTGCTATATGATTTCATTTATAAGACATTCTGGAAAAGGCAAAAGTATAGGAACAGAAATCAGATTAGTAGCTAACAGGGGCTGATGGTGGGAGGATGGGATTGCCTACAAAGGGACAGTAGGGGCCTTTTTGAGGCATCAGAAATGCTTTATATTGGGAATGTGGTGGTGGTTATGTAACTATACATTTGTCAGACTCATCAAACTGTACACTTAAAAAGCGTGAATGTTACTATATGAAAATTATACCTCAATGAACCTGACTTAAGAAAATAATAAAACAAACCTAAAGAACCAACTAAGTAAAAATAAATCTCAGAAAAAAATAACTTACAGTTTTTCCAGTTCAACAGTCATCATGAGAATGTTCTTAAGTGTTGTAAGTGGGACTAGCGTTGTTCCCATGTCTCTGAAGAAGAAAGCCGAAACATTCATGATATGAGCCCCAATAAAAAATTCTGTACTTAACAATTCAATTTTGGCTTCTCTATTAAACAAGCCAGCTCAAGACTTTATTTGCTGTAGAATTCCAGGGAGCTCTTATTAAAGAAATTAAAAGTTGATTTGCATCATCAAATTAATGATACTCAAGAGCAGAACTGACACTTTTTTTTTTACCATTATCTTCTCATTTTCATATTGCACTCACCATCTTATTTACTCTTTTCTTTATTTTTAGAATAATGAACACCTTTTCCCCTTTGCTTTCTTGGTTAAATAATATTCCTCCATGTGTCTACATGTTCCAAATCTATATGGGTTCTTCAATGCTGTTCTCTTCCCCTGCTGGCTGTCTTGACCATTATACATCCTCTTAATTTTTTTCTTCGCCAATAACTTTTTTTCAATAACCCAGTTAAAATTTAAATTATGACATTTTAGCCTAAATGCAAAATACTTAAGCTTTGATGAAAAATTTAAAAAGCATAAATCATCTCTTGACTCATGAGAGTACTATAGTACTTACAGATATTTTAATGCTGGCAATTTAAAGAGATACGGATCTTCAACAGTTGTCAGAGGATTGTGATTGAGAATTCTGAAAAATGGAATGGAATTAAAATAACCTGCATTTTCAATGTGTAAAACTGCATGAAAAGTTTACATTCATTTTTTGATATGGAACTTGTAGGTAAAAAAGAAAAAAATGTTTCCTGTCTTTACCTAAGAAATCACCATTAGACTCCGTAAAGCACTATTCCTATGGGAACTACCAAGGTCTCTAGAAGATAAAGGATAGAACGCGGGGAAGAACTACAAGGAAAAAAAAAGTGGATAGCAAAGAAAAAATATGCCACAGAACTTTTCAGGTCAAAAACCCTAAAAGTGACTATGTTGGTAGGAAGCCCTGACTGTGGAGGAAACAGTATTTCTAGCATCCTCCATAATTCAAGTTGCTCATCATAATTCAAGTTGTTCATCTATTTTTTTTTTTTTTTTTTTTTTTTTTTTTGAGATGGAGTCTCGCTCTTGTTGCCCAGGCTGGAGTGCAATGGCTCGATCTTGGCTCACTGCAACCTCCGCCTCCCAGGTTCAAGTGATTCTCCTGTTCTGCCTCAGCCTTCCGAGTAGCTGGGATTACAGGCACCCACCACCACGCCCAGCTAATTTTTGTATTTTTAGTAGAGTCGGGGTTTTACCATGTTGGTCAGGCTGGTTTTGAACTCTTGACCTCAGGTGATCTACCTGCCTCAGCCTCCCAAACTGATAGGATTACTGGCATGAGCCACTGCGGCTGGCTGCTTGTCTTTTATCTTTATAAAGTTTTTAAAATTTATGGTTTAATTTGCACAGTTAAAAAAAAATAGGACCAATTCTTTTGCTTTATAGCCAAAGAAGAAGGAATAAATCTAAGAGGAGGAACTGGTCAAAACCATACTCCCACTTGTCTTCTTGTATGACATCACAGCCTTTCTTACATTGCATGTAATCACCTGTCCACTTGTCAGGCTCCTGGACTATGAGCGCTTTGAGGGCAGAGACCACATTTTTTTTTTTTTTTTTTTTTTTTTCTGAGACGGAGTCTCACTCTGTCACCCAGGCTGGAGTGCAGTGGTGCAATCTTGGCTCACTGCAATCTCCGCCTCCCAGGTTCAAGCAATTCTCCTGCCTTAGCCTCCCAAGTAGCTGGGATTACAGGTGCCCGCCACCATGCCCTGTCATCCCCGTGCCTGGCATGATGTCTGAAATGTATTAGGCATTTAACAAATGTTTATTGAATAAACAAATGACATTTTGTTCATATGTCAATAAAATGAATAAATTGATTTTGATGCAAATTTTTATTCCAAAATGCTGGAATCGATTTTCTTTTTAATTCTTTAAGGTGAACAAGAAAAATAAAAGAAACAGGAAGAAATAAAAGAAAATCTACCTTTAGGTTAACCCAAGAATCATCTTTGTACTTAGGCAGAAATTATAAAAATAATAATTATTACAGTGAGTATCTACTGGGTTGCCAGGTATTTGTGATCAGCAAATACCTTATGTGGTAGATATTATTATTGCCCTATTTTTAAATGAGGAAACTGAGGCACAGAGAGGTTAGATAACTTGTCCTAGGTCACCAAGCTATTAAGCAGCAAAGCTGTAATTTGAACTCGTGTTTAATCTGTATGAAGAAAAAGGGTTTATTTTAACCTTAGGTTTTTAAAAAATTTTCATTTTTGTTCTTCATTCTTTTCCTCTCTCTTTTTCCTTCCTTCCTTCCCTCCCCCTTCCTTCTTTCTATTTTCTTTCCTTTCCTTTCTTTCCTTTCTCCTCTCCCCTCCACTCCCCTCCCCTCCCCACCCAAACAGGGTCTTGCTCCATTGACCAGGCTGGAGTGCAGTGGCGTGATCTTGGCTCACTGCAACGTCCTCTTCCCAAGCTCAGGTAATCCTCCTTCCTCAGTCTCCCAAATAGCTGGGACTATAGGCACGCACCACCACGCCTGGCTATTTTTTGTGTTTTTAGTAGAGATGGGAGTTTCACCATGTTTGCCAGGCTGGTCTTGAACTCCTGATCTCAAGTGATCCGCCTGCCTTGGCCTCCCAAAGTGCTGGTGTGAGCCACTGGGCCCAGCCTTAATTGTGAGAAGACTAAATACAGAAGTGCCTTTCAACCTTCTTCTACTCCTCTGGGAGGACCTCTATGAGAATTACAATTTCTCATTAGCAGGGCACGGCAGTGCTTGCCTGTAATTCCAGCTGTTTCAGAGGCTGAGGCAGGAGAATTGCTTGAACCCAGGAGGCGGAGGTTGCAGTGAGCCAAGATCAAGCCACTCTACTCCAGCCTGGGCGACAGAGCAAAAAAAAGTGGATTACAGTTTCTCTTTTTATGTCTTTCCCCTAATCATTTCCCATGATTAAATAGTTTATTAGTCTATGGTCAATGAGACTTTTTTTTTTTTTTTTTAAGAGACACATTCTCACTCACTGTGTTGCCCAGGCTGGAGAGCAGTGGCTATTCACAGCCATGATCCCACTAGTGATCAGCATGGGAGTTTTGACCTGCTCTATTCCTGAACTGGGCTGGTACACCCCTTTTTAGGCAACCTGGTGGTCTCCTTTTCCCGGGAGGTCACCATACTGATGCTGAACTTAGTGCGGACACCCAATCAGCATAGCATGCTACAGCCTAGAATTCCTGGACTCAAAGGATCCTTCTTCCTTTGCCTCCCGAGTATCTGGGACTACAGGCATGTGCCCAGTGAGCCTTCAGAGATTTAAAATCATGTCGTAAGTGACATCAGTGAAAATGGTGGAATAAAGACATGCAGGCTGGGCGCAGTGGCTCACACCTGTAATCCCAGCACTTTGGGAGGCTGAGGCAGGCGGATCACGAGGTCAGGGGATCGAGACCATCCTGGCTAACAAAGCGAAACCCCGTCTGTACTAAATATACAAAAATTAGCTGGGCGTGGTGGCAGGCGCCTGTAGTCCCAGCTACTCGGGAGGCTGAGGCAGGAGAATTGTGTGAACCCGGGAGGTGGAGCTTGCAGTGAGATGAGATTATGCCACTACACTCCAGCCTGGACAACAGAGTGAGACTCTGTCTCAAAAAAAAAAAAAAAAAAAAAAAAAAAAAAGAGAGACATCCAAAAATTCATCCCTTCATAAAAGCAACAAATACCAAAAAAAATAGCAAAAAAAAAAAAAAAAAAAAAAAAAAAAAAAATTGACCACAATAAACTTTTTCAGAACTCTAGAAATGTAACCGAAGTCTTGCAGTAACCCAAGGAGCATTTATTCAAGAAAAATTTCTGTAAGAACAGTGAGATTTGTGTTAACTTGCCTTAGACCATTCCTCACCCTCTAGCTCAGTAGTCGCCTTGGAAAACAGCCCACATCCCCAACCAGAGGGAGCAGAATGGAGCTGGAGCTCCTTCAAAGCCTTATTCTCAGTTAACTGTCATGATGTCATCTGTCTGGTGGTTCCCTGGAAGACCTCATTTGAAAGGTTTGTCTTTATTTGACCAGAATGAAAGCTGTCTAGTGCTAAAACCTCTCCACAGAGGGTGTTTTTGGAAAACAATTACAGACAAGTGTTTTAACATGGCAACTGTATTCGGCAATGAATAACAGTTTGGGGGAAAAAAGCCTAATCAAAAAGCTTAATAGGAAAAGCTGAGGAATAAGATGTCCACAGGAATTTGAAACACTCTGATATATGCTTGGGAAACTAGAAGTCCATAAGACATATTCCTGGCAATTTGGAATGTCACGCGCATGCATAGGGCAGACTGTCAGCATGGTCAGGAAAGACCTACTAAGTTCATAAACTCTCACCCCTGGCTGACACCTTGAAGTTCTGCACAAGCAAGAAGTGAAAGCTAAGGCATGGCTGTAAATTGTCTAGCTGAGTGCTGAAGGTATGCCCCAACATGTACACAGAGCCCCTTGGCAAAAACTAGGAGACTTATCAGTTCCAAGAATTTAAGTAAATCTTCATTTAATCATTACCTGATCGGTAAGCTAACCGAGGAGGGACTTTAGTGGGAACACATGACATATAATGCGAGACTTTACAGAAGAAGTTCAGAAAAGTCACTAAATAAATAGCAACTACTAACACAAGCAGGAGTAACACCAAACCCTGGCAGCATGGATCTGATTTTCAGAATTGCTACATTATATTATTTAAAATATTCAATTTTTAACAAACATTTATGAAAGATGCAAGGAAACAAAGTATGGCCCAAACACGTGGTTGGGGGAGAAATAAGCAGAAATTGTCCCTGAGAAGGACCAGATGTTAGACTTACTAGACAAAGATTTTTTTATTTTTTATAGGTGGGGTCTTGCGAAGTTACCCAGGGTGGTCTTGAACTCCTGGCCTCAGCCTCAACCTCAGTCTCAGCCTCCCAAAGTGCTGGGATTATAGGCACGAGCGACCATGCCTGGCCTAGAGAAGGATTTAATTCAGCTATTTAAAATATGTTCAAAGAGATAAGAGAAACGATTCAGTTCTGTAGACTAGAGAACTAAAGGAAAGTATGAAAGCAATGTCTCATCAAATAGAGAATATCAATAAAGAGATAGAAACCATAAAAAGGAGTCAAATAGAAATTCTAGAGTTGAAAAGTATGGTAACTGAAATGGAAAAATTATTAGAGGTTCTCAATGGCACATTACAGCAGGCTGAAGACAGAATGGGGAACTTGAAGGTTAATTGAGATTGTTGACTCTGAGGAACAGAAATAAAAATGAATGAAAGTGAATGGAATCTCAGAGACCTGTTTGTGGAACACATCATCAAGCTTACTAACATACACATAATGAGCGTCCCAGGAGAAGAAAAACAGAAAAAAGGAGAAAGAATATTTGAAGAAATGATGGCCCCAAACTTCCCAAACATGATGAAAAACAATCTGCATATTCAAGAAGCTCAAGGAACTACAAGTAGGAAAAACTGAGGGATCCACATCTAAACATACTGTAATCAAACTGACAGAAGCCAAAGACAGAATATCTTGAAAGCAGCAAGAGAAAAGCAACTCATCACATACAAGGGATCCTCAATAAGATTAATAGCTAATTTCTCTTCAAAAACAATGCAGGTGCTGGACATGGTTGCTCACACCTGTACTCCCAGTACCTTGGGAGGCTTGAGGCTCAAGAATTGCTTGAAGCCAGGAGTTGGATACCAGCACTGGCAATAGAGTAAAACCCTGTCTCTACAAAAAATTTAAAAATAACTGGGCATGCCCGTCTGGGATGTGAGGAGCGCCTCTGCCCGGCCGCGACCCTGTCTGGGAGGTGAGGAGCATCTCTGCCTGGCCGCCCCGTCTGAGAAGTGAGGAGCCCCTACGCCTGGCAGCCGCCCCATCTGAGAAGTGAGGAGCCCCTCCGCCCAGCAGCCGCCCCGTCTGAGAAGTGAGGAGCCCCTCTGCCCGGCAGCCGCCCTGTCTGGGAGGGAGGTGGGGGCCAGCCCCCGCCTGGCCAGCCGCCCCCTCCGGGAGGTGGGGGGGCGCCTCTGCCCGGCTGCCCCTTCTGGGAAGTGAGGAGCCCCTCTGCCCGGCCGCCACCCCGTCTGGGAGGTGTACCCAACAGCTCATTGAGAACGGGCCATGATGACGATGGCGGTTTTGTTGAATAGAAAAGGGGGAAATGTGGGGAAAAGATACAGAAATCAGATTGTTGCTGTGTCTGTGTAGAAAGAAGTAGACATAGAAGACTCCATTTTGTTCTGTACTAAGAAAAATTCTTCTGCCTTGGGATGCTGTTGATCTATGACCTTACCCCCAACCCAGTGCTCTCTGAAACATGTGCTGTGTCCACTCAGGGTTGAATGGATTAAGGGCGGTGCAAGATGTGCTTTGTTAAACAGATGCTTGAAGGCAGCATGCTCGTTAAGAGTCATCACCACTCCCTAATCTCAAGTACCCAGGGACACAAACACTGTGGAAGGCCGCAGGGTCCTCTGCCTAGGAAAACCAGAGACCTTTGTTCACTTGTTTATCTGCTGACCTTCCCTCCACTATTGTCCTATGACCCTGCCAAATCCCCCTCTGCGAGAAACACCCAAGAATGATCAATAAAAAAAAATTAAAAAAAAACAAAAACAAAAACAAAAACAAAAAAAACTGGGCATGGTGGTGCATGCCTGTAGTCTCAGCTACCCAGGAGGCTGAGGTGACAGCATTGCTTAAGCCTGGGAGGTGGAGGCTGCAACGTTGTGAGTGGTTGCACCACTGCACTCCAGCCTGGGTAACAGAGCAAGACCCTGTCTAAAAACAAAGCAACCACACACAACACTGGAGGACAAAAGGCAATGAAATGGCATATTCAAAGTGCTGAAGAAACTGTCAACCAATAATTCTATACCTGGCAAAACTACCTTTGAAATTGAAGAGAAATTAAGATATTCTAGATAAATAAAAACTGAGAGACTTTGTTGCTAGAAGACCTGCCCTATAAGGAGTACTAACGTGAATCTGCACAAAGAAATAAAAAGCACTGGCTGGGCGCAGTGGCTCAGGCCTGTAATCCCAGCACTTTGGGAGGCTGAGGCTGGAGGATCACTTGAGGTCAAGAGGTTGAGACCAGCCTGGCAAACATGGTGAAACCCTGTCTCTACTAAAAATACAAAAATTAGCTGGGTGTGGTGTTACGTGCCTGCAGTCCCAGCTACTCAGGAGGCTGAGGCACTAGAATCGCTTGAACCTGGGAGGCAGAGGTTGCGGCGAGTAAAGATTGTGCCACTGCACTCTAGCCTGGGCAACAGAGTGAGACTCTGTCCCAAAATAAAGAAAAAAAAAAAAAAGAAAAAGATACTTACATAATGCAATAATTATAAATCTAGTTGATGAACATAAGGTATATAAAGATGTAATGTGTGACAATAACAGTATAAAGGAGGGGGTGAGAGTGGAGCTTTAGAGAAGCAAAGTTTTTGTATACCATTGAAACAAAGTTGGAATTAATCTGAACTACAACGTTATAAAATTAAGATGTAGCTGAGACTACAGGTGCGCACCACCACACTCGGCTAACTAAAAAAAATTTTTAGAGATAGGGTCTCACTATGTTGCCCAGGCTGGTCTCAAACTCCTGGCCTCAAGCAATCCTCCTTCCTTGGCCTCCCAAAGTACAGGGATTATAGGTATGCACCACTGCATCTGGCCACAAACATTTTGTTTTCTTACTGTTCATTTTTCAAGACAGGTTTTCACTCTGTTTCCCAGGCTGGAGTGCAGTGGAACAATCATGGCTCACTGCAGCACCGATCTCCCGGGCTCAAGTGATCCTCCTGCCTTAGCCACCTGAGTAGCTGTGACTACAGGCATGTGCCACCACGTTCAGCTAACTTTTAAATTTTTTTTGTAGAGATAAGCTCTCAGTATGTTGCCCTGGCTGGCCTCGAACTCCTGGGGTCAAGCAATCCTCCCACCGCAGCCTCCCAAAGTGCTAGGATGACAGGTGTGAGCCACTGCACTGCAAAAATACAGAAGACCAAATTATTAAAACTAGAAATGAGAGGGGACATTACTATTGTTCTTAGAGACATAAAAAGGATTATAATATGAATAAAAAGGATTATACATATAAACAATATATGCTAATAATTGGATAAGCTGGATGAAAGACACATTACCAGAAAGATATGAACTACTGAATCTGACTTGAGAAAAAAACAGAAAATCTGAATAGACAGACCTATGTCAAGTAAAGAGATTGAGGTAGTAATCAAAAAACTTTCCACTAAGAAAAGCTGAAGACCAGCAGGCAGCCTCACTGGTGAATCTACCAAATACTTAAAGAAGAATTAACACCAATCCTTCATAAAGTCTTTCAAAATACAGATGAGGAAAGAACATTTCCTAACTTATTCTATGAGGGTGATATTAACCTGGTATCCAAACTAAAGACATCACACACAAAAAATTACAGACCAGTATTTCTTATGAATGTAGATGGAAAAATGCTTGACAAAATCTGGCAAACCAAATTCAACGGAGTATTCTGTAAACATGAAGCAGATAATAATAGCATGATTCTCCAAACTGATCTATGGTTTCACTACAATTGTTGTTTTTTTGAGTGAAAAAGTTTTCATTTATTGGCTGGGCATGGTAGCTCATGCCTGTAATCCCAGCATTTTGGGAGGCTGAAGCAGGTGGATCATCTGAGGTTAGGAGTTCGAGAGCAGCCTGATAAACGTGCTGAAACCCCGTCTCCATTGGAGTCTCACTCTGTTGCCCAGGCTTGAGTGTAATGGCGTCACCTGAACATCTATGTGCAAAATAATGAAGGTGGACCCCCTACATCTCACACGATTATAAGAATTGATGCAAAATATGTCAAATACCTAAATGTAAGAGCCAAAACGATAAGACTCTTACACAAAAACATGGGAGTAAATTTCATGACCTTAAATTAGACAACAGTTTTTTCTTCTCCAAACTGGATTTTTTTTCTTTTAAAACAATTTTGTCTTTTGAATTTAATGAAGTATTACTAGCTGAAGGCAGCCTGACATGGTGACAAGAATGTCAGACAGATGAAAGGGACACAGCCTGATTTAAAACCAAACACTGAACCTTTTTAAAGAAGAATAAGACATTTTATACACACACATGACACCAAAAGCACAAACAACCAAAGGAAAAATAGATACATTAGATTTTATCAAAATTAAAAACTTTTGTGCATCAAAGGACACTGGCAAGAAAGTCACAGAACTCACAGGATGAGAGAAAATATTGGCAAATTATCTGTTAAGGTCTAATATCCAGAGTATCCAGAAGATATAGAGAAATTCCTATAATTCAATAAAAAGACAAATCAATTTTTTAAATGGGCAGAGGATGTGAATAAATATTTCTTCAAAGAAGATATATAAATGGCTCATATACACATAAAAATGTTGAATGTCTTAAATCATTAGGGAAATGTCCATCAAAAACTGCAGCGAGATACTACTTTACACTCACTGGGATGGCTATGAGAAGAGACAGACAACGACAGTGTTGACAAAGACCCGGAGAAATTGAAACCCTCAAACATTGCAGATGGAAGTGTAAAATGGAGCAGCCACTGTGGAAATCAGCCTGACAGGTCCTCAAAAAGTTAAACATAAGAGTTGCCATACGATCTAGCAATTCTGCTAGGGATGCACCCTAGAATTAAAAACATGTCCACGCAAAAAGTAGTACATGCATGTCCATAGCAGCATTATTCATAAAAGCCAAAATAAAGTAGAAACAACCACATGTCCACTAAGTGATGAATGGATGAACGGATATAGTGATGGCTCCATACAATGGAATATCACTCAGCCTTGCAAAGGAATGATCCATGCTGCAGCATGGGAGGACCTTAGAAACAACATGCTTCGTGAAAAGAAACTAGACACAAAAGGCCACATACTGTATGATTCGTTTATATGAAAGATCTAGAATAGGCAAATCCATAGGGACTCAAAGTAGATTAGTAGTTACCTGGGCCTGCGGGAAGACAGCACTGGGGAGTGATGGCTAATGGGTACCATGTTTCTTTTTGGGATGATGAAAATGTTCTGGGGTTAGATAATGGTGATTGTTTGCTATACAACCTTGAGAATATACTAACCACCACTGAATTGTACACTTTATAATACTGCGTTGATGGTACGTGGATCAAGTCTCAATGTAACACAAAGAAGCATGTTGTACTGTATAGAACACCAGGTGCCAGAAGACCAAACATGCTGGCAGATGGAAAAAAGAGGAGTGAAGATTCACTCTCCCTTGACCAAGATCAGAGTGAGTCAGTGGCGAGGCTGGGAGCCACACAGCTTGTCCTGCCTTGTGATCCCCCTCCTCTTCCTATTCCAGATGGTTTTTCAGTGCCATTAACTTGTTTTGTAACACTAATATTCAATAAGATGATGTTACAAAGAGAAAGAATGTGAGTGCCACATGACTGGTTAAGTATGGATTCTCAAACTAGGGCTTTAAATATCCTTCGTGATTTTTTTTTGGCATGAAAACTTGTAAGACCACTGGTGGGCTCTGTACAAAGTCGGCTACCCCTTCATTCTATATCTTCCTCTGCCCACTTTCCTCCCAGCTATTAAAAATGAATGTAGGCTGGGCACAGCATCTCAAGCCTGTAATCTCAGCACTTTGGGAGGCCAAAGCAGAAGGAAAGCTTGAGCCCAGGAGTTTGAGACCAGCCTGGGTAACAAAGTGAGACCCTGTTTCTATTTTTTTCTAAACACCAAAAATAATGACTGTAAGGCAGTATGTAGCCAAACAACTTGGCAAAGTTTGTTATCTTTCCTCCAAAATTCTCTCACTCTCCAACCTTCCCTCTTTCTTGATAGCTCATCCATAGCCTTGAGCTCAGCATTACCTCTGAACTAGGAAGCTCTTCTCCAGCTGACATTAGGATCTTTGCATTTGTCCCTAATGAAATCAAAATATAGGGCCATTCGATATTATCCTCTTTTCCTCCTGTTCTAAGGCATTCTTTTCTTGACTAAGGTTGTGCCTGGGCCATGGAGAGACTGAGTGAGAACTGGCTCAACGGCTCAAGTTTGAGGACTCTACAGCAACTCTTTTCCACAAACCAAATGATATGAATGTTTTTATTTATTTATATTTATGTTTCCACTTTTTAAAAGTCTTTTTGTAGAGATTGGGGTCTCACTTTGTTGCCCAGGCTGAACTTGAACTCCAGGGGCTCAAGCGATCTGCCTGTCTTGGCCTCCTAAAGTGCTGGGATTACAGGCATGAGCCAGCGCGCCCAGCCTCGAGTGTTTTTAGATTCACAGTAGATGACCATTTCCATTTCTGGTTCAAGTCCTTCATTTTATACATTAAACTAAGGTGCACTGACTCCCAGTCCATCGCCTTTTTGGTATCTTTATGGAAGTAAAATGTGGCAAGCTTTTTTTCAGCCTCAAAGACTGTCTCAGAGTAAAAGTTTAAGAAGTACTGCTCTAAATAATTTTATTAAATATGCCTTATTAGATGAGGAAAACTGAAATATTTTTATACAAGCCTTTTGCTGTAGAACAATGGGACAGAATAAAGGTAGCTCACAAAATAAGGGAACATTTCTTGCCTGTTTTTTTTTTTCCCTCCAAATTCTTCTGTACAGGTCCAGATAGATGAGCTATGTTTCCTTTCTATTAACTGAGGAGAGAGAGATGAAAGGACTGGAGCATGTCATCACTGTCTTAAATGTACTGAAATCCTAACAGCTCTAGCTGAAAAAATGTCCAAAGCAGGCCGTGAAAATAAATTTAAATGACAAACTCCAAAATGATCTATGCTAGAATCCCAAGGCTGTCAGGGAAAACTGGTTCCATGGAAGAAGGTAGTCAAAGAAATAAGCAGATGACCTAGACCCTCACCCAATATGCGCGATGTACTTGGGGAGAAAGTAACCTCTTTCCTTTATTCACCTACATAGGTTCGTGAGCCACACATCTCCCCACACCAAGCTCCTCCATACAAGACCTCGGACTGCATCACGTAAATGCTTTTTCAGGGGCAAAATCTAGAGAATCTGAAATGGTGAGCCTTTTTCCTTTTTTTTTTTTTTTTTTGAGATGAAGTCTCACTCTGTTGCCCAGGCTGGAGTGCAGTGCAGTGGTGTGATCTTGGCTCACTGCAAACTCCACCTCCTGGAGTCAAGTGATTCTCCTGCCTCAGCCTTCAGAGTAGCTGGGATCATAGATGCCCGTCCCCATGCCTGGTTAATTTTTGTATTTTTAGTAGAGACAGGGTTTCACCATGTTGGCCAGGCTGGTCTCGAACTTCTGAGCTCAAGTGATCCACCCACCTTGGCCTCCCAAAGTGCTGAGATTACAGCATGAGACACCATGCCCAGCTGTGAGCCTGTATCTTAATCAAAGTCCTGAGAATAACCTTGAAGAAGACTCCCTTGCAATGAGCAACAACAGAAGAAGCAAGGGACCTGGAATCTGGCAGACCTGGGTTTGAATTCTGGCTCTGTCACTTTCTGGTGAAGTGACTTGAGTAATGAACATGAGCCTTTCTGGGTAGCGTTTACAGCACAAAGCAATTTGAGGAATAAATGAAAGAGCACGTGTCTAGTGCCTAGCAATGCGCTGGACACAGTGCCGGTGCTCAGCCATCATGTCACACCAGCACTGACCGGTGAGCATAAACCCTGGGGATGCCCAGAGCTGGTACAGCCAGGAGCTCCAGAAGCGTGGGATTCTCAGAGGGAAGTGGAGCTCACTGCTCTACAGGTCCTGTTCAAGTTAGAAAGTAAGATACAATGCACACAAAGCCAAATTGTCATCATTCAGCTCCTATTACAGGGGAACTAAGAGCTGCATTGAAAATTATTTGCAAAGCTTGTAAGTGGTTCTGCCACTTATTAGCCGTGTGAACCTTAGCAAATTACCTAGCGTCTCTGAGTTTCAACTTCCTCATCTACAAAATAGAAATGATAATAATAACCGCATCGCAAGAGTTGTTGGAAAAATGAAAATGAGGTATCATAGGAGGTAACATGTATGGAGCATTTACCATAGGCCAAGCACTGTTCTAAGAACTTCGGACATGTTATCTCACTTGTATAAGTACTTAGGTGCCTACAACATAAACAGCACCTGGTAAATTAAGTATTGAAAAAATGCTATGGGGCAGAGGAAGAAATGCTAAGCTTCTGTGAGAAGAGAAGACAGCTTGTTACACAGGTGAAAAGAACAAGCTGCAGCTGAGAGAAGAAAAGTATAAGAGTTGCTAGGTGTGACAATCTCAAGACTTTTCAACCACTACAAATTTAAACAGCCACCCTAAATCACCCCAAAGGACAGACTCGAGTTGTTCTTTTTGTCTTTAATGTTTGCGCCTCTCCGAATCAGAGAAGAAGCTGCCAGGATTCCAGTACATACCAAAACATGATGACAATACCCTCAACTGTGCAAACTTTTGTGCATCTACCGCTATGTAAAGGAAGCTGATGTCAGTAGACTGGGGGGAACAGTAAGGCATGTTTGTGACCGAAGCTCAATTTGCCATCACAGTGTGGCCACACCTACCTCACTAATATTCTAATAGTGGGATAAATAATTCAATAGGGATAAAGCCTGGATTTTCCTCTTATTCTCTCTTAGTGCTTACATTCTTGGCATGATATCGATGTGCCACAGACAAGCCAATATGTGAGTGTACTCTATCTGAATAAAGTATAGCCTTTCTACATTGCAAAGTCATCCAGTTTCTAAAATTATTGTTAGAACCAATGAAGTGACTAAGAGAATTTTAAAAAATAAGCCATCAGTCTGGACCTGTGTATAGGAATGAAGGAGAAGCACTTTAAAGTCAGGGAAAAAATATAAACATACTTAACATTTAGGATTATCAACCATTGCTGCTTTTCCATAAACCATTTCATTCATGATTTCATCTGTAAGAGATATGATTATTGCCCCCATTCAGTGAGGGACTTTGATAGTTAGCCGCCTGGTCCTTCTTGCTTGGATGCCCTGCAAATAAATGTCCTCCTTTCCCCAATGCAAAACCTCGATATGGTTGTTTGACTTTACTGCGCTTGGGCCAGCAGAATCCAGTTAAGTCCACGAATAAGCTCTTGGCCTGTCTTTGAGATGGATTTCAGATTCAAAATAGACAGACCCTATCACCCTGCTAACTTGGCCAGTCAGTATTTGTCAATAACATAGAGGCTTCATTCAAGAGATTTACTGGGTTGTACCTATTGGAACCCAGGGATGATTTCAGGATTTTGTGGGGCCTGAGCCTTATCTAGTAAAAACATTAAAAAAATTATGAATACAAAAATTTCCAGGGGCCCTCCCACGACCTTGGAAGGGCCTGTGCAAGTGAGAAGCCTGGAAGGTTAGGCTCTATTCATCATCCATCAACCACAGCTGGGGCCTCTTTTTTTGTTTGTTTTTTATAAACTTGTGTAATACAGGGAAATATATTGTTTCAACTTACAAACACCACAAAATGGTGTCATATTGGTCATAAAATTACTGGCACCTTCCCTTGGCATCTTGCCTTTGGAAGGAAATGCAGTGGGCCTATATGTCACATATGCCAAATATGACTGCAGTGTAGCTTTGTTTACCAGGAAGATTTGACTCCAAAAGGGCCCAGCCCCTAACATACACTTGGTGTGTTGAGACCCTTGTGCCAATCTTTGAAAGTAACTGTGACTTAGTTTGAAGGGTACAGCTCTATTCTGTTTATATGAAATGAGTGCTAGTTTCCAATATCAGCTAGCTCTGATTTTTTCATCACCATGAAGCAAATGCCTTTTTCTGTTGTTTAAGATGAACACAGAAACTCAAGATAAGCAAGTTAGTGTCTCTCAAGTCTTTCTTAACCCAGCCCCCATTCCTGCTTTGTCCTCTCCTTGTCACCCTGCCGTACAGATCCCCACATGGCTCTCATATGTTTTCCCATCAGCATCCGCTTCCTCCTTGAGGAATGAAAGTCCCCTGGGGACAAAGTCCTCATCTTGGTGTGTCTTTGAGATGGATTTTGTAGCCCCAGCACTTAGTACAGTACCTGGCACAAATGGACATGACACTCTGAATGTTTTTGAGTGAATTCATTAATTTTTATCAACTGTGATTCCAGTGTTTTCCTGGTGTTGCCTACATAATTGTAGTGAAGCTGGCTAGATGATGATGATGATGATGATGATTATTATTATTATTATTATATTATTATTATTATTTGAGACAGAGTCTCACTCTGTCCCTCAGGCTGGAGTGCAATGGTGCCATCTCGGCTCACTGCAACCTCCGCCTCCTGGTTTCAAGTGATTCTCCTGCCTCAGCCTCCTGAGTACCTAGGATTACAGTTGCCTGCCACCATGCCCAGCTAATTTTTGTATTTTTAGTAGAGACAGGTTTCACCATGTTGGTCAGGCTGGTCTTGAACTCCTGACCTCAGGTGATCCACCCACCTCAGCAAAGTGCTGGAATTACAGGCATGAGCCACCGCTCCCGGCCACCAGATTTTTATGAGGGACTCCCAGTTGTATAAAGTGCTTAGTAAAGATGGTGAGTTTAAAACATTTGTATTGATGCTACCTAAACCTCTTGGTGGAGGGACCTAATGAGCCTGTTCTCTGGTGTGAGGGCAAAAGAAAAACAGACCTTTAGTGTACTTTTCCTAAGTTATGCATCAGCAAATTAATGAGGACAGAGGGGAGCATGTGCAGAAACTGCTGCTCTAGTCCAGACACATCCTGAATGCCTCCCTCTAACTTGAAATGAACTGTGTGAAACTAGATTTCTGAACCACAAGGCAGGTGGAACGTCTTTTCTAAAGTCAGATGTAGAGGAGAATCTTCACCTTGAGTCCCCTTCAGGCCACTGAATATACCCACTCTGATTTGATGGGTATGTTATACAGAGAAATCATAGAATTTTTGCAATTATGGTAGAAGAGTAGTCAGGAAAGTATATGGAATTAAGATACAGCGATATATTTTCTTTACAAAAGTTTTTTTTTGCACAATAGCTTAACATAAACACCATCTTGGCCCGGCATGGTGGCTCACACCTGTAACCCCAGCACTTTGGGAGGCTGAGGTGGGCGGATCACCTGAGGTCACAGGAGTTCGAGACCAGCCTGGAGGGGAGGTTGGAGGGTAGTGGCACAATCTCGGCTCACTGCAACTTCCCCCTCCCGGGTTCAAGCCATTCTCGTGCCTCAGCCTCCCGATAGCTAGGATCACAGGTGCCCGCCACCATGACCTGCTAATTTTTGTATTTTTAGTAGAGATGAGGTTTTGCCATGTTGGCCAGGCTGGTCTCAAACTCCTGACCTCCAGTGATCCTCCCACCTTGGCCTCCCAAGGTGCTGGGATTACAGGCATGAGCCACCATTCTGGCCCTACAACTTTGGATTTGATTCCTGCTCATATGCAGAGTTTCTAACTGCTTAAATGTCTGCAACATTTAGCTGCAAGGAAGGAAGCTTAACACAAAGTCCTCCAGGGAGCAAAAAACTGCACCACCACGCCCAGCTAATTTTTTTGTATTTATAGTAGGGACAGGGTTTCACTATGTTGGCCAGGCTGGTGTTGAATTCCTGACCTCGGGTGATCCACCCACCTCGGCTCCCAAAGTTCTGGGATTACAGGTCTGAGCCACCCCGCCCAGCAACAAGGCTAATTTGAGGGTCACTTCTTTGATGCCTTTTCTTGCCCATGCTATAGGTCAGAACTAGGACAAGCAGAGGAGGTCATATATAAGCTACGTAAGTCTCTTGGCCTCTTTGTACCTTAGCTTCCCCATTTGAGAAAAATGAATGGATCTTAAGACACGCTTTTCAGAGTTGATAATGGGCTTATACCCAGCTACCCAATAATTGTATGAGTTTTTGTACATAAATAGTTGTTTACATGTATTCATCTTCTATTTCACTTACAACTTA
Source organism: Homo sapiens (assembly GCF_000001405.40). NCBI lineage: Eukaryota > Metazoa > Chordata > Mammalia > Primates > Hominidae > Homo > Homo sapiens. The sequence continues at coordinate 445,432 of NT_167251.2, forward strand.
TGTAAAAACTGCATTCCGTGCCAGGCCTGAAATGTTCCAAAGCTGAGTTCTGTAATTACATTGCAACTAAGATTTCTAAAAAAAAAAAGACACAAGCCAAAGAAAAAAAAAATTATTTCAGAACATTTATCATTTGCCATGATTCTAATTTATATAGGATGGAACATAACCTCAATCCTTTCTCTATGCACTAAGGAAATCTGACTGTGGAAGATACTGGCTTATGATTTATACTTTAACACTGCACATGTGGTGCATTAGATACAAAACAGTGAATGCTCAGTAAATACCTGTGTTAAGTGATCTTTATTTCTCTAGAACAGGATTTCACAACTTCAGTGCCATCAACATTTTGGACTATATAACTCTTTGCCATGGGGGTTTGTCTTATACCTTGAAGGATGTTTAGCAGCATCTCTGGCCTTTGCCCACCAGATGCCAGGAGCACACTCACAGTTTTGTCAACCAAAACTGTCTCCGGACATTACCAAATGCCACCTGAGTGCAAAATCACACCACCTGAGAACCACTGCTCTCTGATGATTCACTAAGATCTGTGTAATAATTCTCACAATAATCCTTGCTAGAGACAAAAAGGATTTGCTGTATAATTTTAGTAGCTTTCTACTGGTAAAATTTTAATCATATTTCAAGAATAGCAAAAAGGTTTATAATTAAGTTTTATAAAAATTCCAAATGTAATCAAGTTATATTTGTAACTTACATAAACTTCAAAAATGGTAGTGGTTCAAATGTATGTCTTTCAATAGACTGTATTTTATTGCAGGATAAATCTCTAGGAAAACGAAAATATTGCCTTGATTAGTTATTAAATGTCAATTGGTATGAATAACAGCAAGAGTTTAGAATAATACTGAATACCTGTTTTTCATCTCAACTCTAAACGTTTGGACTTGTATTTGAACATTCCAGAGCCCCTAACCCTGCCCATACCTCTCCTAGAGTCTCACCTTCATGGTTTTAATAAATATACAACATAATAGACTTTGGAATTAATTTTTCCTGAGAGCAGTAGACTTGATTAGATGCCCTTTTGTAGTGTCATCAAATCTTAGATTATGAGCTCAAAGATTTTATCTCTATATACACAATTTCTAATATTAAAAAAAATAGTCGGGCCGGGTGCGGTGGCTCAGGCCTGTAATCCAGCACTTTCGGAGGCCGAGGCTGGCGGATCCTGAGGTCAGGATATCGAGACCATCCTGGCTAACACGGTGAAACCCTGTCTCTACAAAAAAAATAAAAAATTAGCCGGGCCTAGTGGCACGTGCCTGTAGTTCTAGCTGCTCAGGAGGCTGAGGCAGGAGAATGGCATGAACCCAGGAGGCGGACCTTGCAGTGAGCCAAGATTGCACCACTGCACTCCAGCCTGGGCGACAGAGCGAGAGTCCGTCTCAAACAAACAAACAAACAAACAAACAAAGTCTCACATTTCTACACCTTCTTAGTTTAGGTCTGTTTTCCTAAGTCACTTCAATATCAGAAGAAATAAAAGACATCCTTTCACATCATTTGAAAGGAAGCTACCCCTTTACCTAATACGTAACTTTGAACTAATTCAAATCATATTAATAGAATTAATTTCTATCATATTAATAGAAATTCATTTTTGGTTTTGTATTGCTTTAATATTTCATAAAAAAAAATTTCTTCAGTTATACAGTGATGGAGTTTGTCCCTCCCTCTTTACCTGGATGGTGTAACGTTGTCTGGCTGATGTCTCCATCTCTAGTCTCTCCCTACCTAAACTATCCTGCACACAGTCATCATATAAACTCTCCAGAAGTGGCTTGCAAAGACCAGCATCTCCTGGGAAATTACTGAAGATGCAAATTCTTGGTCCCACTCTAGACCAACTGAATCAGTAACTACGAGGGTGGAGTCCAGAACTGAGTTCTAACGTGCCCTCTCAATGACTGTGATGCAGATCTACCTTACAGCGCTGCTGTGGTAACACGGTTCCCCATGTTGGCTCCTCAGCTTGGCATTCAAAGCTCTAGAAGATCTGGCTCCATTTTCCTACTCTCCCTTCTTGTACTCTACGGGTACTCATGGCATTCCTTGAATACTTTCCTGTGTTTTGCCCTCCCATTTTCCTTTTGCAAGTTTAGAGTATTTTCCCCAAGATGTCTGTCTGGTGTTACACAATGGCCCTTTAAAGTCCTATTCAAATGGCATTGTTCTAGTAACATCCTCCTGGGTCCAAATTGAAGGCATTTTTTCCTCTTCTATGTTCGAGAAACAATTTATCCCTCCTAGTGCCCACATCCATTTCTTCTTCTTAATGTAGTTATTTTTTATCCCATTTCTTCTGAGCATAAACTCCCTGAAAGCATGGACTAGGTCTTGCTCATCTGCATTGCCCACCATGTTTAAAACTGACACATGGAAATAAAGCAAACTCAAATATTTGTAAAATAAATGAATAGCTGGGGGAGTGAGTAGAAGGAAAATAACTATTTTAAAGGAAATGTAGTTTTATTATTTCATGGTCTCTGTAGCACTTTGGCATCCACCTGAGGGTCTTTACACCCACTTTCCTTAAGCCTTCTATATTTGAAAGAATCTGTTTGCAAAAGAGCATCACTAATGAGCTTAATAAGGATTAATGACATACAGACCTCTATGGACAAAGGGTAAGAATCAAGCTTTCATAGCAATGAACATAGTATCTTCTTGTCTCTAAACAGACAGAAATACAGGGATCCCTTTCTGGTAACAGGGCTGGGGCGATCGTTATTTTGTAATTAGTGAAGAGTTAGGGGCATTTCTGATGTGCTTCTTAGTGTAAACACTTCTAGCTCTACCAGTTAACCATCATTTTAAACATCTGTTTTAATATAACAATTCCTGAAATGAAATCCTTAATACCAGTCTATTCTCTTGGTAGCTTAATATTCTTGATAATATTATTGATATAATTCAGCTATTTTTAATATTTAAATGTTAATTTAATTCCGATTAAATTACCAAAAAATTCTGGATTAATGATGTTCAAATGAATGCAGGTGGTCTCCATTTTCTTCTCCTTTAGGCAACCATCTGAAGTTAACTTTAGTTCCTTTCATCCTACTAAACCAACTTTTTGAAATTTTTTTTGGTGAAGGTCAGACAGTAAATATTTTAGGTTTTATGGGCCACATATGATCTCTCGCATATTTCTTTGTTTCTTTTCTTTTTCTTTCACAGTCCCTTTAAAAATGCAAAACCCATTCTTAACTTAATGGGCTATTTAAAAATAGACCATAAATTAGATTGGATCTATTGGTTGTAGACTGAATAGAAAAATAATGATATGTGAACCCTTATAAAACAAGGTTCATATGGGTGTCAGTCACTGCTCAGATTTTCTTACCATGTGAAATGTTTTTGTCTGTATTTTGTCTATACAACTTAAAAACTGAAAATGCACAGGAGGTAGCTAGTGCTAGAGATGGGCTGAGACCCTATACAAACTTACAGAATTGCAGAATTTTATTGCTCAAAGAAATCTGAGAGATTATCTAATTTGAACCCCTTATTCATTTTACAGATAATATGACTAAAAACTCATAAATATAATTAACTAACTTACAAATACTGGAGGGATAGCAGGCCTTCAAATGAATCCTTGTGTAATTCAGTCAAGTTATTTTCTCTGAGAATTCTGGAAAATGAAGAAGTTATTTCTAGATTAAAATGCAAACTACAACTATTTGCTACACAGAACCATCTCCTGCATGTGGAGGAAAGCTGGGTCATGGTCACTTCAAGATGGTGGGATCTGCTCTGCTTTCATTCAAACCTTTTCTTATATTTTCCTTTTTGTGTCCATCTCTCTCCACCACCACCACAAACACACACACACACACTCAAGCACACCCCTTGAAGAGTGGGTTTCTTCCCACCAAATTCTATTATTTCATGCCTCCTCTCTAGATCACAAAATCCCTTTTAGAATCCAACTCTGGGTGGCACCAAGATCAGCAGAACCTCCATTTCCTCCTCTCTTTTCCCAAACCTTATTATGAAAGCCCCACATGGAACCATGTCAGGGCTGCAAGTGAAGCCATTCAACCTTTTTCCCCCCATCAAAAAAACTGGAGAACTATAATGTGCATAAAGTGCACATAACATAAATGTTGTTTATATTTAATTTAATTTAATTTTTGAGACAGGGTCTCACTCTGTTCCCAGACTGGTCTCAAACTCCTGGCTCAAGTGATCCTCCTGTGTCTGCTTCCCAAAGTGCTGTGACTGCAGACATGAGCCACCTCACCTGGCCAAAATATTCAGTTTAATAATTATGAAGCAGATACCCATGTAAACATCGTTACAAAAGATCATTGCTAGCATGCCAGAAGCCCCAGTGTGCCCCTTTCCAATCATATCCCTCTCTCTAACCCTAATAGGTAACCACTATCCTGACCTTTGTAATAATTTTCTTGTTTTTAAAATGTAGTTCTGGCCTGGCGTGGTGGCTCATGCCTGTAATCCCAGCACTCTGGAAAGCCAAGGTGGGTGAATCACCCACGGTCATGAGTTTGAGACCAGCCTGGCCAACATGGTGAAACCCTGTCTCTACTAAAAATATAAAAATTAGCTGGGTGTGATGGAGGGCACCTGTAATTCCAGCTACCCAGGAGGCTGAGGCAGGAGAATCCCTTGAACCCGGGAGGTGGAGGTTGCAGTGAGCCAAGATCGCACCATTGCACTCCAGCCTGGGCAACAAGAACAAAATTCCATCTGAAAAAATAAATAAAGCAATTCTCCTGCCTCAGCTTCCCAAGTAGATGGGATTACAGGCACCCACCACCACGCCTGGCTACTTTTTGTATTTTTAGTAGAGATGGGGTTTCGCCCTATCGGCCAGGCTGGTCTCAAACTCCTGACCTCAGGTGATCCGCCTACCTCCCAAGGTGCTGGGATTAAAGGCGTGAGCCACCGCGCCTAGCATATGTTTATTTTTAATTTAGAACTCATCGTGGCTTGTCTATATACATTGAAATAATGATGTGACACACAAACTGTTGTGAAAAATGTCAGTTACTTTGAATGTAAGCATTTTTTCCAAAATCACTTATGTGTCTAAACCAATTCCTTCTATAAATCAGTAAGAAAATGATAAAACAATTCAACAGGAAAATGAACAAAGGCCAGAAAACTCAGAGAAGAAACACAAATGTTCAATAAACATATAAAGATACTAAATTAAATTCATGAGTAATCAGAAAAATTCACATTTAGATGGAATCCCTTTTATTCATCCATAACTTCAGCAAAAAGTTGGAGAATACCCAGCGGTGAAAAGGTGTTGGGAAATGAATGCTGTCATATTCTGCTGACAATAGAGTAAGTTGGCACAAAATTTTTGAAGGCAATTAAAATTTTATATCTACATAGTCTTCACCCCAAGAATTCCATTTCCAGATATCTATGCTACAGGAATACTTGCACATGTTCACAAAGAAGCATGTACAGGGATTTCATTGCAGCAATGCATGTAACAAGAAAACTAAGCATAATCTAAACATTCATCAATGGGGGAATTATTAAATAAACCATGATGCATCCATACTATGGATTATGCAGGAGTTTAAATGAATGGGGTGACCCTCTCAGTACTGGGAAGGAAAGAAATCTAAGGCATATCATGAAGTGAAAGAATCAAGTTGCAAGATGTTACCCTTTATGCGAAGAAAAAATTTTAAAACCACAAAACAAATCTATTTTGCTTTATGTAAATATGTATGTAGGTAAATGAGGAAAAGTCTGGAAGCATGTATACTAAATGCAGAGTAGCATTACTTCAGGGATGAGGGAGTAGGGCACAAGGAGAGTTTTTGTTATATCTGTTATTGCATTTTTATATATTAAAAATGGAATCATGGGCTGCGGGTGGTGGCTCATGCCTGTCATATGAACACTTTAAGAGGCCAAGGTGGGAGGATCACTTGAGCCCAGGAGTTCAAGACCAGCCTAAGCAGCATAGGAAGACCCTGTCTCTACAAAAAATACAAAATTAGGTGGGTGTGGTGGCATGCACCTGTGGTCCCAGCTACTGGGGAGGCTGAGGTGAGAGGATCACTTGGGCCTGGGAGGTGAAGGCTGCAGTGAGCTGTGATTGTGCCACTGCACTGCAGCCCAGAGGACAAAGTAAGACCCTGTCTCTGAAAAAAAAAAAAAAAAAAAAAAAAGAGAACAAAAAGGAATATAACCATGTACTATTTGTATGATAAAAAATAAATTTAAATTGCCTCTTATTTTAAAGAGAGCCTACCAAATTTAATTTTAAAATAACCATACAATTGCAATCAACAGTGGTTGATTTGGGGCGTGGAGGAGAAATATCTTTCCTCAGAGGTACCGACCTCAAAATTCTGGACCAAGAAGGATCTTACAATGCAGTTAGCTTTTTGTCATATTTGGAGAGAATATACTCACAGTTTCTCGGTCCAACTGTATGCTTTCCATACATTTCCATCAATGTAAGAAATATAGTTTCCTTGGAAATTTCTGTGAAGAAACACAGTTTATATCCTTGAATAGGTAGGAAAACAATGAACACGATAAGTAAAAGAATCATTGCAACCTTGTTGGGGATATTCAGAAACAGAAAATAACACCTGCTTTCTCATTTCCAGAGCTATCAGCTTCCCAGTTTGCACAATTCATCAAGAAATTATGCGGGGTCACTGGCACAAATGATGAGGCATCTCCTGGAAGCTTAACTTCTTATCCATCCCATCTCTTGGACAGATGATGCCAGTTAATTACTTTGAATGTAAGTATTTTATCTAAAAGCACTTATGTGTCTAAACAGACTTCTACAAATCAGTACCAAAATGGTAAATAATTCCACAGAAATATGGGCAAAAGCTTATCATTATCAACAAATGAGAAGAAAGAAACCCTATGCCAGGTAACACCAAAGCTTTGGCCCAGTGCCCTCTGTTGAAACATCCTAGGCTTTTTCTTTCCACTCCTATTACAACTGATCTGATTTGGCCCCTTCACACCTCACTCCTAGATTTTGCTAGACCTTTCTATTTTGTCTCCCTGAATTAAGCTTTTCCTTTTGGACACTTTACATATGGATTCTAAAACAATCCTCTGCATGTCTACACTTGCACATAATGCAAAAAACAAAATAAAATAATCTTCCTGTTTTGATCATGTAATCTCTCTTGCTTGGAAACTTTCAATGGCTTTCCATACCTCATTGTGTAACTTTCAAACTCCTGTAGCTGATAATCAAGGTTTTACAGAATCGTATCTTCATTGCTCCCTCACCTAATTCTTTGTAGCCACATTGGTCTACTAAATTCCAACCATACCTGTAGCCATGCGTTTGCCTAGACTGTACTCCCATTTTTCTCCTATTTAACAAATTATGGCTACTCTTTAAGACCCAAGTAAAGTTTTAGCTTACCCATGTAGCATCTCCACACCTCAAGGATCACAGATTCTGGCAAATTCTAGCACCAATGGTCTGCATTATCTTTTAGTACTTAATTATATATACCTCCCTTTTTATGCCTATTCTCTTTCTTCCCTCCTATCATTTTTTTTTTTTTTTTTTTTTTTGAGATGGAGTCTTGCTCTGTCGCCCAGGCTGGAGTGCAGTGGTGCAATCTCGGCTCACTGCAAGCTCTGCCTCCCAGGTTCACGCCATTCTCCTGCCTCAGCCTCCCGAGTAGCTGGGACTCCAGGCACCCACCACCATACCTGGCTAATTTTTTTCTGTATTTTTAGTAGAGATGGGGTTTCACCATGTTAGCCAGGATGGTCTTGATCTCCTGACCTCATGATCCGCCCGCCTCGGCCTCCCAAAGTGCTGGGATTACAGGCGTGAGCCACCACACCCAGCCTCTTCCCTCCTATCATTTTCGTGTTCTGGAGACAGTAGCATACTTGGCCCTGGGTTTGACATAAAACTAGTTCTACATATAGAAAGCTAGGGACAAAAATGAGTTCTGGACAAAACTAAAGGACTGAATAATCATGTGAACAGCCAACTCTCCTACATATGCTAAGCACTGATGAAGTGTTTCATATATTCACTCACCTAAATTTCACAACAATCCTATGAAATGCTAACTAGCATGATCCCCAGTTTAAAGGTGAGGAAATTGAGTCACAGGCAGAATAACTTGCTCTGGGTCACCAAGCTAATAAATAGATCTGGGTTCAAACCCAGGCAGCCTGGCTCCGGAATCAACTCTTAACCACTTAGAGCATCATCACTGAGATCGGGAGAGGGACAGGCTGCTGTAAAGAGGGTGAAGCGAAAATGGGAGGAGAGCAGCGGTTAAGCAATGATGTGATGGGGCTAAATAAAAATGGATACAAAAACGAGTAAAAGACCAGAGTAAAAGGAAAAGACTGGAGAAGGGGACTAACATTAAAAGAGAATGAGGAGAAGGGAGAGTTGACAAGCAAAGGTGAAAGCAGAAAGTCAGCTGTCCATATGGCTTGGGGAGATAAAGAAGGCCCAGGAAGGCCTCCAGGAAAAGGCTGCCATGTCAGGCAGGACACAGAGGACAATTGAGGAAAAGTGATTCTTACAAGATGGTGAAGGTGCCATTGTGGGTGTTGGGCTCTGGCACAGGCACTTGGCGGAGCCTCTGCTCTGGGTTGAGATCAATACATGACAACATCTCATCTCCGCAGGTACAGAGCTCACATATGTTGGTGCTTGTGGAGGCCTTGTGTTCCTCTGGTGCAGTTAAAGCCTTATTTTGGGTGTAACTTTCAGACTGCACCAGTGAATCCTGAGCAGGTTCTAGTTCAGTAGGTGGACCTGTGACTTCAGTCAGGCTTCGATGCAGAGTCTGAACCCGGTCTGGACGAGGAGCTGTAGTCTTCTCCAGGGCTGTAGAATGTCCAGTCTCTGTAGTGGGTTCTGGAATGATGGCAAGTCCCAGGTCTGGAGGCTGAGTTGAGGTCTCCTCCGTGGTTGGAGATGGTTTAACCTCTGTAGTAGGTTTTGTAGTTATGGTAAGCTCCAGGTCCAGAGGTTGAACGGTGGCTTGAGTCAGGTGTGAATGCTGAGCCTGACCCTTGTCTGAAGGTGGAAGTGTCACCTCAGGGTGTCCTGGAGGAGGAGCTGTAGTCATCAGGGCTGTAGAAGGTTCAACCTCTGTCATGGATTTTGGAGTGATGGTAAACCCCAGGTCCAAAGGTTGAACTGTGGCTCGAGTCAGGTGTGAATGCTGAGTCTGAACCTGGTCTGGATGTGGAAGTGTCACCTCAGGATGCTTTGGAGAAACTATAGTCCTCTTCGGGGGTGTAGAATGTCCAACCTCCGTAGTAGGTTCTGGAGTGATGGTAAGTCCCAGGTCCAAAAGTTGAACTGTAACGCTGGGTGACACTGGATGCTGAGCTTGATCCTGACCTGGTGTTGGATTTGTTACCCCTTGATATACTCGAAGTTGGGGTACAACTTTCTTAGGAGGCTGAGTTGGGGTCTCCTTCATGGTTGGAGAAAGTTCAACCTCTGTCTTGGATTCTGGAGTGATGGTAAACCCCAGATCCAAAGGTTGAACTGTGGCTTGAGTCAGGTGTGAATGCTCTGGAGGTTGAGCTACAACTACATTAGGGAACTCTGGAGTCTGAGCTGGGGCCTCCTGATGGGTTAGGGAAGACTCACCCTCCTCAGCGGTCTGTGGATGCTCAGCTGCAGCCTCCTGCTGGGTTGGAGAGGGGTTCTCATTATTAATAGGTTCCGGAGATTGAAATGAAGTCTCCTGTTGAACTGCTAAAGGTCCAGCTTCTTCTGATGACTCTGGAAGCAGAGGTGGGCCCCCGTGCTGGATGGCGGGAGGTTCTACATCATTACCTGACCCTGAGAGCCGAGTTGTAGCCTCCTGGTGGACTAGAGAAGTTCCCACCTCTGCACTAGGCTCTGCTGCTATGGTGAGCTGCACGTCTGGAGGCTTCACAGAGACACTGGGTGAAGCTAAATGATGAGTTTGATGGTGACCTGGAGGTGAAACTGTGACTTCATGATGTTCTGGAGGCTGACCTGGGGTCTCCTGCTGGGTCGGAGAAGATTCGACCTCCCTAGGAGACTCAGAAGGCTGAACTGGCTGCTGCTGCTCACTGATGGAAAGTTCATGCTCCATAGGAGGAACTGGAGGCTCAATTGGGGCCTCCTGTTGGGTTGCAGAAGGTTCCACCTCCTCTGGAAACTGAATTGGGGTCTCCTGCTGGGCTTGGGAAGATTCTGTCTCATTGGTAGGCTCTGAAGTTATGGTAACCTCCACATCTGCAGGTTTAACTGTAATGTTGGGCAAGTGATAATAAGCTTGATCCTCACCTGGAGGTTGAACTGACACCTCATGATTCGGTAGAGTTAGACTCTCCATAGAGGACTCTGGAGGCAGAGCTGGGGCCTCCTGCTGCATTGAAGAAGGTTCTTCCTCAAGGAGCTGTGGAAGCTGTGCTGGGGCTTCTTGCTGGAGTGAAGAGGACTGGATGTCTTCAAGGGTCTCTGGATTTTGAGTTTCGGGCTCTAGATGGAATTGAGAAGGTCCAACTTGCTCAGAGGGCCCTGGAGGCTCATCTGACTTCACCCGGAGTTCTGGAGGCAGGCTACCGGGATACGGTGTATCTGTACTGGAATATTCATTCTGCAAAGTCTGTTTCTGACTCTGAGGTGTGGATAATTGGCGTATAATTCCAATAATCTCAGCAAGGCTCCAACGCTGAGCTGGATCTTTCTTCAGCTTCTTGGGCGAAACAGGGAGCCTTTCCTGTGGACTCAGCTTGTCCTTTAAATCCTGCTGTGAAGCCAAGAACTGCTCTGGCTCCAGGGGCAGCTCTCCAGCTGAATCCCAGGTGTCCAGGAATGGAACCAAATTTTCAGTCGATTCCTGGGGTGGGGCTGGCATCTCTGAGGAAGCAGAGGGCCCCAGGTGATCAAAGTCCCACGGGTCTGCTGGGAGAGTAGGCGCATGGGGAGATTCCCGTGGGAAATGGGAGGAGTGGGAAGACCAGGGCTCAGGCGGCCCCAGGGGGTTAGAGGTCAGCTGGAGCGGGTCCTTGACCCACTCCAGAGGCTGAGCCTCCTTGACTAGTAGCCACAATAGTTGCCACATAAGGAGGGGCCATGGGCCCCAGAAACGCAGCGGGGACATGACACACGCTAGTGCCGGGCACTGAGCGGAAGTCATTCTGGCAGCTCCGAGACGCTCGTGCCCCTTGTAAGCGTGAGTCCCGCCCTGTCTTTATGACACCTTTATTTATGCCACAGATCTGCTCCATGTCACCAGGGCACTCATGTCACAATCCCGCCCAAGCACGCCTTCCCATCCTGCCCTGCCGGAGCACCCCTCTCCTCCCCTTAGTGAGGAAGGATTTGGGCCTCAGATCCTGGTGGTCCCAGGACTCCAGCGCCTGCTGTGGTGGGGTAGGGTGGGGTAGGGTGGGATGGGGGTGCGGCAGAGCTTCCCAAGGAAGTCACCGGACCTCGCCTCAGGATATTCAGAAGTGCTAGTTCAGTTCTGGCAGCCTTCCTCCTTTAAGGTGAAATCCGAGAACACTCTTCCTTCCAGGGAGAGCAACTGACCTGCAAAATGGGCGCCAGGATGTACATTACAGTCATTTATTCCAAAGTGTTGCCATTTTCGCTAAACTGTCGCATGTTTGATAATTAATTCACCACCCTATTAGGTAGGGGCTGCCAGGGAATAAGCGAGGACTCCAAATTTTCTGTAGGAGGGGTGTTGGGAGTTGGCAATTCGGTCTGGGAGAGAAGGTTTTAATCCGAGTGAAGAGCCCTTTGCACTAGCCTGGGAGGAGGCTGAACTGTCATCCTGCCTTGACTCAACACAGCCATTCCCCTAGAAGTTACAGCACTTCTAGGGTCACCTGTGTTCAGAGATCTACCCTGTGTGCACACATGGAGAAGAGGCTTAGGTTGTTAAAGTCAGCATGTTAAATCATTTCCTGAAATGCGACTGTAACTAGAACCCAGCTGACTTCCCCCACAGCCGTTCTTACCTATTTTATTACTGTCTGGCATAATTACCAGCATGTAAACTCCAAGAAGGTGCTTCATCTTATTTTAGTGCCTGGCATAGACATAGGGTGCATAGTGATGGCTTTAAAATTGAAGGGGGGCCGGGTGTGGTGGCTCACACCCATAATCCCAGAACTTTGGGAGGCCGAGGTGGGGGGATCACTGAGGTCAGAAGTTCGAGACCAGCCTGACCAACATGGTGAAACTCCGTCTCTACTAAAAATACAAAATTAGCCAGGTGTGGTGGTGCATACCTGCAATCCCAGCTACTCAGGAGGCCAAAGCAGGAGAATCCCTTGAACCTGGGAGGCAGAGGTTGCAGTGAGCCGAGATCACAACATTGCACTTCAGCCTGGGCAACAAGAGAGAAACTCCATCTCAAAAAAATAAAATAAAATAAAATGGAAGAGATTCCAAGATTCACCTCATTTAGGGATGGAGCTATTGTTATAATCAGATTTCTGAAATGAGTGCTGACTTCCTCTCACATTTCACAGGAAGCTAGACTTCTTAAAGCTTGAAGTCTCCTTGGTGGGTTTTATTTAAATTGAATTAAAATAATTATTTTACAGGGAAAAATTTCAAAACACTTTGCAACTTTGGGGTAAAAGTTAAATAAAACACTGTAGCCCCAAGTTAAGTTCCCACTGAAATGATACTTTTGCTCCTTTTTTTAAAAAAAATTCCATAAATAGTAAATAATGACTGTTTTGAGATTAATTTAGAAACAATCCCTATTTAAGAGCTTTCATATGCAGTCATGCATTGCTTCCCACGTGAGGAGCTTGAGAAATGGGTCACTAGGTGATTTCACCATTGTGCTAACATCATAGCGTATACTTACACAAACCTAGGTGGTGTAGCCACCATACCTAGGGTACACGGTATGGCTTAGGACTCCTAGGCTACAAACCTGTACTGTATGTTACTGTACTGAATACTAAAGGCAACTGTCACAGAATGGCAGGTATTTGTGTATGTAAACATGGAAAATATATAGTTAAAATACTGTGTAAAAGATAAAAATGGGGCCTGGGCACAGTGGCTCATGCCTGTAATCCCAGCACTTTGGGACGCCAAGGTGGGTGGATCACTTGAGCTCAGGAGTTCAAGACCAGCCTGGCCAACATGATGAAACCCCATCTCTACTAAAAATACAAAAATTAGCTGAGTGTGGTGACGCGTGTCTATAATCCCAGCTACTCAGGAGGCTGAGGTAGGAGAATCACTTGAACCTGGGAGGTGGAGGTTGCAATGAGCTGGGATCATACCACTGCACTCCAGCCTGGACAACAGAGTGAGACTCCATCTCAAAAAAAAAAAAAAAAAAAGATAAAAATGGTATACCTATATAGGGATAGCTCCATTATACGCTTACGGAACCACCATCATATATGTGGTCTACTGTTGACCCAAACTTCATTTTGCAGCACATGATTGTAAATGATTGACAGAAAGATCTTCAGCAAAATATTCCACCCAAGATACGTGGGAGATATTGAGATCCAAGCAATAAGCCATATTTGAAAGGCATTATAGTTTTCAAAAGCTGTAGCGCAATCATTCTTAAGGCCAGTTACCTTCTCCCCACATCTCTGGGATCCTGTTTGAAGGGAGTTCTAACAAGGCCTGTGTTCGAGCAGCCCAGCATCCCTTACTCCTGGAGCGGGGGGAGACTAACCCCTCTCCTGTGTCCACAACTGTAGTAATACAATCCTCGGTTCTGCTCTCCAAACTTCAAATAAGGGGTCAGAGCCAAGGGTTAAGACTTTAGGAAAAGCCCCGGAAATACCCTGCACTCAAAAAGCAGTTTCAGAGTTTCACATTTTCCTGAGAATTAAACAAATTATCCTCCAAATTCTGCTGCTTGTTTTGAATTATGGTTATACTGGCAATGTTATCCAACCCTTGAGTTGTTTTTCTTTTCTTTTTTTTTTTTTCCTCGAGAGAGTGTCTTGCTCTGTCACCCAGGCTGGAATGCAGTGGCATGATCTCGGCTCACTGCAACCTCCGCCTCCTGGGTTCAAGTGGTTTTCATGCCTCAGTTTCCCAAGTAGCTGGGATTACAGGTGCCCACCACCACACCCAGCCAATTTTTGTATTTTTAGTAGAGACAGGGTTTCACCATATTGGCCAGGCTGGTCTTGAACTCCTGACCTCATGATCCACCCACCTCGGCCTCCCAAAGTGCTGGGATTACAGGTGTGAGCCACAGCGCCTGGCCTGTTTGTTTTTTGAGATAGAGTTTCACTCTTGTTGCCCAGGCTGGAGTGCAATGGTGTGATCTTGGCTTACCGGAACCTCCGCTTCCCGGGTCCAAGCGATTCTCCTGCCTCAGCCTCCCGAGTAGCTGGGATTACAGGCATGTGCCACCATTTCTCCATGTTGGTCAGTCTGATCTTGAACTCCTGACCTCAGGTGATCCACCCGCCTCAGCCTCCCAAAGCACTGGCATTACAGGTGTGAGCCACTGTGCCCGGCCCTGTTACCTTTGAGTTTTTATCTCCACATACTTATATTAAACCGTGTAGTTCTTCTTCCCATCTGACATCTACAATCTCTTCACTGGGTCTGTACTCCATAGCTATTTTACCACTTTCTGAAATAAAGTTAGCAAGGATGAATTCAGAATCTTTTTCATTCCAAAACTTCCTGCATATAATGGTAGCAACCCACAATGAGACATTCTTTTAGTTTCTAAAAGCAGGAAATAAGCATTTTCCTGAAAGTTTCCTCATCTCTTCATCATACACTTCGATTTTTGTTTTTCTTTTTTCTTTTAGACAGGGTCTCACTCTGTCACCCAGGCTGGAGTACAGTGGCACTATCATAGCTCACTGTAGCCTGGAATTCCTGGGCTCAAGTCATCCTCCTGCTTCAGCCTCCAGAGTAGCAGGCACTATATCACTGTGCCCGTCTAATTCTCTTTTTTAGAGACATGGTCCCGCTTTGTTTTCCAGGCTGGTCTCGAACTCCTGGCTTGAAGTGATCCTTCTGTCTTGGCCTCCCGAAATGCTGAGATTTCAAGCGTGAGTCATCATGTCTGGTCTCACAGCTCAGTTTTTAACATATGTATGAAATATCAACTGTGTTTGGTTCAAAGGACTTTATGATCTTACAGATAGGAACTAAGGAATAATAACGTAAGAAATAAAAAATGTGGAAATAAAAATGTTCAGTCATAACATGATTAAAAGGTAAGGCACCAGGTGGGGGGTCGAAGTAAGTTCAAATCCAAAATAGAGACCACTGGGCTAGTAGACACTTCACATTAGAAGCATGGCTAGGTGTCTACTCCCTGAGAACCAAAATTCCACCAGATACAATGAACAAAGCTTTAGAGAGAGAAAACATTTGAACATTTTACGGGCAGAAAATGGCCCACATACTCTATAGACAATACAATTTCCTTCAAGGCAAACTAGAACTATAAGGCTTTTGGTCTAAGAAGTGAGTGTGTGCAAGGGATACCTTTGCATACTAGGGAGGGGTAGACAACCCACACATTTAGCTTGGTTATTAAATGTCATTACTCAGACTTGACAGTTGATGACCAAGGAAGTAAGACTTTCACTAGAAGGGCTGCCCAGGTTGGAAAGCTGAGAGCAATCAGGGCCACCTCTTACAAGCAAATAAAGGTCTGTAGTAACTTAATTACAATCTCAGTCTCTAAGCCTTCAGGGTTGTGAAGCAGAAAGGCAACTCTGTTCAGGGACTCGTTAAACACCAGGTTTCCTTTGGGCACAGGCTATGACATTTGTGCCACTGTAGAACTGAATAGGAAATACAAGCAGTGCCATTCAACAGCATGACCACTTCCAAGGCTCACAGCAAAGCAGCTGATTATTGTATAAGAATCATATTTGGCCAATATGTCAGTGCCAGAAATGAGAGCTGGAACTGAATTCTCGATTCGAGAAACATAATCTAATAAATTCTTCAGCAGAGTTTATTTATTCAGAGAGAAAACAATCACAACAATAGCATATTTTGTCTGCTTACCTTGTAAGTATAGTTCTGAGTTTTTACACTTGTCATCTCATTTTTTCTTACAATATCCGCAATAAGGTTGATTGGATTACTAACCCCAGTTTGCAGATAAAGATTGCAGCTTAGAGATATTAAATATCTTCAAATCTCTCTGGCCATAAGACCTAAAACTGCATACAAAAATCTAAGAGACAGAGTTAGGACTCAAATCCATGTGTCCAGGGCTTATAATCACTATTCTGTACGATAGGCATGCAATTAAAGAAGACCTGCCTCAAACATTTTCTGTGTGACCTGAGGCAAGTCCTTTTATAGCTATAAACTAGGGACAATATTTGCTGTCATTTTTTCTACAAATGTCACAAAGAACAAATTTGAGCCTGTCGCTGTGAAAGAACTTAGCAAATGAAAGCATCCTAGGGAGTGTTTTAGATATCGATATTTTTATCCAATTAACTTTTCAAAATGAGTTTATTTGCTCACTGAAACTGAAGTACTTCAACGACGATTAAGGAAGTTTTACCTAGAACCACAATCAACAGTTTCTGGAATGCATCTGACAAAGCCTTCTCAATAGCAATCTGGGCTATCTTCCCTTTCATAGGAATGACAACGGTCTTAAATCCAACCCAAACTAATGGATTTAAGATGCCTATCTGAGTGATCATTGCTACATGTTGGTTAAAAAATAAAAATGCATCCACGAATCTTAGCTCATAATCTTCGTGATTAAAGGCAGACAGCACAAGGGTATGGTTGAACGTCTCTGTTATAGGTACATCCTGGCAGGGCCCATTTTTACTGCCTCCATCTAGTTGGGAAGTTCCTAAAGTACTAGAGGGAGACACAAGCCAAGAACCTGGCACATATCTCACATCACCCAGAGATTTAATTCATCAGTTAAGGCTACACTCCTATGGACCCCACCCTCCTATGCATCAAGGGCTGGAATCACTCACTGAAAAAAAGCTTTGTTGGCTGGACACGGTGGCCCATGCCTGTAATCCCAGCACTTTAGGATGCCAAGGCGGGTTGAGGCCAGGAGTTCAAGAACAGCCTAGCCAACGTGGTGAAACCCCATCTCTCCTAAAAATACAAAAATTAGCCGAGTGTGGTGGCACACACCTGTAATCCCAGCTACCTGGGAGTCTGAGGCACAAGAATAGCTTGAACCGGGAGGCGGAGGTTGCAGTGAGCCGAGATCATTCCACTGCACTCCAGCCTGGGTGACAGAGTAAGACTATTTTCAAAAAGAGGCCAGGCACAGTGGCTCATATCTGTAATCCCAGTACTTTGAGAGGCCAAGATGGGCAGATCACTTGAGGTCAGGAGTTTGAGACCAGCCTGAGCAACATGATGAAACCCTGTCTCTACTAAAAAATTTTTTAAAAATTAAAAATTGGCTGAGTGTGGTGGTGGGCAGGAGGGAGGTGAACTGCTTGAACCTGGGAGGTGGAGGTTGCAGTGAGCCGAGATCACACCGGTGCACTCCAGCCTGGGCGACAGAGCAAGACTCTGTCTCAAAAAAACAAAAAAGGTTTGGTACAGATAATCTGGCTCCTCCCTGGGCATCATCCATGAAAGCCTACTCCCCTCCATTAGCCTACAGCCCTGCCTCTGACTTCAAACCCTAAGCCTGAGGGCCATGAATACTAGAAAAAAATCTCAACGTCAGTTATCAATTGAGTACCCTTTCTAGTATCTCTAGTAGACTCTTGTTCCACTGAAGCCCTTCTACGAGTAAAAAAAAGGCTGAATGGGCCGGGCGCGGTTGCTCATGCCTGTAATCCTAGCACTTTCAGAGGCCAAGGCAGATGGATCACGAGGTCAGGAGTTTGAGACCGGCCTGACCAACACAATGAAACCCCATCTCTACTAAAAATACAAAGATTAGCCAGGCATGGTGGTGCATGCCTGTAATCCCAGCTACCCAGGAGTGTCAGGCAGGAGAATCACTTGAACCTGGGAGGTGGAGGTTGCAGTGAGCCGAGATCACACCACTGCACTCCAGCGTGCGCGACAGGGCAAGACTCTGCTTCAAAAAAAAAAAAAAGACAATGTTTACACAAAACTTTCTGTAAATCTTTACATGATGACTTGGCATGGTGGGTGGCTCATGCCTATAACTCCAGCACCTTGGGATCCTGGGGCAAGAGGATCACTTGAGGCCAGGAGTTTGAGACCAGGCAGGACAACACAGCAAGACCCCATCTCCAGAAAAAATAATTAGCCACATGTGGTGGCGCACGCCTGTAGTCCTGGCTAGTCAGGAGGCTAAGGTGGGAGGATCCCTTGAGCCCAGCAGTTTGAGGTTGCAATGAGCTATGAGCATGCTACTGCACTCTAGCCTGGGCAACAGAGCAAGACCCTGTCTCTAAAAAATAATAATAAATAGATAAACAAATCTTTAGATAATTTTGTTGGGATAACTGAAGGCTATAAGAGATACATATTTGAAGGACTATTTTAGACGAGATTGGGCGCGTTCAGGGTGGTATGGCTGTAGACTTGAAGGACTATTTTAATACAAAGCAAGTTCTTAACCGAAAACTGGAAAAACATTACTTCCTTCTTCCTCCTACGCTTCTTGGCAGGAAGTACACTGTACAATTTTAAATTTAAAGGTTCTGGCCGGGTGGGGTGGCTCACACTTGTAATCCCAGCACTTTGGGAGGCCAAGGCAGGCAGATCACGAGGTCAGGAGATCGAGACCATCCTGGCCAACATGGTGAAACCCCATCTCTACTAAAAATACAAAAATTAGCTGGGTGTGGTGGTGGGCGCCTGTAATCCCAGCTACTCAGGAGGCTGAGGCAGGAGAATGCCTTGAACCCGGGAGGCGGAGGTTGCAGTGAGCCGAGATCACGCCACTGCACTCCAGCCTGGTGACAGAGCAAGACTCTCTCTCAAAATTAGTTAATTAATAAATCAATTTATTAAATCAATTTATTAATTAATAAATCAATGTATTAAATCAATTTATTAATTAATAAATCAATGTATTAAATCAATTTATTAAAGCAATTTATTTACTTATTTAAAGGCTCTGTCAGGTATTGCCTAAGGTAAAAGTCTGTATTGTAAGACAGAAAACCTCTGCCCAGGACTTCAGTAGCTCAGAGAGGGAAAGGCTTGATATGTGTCTGAAAAGACAAGTTTTAGACAGCAAGAAAAAAGAGATCCTTCCCATTTCAACTCCTTACCCTCCTCTACCCCCAATGAAAACAGACCTTCCTTCGCCTTATCCACAGGCTCCTCCACCAAGCCAAGGCCAGACTCCTGCAATCATAGGATGGCAACACCACCTCTAAAGCACAGAACTTCAGGCTTTGCTTCGGAAGTGGCACCATGGTCTCTTCATTTTCCCTTTCTTCAAGGTCAGAAAACTGAAGCTGTTAGGAGTTTTAGTGTTAAGTTCCTTCCGAGGATGTTAATTAGGCTTCAAACTGTTTTGTTCTGAGAAATAAAAACTAAACTCCAGTCATTCAAGCTAACAGTTGAGGTGTTCTATGGCTTCAAAATCAAGTAAGATTTGTAAATGAATTGCTAGGTGCAACCATTACTTATTATATGCCACACAAACAGTGGAGAAAATTATGGACACCACCATCCAAGTGATTGAGATTATTAATTTTAGGTAGCAGGCCAATTCAGACATGTCCACTTATCCTCAATGGCAGGGGGCCTCTCACATCCCCTCCCTGTAACCCAGTTCAATACTTCTGTCTAAAGTCTAGAATTTCAATGTTGAAAGGAGAGCGTGGTTAGTGAGAGAAAATCCACAAAGTTTATCCTGATGATCCTTTCTGACCATCCATTGAAACCAAAGTAGTAATTCACCAGTTCTTGGCATCAGGAGCTGTTTCAGGCAAGGGCCTGATGTGCAACTGCCTTATGTCTGCTGCCAAGAGGAACCTAAAGTCACAAGAGACAGACCCACAAATATCACAGCCTGCCAGAGATTTTATTTTGGATACACCTGAGATTTATCAATACCAACTGTGCAAAGAAAAGAAATTGTTTCAGTCTTCCCATTCAGTAGCTCCTTCTTGAGAACATGACCTGAAGAATAGATAAGATGAACCCACCCATCCCCCACCCCAAGTTACCCCTGCTTAAAGAGGAAATACACATACCTCTATACATTTTACAAGCAACTAAAACAACTAGAGGTTCATCTGCATGTATAAGCTTCTTTGACAATGCAAATATCTACTGAGTGTTAATTCTTGAAATATTTTACACATTTCTGTGAATTTCTTACATCACCAGTTCTTTCTTATGTCTATTTCATTTTGTAAGTGTAGAATATGATTATATTCATGAAACTCAAATGATACAAATAGTCAAATTTATTGTATTAGAAATTAATAAGAATAGTAAAGTTAATTCTTTGTTGATTTGTTTATGCACCTTCCTCTGTCACTGGTTTATAAGCTCCATAAGTGCCAGAGGAAAACATATCTTATTCTTTTTTCATTCCCAGAACAAAGCACAGTTCTTGGCATACAATACAGGATAGATGGTCTGTTGATTGAGTGAATGAATAAAACAATGAGCAAGTAAAAAATGAAATTACTTTTTCCCACTGAAGAGAAAGAGAAACGCTTGTTGGGAAGGAGAAATGAAGACTATTTTTTTTTTTTTTTGAGACGGAGTCTCCCTCTGTCGCCCAGGCTGGAGTGCAGTGGCATGATCTCGGCTCACTGCAAGCTCCGCCTCCCGGGTTCACGCCATTCTCCTGCCTCAGCCTCCAGAGTAGCTGGGACTACAGGCGCCCCCCACCACTGCCGGCTAATTTTCTGTATTTTTAGTAGAGATGGGGTTTCACCGTGTTAGCCAGGATGATCTCCATCTCCTGACATCGGGATCCACCCACCTCAGCCTCCCAAAGTGCTGGGATTACAGGCGTGAGCCACCACGCCTGGCAATGAAGACTAATTTTTAAACGTTGAGTGCTACCACGGAGACCAGCCTGTAACATGAGTCACAGTGGAGACTTTCGGAACATCTAGGAAACTTCAGAAGGGCTCTGAGCCCCTGGGTGGTACAGACAGTTGTCACCTTGGATAACATTGCCACAGTTCTTGCTGGTGACCATTTCCCTTCATTTCACTGAAACAAAAACAAAAACAAAAAACCCTCACAGGTGCCTTAGGCCTTTCCTTGATTTTAAAACATTATTCTCTTTTCTGTATTTATAAAAAGCAAAAAAGACAGCAACTAGGTGTATGTGCTAAAGTAGAAAAGAACACTTAAGGCCAGGAGCAGTGGCTCATGCCTGTAATCCCAGCACTTTGGGAGGCTGAGGTGGGCAGACTGCCTGAGGTCAGGAGTTCGAGACCAGCCTGACCAATATGGTGAAACCCTGTCTCTACTAAAAATACAAAAACTAGCAGGGCGTGGTGGTGGGTACCTATAATCCCAGCTACTTGGGAGGCTGAGACAGGAGAATCTGGGAGGCAGAGATTGCAGTGAGCAGAGACCGGGCCATTGCACTCTAGCCTGGGGAACAAGAGTGAAACTCCACCTCGAAAAAACAAAAAATAAAAGGACCCTTAAACTAGATAACAGTGGGGGTCAAGTAGTAACCCAAGGCTCTGAGTTCAGTAAGTAAATAAATCTAATATGAATGCCCTCTCCTCTCACTCATCTATTAACTTGTAGAACATTTCCTTCATTACTGCATCAGCGATGAGCTTTATGCTGTGAAATTCTCAAAATCTAAAGCTTATGAAGTGGTCTCAAGGTCCAAAGCGCACTAAAAACTCATTACTTACAAAATGATGCCAAGTAACTGTTTCATCATCTTTACCATACCTTTACCATATTTGAGTGGCTATGTGAAATGGTCACAGGTTAGAAACACATCATCGTCCAAAAGTTAAATAATATTTCACAGGTAATCATTTCAGTCACAGGAAGTGGAACCAGGATTGAAGAGGGTGTTGAATAAGCTACAAAAGTGGGTATAGTATACCTGGAGTCATTACTAAGCAGAGTTCTCAGATTTGATCAAGGTTAATTCAATGAGAAATGGAATATAGACAATAGGCAACAAGATTAGCAGGAAGCAGTCAGATCAAGTAGCCAATCAGGAATTGAAATCGGTCCTTGAAAATGGAAAGGTGATTGAATTGAGGCATACAATGAGATATCATTCTGTGGCTCTGGGAAAGTAAAATTGGTTGGCATGTTAACATGGAATAGGATTTCTACAAGGCCGCTTAAAGAATGTTTCCATCCTCTGAGAACTGAAGGGAGTTCCAAATAGGCAGTTTGTGACTGATGATGAGCATGTTGATGATAAAGTCTCCTTTATATAACAGCCGGCAGACGACTTGGTCACGCCCACACATTTTAAATTCACATAAAGGTAAATATATGGTCAGGCGTGGTGGCCCACACCTGTAGTCTCAGCACTTTGGGAGGCGAAGGCGGGTGGATCATTTGAGGTCAGGAGTTCAAGACCAGTCTGGCCAACATGGTGAAACTCTATCTCTACTAAAATACAAAAATTAGCCAGGCATGGTGGTGCATGCCTGTGGTCCCAGCTACTCAGGAGGCTGAGGCAGGAGAATCGCGTGAACCCGGGAGGCGGAGGTCGCAGTGAGCCAAGATCGCACCACTGCCCTCCAGCCTAGGCAACAGAGACTCCGTCTCAAAAACAAGTCAATATAGCTGGGCATGGTGGCTTGTACCTAGCTACTTAAGAGGCTGAGGCAGGAGGATTGCTTGAGGTCAGGATTTACAGACCAGCCTGGGCAACACAGGGATATTCTGTCTCTAAAAAAATTTTAAAAAGTACCACCACCATGCCCAGCTAATTTTTTTTGTATTTTTAGTAGAGACGGGGTCTCACCATGTTAGCCAGGCTGGTCTCAAACTCCTCACCTCAGGTGATCCACCCGCTTCAGCCTCCCAAAGTGCTGGGATTACAGGCATGAGCCACAGTGCCCGGCCCAGAACTTGCATTTCTAACAATTCCCAGGTTGTGCTGTTTGGGGAACCATACTTTGAGAAACACTTCCCTATAATCTGATAGGTTATTTCCCCTAAGATCCAGATGAGTAAAAATTAATACACATTAGATGAAATTCCAGAAGTTATCTTCAAACTTTGCTACTCATTGAATGTCATGAAGATATTGGAAAAAAAAGAAAAAAACAAAAAACAACCTTGCTACTCAACAAGGGATTTGCTATTATCACATTTCAGAGAAATTCAGAACCTCAGGCCTAAACCCAGGCCTACTAAATCAGGATCTGCAGTTTCTCACAATCTTCAGGTGATTTCTATGGTCATTAAAGTTTGAAAAGCTGCCTCGAAACAGTCCTTCCTAAAACTGAAGTGGAGGTGCCACAAAAATCATCTGGTAAATTGTTTAAAGTAATCCCAAATGCAACTCAAATCTACAGAATCCCAGGTGAAGCTCAGTAATCTGTATTTTTATCCTTCTCCCCAAATAATTCTGATGTGCAGGCAAGTTTGAAAACCACTGCTTTAAAGAAAATGGATACTCCCCTTACCAAGCAGAAAGTAGGATTTTGGAAACTGATGCAAGGGAAGCAAAAAAGATGCCTCAGGAGGCACGATTACAACAGGATTGATGCAAACGGAAGCTGAAGCTTAACCAAAGACATTAATATACGCCCACAAAAGAAAATGCTAAGGAAGTCAAGTGGTCTGCATGAATTCTGAAGAAAAATGGAGAACCAAAGAACAAAATTTGTCAATGAACTTCCAGCACAGTCTAGGTTAAGGGAGTGAATTTCTTGACTGAATGGCACAGACTCTGTACCACCTGATTGGCTGTTACCTTAATGGAGGAATTATATTACAATGTATAGGTACTTTAATTAGAATGACCTGGCAGTTACTGAGGCAAAATTTTCCGCTCCTTTGTATTCTGTAATACAAGAAGGATCTACATGGATGTTCTGTTCTCTGAACTGTCTGGATGAACCGGTCAACGGCACTCATCATACCTTAGTTTTTAAATCTGCATTGTGGTCATAATCTGTTATTTAATTAATTTCTCGTATTTTTAATAAAAACTTTGCCTATATATTTTAGACAGAAATTGCCTTACTTTGCTGAAATGCTGAGAAATCCTAGACAGTTTTCAAGGCTGGGCTCAAATGTCACCTCTACTACCCTTTGCTGTGCCTCCTGGCACTGTGCTTCTGACACTTTGTACGGTCCTCCATGACAGCGTGAGCACAATTAAATTACAGGCAATTACTCATGCCCCCCTGGCTCATCTGTTGACTCCTTTAGAGCACAGATCATGTTTTATTTATTGTAGCAACTAAAACAATTATTTGTTCAACCAATGACACCCATAAACAAAACTACCTGCTGAGGGCAGAGATGCAGGGGTAAAGTCATGCCAAGATTGAACCCCAGAAACCACTGTAGATTTTTCAGAGTTGACTCCTGCGTTTTCAGACTTCTAGACTTCAAAAAACAACTTCTATAAAATGTATGTTTCTAGAAGGAAGAAGAGTAACATTGTCCCCCCCCCTTTTTTTTTTTTTTTTTTTTTTTTGAGCTGGAGTCTTGCTCTGTCGACCAGGCTGGAGTGCAGTGGTGCAATCTTGGCTCCCTGCAACCTCCACCTCCCAGGTTCAAGCCACTCGCCTGCCTCACTTCAAGTAGCTGGGATTACAGGAGCCCACCACCACACCCGGCTAATTTTTATATTTTTAGTAGAGACGGGGTCTCACCATGTTGGCCAGGCTGGTCTCAAATACCTGACCTCAAGTGATCCACCTGCCTAGGCCTCCCAAAGTGCTGGGATTACAGGCATGAGCCACCATGCCTGGCCTATAGAGTGCTTTCTATTTGCCAGACATTGTGCTAAGCACTTTAAAATGCATTCTTTCATTTTATCCTCAGATCAGCTCCATAAAATAGCTACCATTATTACCTCTACATGTATATACATATATATGTATATATATGTAGATATATATACGTATATCTACATACATTGAAAGTCTCAGCAGTGTTTTAACTTTTGCTTTCAACCACTATACATATTTTAAAGAGCTTAAGAGGAGAAACAACCGTTTGCATTTTTAAATTTTCCCAGATACCATTTCTGCTGCTCTTTATCTCTGAAGTTCTAGTATTACCACTGGTATAATTTTCCTTTGGCCTAAAGACCTTCTTTTACTTTTATTTTAGAGCAGAACTTCCGCCAACACATTCTCTTAGATTTTCTTCATCCAAAATGTCTTTCTTCTTTTTCTTTTTGCCTTAATTGTTGAAGGGTATTTTTGCTGGATATAGAATTCTGGATTGACATTTCTCTCAGTACTTTAACGATGTTCTGTAGTTACTTGAATCGCTGAAAGGCTTAAAGTTGGGGACCAGCTCTATCACCTATACATTTTATAGAAAGGTTCATTACTTTCATATCTTCATTGTGGACCATAGCCTTTATCATCACAAAATTTGGTCTCATTTATGAGTTTTTAAATTTTGCTTTGAACCTAAACTTTTATAACTCCTTTCTATTTCCTACAATGTGGAGTTTATGGCGGACAGCACAGGCAGTTGGAAATATATATCTGGAGTTTAGAAAAGAGGTCTAGGTAGGAAAATGGATCTAGAAGTCATTGATATTTTGGCCGGGCGCGGTGGCTCATGCCTGTAATCCCAGCACTTTGGGAGGTTGAGGCAGGCTGATCACAAGGTCAAGAGATTGAAACCATCCTGGCCAACATGGTGAAACCCCGTCTCTACTAAAAATACAAAAATTAGCTGGGTGTGTTGGCACACACCTGTATTCCCAGCTACTCGGGAGGCTGAGGGAGGAGAATCACTTGGACTCAGGAGGCAGAGGTTGCACTGAGCCAAGATCGTGCCACTGCACTCCAGCCTGGTGACAGAGTGAGACTCTGTCTCAAAAAAGTCATTGATATTTTGGTGGTAATTGAGTCAACTGATAATTAGGGGAAAGTTGGGGAAACTAAATGCTGAGGACTATCACATGTAAGAGGGATGTTTGAAGGAGGAATAACTGGTCAAGGAAATCAGGTCATAAGTGGCAACAGGAAATTTAAGAAGGATGTAGTAGCCAAAGGTATCATACATGCATTGTATAGTATGTAGATATATATCTTTCAATGTATGTAGATATACATCTACATACATACACAATGTATGCATGTAGATATAATATACACTGAAAGTATAGATACATATCTACATACATTGAAAGTGTATATAGATATATACACACATACACACACACATATATACAATTATAAGGGGGGGCTAGAATAAAGAAACCTATATGTTTGCAATACTTTTACATTTTATTTAGAGGTAAAATGCTAACTCTAAGTAGGTAGGTTAGGTATATATTTTGTAATTCCTACAGCAAAAACATAGCACAGATATAACCAAAAGCCAATTAATAAAACATAACACTAAAAAATATTCAGTTAATCCAAAAATAGGCAGAAAAAAGAAACAGAAGAAACCCCCCAAAAAAGAAATAACCAGAAAATAATAAAAAGGAAACCTAAATCCAATCATCATCAATCATATTAAATGTAAATGGTCCAAAACACATTAATTAAAAGACGCTGTCAGATTACATTTAAAAGAAAAACGAAAAAACAAGAAACCATTTGAAAATATAATGATATGGCCAAGTATGGTGGCTCACGCCTATAATCCCAGCGTTTTGGGAGGTTGAGGTGGGCAGGTGGCTTGAGCCCAGGAATTCAAGACCAGCCTGGGCAACATGGCAAAACCCCATCTCTATTTTTACAAATTAAAAAATAAATGAATATCATGATATCTAGATTAAAAGCAAAAGGGTAGAGAAAGATATGTCATTTTAACACTAGTCAAAAACAGTATTATACTACTAATATAAAACACTAATTTTATATTAATATTAAGTAATTTTTTTTTTTTCCCCCGAGATGGAGTCTTGCTCTGTTACCCAGGCTAGAGTGCAATGGCATGATCTTGGCTTACTGCAGCCTCTGCCTCCCGGCTTCAAGCAATTCTCTGGCCTCAGCCTCCCAAGTACTTGGGATTACAGGCAGCTGCCACCGTGCCTGGCTAATTTTTGTATTTTTAGTAGAGACGGGGTTTCACCATCTTAGCCAGGCTGGTCTCGAACTCCCGACCTCAGGTGATTCACCTGCCTCGGCCTTCCAAAGTGCTGGGTTTACAGGCATGAGCCACGGCACCTGGCCTGTTTTGGTTTTTTTTTTTTTTTTTTCTTTTGAGATGGAGTCTTGCTCTGCTTCCCAGGCTGGGGTGCAGTGGCGTGATCTCGGCTCACTGCAATATCCAACTCCCGGATTCAAGTGATTATCTTGCCTTAACCTTCTGAGTAGCTGGGACTACAGACGTGTGCCACCACACTAGGCTATTTTTCTCTTTTTAGTAGAGATGGGGTTTCGCCATGTTGTCCAGTCTGGACTCGAACTCCTGACCTCAGGTGATCCACCCGCCTCGGCCTCCCAAAGTGCTGGGATTACAGGCATGAGCCACCATGTCTGGCCAAATAATGGTTTTTAATATAATGATTATTACCAGAAATAAAGGTTATTTCAGAATGATAAAGGGGTCAAATAATCAAGAGGACAAAACTGTAAATGTTTCTGCATCTAATAACAGTGCCTCAAAATACAGGAAGCATAAACAGACAGAATTTTAAGGAGAAAGAGAACAAACCCATAACAATCATTGCAGACTTCAACACTCCTTTCTCAGTAATCACTAGAACAAGCAGACAGGAAATCAGCAAGGATAGGGAAGACCTTAACACGATCAACCAACTTGACCTAATTATTATTTATGAAACACTTTACCTAAAGGCAGCAGAACACATCTTTCCTATTACAAACTGAACATTGACCTAAACAAACAATGTTTCAGGCCATATACAAACCTCTACATTTTTTTTTAATTCATCATAACGAGTATGTTCCCTAACCATAATGGAATTAAATTAGAAACCAACAACAAAGATGTCTGGGAAATCCCTAAATGTTTGAAAATTAAACAATACGTTTTAAAACAAATCATGGGTCAAAGAGTAAGTCATAGTAGAAATTTTACAATATTGTGAACCAAATGAAAATGAAAATAAAACATGTATCACAAATTCTAAGATATGTTTTTAAAAGTGCACAAAGGGGCTGGGCGCAGTGGCTCATGCCTGTAGTCCCATCACTTTGGGAGGCCAAGGCAGACGAATCACCTGAGGTCAGGAGTTCGAGACCAGCCTGGCCAACATGGTGAAACCTCATCTCTACTAAAAATACAAAAATTAGCTGGGCGTGGTGGTGGGTGCCTGTAATCCCAGCTACTTGGGAGGCTGAGGCACGAGAATAATTTCAACCTGGGAGGTGGAGGCTTCAGTGAGCCAAGATCGCACCACTGCACTCCAGCCTGGGCAACAGAGCAAGATTTTGTCTCTAAAAACAAAAACAAAAACAAAAAAACGCATAAAGGAGCACAGTGGTTTAGCCTGGAATCCCAGCACTTTGGGAGGCCAAGGCAGGAGGATTGCTTGAGCAAAAAAATTCAAGACCAGCCTGGGCAGTATAGTGAGAACTCATCTCTATTTAAAAAGAAAGAAAGAAAAATCAAAGAAAATGAGGTATACATGCACAAGAGGATATTATTCAGCCATTTAAAAAGTGAAGTCATCTATAAAGCTTAAGGTTTGGAAAATAAAATCTGTTTGCAGCAACATGGATAGAACTGGAGGACATTATGTTAAGTGAAATAGGCCAAGGGCAGAAAGACAAGTATCACATATTCTCATTCATATATGAGAGATTAAGAAGTTGATTTCATGGAGATAGGCAGTAGAATGATGGTTACCGGGGGCTGGGAAGCAGGTAGGGATGAAGACAAGTTGATTCATGGGCATAAAAACTCAGCAAGATAGAAGGAATACGTTTCAGTTTTTATTTGCACAGTAGGGTGACTAGAGTCAACAATAACTTAGTGTATATTTTAAAATAGCTAGAACATTTGTTATCTTCCCAATACAAAAAAAAGGATAAACATCTGAGATGATGGATACCCTAATTAACCTGATTTGATCATTACACACTGTATCAATCTATCAAAATATTACATGTACCCTTATAAATATGTACACTCTACCTTAAGGAAACAGTGAAAAAAGAAGGTGTGGAACAACGACCACAACAAAATCAAAGAGGAAAATCTTTGTGAACTTGGGTTTGTCAGGCCAGGAATCAGCAAACCATGGCCAATCCACTACCTGTTTTTCTAATAATCGAAACAATATAATTGATAATTTGTAAATTATGTGAAATTCAAACTGCAGTGTTCATAAAGTTTTATTGGAACAGCTATTATCATTCATTTACATATTGTCTATGACTGCTTTCATTGCTACAATGGCAGAGCTGCAACAGGGACAGCAAGGCTGAAATATTTACTATCTGACCTTTTACAGAAAAAGTCTGGCAAGGTCTGGGTTAGGTAGAGCTGTTAGATGAACACCAAATGTGTAAAAGAAAAAATGTGGTAAATCAGACTTCATCAAAATTTAAAACTTATGCTCTGGGAAAAAGACACCGCTAAGACAATGAAACACAAGGCACAGATGGGGAAAATGTATGAACATCACACAGCCTAACAAAGCACTTATATCCAAAATATACAAAGAACTCTTACTACCCAACAGTAAGAAATTGGCCAGGCATGGTGGCTCATGCCTGTAATCCCAGCACTTTGGGAGGCCAAGGTAGGCAGATTGCTTGAGCTCAGGAGTTCAAGACCAGCCTGGGCAACATAGCGAAACCCCATCTCTATTAAAAATACAAAAATTAGCCACACATGGTGGCATGCATCTGTGGTCCTAACTACTTCGGAGGCTGAGGTGGTGGGAGGATCACCTTGAACCTGGAGTCGAGGGGAATGACAGGCTGCAGTGAGCCAAGATCATGCCACTGCACTCCAGCGTGGGTGAAAGAACGAGACTCTGTCTAAAAAAATAAAAGAGGCCTGGTGTGGTGGCTCACGCCTGTAATCCCAGCACTTTGGGAGGCCGAGGCAGGAGGATCACAAGGTCAGGAGATCAAGACCATCCTGGCTAACATGGTGAAACCCCGTCTCTACTAAAAATACAAAAAATTAGCTGGGCGTGGGGGCGGGTGCCTGTAGTCCCAGCTACTTGGGAGGCTGAGGCAGGAGAATGGTGTGAACCCGGGAGGGGGAGCTTGCAGTGAGTCAAGATCGCGCCACTGCACTCCAGCCTGGCGACACAGCGAGACTCCGTCTCAAATAAATAAATAAATAAAATAAAATAAAAGAAGAATAACAATAAAGAAAGCAACCCAATTAAACATCTTAAATAAAGATTTTGGTATCTTGGCCAGGCATGGTGGCTCATGCCTGTAATCTCAGCACTTTGGGAGGCCGAGGCAGGCAGATCGCTTGAGCCCAGGATTCGAAATCAGTCTGGGCAACATATCAAAACCCCATCTCTATTAAAAAAAAAAAAAAAAACTAGCCAGGTGTGGTGGTGCGCACTTGCAATCCCAGTTACTTGGGAGGCCGAGAGGTGGGAGGATGGCTTGAACCCAGAAGGTGGCGGCTGCAGTGAGTGGTGACTGTGCCACTGCTCTCCAGCCTGGGCAACAGAGCAAGACTCTGTCTCAAAAAAAAAAAAAAAGATTTTAGTATTTTTCCATAAACAATGATATACAGATGGCAAATCAAAAGATGCACATAAAAAGAGGCTCAGAACCATTAGTCATTAGGGACAAGGAAATTAAAACCAGAAGAAGCTACCACCATATACTTATTAAGGTGGCCAAAAAAAAAAAAAAAAAACTTGAGGCCGGGCGCAGTGGCTCACGTCTGTAATCCCAGCACTTTGGGAGGCCGAGGCGGGCGGATCACGAGGTCAGGATATCGAGACCATCCTCGCTAACATGGTGAAACCCTGTCTCTACTAAATATACAAAAAAATTAGCCGGGCGTGGTGGTAGACGCCTGTAGTCCCAGCTACACGGGAGGCTGAGGCAGGAGAATGGCATGAACCCGGGAGGCGGAGCTTGCAGTGAGCCGAGATCGCGCCACTGCACTCCAGCCTGGGTGACAGAGCCAGACTCCATCTCAAAAAAAAAAAAAAAAAACAAAACAAAACCCTGAAAATATCAAGTGCTAGGGAGGATACAGAGCAACCGGAACTCTTCATACATTTGCAGGTAAGAATGCAAAATGGTACAGCTACTTTGGAAAACAGTTTTGGCAGTTTCTTATAAACATACAACCCAGAAATCATACTCCTAGGTATTTACTCAAGAGAAACAAGAATTGTGTTCAGACAAAAAACATTATGGAAATGTTTACGGCAGCTTTATTCATAGCTGCCACAAACTAGAAATAATTGAAATATTCAACTATTGAACAGATAAATGCACTGTGATACACTCATATAAAGGACTGCTACTCAGCAATAAAGAAACTACTGATACAACAACACAGATGAATCTTAAATAC
The DNA here is from genome assembly GCF_000001405.40 of Homo sapiens. Taxonomy (NCBI): domain Eukaryota; kingdom Metazoa; phylum Chordata; class Mammalia; order Primates; family Hominidae; genus Homo; species Homo sapiens. The sequence continues at coordinate 476,975 of NT_167251.2, forward strand.
ATTATGCACTGTACACGTATAAACTAAAAAATTAAAATACCTATTTAAAAGTCAAACGGGCCGGGCGCGATGGCTCACACCTGTAATCCCGGCACCATGGGAGGCCGAGGCCGGCGGATTACCTGAGGTCAGGAGTTCAAGACCAGCCTGGCCAACATGGTGAAACCCTGTCTCTACTGAAAATACCAAAAATTAGCCAGGCGTAGTGGCGGGCGCCTGTAATCCCAGCCACTCAGGAGGCTGAGACAGGAGAATCGCTTGAACCTGGGAAGCGGAGGTTGTGGTGAGCTGAGATCGCGCCACTGCACTCCACCCTGGGCAACAAGAGCGAAACTCTGTCTCAAAACTAAATAAATAAAGTCAAACAGTACATGAAAAAATAATATGATCAAGAGAGGTTCACTGCAAGAATGTAAGGGTGAATCAATATAAGATCTACTAATATAATTCTATGAATATACACTACTGTAATTAATATGTAGCATGCAGGAGGAAAACTATATGATCATCTTAAAAGATGCTAAGATGTCATTTAACAAAATATAATAGCCATATCTGATTTAAAAAAAAAAAACTTAAACAGAAAAAAAATTGAAATAGGTGAATATACTCAACACATTAAAGGTCTCAAACCAACAGTTAACCATTAAATATCTGCAACAGTTCCATTAAATTGGGATAGCATACTAAGATGCCTATCATTATAACTAACATTTGACATTGTTTTGGAGGAGGTGGTAGGGAATGCAATTTTTTTCTTTTTTCTTTATTACCCAGGTTCCCATCAATGGTAAAGGCAATGTAATTTGAAGAGAAAAAGGAGACATAAATATAAGAAAATCAGATGTGTACATGATTCGTGTTTGCAGATGACACAACTTTATTCCTAGAATAAAGTTATTCCAATCAAAGCAAAAGCTACAAGAAACAATTAGAAAAAAGAATAGGTGGCTGAATTCAAAATTAATTTTTTAAATTAATGAGTTTTCAACTAGAAGTCCCCTAGCAGAGCAGGTATTTTCATAGACAAATTAAAGATTAAATAAGATATCATGGCATAAGTGAAAATATTTAGCAAATAAATTATACTTCATCCAATTTTGTAAAAAATACATACATATACATGTGCCAGGTGCAGTGGCTCACGCCTATAATCCCAACACTTTGGGAAGCTGAGGCGGGCGGATCGCCTGAGCTCAGGAGTTCGACACCAGCCTGGGCAACACGGTGAAACTCCATCTCTACTAAAAAATACAAAAAATTAGCTGGGTGTGGCAGCGAGCACCTGTAGTCCCAGCTACTCAGGAGGCTGAGGCAGGAGAATCGCTTGAACCCGGGAGGTGGAGGTTGCAGTGAGCCGAGATCGCGCCACTGCACTCCAGCCTGGGTGACAGAAGAGAAAAAAAGAAAAAGTATGTACTTTTTTGCTCAAAAGAAAAAAAAAAAGTATGTATGTATGTACACATGTCCACCCAAAGATGGTTACCTAATGAGAGGAACCAAAATATTAATGTTCTGGGTTTTCTAAATTTTCTACATTACTTTCCTGATAAAGGGAAAAAGCAAAAATAAAATGTAAAGGTTTTTTTTTTTTTTTTGAGATGAAGTCTCACTCTGTCACCCAGGCTGAAGTGCAGTGGCATGATATCGGCTCACTGCAACCTCCGCCTCCTGAGTTTAAGCGATTCTCCTGCCTCAGCCTCCCAAGTAGCTGGGACTACAGGCGCCTACCACCACGCCCGGCTAATTTTTTGTATTTTTAGTAGAGACGAGGTTTCGCCATGTTGGCCAGGCTGGTCTCCAACTCTCGAGCTCAGGCAATCCACCCGCCTCGGCCTCCCAAAGTGCTGGGATTACAGGTGTGAGCCACCATGCCTGGCCAAAATTTAAAGGTTTTACTAGATTTCCAGAAGCATTATTTATGAAAGTCAAAGCTTTTTTCCTAAACTAATTATCGAAATCACAGACTAAAGAATGTCAAGAGCTCAAAAATGGGGTGAACAAACTATGGCCGGCCACAGCCTGTTTTTGTAAATAAAGTTTTATTGGAACACAGCCACACTCATTTGTTTACTTATTGTCTATGGCTGCTTTCATCCTACCAGGGCCGAGCTGAGCAGCTGTGACATAGCCAGGTGGCCTGCAAAACCTAAAATATTTACTAATTGGTGCCCTAAGAACAAGTTTGCCAATCCCCTGATCATTAGATCATCTAGTCCATCCTATACTGTACAGGTGAGTAAACTGAGGTCCACACAAGAATGACTTCTCTATGGTCCAAACTCAAGTTAAGTAAGAAGCAAGGAAGACTCCATTTCCATGGTACTTTCCACCACTTGGCCAGGAAACTCTCAAAACAGACATCCTGCTGTTTGGGAGGTAAACCTCAGGGTCTCATATCACATCGCAAGTGAGTGTATTTGCCAATACATTGATGAGAAGAGGACTTTGGGCCTAGTCAGTATCCAAGAACAACTGCTAAAGGTCTGAGTAAACCTTAGTAGACTAGAAAAAGTTAATTTAAAAACCACACAGGCCAGGCGCAGTGGCTCACGCCTGTAATCCCAGCACTTTGGGAGGCCCAGGCGGGCGGATTGCCTGAGGTCAGGAGTTTGAGACCAGTCTGGCCAACATGGTGAAACCCTGTCTCTACTAAAAATACAAAAAAATAAGCCGGGTATGGTGGCATGTGACTGTAATCCCAGCTACCTGAAAGGCTGAGGCAGGAGAACTGCTTGAACCAGGGAGGTGGAAGTTGCAGTGAGCCGAGATCACACCACTGTATTCCCGCCTGGGTGACAGAGGGAGACTCCATCTCAAAAAACAAACAAACAAACAAACAAACAAAAAACAAACAAGCAAACAAAACACATAAGCACAGACTAGGGAAGGTTTAAAAACAAACAGATTCTGAGAGTATAATCTGGTTCAGTCTTTTAAATAGCACATACTGTAACCCAACAATCCAATCCCACTCCTAGGAACCTACCCTACAGAAACACCAGCTTAAGTGACTAAAGATACATCTCTAGCACATTTAAGACAGCACTGTCTGTAAAAGCAAAAAGGGCCTGAATTCTAGGCAAATAAATATTATCAGCAAATGCAGTTATGTGTTAATAAAGAAGGGGGCACTTCATGCCTTTACCTTACAGAGGGTCCTGACCTTCTGCGCATGTAAATTTGTGACCCTTGCCATAAACAATTTCCACTGTTAGGTTTCTTCCAAGACAGAGAAGATTCACAACTCATGCCATTAAGGCAGTTAAGGACAACCAATATACCTGGAAGACGGTAATCTTCCAAGTTACAGAGGATCAGAAATCCAATGCATTTCACCTGGATAATTCAGACTCAAAAGTTCAAATATTTATCTGAAATTACAGTAAAGCCACTTTAAAACTTTTTATTCTTTGCGCAGCACTTTGAAAGCACAGTACAGTCATAAGGTGGAGAAATGAGTAACTTACTGAATGAGACTTTCAGAAGTGTGTGAAATAGTTTTGATGTCTACAAAAACAGGGAAAACTGCACTTTCTTTCTACTTGTTGTCTTGATTACTGTGAGAAGAGTGTTGAAGTCTACAATATTGTTAAGGATGTGTCTGTTTCTCCTTGGAGTTCTATGAGTTCCTCATGTATTTTGAGGCTCTGTTATTAAGTTCATAAACCTTTAAGAAGGATTGTTTTTGGATGGGCTAAGATATTATTCGCTATTTTAAATGTTGGACCATCTCTTGAGACAAATATCCAAGCAAGAATTGGAAAGGAAAAAGGATAAGAGAAATTCCACACAGATTAATATATGCATTTCTGAAATACTTTTTAACTTCCATAAATAGAATATACACACAGACCTCAAAAGAGGCACTATGAACATAGTGAAATCGAGCAAGAAGCCATATTTCTAGTAAAACATATAAACTGCACCTACTGAATGTTGCCATTTGGTATGAATCACATGGCCAAGCCGTTTCCCAAGTGTGGGAATTACAGAACATATCCATGAGTAGAGAGGAGTCTAAGCATAACTTTCTTAGCAAATCTCAGGGGGGTTCCATAGACAAATAATTTGGCCAGTGACTCCTGCGTAAGAGGTTTTATATAGGAGAACCCAGAAACACTAGGACATACTAAAATCTCACAATTCAGTTTGCATATCAACATTTACACTTTTATAACACTGAAATTCTCTGAGTTATCAAATTTAATTTCTCAACCAAAAGTCTCTGAATCCTAATCCTTCCTTCCCTTCTGGCCTACATATATGACTCTCAGCTTACTTTTACCAGGACTGTGGCAGATTTTCTAACTATGTGTTAACTGACTGCCTCTTCACCCTACCACCAAGAACAACAAATAATGGAAAGTCATCTCACACATGACCCCAAATCTTACTGCAGAAATGCAATACCATCACATACACAAATAATGCTGGGCCCAGAGTCTCCACAAAGGAGGACCTCACTCAGCCAGACCGCTGGGGCTACCCAAGCTGTGCAGGATTTAGGGCAAATAAAAGGCTAGAAAAGGAGATGTTAGGTAAATTCTCACTGGTCTAACAGAGGCAGACTGACTACAGTGAGTCCAGGAGAACTTTCTGTAATGATATGAAATGCCCCAAATGCTCTACCTTTGTGTGGTGCAATACACGTGGCTACAGAGCACTTGAAATGAATGTATAACAGCTAGTGCCACTGGAGAAACTGAAGTTTTCATTTTACTTAATTTTCTTTTTTAAGAGATGGGTTCTCACTCTGTCACCCAGTCTGGAGTGTGGTGGCACAGTCCATAGCTGACTAGAGCCTCAAACTCCTGGGCTCAAGCAATCCTCCCACCTCAGCCTCCCAAGCAGGTAGAACTACAGGCATGCCATCCTATGCCCAACTATTTTAATTCTTTTGTGAAGACAGGGTTTTTACAAAACCCTGTTGCTCAGGCTGGTCTTTAACTGATGCCTCAAGTGATTTCCCACCTCAGCCTCCCAAAGTATTGAGACTACAGGTGTGAGCCACCACACCTGGCCTACTTAGTTTTAATTAATTTAACTCTCCACATGTGGCTAGTAGCTACCATACTGGACAGTACAGAGGATGAAAACAACCCACAGGCTTTATCTGACTCAACGTTCAGTTCCACAATTACCTGTGCTGCCTACTGCGTTCAAGAGATTTAACCAGGCACTCCAGAGACTGAATGGGACTTTCCCTGCCCAAAGTAGGTTGTAATGAAGGAAGGGCCAGATCATTAAAAGGCCATTTCAGTTCCACCTCTTAACAGATATAGATATAGATAAAGGGGTTAAATAATTAAGAGGATAAAACAATCCTTCCTAAAGGTTTATGGACTTTAGGAAGGAGCCTCAAAATACATAGATGCAGAGCCTCAAAATACATGAAGATTGCTAGAACTTCAAGGAGAAACAGACAAATCCTTCACAATAGCTGTAGACTTCAACACTTCCCTCAGTAATCAACAAAACAAGTAGAAAGTCAGACAGATCTTAATAACACTATCAACAAACTTGACGTAATTGATATTTATGCAATACTCCACCCGACAAGAGCAGAATACAAAATTCTTTTCAAGTACATATGGAATATTCACTTAGACTGACAAAATTTTGGGGTGCAAAACCTCTAAAAATGTTTTACAAAATTAAAGTCATACAAAGTATGCTCTCTGAACAAAATGAAATTAAATTAGAAACCAGTAACTGAAAGATACCTAAAAAAAAATCCCCAAATATTTGGCTAAAACAATTAATGCACAAGGTCCTGGAGGTTAAGGGGGTGGAAAACAAAGGAACTTAGCCCCACCTGGGGGTAAAGGGAATGGTGATCAGAGAAGGCAGGCTGGAGAAGGTGATGGATGGGTGACTAGGAGGTGGGTCTGTGAGAACTACAAAGAAATAAGTATTACTAGATCAATTTGAGATGAAGAGAAGAAATAAGGAGTGAACAAGGAAAAGAGAAATAAGGGGGATGTAAAAAGTAAAGTAGAGGTTCCTCTTCAAGACTTTCCTCTCTAATTAAGAATAAATAGTAACTTCTCTTAGAAGCAAAATTTATTCAAAGACCTGTGCTAACATTCTTAAATATCCGCTAGCCATAATAAAGAAATCAATGTACTTTATGTTCTTAGCTCCCACAATTTAGCCTAAATATTTGCCCTGGCACGCTTAGGCTGGTCCAAGCAAGCATTAGGTCATAGCCTGTTCCTCTTCCTTATTTAAAAGTGTTTTTACCTTTCTCAACATTCCACAAGTTACTTCCTCCTTCCTTTGTTCCCCTCTACCTTTGCCTCTTTTAAAAAGTTCTAAGTTACTAACCAATCGGGACAAATACAGAATGTGAGGTCCCGTTCCAGCCAAAGGAAACCGGAAACAGCAGTAAGGTAGATGCGTCAGGTTATAAATGACCCTATCTCCTTTGTTGGGTGTACTCTCATGGCAAAACTGCCTGTGAGTGTACCCTTTCTGCAGGAAGTAAAAATGGCCTTACTAAGTAAACTAAATTTATGTTCAAGTGCTGTTTCTTCACGGCACCGGGGAACAAGCATTTCAAACAGGAGATTTAGAAGTCAGTTCATCCTTGACTCCTTTTCTCCCGCTCACCACATCCCAGCCTAACCAATCTATCTCATTAAGGATTCATTCTAATGCCTGAATTATTTTCTGCCAGGTGCTGTGGCTCACACCTGTAATCCCAGCACTTTGGGAGGCCAAGGCGGGTGGATCACTTGAGGTCAGAAGTTCAAGACCAGCCTGGCCATTTGAACCGAGGAAGAGGTTGCAGTGAGCCAAGGTCATGCCACTGTACTCCAGCCTGGGCGACAGAGTGAGACTCTGTGTCAAAAAAAAAAAAAGAAAAGAAAAGAAATTAAAATTGAATTTGCAATAATCCAGCAAATAATCCTATTTATATACCTAAGAGAAATGAAAATATATGTATAGATAAAAACATGTACACGAATGTGCTCAGCAGCATTATTCGTAATAGCCAAAAAGTGGAAACAGTTCAAATGTCCATGAACTTACGAAATGGATAAGCAAAACATGGTCTCTGGGCACAGAGGTGTGTGCCTGTAACTCTAGCTACTCTGGAGGCTGGAAGGCTGAGGCAGGAAGCCTGAGCCCAGGAGTTTCAGGTCAGCCTGGGCAACATTGCAAGACCCTGTCTCCATTTAAAAAAAAAAAGTGGTATAGCCATACAATGAAGTGTTATTCAAATATAGTACTGATACATGCTATGATACGCATAAACCTTGAAAACATTAGGCTAAATGACAGAAGCCATACATTATATGATTGCACTTAATAAGAAATGTCCGTAAGAGGCAAATCAACAGCAAATGAACGTAATTACTGGCTGCCAGGGGAGAGCAGGAGGGAGGTGAAGAACAGGGAGTGACGCCATAGGCATGGGCTTCTTTTGCAGGGGCGTAAAAACAAGCTGGAATTAGGTAGTGTTAATGGTTGCACAACTCTGTCAATACACTAAAAAAAACCACTAAATTGCATACTTTACAAGGGTACATTTTACAGTATGTAAATTATATCTCCATAAAGCTGTTACCTTTTAAAAACTGAATTTTCATAAATATTGCTTGAAAATCATTCTGCAATTTAAAAGATGTTCAATAAATGTTAACTATTACTGTCGCTATTTTTAAAATGTGACAATCTCAAAATAATATTTGAATATAACTATCAAGAAAAACATAAAAATTGTAGATATATACCAGCAGACAAAACAATTGAAACATTATATTTACACGCATTTTAATTCTTTCTATATGGTCACTTTCGATCTTTTAAAGTGTATTTTAATGTATAATTTTTTTTTAAGTTAAGAAACATGCTGCCTCCTGATGCTTATGTTAAAGAACCAAAAGCATGAAAAAAATTAGAGGCCGGGCGTGTTGGCTCAGGCCTGTAATCCCAGCACTTTGGGAAGCCGAGGCAGGTGGATCACGAGGTCAGGAGTTCAAGACCAGCCTGGCCAACACAGTAAAACCCTGTCTCTATTAAAAAGTACAAACATTAGCCGGGTGTGGTGGTGGGCGCCTGTAGTCCCAGCCACTCAGAAGGCTGAGGCAGGAGAATAGCTTGAACCCAGGAGGTGGAGGTTGCAGTGAGCTGAGATTGTGTCACTGCACTCTAGCCTGGGCGACAGAGTGAGACTCCGTCTCAAAAGAAAAAAAAAATAGAATAATTAGTGTCAGTGTTAAGCTAGTGCTGAGATCATAACCACTGTCAACAGGCACTCAAAGAGAAGGAAGAACAAGGTGCGCAACAGGACTCAAGGAAGATCTCCCAGGAAGAGGGATTCGAGCCTGGCTAAGGAGCAGGAAGGGAAAAGGGCATCAGCTAGGATTTGTTCCTGTGTCACCCAGATTACCACTTGCTCACCATGACTACCACTCTCTCACCCCCATGTCTCCATCATTAAGGGTCTTTAGTCAAAGGGAAGACACAGGGTCTTGAGGACTGAGGAAAGGAGGACCTAACAGAAGAGACCAGAGCTCCTGGTCTTAACATCCCCAGTCCTGTTATATGCATGTTTCAACACAAACTTCCAAACACGCCCATGGGTGAGCAGAATAGAACAGCACGAACTGTATGCAAGACTATTTATCACTGCGTAACTAGGACATGCCTCTCCACTACTCACAAATCATGTTGCCCAACTTTTTCAAAACCCTTTTGGCTCTCACTTTAATTCTCATGTTTAATCTCTTGAGGTACTGATACCTGAAAACAGATGTCATTAATTTCCCTTATAATCTTGACCTCCCTATTGTTACTGAAAGTACTACCATTCTTAGGGAGGCGTAGGTGATGCATTCCTCTCTCTACATTCTATGTGTCAAGGCCAGAAGAACTCTAGAGTACCTCCTGGACTGATCTTCCATTTAGGACTACAAAACCCACCAGCTATCTTGTCCTTGTCAATCCATCCTGCAGAACAGAAGCTATGCTTCAAGATCTTCTGATCATCCCAATACCCAAAATTAAACAGATTCGAAACAGATTTGAGAGAGAGGGCTACACCAGTGGTTCAACAGCATCTCTGTGATTTGATGTGGTTCTGTTTCATGTTCATGCATGGTGCTGCTGGGAATACAGCATATCTTCTCGGGGTGTCAGGAGTGAAAAAGGCCTGAGGATCACGATCCAGCCCAATCCCTATTCTACAGAAGAGGGGGAAAGTACAGTTGCTATAGCCTGATCCTCTAAGTACTGCCCAACACAACATACAAGGGAGTTTTGATTAATTTCCTATTCACACACTCAGGCTCTTGTTACACCGAGTTACTTGAGACTGCCCACACTTTACTATCAGTGCCTGCCGCTCCCTCCCGCTCTCTCCCCCTCCCTCCCTCAATCTGCCTGTCCTTACTCTCCACATGCCCATCCAGGAAGCCTACGCCCACACCAATCCCCTTAAACAGGGTATATAATCTCGCCCTCCTTTAAATGCCCACTGCACTTTGTACCTCACTTGTAACGATCAGAAATTATACTGAAAAGATATTAAGTTGACACTGGTGGGAATAATATTGTCAAACCAGTGACAAATTCTGTTTGAGGTAAATCTATGGTTCATTGATGGCATCTCTGCCACTGATCTCCACTGTCACAATCCTTAGAGGACATAAATCACTAACTGTCCCAGGATAACACCAGGGCTTTTGTTTTATGAAGTCATCAGAGGTTCCAAGTTTTAAAATTCCAGGTAAGTATTCTCAGAAGTCTCACATAAGACTGAGACTGAAACACAAGAACCATTCTGTTTTACATACAATTTCTTAAAATTAGCAAATGCTTAATTTCAAAGTGCTGTCAGAACTTTACCAAATGCCTATTGAAAACACTTCCTATACAGTCCTTCTCATTATATCGGCAATGTCATAAAATCTATAGGCTGAAGTAATTCTAAATTTAAAAAGTAAAAATAAATTAAAGCATTATTCAGCCATATGCTTTCGGCTAAAGCAAAACTAGGTGGTTGCAATGTCATCCTTACATTTTTTCCATAAAAGGAAAACAATCTTCAATAAATAAACCTTTCATGACTTTAGTAATATCAATTAATGCTGCTGCATTGTTATATTACCTACAAAATACTGAGTTATTTCTTATATTAGGAGTTATTTCTTATGTTAGGAATGTCACATGTCAGTAATTAAGCCAACGCTGTAAACTATAAAAATTAATCAAATTACTCTAAATTACCAATAAAGTAAATTCCTCTTTCAGCCTTCGCAGTACAACAGGATTCAAATTCATCAATCATACTTCTTTATGTGTTATTCAGATATCTTAAACCAGTTCTAAAATTTTTTTCTTCCATCTACACATTTACCTGACAGCCTTCCACCCAGGAAGTACAGACTATAAAACCAATGAAACTAGTACTTAGCCTAAACAACTCACTGTCACGCGTTGTTACTCATTCGAGGCAAGTGGGCATGTTCTAAAAGTTTGGAACTCAAAATGTCACTCACATCCAGGGGGTGGGGGGCGAGGGGAGGGAACTTAAAGGGTGGGTCAATAGGTGTAGCAATCCACCATGGCACACGTATACCTATGCAACAAACCTGCACGTTCTGCACATGTACTCCATTTTGTTTTTAGAAGAAATAAGGAAAAAAAAAGTCACATCCATTTTACCATAATCTTAAGAAATAATGCGTTGCAAAAGGTAAAACATCCAAATTAACATCACAGCCAATAAAGAAAAATGCCTGGCAAGCAATATGAAATAGCAACTCAAAAACAAAGTAACTCTTGCAATGAAAAACATTCACTGGGCCAGGCCAGGTGGCACATGCCTGTAATCCTAGCACTTTGGGAGGCTGAGGCGGGTGGATTGCCTGAGTTCAGGAGTTCAAGAACAGCGTGGGCAACATGGTGAAACCCCATCTCTACTAAAATACAAAAAATTAGCTGGGCGTGGTAGCGTGCACCTGTAGTCCCAACTACTCAGGAGGCTGAGGCAGGAGAATTGCTTGAACCCGGGAGGTGGAGGTTGCGGTGAGCCAAGATCGTGCGTGCCATTGCACTCCTCCCTGGGCAACAGAGCGAGACATTCACTGATCAAATTGTCCATCAAAATCCAATTAGAAAAGAACAACAACAACAAAAAACCAATTAGGACGATTTTTAGTTTCCTAAATCCAAAATATTTAGGGGTTATGACACCCACTGTAGAATTATCGAAACTTCATGTACTACAAGTTCTCATCTACTAACAATAATTTATCCAACCAATCTTTGATGAGCACTTGCTATGTGCAAAACACTTACACGAGCTGCAGAGGGAATAAGCTCAATACCTATCTCTACAGAGTTAATAATTTCATATAAGGATAGGACAAGTAGACACACAGTAGGCTACAGGTGTCATTAAGAAAAACAAAATCTCAGGCCAGGCATGGTGGCTCACGCTTGTAGGCCCAGCACCTTGGGAGGCTGAGGCAGACGGATCGCCTGAGGTCGGGAGTTTGAGACCAGCCCTGACCAACGTGGAGAAACCCCGTCTCTACTAAAAATACAAAATTAGCCAGGCGTGGTGGTGCATGCCTGTAATCTCAGCTACTTGGGAGGCTGAGGCAGGAGAATTGCTTGAACTTGGGAGGCAGAGGTTGCAGTGAGCCAAGATCGAGATTCTACCATTGCACTCCAGCCTGGGCACCAAAAGCAAAACTCCTTCTCAAAAAAAGAAAAAATGTCACAAAAGTATCAAAAGTAAACACATTTTTTTAAAGAACACCTAGCTACAAATTGTAATTTAAGTCAGCATATGCACAGCCATCAATCCTAAATATTATTTGCTAGGCCTTCAAATATGACTTAAAGTTAGCTGAACTGCCCTGCCAAAATGTCTCAGCTCTGTCTAACCAGAAAAAACTTCCTCCAGGGGTGTATGCAATCCAGTCTCCATGTTTCAATTACCGGCTCTGGGTACAAAGACCAACATGTGATTTCTTAAGGTAAAAATTATTACTATAAAAGATGTACTAGGCCAGGCACGGTGGCTCACGCCTTTAGTCCCAGCACTTTGGGAAGCTGAGGTGGGCGGATCATGAGGTCAGGAGTTCGAGACCAGCCTGGCCAACATGGTGAAACCCCATCTCTACTAAAAATACAAACGTTAGCCAGGCACGCTGGTGGGCGCCTGTAATCCCAGCTGCTGGGGAGCCTGAGGCAGGAGAATCACTTGAGTCCGGGAGGTGAAGGTTGCAGTGAGCCAAGACTGCGCCATTGCACTCCAGCCTAGGCGACAGAGCAAGACTCCTTTAAAAAAAAAAAAAAAAAGCACTAAAATTAAGTTGGCAAGAATTTACATGTACTCCTTTTTACATATAAGACATAAATATCTGACATTTGATTCATTCCCTTCATTCTCCAGCCAGCCTCCCAGGGCAAGTCTGGCGAGGATTCTGACCATCGGGCAAAAGAAATTACCTTTTTTCAGTTTATGTTAGGACAACCTACGTGGGTTTACATTTGGCTTAATATAATACTACCCTACTTCTCCAATAAGTATTTAAGCATTTATTAAAAAACAGAAACTTTTCAATTTAACCACTTCTACTACCCTAGTCTCTCTGAGAAAGACATGACACACCTCACTTCAAGGAAAAAAGGGTCCTTTTTCCTCACAAATACTTCCTCATAAACTTTATTTTAAAAATGATTTTAAAACCAGATTCTAATTTAATTAATCTAGATTTGCAAAATTATAAAGGACAAGTCTTGCCGGTTGTTGCTTCGGTTATGTTAATTTCACAATTTAGTACACTGCAACTACGTATTTAATACAAAGCAGCCTTTGGGCGGGGCGGGGCGGGGCGGTGCCACGGGGTGGTTAACAAAATGCATCTCAGCACCGGCCTAGAGAAACTTTTCTGTGTGTAAACAGAAGAGGGGTTACCATGGAGAAATTCATTACGGATTTCGGGAGGGCTTTTTCCTCAGAAATAGAGTGAAAAGAATAAGTTGTTGTGTAATAAATCTGATACTGACACTGTGTGACTTAGAAGTTTGTCCAAAAGTTCATCTTAGGCAATTATGCCTAGATGATCAACTACACATCTTCTGCAACAGGTGACACGAACCTGCATTTCCCAAGCAAGGCAAAGCGATCAAATGAGTTAAGACGCGCGTTCCTGCGGTCTTGTAAATTTTTGATTTAACCAAAACAATTTTGAATCAGATGAATTACCAAATTTGGTTGGGTCTTGTTTGGCTTTCTGCTTTGCTTTTTAATCAGCCATTTACCAGAAACTGTTGCACGGGCCCGTTAGCACTCGAAGAATAAAAACAAACACACAAGACCAGATAAGGTTCCCCTACTAACCCAAATGATCCGTTTCCTTAACATATTTTTAAAACCACAGCTAGGGGTGTGAAAACAGATTGTGGCACACAATCTGTCCAAATCCTTAATTCCCTTTTAAGGAACAGATATATAATAAAAATCCGAAAGGAACCACATTAGAAATGAAAAGAGGTTTGCAAAACAAGAGGCTTCTTTCATTCCAGAAAACTATACCAAAACAAGGGGAAAAAATGAAAGCAATGGATATGTGTTTGCCCAAGTTTCAATCTTGCCCGGTGGAGACACTACACTGGTACAAATTCTGAGGAGGAAAAAGAGGAGGTTGGCGGGAGGCGGGAAGAGAGAGCGAGTGTGGCCTGCCAACTGCAACAATGCAATCTCCATTTTGAACAATGCGCCTCTTTCCTCCTATAAATCTGGTTTTTTGCCACCTGATGTGCCCTCGCATTTCCCCTCTGGGGGTCGGCGGGGTTGGGGGGAGATCGGAGCAGGATGCACAGCACACGAGTGAGCAAAGGGGGAGGGCAGAGAAGGTGGGGAAGGAGTCTGCAGCAACTGGGCTGAGTGGGTACCTGGAGTGCTGCTGTAGGTACTATGGCTCCTGACGCTGCTTTCCGTGCAGTAACTGGCGTCCTCCTACACCACTTTGTTGACAGCCCTCCGGACCGCAGCCGTCCGGGCCAGGTGGCTGCCCCCGCCTCCCCCCGGCCGGGGCGCTGGTGCTGGGGTGGGGCCGGCGGCGGCGGCTTTCTCCGGCTACTGCTGCCCATCCTGGGCGAGCTCAGCCGTGTCTTGGGCGCCTCAGCCTGGCGGTGGCCCACCTGCCCCGGCTGCTACCGCGTTGCCGCGAGCGGAACCCCGGATGGGTCCGGACGTGGGCAGCAGCGGCGGCGGCAGGGCCGGGGCGCAGCGCTCCGCAGAGGGAGCCGCGGACTGCTTCGTCGGCCTGCCCCGCCGGCCCCTCATGTTGGAGCCGAGGCAGAGGGAGAAGGGAAAGCGGCTGGGAAGGGGCGGGCGCAGTGGGGGCGGCCGGGGCCAGGTGGGGAGGCCAGAGGGGCAGGGCAGGAGGGGGCTGGCCTGCGGAAGCGGTTGGAGGGAGAAGGCTCAATCCGAATGGCTGGGGCCCCACTGCGGATCGCCTTCAGCCGCCATTTTGTTTCTTCCGTTAACGGAGCGCGGTCACGTGAGCTGAGCTGCCTACGAGCCTGGGACGGGGCGAGGTGGCGCGGCGGCCGCTAGGGGGAGCGCGGGAGCATTGAGTCGGGGGCGGAGATCCTGGGGCGCCGGGGCTGGGCGCAGCGCGGCGCGGCTGGACTCCGGGCTTGGTGGCGCGGTTGAGAGAGACGCGCAGCTCGTGAAATGCCCCGCGTCTAAGGCCTTCGGAGACCATAGTCTCCGCGGACCCCTGGCTGGAGCCCAAAGCCGGCCGGACCTCCTCCCTGCGTCTCCCCTTCCGCGGCTCGGAGAGGAAGGCAGGAGAGCCCCCAAATATTCCCCTCCCGCCCCCTAGGGAAACTGAAGCTGAAAGAGCCAGCAAAAGAAAAAAAACTCTCGGAGTGGGGCGGCCCGAGCGACCTAAGGGACGGGGCAGCGGCAGCGACCGAGGGAAATTAGTCGGGGTGGGGGAACAGGGAGACACGCCCCCAGAATTTAGGAAACTCCTAAATTCTACTAAAAATACAAAAATTACCTGGGCATGGTGGCGGGTGCCTGTAATCCTAGCTACTGAGGAGGCTGAGGCAGAAGAATCGCTTGAATCCCTGAGGTGGAGGTTGCAGTGAGCCAAGATTGTGCCATTGTACTCCAGCCTGGGCGGCAAGAGTGAGACTCCTCAAAAAATAAAATAAAATAAATCAAGAAAAGTCTGGAAACCATGCCAACTGGTGAAATGAATAAAGAAATAAATGTTGTCTGGACTGAGTGGCTCACACCTCTAATCCCAGTACTTTGGAGGCCGAGGCGGGCAGATCACTTGAGGCCAGGAGTTCAAACCAGTCTGGGCAACATGGTGAAACCCTGTCTTTTCTGCAATTGCAAACAAATTAGCCGGACGTGGTGGTGCATGCCTGTAATCCCAGCTACTCGGGATGCTGAGGCCCGAGAATCGCTTGAACCTGGGAGGCAGAGGTTGCAATGAACTAAGATCACGCCACTGCACTCCAGCCTGGGTGACAGAATGAGACTAGGTCTCAAAAAAAAATTATAATTCAGTAACATAGTCAGTTACAAGATAAACATTGAACCTGCCTCCTAGGTTCAAGCGATTCTCATGACTCAGCCTCCCGAGTTGCTGAGATTACAGGCGTGTGCCACCATGCCTGGATAATTTTTTGTACTTTTAGTGCAGACGGTGTTTCACCATGTTGGTCAGGCTGGCCTCCAACTCCTGACCTCAAGTAATCCACCCACCTCAGTCTTCCAAAGTGCTGGGATTACAAGCGTGAGCCACTGTGCCCGGCCTCAATTTGGGTTTTTATGGAAGCTTCATTACAGAGTCATTAATGATTACACCGTTGGCCGTTGGTGGTCAGCTTAACCTTCAGCCTCTCTCTATTTCTCAGAGGTTGAGAGTGGCACTGAAAGCCTTGACCACCAGCCCCAATCCTGAGGCTCTCTAGGAAAGCCTAATCAGTCAATCATTAGCATAAAAAAAAGACTTATTTTGCAGATTCTGAGGGTTTTAGGAATTGTACGCCAGGATCCAGGGAGGAAGATCAAATACGTGTTTCACAGTCTCACAGTCTCACAGGACCACATAGAGGAGATTGGTCATCAGTGTTTCTCAACAGAAGCGCTTTGGCCTTTTGGACAAGCCAGTTTACACACTGTAGGAAGAAGTTTAGCATCTCTGGGCCCGGATACCAAAGGCTAGTACCAGCCTCATCATTTTTACAACCAAAAAGATAACCTTGCCCGCTCCCCATACATTCCCAAACACTCTCTAGGAGGTGTCAGAACCACTTACGGCTGAGAACCACTGGAATACATTTTGGAATATCCAAAAAATGTACTTCCATTTTAAGAAAATAATGTGGGATTGGTGTTTTTCGTTTTTTAATTATTTGGAGGAAATTGCCAATGACAAGTGCTTGAACAAAAAATCCAAATTACAGACTAGTGTATATATAGTATGATGTATCCATTCAATTCACTCAGCAAATGTTTATTTGACACTTAAGGTGTGCCATGCACTGTTTCCATTCCACATTCTGTACAGAGTGGGAAAATATTTGTAGTTTATATCCTTTATATGGAAATAAATAGGTCAGTTGCACTTCAAAGCCAACAAATAAAAGTGATCTCTAAATCTAAACCCCAAAGACAATCATTTTTAAACTTTAGAATATATCTTGTATATATTGTTTTAATGCATGTGTTCGTATATAAACACATTTTATACTAAAATAATCTAATGAGGAAGAAAAATTATACTTTGGGAAAGAAGGAGCCGGGTGCAATGGTTCACGCCTGTAATCCCAGCACTTTGGGAGGCCAAGGGAGGAGTTCAAGACCAGCCTGGCTGACATAGTAAAACCCCATCTCTACAAAAATACAAAAATTAGCTGGGCGTGGTGGCGCACACCTGTAGTCCCGGCTACTCCGGAGACTCAGGCAAGAGAATCGCTTGAACCGAAAAGGCAGAGGTTGCAGTGAGGCGAGATCGCGCCACCACATTCCAGCCTGGGCGACAGAGCAAGACTCTGTCTCAAAAAAAAAAAAAAAACACACATTATTGCTAAGGTAATTTGCTTTTGAGTTCGAGACCAGCCTGACCAACATGAGGAAACTCTGTCTCTGCTGAAGTTTCAAATATGTATAAGTACTGGCATATTTTAAAAATACATTATACATTTTATTTTCTTTTTAGTTTATAAGATATGTGATTCCTTCTTTACATCTACCTATTTTTATTTCTGCCTCTTTTTTTAAATAGGGTTAATTTTTTTTTTTAAATGGAGTCTTGCTCTGTTGCCCAGGCTGGAGGGCGTAGGGCTGCCTCTGCTCACTGCAATCTCCGCTTCCCGGGTTGGAGCAATTCTCCTGCCTCAGCCTCCTGAGTATCTGGGATTACAGGCACCTGCCACCATGCCCAGCTTTTTTTGTATTTTTAGTAGAGACGGGGTTTCACCATGTTAGCCAAGCTGGTCTTGAACTCCTGACCTCAAGTGATCCTCCCTCCTCAGCCTCTCAAAGTGCTGGGATTGCAGGTGTGAGCCACCGGGCCCGGCCTGTCAAATTGCTCTATAATTTCATTTGGAGTGAATTCAGATTAGACCATTGATTTTATTGGCTTGTTTTTTTTTTTTTTTTTTTTTTTTTGCTTTTTGAGAAGCAAGGCCTTATTCTTTTTCCTAGGCTGGAGTGCAGCGGTGCAATCACACCCCATCGCAGCCTCCCCCTACCCAGATCAGTAAGTCCTTCCGCCTCAGGCTCCCAAGTAGCTGGGACTACAGGCGCGTGCCATGCCACCATCTCTGGCTAATTTTGGGGTGTTTTTTGTTGTTATTGTTGTTGTCATTGTTTTTTTGTAGAGACAAGGTTTTGCCATGTTGCCCAGGCTGGTCTCAAACTCCCGGGCTCAAGCAAGTGATCCTCCTTCCTCGACTTCCCAAAGTGCTGGGATTATAGGCATGAGCCACCGTATGGGCCCTGGTTGTCTTTTTTTCATATTACACATTTTCATTTTCAAACATTTGAATTTTGCAAGCGTATTTTGAGTGAGAGGAGTTTTGTTTTCTTCTCTCCTGAAGCCCAGTGTAGCCCAGTCAACCCTTAACTTCCAGCAGGGAGCCTATCACTGCCTCACACACAGCATGTTAGCCTCCCTTACCCCCGAGAAACTCTTACTGTTAGTGTTCAGCCACCACTTCCTCCTTCTGCATCTGGAGTCTAGAAGGCCTGCAGTTTTAGTCCTGCTCACAGTTTTGTGTCTGTTCCATTGAGATTGTTGTAACTTATTTAAGCATGACTATGTCTTTTCAATTTCTCTTTTTTATATTTTACTCTCACTTGTATGTTCTTGAAGGGAGAGGGAGGATCAAAGTGTGCACCCGCTATACCATCTTGGTTCTCCCAAAATCCGTCCCACGATGTTATAAAAATATATGAACTAGGAAATGAAACTCAAGGTTTTCTTTCTAACCAAAGAAGAAGTTCAGTCTCTCTCTATAAATAGAGAAGGGCTGTTGAATAATTTGTCACATTGCTTCTCTTTTGACTTTATAAGACTAGATAGTCTATAGACAGAGAAACAGATTCATTAAACCAGGGCCATTCAGGTTTATTTGGTAAAATATTTGTGATATATTTAAAAGCTTCCTGAGGTAGTCATGTAATGATTGGTGCATAGGGCTGGGTTACCCTGCAGAAAAAGAGGCACAGCAAACTTTATTTCAGGTACAGATGGACCTTACCTTTAGGCAAATCCTTGAAATTTTGGTCTGGGGAATCAGGTTTTCCTGTGGGTTTTTTGTTTGTTTTTGGCTTTTCATAGACATCTATATGAAGTCTCTGCTTTAGAATCTATAAAACTATAGCTTCAGAGGCTGGGCGCAATGGCTCATGCCTATAATCCCAGCACTTTGGGAGGCTGAGGTGAAAGGATCACTTGAGGTCAGGAGTTCGAGACCAGCCTGGCTAACAGGGCGAAACCCCGTCTGTACTAAAAATGCAAAAATTAGCCAGGCATGATGGCAGGCACCTGTAATCCCAGCTGCTTGGGAGGCTGAGGGAGGAGAATCACTTGAACCCAGAAGGCGGAGGTTGCAGTGAGCCGAGATCATGCCACTGCACGACAGAGCGAGACTCCATCTCGAAACAAAAAACTGTAGCTTCAGAGATTCACTTAAATTATCATTTATAGGCCAAGAGAGTTGTGGCTCACAGCCTGTAATCCCAGCATTCTAAAAGGCTGAGGTGGGTGGATCACTTGAGGCCAGGATTTTGAGACCAGCCTGGGCAACATGGCAAAACCCTGTTTCTACAAAAAGGAATTTGCTGGGTGTTGTGATGCACACCTGTAGTCTCAGCTACTTGGCGAGGCTGAGGCCAGGGGACTGCTTGACCCAGGAGGTCGACCCTGCAGTGAGCCATGATAGCACCACCGTACTCTAGCCGGGGCGATCAAGTGAGGCCCTGTCTCCAAAAAAAAGTTTTGTTTTGTTTTGTTTTAAGACAGGGTCTCACTTTGTCATCTACATTGGAGCACAGTGGTGCCATCACAGCTCACTGAAGTCTTCACCTCTCAGGCTTAAAGGAGCCTCCAACCTCAGCCTTCCAAGTAGTTGGCACTACAGGCATGCGCCACCACACCTGGCTCATTTTTGTATTTTTAGTAGAGATGGGGTTTCACCATGTGGTCAGGCTGGTCTTGAGCTCCTGGACACAAGTGATCTTCCGCCCTCGGCCTCCCAAACTGCTGGGATTACAGGTGTGAGCCAGTGTGCTGGATGAATTTTTTCAAAGAAGGAAAAATAAAATTAATTTGGCCCTTCATTAAAAAAATTAAAAACTCTTTAAAGGAAACGTGGGCTAAGTTATTTTTCTGAGAGACTATAAGATTTAGGAAGAAAAATAATCATGATGAAACGTTTTGGGAATATTTTTGGTATTTAAAATTATTGTAGAAATTTATAAATGTGTCAGATTTTGGCTGGGCACAGTGGCTCACACTTGTAATCCAAGCACTTTGGGAGGCCAAGGTGGGCAGACCACCTGAGGTCAGGAGTTCGAGACCAGCCTAGCCAACATGGTGAAACCCTATCTCTAAAAGAATTTTTTAAAAAAATTTTAAGTCAGATTTTAAGAAATATTCTTATGGCTGGGTACAAGTGGCTCATAACTGTCATCCCAGCACTTTGGGAGGCAAAGGCAGGCAGATCTCTTGAGCTCAGGAGGTAAGTTACCTGGGCAACACAGCAAGACTCCATCTCTACAAAAAAAAAAAGTAGCTGGGCATGGTGGTGAGCACCTGTAGCTATTTGAAGGGGTTAAGGCAGGAGGATCACTTGAGCCTGGCAGGTCAAGGCTATAGCAAGCCGTGTTTATGTCACTGCAGTCCAGGCAGGGTGACAAAGTGAGACTCTTATCTCCAAATAAGAAAGAAATCCTCTTGGTCATAGATATGATTTCTTTACACCAAATTTTTTCGTGGATGCCAATCACAATGGGTTTGTCCCTAGGGTAATATAGTTTGCTTTGATCATTTCCAAGAGTAAGTTGTACTACAGGATAGCAGAAGAGATGCGCTTAAAAAGTATGGCAAAATGCATATTGAGAAATAGTATGTTGGCCAGACACAGAGACTCACGCTTGTAATCCCAGCACTTTGGGAGGCTGAGGTGGGTCACCTGAGGTCAGGAGTTCAAGGCTAGCCTGGCCAACATGGTGAAACCCTGTCTCTAACAAAAATACAAAAAATTAGCTGAGCTTGGTGGCACGTGCCTTTGGTCCTAGGTACTTGGGAGGCTGAGGTGGGAGGATCACTTGAGCCTGGGAGGTGCAGGGTACACTGAGCCGAGATTGTGCCACTGCACTCTAACCTGGGTGACAGAGTGAGACCCAGTCTCAAAAAAAAAAAAAAAAAAAAAAAGATGCAGTAAAGAAGCCGACCAAAACCAAGATGGTGACGAAAGTGACCTCTGGTCGTCCTCACTGCTCATTAAAACTTTTTAAAAAAAATATGAAAAGAGGCTGGGCCCTGTGGCTCACACCTGTAATCTCAGGACTTTGGGAGGCCAAGGCAGGTGGATCGCCTAAAGTCAGGAGTTTGAGACCAGCCTGGCCAACGTGGCACAACCAAAAATGCAAAAATTAGCCAGATGTGGTGGCACACACCTGTAATCCCAGCTACTTGGGAAGCTGAGGCAAGAGAATTGCTTGAAGCCAGGAGACAGAGGTTGCAGTGAGCCGAGATCATGCCACTGTACTCCAGCCTGGGAGACAGAGCAAGGCTCCGTCAAAAAAAAAAAAAAAAAAAAGCCGGGCCTGGTGGTGCACATCTGTAGTCCCAGCTACTCGGGAGGCTGAGGTGGGAGGATCATGTGAGCCTGGGAGGTCCAGGCTGCAGGGGGCCGTGATCCTGCCCCTGCCCTGCAGCCTGGGTTATACAGCGAGACAAAAGAAAAAAGAAAAAAGTTAGTGGTAACAGGATAAACTACATAGCCATATAGTATTCCTTCACATTCATGAAGCAGGTCAATTTGAAGCTTGAGGACGACTTCCATTCCTCTAGGTGAATCTACCAAGAAATGCCTTGGTAGAGCTAGGAGTGCCAATGGTATCAGCAAGGCCAGCCTGCTTCCCTGTGATTCATGGTAATTCTCACTATGACTTTGACATGATGTTCCTACACTGTGCCTATCAACACTTGTAGACACACTGTATAAGCGTTTGTTACATTTACTTTTTCTTTTGTCATTACGTCTTTTATTACAGAGGCCACTGTGCACTCCACAATCACACACTTACACAGCTCCGCCTTGCCAAGCAGTGTAGACCCTGCCAAGCAGTGTAGACAGATTCTGGATAACTATCTTTGCATCCTTCCCCATACCATGTCCCCGATGTTGAACTGAAGCAGCTCCTTCCACGTTCCCTACCCGTTAATTAGCCAGGCCACTGCCCACATTGTCACAAACATTATATTAACTGAAAAACTGGCCCATGCCATATTCCATTATGAGAAATTATTTTTAATTCGATTAAATTCCAATGTTTATTCAGAAAACCTGGTAGAGATTGAATTGCTCTATGTACCTTTCTTAGTTTTCTTCTTCTTAGCATATTTTGACCATTTATCTTCTACACCTGGCTGACCTGCATGGTCCGTGTAGTGTAACTTCTACTTGGTGTTTGCGCTTTGCTTTGTTTTCAAATTTAAATTGTGAGATACATTTTTAAACCTATCTAAGAAATAGCCCTGATATTGAAATGGCTTCTGTGGAATAGGTTTGACAGATGTAAGTCTTTGATTCTTTGGCTTTGGTTTTTGTGCCTGTTACAGTTTTACACACATTCATTCAGAGGAAGACATTACCATCAGTGTGTGGTTTATTTTTTCAAATTCCAGTATATTTTTAAAGACCCATATTTCACTAAGCAGTGTACTTGTTGAAACCCATGTGAGTGACTTTGTTTCCACATGTGATAGAGCATCAGATACTGGAGTTTGCCAGGGGTAGAATGGTTGGATTCAGGAATGTTTAGCTGACTCATAGCAGGAAGTTATCCTGTAAAAAAATGAAGCAAGGCAGGGAAGACAGATTTAAGTACCATGCAGCTCAAAACGACAATTACATTGTCATTTTCGTTGTGAATACTTCTAGGTTCTATATTGGCTGTGATCTTTGTACTAACTGCTATTATGGAGAATGTGTTGGCATCGCAGAAAAGGAGGCTAAGAAAATGGATGTGTACATCTGTAATGATTGTAAATGGGCACAAGAGGGCAGCAGTGAGGAATTGTACTGTATCTGCAGAACACCTGCAGTCACAGTGAGTTCTAATAAGAGCATCACATTTAATAATTTAGGAAGCCAAATTGCTCTGACTGGTTACTTATTTACTTTAAAATAAAAAGCAGATTTTTTCTACATTTGTTATACACTTACATTACAAATTCCTTTTCATTTTTTTTCTCTTTTTCCCTTTTTACCTACCCTTCAAAATTTATCTTGCTTCATAGTGAATGTTTGAGACACATTGGGGAAAATGTGGTTTAATGGTAAATTTGATTCTTCAATATGTAACATAGAAATTAATGAGATTAAAATAGCTTGACTTGTTTGGACTTTATCAGTGTTTGAAATGGTGCTTTATTATAGGTTAGAAAAACACTAATTTGGGTATAAGCTTTGAGACTCTGTTATTACCTTATAGGATTTTGAACTCCCACATGGTACAGTACTAGTTGAAAGATTTGTGACTTGTTTTCAGCTTTAAAATCAATTGAATGTTTCATATTTATCTTTAAATTGGTTCTCCAAAATTACAGTGTTCTTATAAATTTTTTTACTGCTTGTTCATAACATCAAAAATACTAAATTAATGTACTGGAATGTCAATCTTGAAAGTATTAAAACCACAATACTAAAACTATTTTATATCCCAGGGTTTAGCAAATTTTCAGGTGCATGCTTTATTATAAGTAACATCATCCCATCTGTTTTGAACTCACATTTCCATTTCGGATCTTGCAGATTTTTTATTGGCCATGATCGGTGTCAGAATTGGTACCATGGGTGCTGCATTGGCATCTTGCAGAGTGAGGCAGAGCTCATTGATGAGTATGTCTGTCCACAGTGCCAGTCAACAGAGGATGTCATGACAGTGCTCACACCACTAACAGAGAAGGATGATGAGGAGTTGAAGAGGGTGCTCCGTTCCTTACAGATGAGAGCCCCTCTGTGTGCAGCATTTGAAAATGAAATCAGCTGGCATAATTTTGGAAGCATTTCTAGGATTTCAAGTTTCCAATGTTAGGATTTCAAGTTTCCAATCTTAGAGTGATTATTTACTGAGTCTCAGCTAGTCTAGTGAAGGGCTTGACAAACTTCAGTCCTTCACATACCAGTGTCATGAGCTTTACCATATCCCCACACCACCTCAGCTTATCTAACACTCAGATAATCTAACGTGACTCACTTCTTTATACATTTTATTTTTAAAGAAACTTCCTCTCACTCCCATGGATTGAGAAACAGTATGATTAGATTATAGTTATTATTTTCCTTATGAAAGACAGAAAGGTGGCTGGGTACGGGGGCTCACACCTGTAATCCCAGCACTTTGGGGGGGCTGAGGTGGGCAAATCATGAGGTCAGGAGTTTGAGACCAGACTGGCCAACATGGTGAAACCCCGTCTCTACTAAAAATACAAAAAACTAGCCGGCTGTGGTGGCGTGAGCCTGTAATCCCAGCTACTAGGGAGGCTGAGGCAGGAGAATCGCTTGAACACAGGAAGCAGAGGTTGCAGTGAGCCAAGATCGAGCCATGGCACTCCAGCTCGGGTGACAGTGTGAGAATCTGTCTCAAAAAAAAAAAAAAAAGGAAAGAAAAGAAAACCAGGATAGGTATGGTTTGCAGGATTAGCAAGTGATACAGATGTATTGAAGACACAGAAGGCCAGTGTGGTTGCTCACACCTATAATCCCAGCACTTTGGGAGGCCAAGGCAGGAGGATCACTTGAGTCAATTAGTTAGAGACCAATCTGGGCAACAAAGTGAGACCCCATCTCTACAAAAAATAAAAATAAAAAATTAGCTGGGCATGTTGGCACGCACTTGTTTATCCAGCTACTCGGGAGGCTGAGGTGAGAGGATCACTTGAGCACAGGAGGCTACAGTGAGCTATGATCGTGCCACTCCACTCCAGCCTGGATGACAGAGCGAGACCCTGTCTCAAAACAATGGGGGGAAATAAAAGGATATAGTGCATTGGATTGAAACTTTCTTCTATTTTTATCATAATCACAAGAATTGAAGAAACTAAAAAGGGAATCGTAGTCTCAATGTGTGGTTGAATGTTATCTAACATCACATCTCTGCCACCTCATCATTAATCAGCTGTGGTAATGATTCCACACTTTGAACCCATCCCACCTGTTTACAGAAGCAGTTGCAATGCCAGCATCACTCAGTGACAGCTCATCATGTAGGGCCCAGAATACTGATTTTGTGACTTCTAAGCTTGTGTTCCACCCCCCACACTGTGGGGAAAAGAAAGAGAGATCAGATTGTTGCTGTGTCTGTGTAGAAAGAAGTAGACATAGGAGACTCCATTTTGTTCTGTACTAAGAAAAGTTCTTCTGCCTTGAGATGCTGTTAATTTATAACCTTACCCCCAACCCCGTGCTCTCTGAGACATGTGCTGTGTCAACTCAGGGTTAAATGAATTAAGGGCTGTGCAAGATGTGCTTTGTTAAACAGATGCTTGAAGGCAGCATGCTCCTTAAGAGTCATCACCACTCCCTAATGTCAAGTGCCCAGGGACACAAACACTGCGGAAGGCCGCAGGGACCTCTGCCTAGGAAAGCCAGGTATTGTCCAAGGTTTCTCCCCATGTGATAGTCTGAAATATGACCTCGTGGGAAGGGAAAGACCTGACCGTCCCCCAGCCTGACACCCTTAAAGGGTCTGTGCTGAGGAGGATTAGTATAAGAGGAAGGAATGCCTCTTTGCAGTTGAGACAAGAGGAAGGCATCTGTCTCCTGCCCGTCCCTGGGCAATGGAATGTCTCGGTATAAAACCCGATTGTATGTTCCATCTACTGAGGTAGGGAAAAACCGCCTTAGGGCTGGAGGTGGGACATGCGGGCAGCAATACTGCTTTGTAAGGCATTGAGATGTTTATGTGTATGTGTATCTAAAGCACAGCACTTAATTCTTTACCTTGTCTATGATGCAGAGACCTTTGTTCATGTGTTTATCTGCTGACCTTCTCTCCACTATTATCCTATGACCCTGACACATCCCCCTCTCCGAGAAACACCCAAGAATGATCAATAAATATGAAGGGAACTCAGAGGCCGGCAGCATCCTCCATATGCTGAACGCAGGTACCCTGGGCCCCCTTATTTCTTTCTCTGTACTTTGTCTCTGTGTCTTTTTCTTTTCCAAGTCTCTCGTTCCACTTAACCAGAAACACCCACCGGTGTGGAGGGGCAACCCACCCCTTCACCACACCAAGGTCTTCCGACCAAGCTTTGAGTACCATTGTTGCAGAGGAAGCTCATCTTAGGTAACTTATTACTAGAGCAGAAATCACCTAATATAAAGTATTTCATGTATCGCATTTAAAACTGACTTTTGGGTTCATTGATGTAGTGACTCAACTGGGAATCTTAAATGGAATTAGTGTTTTCACTGACAATAAGAATGCCTACTTTTTCATTATAGGCCCATAAGATGGCCCGGCCTTTCCTTGAACCAGTAGACCCTAATGATGCACCAGATTATTATGGTGTTATTAAGGAACCTGTGGGTACACATGAGTTGAATTTGAAGTTTTTTCAGAAGTCTCAGTGTATATTTTATTAACCATAAAATTAATATCTTAGAATACTTTTAGCAAGGCTGCTGGGGGTATAAATTGGTATGGTCACTTTGGAGGGTAAATTGATAGTATCTATTACAGTTGAATTGTGCATACTCGGTTATTTTATTTTATTTTTTTGAGATGGAGTCTCACCCTGTTGCCAGGCTGGAGTGCAGTGGTGTGATCTCACCTCAATACAACCTCTGCCTCCCAGGTTCAAGCGATTCTCCTGCCTCAGCCTCCCGCGTAGTTGGGACTACAGGCACGTGCCACCACACCCGACTAATTTTTGTAGTTTTAGTAGAGACGAGGTTTCACTATGTTGGCCAGGATGGTCTCAAACTCCTGACCTCAGGTGATCCGCTCACTTCGGCCTCCCAAAATGCTGGGATAACAGGCATGAGCCACCGCGCCCAGCCCCCACAGTGATCTTCCTTTGAGGAAAAGCCACGGGGTGCTTTCTCTCTTCTGTAGCAAGGAAGATGGTTTCTAAGAGGGTATTTTAAAAGCAGTTTACCTAAAATAAAAGTGAAAGGCCAGGCAAGGTGACTTATGCCTGTAATCCCAGTACTTTGGGAAGCCGAGTGGGGAGAATAGCTTGAAGCCAGGAGTTCAAGACCAGCCTGGGCCACAGTATGAGACCTTGTCTCTACTACCAAAAAAAAAAAAAATTAACCAGGCTTGGTGATGAGTGCCTATAGTCCCAGCTACTTGGGAGGCTGAGGCAGGAGAATCACTTGAGTACAGGAGTTTGAGGCTGCAGTGAACTATGATCGAGCCACTCCACCCCAGCCTGGGTGACACAACAAGAACTTGCCTGTTTAAAAAAAAAAAAAAAAAAAAAAACTGAGGCCAGGTGCGGTGGATCACGCCTGTAATCCCAGCACTTTGGGAGGCCGAGTGGGGCGGATCACAAAGTCAGGAGATCGAGACCATCCTGGCTAACACGGTGAAAACCCGTCTCTACTAAAAATAACAAAAAATTAGGCGGGCGTGGTGGCAGACGCCTGTAGTCCCAACTACTCGGGAGGCTGAGGCAGGAGAATGGCATGAACCCGGGAGACAGAGCTTGCAGTGAGCCGAGATTGCGCCACTGCACTCCAGCCTGGGAGACAGAGCAAGACTCCGTCTCAAAAAAAAACAAAAACAAAAACAAAAAAACTGAAGGACAAGCCCAGCTAAAGTATCCAATTTTTATTCTCAGCAAAGGAATTAAAAAATAAATGAATATATATATAGGCAAGGAAGCAAGAAAAGTAGGCAGCAGGTTATAGACCAAAAACAAGAAACTACAAAATCTGTAAAACTAGGCTAGGCGTGATGGCTCATGCCTGTAATCCCAGCACTTTGGGAGGCCGAGGCGGGTGGATCACCTGAGGTCAGGAGTTTGAGACCAGCCTGGCCAACATGGCAAAACCCCATCTCTACTAAAAATACAAAAATTAGCCAGGTGTGGTGATGCACACCTGTAATCCCAGCTACTCAGGTGGCTGAGGCACGAGAATTGCTTGAACTCAGGAGGCAGAGGTTGCAGTGTGCCAAGATCACACCACTGCACTCCAGCCTGGGTGACAGTGAGACTCTCACAAAAGAAGAAGAAAAAATTCCCAACCTTACCAACATAACAAGACCATGTCTCTACAAAAATTTTAAAAATTAACCAGGCATAGTGGCGTGCACCCGTAGTCCTAGCTACTCAGGAGGCTATGACAGGAAGATCACTTGTGCCCAGGAGTTCAAGGCTGCAGTGAGCTGTGATCACTTGTGCCCAGGAGTTCAAGGCTGCAGTGAGCTGTGATTACACCACCGCTCTCCAGCCTGAATCACAGATTGAGACCCTGTCTCAAAAAAAAAAGACAAGAATAAAAGAAAAATTTTCTGAGCTGATGCGAGTCACAGGACTTTAAATTCTAGCAGAATAAATTCATTCACTCAGCAAATGACTATTGAGAACCTGATGTGTGCCAGATACAGGGAATTTAGCAGTGAATAAATTAAAGCCCCTGCACTCTATGAGGGGTGGGGGGAGCAAGGGGTCAGTTGATAAACATTATAAATCAGGTGGACAAATGGAAAAAGACTCACTCCTACATACATCACTATAAAATTTCCAAACATTAAGAATAAAAGAAACTTTTAGATAAAACAGACAATCTATAAAACAAGAATTAGATTGGTGTCAGATTTTTCTGCTACAACATTTAGTGCTAGAAGATTATGGAAGAATAAATCTAAAAGTTTAAGAAAAAATGATTTTCAACCTAGAAGTCTATGTGCAGCCAAACAGTCAAGTAAAGTCAGAATAAATACATTTTCAGTCATGTAAGGACTCAGGGTACCCTTTCTTGGCAGGTATTTTTTAAAAGCGTGTGCTATTGGCCAGACACGAAATGGCTTATGCCTGTAATCCTAGCACTTTGGAAGGCAAAGACGGATGGAACATTTGAGGTCAGCATTTCGAGACCATCCTGGTCAACATGGCAAAACCTCGTCCCTACTAAAAATACAAAAATTAGGCGGGCATAGTGGCACATGCCTGTAGTCCCAGCCACACAGGAGGCTGAGGCATGAGAATCACTTGAAACAGGGAGGCAGAGGCTGCAATGAGCCAAGATCACACCACTGCACTCCAGCCTGGGTGTCAGAGTGAGACTCTGCTCAGGAAAAAAAAAAAAAAAAAAAAAAAGTGTGCTATCAAAAATAAGGAAACAAATTTTTTTCTTTTTAATAATATATCTTTTTAATTAGGGACAGGGTCTTGCTATATGACCCAAGCTAGTCTTGAACTGAGCTCAAGCGATCCTCCCGCCAACCTTGGCCTCCCAGAGTGCTGGGATTACAGCCATGAGCCACTGCACTGTGCTAGAAATTTTTCTGTTGTTTTGTGTTTTTGAGACAGAGTCTCACTCTGTTGCCCAGGCTGGAGTGCAGTGGTGCAATCTCATCTCACTGCAACCTCCGCTTCCCGCGTTCAAGTGATTCTCCTGCCTCAGCCTCCCAAGTAGCTGGGATTACAGGCGCCTGCCACCACACCTGGCTAATTTTTGTGTTTTTAGTAGGGATGGGGTTTTGCCATGTTGGCCAAGCTGGTCTCAAGGCAAGTGGTCCACCTGCCCTGGCCTCCCAAAGTTCTGGGATTACAGATGTGAGCCACCACGCCTGGCCAGAAATTTTTATTTATTTGGGTTCAGAAAACAAGAGGTTCAGGAAAGCAATGAGAATTACTCTTACTCAAGGTGACATTTGTACAGCAGGCTGTGCGGTAAGCAGTCCAAATCCTAGCAGGAGAATGGAGCACTCCCCAGAGGGTCAGTAGGGCAAGAAAATGACTCATGCATTAGATAATTTGTTTAAGACAGAAAAACATAAGGCTATGATTAAGCCAAAGAATGTCAGGGATAAAAATGAAAGGCAATTAGAAACGCCACTAAAAACAAAAAGTTGTGTAGGAGGGCCTGTTGGCTGGGAATGGTGGTTCATGCCTGTAATCCCAACACATTGAGAGGCTGAGGCAGGAGGATGCTTGAGCCCAGGAATTCTAGACCAGCCCGGGCAACATGAGGAAACCCCATCTTTACAAAATACAAAAATTAGCCAGGCATGGTGATGTGCACCCATGATCCCAGCTACTCCAGAGGCTGAGGTGGGAGGATTAAGCCCAGGAGACAGATGCTGCAGTGAGCCATGTTCATGCAACTACACTCCAGCCTGGACGACACAACAAGACCCTGTCTCAAAAAAAAAAAAAAAAAGAAAGAAAGAAAAAAAAGGCCAGGTGCGGTGGCTCATGCCTGTAATCCCAGCACTTTGGAGGGCCAAGGTGGACGGATCACCTGAGGTCGGGAGTTTAAGACCAGCCTGGACAACATGGCAAAACCTCGTCTCTATTAAAAATACAAAAATTAGCCAGGCATTGTGGTAGGCACCTGTAATCCTTGCTACTTGGGAGGCTGAGGCAAGTGAATTGCTCAAACCTGAGACATGGAGGTTGCAGTGAGCCAAGATTGTGCCACTGCACTCCAGCCTAGGCGACAGAGCGAGACTCTGTCTCAAAAAAAAAAAAAAAAGAAAAAAAGAATGCCTTATTAGCAAAGGACTAGGTGGTATAGAGAAAAATATTTACATTGTCGTAATAATGTAAATAATGACATTGGGCCAGGAACAGTGGCTTATGCCTATAATCACAACACTTTGGGAGGCCAAGGCATGTGGATCACCTGAGATCAGGAGTTCGAGACCAGCCTGACCAACATGGTGAAAGCCCATCTGTACTAAAAATACAAAAATTAGCTAGGCATGGTGGCAGGCACCTGTAATCCCAGCTACTCAGGAGGCTGAGGCAGGAGAATCACTTGAACCCAGGAGGCAGAGGTTGCAGTGAGCCAAAACCATGCCATTGCACTCCAGCCTGGGCCACAAGAGCAAAATTCCGTGTCAAAAAAAATAAAAATAAAAATAATGACATTGGTTTTCAACTTTTAGAATCAGCCTACAGACAAAGCATGGAATGATATAATTGTTAAATTATAGGGAAATAAAACTTGGACTCAGCCAGGTGCGGTGGCCCACACCTGTAATCTCAGCACTTTGGGAGGCCGAGGCGGGTGTATCACGAGGTCAGGAGTTTGAGACCAGCCTGGCCAAGATGGTGAAACCTCATCTCTACTAAAAATACAAAAATTAGCCGGTCGCAGTGGTGAGCGCCTGTAATCCCAGCTACTCAGGAGGCTGAGGTGGAAAATCGCTTGAACCCAGGAGGTGGAGGTTGCAGTGAGCTGAGATCACACCACTGCACTCTAGCCTGGGTGACAGAGCAAGACTCCATCTTAAAACAAAAAAAAACAAAATAAAACAAAACAAAACAAAACAAAACAAAAAAGACTTGGACTCAAAAACGGAGGTGGGAAAATGGTTAAGTGAGCTTGGCTCTCATTTGCCATCACAGGGCTTAAATGAAAGTTGATAAAACAAGAAACAGCAGTATAAGAAAGCTACCCAGGCTGGGCACGGTGGCTTATGCCTGTAATCCCAGCACTTGGGAAGGCCAAGGCGGGTGGATCATCTGAGGTCAGGAGTTCGAGACCAGCTGGCCAACATGGTGAAACCCCATCTCCACTAATAATACAAAAATTAGCCAGGCATGGTGGTGCACGCCTGTAAGTCCCAGCTACTCTGGAGGCTGAGGCAGAAGAATCACTTGAACGTGGGAGGCGGAGGTTGCAGTGAGTGGAGACCACACCACTACACTTCAGCCTGGGCGACAAGAGCGAGACTCCATCTCAAAAGAAAAAAATCTACCCAGACAGGGCATGGTGGCTCATGTCCGTAATCCTAGCACTTTTGGGAGGCTGAGGTGGGCGGTTAGGTCAGGAGTTCCAGACCAGCCTGGCCAATATGGTAAAACCTTGTCTCTACTAAAAATACAAAAATTAGCTAGGCGTAAGGGCGGGCACCTGTAATCCCAGCTACTCGGGAGGCCGAGGCAGGAAAATCATTTGAACCCAGGAGGAGGAGGTTGCAGTGAGCTGAGATCCCACCACTGCACTCCAACCTGGGCAACAGCAAGACTCTGTCTCAAAAAAAAAAAAAAGAAAGAAAGAAAGAAAGAAAAGAAAAGAAAAGAAAAGAAATCTACCCAGAGAACTGAAAGGTCAAGGGGATTGATCATAGGGAGCCTGGATTTCAGAGGGAGTTAAGGTAGGACAGAGGAGCACGACTTCTCATTATAAGCCCCTCTATGCTTTTTGATTTGTACATGGTGGTTATTCCTCTGGTTCAATTTCTAAAATTGCTTTTTTAAATTGGAAAGGCCTTTGGTGGTAACTGTGAGGTAGAAGCCAAGGGGTGTGAATCCTACCCTGCTGCCAACTTGCTGGCAGAGCCCAGAGGATGACTGCTGGCAACTGCTGATGAAGGAGAGGAAGTTGCTTGGAGGTCCTGGGGCCTGTGGCAAGACAAAGGGAATTTGGTAAAGGAGCAAAGGAGACCTAGGCTGGGCCCGCATAGTGTAGGGGCCACTTAGGATGTCTTCTTGCCACCTGGTTATTTTATGTAGCTTTTTAATATACTCAAGTTGACATAATTTTCAATAAAGCACATGGGAGCTGAATGGAGACGTTTGCTCAATTCTGCTTAAATAAACAAATTAGGCTGTGTGCAGTGGCTCACACCTGTGATCTCAACACTTTGAGAAGCCAAGGCAGGCAGCTCACTTGAGCCCAGGAGTTTGAGACCAGCCTGGGCAACATGGGGAAACCCCATCTCTACAAAAAATACAAAAAATTAGCTGAGCATGGTGGCACGTGCCTGTAGTCCCAGCTACCCAGGAGGCTGAGGTAGGAGGATCACCTGAGCCCTGGAGGTTGAGGCTGCAGTGAGCCATGATTGCGCCACTGCACTCCAGACTGGGCTACAGAGTGAGACCCTGTCTCAAAACAAACAAATCAAAAAAAAAAAAAAAAAAGAAAAAAAGAAAAAAATTACAATGCAAAGAATTGTATAAAGACAACTTGCTGTCGCATTTTTAGGGAATTTCTATTGCTTTCCAGATTTAAGGTAGAATGAAACATAACTAGCCAGTTATTGAAACTTGATTTTATTATGGGTTTCCAGAATTTCCTTTGCCATATTTTCCCATTGTAATTTATGATCTCCAGCATTGTTTGCACATTGTTTTCATTACTGCACTTTGTTATAATTCATCATTTATACCATCCATATTCTTTCTTTTCTTATGGATTGTGATATCTTTAGTCTAAATTTTTAACTGGAATCAGAACTGGATGTTGGGGTCACTGTTTTATTGTACCTTGTGATTACGTAATCCAAAATTGCCCCCCAAAAAGTCAGGTTAGCTAATATAATTTTTTAATGTTAACGATGTATAGTGGTCAAAAATTTATTCTAGCAGCCACGTGAAACAATGTGTTTAAAAATTGTAAACTATTGGAATACTGTATTTATCTGCTATTGCAATATAAATTTATCTGCTATTGCAATATAAAGTCCTTTGACTTAGTCCTGGTAACTGTACAGTAATTTGGTTTACTGACAAAAGTTGTGAGGCCAGCCTTGGTGGCTCACACTTGTAATCCCAGCACTTTGGGAGGCCGAGGCGGGCGGATCACCTGAGGTCAGGAGTTTGCGACCAGCCTGGCCAACATGGTGAAACCTCGTCTCTACAAAAAGTACAAAAATTAGCCGGGCATGGTGGCAGGCCACTGTAATCCCAGCTACTCGGGAGGCTGAGGCAGGAGAATCGCTTGAATCTGGGAGGCAGAGGTTGCAGTGAGCCAAGATCGCGCCTTTGCACTACAGCCTGGGGACAAAAGCGAGACTTCGTCTCAAAAAAAAAAAAAAATTGTGAATAAAACTGTGTGAAACTGGGAGACTTTCTGGCCTTTAATAGAAAAATATGATTTTAAAATTGCTTTTTCTTTTGTTTTAGCATAATTTTTCCCTTTATATTCCCCTCATCCGTGTAAATAAACACACACATACACACACACACGCACCTTTCACCACAATGGTAATGCTTCTGTAAATGTCTCTATTTGTCCAGTTGCCTGAAAATGTTGTAATCTTTATTAGACAAATATATATACATACATATTTTAAATATTGGCTTTTTCCAGTGAGCTATTATGCTTAGTGTACAGTGAAAAGTTTTATTATTATAGGTTAAAAATTTCTTAATCGTTCTTTTCTATTCGCTTGCCAAGGGTGAATGAAAGAACATGGCTGCTTCTCCCAGATTTATTTACTTTGGCATCCGCATAAAGCATCATTTTCAAAAATGAAAGGTGCTCAATTGTTCCCTTTTTCTATACTCTGTAGGTCTCACAACAACAAACTGCAGTCTACAGCTTCCTAAAGTTCAGCATGTTAACCTAACATAAAACACAGCAAGAATCTTGTTGCCTGAACTATTTTAAATTAAGGAGCCAGATCTTTTTAGTGAGGCTATCCTGACAAGACTTGATCTAACTTTGTTTTTATCGGTCATAACAGTCCAATTATATTATTGGCCAATTTTGTCCAATGGACAAGAAAAAAGCAAAGTTGCCAGGTGCGGTGGCTCACGCCTGTAATCCCAGCACTTTGGGAGGCCAAGGCGGGCAGATCATCTGAGGTCGGGAGTTCGAGACCAGCCTGACCAATATGGAGAAACCCCGTCTCTACCAAAATACAAAATTAGCTGTGCATGGTGGCCTATGCCTGTAATCCCAGCTACTTGGGAGGCTGAGGCAGGAGAATCACTGGAACCTGGGAGGCAGAGGTTGTATTGAGCCGAGATTGAGCCATTGCACTCCAGCCTGGGTGACAAGAACAAAACTCCGTTTCAAAAACAAAAAAAGGAAGAAAAGAAAAAGAAAAAAGAAAAGTCAACGACACCATTATCTTGTCAAGATCAAATGGTTTTATTATTGTGGCAGAAGCGAGAAAATTTTGTTTATTAAAAAAAAAAGAAAAAGAAAGCAAGAAAAAATGATACTGTGGGGTCAAGTATAACTCCATGGAAATGCCACGTCTGCTCTTCAGTGAAGAAGCTGGTTTAGAGTCTCAAAGAAAACTTTTGACTGTATTTATTTATTGTTGCAAAAAAGATGCTTTTTTATTGCTGCCCTCATTTGTCAACTAATTATTTTTTCTTATAAAATCCAGCCACGGTTACATATAATCCATCCCTATCTTATCAATGATTCCTGTACGTAAAAGTACAAGACAACCTCTAGATGTCTTTTCTTTCTATGAAAGGAGCTGCTATGTACACATGTGCACACACACACAACTGCGAATCAACAATGAGTTTATTGTTCATGGTAGATTAAAATCAAGCTTGCATAAAGGTTGGGCTAAGTGGTCCTGGACTATAGACTCTGGTGACTTGAATATAACAGTACAATTTGTCAATTACTCCACACCAGGTTAAAATGAGTAAAATCTATTTGAAGGTATCTTCTTTGTAAACATTTGTCAGATTCTAATTTTTCTTTTTGTATTAAAATTCAACTATAGATGTATGTGAAACAAAATAAATGGAGATAGTTTTTCTCCCACAGACAGAGGTGTCTTTGAATGTGCGCTAATGATTATCTGTAAGCCTCTGTGGGGAGGGAGGGCTGCAAGGTCATGAAAGGCAAAAGAATCTAATTGTACCTGGAATTCTCCTGGACAGCAGTGGCCCCTCGTTTTATCATTCCCAGTCAATTGTCATCACGTCAGAGAAAAATCTTCAGGGGTGCTAATCCTGTCGCATCAGTTGATCATACTAACGAAAAAGGTAATGCGACAAGATACACATTGCCTTCATCTGTATATTCTGTGATACCGGGCAAATTACCAATTACAGACAGCTACTTATATTGTATGAAGGACATTTTTTGTTAGATGATCTCATCCTCTGTGTTATTTGTTGATTGGGTTTGTTTTTTGCTTGTTGGTTTGTTTGTTTCTTCCATGTAAGGAAAAGTAGTGTAAGCAGTAGGAAGAAAATGAGGAAGATGTATTTTGCATGTTCTTCCTTTCAGTGTTCTTACACATTGTATTACTGCATTGTGGTAATAGCTTCTATAAAATCTGCCATAGCTGGATTATGCAGCTTTGCAAAAATTCTACTAGATTTTATTCTAACTCATATTAGCTTTGTCCTATCAACTTCTGGAATTTATCTAATTATTGCTTTTAAAAGTTTCCTGCCTTTCAACGTTTCCCTGCTATGCAAAACCTTTCCCAGACCTTGGTTTCTTAAAAGAAAGATGTTGCTACAGTTCCCAATTCTTTCTTATTACAGGCTCAGGTGTACAGGTTATTCTGGCTTAATTTTATCTAATGAAGCCCATTCCTTTTTGTACATGAAGATGTCACTTAAACCTATGTTTACAAACTAAAGAGACTAATCACTCAATATGAAAACATGAAAACATTTTTGCTTAAAATATTAAGATGGAAATACTTAAATATGGATTATTTTGTCCTTTTACTTTTTAAAAAAAGTTACATATTGTATGCACTGTGCTGATGCAAGAATTCTACATTTTAATGAATTATAAAATTATTCTGCATCTCATCACGTCACAGTATTTCTGCACTATTTATTCATATATATAGAAATATATATGGGCTTAATCATTTAAAATTTGTTGCAGCAAGAACTTTCCTACCTGTAGGCAATAGATTGCTATGTTTTCAACAAATTGTGGCAAATTCTAAACAGCAATTGTTTTGTATGTAATAGGACATTTCATACTAGAAAAATAAAGTAATGTTTTTGACATTGGATTTGGTGCAGTTTCTAATGAAGCAACGGTTGGTTGGTGGTAACATGTCTTCTGTAGCTGTTAGCATTGCCAAATTAAAAAGGGTAAATTTTATGGAAATCCTGAGACCAGGAAGATATTAATTTCATGTGTATTTAATGGTATAAAGTGTTTTACAGTTTCTATCACCATACAAATACATAAAGACATTTTATAGTTTTATCAACTATAGGGCTTTAGTCTTTCAAAAGTAATTTTTGAAAAACATACATTCCTGGCCAGGTGTGGTGGCCCACGCCTGTAACCCCAGCACTTTGGGAGGCCGAGGCAGGGGGGATCACCTGAGGTCAGGAATTTGAGACCAACCTGGCCAACATGGTGAAACCCCATCTCTACTAAAAGTACAAAAATTAGCCAGGCATGGTGGCAGGCACCTGAAATCCCAGCTACTAGGGAGGCTGAGGCAGGAGAATCACTTGAACCTGGGAGGTGGAGGTTGCAGTGAGCCGTGATCACGCCATTGCACTCCAGCCTGGGGGACAAGAGTGAGACTTCATCTCAAAAAAAATAAAAAAGAAAGAAAAACATACATTTTTTAGAACATAATGAGTTCTGAAAGCTGCTTTTCTGTGAGTAATCTTTGAAAGCTTCTGCTATTAAGATCTATATAACACAGCTATTTTGCTTTCAATAATCCAGGCAGTAAACTGTACATTTGTGATACTCTTAGGATGTTTCTACCACAGGCCTTGGGCTTGTAAATATATTTAATTTGCATCAGTAGATTTCCTTGGCTAAAAGTATTTTCAATAACTGTTATGCTTCACCTGCCAAGTTCACAATCCTTGAAACCATTTCATGAAAAGTATTTTCCTATTGGTAAAGCTTTTATTCTCCTATCCAAATTCTACAGGAGGTTTAAATAAAATTGTGGCTGGGCATGGTGGCTCACGCCTATAATCCCAGCACTCTGGGAGGCTGAAGCTGGCAGATCACAAGGTCAGGAGTTAGAGACCTGCCTGACCAACATGGTGAAACCCTGTTTCTACTAAAAATACAACAATTTACCTGGACAAGTGGCACACACCTGTAGTCCCAGCTACTCAGGAGGCTGAGGTGGGAGAATGGCTTGAACTGGGGAGGCAGAGGTTGTAGTGAGCTGAGATTGTGCCACTGCACTCCAGCCTGAGCGACACAGCAAGACTCTGTCTCAAAAAAAAAGTGAACTTTTGGAGATATTTTCTGAAGTAAAATAATTACCTTTTTATATTCCAAATGGCCTAGAGTGTTATTTAGAGACACTAAGATTTGCTGTTGTTTGTAATCGTAATCTACCTTCCTGGGATCTGCAAATAAAAGTTATTTCCCTATTTCTGCTAATTCCTTTAGGCAAACTCTCTACTTCTTTATGTTAAAGAGCCAACCTGGTGGCCTTTCAGATCTCTGCACACTTAGTTAGACAAAGTTACATGGTTATTACAGCTTTCACTCTTCCTGATTGAAACTATCATGATACGGCTGGGCGTGGTGGCTCACACGTATAATCCCAGCACTTTGGGAGGCCAAGGCAGGTGGATCACCTGAGGTTGGGAGTTTGAAACCAGCCTGACAAACATGGAGAAACCCCATCTCTACTAAAAATACAAAAAAAAAAAAAAAAAAATTAGCTAGGTAAAGTGGCGCATGCCTGTAATCCCAGCTACTTGGGAGGCTAGAGCAGGAGAATCACTTGAACCCAGGAGGGAGAGGTTGCGGTGAGCTGACATCACGCCATTACACTCCAGCCTAGGCAACAAGAGCGAAACTCCTTCTCAAAAAAAAAAAAAAAGAAAAGAAAAAAAGAAACTATTACCATAGGTCTCAGATTTCTTGCCCTTAATGTGAGAATGGGGATATTCCATGGATAAAATAATGAAGTACTTGAGGAGGTGGAGGGAAGAGCCAACCGAGAAGTATTTTTAATAATTTGAAACATTCTAAGGTATTTCTAGATACTTGGAGCGAGATACTAAAAGACTTTTCTTAGAAGATTATACCACTTGATCTAATTTGAACCAAATTCAACTAAAGAAATTAGCCATATAGATATACTTTTTGTTGTTGTTTGAGACAGAGTCTCGCTCTGTTGCCCAGGCTGGAGGGCAGTGGCACGATCTCGGCTCACTGCAACCTCTGCCTACTAGGTTCAAGCGATCCTCCTGCCCCCCAATAGCTGGGATTACAGGCATGCACCACCATGCCCAGCTAATTTTTGTATTTTTAGTAGAGACAGAGTTTCGCTATGTTGGCCAGGCTGGTCTCAAACTCCTGACCTTGTGATCCACCCGCCTTGGTCTCCCAAAGTGCTGGGATTACAGGTGTGAGTCACAGCTCCCGGCCTAGCCTTTTGACATTTAAAAATTCAACTTTGATTTGACTGGCCTGAGTTAATTTTTTTTATCTTAAAGAAAACTAGCTCAGAAGCTCTTCATTAGCTATAATTCTATCATGCAATAATGCATCTGACTCCCAAAAAGCAATTCTAGTAAAATTTATAATAAATTTGGACAAAACTCATTTTTGGAAAATACTCTAGAAATCTCTCAGTAGTGCTTTACCATAGAACACTCAGAACCTCTCAACTCTTTATTACCTGTCTGCCCCATAATTGGAACAAATAATAGTATCAGGTATTGTAATGTTAGGCTGTTGCCTCTTGGCTCCTGTGATTCCCTAGCGTCCCATCCTGGATGTCCTTTATGTGTACAGTGCTACTACTGGGTGCCATGGACAGCGTCAGGACACATTCTGACCTTCCTGAGTGCATCACCGTGAGGCCAAATAGGCTGCTCTCTCTCCAGTGAAATTCCTTCCCCTGTCTCTCTTTAGGCAGTCATCTTCATCTATGCATTAGTGGTGTCTCTGTTCACCGTACTTCTTATAAACTGAAGTACAGCCTTATCTTCTGAAAAAATACTCTCATGTCTTTGTGGACTCAGGTATAAAATCAATATTTAATTTAGCTAGTGATTAAACCTTTTTAAAACCAACTGAAAAATGTTTAGAATTCACTTGCTTGTGAGCTGTCATTGGTTAATATTGGTTCCAAGGTTTGGGGAATGAATTTGAGAAAGGCTTTTTCTCAAACCTTTAGGGCTCAAAGTCTAAAACAAAACAAAACAAAAATAAACAGGTGCATCCAAGGTCTAATTTCAAGGCAAGATTTATTGCTTTACAAGCAAACATTATACTTGGTCTTAATAGAAAAATGATATCAGATACACTCAGAATACAGTTCACATTGGGATAGCTGCCAGTTCAGCACAAAACATACATTATTAGGAGCAGGGAGGCATGAAAATAAACTATATCTTACTCTTTGGTACATCAGGAACACTTTTGCCTGAAGTAAGCCCTTTGGCACTTTTTTTAAATTTATTTTTTTAATCCACCCATCCGCACACTGGCCCTTTTGTACACTTTGTTTGTTTTTGAGACGGAGTTTTGCTCTTGTTGCCCAGGCTGGCGCGATCTCGGCTCACCACAACCTCTGCCTCCTGGGTTCAAGTGATTCTCCTGCCTCAGCCTCCCTCAGCTGGGATTACAGGCATGTGCCACCACACCCGGCTAATTTTTGTATTTTTAGTAGAGACAGGGTTTATCCATGTTGGTCAGCCTGGTCTCGAACTCCGGACCTCAGGTGATCCGCCCACCTCGGCCTCTCAAAGTGCTGGGATTACAGGTGTGAGCCACCGCGCCCGGCTTGGTACTTTTTAAGTGTAAAATTTTAATCCTTGTCCTGGGCTTTGACCCTTGTGTTTGATCTAAATGACGTTTCATAGGTAAATGTCTTTTGACTAGTGCGCTTACTGTTATGTGAAGAATTTAATCTTCACATATAAGTTTTGAATATAAATCAGGTTTGAATATAAAATCAGGTTTGATACATGATATAAAAGTTGTGTATTTAAATTCAGGAAAATGTTTTCTGGACTATTTCTACTAAAGAATGTATTAAATTAAAATATTTAAAAACATGAAGCAGTGATCTGTTAACTAGACAGGTCAGTTATCTGAGCTGTGTAAATCACTGTCTGGCACAACAGTTGAATCACCTTGACACTGAGCTCAGGAGCAGCCCATTTAAGAAGCATCTTGTAAATAACAAAGTGACACCTTCGAGATTACAGTTGTAACTATGCAGGTCATTCATAGAGTAGCTTTGGGCTCTCTTCTAAAGGAGGACCCATTACATGAAGATAGACCTTTCATGTCTTGTTGCCGATGTCTCTTGTGATCCAGAAATGCCAGGATGGTTGTTTCAAATGCATTGGGTATGAATCGCACCTTGAATTTGCCCTTCCCTTTTTGGGTTAAACCTTTTCACATAGCTGCTGCTGCTCCTCAGCAGTCCATCCCCTGGACAGAGATGGCCTCTCAGGACCTGGAGCAGAGCTGTAGGAAGCTGCCCTCTCTTATGGTAGATGTGGCCCATCACAATATACCTGCTGCCTGGACAAAATAACCAGAACATTAATTCATAGCGTCTTTTAAATGCCATGAAACAGAAAATATAAGGCCTTTAAGAAATACCTAAGCTGCAATCTACTATCTTGCTGCACAAGTTGAAACTGATATTTAGTCTACAGGCAAGGTGGAAACAGTCTAGCGACCTTTAGAAGATAACCAACCCAACCAGGCCAGTGCAGTGGCCCACGCCTTTAATCCCAGCACTTTGGGAGGCCGAGGCGGGCAGATTACTTGAGGTCAGGAGTTTGAGATCAGCCTAGCCAACATGGTGAAACCCCATCTGTACTAAAAATACAAAAAGTAGCACGGGGTGTGGGGAAGGGAAAGCAATATGTAACCAGCCCACATTACAGAACAAAGGTCCTTATCACATTGTATCAGGATTTCCCAGAGCACATGCCTAGAAAGATGTGGGAGCGGGGCCGGGCGCAGTGGCTCAGCCTGTAATCCCAGCTACTTGGGAGGCTGAGGGCAGGAGAATGGCTTGAACCTGGGGGACGGAGGTTGCAGTGAGCTGAGATGGCGCCATTGCACTCCAGCCTGGGCAACAGAGCGAGACTCTGTCTAAAAAAAAAAAAAAAAAAAAAAAAAAAAAAAAAAAAAAAAAAAGATGTGGGACTGGGTATTCCCCGCTACCAACCCTCCACACACTCCCCCCAAAAAGCAGCTTTTCTAAACTCAGTTCTGTACAGTCCCTTCTGGCAATGGTGTTTGGTGGTCGCTCACTCCATTTGTCAACATCTATTTATTGACAGCCCGCTTTGTGCCAACAGCTGCCGTTCTCACCCATGGGGGTGGGGCTGACGGTGCTTAAATCACAGAGTGGCGGAAATAATACCTGTCGTCTAAATCCTAATCATGTTACAATACTGTCCCCCATCCCTCCCAAAAAAAGACTGGACGACCCACAGCCCGGGCTGTGGCACCCACGTTACAAACGGTGGTATAAAGTACATATGCAGCGTCATTCAGCTCAGTTTCAATACCAGGTTTAAACTCTGGACACGGTTTATTGCAGCTGGAGGAGTCCAGGACTAACATGTGGACTCGGAAGAAGAAGCCGTCGGGGGTGAGTGAGGTACAGGCGGTTCATCTTGTACAGCCCGTCCCGATCCACCAGCAGGGTCACCAGCCAGATGCCCGCGCCCAGCACGTCCACGTCATGCACTATCCCGTTCATCGCTGCTTCCAAAAAACAGTTTGGGAACCCCAGTTCCTCTCCCAGTCCCTGGGCGTTGGTTTTTAGCAACAGCGAAACGGCCCGCATGGGTCGGGCGCCCTGGGATCTCGCGTGCAGGATTCTCCGGGACTCGGAAAGGCTCGCGGGGCGGCGGCGCGGTGGCCGGGCTCACCGATTTCGCGCTTGCAGAACGCCTCTCGCCCGTCCATGCCCGCCCGGCAAGCGCAAGAGCAGGGCTCGGCGCCGGGCTCCGCGTCCCTGCGCGGCTGACTGAGGCCGAAGCTGAAGCTGAGGCGCGGCGGCGGCGCGGGCGATGAGCCGGGGGCCGGCACAACGGCGC
Organism: Homo sapiens; assembly: GCF_000001405.40. Classification (NCBI taxonomy): domain Eukaryota; kingdom Metazoa; phylum Chordata; class Mammalia; order Primates; family Hominidae; genus Homo; species Homo sapiens. The sequence continues at coordinate 519,649 of NT_167251.2, forward strand.
GCGGCCGGTTGGGGTGGGCAGGGCCGGCGGGGCTCTCGGCGGCGCGCGCGAGCGGCCCGGCGGCGGGGAAGCGTAGGGCCCGTGAGCGCGCGCGTCTCGGGGCTTCCTCCGTCGCGGGCCCGCCGCGCGGCGACGCGCGGTTCTCGGCTTGCGCCAGGCGCGGGCCTGTGGGCGCGTGTGCGGCCTCACGGAAGGTGGCCCGGTTGTCGGCCGGCGGCTGAGGCCTGGGCGCCCCCTCCCCAGATCCCCGCTCGGCTCCCAGGGCTCCGCACTACACCGATCTTACTTTTTCTCTCCACCGGAGCTTCGGGGGATGATCCGACGATTAAACAGAGGAGCCAGAAAGCTCTAGCTGTCATTTTTGCAGACAGGGTTCCCAGGCTCTAAAAGTGAGCCTGGGCTTTTGCTTGCTTTCTCTCCCCTAACCCCTTCTCCACACCCGCGTCCCCGTTCATGCTAATGAGGGGCAGCCTTTGGGGAAACGGGAATCACTCGCTGAGCAGACCATTGGAACAAAACCGAGCCGCAGGGATTTCTCCCTCTTCCTTCCTAAGGGGGACGAGCACATGGCCTCGTAAAGTTGTCCCCGAGAATGTCTGTCCTGTGATCTGCGGGCGAGGATAGCATCACAACCTAAACTTTAAACTCGTGTGCGTTTGCGCGCTGCGGTGGGGGCAGCAGAGGGTGGGGTGACAAGTGCGGAGAATAAGGGTGTTTCGGGACTGAGGGACTGAGTGGGGGAGAAAGAGTGATGGCCGCTTTTTTCTAGATTAGGTCAACAACAAATAGGAAAATAGTGCTTAAGACAGCGTGGGTTTGTGGAAGGGAGGAGATTCCAGATGACAGAGAATGTATCCTGGAATGTGTATGTTAGGCAATTTCTAGAGACACCAAGTCACTGCTTCCTAAGTTTAGTAAAACTGTTTCATTATATATGACAGCTCACTGTAACCTCTGCCTCCCGGGTTCAAGCGATTCTTGTGCCTCAGCCTCCCAAGTAGCTGGGATTACAGGCATACGCCACCATGCCAGGCTAATTTTTGTATTTTTAGCAGAGACCGGGTTTCATCGTGTTGGCCAGGCTGGTCTCAAACGCCCGACCTCAAGCCATCCACCCGCCTTGGCCTTCCAAAGTGCTGGAATTACAGGCATCAGCCATGACGGCCGGCACAGAGGTCTAATTATTAATCAGAAGGTTGCCTGTTGAGGCCGGGCATGGTGGCTCATGCTTGTAATCCCAGGACTTTGGGAGCCTGAGACAGGAGGATCTCTTGAGCTCAGGAGTTCAAGACCAGCCTGAGCAACATGGAGAGACCCTGTCTCTACAAAAAATACAAAAATTAGCCAGGCATGGTAACTCACGCCTGTGGTCCCAGCCACATGGGAAGCTGAGGTGGGAGGATCGCTTGAGCCTAGGAGGTGGAGGTTGCAGTGAGCCGAGATCGTGCCACTGCACTCCAGCCTGGGTGACGGAGACCCTGTCTCAAAACCGAAAAAAAAAGAAAGAAGAAGAAGAAGGAAGAGGAGGAGGTAGAGGAGGAGGAGAGGAAGAGGAAGAAGAGTAGGAAGAGGAGGAGGAGGAAGGAGGAGGAGAAGGAAGAGAAAAGAAGAAGAAGGAGAAGAAGGAGAAGGAGGAGAAGAAGAAGAAGAAGAGGAGAAAAAAAGAAGAAGAGGAAGAAGAAGAAGAAGAAAGGAAATTTGTCCGTTGAGCATTAAATCAAAGAAGAGAAATTTGCCAAATTGCAGCTGAAGGAGGTGGGTTAATCTACCCTCATTCAGGTGTTGGAGGAATGAATTATCTTCTCCCTCCAAAAGAGCAACCTCTACAGCCACTGCAAAGCTTGGGTACACCAGAGTCAGGTTCTCCAGACTAGACAGGCCCAGATAAACACTAGTCATATAAACACTAGTAAGTTCATGCCCTCGGGGCCCTGTTCATAGATGTCCTCAGGTCCCCTTCTTTCACGTGCTCTTTCTTTAAGTCAAGTGGAATAAAATTCACTAGGCTTAAGATTTCTCAGTTACAACCACATCTCTGACATACATTCAAATCACCCACATCCTGCTGGGGGTGTTCCCAAAACTCTTCTGTTGCAGGAATGTTGTGAATGCCCTGAAACCCACACCCTGAAATGTAGAGACAGAGAGCAAGCTGGATGGTTCCCAGGGGCTCCCAGAGGCTCCTGGGGTGGCAACAGCTGGAAGAACTCACCAGAGTCCAGTGCTGGGTCTTGGGCAGTGTCTGGCTTGCAGCCTTAGAAATCACACTAATGGTGGAAGGTACAAAGAGTTCAAAGAGACTGATCTATGTAGCCAGAATGCCAGTTTATTAATTTACAGTGAGAAATCAACTCAGAAATGCAACTCATGTCAGCCTGGGTAGCATTCTCTTTCTATAAACAAGCCACACAGGAAGCCAAGTTATCATCAGGGTGCTTGGTAATATAAACCAGAGCCCAGGGAGTTTGTCACCTGATTGGAATGTTTAACAGTATTGGTTTCTCACAGCCTAATGTGTTCATCTTTACAATAGGTGTGTATACCTGTCGGGAGGAAGAACCCAAGAGACCAACTGGCAACTTCCTTGATAATTTCTGGTATTTTGAGTGTATGTTTCTGCTTAGCAAATATTTATTGAGCATCTACTGTGTGTTGTATAATAAAGAATTTGTAGGCCAGGCTCAGTGGCTCACACAAGTAATTCCAGCACTTTGGGAGACTGAGGGAAGCGGATCACTTGAGCTCAAGAATTCAAGACCAGCCTGGTCTCTACAAAAAAAAAAAAAAAAAGTCAGCTGAGGTGGTAATTCTAGAGAATTTGAATTATCCAGAATGACTCACAGAACTCAGGATAGCATTTTACTTACAATGAATTGTATTATTATTTTGTCGGTTCATTATTTTATGTTTATTTTATCTTATTTTAATAGAGATGGTGGGAGCCAGATGCAGTGGCCCACACCAGTAATCCCAGCACTTTGGGAGGCTGAGGCGGGCAGATCACTTGAGGTCAGGAGTCCAAGACCAGCCTGGCCAACCTGGTGAAACCCTGTCTCTCTCTCTCTCTTTTTTTTTTTTTTTTTGAGACAGAGTCTCACTCTTGTTGCCCAGTCTGGAGTGCAGTGGCACAATCTCGGCTCACTGCAACCTCCACCTCCCAGGTTCAAGCGATTCTCCTGCCTCAGCCTCCCAGGTAGCTGGGATTACAGGCATGTGTCACCACGACCTGCTAATACTGTATTTTTGGCAGAGACGGGGTTTCTCCATGTTGGTCAGGCTGGTCTCAAACTCCCGACCTTAGGTGATCTGCCCGGCTCAGCCTCTCAAAGTGCTGGGATTACAGGCATGAGCCACCGTGCTCGGCCTTTTTTTTTTTTTTTTTTTTTGAGACAGAGTCTGGCTTTGTCACCCAGGCTGGAGTGTGCAGTGGTATGATCTCAGCTCACTGCAACCTCCACCTCCTGGGTTCAATCGATTCTCCTGTCTCAGCCTCTCAAGTAGCTGGGATTATAGGCACACACCACCATGCCTGGCTAATTTTTGTATTTTTAGTAGAGACGGGGTTTCACCATGTTGGGCAGACTGGTCTCAAACTCCTGGGCCAAGTAATCTGCCCACCTCAGCCTCCCAAAGTTCTGGGATTACAGGCGTGAGCCACTGCACCGGGCTCCATTTTATCTTCTGTCTCTACAATTATTTATTTGTTTGTTTGTTTGTTTATTGAGACAGGGTCTCACTGTTGCTTAGGCTGGAGTGCAGTGGCAAAACTCTATCAAGGCGCACTGTGGCCTTGACCTCCCGGGACTCAGGTGATCCTCCCTCCTTCGCCTCCAGAGTAGCTGGGACTACAGGTACCCACCACCAAACCCAGCTAACTTTTATATTTTCTGTAGAGATGGGGTTTCACCATGTTGGCCAGGCTGGTCTCCAACTCCTGGGCTCAAGCTAACTAACCTCCTTGGCCTCACAAAGTGCTGGGATGACAGGCATAAACTACCACACCCGGATTTCCTTGTTACTCTAGGAGACATTCTGGAACTTGTACATCAGCCGCTGATTTCATTTTCAGTGCCATCAATTCTGCTTTTTGCTCTGTCCAATGAGGATCTTCCTTCCTTTCTTTTTTCTTTTCTTTTCTTTTTTTTTTTTCCGAGACCGAGTTTTGCTCTTGTTGCCCAGGCTGGAGTGCAATGGCTTGATCTCGGCTCACCGCAACCTCCGCCTCCCGGTTCAAGTGATTCTCCTGCCTCAGCCTCCCAAGTAGCTGGGATTACAAGTTACGGGAATTCTCACAAAAGTACAAGGAGAAATAGTCCTTATGAAGAAGGAAATTATATAAAGGGAATAGACTGAAATGAACAAACAACAGGATGAACAAAAAAGGAAGCTGACTAATAATTCCTGAGCTTTTAATCCTTACTGGGGCCAGGCGCAGTGGCTCACGCCCTTAATCCCAGGACTTTGGGAAGCTGAAGCGAGCAGATAGCTTGAGCCCAGGAGTTTGAAACCAGCCTAAGCAACATGGCAAAATCCCATCTCTATTAATTAAAAAAGAAGAAGAAGAAGAAGAAGAAGAGGGGAAGGGAGAAAGGAAGGAAGATCGGCCGGGCGCAGTGGCTCACGCCTATAATGCCAGGACTTTGGGAGGCCAAGGCAGGTGGATCACCTGAGGTCAGGAGTTTGAGAGGCCCGGTGCAGTGGCTCATGCCTGTAATGCTAGCACTTTGGGAGGCCAAGGTGGGTGGATCACTTGAGGCCAGGAGTTCAAGACCAGCCTGTGCAATATGATGAAACCCCGTCTCTACTGAAAATATAAAAATTAACCAGGCATGATGGTGCTCGCCTGTAGTCCCAGCTGCTCAGGAGGCTGAGACAGGAGAATTGCTTAAACTCAGGAGACGGAGTTTACAGTGAGCTCAGGTGGCATCACTGCACTCCAGCCTGGGCAACAGAGCAAGAACCTGTCTCAAAAAATAATAATAATAATAATTGTCTTTAGGATTCTTTGTCAACATTATTTGAGGTATGCTCTGCACATTTTTAAGGGGAAAATATTTTTACTTTTATTATTAAACATTTAAAAAGTTATGGAGAATAATGTAATGAATACCTGCATAAGTATAACCCGGTTTTATCAGATCTTAATATTTTCCCATACTTGTTTCTTTTTCTTCTTCTTCTTTTTTTTTTTTTTTTTTTAGTGGTTAAAATATTACAAATATAGCCAGGCACCATGGCTCGGGCCTGTAATCCCAGCACTCTGGGAGGCCAAGGCTGGCAGATCACCTGAGGTCAGGAGTTTGAGACCAGCCTGACCAACATGGAGAAACCCCGGCTCTACTAAAAATACAAAAAATTAGCTGGGTGTGGTGGTGCGTGCCTGTAATCCCAGCTACTCGGGAGGCTGAGGCAGGAGAATCACTTGAACGCAAGAGGTGGATGTTGCAGCGAGCTGAGATCGTGCCATTGCACTCCAGCCTGGGCAACAGAGCAAGACTCCATCTCAAGAAAAAAAAAATTACAAATATAGTTTGTAGTAACCATCCTCCAAATAGCCAGTCCCCAATGGCCCCCACTTTCTGGTATTCACATACCATGTAGTCTCCTCTACCCTGTAGCAGGGTTGGTCTGGGAGACTGATAGCCTATGGAAGAAGTAATATACACTTCCAAGATTAGGTTACAGAAAGACCGAACTCTTTTTTTTTAAAAAAAATTTTATTTCCATAGGATATTGGGGAACAGCTGGTGTTTGGTTACGTGAATAAGTTCTTTAGTGGTGATTTGTGAAATTTTTGTGCACCCATCACCCAAGCAATATAGACTGCACCCAATTAATAGTCTTTTATCCCTCACCCCCTTCCCATCCTTTCCCCCTGATTCCCCAAAGTCCACTGTGTCATTCTTATGCCTTTGCATCCTCCTAGCTTAGCTCCCATTTATGAGTGAGAACGTACGATGTTTGGTTTTCCATTCCTGAGTTACTTCGCTGAGAGTGATAGTCTCCATAGACGGGGCAGGGTGGCTCATGCCTGTAATCCCAGCACTATGCGAGGCCGAGGTGGGTGGATCACCTGAGGTCGGGAGTTTGAGACCAGCCTGACCAACAGGGAGAAACCCCGTCTCTACTAAAAATACAAAATTAGCCAGGCATGGTGGCGCATGCCTGTAATCCCAGCTACTTGGGAGGCTGAGGCAGGAGAATCGCTTGAACCCGGGAGGCGGAGGTTGCGGTGAGCCAAGATCCCGCCATTGCACTCCAGCCTGGAGAACAAGAGTGAAACTACGTCTCAAAAAAAAAAGAGAATAGAGAGCCATGCAGTCCAAGCGGGATTGTGAGCTGTGGTGTGAGAGGGTGAAGCCAGAGAACAAGGCGGCGCTGGAGGCGTGGGTCAGGCAGACAGGCATCGCCTGGTGCAGGTGAACGGGCAGAGGAAGTATGGCGGGCCACCCCCAGGCTGGGTGGGCAGCCCGCCGCCGGCTGGGTCAGAGGTGTTCATCGGGCGGCTGCCTCAGGAAGTGTATGAGCACCAGCTTATCCCGCTGTTCCAGCGCGTGGGCCGCCTCTACGAGTTCCGCCTGATGATGACCTTCAGCGGCCTGAACCGCGGCTTCGCATATGCCCGCTGCAGCTCGCGGCGCGGCGCGCAGGCCGCCATCGCCCGCTGCACAACCACCCGCTGCGGCCGTCCTGCCCGCTGCTCGTGTGCCGCAGCACCGGGAAGTGTGAGCTGAGCGTTGACTGCCTGCCGCCGAATCTGACCCGCACCGCGCTGCTGCCCGCGCTGCTGCCCGCGCTGCAGCCGCTGGGTCCCGGCCTGCAGGAGGCGCGGCTGCTGCCCAGCCCCGGACCTGCGCCCGGGCAGATCGCTGTGCTCAAATTCAGCTCGCACTGGACCGCTGCCATGGCCAAAAAGGCCCTGGAGGAAGGGCAGCCACACCTCTGTGGAGAGCAGGTGGCTGTGGAGTGGCTCAAGCCAGAACTGAAGCAGCGACTTCGCCAGCAGCTTGTGGGTCCCTCCTTGCGGTCCCCACAGCCAGAGGGCAGCCAGTTGGCCTTGGCAAGGGACAAGTTAGGGTCCCAAGGGGCTCGGGCTACCCTGCAGTTGCTGTGCCAACGAATGAAGCTGGGCAGCCCTGTGTTCCTCACCAAGTGTTTGGGCATAGGACCTGCTGGCTGGCACCGCTTCTGGTACCAGGTGGTGATTCCTGGGCATCCGGTGCCCTTCAGCGGCCTCATCTGGGTTGTGCTGACCCTAGATGGCCGGGATGGGCATGAGGTGGCCAAGGATGCTGTGTCTGTACGGCTGCTGCAGGCACTCAGTAAGTCTGGGGCCAACCTCCTGTGGTCTGCTGGGGCTGAGGCAGGTAGCATGGTTAAACAGTGACTCCATTCTCTCTCCACAGGCAGCCCGAATGGGCATGCAGAGCCTGTGTCAGGCCCCAACCCAGCAAACCTGGGTGGCCACTATCTGACCCCCAAAGGTGGGGAGGGGCATGGGCCCAGGCCCATCAGCCTCCCTGCTGGGACAGGGACCTATGGCACCTGGGGGCAGCTTAGGTTTGGCTTAAGTTGTGGTGAGGGGCCTTGCCCTCCCCCTCCCAGCCCAGGGTCCAACCTGACCCAGTTATCTTCCATGGCCATTCCTTGTCCCACCGCCACCCGATCATACCTTCCCCCCTCTGCCACAGCTTAGCATGAATCTTCTTTATTGTCCTGATTTGTCCTCTTGGTTTTTATTTGTGGGGAAGGGCAGCTGAGCCAAAGGGGTCAGAAATTCTGCCCTTTGCCTCCACCACATGGCATTCTGGTTTTGGTTTCTGTATAGTTTTGGGTCTTTCTATGCTGGTTGTATTTATGTTAAACCCCTGGTTAGTAAAAAAAAAAAAAAAAAAAAAAAAAATAGGCCCGGGTGCGGTGGCTCATGCCTGTAATCCCAGCACTTTGGGAGGCTGAGGTGGGCGGATCACGAGGTCAGGAGATCGAGACCATCCAGGCTAACATGGTGAAACCCGGTCTCTACTAAAAATACAAAAAAAAAATTAGCCGGGCATGGTGGCAGGCGCCTGTAGTCTCAGCTACTTGGGAGGCTGAGGCAGGAGAATGGTGTGAACCCAGGAGGCAGAGCTTGCAGTGAGCCAAGATCATGCCACTGCACTCCAGCCTGGGTGACCGAGTGAGACTCTATCTCAAAAAAAAAAAAAAAAACAAGAATAATAGTCTCCAATCCCGTCCAGGTTGCTGCAAATGCCATTAATTCATTCCTTTTTATGACTGAGTAGTATTCCACTGTATATCTATACCACAGTTTCTTTAGCCACTCATTGATTGATGGGCATTTGGACTGGTTCCACATTTTTACAATTGTGAATAGTGCTACTATAAACGTGTGTGCAAGAATCTTTTTCGGCCAGGCGCGGTGGCTCACGCCTGTAATCCCAGCACTTTGGGAGGCCAAGGCAGGCGGATCACAAGGGCAAGAGATCAAGACCATCCTGGCCAACATGGTAAAACCCCATCTCTATTAAAAGTACAGAAAGTAGCTGGGCATAGTGGCACACGCCTGTAATCCCAGCTACTTGGGAGGCTGAGGCAGGAGAATCACTTGAACCCAGGAAGCAGAGGTTGCAGTGAGCTGGGATCGTGCTGCTGCACTCCAGCCTGGCGACAGAGCGAGACTCCACCTCAAAAAAAAAAAAAAAAAAAAAGAATCTCTTTCATATAATGACTTAGAAAGACTGAACTCTTACCTGGGCTGTGTGTGTTCTCTCTCTTTTTTAGTCATTCACTCTAGCTATGTGGGGAGGACATTCAAGCAGTCTATGGAGAAGTCCAGGTAGTAAGCCAATGAAGTCTTCAACCAATATTCAGTAAGGAACTACAGCCTGCCAACAACCAATGAGTGACCTTGAATGCATATTTTCTCCCAATTGAGTCTTCAGATAAGAGTGCAGCCCCAGGCCACTGCTTGACTGAAACATCCCAAGAGAACTGAGCAGAACCACCCAGCTAAGTCCCTTCCAGATTCCTGGCCCACAGAAAGTGTGATATAATAAATGTTTTTTGTTTTAAGCTGCTAAATGTTGGGGATCATTTTTTTTTTTTGACATGGGCCTCACTCTGTCACCTAGGCTGGAGTGCAGTGGTATGATCATGGCTCATTGCAGCCTCAACCTCCAAGGCTCAAGGGATCCTCCCATCTCAGCCTCCCAAGTAGCTGGGATCACAGGTGTGTACCACCACACCTGACTTTGGTGTTTTTTTTTTTTTTAAGTAGAAACAAAGTCTTGCTTTGTTGTCCAGGCTGGTCTGGAACTCCTGGGTTCAAGTAATCCTCCCTCTTCAGGCTCCCAAAGTGCTGGTATTACAGGCATGAGCCACTATGCCTGGCCCAATTGTTAAATCTTTTTTAAATTTTAATATTTTTTTCTTTTTTGTTCAAAGTGTTAATTTTTTTTTTTTTTTTTTTTTGAGACAGAGTCTAACTCTGTTGCCTGGGCTAGAGTGCAGTGGCATGATCTCGGCTCACTGCAACCTCCGCCTCCCAGGTTTAGTTCAAGCAATTCTCCTGCCTCAGCCTCCCGAGTAACTGGGATTACAATCACGTGCCACCACACCCAGCTAATTTTTTGTATTTTTAGTAGAGACAGGGTTTTGCCATGTTGGCCAGTCTGGTCTTGAACTCCTGACCTCAGGTGATCCACCCTCCTCGGCTTCCCAAAGTGCTGGGATTACAGGTGTGAGCCACCATGCCCAGCCTAGTGTTAAATCTTTATAACAACATAAGTACGAGGTTGAGACTTATTACCCTGTTTTACAGATGAGTAACTGAGGCACAGAAAGGTTGAGTTACTTGGCCAAGGTTATACAACTAATAATTACAGGATGCCAAAACCGCTAGCTTCTGCCAGTGCTCTTAATATAAGGTTGAAAGAAAAAAGAAGAGAAAAGAGCCAATTAACATAAAACATAGCTGTTAGAAGCCTCCTTCTACAAATGGCCATGAAGTCTAAGTTGATAATCATAGCCGCCTTCTTCACCACTTCTTCCAATCCCCTTTCGAAGGGTTCTGTGCCTCATAGGGACACTCAATACTTTATTCCATAAGACCTGACTTCTTGGTGGTCTTGTTTTTATTGGGTTGCTCTACTTTTCCATTAACCAGGTCTTAGGGTCAAGAGCCTGCTAAGATGTGTCCCCAGTGAATTTTTGGCTTTCAGACATAGCCTCCTTCCTCTATTAAGTAACAGAGCCATTTTCCTCTTGCTAATCATATGTAAAGAGGCTAGTTCGGTGATGGTTTTAGTCAGCTCAGTATTACATACTGGGTGGCTTAAACAATAGACATTGATTACTCACAGTTCTGGAGGCTGGGAAGTCCCATATCAGGGTGATAGCATGATTGGGTGCTGGCAAGGGCTCTTTTCCTAGCTTGCAGATGGCTGCCTTCTTGCCATATCTTCACTTGGTGGACAAAGAGAAGAAAGGCTCTCTGGTCTCTTCTTTTTTTTTTCTTTTTGTTTTGAGACAGAGACTCTCCAGATGCTCTCTCTGTCCAGGTTGGAGGCTGGAGTGCAATGACATGATCTGGGCTCACTGCAACCTCCACCTCCTGGGTTCAAGCGATTCTCCCACCTCAGCCTCCCAAGTAGCTGGGATTACAGACTTGCGCCACCACGCCCAGCTAATTTTTGTATTTTTAGTAGAGATGGCTTTTCACCGTATTGCCCAGGCTGGTCTCAAACGCCTGATCTCAACTGATCCACCCACCTTGGCCTCCCAAAGTGCTGAGATTTCAGGGGTGAGCCACTAGCCAGACCACCTGGTCTTTTCTTTTAAGACACTCATCCCATCATGGGGCACTGTAAGCCTAATTATGTCCCAAAGGCCCCACCTTCTAATACCATCACATGGAGGTGAGGGCTTCAACATAAGAATTTGGGGGCCGAGGCCGGGCGCGGTGGCTCACCCCTGTAATCCCAGCACTTTGGGAGGCCGAGGCAGGCAGATCACGAGGTCAGGAGATCGAGACCATCCTGGCTAACACGGTGAAACCCCGTGTCCACTAAAAATACAAAAAATTAGCCAGGCGTGGTGGCGGGCGCCTGTAGTCCCAGCTATTCGGGAGGCTGAGGCAGGAGAATGGCGTGAACCCAGGAAGCAGAGCTTGCAGTGAGCCAAGATCATGCCACTGCACTCCAGCCTGGGTGACAGAGCGAGACTCCGTCTCAAAAAAAAAAAACAAAAAACAATTTGGGGGCCGGGCGCGGTGGCTCATGCTGGTAATCCCAGCACTTTGGGAGGCTGAAGTCAGCAGATCACCTGAGGTCGGGAGTTTGAGACCAGCCTGACCAACATGGAGAAACCCCATCTCTACTAAAAATACAAAATTAGCCGGGTGTGGTGGCGTATGCCTGTAATCCCAGCTAACTCGGTAGGCTGAGGCAGGAGAATCACTTGAACCTGAAAGGTGGAGGTTGCAGTGAGCAGAGATCGTGCCACTGCACTCTAGCCTGGGCAACAAGAGCAAAACTCCATCTCAAAAAAAAAAAAAAAAAAAAGAATTTGGGGAGGATGCAAACACTTAGCCCATAATAGTAGCCACCTTCCATCCTTATTGATTCAGCAGCATGAGGAACTTTAAATGGCCAGCTTCGGCTGGGCAAGGTGGCTCATGCTTGTAATCCAAGCACATTGAGAGGCCGAGGAAGGAAGATCACTTGAGCCCAGGAGTTCCAGAGCACTCTTGGGCAGCATACTTGCCCATAGTGTAAAAATTAGCTGGGCAGGGCTGGGCTTGATGGCTCACACCTATAATCCCAGCACTTTGGGAGGCCGAGGTGGGTGGATCACCTGAAGTCAGGAGTTTGAGACCAGCCTGGCCAACATGGTGAAACCCCACCTCTACTAAAAATACAAAAATTAGCTGGGCATAGTGGCGTGCGCCTATCATCCCAGCTACTTGGGATGCTAAGGCAGGAGAATCGCTTGAACCCAGGAGGCAGAGGTTGCAGTGAGCTGAGATCACACCACTGCACTCCAGCCTGGGTGACAGACACTCTGTCAGAAAACAAAACAAAACAAAAAAAACAGGCGCGGTGGCTTATGTCTGCAATCCCAGTGCTTTGGGAGGCTGAGGCAGGCGGATCACAAGGTCAGGAGTTGAGACCAGCCTGGCCAACATGGTGAAACCCCGCCTCTACTAAAAAAAAAAAAAATTGCCAGGCGCGGTGGCACATGCCTGTAATCCCAGCTACTCCGGAGGCTGAGACAGGAGAATCGCTTCAACCCAGGAGGTGGAGGTTGCAGTGAGCCACGACCGCGCCACTGCACTCTAGCCTGGGCAACAAAATGAGACTGCGTCTCAAAAAAAAAAAAAATTAGCTGGGCAAGGTGGCATGCGACTGTAGTACCAGCTACTCAGGAGGCAAAGGTAGGAGGATCTCTTGAGCCTGGGAGCCTGGGAAACAAGAGTGAGATTCTGTCTCTAAATAAATAAATAAATAAATAGATAGATAAATAAATAAATAAATACAATAAATGGCCAGCCTCGGCTTCCAGTTGAATAAAACCATAATAGTATTTCCTGATCTACACATTTCTTCCTTTGGCACTAGGTGATCTACACATTTCTTCCTTTGGCACTAGGACCTCTGGACCCACTGAGTCCCGGGTCCCTGGCAAGGAAAGCAAAAATTCTTCATGTGAATTATTAGGGGCCACAGTGGGAGGAGCCACTCACATCTCCTCTCCTCGGTTCCTGGACTCATTCTAGCATGGTCTAAGTCTAGGAACGGCAGTGCTAGCAGAAGTCCCGCAGGCAAGGGAGGCAAATCCACACCCAGAACACGGGTCTGTCGTTGTGAGGATGAGGCACTGTCCTTACACCCCAGTCTGGTCCTACAAAAAAGGATGGCCTCTCAGGGTGCGACCTTCACCTTGGAGCAGCGCCCTCTGCTGGCCGCCTCTAAGATCTGTGGCCACTTGCATCCCCCTTCTAATCTTCCCCTACCTCTGTTGGTTCAAATCATCTCTCAGTTTATTAATCCTTGGAAAGAATTACATAGCGGTTATTCACAGCTTGCAAATTACAATAGAAAGGTTCCTTTCAAGTGGTAGAGTTGCACTAAAGAGGAAATTGGGTTTATAAGAAAATGCACCTCTCCCTCTCCCTCTCCCCCTCCCCTCCCCCTCCCTCTCCCTCTCCCCACGGTCTCCCTCTCCCTCTCTTTCCACGGTCTCCCTCTGATGCCGAGCCGAAGCTGGACTGTACTGCCGCCATCTCGGCTCACTGCAACCTCCCTGCCTGATTCTCCTGCCTCAGCCTACCAAGTGCCTGCGATTGCAGGCACGCGCCGCCACGCCTGACTGGTTTTCGTATTTTTTTGGTGGAGACGGGGTTTCGCTGCGTTGGCCGGGCTGGTCTCCAGCTCCTAACCGCGAGTGATCCGCCAGCCTCGGCCTCCCGAGGTGCCGGGATTGCAGACGGAGTCTCGTTCACTCAGTGCTCAGTGGTGCCCAGGCTGGAGTGCAGTGGCGTGATCTCGGCTGGCTACAACCTCCACCTCCCAGCCGCCTGCCTTGGCCTCCCAAAGTGCCGAGATTGCAGCCTCTGCCCGGCCGCCACCCCGTCTGGGAAGTGAGGAGCGTCTCTGCCTGGCTGCCCAGTCTGGAAAGGGAGGAGCGTCTCTGCCCGGCCGCCATCCCATCTAGGAAGTGAGGAGCGCCTCTTCCCGGCTGCCATCCCATCTAGGAAGTGAGGAGCGTCTCTGCCCGGCCGCCCATCGTCTGAGATGTGGGGAGCGCCTCTGCCCCGCCGCCCCGTCTGGGATGTGAGGAGCGCCTCTGCCCGGCCGCGACCCCATCTGGGAGGTGAGGAGCGTCTCTGCCCGGCCGCCCCATCTGAGAAGTGAGGAGACCCTCTGCCTGGCAACCGCCCCGTCTGAGAAGTGAGGAGCCCCTCCGCCTGGCAACCGCCCCGTCTGAGAAGTGAGGAGCCCCTCCGCCCGGCAGTCACCCCGTCTGGGAATTGAGGAGCGTCTCTGCCCGGCAGCCACCCCGTCCGGGAGGGAGGTGAGGGGGGTCAGCCCCCCGCCCGGCCAGCCGCCCCGTCCGGGAGGTGAGGGGCGCCTCTGCCCGGCCACCACCCCGTCTGGGAGGTGTACCCAACAGCTCATTGAGAACGGGCCATGATGACAATGGCGGTTTTGTGGAGTAGAAAGGGGGGAAAGGTGGGGAAAGGACTGAGAAGTCGGATGGTTGCCGTGTCTGTGTAGAGGCGGGTAGACATGGGAGACTTTTCATTTTGTTCTGCACTAAGAAAAATTCTTCTGCCTTGGGATCCTGTTGATCTGTGACCTTACCCCCAACCCTGTGCTCTCTGAAACATGTGCTGTGTCCACTCAGGGTTAAATGGATTAAGGGCGGTGCAAGATGTGCTTTGTTAAACAGATGCTTGAAGGCAGCATGCTCCTTAAGAGTCATCACCACTCCCTAATCTCAAGTACCCAGGGACACAAACACTGCGGAAGGCGCAGGGTCCTCTGCCTAGGAAAACCAGAGACCTTTGTTCACTTGTTTATCTGCTGACCTTCCCTCCACTATTGTCCTATGACCCTGCCAAATCCCCCTCTGCGAGAAACACCCAAGAATGATCAATTAAAAATAAAAAAAGAGAAAGAAAATGGAGGCAAAGAACTTAAGTTTTAAGAAAAAGCACTTCAAAACAGAAGGGCAAATGGAAAAGGGGGATATAAAACAAACCAATAAAAATACCATCTGAGGGTGTTACTGTCCAAAAGTAAAGAATAAGATGCATCACTAAGCCCTTTGCACTCGTGTTGACCTCGTAAGTAAAAATTATTACTTAGAATAATAATAAGTGGTGCACACTACATTCCCTGTCCCTCTTCTAGACTTTTTTTTTTGTAGAAGAATCAGAAAACAATTTACTAACCTCCCTGTTTGATATTAAAAACTCAATAGGAAGGTTTTTAATATTTTCTGTCAGTACAAGTTGAACTTGATTGTGTCAACTGAAACCCTAGAGGTTTGTGTATCAGTAGAATGCAAGAACATTGTTAAAGTTGCTTACAATCTTTTTTGTTTTCCTTTCCATTCCATTGTATCAATTTTTTGAGTAACTTTCAAATGGCTAGAAAATGGTCTTTTTGCTTTGCCCTTTTATAGCTGAAATAACCAGCTCCATTCTTTTCATGAGTAGTAAGTTGATATATTTATTTATCAGGTATCTTTCAGTTGTCACTAAATACTGTAGTTTTCTTGTGTTGTATGGAAATTATAGTTCAATTATTCTAATGTGATGGAGTGCAACAAGTCATTGTAGAACTTTTCACCTGTTAATGTTGAAGCTATACCTCTGAACTTCTGCTGTGGATATCAAGGAAACAATAAAGCAAAAACCCTAAGACATTTGAAAAAAAAAAAAAAAAAAAAAACCCAGCCTGGGAAACATGATGAAAACCCATCTCTACAAAAAATACAAAAATTAGCCGGGCATGGTGGCACGCGCCTGTATTTCCAGCTACTTGGGAGGCTGAGGTGGGAGAATCACTTAAGCCCAGGAAGTGGAGGTTGCAGTGAACTGAGGTTATGCCACTGCACTCCAACGTGGGTGACAGCGAGATCCTGTCTGAAAAAAAAAATCAATGAATCAAAGAATGGTGACCCCAGTAAATACCTGATACTTTATTTATTTGGCTCAATGAAAATAAAAAAGAGAATTTTATGCAAAAATTTCAGACAACTGAATTTTGCCAAATGATTCCATTTACTAAGGATTCCATCTTTGGTTCTAATGTAGTATATATTCCCTGTGGAGGAAATGGATTTCTCCAAATAACTGGATCCATAGTCATGTAATGCTAGTGGGGACAATCACCCCAGCTTAGATACCATCAAATGAATTCCAACATATGTGGGCTCTCCCATTATTTGTCTTCTCACCTGCCAGCCTGCCTCTCTTGGCAATGCTAGGATTCCAGAATCAGGCCCTAAGCTCAGCGAGGGCCTCCATGAGGGCCATATTACACCCTAAGACTCCCAGATGTCTATTTGGAACCACCTTTGACTTACTCCCTTATTTTGCCCCTGAAACTGCATGGGGACAAAGAAGAAATCATAAAAACAGGGATAATGGATATGGCCCTAAGTATTTTAATGTGGCCTATCAATAGTGTCATCATACCATCCCTGTTTACCAAGCTTTTATGGCAATTTCTTCACCTTGATACTGTTGACATTTTTGGCTGGTCATCATTTTTTTATGGGGGAATTGTCCTGTGTGTTTTAAGACGTTAAGCAGGCCGGGTGAGGTGGCTCACACCTGTAATCCCAGCACTTTGGGAGGCTGAGGCGGGCTGATCACCTAAGGTTGGGAGTTTGAGACCAGCCTGACCAACATGGAGAAACCCCATCTCTACTAAAAATACAAAATTAGCCAGGCGTGATGGTGCATGCCCATAATCCCAGCTACTCGGGAGGCTGAGGCAGGAGAATCACTTGAACCCGGGAGACAGAGGTTGCAGTGAGGCGAGATCGTGCCATTTCACTCCAGCCTGGGCAACAAGAGCAAAACTGTGTCTCAAAAAAAAAAAAAAAAGATGTTAAGCAGCGTCCTTGACCTCTGCCCAGATATTGCCAAATGTCACTTGGGGAGCAAAATTGGCCCAGTTGAGAACCACAGGACTAAGGTAAGCAGAATTATCAGGATAAAACAGACAATTCACCTCTATCATACCAGAGTTTTTTGTTTGTTTTTTGAGACAGGGTCTTGCTCTGTCACCCAGGCAGGAGTGTGGTAGTGTGATCATAGCTCACTGCAGCCTCAAACTCCTGGGCTCTCAGGAGGCTGAGAAGCAGTGAGTCACAATTGTGCCACTACAATCCAGCCTTGGCAACAGAGGGAGAACCTTTCTCAAACAAACAAGAGGAAGAAGAGGAAGAGGAAGGAGAGGAAGAGGAAGAGAAGGAAGAGGAAGAGGAGAAAGGGGAAGGGAAGAGAAGGACAAGGAGAAGGAGAAGAAGAAGACTCTGGGGCTCAAGCCATCCTCCTGCCTGAGCCTCCCAAAGTACTGGGATTACAGGTGTGAGTCACTGAGCGTATTAGTCAGGGTTCTCTAGAGGGACAGAATTAATGGAATATATACAGGAGTTTATTAAGTATTAACTCACAGGATCACAAGGTCCCACAATAGGCCATCTGCAGGCTGAGGAGCAAGGAGAGCCAGTCTGAGTTCCAAAACTGAAGAACTTGGAGTCCGATGTTGGAGGGTAAGAAGCATCCAGCACGGGAGGAAGATGTTGGCTGGGAGGCTAAGCCAGTCTCTCACATTTTTCTGCCTGCTTATATTCTAGCCTTGCTGGCAGCTGATTAGCTTGTGCCCACCCAGATTAAGGGTGGGTCTGCCTTTCTCAGCCCGCTGACTCAAATGTTAATCTCCTTTGGGAACACCCTCACGGACACACCCAAGATCAATATTTTGTATCCTTCAATCCAATCAAGTTGACGCTCAGTATTAACCATCACACTGAGCCTGGCCAAAGCTGGACTACTTGTAAGCTTTTGTCTGGAACCTGATTTGGGAGCCAGTGGCCCGAGGACGATGAAAACTATCAGAGGTGGCTGGGCACAGTGGTTCATGCCTATAATCCCAGCACTTTGGGAGGCGGAGGTGGATGGATCACTTGAGGTCAGGAGTTTGAGACCAACCTGGCCAACATGGCAAAACCAGTCTTTACTAAATATACAAAAACTGGCCAGGCATGGTGGCTCACGCCTCTAATCCCAGCACTTTGGGAGGCCGAGGCAAGTGGATCGCCTGGGGTCAGGAGTTTGAGACGAACATGGTAAAACCCCATCTCTATTAAAAATATAAAGAACTAGTCGGGCATGGTGGCAGGCTCCTGTAGTCCCAGTTACTCGGGAGGCTGAGGCAGGAGAATTGCTTGAACCCAGGAGGTGGAGGTTGCAGTGAGCCGAGATCATGCCACTGCACTCCAGCCTGGGCAACAGAGCGAGACTCCATCTCAAAAACAAACAATCAGAGGCGCTGACTGCAGTGACAGCCATCTGGCTCTGACAGTTCCTGTGCTTCCAGCTTCTTGCTATTTCAGGGGCTCTGGTCTTGATTCTTGCAGCTTCCCAAATCTGGTCCTACAGCTCCCCACCTCCTGTCTCTTTAGTGGTTTAGTGGGCGCCCCCTCCCCTGTATCTTTCTAGTGAGTTTTAATGTGCTTTGCTTAGGTAGGGCTGGTTTGTTTCCATTGTTGGCAACAAGAAGGAATTGGTCAAGGAGTCTAAGAAGTTGTCTGGAGAACCAAGAAAAAGATTTCCTGGAAGCATAGAAAGAGTGCGTTTCCGGAAGAAAGATTCATCAAGAATTTCAAACATCAGGGCCAAGTCAAGCAGGACAAGGACTAAAAGGTGCTCCTTAAATTTGCCTATGAAGAGGCCACTGCTGGGGAGGAGTGTGTCAGGCGGCAGTGGAGGGAGGACAGCAAGTGTAAAGGAGACTCTGCAACCTCCACCTCCCAGCTTCAAGCACTTCTTGTGCCTCAGCCTCCTGAGTAGCTGAGATTACAGGTGTGTGCCACCACACCTGGCTAATTTGTGTATTTTTAGTAGAGATGGGGTTTCCACACAACTGGAATACTACTGAGCAATAAAAAGGAGTGAACAGTTGTCCCTCGGTGTCTGCAGGGGATTGGCTCCAGGACCCCCTGCCGACACCAAAGTCCACAGATGCTGAAGTCTTTTCTGTGAAATGACATAATGTTTGTATATAGCTTCAGGTATGCTTTAAATACCTAATACAGTGTAAATGGTATGTAAATAATTATACTGTATTTTAAATTTTCTACTGTTTTTATTGTCTTATAGTTATTTTATATATTTCATTTTTTTCAAGTATTCTCCATCCATGTTCAGTTGAATCCATGGATGAGGAACCTGCAGATATGGAGGGCCAGCTGTAGTGATGGGTGCAGCAACATGGATGGCAGCATAATTTCAAAAAATAATATGATAAGTGAGGCCAGGTGAGGTGGCTCACACGTGTAATCCTAGCACTTTGGGAAGCCAAGGCGGGCGGATCACTTGAGGTCAGGACTTCGAAACCAGCCTGGCCAACATGGTGAAACCTCGTCTCTACTAAAAATACAAAAATTAGCCAGGCGTGGTGGCATGTGCCTGTAATCCCAGCTACTCAGGAGGCTGAGGCAGGAGAATCACTTGAACCTGGGAGGTGGAGGTTGCAGTGAGTCTAGGTCATGCCGCTGCACTGCAGCCTGGGCAACAGTGAGACTCCATCTCAAAAAAGAAAAAATTATGCTAAGTGAAAGAAGTCAAATACAAGAGGCTACATGCTATATGATTTCATTTATAAGATATTCTGGAAAAGGCAAAACTATAGGAAATCAGATTAGTAGCTAACAGGGGCTGACGGTGGGAGGAGGTGATTGACTGCAAAGGGACACGAGGGACCTTTTTGAGGCGACAGAAATGCTTTATATTGGGAATGTGGTGGTGGTTATGTAACTATACATTTGTCAAAACTCATCAAATTGTACACTGAAAAAGGGTGAATGTTAGTATATGAAAATTATATCTCAATAAACCTGACAAGAAAATAATAAAACAAACCTAAAAACGCAACAGGGTGAAAATAAGTCTAAGAAAAAAATAACTTACAGTTTTTCCAGTTCAACGGTCATCATGAGAATGTTCTTAAGTGTTGTAAGCGGGACTTGTGTTGTTCCCACGTCTCTGAAGAAGAAAGCCGAAACATTCATGATATGAACCCCAGTAAAAAATTCTGTACTTAAAAAGATAATTCAAGGACATGTGATTACTTCAATTTTGGCTTCCCTATAAAACAAGCCAGTTCAACAGTTTATTTGCCGCAAAATTCCAGAGAGCTCTTATTAAAGAAATTAAAGTTGATTTGCATCATCAAATTAATGATATTCAAGAGTAGGTCTTACACTGTTTATTTTTTTTTTTTACCATTATCTTACTTCTCATTTTCATATTGCATTCACCCATCTTGATTATTTACTCTTTTCTTCCTTTTTAGAATAATGAACACCTTTTCCCCTTTGCTTTCTTGGTTAAGTAATATTCCTCCATGTGTCTACATGTTCCAAATCTATATGGGTTCTTCAACACTGTTCTCTTTCCCCTGCTGGCTATCTTGACCATTACACATCCTTTCCTTTGCCAATAATGTTTTTCAATAACTCAGTTAAAATTTAAATTATGACATTTTAGCCTAAATGCAAAATACTTAATCTTTGATGAAAAATTTAAAAAGAGTATAAATCATCTCATGACTCCCAAGAGTACTATAGTACTTACAGATATTTTAATGCCAGTAATTTAAAGAGATACGGATCTTCAACAGTTGTCAGAGGATTGCGATTGAGAATTCTGAAAAATGCAATGGAATTAAAATAACCTGCATTTTCAATGTGTGAAACTGCATAAGAAGTTTACATTCATTTTTTGGTATGGAACTTGTGGGTAAAAAAAAAAGTCATTTTCTGTTTTTACCTAATAAATCAACATTAGACTCCGTAAAGCATTATTCCTTTGGGAACTACCTAGATCTCTAGGAGATAAAGTAGAGGAGAGAAAGAGGGGGAAAAACAGGGAAAAAAAAGTGGATAGCAAAGAAACAATATGCCACAGAACTTTTCAGGTCGAAAACCCTAGAAGTGACTATGTTGGTAGGAAGCCCTGATTCTGTAGGAAACACTATTTCTAGTGTCCTCCATAATTCAAGTTGCTCATCTTTTTGTTTTGTTTTGTTTTGTTTTGAGACAGAGTCTTGCTCTGTAGCCCAGGCTGGAGAGCAATGGCTCCATCTCATCTCACTGCAAACTCCGCCTCCCAGGTTCAAGCGATTCTCCTGCCTCAGCCTCCTGAGTAGCTGGGATTACAGGTGCCTGCCACCACAACTAGCTAATTTTTGTATTTTTAGTAGAGACAGGGTTTCGCGATGTTGGCCAGGCTGGTCTCGAACTCCTGACCTCAGGTTATCCACCTGCCTCGGCCTCCCAAAGTGTTGGGATTATAGGTGTGAGCCACTGAATCTGACCGCTTGCCTTTTATCTTTATAAAGTTATTAAAATTTATGGTTTAATTTGCAAAGTTAAGAAAAAAAAACAGGACCAATTCTTTTGCTTTATAGCCAAAGAAAAAGGGATAAATCTAAGAGGAGGAACTGGTCAAAACCATACTCCCATCACATACTCCCACTTGTCTTCTTGTATGACATCATAGCCTTTGTTACATTGCATGTAATCACCTGTCTACTTGTCAGTCTCCTGGACTATCAGCTCCCTGAGGGCAGAGACCACATCTTATTGTCATTGTCATCCCTGTGCCTGGCATGATGTCTGAAATTTACCAGACATTTAATAAATGTTTATTGAATAAACAAATGACATTTTATTTGTATGTCAATAAAATGAATAAATTCTTTTTGATGCAAATTTTTATTCCAAAATGCTGGAATCAATTTTCTTTTTAATTCTTTAAAGTGAACAAGGAAAAGAAAAGAAACAGGAAGAAATAAAAGAAAATCTGCCTTTAGGTTAACCCAAGAATCATCACCATACTTTTGCAGAAATTATAAAAATAATAATTATTACAGTGAGTATCTATTGGGCTGCTAGGTATTTGTGATCAGCATTTCACATTTAATCCTCACAATGCCTTATGGGCTAGATATTATTATTGCCCTATTTTATAAATGAGGAAACTGAGGCACAGAGAGGTTACATAACATCCTACATCACCAAGCTATTAAGAAGCAAAGCTGTAATTTGAAGTCATGTGTTTTAATCTGTATGAAGAAAAAGGGTTTACTTTAACCTTATGGTTTTTTAATTTTTATTTTATTTCTCTTTCTTTCTTTCTTTTTCTTTCCTTCTTTCTTTCTATTTCCCTCCCTCCCTCCTTCTTTCCCTTTCTTCCTCCCTTCCCTCCCTCCCTCTCTTCCTTCCTTCCTGCCTCCCTCCCTCCCTCCCTCCCTCCCTTTTCTTTTCTTTTCTTTTTTTTTTTTTTGACAGGAAATGGCACTTTAATAGTTGGGGCCAGGGTGACAGGACCAAGATGGGGCTAGCCTGTGTCAGTCAGGAAGCCTCCCTCTCCTGCTGGGATAGGGCCTTGCGGCAGCTCCTCCTCCCCGCTGAGGTCCTAGGCCTGCCACAGGCTAGCATGCCAGTGAGGTCGGTGGCAGGAGCCACCCAGAAGCCCCGCAGATGACAGAGCTGAGAACAGGGACTTCACTTCCACGTGTTGCCATTTCCTCACTGGAAAGTCCTTGGGAGGTGGCTGGGCTCAGCCTGAGCTCAGGGCTCTTCGGTGGGTGTTGGGACAGGGGCAGGGCGGGCACTTGCAGGTGGCACAGGCTTCATCAAGGCAGGACATGGGCTTCATCAAGGCAGGAGCCAGAGCACCCGAGCCCTGGCAGGGGAGGTATGGCCCAGGATGGGGCAGGGCCGTGTGCTCCTGGAACGGACATCCTTCTCTGCCAGAGACCTGCTCCCCAAGCCCTGTCCCTCCCAATCCCCAGGCAGCCCACTCTGCCCTCCATAGATGAATCTAATCCCATATATTACAATAAACTGCATTTGCCTGTCCCCATTGCCCCACCCTCCCCTACCCTGAGCCAGCGGCCCCCACTTCCTCATCCCCTGGCGGTGGCAGGTGCCCCTCCTCAAGCAGTGCCACATCCTGTCAGCAGCCAGCTGTCCTGGCACTGGCCTGAGGGCCGGGGGACGCAGAGGGCGGGGCTGCGCGGCTACTCCAGGTAGATATCTTCTGTGGGGCAGGTGTACTCCACAAACTGCTTGTGAAACTGCTGGAATGCTCTCCCCACGGACTCTGCCAGGGCTTTGGTGGAGTCTTCAGACACAAAGACGTGGCAGGCAAACCGGTGGTCGGCGAGGTGCTTGGTGATGAACCCAAAGTACTTGTTGTTCTTTGGATGATATCCGCGGAAAGAGATGTTTTTTAACTGGAAAAAGTGGCTACATTTATTCCCCTTGGCCTCCTGGGAGTCATCGGCCTTGACACCTATCTTCACACCCCGCACGCTGATCTCCAGGACACAGCTGGAGGGCGGGTTAAAGTGCACGGTTAGCCGGCGGGTGGTGGCAATCTTTTGCATAGCGGCAGAGAGGACGACATCGCCCTTGTGATAGGGAACCTGGACTGAGCCCAGGAACTTCACCCGGAACTGGTCCACCCAGTCACTGTTTTTAGCCAGGGCTGCCATGTGCTCGGGCTCCTTGGTGACTTCGATGGCGTAATAGGCAGTAAAGAAGCCCCGGGCACCAGTGCGCATGTTGTAGGCCTCGTACCAGTAGTCTTCAGCCTGGAGCTCCACTAGCAGAGGGTCATCCACTTCCAGCTCAGGTTCGTCTTCGTGTCGAGGCACAAACCTGAATATGGTCCGGTGGGTCTGCTCCTGCTCCTCCCGGTTGATGATGCAGGAGAACAGCCCGAAGGACTCGGCACTGGAGGAGCGGGAGCGGCCACTCATGAAGATGTTCAGGAACTTCTTGGAGAAATGGACGTCGGGTTCGTCAGGCGTGGAGTCCTTGGAGAGGCAGGCAGGAGGCTGGGGCCGGGAGGCCTCCTCATATTCCTCTCCGATGGCTGACTCATAGGGCGAGGAGACGGAGACACAGTTGTCGTAGACGATGGCCGAGTCACTCTCGTCACTGTAGTCTCCGAAGCACGGCCGCAGGCTCACCAGCTCCAGCTGCGCGTGCTCATCTACCAGCAGCGTGGGCTGTTGGTGGAGGTGCCTCGATCTGTGGTGGGGGCGGGGCTGCTCTGGGGGGGCAGCTCATCGCTCAGGCAAATGGGTTCATGCGGTGGTGTCTGCTCCCCTGTCTTCAGGGGTGAGGATGATCGAGACACCCGATCCTGCCAACTGTACTTTTTGCCCAGAGAATTATTATTCAGTGTGTCCTGAGACAACTGCACCTGCGGAAAGAGGTTGAGCGTGGTGGGCCGCTTGGGCCGGTACGTGTCCCCGCTGCCCGGGCCCTGGCTCTGGCCTTGGCTCTGGCCCTGGCCGCGGGACGCCGGCTCCTGGCCGGACTCGGCCTTGGGCGGCCCCGCTCCCGGCCGCCGGGCCGCGCGCTCCTCGTCGTCGTCCTCCTCGTCGTCCTCGGCCCCGGGAGTGTCCCCCGTCGCGTCGATCAGGTCCATCTGCAGCATCTCGGCCTGCAACCGGCTCCCCGCGCCGCCGCCACCCGCAGAGCCCTCCCTTTTCTTTTCTTTTTTCTTTTCTTTTCTTCTTTCTTTCTTTATTCTCTTCATGTCCCTTCCTCCCTCCTTCTTTCCCTTTCTTCCATCCTTCCCTCCCTCCTTCCTTCCTCCCTCCTTTTCTTCTTTCTTTTTTCTTTCTTTCTTTTTTTCATTTCCCTCCCTCCCTCCTTCTTTCCCTTTCTTCGTTCCTTCCTCCCTCCTTTTCTTCTTTCTTTCTTTCCTTCCTTCTTCTTTCTTTTCTTCCTCTCCCTCCCTTTCCCTTCTTCCCTCCTTCTTTTCCTTCCTTCCCTCCCCTTCCTTCTTTCTCTCTCTTTTTCTCTCTCTTTTCTTTCACTCTTTTCGCCTTCCTTCCTTTTTTCCTTCCTTCCCTCCCTCCCTCCTCTTTCTCTCTCTCGCAAAAAAAGAGTAAGCAGACATAATATCAATATATTCATTTACCTCAAGGACTGAGAATAATGAATTTAGTTCATGCAACTATGATTCTTCTTGTCATTTATTCAAGAAACTTTGAGATTCATTCCCATTATAGCTAAACACTCTTGACACTGGGAATATAAAGATAAATAACTCACAGTCCCCACCCTCAAAGGTTTATAATAGAGTAGGAGAAGGGAAACAGTAAACAAAAGTTTGAAGTGTGATATAGTGAAATATATATATTTGGTGTTTGACCTCATTTCCTCGTATACACTTAGAATCTCCAAAGTGATATCTTCTTGTATGCAAACAAATTGACTGGTAGCTTCAGGATGGGGGCTGGCAGCAAAAGACCAAAGCAGGATTAGAGGGTTGGGACTTTTCTTCCCCACCCCCCAACCTCCCAGGAGGTGAGAGGAGCTGAAGATTAAGTTCAGGGACAGAAAAAGCTGTCCTTGAAAATTCAAGGCCTTGAAAATGCAGAATTAAGTTTGAATATGAAAGGGAATAATAGACCCAGTGCTTTGGGAGGCTGAAGCAGGAGGATCCTTTGAAACCAGGAGTTCAAGACCAGCCTGGGCAAGGTAGGGATGCCCTGTCTCTACAAAAAAAATAGAAAAATTAGCTGGGCATGGTGGCATATGCCTTTAATCCCAGCTACTTGAGAGGCTAAGGTGGGAGAATCATCTGAGCCCAGGGAGGTTGAGGCTGCAGTGAGCCATGATTGCACCATTGCACTCCAGCCTGGGTGACAGACCCAGCACTTTGGGAAGCCAAGGCAGGTAGAACGCAAGGTCAGGAGTTCAAGACCAGCCTGGCCAAGATGGTGAAACCCCATCTCTACTAAAAATACAAAAACTAGCCAGGCGTGGTGGCAGGCGCCTGTAATCCCAGCTACTTGGGAGGCTGAGGCAGAGAATTGCTTGAACCCGGGAGGCAGAGGTTGCAGTGAGCCAAGATCATGCTGCTGCACTCCAGCCTGGGCGACAGAGTGAGACTTTGTCTGAAAAAAAAAAAAAAAAAAAAAAGAATAGATTTCCTGTGACCAATTTCGATATTATTTATTTTTAGCCAAACTTATTGATCCAGAATGACCAGTTTAGATAAATCGTGGTCCTGGGATGGAACACAAAAAAGTGGAATTTTATTAGAAAAGGAGAAGGGGAATGGCTATTGAACATTGATGTTGTGTTCAATATAGTGAGGGTTTTTTATTTTGTTTTTTGAGACAGGGTCTCAGGGTCTTGCTCTGTCTCCCAGGCTGGAGTGCAGTGCAGTGGCATGATCATAACACTGTAGCCTTGAACTCTTCAGGCTCAAGTGACCTTCCCACCTCAGCCTCCTGAGTAGCCAGGACTACAGGCATGCACTGCCACACCTGGCTCATTTTTCAATTTTTTGTAGAGATGCGATCTCATTATGTTGACCCGGCTTGTCTCAAACTCCTGGGCTCAAGCAATCCTCCGACCTTAGCCTCCCAATGCACTGGGATTACAGGCACAAGCCACTACACCTGGCCTGAACTTTCTTATTCTAAGGATTTGCAGAGTTTCTGTTTAAGCCATTATCTTCAAATAATGGTTTTAATTTCTTTTTAATCTTTATGTAAAATACCTTCTTTCTTTCTTTCTTTCTTTTTTTTTTAGATGGAATTTCACTCTTGTTGCCCAGGCTGGAGTGCAATGGCACGATCTTGGCTCACCACAACCTCCACCTCCCAGGTTCAAGCGATTCTCCTGCCTCAGCCTTCCGAGTAGCTGGGATTACAGGTATGTGCCACCACGACCTGCTAATATTGTATTTTTAGTGGAGATGGGGTTTCTCCATGTTGGTCAGGCTGGTCGCAAACTCCCAACCTCAGGTGATCCATTCATCTTGGCCTCCCAAAGTGCTGGGATTACAGGCATGAGCCATCGTGCCCAGCCCTATTATTCTTTTTTAAAATTTTTTTAAAATTGCGATGGGATTTTGCCATGTTACCTAGGCTGGTATCAAACTCCTGGGCTCAAGCAATCCTGCCACCTCTTTCTCCCGAAGTGTGGGATTACAGGTGTGAGCCAGCGTGCTCGGCTCTTTATTTTATTTTATTTTATTTTATTTTATTTTATTTTATTTTATTTTATTTTATTTTATTTTTTGAGAGAGAGTCTTGCTCTGTCACCCAGGCTGGAGTGCAGTGGTGTGATCTCGGCTCACTGCAACCTCCACCTCCCAGGTTCAAGTGATTCTCCTGCCTCCCTCTCAAATACCTGGGATTACAGGTGCCCACCACCACGCCTGGCTAATTTTTGTAGTTTTAGTAGAGATGTGGTTTCATCATGTTGGCCAGGCTGGTCTTGAACTGCTGACCTCAAGTTATCTGCCCACCTTTGCCTCCCAACGTGCTGGGAGGGCGTGAGCCACGGTGCCCAGCCTTTTATTTTTTATTTTTATTTTTAATCTGTCTTGATTTTGCTTCCTTCCTAAACAGTTTTGGCTTCGTGATCACGTAAACCAAGAGTCACAAACTGAAATGCCATCAAGGGGCCAAGCAGGTAACAAAATTCAAGTCATACAGGCTCAATGTCTTAGTCACCCCAGGCTACAACAGAATATCATAGACTGGGTAGCCTAATAATACAGATCATTTTCTCATGGTTCTAGAGGCTAGAAAGTCCAAGATCGAGATTCCCAAAGGGTTAAGTTTCTGGTGTTGATGCAGGGCAGGTAAGCCACAAAACTGGGGCTTAGACTGAGAGGGTTCTTGGCTTCACCCAGGAAATAATTCAAGGGCAAACCGAAGGTGTTAGAGGCCAACTTTTTTTTTTTTCGGGACAGGGTCTCACTCTGTCACCCAGGCTGGAGTGCAGTGGCTCACTGCAGACTCTGCCTCCTGGGTTCAAGTGATTCTCCCGCCTCAACCTCCTGAGTAGCTGGGAGTGCAGGTGTGCGCCAAAACACCCAACTAATTTTTTTGTATTTTTAGTAGAGATGGGGTTTCACCATGTTGACCAGGCTGGTCTCAAACTCCTGGCCTCAAATGATCCACCCGCCTCAGCCTCCTAGAGTGCTGGTATTACAGGCATTACCCACTGCACCTGGCCTAGATGCCAACTTTTATTGAAGCAGTGGCCTATAGCAACAGCAGAGGGACTGCTCCTTGCAGAGCAGGGCTACCCTGTAGGTAGTGTGACCAGAGTAGCAGCTCAGGGCAGTTCTGCAGTCATATTTACATTGACCTTTAATTACATGCAAATTAAGGGGCAGACTATACAGACGTTTCTAGAAAAAGGCTGATAACTTCTGGGTTGTCAAGTTGTTGCCATTGAAAGGGGTGGTAGGCTGAGCACAGTGGCTCATGCCTGTAATTCCAGCACTTTGGGAGGCCAAGGCAGGTGGATCATGAGGTCAAAAGTTCAAGACCAGCCTGGCCAAGATGGTGAAACACTGTCTCTACTAAAAATACGAAAATCAGTTTGGCGCGGTGGCAGGCGCCTGTAATCCCAGCTACTCGGGAGGCTAAGGCAGGAGAATCGCTTGAACCCGGGAGGTGGAGCTTGCAGTGAGCCAAGACTGTGCCACTGCACTCCAGCCTGGGCGACAGAGTGAGACTCCGTCTCAAAAAAAAGGCGGTGGGGTGGTAACTCTGGGTTCTGCCATGGAAATGGTAAGCTGACATGGCGCACTGGTGAGCGTGTCTTATGGAAAGCTGCTTTCACCCTGTCCCTGTTTCAGCTAGTCATCAATTTGGTCTGGTGTCCAAGCCCCATCTCTGGAGTCCAGTTCCACCTCCTACCTCAGCGTGGGCTTTATTACCTGGCTTGCCTTCTTGAAGTGGCCTCATGTGGCAGAGAGAAAGCTAGGGAGCTCTCTGGGTTCTCGTCTCATAAAGACACTAATTCTATTAGATCAGTGCCCAGCTTTATGACCTCATTTGACCTTAATTACTTCCCATAAATCCTTTTTTTTTTTTTTTTTGAGACAGAGTCTTACTCTGTCACCCTGGCTGGAGTGCAGTGGCATGCTCTCGACTCACTGCAACCTCTGCCTCCCAGGTTCAAGGAATTCTCCTTCCTCAGCCTCCTGAGTAGCTAGGACTACAGGTGCGCACCACCATGCCTGGCTAATTTACGTTTATTTTTTTTTTTGAGATGGAGTCTTGCTCTGTCGCCCAGGCTGGAGTGCAGTGGTGTGATCTCGGCTCACTGCAACCTCTGTCTCCCGGGTTCAAGCGATTCTCCTGCCTCAGCCTCCCAAGTAGCTGGGACTACAGGCGTGTGCCAAGACACCTGGCTAATTTTCTTTTTTTTTTTTTTGTATTTTTAGTAGAGATGGGTTTCACTGTGTTAGCCGGGATGGTCTTGATCTCCTGACCTCGTGATCTGCCCGCCTCGGCCTCCTAAAGTGGTGAGATTACAGGTGTGAGCCACTGCACCCCGCCAAGTTTTTATATTTTTAGTAGAGATGTTTTTAGTAGAGATGGGGGTTTCACCATATTGGCCAGGCTGGTCTTGAACACCTGACCTCAAATGATCCACCCGCCTTGGCCTCCCAAAGTGCTGTGATTATAGGCTTGAGCCATCGCATCCAGCCCCACAGGTAATACTTAATGATGAAAGACTATAAGTTTTTCTCCTAAGATCAGGAAGAAGACAAGGATATTCACTCTTGCCACCTCTATTCAACATTATACTTAAATTTCTAGCCAGGAAATTAGCAAGAAAAAGAAATAAAAGCCACACAAATTAGAAAGGAAGAAATAAAACCAGATGTATTTGCATATGACATGATCTTGTATGTAGGAAATTCTAAGGAATCCACAAAACCGTCAGAACAAGTAAACAAATTCAGCAAAGTTGCAGGTGTAAGAGTGATATAAAAAAAATTGGCCTGGTGCAGTGGCTCATGCCTATAATCCCAGCACTTTGGGAGGCCTAGGTGAGCAGATCATGAGGTCAGGAGTTCGAGACTAACCTGACCAACATGGTGAAAACCCATCTCTACTAAAAATACAAAAATTAGCTGGGGGTTGCGGCACGCACCTGTAATCACAGCTGTTCGGGAGACTGAGGCAAGAGAATTGCTTGAACCCAGGAGGCAGAGGTTGCAGTGAGCCGAGATCACACCACTGCACTCCAGCCTAGGTAACAGAGAGAGACTGTCTCAAAAAAAAAAAAAAGTAAATAAATAAATAAATTGTATTTCTATACAGTAACAATTAGCAAGCTGAAAATGAAACTAAGAAAATTCATTTACAATATCGTTTACAAACACACACTTAGGAATAAATTTGACCAAAGTGCTAGACCTTGTTCTTATTTATTTATCTTTTGGTTCCTAAAGTATCCACACCAAACACAAAATAAAGCAAAATCTTTTTTTTTTTTTTTTTTTTTTGAGACGGAGTCTCACTCTTTTGCCCAGGCCGGACTGCAGTGGCGCTATCTTGGCTCACTGCAAGCTCCGCCACCCGGGTTCACACCATTCTCCTGCCTCAGCCTCCCGAGTAGCTGGGACTACAGGTGCCTGCCACCGCGCCTGGCTAATTTTTTGTATTTTTAGTAGAGACGGGGTTTCACCGTGTTAGCCAGGATGGTCTCGATCTCCTGACCTCGTGATCTGCCCGCCTCGGCCTCCCAAAGTGCTGGGATTACAGGCATGAGCCACTGTGCCCAGCCACAAAATCTTAATAGTAATAAATTAATTTTGCAAAGTTGGAGGATACAAGATCAACGTACAAAAATCAGTTGTTTATTTATTTATTTTTTAAGAGACAAGACCGCACTATGTTGCCGAGGCTAGAATGCAGTGATCATTTACAGGCACAATTATAATGCACTATAGCCTCAAACATGGCCACAAGCAATCCTCCTGACTCAGCCTCCCAAGTAGCTGGTACTACAGGTGGTGCACCACTACACCTGGCTCAGTTGAATTTCTATACACTAGAAATGAACAATCCAAAAATGAAATTAATAAAACAATTCCATTTGTAATGGCACCAAAAAAAAACTTAGGAATGAATTTAACCAAGGAAGTGCAAACTACAAAACATTATTGAAAGAAATTAAACTTAAATACATGAAAAGATATTGTGTGTTCATGGATTGAAACACTTACTACTCTTCACATAGCAATGCCTCCCAAATTGATCTACAGACTCAACACAATCTCTATCAAAATCCCAACTACCTTTTTTGCAAAAATGGACAAGCTGATTCTAAAATTCACATTAAAATGTAAGGAACTTCAAATAGACAAAACAATCTTGAAAAATAAGAACAAAATTGGAAGACTCACGCTTCTTGATTCAAAATCTAATTCAAAGTACCAGTAGTTGAGCCCCTGGGCACTGGCATAAGGACTGACATATAGATCAATGGAATAGAATTGAAAGTCCAGAAATGAGTGCTCACATTACGGTCAACTGATTTTTTTTCTTTTTTGAGACAGGGTCTCACTCTGTCACCCAGGCTGGAGTGCAGTGATCAAGGCTCACTGCAGCCTCCGTCTCCCGATCCCCCTGCCTCAGCCTCCTAAGTCACTGGGACCACAGGCATGTGCCACCACGCCCAGCTAATCTTTTTTTTTTTGAGACAGAGTTTCATTCTTGTTGCCCAGGCTGGAGTGCAATGGCGCAATCTCGGCTCACCACAACCTCCGCCTTCTGGGTTCAAGCAATTCTTCTGCCTCAGCCTCCCTAGTAGCTGGGATTACAGGCATGAGTCACCACACCAGACTAATTTTGTATTTTTAGCAGAAATGGGGTTTCTCCATGTTGGTCAGGCTGGTCTTGAACTTCTGACCTCAGGTGATCCACCTGCATTGGCCTCCCAAAGTGCTGGGATTACAGGCGTGAGCCACCATGTCTGGCCTGCCCAGCTAATCTTTTTAATAATTATTTTTAGAAATGGAGTGTGCCTATATTGCCCAGGAGGGTTTTGAACTTCTGGGCTCAAATGGTCTTCTTGCCTTGGCCTCCCAAAATACTGGGATTACAGGTGTGAACCATGGTGCCCAGCCAAGGTCAACTGATTTTTAACAAATATGCCAAGACAATTCAATGAGAGAAAGTGTAGAAAAAAAAGTCTTTTCAAACAATGGTCCTGGGACAACTGGATACCCACACACAATAGAATGAAGTTGAAACCTCACCTCATATTATCTATAAAAATTAACTCAAAATATAACAAAGCCTTTGTTTATAAAACATTTGTTAGACTGAAAAGTAGAAAACTCTTTTTTTTGTTTTTAGATGGAGTCTTGCTCTGTTGCTCTGTTGCCAGGCTGGAGTGCAGTGGCATGATCTCAGCTCATTGCAACCTCCACCTCCTGGGTTCAAGCCATTCTCCTGCCTCAGCCTCTGGAGTAGCTGGGACTACAGGTGCGCGCCACCACGCCCAACTAATTTTTTTTTTTTTTTTTTTTGAGACCGAGTTTTGCTCTTGTTGCCCAGGCTGGAGTGCAATGGCACGATCTTGGCTCACCGCAACCTCTGCCTCCTGCGTTCAAGCGATTCTCCTGCCTCAGCTCCCAAGTAGCTGAGATTACAGGCATGCGCCACCATGCCCCGCTAATTTTTTTGTATTTTTAGTAGAGACGGGGTTTCTGCATGTTGATCAGGCTGGCCTCGAACTCCCGACCACAGGTGATCCACCCACCTTGGCCTCCCAAAGTGCTGGGATTACAGGCATGAGCAACCATGCCCGGCCCAGTTTTTATTTTTTTAATAGAGACAGTGTTTCACCATGTTGGCCTTAGAGGAAAACATAGACATACATCTTTATGACCTTTGGATTAGCAAGTTTTCTTAGATATGACACAAGTGTTTAACACAGAGCTCCCATATGACCCAGTAATTCCATTCCGAGGTATATATGCCAAGAGAAATGAAAACAGAAAAACTTAAAACACACACACATATGGCGAAACCCTATCTCTACTAAAAATACAAAAATTTTGCTGGTGTGGTGGCTCATGCATGTAATCCCAGCACTTTGGCGGGCTGAAGAAGGTGGATCATTTGAGGTCAGGAGTTTGAGATCAGCCTGGACAACATGGTGAAACCCCATCTCTACTAAAAATACAAAAATTAGCTGGGTGTGGTGGCACACGCTTGTAATCCCAGCTACTTGGGAGGCTGAGGCAGGAGAATCTCTTGAACCCAGGAGGTGGAGCTTGCAGTGAGCCGAGATCACACCACTGCACTCCGTCCTGGGCAACAGAGACTCTATCTCAAAAAAAAAAAAAAAAAAAAAAAAGAAACAAAGAAAGAAAAATTAGCCGGGCATGGTGACAGGTGCCTGTAATCCCAGCTACTTGGGAGATTGAGGTGGGAGGATCAGTTGAACCTGGGAAGCAGATGTTGCAGCCAGCTGGGATTGTGCCACTGCACTCCAGCCTGGGCAACAGAGTGAGACTCCGTCTCAAAAAATAAAAATAAAAATAATACACACACACATATACACATACACCTCTTTATTTCTTCAGCGAGACCTGAAGATATATATCCATAACATAAGAACAGGATGCTATAAAAAATGAACAATAAGAAAGCAAGAAAAACTATCATAAATTAGAAATATGATAGCCAAGGCTGGGTGCAGTGGCTCACACCTGTAATCTCAGCACCTTGGGAGGCTGAGGCGTGTGGATCACTTGAGGCCAGGAGTTTGAGACCAACCTGGCCAATATGGTGAAACCCCGTCTCTACTGAAAATACAAAAATAAGCTGGGCATGGTGGACCATGCCTGCAATCCCAGCTACTCAGGAGGCTGAGGCAGGAGAATCACTTGAACTCAGGAGGCTGAGGCAGGAGAATCACTTGAACCCAGGAGGCGGAGGTTGCAGTGAGCTGAGATCAAGCCACCGCATTCCAACCTGGGTGACAGAGTGAGAACCTGTCTCAAAAAAAAAAATAAATAAATAAAAGCCAAAATTAAAAATTCAATACAAAATTTGAAGGTTGAAGAAATCTCCTAGAATGTAGTATTTAAATTCTTTTTCTTTTGAGACAAGGTCTTGCTCTGTCTCCCAAGCTGCTGTGCCGTGGCGCCATTCTAGCTTACTGCAAGCCTCAAACTCCTGGCCTCAAGCAAGTCTCATATCTCAACCTCTCAAAGTGCTGGATTATAGGCATGAGCCACTGCAGCTGGCCAGAATGTAGAATTTAAAAGGTGTTGAAAAATATAAAAAATAAGAAAATTGGAGGATTGAGGCTGGTTGAAGGCAGAGGCAGGAGAATAGCTTGAGCCCAGGAGCTTGAGTATAGCCTGGGAAACACAGAAAGCCCATCTCTATATTAAAAAAAAAAATTCTTTTTTTTTTTTTTTTTTTTTTAAGAGAGAGTCTTGCTCTGTCACCCAGGCTGGAGTGCAGTGGTGCGATCTTGGCTCACTGCAACCTCCACCTTCCGGGCTCAAGCAATTCTTATGCCTCAGCCTCCCATGTAGCTGAGATTATAGGTGTGTGCCACCACACCCGGCTAATTTTTGTATTTTTAGTAGAGACAGGGTGGGAGAGTGTTGGGGGAGATGGGGCATGGCAGGGAGGGGATGGCGGGTTTTACCATGTTGGCCAGGCTGGTCTTGAGCTCCTGGCTTCAGGTGATCCTCCCACCTCAGCCTCTAAAAGTGGGATTACAGACGTAAGCCACCGCGCCCAGCATTTTTTTTTTTTTTTTAAGACAGTGTTGCTGTGTTGCCCAGGCTGGAGTGCAGTGGCACAATCTCGGCTCACTGCAACGTCTGCCTCCTGGGCTCCAGCGATTGTCGTGCCTCAGCCCCCCAAGTAGCTGGGATTACAGGTGCACACCATCATGCCTGGCTAACTGTATTTTTAGTAGAGATGGGGTTTCACCATGTTGGCCAGGCTGCTCTCAAACTCCTGGCCTCAAGCAATCCACCTGCCTCAGCCTCCCACAGTGCTGGGATTACAGGCCTGAGCCACTGCACCAAGCCCCAGCTCCAGATTGTGAGTTTCAGAGCCAGGCTAGATAGGATTCAGACTCAGAACTGTGAGATTTCTGCTGCTCAGGCTGTTAACCAGTGACTCATGGTTTTTTTTTTTTTTTAGGCAGAGTTTTACTCTTGTTGCCCAGGCTGGAGTGCGATGGCTCGATCCCAGCTCATTGCAACCTCCGCCTCCCAGGTTCAAGTGATTCTCCTGCCTCAGCCTCCCAAGTAGCTGGGATTACAGGTGCCCGCCACCATGCCCAGCTAATTTTTGAATTTTTAGTAGAGTCGGGGTTTCACCATGTTGGCCAGGCTGGTCTCGAGCTCCTGACTTCGTGATCTGCCCACCTCGGCCTCCCAAAGTGCTGGAATTACAAGCGTGAGCCACCGCGCCCTGCCTGACTTGTGGTCTTTTGAGATTATTTCTGATGTCCCATAGACATTTCAAAAGCAAAATGTCAAAAGCTACACTTGCCTCTCAAACCTTCATTCTCTCTGTGTGATAGGCACCCTCCTTCCCATCTTCCTTCGCTTCCATGGGTCACTCAAAGCTGAAGACCTGCAAGCCATCTCAGGATCCTGTCCTATATCCCATCAACACTCATCACACCCTCTCAATTCTGGCTCCTAAATACCCCTTGGATTTGGCCTCTCTTCCCCGTTCCCCACTGGCATTGTTTTATTTCAGGTCTTTATGATTTCTTGCCTGGGTTTCTGCAGCAGCCTCCTAACTGCTCTCCCTGACTCCAGTCTTGCCCTCTCTGTTTCATTTTTCATATTGCACACAGGGTGATTTTTCTAAAATATAAATGTGACCACATCTCTTGCAGGCTTAAAACCTCTCAAAGGTTCTTCACCCCCTCAAGGCTGCAGCACACACCTCCCAGCACAGCTCTGCAAGTTGACCCCGCCCTTCTTCTCCATCGGTGGTTCTCAGAGTGTAGCCCTAAGAGCAGCAGCACTCTGACCCGCTCCATCAAGATCTCTAGGCTTGGAGCTTGTGAGACTATGTAAACAAGGCCAGTTTTTTGTTCGTTTGTTTGTTTTTTGGAGACAGAGTCTCGCTGTGTCACCCAGGCTGGAGTGCAGTGGCTTGATCTTGGCTTACTCCATCTCCACCTCCCAGGTTGAAGTGATTCTCCCGCCTCAACCTCCTGAGCAGCTGGGACTATAGGTGTGCACCACCACACCCAGCTAATTTTTGCATTTTTAGTAGAAATGGGGTTTCAGGCCGGGCGCGGTGGCTCACGCCTGTAATCCCAGCACTTTGGGAGGCCAAGGCGGACGGATCACGAGGTCAGGAGATCGAGACCATCCTGGCTAACATGGTGAAACCCCGTCTCTACTAAAAATACAAAAAAATTAGCCGGGCATGGTAGCGGGTTCCTGTAGTCCCAGCTACTCGGGAGGCTGAGGTAGGAGAATGGCGTGAACCCAGGAGGCGGAGCTTGCAATGAGCCGAGATCACGCCACTGCACTCCAGCCTGGACGACAGCGAGACTCTGTCTCAAAAAAAAAAAAAAAAAAAAAAAAAAGAAAAAGAAAAAAAAAGAAATGGGGTTTCACCACATTGGCCAGGCTAGTTTCGAACTCCTGACCTCAAGCGATCCGCCCGCCTCGACCTCCCAAAGTGCTTGGATTACCGGTGTGAGTCACTGTGCCCAGTCAACAAGGCCAGTTTTTATGCACATTTAAGTTTGAGAACCACATTGCAGTTAATCTCATCTGGTTTCCTTTCTTGAACTCCATGCTTTAGCCTCATTGAACCATCAGTTTCTGGAAAGTGGTATATTATCCCTCACCTTCTATAATTTGCACATGCTATTCTCTGCCCTTATCCCATGGCAATGGCTTTGTCTGCTTTTATCCATATTCCCCACCTCTGTGGAAACTGGAAGGCAGGGTCACCACCTTATTCATCTTTACATCTTTAGGGTCTTGGACCTGACATACAGTAGGTGCTCAATAACTATTTTATTTCTCTCTCTCTGTTTTTTTTTTTAGAGATGGGGTCTCACTCTGTCACCTAGGCTGGAGTGCAGTGGCTCAATCATGGCTCACCTCCCCCTCAACCTCCTGGGCTCAAGCAATCCTCCTGCCTCAGCCTCCCAAGTAGCTGAGACTACAGGCACTCACCACCATGGCCAGCTAATTTTTAATTTTTTTGTAGAGATGGGGGTCTTGTTATGTTGCCCTGGCTGGTCTCCAAATATTGGCCTTAAGTGATCCTTCCACCTCAGCCTCCCAAAAGCGCCACTGCACTACAGCCTGGGCGACAGAGTAAGATTCCATCTCAAAAAATAAAAATAAAGATAATACACACACACATATATACACATACACCTCTTTATTTCTTCAGCGAGACCTGAAGATATATATCCATAATATAAGAACAGGATGCTATAAAAAATGAACAATAAGAAAACAAGAAAAACTATTATAAATTAGAAATATGATAACCAAGGCTGGGTACGGTGGCTCACGCCTGTAATAGATTACAGGCGTGAGCCAGTGAGCCTGGCCATTCAATAACTATTTTCTTAATGAACATTGAGGGTGAGATGAGCAGAAACGTAACTGCTAAAAGCAGGCAACATTCAGCTACCAGGATTTATGAGGGAGAACACAGTAAACTGTGCTATTACTTAGGAATACCTAGAGTCAATGTACATTTATTTTCATTTCACTCTAGCCCCACTGGTGATCTCTGCCCAGTAATCTAACTAAATTGATGACAGTGGGAATAAAAGGAAATCATAGATATGTATTATTGTAAAGGAAAAGAAATGCAAATGAATGGGTACAGGGACAGTCTGTACAATTGAAGATCTCATCTCTTCATATATATATATATATATATATATATATATTTTTTTTTTTTTTTTTTTTCAAGACAGGATCTTAGCACCTACTATTTGCAAGACTCCCCCTATGTTAACCTTTACAGCAACTCTCGGATGGATGTTTTATTATTGAGAGAACTGAGAGACAGAGGTCATTAAATATTTGTCCAAGATCCTACAGCCGCAACATGGTAAATCCACTGCTATTGGAACTTCCTGTTAAGTGAGTTCCATGGCCCCAAACTGCATTCCCACCCATGTTGCTCACAGATTGGTCACAATGTGGCTCACAGTCATAGGCACAGGTGAATGGATCAACCATTATTTTCGATAATGATTCTGGGGTATCATCTTTGACTCAAAAACGCAAACTGTTATTATTATCTATGCAGTCTACAGCCCTCTGCTCTACCAGCTGAGCTATCGAAGAGTGCACAAGCTGTTATTATATCACAAGATTTTTTTTTTTTCAGACAGGGTCTTATTCTGCGGCCCAGGCTGAAGTGAAGTGGCTCGATGGTAGCTCACTGCAGCCTTGAACTCCTGGGGTCAAGCGATCCTCCTACCTCAGCCTCCCAAGTAGCTGAAACTACAGGCAGGCACCACTATGCCTGGCTGACTTTTGTATTTTTTGTAGAGACGGGGTTTCGCCATGTTGCCAGGCTAATCTGCAACTCCTGGGCTCAAGCAGTCTGCCCACTTCACCCTCCCAAAGTGCTGGGATTTCAGGCTAGAGCCACCATGCCCAGCCCACAAGATCTAAACGCTACTGTTGAAGCAAAAAGACTTGAAGACAGAATTTGCCCTCCTAATATAAGCCCATGGTAACCTGAACCTCCTTCACCCTAACTCTCATCACAGTGTATTGTGATTGCTTATTGAAGATGAAATTTGATTTTCCTTTTTGATGTTACTTCTCCAGCACAGTACCTGGTATGTGGAAGGCACTCAAACTAGGGCCAACCTGGTGCCAGCTAACCTGGGACTAGTGCAAGCTCCTGAAATTCACCTGGTCAAGGGACACATGTTCACAGGATCTCCTGGGGTTGTGTCACCAAAAAAAAAAAAAAAAAAATTTCACCTGGTGTCTCTAGTCACCATGATTTTCTCTAAAATGCCACACAGAATTCTATGTATGGAATTTTTTTCTTTTCTTTTTTCTTTTTCTTTTTTTTTTTTTTTTTTTTTGAGACAGTCTGTCGCCAGTCTGGAGAGCAGTGGCGTGATCTCGGCTCACTGCAGTCTCCTCCTCCCGGGTTCAAGCGGTTCTCCTGCCTCAGCCTCCTGAGTAGCTAGGACTACAGGTCCGTGCCACCACGCCCAGCTAATTTTTGTATTTTTAGTGGAGATGGGGTTTCACCATGTTGGCAAGGATGGTCTAGATCTCTTGACCTTGTGATCTGCCCGCCTCAGCCTCCCAAAGTGCTGGGATTACAGGTGTGAGCCACTGCGCCCGGCCAAAATTTTTTAAAAATAAGGAAAGTTCAAGTTTACTTTAGATACCATAGTTCAGGATTTAAACTCCTGTCCTTACTTTGGAATGTCATTTTAGATACTTATGTGATTGACTGAGGAAAAAGACATTGTAACTGATCTTATCCCCTTTAAAAAAAAAAACCAGCTAACAATTATTCATTTAGTCTTCTGTACATTGTGTGAAATAAAATATAGAAGACTAGGGGACAGTTTCTGCCCTCAAGGAGCTTATGTGGTTTTTTTCGTGCGTTTTTTTGTTGTTGTTGTTTTGTTTTTTTTTTTGTTGTTGTTTTGACAGGTTCTTACACTGTCACCCAGGCTGAAATGCAGTGGTGAGATCTCGGCTGACTGCAACCTCTGCCTCCCAGGCTCAAGTGACCCTCACCTCAGTCTCCTGAGTAGCTGGGACTACAGGCATGCACCATCATGCCCAGCTAATTTTTGTGTGTGTGTTTTTGTAGAGACGAGGTCTCGCCATGTTGCCCAGGCTGGTCTCGAACTCCTGGCTTCAAGTGATTCACCTGCCTCAGCCTCTCAAAGTGCTGCGATTACAGTCATGAGCCACCTCACCCCGCCAGTCAGGCTCTTAAAAAATCCATCATACAGGCCGGGCGCCATGGCTCATGCCTGTAATCCCAGCACTTGGGAGGCCAAGTCGGGCGGATCACGAGGTCAGGAGATTGAGACCATCCTGGCTAACACGGTGAAACCCCGTATGTACTAAAAATAACAAAAAATTAGTCAGGCATGCTGGCGGACGCCTGTAGTCCCAGCTACTCAGGAGGCTGAGGCAGGAGAATGGCGTGAACCCGGAAGGCGGAGCTTGCAGTGAGCTGAGATAGTGCCACTGCACTCCAGCCTGGGAGACAGAGCGAGACTGTGTCTCAAAAAAAAGAAAAAAGAAAAAAAAATCCATCATATGTATTCACTAATTTAATCTTCACAACAACTCTAAAGGGTAGGAACTATTTTTTTTTTTTTGCCCCATTTTACAGATATGAAATGAGAGGCTGTGTTGAAGGTGTTTTCTGGGGTTGATTTAAATAGAATTAATAAACTCAGAAAAAAGATTCTTAATCGATAAAGGTGTTTTTTTTTTGTTTTTGTTTTGTTTTTTTTTTTTGAGTCGGAGTCTCACTCTGTCGTCCAGGCTGGAGTGCAGTGGCGTGATATCGGCTCACTGGAACCTCTGACTCCCTGGTTCAAGCAATTCTCCTGCCTCAGCCTCCCGAGTAGCTGGGATTACAGGCATGCGCCACCATGCCCGTGGTTTCACCATGTTGGCCAGGATGGTCTTGATCTCCTGACCTTGTGATCCGCCCACCTTGGCCTCCCATAATGCTGGGATTACAGGCGTGAGCCACCGTGCCCGGCCTTGGCTTTCATTCTTATTGTCCCATGGTTACCAGAGCCTAAAGAGGTAAAGAGGTAGGACCTATGAGGCTCTCACAGTTTTTTTTTTTTTTTTTTTTGAAACAGGGTCTCACTCTGTCGCCCAGGCTGGAGTGCAGTGGCGCGATCTTGGCTCACTGCAGCCTCCGCCTCCCGGTTCAAGCAATTCTCCCACCTCAGCCTTTCCAGTAGCTGGGATTACAGAGGCGCGCCACCACGCTTGGCTAATTTTTTTTTTGCATTTCTATTAGAGATCGGGTTTCACCATGCTGCGCAGGCTGGTCTCGAACTCCTGACCTCAGGTGATCCACCCGCCTTGGCCTCCCAAAGTGCTGGGATTACAGGTGTGAGCCACCGTGCCCGGCCTCTCTCATAGTTTTATTATTCTATTTTCCACAGACCCTTCCTCCCTTAATTTTCATGCCTCTTTAATATTGTTTCTTTTACCTCACTGACCTTCTTTTTCGTCCTCCTACCTTTTACTGTGGGTGTCTTATTACCCTTCTTTGGGAGTTTATCCTTTAGCATGTCATAGATCACTATCTTTAGGCAGAGGACACTGCATCTTCTCTAGTCCTGATTGTCTACCCTCTCTCAAGTTCCATAACTTCAGTTGCCTTGGGACACCTTCACTGGGTTTTACAAAACCCTGTTACCGGGAACTGAACATATTAAAAGCTAAGATTCCTCCCCAAATCTGTATGTTGCGCCAATTTTCCTGCCCAATTATCTTGTCTGTCCCCTGGTTTTGCGACCTTATTTAAACATTTAAATCCTTTTCTTTAAATTGGAATCTTGATGAATGGTGCAAAAATCAATGGATACAAATGATATGCCGAGATATGTAAGTCTTCCGCCCACTGGTTCCCTAGGCACTCAGTTCCTCTCCCAGGAGGTAACCACTGTTGCCAGCTCTTAGAGTGATTTTTGATTCCTTCTTCTACCGGCTCTATCTCAAGTCCTTCCCTGTCTGTGAGATGTGTGCCCTTTCCTTTCCAGGCCCTAGTGAACTGATATCTGGTTGAGTTTATATATAAACATTTTTATGTGTATATTTTATATACATATATAACATCTCTCCCTATGGCCTTCCGGCCTGGAGTTTTCATCACGTCGCTTCCTGGATGAAAGAACCTCGAGGGGTGAGGGGCAGGGGTTGGGGGTGATGGAGAAGAGAACCTAAAGGGGACTTAGGTAGGGCGTTCAGAGTGGCCAACTGGCGTGACGCTCTGTCAGGATTCCTATTCCTATTCCTCCCACCTCAGGCCCCCTTCTAGTCCTCTCAGCCAAAAGCCTCTCGTTTCCAAGGGCCGAGACAGAGACAGAGACAACGAGATACACAGAAACAGAGACGCCAAGGCACCAGCATCCCTCTCCCCCTTCTGTCCCGCCCCATCGCTCTGACGGACACCATTGCTCAGCCAATGGCGCTCACGATGTGCCCCTGAAGGGCCAATGGGCGCCAGAGGAGGGCGGAAGATTCCCCGCCCCCACTTCTAGGCTTGGTTGAACCGTGCAGGTAGGTCCGGGGCTGGGGGAGCTGCCTTTGGCACTGGTGCCCCTGGGGGTGGGGGCACGAGTGGGCCAGGGTGATGGTGAGGTAGAGGAGGTGTCCCTGACCCGACGAGCTCGAGGGAGCGGCCCGGCTGGGAGGCGGGGGGCCGCGGGGCCCGGGGAGCGGGCGCCGCCGAGGGCCCTGGAAGCGGCGGGGCTGGGGGAGAGGGGACGCGTGTGTGGGGCACGGGGACCCCCGCCCAGCGCCCACTCGTAGGCCTGGGACGCCGGCTGCCGGCCGACTGGCCTGAGGGCCTGGCTGCCCGGGGGGCGGGCCGGGGCCGCGGCCGGGGGCGCGGAGCGGAGCTCGGGGCGCCAGGCCGAGCCGAGGTGGGACGGACCGACGCGGAGAGGAAGGGAAGCCGCATCCCGCGGGGCGCCCCTCCTGAAGCGAGCCGGGCAGCGGCCGCGGGCGCCCCTGCCCTGAGCCCACCCCGCGCTCTGCCCTCCCTAACAATGGGAATGGGGCAGAAGGAGGCGCCCCACTGCGGGGAGGTGAGGGGTGGGTTTGGGACTGGGGTCCGCGGTGGGGGGAGGTGCGATCTCGGGCTCTCGCCTCTCCGCTCCCTCTGGCTCTGGAGTTGGGGGCCCCTGTGGGGCTCTGAAGTCCGCCTGAGACTTGGGTCAAGAGTCAAACTGTCGCCCCCCGCTCCTCCCCCAAAATCCGGTGAGCGGTAAGGAAAGTGATGCCAAGTCTTCGAAGCCTCAGTGACAAACGCATAGCAAGAACACATCCACTCCAGAGGTGTTTATTTTTTATTTTTATTTAAAAAGGGGTACTTTTCGACATTTATTTTTAAGAAGTGGGTGCTGTTATTTTTGTCCCTACGCGGGCAAGCCTCCATTTTAAGCGAAGCAGTAACTGGTTAAGCTGGAATTGTATACAGGCCCAGGACTTGAACGAGGATCCTACCAGAGGTCATTTAGTCCATCCTCCTGCCTCCAGGCAAATTTACCTTCCTCCCACCCTCAAAATTAAGTTGCTCGGTCTGCTTTTAACGATCTCTGGGGAAGAAGGGTCTTTTATTTGTTTCTAGTACTTCAGTCAAGAATAGGTTTTACTTTTCATGTGGAATTGACTCTGAAACTTAAGCATAATCTTGGGACAGTCGGGATGATTAGAGAGGTTTTACTTTACTAAATATAATTAAATGTGGCAAGGGTCTTTCTTTAGACGGTTAGTTAACAAATCACGTTTAGTGTTTATGAAGTACCCTGGAAAATTACTTTATTCTCTCTGGGATTTTGGCTAATTGTTTGATAAGCAATTTTACATTATCTAAAATACGTGTTACATATTTATTTCTCTTTTTATGTAAAGTATGTTTCTACACACATATATATGGAGACACACATTTGCCCTTTTCTAAAGGGGACTGTAT
Organism: Homo sapiens; assembly: GCF_000001405.40. Lineage (NCBI taxonomy): Eukaryota > Metazoa > Chordata > Mammalia > Primates > Hominidae > Homo > Homo sapiens. Next base: position 562,956 of record NT_167251.2, read on the forward strand.
TTTCTATACTTTTTTAGTGCGATGAGGCAAATAGTACTTCAAAATCCCTGCCCAGGTAGCTTAAACTATTTGCATTGTCTTGATTATTTTTTAGTCTAAATGAAAATCCTCTCTTTCAGATACCTTCTCGAAACAAAAGATTTTCCTACCTGCTTATACTTGGTAACCGAGGGAATTACTAAGACTTCTTGCTCATTTCTGAGTATTGTCTTTATATCCTGACACTATGAATGCTACTTGGATGCCTCTTAAGGTAAGATGTGTTATTTTTTCATTACCAGCCTCATTTTATTCATTTTTCTTTAGAATTGGGAATATTGTAGTTTTTGAATTTGCTATTCTTCACTTCCTTTACCTGCCATTTCTCTTGCCTCTTGTGTTTGCTTCCTAGGATTGATTGGCTATATCTTACTTTGTATCTCTACTGTTCTTTGATTATCGGTGTGAATGTTTTAATGAAGTTCTCAAATTAACTTCCATTATAATGAAAGGCAGTGATCTTTTTAACTTTAAATTATGGCAACTTACATAGTTGTAAAATTATGTTCCGGTCTTAGGATGGGTTGGCAATTCAAACATCTAGGTCCACTTTTCAAACAGGTACTTTAGAGTCATAGGTACTAGGGTGTGTCCCACTCTTGCAAATCAGTAGCTGATTCATGTGTTACAAAAGATGTGTCATTAACCATTTGTTTACTCTGAAACTTCATATAGTATATTAGGGCATTCTAAGACCTGCTGGTTTACACGTATGACTCTTTCAGAGTCCTCCTGCTGCACCCCAGTCCTTTGTGTGACATTTCATACTATTTTTCTCAGCAGGTAGCACTTACACCAAGTTTTATTTCACAGGGTAAACCTCATTTGGACAGTGTGGACAGATGACCTTTAGATGAAAAAGCTCCCATTGATGTGGTTCTCCAGTCTCTTTGGCTCCTCTAATCTCTTGTACATAGATGGCCAAAGAACTCTCCATTAGGACTAAGCAAAGGGCAGAGCTTAAGACTTAAGTAGGTGGCTTCTTTGATTTTCTTGTGACTAAAAATACATTAAAAAAAAATTAAATAAAAACAAACAGAAAAGACGTAAGGAGGGGATGGGAGGAAGGACAGAGAAGGATAAGGAGTCTTGGAAACCCTCCACCAGCTTCGCCTTTCTTCAGAGTAGGATACTAGCTTAGTTAAGATTGTTGGGTGCTAATCTGCTCTGTGGACTTCCAGATTGATGCAGAGGAGAAATCAGACAATAGTGCAGTGTGTGTAACCTAAATATCTGGACTTGTGGGAAATCTTAGGTCATGTAGGCTGAGTTCTCATCTTCATTTATGTTTCAGCTGCTATTGCTGGATAAGAGTGCTTATATTAATATACAGGAAGCCAAAGTGACACAGTTCTTCCAGCATTCTCCCTGAAAGAGTTGGAGGGGTTGCATGGGGAATGCAACCAGAAGTTCTGAACCCGTTAAGAATCAGAGGACCTGTGTAAGAGTGTTTCGACTTAGCAAGTGTTGAGCACCAGTGTTGGTGGCCTCTGTCCTCTTTAGGAAGCAGGCAAGGGGATTGAGATCAATACATTGGATTTCATTTTATAGTTTCCTAGGTTTTAACGAATGTATTTGGTACACAAAGCCCTACTTTTAAAGCTATTTCCAGTGTTTAAGGTTTTACCTCTAAATCTCTCTGAACCTGGGTTGTAATACAGTAACCTCAGAAGTTCTACTAGAGGTCTCTGGCATGGCAGGAATAGAGAAAGGAAATCAGCTCCATATCGTGAGTTACCACCTGTTACTACTTAAGAATGCAGTTAGGTGGTTGCCTTAATATTATGTTCCTTACCAATCCTTTGCTCAGTGGGAAACTTCTTCTAAGTGTAAACCAATTTTTGGGGGTAATGTTTTCTTCCTATTTTTATTACTTAGAAACCTTAAAAATTACAGTGTTCGTCTGGTCAGAAAAAAAGGTCCTTTTTGCGGGGAGGATAGCATTGAGTTTGTGGGCTGGAAAATAAAAGTGGGGAGAGGGAACTTTATTCTCTTTTTCATTGGTGAATATCCTTAAAACATTTCTAAGATGTAGTTTCAGATTGGAGCTACTTAATTTAAGTAAAAATAAATGATAGGTTAATTAAAGTGCATATTTTGGAGCCCAAATGTTTATTTTATATAGATCTTATATTTTGTTTCCAATTATCTTATTGTAGAATGAACTCTGTCGTTCTGTCAGGCATTGCGTAAATGTTAGACTGAGTATGTGCTTGTTTCCATGCGTATAGAAAATAGCGTCACACTCACTCAGTCTTCACAAATGAAAATGCCAGAGGAGGCAAGTAACAAGGAAGAATAACTCCAAACCAAAACTCCTCAATTTAAGGCACTCTCGTTAATTAGAAGTTCTCATGGAAATTATTATTTATCCCTTTTTCTCTGTGTTAGGGGTCTGTACCTTTTTAAAGCCTGAATATTTCTAGCCACGACTAAGCAATGTCAGTGATGTTACTAGGGTCTAGTTGTCAGGGTTAGGGCTAAGGAGTGGGTGAGATGGGAGAGGAATAGGGAAAGGAAGGAGAATTGAGTGAGTCGGAGAAAAGAGTGAAATGAAGATGAGGAGGAGAGAAAAGATACAGGGTCTTTAGTGTGTAGCATGGAGCCATCATCAGTTGTCTCAGGTAGTTCTTAGGGCTGCTGGATGCCTTGTGTGCTAGACTGAACTATGGTGAAATGAAGTAAAAACTGTTCTTGACAAGCAAAACGAGAGAATTAAAACATAATTTAATATGATATAGAAAGATCTGCAAGGCAGACAGTTAAGTGATGAAAGCAAGATGCAGAACAGTATGTATGATTTGATACCCTTTGTGTTTTTTGGAAAAAAAAAAACAGGAGAAAAAGATAATTTGCATTGGTGTATGTATGCAAAAAAAAAAAAAAAAAAGATCTTTAGGGCTGGGCATGGTGGCTCACACGTGTAATCCCAGCACTTTGGGAGTCCAAGGTGGGTGGATTACCTGAGGTCAGAAGTCTGAGACCAGCCTGGCCAATATGGTGAAACCCCGTCTCTACTGAAAATATAAAAACTAGCTGGGGCGTGGTGGCACACACCTGTAATCCCAGCTACTCGGGAGGCTGAGGCAGGAGAATTGCTTGAGCCCGGGAGACGGAGCTTGCAGTGAGCTGAGATCACGCCGCTGTCCTTCAGCCTGGCTGACCAAGCGAGACTCTGTCTCAAACAACAGCAACAACACAAACCTTTAGAAGAATAAATAAGAAAATGGTGGCACTGGTTACCTGTTAGGTCTAGGAATTGTTCAGGTAGAGGACAGAGTAGGAAGGAGACTTCTCATTGCATTATATCTTTTTACACTTTCTGATGTTTGTATCAGATTTTAAAAATTAAATAGGAAATTGAAAATTTTAGCTGGGCGCAGTGGCTCACGCCTGTAATCCCAGCACTTTGGGAGGCCGAGGCGGGCGGATCATGAGGTCAGGAGATCGAGACCATCCTGGCTAACACGGTGAAACCCCGTCTCTACTAAAAATACAAAAAAATAGCTGGGCGTGGTGGCAGGCGCCTGTAGTTGCAGCTACTTGGGAGGCTGAGGCAGGAGAATGGCGTGAACCCGGGAGGCGGAGTTTACAGTGAGCCGAGATCGTGCCACTGCACTCCAGTCTGGGCGACAGAGGGAGACTCCGTCTCAAAAAAAAAAAAAAAATTTTAAAGAACAGCATCTCAATCCTTCCTTTTCTTCTCTTTCTGTGTCTGGAAGTCAGAGAAATGGCAAGGGTTCTAACTGAGAGAATAGTTTTTTTGTTTTTGTTTTTGTTTTTTTGAGACGGAGCCTCACTCTGTCACCTAGGCTAGAGTGCAGTGGCGCAATCTCGGCTCACTGCAAACTGTGCCTCCTGGGTTCATGTCATTCTCCTGCCTCAGCCTCCCGAGTAGCTGGGACCACAGGCGCCCGCCACCACGCCCGGCTAATTTTTTGTATTTTTAGTAGAGACGGAGTTTCACCGTGTTAGCCAGGATGGTCTCGATCTCCTGACCTCATGATCCGCCCAACTCGGCCTCCCAAAGTGCTGGGATTACAGGCGTGGGCCACCGTGCCCAGCCGAGAGAATAGTTCTTGAACAGTGGTTGAGGGGATACACATGCAAAAGGGCCCATAATCTAGGACATGTGTTCTCTTGGGATCTTCAAGAATTTTGAATTTATAGATGTATATTTCTAGTATTGAACTGCAAAGTCAGGCATTAAAAAATTTAACTTGGCCAGACGCGATGGCTCACGCCTGTAATCCTAGCACTTTAGGAGGCTGAACAGGCAGATCGCTGGAGCACACGAGTTTGAGAACAGCCTGGGCAACATGGCAAAACCCCATCTCTACTAAAAATACAAAAGAAAATTAGCCAGGCATGGTGGTGTGCACCTGTAGTTGCAGCTACTTGAGAGGCTGAGGTGGGAGGATGGCTCGAGCCTGGGAGGTGGAGGTTGCAGTGGACTGTGATTGCGCCCCTGCAGTCCAGCCTGGGTGATAGAGCCAGACCTTGTCTCTTGTCTCATTAAAGAAAAAAAAAAAATTAACTTGTTCTTAAAGTTTTAGTAAAAACAGGTTTTCATTGTATATCCCCTTAAGTTAGCAATTAGATATAATCTCAGCATTCTTCTTCTTTTTTTTTTTTTTTTTTTAATGAGACAAGAGTCTCGCTTTGTTGTCCAGGTGATCTTGGCTCACTGCAACCTCCACTTCCTGGGTTCAAGTGATTCTCCTGCCTCAGCCTCCTGAGTAGCTGGGATTACAGGCACCTGTCACCATGGCCAGCTAATTTTTTTTTTATTTTTAGTAGAGATGGGGTTTCACCAGCTTGGCCAGGCTGGTCTTAAACTCCTGACCTCAGGTGATCCACCCGCCTCGGCCTCCCAAAGTGCTGGGATTACAGGCATGAGCCACTGTGCCCGGCCTAATCTCAGCACTCTTAACCGTGTGACTTTGGGCGATTTTCTTAATCTCTCTGAGATTCAGGTTCCTCCTTCATACTGGAAATAATAACACTTGCTTCAGAGGACTTTTGTATTTTATCTGTAAAGGACATAGGGCAGTGTTTGGTTCAGTGGACTACTACTATTGTTATTGTAATTACTAATTTTTTTTTTTTTGAGATGGAGTCTTGCTGTGTCGCCCAGGCTGGAGTTCAGTGGCACGATCTCAGCTCACTGCAACCTGTGTCTCCTGAGTTCAAGCAATTCTCCTGCCTCAGCCTCTCAAGTAGCTGGGATTACAGGCGCATGCCAGCATGCCCGGCTTATTTTTCTATTTTTAGTAGAGACGGGGTTTCACTATGTTGGCCAGGCTGGTCTCAAACTCCTGGCCTCAAGTGATCCACCCGCCTTGGCCTCCCAAAGTGCTGGGATTACAGGCGTGAGCCACCACGCCAGCTCTTATTGTAATTACTGTTAATAATAGCTCCTCATACACTAGTGGTGAGAGAGAGGGCTCTGGCTATGTGATATTGGGTAAGCTCATTAACCTCTTAGAACCTTGGTGTCCACACTGTAAAAAGGGTATAATGATAGTACCTAGATCCTAGAGTGGACTTTATAAGGATTAAACGAGTTTATTCACGCAGAGTGTTTAGAACAGCACCTGGTAGGTACTTAGTAAACCTGAGCTGCGAATTTTCTTATGACATCTGTTTGCTAAGGCTGCTGCCACAGAGTGACATATGCTGAGTGGCTTAAATAACAGAAATTTATTGTCTCCCTGTTCTGGAGGCTAGAAATCTAAGGGCAGAGGCATGCTTTCTCTGAAGCAACTGGGACAGGATCTGTTTCAAGCCTCTCTTCTAGCTTCTGGTGGCAGCATAACTCCAGTCCTTATGTAGAGTTCTCCCTGTGTGTATTTCTTTTGTTTTTTTAGACAGAGTCTTGCTCTGTTGCCCAGGCTGGAGTGCAGTGGCATAATATCGGTTCACTGCAACCTCTGCCTCTCAGGTTCAGGTGATTCTCCTTCCTTAGCCTCCTAAGTAGCTGGGATTACAGTCACGTGTCACCATGCCCAGGTAATTTTTTGTATTTTTTGTAGAAACAGGGTTTCACCATGTTGCCCAGGCCGGTCTTGAACTCCTGACCTCAGGTGATCTGCCTGCCTCGGCCTCCCAAAGTGCTGGGATTACAGGCATGAGCCACAGCACCCAGCCTAAATTTTGTATTTTTTGTAGAGACAGGGCTGCACCTTGTTGCCCAGGCTGGTCTCAAACTCCTGACCTTAAGTGATCTGCCCACCTCAGCCTCCCAAAGTGCTGGGATTACAGGCGTGAGCCACTGCGCCCAGCCTCCCTGTGTGTATTTCTTTGTGTCCACAATTTCCCCTTTTTTATAAGGACAAGTCATATTGGGATTAGAGTCCTCTCTGATGACCTCATTTTAACTTTATGACCTCTTTGAAGATCCTATCTCTTTTTTTTTTTTAGAGTCTCTCTTTGTTGCCCAGGCTGGAGTACAGTGGGGTGATCTCAGCTCACTGCAACCTCCTCCTCCTAGGTTCAAGTGATTCTTCTGCCTTAGCCTTCCAAGTAGCTGGAGTTACAGGTGCTCGCCACCGTGCCTAGCTAATTTTTACATTTTTGGTAGAGATGGGGTTTCACCACATTGGCCAGGCTGGTCTCGAACTCCTGACCTCAAGTGGTCCACCCACCTCGGCCTCTTAAAGTGCTGAGATTGCAGGCGTGAGCCACTGCACCTGGTCTGAAGATCCCGTCTCTAAGATCACATTCTGAGGTACTGAATGTTAGGAGTACTACATATCTCTTTGTTTTTTTTTTTTTTGAGACAGGGTCTCCCTTTGTCATTCAGGCTGGAGTGCAGTGGCACTTGGATCACTGCAACCTCCAGCCCCCTAACCCCTGGACTCAAGTAATCCTCCCACCTCAGCTTCCTGAGTAGCTGGGACTACAGGTGCACACTACCACATCTGGCTATTTTTAAATATTTTTAGTAGAGATGGGGTCTTGCCATGTTGCCCAGGCTGATATTGAACTCCTGAGCTCAAGCGATCCTGTGGCCTTGGCCTCCCAAAGTGCTAGGATTACAGGAATGCGCCACTGTGCCCAGGCCCCTGGAGTACTACATATCTCTTTTGGGGAACACAATTCAGCCCAGAACAGGTGTATATCATTTATCATGGGTACTAGACCCTCAACACCTACACATAGGAAATGAAAATTTTGGTGCAAATTGATAGCATGACTTAAAGAAGTAGATTATTTATTTAGCTTCTCATGTATTTATCTTTAACAAGATTTTTGTTTTATCTTTGAAACTTTTTTTTTTTTTTTTTTTTGTGACGGAGTCTTGCTCTTTTGCCCAGGCTGGAGTGCAGTGGCGTGATCTCGGCTCACTGCAACCTCCGTCTCCTGGGTTCAAGCAATTCTCCTGCCTCAGTTTCCCCAGTAGCTGGGATTACAGGTGCCCGCCACCACATCTGGCTAATTTTTGTAGTTTTAGTAGAGATGGGTTTCACCATGTTGGCCAGGCTGGTCTCGAACTCCTGATCTCAGGTGATCCACCTGCCTCGGCCTCCCAAAGTGTGTGAGTCACCAAGTCTGGCCCATACTCTTGGTTTTCTTTGCAGACCTTTTTCCTCTTTTGCTCCTAAAAACATTAGTATTTGCCTTCCCTTGACCCTTCTTCCTCTCACCCTGTGCAGTTTATGAGGAATGCCTTAGATAAACTTGTGCCTCACTTGCCGTCTATATGCCGATGATTTGCAAATGTGTGTTTTTCCAGCTCTGACTAGTTTTCTGATCTCCAATCCCATATACACAGTTGCTTCCTGGACATCTCTACTTGGATGTCCTATGGGCATTTTATTTTATTTTTTTATTATTATTATTACTATTGAGACGGAGTCTCGCTCTATCCCCCAGGCTGGAGTGCAGTGGCACGGTCTCGGCTCACGGCAGCCTCTGCCTCCCAGGTTCCAGCGACTCTCTTGCCTCAGCCTCCGGGTAGCTGGGATTACAGGTGTGCGCCACCACGTCCGGCCAGTTTTTGTATTTTTAGTAGAGATGGGGTTTCACCATGTTGGCCAGGCTGGGCTCGAACTCCTGACCTCAGGTGATCCACCTGCCTCAGCCTCCCAAAGTGCTGGGATTACAGGCGTGAGCCACTGCATCTGGCCATCTTATGGGCATTTTAAAATGATCTTATCCACTTCCCCAGTCCAACCTCTTCCTATCTTCGTATCTTAGTGAGCGGTAGTGTCACCCAGCCAGTCACTCAAATTAGGGATTTGAGAGGCCTCTGGGTTCCTTCTTGTGCCATTCTAGTCACCACATTCTTGAGATCCTAGCTCATAATATTTTCCTAGTCATCCTACTTCTCCTTTTTGAGTCCAGACCTTCATCGCCCTTTTGGCTGCATGACCTTCTGTTGTCTTGTAATCATTCTCCTTGACTGCTTTCTCTCTTCCAAGTCGCTGCCAACATGATCCTTGTAAAATGCATGTTCAAGCGTATGATCATATCCCTCCCTCTTCCACCATGGCTCAACTAGCTTTGAAGGTAGAGTTGAAATGTTTTGCCAGATCATCTCTCCACTTCTTCCTGAGCATCCTGTACGCAGTAGTACAGATAGCTTGTGCCCAGTTCCTTCTGTGAACCCTGTTGTTCTTTGCCTCTGGGTCTTCACACAAGCAGTTACCTCTGCTTAAGATGGACTCTACCCTGTTCTGGAAACTTACTCCCCCTAGTCTTTAATAACAGTAGTGGCTGGTCCAAGTATATTGGTGTTTACTATTAATTGATCACAGCCAGTTACAGATTTCTTTGTTCCTTCTCCACTCCCACTGCTTCACTTGATTAGCCTTAAAACAAAATAACAGTAGTGATAATAGTAATAACAGTAGCTGACACTGAGTGCTTCCTCTGGACCCAGGTATTATCACTTTATGATCAGAGTTCATAAAGAAATACAAATGACCAAGAGGCATATGAGAAACATTTTTATTCTGATAAATAATCAAAGGAATGCAGATTAAATGACATACTATTTTTTACCTATCAGATTTGCAGTTGACTGTGCTGTCAAAGGTGGTAAGGGGACAATCTCTGAAACTGTTAGTGTGTGTGCATGTGAGTGTGCATATGCAGACCTAGCACTTCTATTGTACTGATTGCTGGTTTGCTCCACTTTGAACCCAGCTAGTGTCTAGGTTCTTTGAGAGTGAGGACTTGCTCTTGTCTTTTATCCTCACTGCTTGCTGTTTTTGTTTCTTTTTTTTTTTTTGAGACGGAATTTCGCTCTTTGTTGCCCAGGCTGGAGCGCAATGGCGCGATCTCGGCTCACTGCAACCTCTGCCTCCCAGGTTGAAGTGATTCTCCTGCCTCAGCCTCCCAAATAGCTGGGATTACAGGTGCCTGCCACCACGCCCAGCTAATTTTTGTATTTTTAGTAGAGACAGGGTGTCACCATGTTGGTCAGGCTGGTCGCGAACTCCTGACCTCAGGTGATCCACCCCCCTCAGCCTCCCAAAGTGCTGGCATTACAGGCGTGAGCCACCATACCCGGCCATCACTGCTTGCTCTTGATGGCACTTAGTAAATGAGTGTTAAAGACTGTATTGCTGGACTTGGGACATGCATCTTTAGGAGGGTATCAGTGGAAAAGCTGAGAGTCACATGCATTTGCCAGTCTTGGCCTTACTCTTTGGATCTATTGGTCCCAGTCTGATAAGTGCAAGCAACTTTGGAATAAGGATTGCCAAGAATTAAGATTTTTAATACTCTTTCTTTGAATGCTAAAGGGCAAAAGTGTTTTTGTTGTTTTTGTTTTTGGAAAAAGAGAACTAGTTTGCTGACCACCCAGTGTCATTTGGTAATTTAGAGTGTTTTCACATAGTTAAAGTATAGGGAAATGAATATTTAGGCCTGTGATGTTTATATATGCCAGGTAGTATATTTGGCAGGGAATTGATTTTTAGAATTGTTTGTGACATTAGTTCTTGCATATTAGTTTTTTTTTTTTTAAATGGAGTCTCACTCTGTTGCCCAGGCTGGAGTGCAGTGGCGCAGTCTCGGCTCACTGCAACCTCCACCTCCTGGGTTCAAGCAATCCTCGTTCCTCAGCCTCCTGAGTATCTCGGACTACAGGCACGTGCCACCACACCCGGCTGATTGTTATATTTTTAGTAGAGACAGGGTTTCACCATGTTGGCCAGGCTGGTCTTGAACTCCTGACCTCAGGTGATCCACCCACCTCGGCCTCCACAAAGTACTGGGATTACAGGTGTGAGCCACTGCACCCCGCCTAGTTCCTGCACATTAGAAAACGTTTGGGCCGGGCACGGTGGCTCACGCCTGTAATCCCAGCACTTTGGGAGGCCGAGGCGGGCCCATCACGAGGTCAGGAGATCAAGACCATCCTGGCTAACATGGTGAAACCCCGTCTCTACTAAAAATTAAAAAAAAAAAAAATTAGCCGGGCGTGGTGTTGGGTGCCTGTAGTCCCAGCTACTCGGGAGGCTGTGGCAGGAGAATGGTGTGAACCCGGCAGGCGGAGCTTGCAGTGAGCTGAGATCACGCCACTACTCTCCAGCCTGGGCCACAGAGCGAGACTCCGTCTCAAAAAACAACAACAACAACAACAACAACAACAAAAAACAAATAAAACGCTTGTCCCCCTTGCCTTCTCCATCACAGCTCTGTTAAGTATGAGTTTAGATACACAGTATTTTCTTTTTTATTACCGTGTATAATTTGTATTTGTAGCAGCAGCCCAGAAGACAGGCAAGCGTATGGTTCTAGCTCACTTTTTTTTACTGGGCACTTGATGGTGGTGGTAATTTATCTGTCAGCAGGGGGAGCTGCAGTTGCTGATATTTAAATGATTCCATCTCAGCTGGTTTTCCACAGAAAGTTTGTCGGCCAAGAGAAAGAAAAGTTTTGCTGGCAAAGAACATGATCAGAGTTCATAAGGAAGAAATACAAATGACCAAGAAGCATATGAGAAACATTTTTATCCTGATAAGTAATCAAAGGAATGCAGATTAAATGACATACTCTTTTTTTAACCTATCAGATTTACAGTTGACTGTGCTGTCGAAGGTGGTGAGGGGACAATCTCTGAAACTGCTAGTGGAGTGTGCATTGGGCCTAGTTTTTTTGAAAGATATTTTGGCAACATATATTGGCAAAATTAAAAACGTTCTTTAATTCAGTAATTGCACATCTAGGAATTTATCCTAAAGGGGAAAAATTAAGATATATAGAAAGATTTGTGAACAAAGATGTTCATTGTAACATTATTCATATTAGTGAGAATTGAGAATAAACCTAAATGAGCAGCAAGATTTATAGGAAAATAAATCATGGTATATTTAAGGATGGACATTTACAACCATGGAATAGTATTTGAAAGAATTTTTCTGGCCGGGTGCGGTGGCTCATGCCCGTAATTCCAGCACTTCAGGAGGCCGAGGCGGGCGGATTATGAGGTCAGGAGATCGAGACCATCCTGGCCAACATGGTGAAACCCCATCTCTACTAAAAATACAAAAATTAGCTGGGCGTGGTGGCACGTGCCTGAAATCCCAGCTACTCAGGAGGCTGAGGCAGGAGAATTGCTTGGACCAGGGAGTTGGAGGTTGCAGTGAGCTGAGATGGTGCCACTGCACTCCAGCCTGGTGACAGAGCAAGTCTCTGTCTAAAAAAAAAAAAAGAATTTTTAATGTCTTAGGATGTTGAGTAAATGATAAATGAAAAATTCAGGGTGCAGAGCTATATAAGGAGCATTCTAAGTGTATAAAGATAAGGAATGTATATATGTTCTAGTATAATATGTATGTATATATTACACACACATACATACTGAGGTAAAAGAATGGAAGGAAGTCTATACCAACCAGCCTCCTTGAGTCTGTCTGTCCGGGGTCTGTCCAACCAATTGTTCTGTCTAAATTGGCACCAAGTGATGTTTTCAGGTGAAACATTGTTATCTGTTAAGATGTTAACCTCAGAAATGTAGGGCCTCACGTCTGATAGCACTTCTATCCTGTAGGACCTGAATGGACCTAATATACATACATTTATCCAAGCACTTGAATCTATTTTTAACTTGTAGATTGTGGTAACACAATCCACAAGTTTCTTTTATCTGTTATAGAAAGAAATACTTTTCAAGCATAAAAGGTGAATAAATTAGTATTTACCACATTGATACGTTTTCTGATTTTGATCACATTGCCCCTTTGCTTTCATGTTTCTCAACTGAAGATGCTTGACTTTTTAATTTAATCTCCAGTGAAACCTCCTTCCAGGATCTTTGTCAGCATTGCTTTCCCTTTCTGGATTTATGATAACTACTCAGAACTGCATTTTAGTTATAACTACACTGTGATTTGGTAGAAGGATAAGAAAATATGTTCTATTTACAGCAAGCTTGTCCGACCCATGGCCCACAGGCTGCATGCGGCCCAGGACAGCTTTGAATGTGGCCCAACACAAATCTGTAAACTTTCTTAAAACATTATGAGATTTTTTTTAAGATTTTCTTTTTTAGCTCATCAGCTATTGTTACTTTAGTGTATTTTATGTGTGGCCCAAGACAGCTATTCTTCCAGTGTGGCTCAGGGAAGCCAAATGATTGGGTACCCTTGATTTACAGTTTTTTCCCAATAGGATTTGGTCCTCCCTCCCTCCCTTTTTTTTTTTTTTTTTTTTTTTTGCATAGAACATCACGTTGTCTTTAGGGAATATTCTATAATTATTCAAAAATTCCTTTTTTGACTTGAAGGCATGAGTCTTTTAAGTATAGCTTAGATTTTTTTTCCTGTAAATGCCTTACTTTTCATTTGTCCATGCTGTAACATACCTGCCATTTCCTCGCATGTAATTTTTTAACACTCATATCTCAGTGGGCTCTTAGAGGTAATCCAAGGTAAGAACCACCTTTTTAGTTAGGTCTGATGGTTAGAAAGCTTGAGTTGAAGCGTGCCCTTCTGGAATTGCCACTTTGGGCCCAATTTTGTCTACATGGGAACTGCTTAGAGCAAGTCTGGTTTGTCTTCTGCTAGATAACCCTTCACATATTTAGACAGCTTTTATACTTGCCAAAGCATTCTCTAAGCTGAATATAAATCTTAGTTTTTGCAAATGTTTCTCGTTTAATATATTTAGAAACCCTTTCCATCACTCCGTTCCCTATTTTTCCAACTCGTGTGGTATTTCATTATTAGGAATCTCATCATCCCATCTGCAAAATGGGGAATTCTCTGTATATTTTTTGTACAATATATTAAAATGTTAAATATAGCATTTCTAAAAAAATTTTCAATCTTCTGTTTTTACTTCTTCATTTGGGGAAGTACCTCAGCATCTACCTATAATTTTCTGTGTCTCAGTTATGTCCAGTCTACAGTAAATGTTCTCATCCTGTGGCCACTCAGGTCTTTAAAAAAAAACTTTAATTTAGAATCTTATCAAGAGTTTTGTGAAAGCTCACATAAATTATATTCACATATTTCTTTTCTTTTCTTTCTTTTTTTTTTTTGAGACAGAGTCTCACTCTGTTGCCCAGGCTGGAGTGCAGTGGTGCGATCTCGGCTCACTACAACCTCCGCCTCCCGGGTTCAAGCGTTTCTCCTGCCTCAGCCTCCCGAGTAGCTATGACTACAGGTGCTCACCACCACACCCAGCTAATTTTTGTATTTTTAGTAGAGTTGGGGTTTCACCATGTTGGCTAGGATGGTCTCGATCTCCTGACCTCATGATCCACCCGCCTCAGCCTCCCAAAGTGCTGGGATTACAGGCATGAGCCACCGTCACCCAGCCACACATATTTATTTTCTCAGAGAATTTGGGTGAACTGGTGTGGTGTGATGTCCACTTTTAGAATCCATGTTGTCTTTTCCTCAGAAGGTTATTCATGCTGATATGTCTTCTGAGCCCATCTTTATTAGAGATTTGCTAGTTTGGGCAGTTTGAAGTTGCAGCCTACTCGAGTAGATGGAAGTTACTTTGATGACAGCATTTTTTTGTTCGTTTTGGTTCAGCACATACTTATTGAGTACCTAATATGCCAGAAGTTGAGCAAGGAAAATATTGATAAAGGAAAAGTGGATTCTATCCTCCTGGCATTTAGAGAAGGTCACTCATATGACCGTCAGCTAATATGTTCTGTCCTGCAGTTTAATAATTTATACTTAAATGCCTTTAAAACACAGAGAAGGGGCTGGTCGTGGTGGCTCACACCTGAAATCCCAGCACTTTGGGAGGCCGAGTTGGGTGAATCACTTGAGGTCAGGAGTTTGAGAACAGCCTGGGTAACATAGTGAAACCCTGTCTCTACTAAAAATACAAAAATCAGCCAAATGTGGTGGCACATGCCTGTAATCCCAGCTACTTGGGAGGCTGAGGGGGGAGAATGGCTTGAACCCGGGAGACAGAGGTTGCAGTGAGTCGAGATGGTGCCACTGCACTCCAGCCTGGGCAACAGAGTGAGACTCTGTCTCAAAAAAACAACAACAAAAAACCCATGGAGACTATTTTGGGTCTTCATGACTACCTGACATCTGACATATCAGTTTGAGGAATTTAGTATATTTAATGATGCATTTGATTCACTATTAGAGATTTGTATGCTTATTAAGAGTAATTTAGATAGCTTTTCCCCTCTACCTTCCCCAGTAAATATCGAAGCAAATAAGAATTATATAATATCAGCTGTCTTGCTTTTTATCAATCCCACTTATCAAGTGACCCATCCAGTTTTATTTGGCATCGAGCTTTTTATGTATTTAAACTGTCTCTTAGGTGACTTTGCATTTTCTTTTTTTTTTGAGATGGAGTTTTGCTCTTGTCACTCAGGCTGGAGTGCAATCGGCGCAATCTTGGCTCACTGCAACCTCCGACTCCCGGGTTCAAGCAATTCTCCTGCCTCAGCCTCCCAAGCAGCTGAGACTGCAGGCATGCGCCATCACGCCTGGCTAATTTCTGTAGTTTTTGGTTTTTTTTTAGTTGAGATAGGATTTCACCATGTTGGCCAGGCTGGTCTCGAACTCCTGACCTCAAATGATCCGCCCCACTCGGCCTCCCAAAGTGCTGGGATTACAGGCGTGAGCCACTGCGCCCGGGCTGCATCATTTTGTTGTAAGGTTTTTTTTTTTTTTTGAGACGGAGTCTTGCTGTGTTGCCCAGGCTGGAGTGCAGTTGCAGGATCTCGGCTTCCTGCAACCTCCGCCTCCAGGTTCCTGCACCCTCCGTCTCCGGTGGGCTGAGCTGAGGTGGGACAGACTGACGTGGAGAGGAAGGGAAGCCACCTGGCCTGAAGATCCTGTCTCTAAGATCAGGTTCTGAGGTGCTGAATGTTAGGAGTACTACATATCTTTTTTTTTTTTTTTTTTTGAGACAGGGTCTCCCTCTGTCATCCAGGCTGGAGTGCAGTGGCACTTGGATCACTGCAACCTCCAGCCCCCTAAACCCCAGGCTCAAGCAATCCTCCCATCTCAGCTTCCCGGGTAGCTGGGACTACAGGTGTGCACTACCACACCTGGCTATTTTTTTATATTTTTAGTAGAGCCGGGGTCTTGCCATGTTGCCCAGGCTGATATTGAATTCCTGAGCTCAAGCGATGCTGTGGCCTTGACCTTCCAAAGTGCTGGGATTACAGGCATGTGCCACTGTGCCCAGCCCCTTGGAGTACTATATATCTCTTTTGGGGAACAAAAGTCAGCCCAGAACAGGTGTATGTCATTTATCATGGGTACAAGACCCTCAACACCTACACATAGGAAATGAAAATTTTGGTGCAAATTGATAGCATGACTTGAAGAAGTAGATTATTTCTTTAGCATCTTGTGTATTTATCTTTAACAAGATTTTTGTTTTAACTTTGAAACTTTTTTTTTTTTTGAGACGGACTTTTGCTCTTTCACCCAGGTTGGAGTGCAGTGGTGTGATCTTGGCTCACTGTAACCTCCGCCTCCTAGGTTCAAGTGATTCTCCTGCCTCAGCTTCCCCAGTAGCTGGTATTACAGGCGCCTACCATCACACCTGGCTAATTTTTGTCTTTTTAGTAGAGACGGGGTTTCACCATGTTGGCCAGGCTGGTCTCAAACTCTTGACATCAGGTGATCCACCCGCCTCAGCCTCCCAAAGTGCTGGGATTAAAGGCATGAGCCACTGTACCTGGCCTTTTTGTATTTTTTGTAGAGATGGGGTTTTACCATGTTGCCCAGGCTGGTCTGAAACTCCTGAGCTCAAGCAGTCCCCGCACCTTGGCCTCCCAAAGTGTTGGGATTACAGGCCTGATCCCCTGTGCTCAACCTGATGAGATCTTTTCATGTGCTTATTGGCCATTCATATATCTTCTTTGGAGAAATGTCTATTTAAATTCTCTGCACATTTTAATTTTATTTTTATACACCTATTGTTTTTTAGGCTAGGTCTTGCTCTGTCACTCTGGCTAGAGTGCAGTGGCCAATCGCAGTTTTCTTTTTTGGAGATGGAGTCTTGCTCTGTCACCCAGGCTGGAGTTCAGTGGCACTATCTTGGCTCACTGCAATCTCTGCCTCCTGGGTTCAAGTGATTCTCTGCCTCAGCCTCCCAAGTAGCTGGGATTAGAGGCACCCACCACCACGCGCAGCTAATTTTTGTATTTTTAGTAGAGATGGGGTTTCACCATCTTGGCCAGGTTGGTCTTGAACTCCTGACCTCATGATCCACCCGCCTTGGCCTCCCAAAGTGCTAGGATTACAGGCGTGAGCCACCGCACCCGGCCCAATCATAGTTTCTGGAACTTCAAACTCCTGGACTCAAGGGTTCCTTCTGCCTTAAGCTCCTGAGTAGCTAGGACTACAGGTGT
Source organism: Homo sapiens (assembly GCF_000001405.40). NCBI lineage: Eukaryota > Metazoa > Chordata > Mammalia > Primates > Hominidae > Homo > Homo sapiens. Next base: position 579,805 of record NT_167251.2, read on the forward strand.
GTGCCACCATGCCTGGCTAATTGTTTTTTTTTATTATTATTAATTTATTTTGTAGAGACAGGGTCTTGCTATATTGCTCTGGCAGGTCTCAAAATCCTTGCCTCAAGGGATCCTCTCCTTCTGGTGTGAGCCACCATGCTCAGCCTTTGCCCATTTTAAAATTGGATTCTCTTTTTATTGTTGAGTTGTAAGAGTTCTTTAAATATACTAGATACAAATCCCTTGTGAGATACATGATTTGCAAATATTTTCTCCCATCTATGGGTTGTGTTTTCAATTTCTTGATGGTGTCCTTTAATGTACAAAATGTTATAATTCTGATGAAGCCAAATTTACTTGTTTTTTCCTTTGTTGCATGTGGTTTTGATGTCAGGCCACCAAATGAAATGAAGATTAGCTTTGTTTTCTTCTAGGAATTTTATTGTTTTAGCTGTTACATTTAGGTCTATAATCCATGTTTAAATTTAATTAGAATTAATTTTTGTGTATGGTGTGAGATATAGTGGTCCAGCTTCATTCTACTGCATGTGAATATTCAGTTGTCCCAGCATGGTTTGTTGAAAAGACCATTGTTTGTTTCTTGTAGAGATGGGGGTCTTGCTTTGTTGCCCTGGCTAGTCTCAAACTCCTGGCCTCAAGCAATCCTCCTGTCTTAGCCTCCCCAAATGCTGGGATTATAGGTGTCAGCTACAGCACTTGGCTTAAAAAGACCATTCTTTCCTCCACTGAATTGTCTTGGCATTTTTGTCAAAAAATCAATTGACTGTCAGTGTAAAGGTTTATTTCTGAACCCACACTTATATTCCATTGATCTGTATGTTTATCCTTATGCCACTACCACACTGTCTTGATTTCCATAGCTTTGAATTATGTTTTCAAATCAGGAAGTGTGAGTCCCCCAACTTTGTTTTTCCTATTCAAATTTCTTTTGGGTATGCTGAGATCACATTGATTCTGTAGATCAATTTAGGGAATATTGCCATTTTAACAGAGTTGTATCTTCTGATCCATTCTCATCCATGAACATGGGATGTCTTTCCTTTTTTTTTTTTTTTTTTTTTGGGGGGACACAGTCTTGTTCTGTCATCCAGGCTGCAGTGAAGTACAGTAATGCAATCATGGCTCACTGCAGCTGTAACCTACTAGGCTCAAGTGATCTTCCCTCCTCAGCCCCCCAAGCAGCTAGGATTACAGGTGCATGCCACCACATCTAGCTCATTTTTGTATTTTTGTAGAGATGAGTTCTTGCCATGTTGCCTAGTCTGATCCTGAACTTCTGCGCTCAAGCAGCCCACCCACTTCAGTCTACCAAAGTGCTGGGATTACAGGTGTGAGCCATCACACCTGGCCTTTCCATTTAGTTAGGATTTCTTTAACTTCTTTTGTAATTTTTATATATCTCAGAGTATAAGATTGTCACTGCTTTTGTTAAATTTATTTCTAAGTCTTTTTTTTTTTTTTTTTTTTTTGAGACAGTGTCTCATTCTGTCACCCAGGCTAAAGTACAGTGGTGTGATCTCGGCTCATTGCAACCTCCGCCTCCTGGGTTCAAGTGATTCCACTGCCTCAGCCTCCTGAGTAGCTGGGATTACAGGCACCTGCCACCACACCCAACTAATTTTTGTATTTTAGTAGAGACGGGGTTTCACCACGTTGGCTAGGCTAGTCTTGAACTCCTGACCTCAAGTGATCCGCCTGCCTCGGCCTCCCAAAGTGCTGGGATTACAGGTGTGAGCCATTGTGCTTGGCTTTCTAAGTCTTTTTTTTTTGGGGGGGGGGATGCTATTGTAAGTGGAATTTTTAAAAACTTTTCATGTTCAGATTGCTTATTGCTTGTGTATAGAAATACGATTACTACTTGTATATTGAGCTTGTATCCTGTAACTGTGTTGGATGTGTTTATTGGCTCTAATAGTTTATTTGTGGGATTTTCTTAGGATTTTCTATATACAAGATTATATCATCTGCAAATAAAGGTAGTTTTCCTTCTTTTTTTTAAGCCTGAGTGATTTTTATTTCTTTTTCTTGCCTATTTGCCCTGGCCGTAACCTTCAGTGCAGTGTTAAACAGAGTGGTAAGAGTGGATATCCTTGTTTTGTTCTTGACCTGAGGGAGAAAGCATTCAGGCTTTCTCCATTAAGTATGATTTTAGCTATGGGGTTTTTGTAGGTATTCTTTTTTTCCCCCATAGGTATTTTTTATTAGATTGAAGATGTTTTCTTCAATTTCTACTTTGTTGAGTGTTTTTATCATGAAAGCATGTTGGATTTTGTTAAGTGCTTTTTCTGCATCTATTCAAATGATCATGTGGTTTGTATCCTTTATTAATATGGTGTATTACATTAATTGATTTTCAGAAGTTAAGCCAACCTTGAATCCCTGGGATTAAGTCATACTTAGCAATGGTGTATAAGCCTTTTAATATGTTGCTGGATTCATTTTGCTTTGTTGAGGACTTTTACATCTGTATTCATAAGATATATTGGTCTGTAGTTGTCTTGTGATATCTGTGTCTGGTTTTGGCATCAGAGTAATAATGGCTTTATTGAATGAGTTGAGATGTGTTCTTGGCTTCATCTTGGACTAATTTTGGTTGAACTTTGAACATTCATTTAGCAATTGTAAATTCTAATTGCCTAATTACTGAATGAAGATAATAATTAAAGATATAACTGTTTGTTTTTTTGAGATAGAGTCTTGCTCTGTTACCCAGGCTGGAGTGCAGTGGTGTGATCTCCGCTCACTGCAACCTCCACTTCCCAGGTTCAAATGATTCTTATGCCTCAGCCTCCCAGGTAGCTAGGATTACAGGCCCCTGCCACCACACTCAGCTAATTTTTGTTTTTAGTAGAGACTAAAGATACAAAAATTTTATCATGTTGGTCAGGCTGGTCTCGAACTCCTGACCTCAAGTGATCCTCCCAACTCGGCCTCCTCAAGTGCTGGGATTACAGGTGTGAGCCACCACACCCGGCCTTTTTGTTTATGTTTGTTTTAGAGATAGGGTCTTCCTATGTTGCCTAGGCTGGAGTACAGTGGCCTATGGTTTCAAGCACTCCTCCTGCCTCAGCCTCCCAAGTAGCTGGGACTAGAGGCACATGGCACACCCAGCTTGGTTGCCTTCCCCTGCTCCCCCACCCGTGAGACAGGGTCTTGCTATTTGTCCAGACTAGTCTAGAACTCCTAGGCTCAAGTAGTCTCTCCACCTTAGCCTCCCAAGTAGCTAGGATTACAGGCACATGCCACCACACTTGGTAGTCAACTATTTAAAAAACATCTATTATTTAACATTCAGGGTAGAGGTTCCAAGTATAGAACTTTAGATCCTTACTGCCTGCTTGGTTCCCTGGATTTTTTCTCCTAGTTTTATTTGGGGTACTTACTTTGTTATTTCATTTTGGTTATGCCATAAATAACACCCAATTTTAGCATTCCTGGGATGATTTAGGCAAGCTTCAGAAAAGAGTCCAGAAGAAAATGGAATTGGAAGCATAAAGCCACTAAAATTTTTTCATTGTTCTCTGATCATTTTTTAGCTTTGGATTTTTTGATCATTTAACGTATCAATGAGTAGAAAGGATTTTTCTTGACTACCACATAGCTTATAAAGTGACGGAGTATTCTTTCCTTAGAGATTCTACAGTGTTTAACATCCACTGGTACTCAGTATGTTTATGAATGAATATGTATTAATGGTAGGGCTTTTATAGGGTCTTATTTTACTGAAAATTGAAGATAATCATTCACATTTGGATTACAAGTGTTTGTGTTATGTTATAAACATTTAATGCCGTAGCCCAAATATTAACAAGCATGGTCGTATTTTGGTATTGCCACGGTAGGTATTCTGGGAAGTGTGAGTAGTTGTTTTTTCCTACCCTCTGTGCTGAAGGATTTCTTTCTTTTTTTTTGAGACGGAGTCTGCTCTGTCGTTCAGGCTGGAGTGCAGTGGCGCGATCTCAGCTCACTGACACTGCAACCTCTACCTCCCGCCGGGTTCAAGCAATTCTCCTGCTTCAGCCTCCCGAGTAGCTGGGACTACAGGCGCATGCCACCACGCCTGGCTAATTTTTTGTATTTTAGTAGAGACGGGTTTTCACCATGTTGCCCAGGCTGGTCTCGAACTCCTGAGTTCTAGCAAACCACTGGCCTCGGCCTCCCAAAGTGCTAGTATTAGAGATGTGAGCCACCACGTCTGGCCTGAAGGACTTCTTATACCAAAGAAGATACAGTTTCATTTAACTATTTTATTTTATTTTTTCTGATGCTGGTTAAAGTTGGTTCATTTGGGACACATTTCATTAGATAAAATTGTGTTTAAATGTGATTGTGAGAATTTGGAATATGGTGGAAAATATTGAATATTATATTCTATAATTTTTGTCAGTCTAATTCAGAAACAAAAAAGATTGCAGTTGAGAAAATCATACATGATTTCTTTGTAAATGAGTTACAGAGATAAGACAGGACCTTTAGCATTTCCTGAATTCCAGTCATGTTCTCGGTAACTTATGGTCTCTTTTATAATATTGTACCCATGACAATTTATACGTTAGATTTCAGGTTTTATCTTCTGCCTGGAAGGATTACATTCAGGGGTTTTAGCCATGCATATTTATCTATAAATGGTCTAAACCAGTACCTCTTTATCTTTCCTTAAAGTACTTTTCAGGGTCTAGGGCTGTTTGGAGCTGTTTGTTACAAGCAGGACATCTCTCTCTGAGGACTCCTTTTCTATCTTGAAACAGTGAGAATTTTGCCTTTTGCTCTGTATACATTGAATATCCCTTATCCGAAATGCTTGGGACCAGAAGTTTTTTGGATTTCAGATTTTTCAGATTTTGGGATGTTTGCATGTACATAATGTACTATCTTGGAGATGGGATCCAAATCTAAACATGAAATTCTATGTTTCATGTACACATTATGCACATAGCCTGAAGATAATTTCTTTTTTTACCTTTTTCTTTAAGAGATGATGTCTCATACTGTTGCCCAGGCTGGAGTGCAGTAATGTGATCCTAGCTCACAGCAGCCTAGAACTCCTGGGCTCAAGTCATTCTCCTGCCTCAGCCTCCCAGGTAGCTGGTACTAACTGGTACAGATGCACGGTGCCAAGCCCAGCTAATTTTTTTGTTTGAGATGGGGTCTGATTCTGTTACTCAGGTTGGAGTGCAGTAGCGCCATCTCTGCTCACTGTAGCCTCCACCTTCCAGGCTCAAGTGATTCTCCCACCTTGGCTTCCTGTGTAGCTGGGACCACAGGTGCATGCCACCATGCCTGGCTAATTTTTTGTGTTTTTGGTAGAGATAGGTTTTGCTACATTGCCCAGGCCGGTCTTGAACTCCAGAGCTCAAGTGATTCACCTGCCATGGCTTTCCAGTGTTGGGATTACAGGCCTGAGCCACTGCACCTGGACTTAATTTTTTTTTTTTTTTTCAGAGATAGGGTCTCACTATGTTGCCCAGGCTGGTTTTGAACTCCAGGGCTCAAATGATCCTCCCATCTTGGTCTCCCAAAGTGTTAGGATTACAGGCATGAGCTACCACAACCGACCAGTTTTATACAAAATTTAAAATAATTTTGTTCTTGAAATAAACAGTGTTTCTGATGGTTCAGAGAACCATCAGAAGCAAAGGTGTCACGTGTGGAATTTTCCATTTGAGGTGTCATGTTGGCACTCAAAAAGTTTCAGATTTTGGAGGGTTTTGAATTTTCAGATTAGGGATGGTCAACCTGTAATATATTTGTGTTTATTTTAACAAAAGTACATCTGATTTTACTATAATCCTTGATTAAATTGATACTCCAAAAAAGTTGCTCCTGCATATATTCAGTGGCTTTGGTTACTTCCCGTTTGTAGCTGTATGTTCCTGAGTGTACATAGAAACAAGTTCAAGAATCCAAGAATTAGTGGGTTAAAAATAATGTTCTAGGCTGGGCGTGGTGGCTCACGCCTGTAATCCCAGTACTTTGGGAGGCTGAGATGGGCGGATCACCTGAGGTCAGGATTTTGAGACCAGCCTGACCAACATGGCGAAACTCCGTCTCTACTAAAAATACAAAGATTAGCCGGGCATGGTGGTACGCGCCTGTAGTCCCACCTACTTGGGCAGCTGAGGTAGGAGAATCGCTTGAACCCAGGAGGTGGAGGTTGCGGTGAGCCCAGATTTTGCCATGCACTCCAGCCTGGCAGCCTGGGCAGCAGAGTGAGACTGTGTCTCAAAAAAAAAAAAAAGTAATTCCCTTTCCAAGAATGGTATGCTGCTTCATTGGAGGAAACAGGTCTGCCATCTTCCAAAGTCCCTAGGTTTGCCATGCCATCAGAACAAGATTTTACAAGTTGCATCATAACTTAGAATCAGCAACTGACGTAAAAAGAAAAATATATATATATATATTTTGAGACAGAGTTTCGCTCTGTCGCCCAGGCTGGAGTGCACTGGCGTGATCTCCGCTCGCTGCAAGCTCCGCCTCCCAGGTTCATGCCATTCTGCTGCCTCAGCCTCCCGAGTAGCTGGGACTACGGGTGCCCCCCACCATGCCCAGCTAATTTTTTGTATTTTTAGTAGAGACGGAGTTTCACCATGTTGGCCAGGATGGTCTCGATCTCCGGATCTCGTGATCTGCCCACCTTGGCCTCCTAAAGTGCTGGGATTACAGGCATGAGCTACCGCACCCAGCCTATAAAGACATTTTTTAAGGTGTGTTTTGCCTTGTACACCTGCTGCCTCCTTTTCTCTTTGAACATTTTCCCTTCTGACTCACTTTTGTCAGGCCCTCCACAACTTGGCTGCTCACAGCTGCCTTGAAGTTCTGCGTATTTACCTTTATGTTTCCTTTGGAAAAGAACTCAGGTAGTTTCTTGGTACATTTTGGCCAAATTCTGACACTCAGCTTTATTATCTGATAAAAAGTTTGGGTCCTGCGTAGATTGCTTAATCTGCAAAATCAGTATATTAGAATACTCCTTCTATGTTTGGTCATTGAACGTTCACACATTCTAGTTATTTGAGAATTTTAAAATATTCTAAACTAAAGTTAAAAACATTAGAATTAACTAAAATTCACCAAAATAATCAGGGTGTGTGTGTGTGTGTGTGTGTGTGTGTGTGTGTGTGTGTAAACTCATTGAGGAACTTTATTAAAATGTTCGTATAAAATCCTGCTTAAACTGCTTGCACTAGAAATGAGTGCTGGTAGCTGCTATTAAATCCACCACTGTGGAGAAGACCAACAATCTTGGGTGTTAGATTTTAACAAGAGCTGATGGCCTGAGAGAACCTGACTTGTTTCTTTCAGTGATATAATTGTATTCAGCTGAGCTTTAATGTTGTCTTCTGAATTATCCTAAAGTAAATTATTTCTAGACTTACTAGTACATTTAGGTTTAACCTACAACAGTATTGTTCTCATTACTAACACAGTTAAATTAGGAGGCTGCCTAATAATTAGTTTTTCTTTTGTATGAATTATTGGGTCAGTTCTGTGGTGAGATGGCAAAATAATATCTTTATGTAAATCCTGCAGTTTGTATCAGTAGTATGAGGAGGAAAATATCTTGTTAGGTTGGATTGAAATGAAGGAATGCTATGCATTCTTGTAATACTTTGCCATTTATGAAATGCTTTTGTTTAATCTTACTGAAAGTTTGTTTCTACTGGATTCAGTCAGTACATAAAAATACTGTATGATATTTTGAATCAGTTAAGGCCTCCATTTAATGAAAAAAAATCTTGATTTCTGAGCTTTGTAGTCATTGTAATCAGTATGAGGATTTTCTTCTACTTGCATTTGGCTAAATCTTTATACTTGTGACACTGTGAAATAGGTAGTATGGTTTAGGTTTAATGCCTTTAGCATGTTTGCACATCCAGTTCACCAATTGAGTAGCACTGGTGAATTAGAAGCGGGAAAAGTGAGAATTGAAGACTGAGAGACCCTGATTCCGGCTTTGACGCTTTGGCAATCTCTTAACTGGCTTCTTTCTGTTGGCCTCATTTTCACACTAATAAAATGTGGCGGCTGAACATATTCCTTCTACATCCTAAATTTTTTGACTTAAATTTCTTAACTTTGGTTTAGTTGACTCTGGCTTTCTATTTAATATTTAGCTGGTTAAATATTAATGTGAGAACATGCCTCAGTTTCAGCTTAAAGATGTTTCTTTTATAATTTTAATATGGGTTTTTACATAGGTTTGTGTGTTCATTTCTGTGATATCTAGAATAAATTCTTGAGCTTAATAGGTACTCACTAGATTTTTGTTGAATTAAATGTATTTGAAGTATTTAATGTGGCATTAGATTTATGATTGTAAATAATCATTCTCAGAATATGTTTTTAGGGAGCTAAAAGTATTTTTATATATAGTGTTATCTAAGTTCATGAATGAAAACATTGTTTGCTAGAGTCTAGACAGGGATTTTGTTTTTGAAACAGAGTCCCGCTCTGTCACTCAGGTTGGAGTGCAGTGGTGCGATCTTGGCTCACTGCATCCTCCACCTTGTGGGTTCAAGTGATTCTCCTGCCTCAGCCTCCCAAGTAGCTAGGACTATAGGCATGTGCCACAATGCCAGGCTAATTTTTGTATTTTTAGTTGAGACAGGGTTTCACCATGTTGCCCAGGCTGGTCTCAGACTCCAGGCCTCAGGTGATCCACTTGCTTCGGTCTCCCAAAGTGCTAGAATTACAGGTGTGAGTCACCACATCCAGGCTTTTTTTTTTTTTTTTTTTTTTTAATTAAAGTAGGTCCAAGTCCTAAGTAGATAGGTGTTTGAAGTTTGAATTAGGAAAGAGGTGCTGATTTTTGCTTCACTCAGATTTTAACCTTTAAAGTTTAGAACTGTGGAAAATAGCTTCATTCACTAATAATAGTTAAACTTAAGAGGTAGGTGGTATTACTACCTCCATTTTACAGAGCAGAATACGTACTTTGCCCAAAGTAACACAAAGAATAAGTGAGGGAGGCAGGATTAGAATCGGGCTACCTAGGTCCTGTGTGCTTAAGTACTACACTCTACCTTTTTCATTTATTCAGTCAGTTCTTATGATGTGTCTCTTTTGTGCCAGGCCCTGGGCTAGGTCCTAGGTAAGTAACCAAAAAAATGGGCCCCTGTGCTTTTGAAACTAAATGGCCTAGGCTTTAGAACTTGTCCTGAGTTAATATATAATAATTGCTTTTTCTTAAGTGCAAAAAAAGTTATTCATTGTCCTTTTGAGATTAGTTTGGACATACGAGGTACTGAATTTGTGAGATTATTCTGTTTAGGAATTTCTGGCTTGTTTAGAAGGTATGTGGCAGGGAAGGTAGAGAGTGCCTTTTTGGAATACGTTTATTATCTATAGATGAGAGTTACAGATCTTAAATTAGAACAACCACAGTTCCTGCCTGCAAGGGCTTTCAGGCTGGCTTGAGGTGGCAAGACTGGTATATGAAAACAAACTCAGAGGAATTACAGACAGCATTTAACCAAGGGTAATGTAGTGCCACCTCTGTACATTATTGGTTCTTTTTTTGAGACACAGTCTCCTTCTGTCGCTTAGGCTGGAGTGCAGTGGTGTGATCTTGGCTCACTGCAACCTCTGCCTTCCGGGCTCAAGTGATTCTCATGCCTCAGCCTCCCGAGTAGCTGGAACTACAGGCGTGCACCACCATGCTTGGCTACTTTTTGTATTTTTAGTAGAGGTGGGGTTTCACCATGTTGGCCAGGCTGGTCTCGAATTCCTGGCCTCAGGTGATCTGCCTGCCTTGGCCTTCCGGAGTGCTGGGATTACAGGCATGAGCCACCACGCCCAGCCTACATTATTGTCAAGTGAAGTGAGTAGACGATAACAGTGGTGTGGTGGAATATAAGAGGATAACATGAGTTGTAGGTGGATTGGAGAGAGGAATTAACAAGGAATGGTGGTAATGAGGGATGGTCCTCTTTTTCTAGGTAGAGAGAACACAGACAAAGATGGATGGGTACAGAGCTGTGTGTAAGAGGGAACACCTTTTCCTTTTTTCTTTCTTTCCTTCCTCCCTTCCTTTCTTTTTCTTTTTTTGGAGACAGGGTGTTGCTCTGTTGCCCAGGGTGGTTTGCAGTGGCGTGATCATGGTTCACTGCAGCCTTGACCTCCTGGGCTCAAGTGATCCTCCTGCCTGAGCCTCTGAGTAGCTTGGACTACAGGTGTATGCCACCACCCCCGGCTAAATTTTTTTATTATTTATTTTTTGAAGAGATGAAGTTTTGCTGTTTTCCCTGGGCTGTTCTCAAACTCCTGGGCTCAAGCAATACTCTCACATTGGCCTCTCAAAGTGCTGGGATTATAGGTGTGAGCCACCATGCCTGGCCATGGAATGTCTTTTCTGAGGAAGAAATAATAAGATTAGTTATATAAAATACTGTAATCATAAAGTAAGATACAAATACTAAAAAACATTAGAACTCAATCATTGTTTTTTGACTTCATTTATTATATAAGGAACCTAACTCAAATTGGCTTAAGCAATTAATAAATGTTTATTGTTACATTGTTGTAATGTGGCTGGAAATCCAGAAGTCATACAAATTGTCAGGATTGGTTGATACAGTGGCTTAATGCTATCACCAAGGACCAACTCTCTATTCCCTTTGATGTTGGTGGCATCTTCAGGCTTGCTGCAAAGGTGACTGTAGCAGTTTGAGGTGTCACTGTCTGAGGAAGAGGGACTGTTTTTTCCTCCATCATTTTTAGGATTGAAGAACCTTTTCTCACAGTTCTCTTTTGGAGGCTGTCCAGGGGGCTTCTACTCACATCTCATGGCCATTCCTAACCAATCATTGGCAAAGAGAATGGGTTAAAACTAATCAGAATAGAGTGGATATTGGAGAGTCAACATGACTATTCCAAGAGTGATTTGAAATATGTTGGTGTTTTTATTTTTTTATCACTTTTCATTTTGAGATGGTCTCGCTCTGTTGCCCAGGTTGGACTACAATGGCATGATCATGACTCACTGCAGCCTTGACCTCCCAGGCTCAAGCAATCCCCTCAGCTTCTGGAGTAGCTGGGACTGTAAGCACATGCTACCACACTTGGCTAATTTAAAATTTTTTTTGTAGAGATAGGGTCTCACTCTGTTGCCCAGGCTGGTCTCTAACTCCGGAGCTCAAGTGATCCTCCCACCTCACCCTCCCAAAGTGCTGGGATTACAGGAGTGAGCTGCTGCACCAGGCCTTTTTCTTTAAATCTTTTTTTGTTTGTTTGTTTTATTTTGTATGTAGGTGTTTTCAATCAGTCTTTTGGACATCCACTATTTTTTGGGGGGAAATTTAAGAAAATTTATTTCTCTTCATAAGATTTTTGTGTGGTGGCTCATGCCTGTAATGCCAGCACTCGAGTCCAGGAGTTCGAGACCAGCCTGGGCAACATAGGGAGACTCTGTATCTACCAAAACAAAAAGGAGTGAAAAAAATAACAGCTGGGCATGGTGGCATATGCCTGTAGTGCCAGCTACTCAAGAGGCTGAGGTAGGATCGCCTGAGCCTGGGAGGCTGCAGTGAGTTTGATTGCACCACTGCACTCTAGCCTGGGCAACCGAGCAGGACCCTGTCAAAAAAATAAAAGTACAAGTTGATGCCTAATAAGAAAGATGTCTGATTTTAGATAAGAATATACAACAGGTTGACTGATTTAAGTGCCATAAACCCTGTGAACTCTTGACTCTTGCACTAAGCAATGAGAGAAAGGGGAAACTGGAATTTATAGTTCCCCCAAATACATGGTTTTAAAAATGAGCATTTTCCAGTTTTCTCCTAATCCATTAGAAAAATATATTTCATATAATCTTGCTTATTTGGTTGCCTAATTAAATCTGACAGTTGAGTCTTAAAAATTTGGAGCAGCAGTAAGATTATTTTGTTATGGTGTGTCTGAATTTAATATTTAAGTATACGCTGCAAAGGGCTTTGCCTTATTTGGTATTTTTCATTCTGCTAATTTAGATTTCAAGAGCCTCAGATTGGGGCTCTAGTTCGCCATCTGTTGGTCCAATACCCTTCTACTGTATTTTGTGGAATTACTATTTATGTGTGTATGTGTGTACAATAAAAAAGTCAAAGTTTTTCCCCAGGGTTGTAAATTAAAAATCCAAGACTAAAGACCTCTTTTGGATGTGTATACAAATATTAGTTTATTCTTTGTGTAATTTGACCCTATGACTCCAAACTGCCTGCCTTTGGTATTTGAGAACTATGACTATGCTTGAGAGTGTGATTTTAGGAGTACAAATGGAAACTCGCAGAAACCTAGGTGCAGATGTTGCAGGGGCAGGTGAGTTAGTGTAACTTTGTGGGAAGACTAAAACCGTTCTGTAACGACTGTGAGGGTGTTTTTTGATAAGCAGAAGTGACGTATAATGCCGGATATTGGTTCTGGTAAGCCACAAAAAAGTGTGAAGCATTTTGCGTCTTCCTTTTTGGTAGTAGAGCATACATACCCTTCTTATCTGCCGAATTTGATGATTTAATGATTTGAACGATTTTTTCTTCAGTCATTTAAGCTAGTTTTGATGAATCCTAGATTAGTCTTTTAAATCTCAAGATACTCCACTCATCTTTTGGCAACTTTAAAGGGTGGTAGAATTACACTTTGTGTGACACTTTGTATTACATTATGTTTATGAATTCTTTAAGTCTAGGAAAGGTTCCATTATTTTAAAGGTCCTATTTTGGGGACAATATAAAGTTCTGTACTGATAAACTGGTCATGAGAAATGATAAGGTGCCACCACTTTAAACCAACTCTGGTAACGAGGTGGGAAGTTGGCTTTTTGTTGTGAGACTTGTGTTTCTTTATGGAGTTCTTTGTTAAACTTTTAGCATGGCAGTGAACTTCCTTTTGGTGGCGGCAGGAAGCATAAATACTCATTGTGTAATGCCATTTGCCTGTTTTGGCGGATCTGCCAAGCCATGACACCCAAAACAAGACGCGTGTTTCTTCACGAAAACTACAGTTCCCAGCGGGCCCGGCGCCGGCGGGGCCATCACTTCCCCTCTGGCTCCCGGCTGTCCCTTCCCGGGCTGGCCCGGCGCGGGCCCTGGCTGGGGCCTGCGCAGTGACTACGTGCACCCCCCCCACCCCGCCCAACTCTGGTGGCTGCGGAGCGCGGTGCTGGGGCTAGTGCCCAGCCGTGCTGCAGTATACGGAGGCTGGCTGCTAGGGACAAAGGGCGGGCGGCGGAAGCCGCTTCACTGGTCAGGGAGCTTTCTGCAGGGTTAGCCTTGGAATAGTGTGGTGCCGACGGCCTTACCCTCTTTACTACACAGTGCAAACAGTTCCTCGCTCACGTCCTCTCGCTCCGCGGCGCCGGCCCGCCCTGCCCCTCAACTGGCGAGCCGCACCGCCGGCCTCAGCACGGAGGGCATGTGACGGCGTCAGTGCCTCAGGTTAGACTCACCTCGGCCGCAGCGAGGGCTGGCTTCCCCCTGCCGCAGTGCTGCGTGCCGTCGCCGCACGTCCGGGGCAGCTGGGGCCGGGCGCCGCGGCCTCCGCAGATGGAGGTACAAAAACATCGGCCACGGCGAGGAGCCATGACTGAGGCGGCGGCGGCCGCGCCTCCTGGCGGCCCGCGGGGGCGACGCGGCGGGCGCCCCCTGGCGGCGCGCCGGGGTGGAGCGGCCCTTCGCCGCCGCAGCCGCAGCCGGCGGAGGCGCTGCTGTCCCTCCTCCCCGTGTCCCCGGCGCTCGCCCGCTCGCTCGCTCGCTCCATTCTCCCTCCGCTTCAGATTAAAGGGGGGGAGGGAAAAGGAGCTCGGCCGCCATTTTCCCAGTGCCGCCGCCGCCGCCGCCACCGCCGCCACCGCTCGCCGAGCCGGCGGGAGAACCGAGCACCGTAGCGAAGCCGACTCGTCTCGCCGCGGCGGCGCGGGGGGCGGCTGAAGCGCGCTCCCCGGCTGGAAAGAGGCGGCCGGGGGTGGCGGCCTGGGTGCGGGTTCGGGCTGCAGACGGCGGTGCTTGTTTGTGCGGGGCGGGGGGGCGGTTTCACTCTCTGCCCCCGCCCGCCCGCCCGCCCTCCCGGCTGGGCTGCGGTCTCCAGCCGTGCTCGGGCCCCGTCGGTGCGGAGCAAGGCCGGGAAAGGGCCCGAAAGAGAAGAAAAAGCAGCCGCTCCCCGCCGCCGCCTTCCCCTCCCCCTCTGCCTCGCCCCCCCGCCCGGAAAGTCAGGGCGGCTCCGGGCGTCGGGGGGAGGAGAGCGGCGGGCCCGGGCCGGAGCCGCCGTCGCGCGACCCCGCCCGCCGCTGGCCCTCGGCGCCCAGGCCGGGGGGCTGTTTGCAAACTGCGCCCATTTTGTGGGGCTGAATCCGCCCGGGCTACGCTCCTCCATCACGTGGTAGGTGCTGCTGCTGCTCCTCTCCTCCTCCTCCTGCTGCCCTTTCTCCTTCTCCTCGCTCTCCCTGTGGCTCCCATTTCTCTCTCTCTTTGTTAGTTGTAACTAGAAAGGCAGGGCAGGGTAGAAAAAACCCCCGGAACTTTAAATGGCCTCTCCGGGCTTCCCTGCTGCGGGTCCGGGCTGGGAGTCGCCCCAAGGGCGGGGGTGTGCGGGGGCCCTTCCCCTGGAGCTGCCGCCTCGTTCGCCAGCTTTTCCTTTGGCGTTCTATTTAAAAAGGCGGCCTGAAGAACATGATTTATTCCCGTAAAAGAACCCCCCAAACAAACTCTGGCTCTCGCCTTGAACTTCTCTTGACTGCAAAAGGCCTTTCTCTGCTCGAAACACACATCTTGGCGCGTTGCACGGTTTGTATCACAACTCTGATTGTTTCATTTATTATTTTTGTTGCCTGTAAATTCAGGTTACTTACGTTTTCAGATGTAGTCTCCCTCAGGCGGACTTTTTTTTTTTTTTTTAAACTAAAGAGGAAGAGGGATTTATTTGCTTTTAAGTGAGTTGGAATCTTAACTGCCTTTTTGGGGGCCTGTTTTCCGGCTGACGGTCTTTTGATTCTTAGCAAATAGTTTGTTTTCCATACGATAAACAACGCTACTCCCGTGTCTTACTTAAAAATCCTCGTTTTCCAATGTTGGAATCCCGATGTGGATTTATAGAGAAACGTGCTACTTAACTATTGCTTACTGATTGCTGTAGGGGAGAAGGGGTGACATGATGGCGCCACTTTAAATTGCTCTCTTTCCTTTTCCTCGGTCCCCCCCACCCCCCTTTATCCTGGAGGTCACTGGAGCATTTTCTGTGACTTATTAATAAAACTGTACTTGAGGGTGTTAGAAGCACAACTCGTAGGGGCTGGAGTTTAGTGCTCCTAGGGTCGGCAGACCGACTGCCGCGGTCCCCAAAGTTCCGAGAAATCTCTCTTCCTCCAGCCTCGCCTCCCTCCCCTCCATTCACAATCCTGGTGTTGCCATCTCCTTTGTCACGTGGCTAGCAATCATTGTGTTTTTTTGTTTGTTTTGGGGTGTGTGTTTATATTTTTAAATTGCAGCTCAGAGGAACCTTTCCTTTTCGCTTTGGAGAGATCAAAACGTTTTACTTGTTTTAGTTTTAGAGTCGGAGAACATTTTAAAATAAACGATAAAATTACATAATCTTTGCCTTGCATAATCATGATATAGTTATAGATTGCTACTGAACTTCATTTTGAAAGTCCTTTCAAGTATGGAAACTAGTACGTTAGAATATGTTTTCCATTTGTCAGGATGGTCTGTAATTTCTGTTTTCTCTGCTTTTTGGGTCAGTTAAAGGACCACTATTTACAAAGGCTTAAGTGGGTGTGTTTTCCCTTTCCCCTTTCCTATAGGCTCTACTTGGTTCCTTTTCTAGCATGCTGTCTGACCAATTTAGAAAATTTCAATTGTCTACAGGCGTTGTCAGTTAAAACTATTTTTTTAACCTATCAACAGTGAATACTTTTGAGTAGTAATTGTTTTGTGCCTAATGCTAAGTGTATTTATTAGCATTTCGGTGTTGATCTAGAAAATTTTTACTTTTAATCCTGTAGTTTTAGAAGTATGTTATTCCTTTATCTGTTTCTTTATATCAGTTTTTCCCATAATTGGGTAAACTCCTATTTTATAAAATACAAAGTACATTTCTGGTTTTTTCTACATAGGTTACTAGACATTTTTTCAATTTGAAAAAACATTTTGAATTAAGAAACTTTTTTTTTAAAGTAAATACGAAATGTGGTTCTTGAGTATGCATTGATCCTGATTTACCATGTACATTGTCAATGGTTTGGACCATTTTCTTTGCTAACAGTTACATCATGTCATGTGATATGTGCAGTGTGATGTGTAGTTCTAAAAATAAGGCAAGGTAAAAATGCTCATCCCTTGGGAATTTAAAAAATGTATTATAAATGTGGAATAACTACCTTCAGTCATGAAATTCTGAATTGGATTTCCACTAGGTTTATGCAACAAAGTGTGCCGTTCCTTCGACCTTTAGCATATTTGGTGTATTTGTTAGTACCTCATAATTTGAGGTGATTGACTTTTTATTTTTTGAACTACTTGGAGGGAAACATTAAATGTTACAAAGGTTCTTAATGTCTATATTATGGTGAAGATGGTTGTCACTGATGGCCACCTCATTTGAGTATATACCAGTGTCTGTGATTGTGACCAGTTAAAAGAATGATCAGTTAAGAATTATTAGAGCCTTTGTGGTAGGGTGGGATTTTCGGTCTTTCCATCTATATGAGTCTACTGAAGTGAAGTATTTTAGAAGTTTTCTTGCATCTTTTCTGAAAGCCACGTTCAGAACATTCGTATTTGACTTTGGTGCTTTACCAACGTGAGATGTTAAATTTTTGTCTGATTTTCTTTCTTCCTGCCTACACATGTTATTTCTCTGGTTAAACCTGCAGAGCACTCTTTGTTACGTGAGTGTTTCCTGTTGAGGAAAATTCTGGAAGTTAGAAAATGAGTAGGCCTTAGTTCACTTGTGAACCCATATCAAGGTGAGAAGAAAGTGAAGTAACTATACTAAACTTTTTTCTTCACTGTCACTAAGGCTACTCTTCCATCTCTAGTAATGCTACATTGTAACCAGTGTCTCTGCGTCTTCTGTAGAGGATTGAGTTGACCACAGGTTTTAATTGCATTTTAAAGTGAATAAGAAGTTTTAGGTTTGTTCTGTTCGTTATGACCTGATTTGTGTACTCTGTAAACATAGGGGTGTTGTGGTTGTTTGAGAAGGTATTTTAGTATTGAGAGGTTCTGATTAGGCCCCTTTGCGAGTAAAGCTTAGTTACCTTGTTATATCAGGCAAGCAATTTTTTTTTTTTTTTTTTTTTTTTTGAGGCAGGGTCTCGTTCTGTCGCCCATGCTGGAGTGCAGTGGTGCCATCTCAGCTCATTGCAGTCTCCGCCTCCCAGGTTCAAGCGATTCTCGTGCCTCAGCAGCCTGAGTAGCAGGGACTACAGGCATGTGCCATTGGGACTACAGGCGTGTGCCACCATGCCCAGCTAAGTTTTGTATTTTTAGTAGAGACGGGGGTTTCACCATGTTGGCCAGGCTGGTCTCGAACTCCTGACCTCAAGTGATCCACCTGCCTCGGCCTCCCAGAAGTGCCGGAATTACAGGCATGAGCCACTATGCCTAGCCTAGACAAGCAATTTTTAAAATGTGCTATAAAACACCAAACTAATCCACACTGGATTTTCTAAACATAGTAAACGCCATGTTTAAAGAGTAATGCGTATTCCTTTTATGTTTTTTCAGCTTGTGGGGAGATGGGTAGGGGCTATTTTTTTCTTCTTGGTGAGTCCATTAAGACACAGAAATAAGCGACTTTCTTGCTAGATAGATGTATATAGTTTTATTGTCCCTCTCCACCCCCCAACAAAGGACCTCTCCGTTCCATTCCTTGAGTTTAGAGGGGAGGGACTAGGGTAAACTGAATAAGTGGTTGTCTGTTGATTGCCCCAGAGTAAATCTTATTGAGTGGTTTAGAGATTTTGTTTCTTTTTCATTTTAGAGACGAGGTCTCGGGGTCTCGCTGTGATTCCCAGGTTGGCGTGCACAGATGTAATCATTGTGTGCTACAGTTTAGAGTGCCTGAACTCCGGGGCTCAAGTGATCTTCCTGCCTTAGCCTCCTGAGTAGGTTGAGCAACGGGAGCATATAACCTTGCTTGTCTTTTTTTTTTTTTTTTTTTTTTTTTTTGAGACAATCTTTGCTCTGTTGCCCAGGCTGGAGTGCAGTGGCGCGATCTTGGCTCGCTGCAACCTCCACCCCTAGGGTTCTAGCGATTCTCCTACCTCAGCCTCCTGGGTAGCTGGCATTACAGGTGCCCACCACCACGCCTGGCTAATTTTTTTCTATTTTTAGTATAGGTGGGGTTTTGCCATGTTGGCCAGGCTGGTGTTGAACTCCGGACCTCAGGTGATCCACCCACCTCAGCCTCCCAAAGTGCTAGGATTATAAGCGTGAGCCACCGGGCCTGGCCCCTTGCTTGTCTTATTTAGAGTTTTAAAGCAGCTTTCGTTGTACTCTTTCTTCATTTTAAATGTTCCTGCCTTGAGTGATTTGATTAGTCTACGTCTTGGGAAGCGTATTTTACCTTAGTGCCTCTTTACTTACTTACCTTAAGAAAGGAGTACAGGGCAGGTTCTTAAGTAAAATGGCCCCAGACACCTGGCTTGCCTACTGTGTCAGTGCAAAGAACACTTGGATCATGTCTTTTTCCTAAAATTGGACTTCATAACTGTTTCTTGGAAGTCTATTTTAAGACTTTTTTAGTTCTCATGTTGCTTCTGAAGATGTATGTTTAAATTACAGTTTCTATGCTGATAAGTTGCGTATATACCTCTGGGCATACTAAAAGTTGTGCAGAACAATAGTTTATATGACAAGATAAGATTCCCTCATCAGTACTTCCCATTCCCTGAAATGTGAGATCAAAACTCAGTTGAACCACACTATGGCTGTAGAAGACAGTATGAATTAGAAAAGACAAATATCCACTGTACTAGAGTTCACCAGCGTTTGAAGGCTATCAGAAGATATAGGAGGTAAGTGATATCCTTGGGTGTCACTTGCAGATTGAGGGGAGGATTGTGGGTCATAGGAGATGACTAGTATGGGAGGGGGTAACTATTATTATTTGTTTCTTTTTTAAGCCATGTGCCTTTTAGGATGTAGAACAAAATACATAGGAGAAAATAAGCCAAAAGGTGTGATTTACCAAAATACTTGGACTCCAAAAAGAGCTGCAATATATATTTTTCTTTATCAAGCATTTTCTTGTCTTTGGTAGAATAAAGGTAAAGCTAAAATAGAGTGCGGAAACTGACTTGACCAAAGTAGAAAACACAGCTCATGTTTATGAATCAAAAACAAATGAGTTTGGGCAGTCTGAAAGAAAAAATCAAACATTTTATATGAAGATTTTAAACCTTTATGCAAAGAGTCCCTTTAAGGTGGAAGAGACCTTTTAAATAGAGTAGACCTTCCCCATTTAGTAGCACAATGCGGCAAAATAGTTGTTTAATAAATGTTACTTTCTGCAAGCCTTGCTTTTCCAAGATTTTAAGCTGCTTCCACAGTGTTAACATTTGAAAGCCCTCTACCAGGAAATTATTTAGCTGTGTATTTTATTGTTGCTGACTGTGAACTTGCCCTTTTTTTTCCTGGCTGTAATTTTTTTAGAATTAAAGTTTCTTTCCAAGATTTTGAGGGTCAGGAAATGCAAAGTGGAGGTAGATTGAGTGCAGTTTTATCTAAATGTTATTTTAAAAACTCTGGTTCTTGTAACCTGAACCAGGAATCCAAAATGAGATCTTACTCTGAATTTTAATTACAGCAGATTCTGCTCTTATTTGGAAAAAGTTGCTTGAGTGACAGCAAACTTAATGGAGTCCCTCACCTTTTAATTCCTTTTTAAAAAGGGGAGAGCTTAAGGTTAGACTTGGTTAAATTCAGTTGGAAGGTAAGTATTAGGGAATAAAAAAGAGGAATAACAATTTTGTTGTTAGGATGTTAAACCAAAAATTGCTAAGAACTCATATCTAGACTTTCCTCTTGCTGCTTGTTATTTGGCCTTTGTGACTGTTTGTTAGCACCTCCACCAGAGGGTGTGAAGGGAAAGAGGCTCAAAGCTAAGTACTGTAGCTAGTTTCTGGTTTCTAGTATAGGAGAGACACTTCATAGAAATACCAGCCTGGGCTGGGTGTGGTGGCTCATGCCTGTAATCCCAGCACCTTGGGAGGCCGAGGCGGATCACCTGAGGTCAGGAGTTTGAGACCAGCCTGGCTTAACATGGTGAAACCCTGTCTCTACTAAAAAAAAAACAGCAAAAATTAGCTGGACATGGTGGCGCATGCCTGTAGTCCCAGCTACTCAAGAGGCTGAGGCAGGAGAATTGCTTGAACCTGGAGGCGGAGGTTGTAGTGAGCCGAGATCGCACCACTGCACTCCAGCCTGGGCGACAGAGAGAGACTTCGTCTCAAAAAAAAGAAAAAAGAAATACCAGTCTGATAAGTTGAACTGTCAGGAAAGTTTCATTAAACTCTCCGTATGTTACCATGGAGAACTGAAGCTCTTTGAAGACCTTAAGCATGTCTCCAAAAAATTGGACTGTATTTTTTTGCACTTGGTGATTTACCCCTTACCCCTTGCCTCCCAAGAGAATGAAAAGTGGATATTAGTATTGACTTAACATTTTATTGGCATTGGAAAAATGTACTTTTAAAAGTCATTAATTGACTTTTCTCTAAAGGTATAAGGTAGGTTTCAGTGGGAACTCAGGAATTTGGCCATGGACCCTCCCAGAATAACCTGTTTCCTTTAGAATTCTTTTTTTTTTTTTTTTGAGACACAGTCTCGCTCTGTCCCCAAGGCTGGAGGTGCAGTGGCGGGATCTCAGCTCACTGCAAGCTCTGCCTCCTGGGTTCATGCCATTCTCCTGCCTCAGCCTCCCGAGTAGCTGGAACTACAGGTGCCCGCCATCATGCTCAGCTAATTTTTTTTTTTTTTTGCATTTTAGTAGAGACGGGGTTTCACTGTGTTAGCCAGGATGGTCTCGATCTCCTGACCTTGTGATCCACCCGTCTCGGCCTCCCAAAGTGCTGGTATTACAGGCGTGAGCCACCGCGCCCGGCCTCCTTTAGAATTCTTAAAATCTTCCAGAAGTCGCTGATTTTAGGATTGTTCAGGAGCACTTACACCAACCATTAGGGCTTGTTGGAAAGAGATATGATAAAAAGTATGATTTTTTTTCCTCTGTCTTTTGTCAGCTAAAGAGTGGTAGGAAATTTGAATTCAGTGCTAGCATAGAAGTAGGATTAACACCATTAATAGTTTGATATATAGACATCCTTCAGAAAAAAAAGTTTTCTTGAGATGGTATCTTGCTATGTTGTCTAGGCTGGTCTTGAATTCCTGGGCTCAAGCAGTCCTCCCACCTTGACTTCTAGAGTAGCTGGTATTACAGGCATGAGCCATGGGGCCTAGCCTATCCGTGTGTGTGTGTGTGTGTATGTGTATGTGTGTATATATATGTGTGTGTATATATATGTGTATATATATATATGTTTAATGGGATCATACTTGTTATATGGCTTGATCTTTTTAATTAGGGTTTTTTTTTTTGTATTCCAGTTCTTTAGTGAAAGCATTGTGTATACATCTTTGAGTACCTATGAGAATATTTCTGTTGAATAGATTTCTAGAAGTGCAGTTGCTGGGTAAAAGTTTGAGCAATTACATTTGTGATTTTGATGGCTATTACCTTTATAATGCTGTGTAACCACATTTAATAATAGCTTAAAAAGTGTAGTTAAAAAGTTTCCTAGTCTGGGTACAGGTGCTTGGTCAAGTAAATAACTGGAACTTGTAGTGGGTGAAGCCTATCCTAGGTTCAGTTGATGCCTCTTCTTGTTAGGTGGTTGATCACTTCAGACATCCCCATTAACGTCCTAATGGATCTTCATCTGATGGGTTTAGCATAGAATGCTCAGGTTGCTTAACGTGGTGTGGTCTGCTGTCTGCCAGGCATTGTGCTGCTTGTAGGGGACAGAGATAAAACAAGCTATAACCCTCCTTTTTTAAGAAGTACATAGTTGGCCAGGCGTGGCGGCTCATGCCTGTAATCTCAGCACTTTGGGAGGCCGAGGCTGGCGAATCACGAGGTCAGGCTAGGCCAACATGGTGAAACCCTGTCTCTACTAAAAAAGACAAAAAATTAGCTAGATGTGGTGGCGGGTGCCTGTAATCCCAGCTACTCAGGAGGCTGAGGCAGGAGAAACGCTTGAACTCAGGAGGTGGAGGTTGCAGTGAGCCAATATTGTGCCGCTGCACTCCAGCCCGGGTGACAATGAGAGGCTCTGTTTCAAAAAAAAAAAAAAGTACATACTCTGGGGAAGAAAGAGACAAGACAAAATTGTGAGTTTATATTGTACCATGAGCAATAGCCAGGGTGTCATGGGGGTGCAGGTAAGAGCCTAGAGGGAGGGACCCCACCTCAACCTGGGAGTAATGGGGAATACTTGAAAGAGCATGTAACCTTGAGCTGAACCGTGAAAGAGTAGCATGAGTAAAGGTGCAGGGGCATAGAAGAGCCAGGAAACATATGTTTCAGGTGGCTGCAGTGAGGACAGGCTGGAGATGAGGTCTAATGTAAAAAGGGGACAGATAATGGTGTGTGGGGAATTTGGACTCATCCTTACTCTAGAGTCAGTGAAAGATTTTAAATGGTTAGATTTAGGTTTACCCCCTCCTTTCCTTTTTTCTTCCCTTTCTAATAATCATTTTGGTAGTGGACGCTAGATTAGAGGCTTGCTGAGACAGGAAGAAGGGAGAATAGTTGGGAGATTATTACTGCCTGAATTACTATAGTACATAATGAGGTTCTGCACTAGGGCATTGGCACCAAGGATGGAATGAATGTGCCTGTCATTCTGTGTGTTGCCAACCCTCACCCTCTGTGCACCACCTCGGACCTTTCAAAATTCAGTCAGTATGTCATCTTTTCTAGAAGCCTTCCTTGACCCCTTCAGGTGAAATACAGTACTTTATCAAGCTAGGCTACCTTCACACCTAATTTATATTTTACTATCTTGTATCTGGCATTTAGTAGATGTTTAAATTAAATATTTATGGTAAAAAGTAAGTTGGTGATTTGAGGTCATGATTAACTCAAATAGACAATGTTGAGGAGCAGGAGGAAGTTTTGGATTTGGTGTTGGGGCAGGGAATGGGTTTTGAATATGGGATGCTTGAAGTAGTTGTATAGGCAATGCTGAATTCTACTCATTTCTTTCTTTTTGTTTTTTTGGAGACAGTCTCATTCTGTCGCCTACGCTGGAGTGCAGTGGTGCCATCTCAGCTCACTGCAGCCGCTGCCTCCCAGATTCAGGTGATTCTTGTACCTCAGCCTTCTGAATAGCTGGGATTACAGGCAAAGACGGGGTTTCACTGTGTTGGCCAGGCTGGTCTCAAACTCCTGACCTCAAGTGATCTTCCTGCCTTGGCCTCCCAAAGTGCTGGAATTACAGGCGTGAGCCACCTCTCCCGGCCCTACTCCTTCCCTTCCTTCCCTCCCTCCTTCCTTCTTTCCCTCCTTTTCTTCTCTCACCTCCTCTCCTCTCTCCCCTGTCTCCTCTCTCCTCTCCCCTCCCCTCTCCTCTTTTCCTTCTTTTGAGACAGAATCTTGCTCTGTAACCCAGGCTGGAGTGCAGTGGCGTGATAACAGCTCACTGCGACCTCCACCCGCCAGGCTCAAGTGACCCTCCCACTATGCCCAGCTAATTATTATTTTTTTAGAGACTGGGTCTCAGTGTGTTGTCTAGGCTAGTCTCAAACTCCTCCTGGGCTCAGGCGATCCTCCTGCCTTGGCCTCCCAAGGTGCTGGGCTTATAAGTGTGAGCTACCATGGTAGGCCATCATTTAAAAAAAAAAATTAGTGTTTTTGTTTGGGTGGCTTTTTTAGATGGGGGCTATGTTGCCTAGGCTGGCCTTGAACTCCTTGCCTGAAGCCATCCTCCTGCCTCCTGAGTAACTGGAAATACAGGCGCCTGCCACTGCACCCAGCTCCTACTCATTCTTTAGGTTTCAGCCTGGATGTTCTTTTTTCTGAAAAGCATTTTCTGACTCCGCCTACTTCTCAGCCTGTATGAGGATTGCCTCCGTCCCCCAAATCACACAGTAGTGTCTCTCTTTACTGCTGCTTGTCATCCTTGTATGTACTTACTGTGGTGCTTTGAATACTCTAGGCATTTTAATATTTATTGGAGATACTCAGTAGGTAGTTGGTGTTCTTTGACTGACTTTCCTCTAAAGACTAAAATTCAGAATTTACTGTCAGGCAGTTAAGACCGTTTCAGTTTAAGCCTTAAACTATCTAGTGTAGTAGTTAAAAGCATCGGCTTTAGCATTATGGATCCTGCCCCTGCAACTTCATAGTTGTGTGATCATGGGCAAATTACTTAACTTCTTTGAGCATCTATAAAATGAGGACAGTAGTACTTACCTTACATTGTTATTGTGAAGATTAAGAGAATATATGTAAGATACTTAGCATAGTGATTGACATAGTAAAACGCTAATTAATGTTAGTGAACAACATTTGTAATAACCTATCCTGCACTCAGGAATGATTCCTTTAGTAATATAAAGCTTTTTCAGCTAAGAAGCCCTGTTGGCCAAGGAAATTGATAATGGTCTTGTGGGTGACACACATTATCTCTTTGTTTTATAGTAAAAATTTTGTCTCTCCTTCCCCATTGTATTCCACAACAAATCTACTTTTGTTTATATGTAAAATAAATACTTTGCAGTGCATTCCATAATGTAGCTTGCAGTACTTCATCACAAATCACTGTTCTTTTCCTCTCTTTCTCTTGAGAAGCTGTACATATACCACCTGATTCATGCAAGTTGTTTTGTGGATCATGCCCCACGTCTTTCCCATTATTTTGATTGTGTCAATTTTTTGATTCGTGTTTCCTCCTTTTTCTCTTCTTAGTAAAATCTTACACTTGAGGGCAACCCCCACGAGGCCTTTTGGACTTCTCTAGTCCAGTCACTTAGGGCTTACAGCACTTACTATGTACCAAGCTCTCGATAAAGTTAGCACGCTAAAGAAGGGTGCTGTTAAGGAATTTTGCTTGTCTTGGAAATAGAATTAGTTAACAATTAGGGAAAATTCAGATAATTTGAACTGAATGACAGTGACTTTAAGTGCATTATACAATTCAAGCAGGAAGAAAGTGATATGAATTGGAAGAGTCTAAGAAGTTTTTGTGGAGATGCTATGTATTGAAAAATTAGTAAGTTTGGGGACAAAAAAAAAAAAGTAGAAGAAGGACCTTCCAGGTAGAGGTAGCAACATAGGCAAAGATACGGAGTTGGGAATCTGTGGGGAGTTCTGGGTCCGTATCAATTGATGTGCTTGCCCTGACGTTAAGTTTCATCTTGAAGAATTTGAACTCATTAAAAAGGTGTGAGGGCTGGGTGTGGTGGCTCATGCCTGTAATTCCAGCACTTTGGGAGGCCGAGGCGGGTGGATCACCTGAGGTCAGGAGTTCGAAACCAGCCTGGCCAACGTGGTGAAACCCCATCTCTACTAAAATTACAAAAAAATTAGCTGGGTGTGGTGGCAGGCACCGGTAATCCCAGCTGCTCGGGAGGCTGTGGTAGGAGAATCGTTTGAACCTGGGAGGCGGAGGTTGCAGTGAGCGGAGATCGCGCCATCGCACTCCAGCCTGGGGGACAAGAGCGAGACTTTGTCTCAAAAAAAAAAAAAGTGTGAGGAACTTGTTCAGAGTAGGAAAGTGAGATGATAAAAAGGTAAAGGATAGTTTGGGGCACTGAGGCACTAGTCAGGAAGCTGTTGTGATAATCTAGACAGGAGCTGATGAGGACCTGGGCTAGACTGATAGTGTTAGAAGTATAGAGAGGACATACCAAACCTGAAAAGCTTCGTGAGAAAAGAAGGATTTCGTCACAAAGGAGATGAAATTATGAAGGAAAAGAGAGCTTTCTTTCCATTCTTTATAAGCCATCATGTTTTTGTTTGTCATATATTTGGCCTTTTTGTTAGACTGGCCCCTTCACATTTCTGGATTTAAGCTTTGGTAGAGACTTTGACTATTATTTTCTGGTTGAAGTTCTCATTGCATCATATCTGGATTATTGTGGTAGCTTTTTTATTGGTCTTTGCCATCTATAGATGCCTTTTTACTTACTTTGAATCCATCCTACCCAACTGATCTCTCTAAAGCACAGTCTGATGTTTCACTCCCATTTAAAAAGTGTTTAATGATACTCTGCTGTCATTATTTTATATATACATATACATATATATGTGTGTGCATATATATATGTATATACTTTTTATTTTTCAGAGACTCGATCTCGCTATGTTGACCAGGCTGGTCTCAAACTCCTGGCCTCAAGCAATCCTTTTGCCTTGGCCTCCCAGAGTGCTGGGATTACATGTCTGAGCCGCTGCACCTGGCCTCTGCTGTCTTTGTTTGTTTGTTTTTGTTTTTGAGACAGAGCCTCTCTTTGTCGCCCTGGCTGAAATGCAGTGGCTCAATCTTAGCTCATTGCAGCCTCTGCCTCCTGGTTTCAAGTGATTCTCATGCCTCAGCCTCCCTAGTAGCTGGGACTACAGGCATCTGCCATCATGCCCGGCTAAATTTTTTATTTTTATTTTTATTATTTATTTCTTTTTTTGAGATGGAGTCTCACTTTTGTCACCCAGGCTGGAGTGCAATGGTGCGATCTCGGCTCACTGCAACCTCTGCCGCTCGGGTTCCAGCGATTCTCCTACCACAGCTTCCCGAGCAGCTGGGATTACAGGTGCCCGCCACCACACCCAGCTGATTTTTTTGTATTTTTATTAGAGGCGGGTTTTCACCACGTTGGCCAGGCTGGTTTCAAACTCCTGACCTCAGGTGATCCACCCGCCTCAGCCTCCCAAAGTGCGGGGATTGCAGGCGTGAGCCACTGTGCCTGGCCCCTCTACTGTCTTTAAGTCTGAATTAAGGCTATTAAAGGCTGTCCGTTAAGGATCTGGCTTCAAACTGCCTTTCCACCTTCATTCTACTATTTCCTCTATTAAAATGTGCTTTGTGTTTTAAGCAAATTGTTAATTTTTTTTTTTTTTTAAGATGGAGTCTCGCTCTTGTTACCCAAGCTGGAGTGCAGTGGCCCGATCTCAGCTCACTGCAACCTCTGCCTCCTGGGTTCAAGCAATTATCCTGTCTCAGTCTTCCAAGTAGCTGGGAGTACAGGTGCGCGCCTCCACACCCGGCTAATTTTTGGTAATTTTAGTAGAGATGGGGTTTCGCCATGTTGGCCAGGCTGGTCTCCTGATCTCAGGTGATCTACCCGCCTCAGCCTCCCAAAGTCCTGGGATTATAGGCATGAGTCACTGCGCCCGGCCCAAATTGTTCATTTCTTTTAACCTTCAGAATGTCGCCTTTTCCCACACAGCGTTGCCTTTTCTTATGCCATTTCCTCTCACTAGAATGCCACATTACCATTCTCTTGTCCTAGCCTTTTGCATAATGACATTTTAGCTAATTTTCAAGTCTCAGCTAAAATTGCGGCAACTTCATGGACACTTCCCTAATCATCCTTCCTGCTGTTTCTTTCCGTCCTTTGTGTAGAGAAATGAGGTAATGGTGAAGGAAGAGGTTAGTAGAAGCCACATTATGGGCAAACTTTTCTTCCCCATCTGATTTTTGCTTTTGCTTTCAGTGCAAGTGTGGTTGTAATACTTGTCTTGTTGGCCACCTGGATGACCTATTCCTTCCCCTTTGTTCTCTGCAGCTAAATATTTTTGCAAGGTGGATGCTTCCAGGTTATTCTTGTGTATCTGGAGTCTTGTCTTGGAAATTGACTGGGAATAAATGAGGTTTTCATTTGTGGGTGTGGAGTTAGTTTTGACTTACAGTATTTGAAGCAGCTGGATACGTTTTGCTTTTGAAAGAGTATATATATGTGTGTGTATAATCTTTAGGATATGGTTCTCTGTTGGGAGGTGTGATGTTGAACCCCCCAGCTCCCATATTTGACATGTCTGGAGACATTTTTGATTGTCATAATTTTCAGAAGGGCACTACTAGCATCTAGTGGGTGGAAAACAGAGATGTTGCTAAACATGCTACTGCCAGGATAGCCCCCTGTGATAGATTACTCATCGTGAGATGTCAGTTAGTGGTTAGGTTGAGAAACTCTATCCTAGAAGTATATTTTTGCTTCCCAAGTGCCACTTGTGTTAGGTAGAAGTTTGTCCTTGGACTGATGGTGCAATTTAGAATAATAGAATTAACATAGGAAGGGACCCTAGAGGTCACATATTTGAACTTTATCCCAACTTGTATTTCTCACAATGATGTTTCTGCTTGATATTAATAGATGTAATGGAAAAAGGTGCTTGTTAAAAAAGTTTGGTAAAGGTAAACATTTGCATATTCAGTATGATGCAATACGTTGTGAGTCTCCATCTGGGAAGTTTTTCCGAAATGTATTTGCTTGCTGAGTGTATTTAACATCTTCCAGACCCTAAAATACTTCTTTGAAACTGAGAGAGAAACTATTGATTATCTAGCCCAACCTTTTATAGCTAAATGACCTTGAATAGGTAGCCTTTTCTTTTATCTGTACAAGCTTACTGCAGAATCTCAATTTGTGTGAGTGACAGCAGGTGTAGCAGCTCCATCTGTATTTGTCAGATTATAGTTTACTAACTGAATGAACTAAAAATTGGGATATTTGGGGCTTGAATTTTTATTCTGAATGTACAGTCTGACTTTATCCCTACCGGTAAATTAGAAATTATAATCTCAGCCCTAATTCTACTGCCCAGGTTGTTATGAGGATTAATCAGTTAATTATAGCTTTTAAGGCTTTGTATTCTTTGGAGAAAGATGATTTATCAGATAGGCTGTTGTGCTGTTTGTGTAGAACTGCTTCCTTTTTTTGTTTTTCGTTTTTTTTTCCTTTAGCCCTGAGCTTCTCTAAGAACTGCTTAAATTTGACAGTCTTTCCCTGCTTTACATTGTCGAAGATTGAAGCTTTTTGAATTTTGTAGGGGTCAAGTGGGATAGGAATCATTGTTTTGCTCTGTATATTAAATTTAAGAATGTTACTATGGGCCGGGCGTGGTGGCTCATGCCTGTAATCCCAGCACTTTGGGAGGCCAAGGTGGGCAGATCACGAGGTCAGGAGATGGAGACCATCCTGGCTAACATGGTGAAACCCTGTCTCTACTAAAAATACAAAAAACTAGCTGGGCGTGGTGGCGGACGCCTGTAGTTCCAGCTACTGGGGAGGCTGAGGCAGGAGAATGGCGTGAACCCGGGAGGTGGAGCTTGCAGTGAGCTTAGATCACGCCACTGCTCTCCAGCCTGGGTGACAGAGCGAGACTCCATCTCTTAAAAAAAAAAAAAAGAATGTTACTGTGATTTTGTTTTACTTAGTTATTGGCTCTTTAAGAATTTCCATTGTTTTCTTTTTGTTTCTCTCCATTTTATTATAGAAGTAATACATGTTTATGGTGGAGACTTTACATAAGCCAAGGAACAAAAGACAAAAGAATCTTACCAATGACTTTTTAAAGCAAAATTGAGATGATACTGTGTTTTGTTTTGTAACTTTTTTTCATTTAATAATGAAGCAAGCACTTTTCTATGTTAGTAAATATAGCTCTGCCACACTTAGGGTTGCACAGTATTCCATTGTATGGATATTTAATAATTTAACCGAGTTTTTGGCATTCAGTTTTCTTTTTATTATAAACAACATCATGAAATATTAAAAGTAAGTCTAGACATAACAGGGAAAAGATTAAAGTACTAAACTTAGGTGGTGGTTTATGGCAATTGTAGCTAATTGCAAACTAGGTGCATTTTTTCCTGTGCATTAAAAAGCCATGGAAATTCATTCCTTCTATGTTTCCTTTTTGTTTCCAGTGTAATAAAAGTGCAAATAATACTGGGTGGTTGCTCCAGGTACGTGGCCAAGTAATTGAAAGTATCTTATTTCATCATCATAGCATCCTTGTCGGGAAGGCTCTGTTACTTGTAGATGAGGAGACTTAAAGAACAGAATAGTTAGGTAACCTACAGGAGGTGGAGCCAGGATGGGAACTGAGATTTGCTCACTTGAGTCAGTGCTCCTCTTACTTATGAATATCTCTGGGAGTAATGTTGAATCTTAGCATAGTATTTCAAGTCAATAAAGGTATGTCAAGTCAATAAATGGTATTTCTTTGGTATAGAAATCTCAAGATTTAGGAATTAGGAATGGGAATTTTTTCAGAAAAAGTGGTCACTTTTTCCTGTTCTCTGCACTCTCTCTCCTCCCCCACCCCCTTACTTAGATGATTGTTTTAGTAACTACACTATGCTGTGTATCCTATGGGGATATTGAGACCAAGGATAAAGTGCAAATCAAATAAACTATTGTCTTTGAAGTGTATATGTTAATGTCAAGTTCATAGACATCATTTCAGAGAAGTCTTGGAGTAGATGGGATTTTTTTTTTTTTTTTTTTTAAGATGGAGTCTTGCTCTTGTTGCCCCGGCTGGAGTGCAGTGGTGCAATCTTGGCTAATTGCAACCTCTGCTGCCTGGGTTCAGGTGATTCTCATGTCTCAGCCTCTCAGGTAGCTGGGATTACAGGCGCTCGCCGCCACACTCAGCTGATTTTTGTATTTTTAGTAGAGACAGGGTTTCACCATGTTGACCAGGCTGGTCTTGAACTCCTGACCTCAGGTGATACGCCTGCCTCGGCCTCCCAAAATGCTGGGATTACAGGCGTGAGCCACTGTGCCCAGCTGGAGTAGATGGGATTTAAGCCGGCATTTTTTCTTAAAGTTGTAAGCTTTAAAGAATTGAATAATCTCAGAATAACTTTGAGAAGTTTACTACTTAAGCACCTTCTGTGATGTGATGTTAATTATGACCCTCTTTTTCATTTGTGCTGGAGTGAGCCTGGGTTTTCCTAAGTTTTATGTAAGTCATAAAGCATATTTGTGCCCTTGCTTGGGTCCTCAGAGGGAAGCTGTTTCCTGCCCTTGCTAAGTCTTACTGTAGTGCTGTCAGGCAGTAGGGTACAATTACTCTTCACATGTTGTATTAATCATCTGGCACTGATAATATGCCTCCTTGCATTGCTCATATCAACTACATATTGACATTCAAAAGGGGAGGAGATTGAATTGATGGGAATTATCTGGTAGTGATTTTTGTTTGTCCATGGGAAAAACCCTTTGCATATTATAAAAGTGACTCAAAATATTTTTAACAACTATATTGGTCCAGCTGTCAACTGGTCTGTAACACAATGTTTAATAACAGGAATTAGTACTGTCAACTGGTCTGTAACACAATGTTTAATAATATATTAGGAATTAGTATTATATTTAAAGTTAGAAATGGGAAAAGACAACATAGAATAATTTGTGCCACACAGAATGCCATATGCCAGAAAGCCCACAGGAGAAAACTACATAAGCCCTGAAAATCTAGTTCATAAAGAGTGTTGGTTAAAATACAACCCTGGAACAAGAAACTTTTGGTGTTAATAATTATATGAGGCCAGGCACAGTGGATCACACCTGTAATCCTAGCACTTTGGGATGCTGAGGCAAGCGGATCACCTGAGGTCAGGAGTTTGAGACCAGCTTGGCCAACGTGGTGAAACTCCATCTCCATTAAAAATACAAAAATTATCTGGGCATGGTGACACATGCCTGAAGTCCCAGCTACTCGGGAGGCTGAAGCAGGAGAATCACTCCAACACAGGAGGCGGAGGTTGCAGTGAGCCGAGATCACGCCACTGCACTCCAGCCTGGGCGACAGAGCGAGACTACATCTCAGAAACACACACACACACACACACACACACACACACACACACACACACACACACACACACAGCAATAAGACAGATTCGACCCATATGTATATTGGTGCTTTTATGAATAATGTTTTCTCAGTCATTTATTTGAGTATTTTTATGTTAATGATTCAAATTGTCATACTATAAAGAAGCTTACTGTGGTCCTGTAGGGCCTACCATCCTGTGTTGGTATTGCTCCAAAGGTAAGCATTTTTGATTAAATTGGAGATTGCCCTCATTTGGGGTAGGGAGCGGGGTGCTTAGTCCAGTGATTTCACAAGCATTTTGGTCTCAGGAGCCTTTTTTAACTCTTAAAATTTGTTGAGAACAGCAAATAAATTGTTTTTCTTATAAACTTTGAGAAATTTAAAAAATATTTAATAAGTAATTCAGGCTGGGCATGGCGGCTTATGCCTATAATCCCAGGAGTTTGGAAGGCTGAAGCTGGGAGTTTGATAGCAGCCTGGGCAACAAAATGAAATTCCATCTCTACAAAAATTCAAAAAATTAGCCGGGAATGGTGGCACACACCTATAGTCCCAGCTACTAGGAGGCTGATGCAGGAGGATCACTTGAGCCCAGGAGGTTGAGGCTTCAGTGAGCCATGATTGTGCCACTGCACTCTAGCTTGGGTGACAGAGCTAGACCCTGTTTCAAAATAACAGCAACAAATAAATGATTTGTCTTGCACTTAAACTTTTTACCCATGCATGATTTCCTGACATTCACTGGACATTTTATTGTTCACTGGGTTATGCAGATCTTCCAAATGTTACACATTACATTATATGCAATCAAAAATTCACATTCATTAATATCGTCACAAGTCTGTTAAATCAGAAATGGCTTTTAAAATATTCAGAAAGTCCGAATGTGGCAGCTTAGGCCTGTAATCCCAGCACTTTGGAAGGCCGAGGTGGGCGGATCATGAGGTCAGGAGATTGCGACCATCCTGGCCAACATGGTGAAACCCTGTCTCTACTAAAAATACAAAAATTAGCCAGGCGTGGTGGCATGTGCCTGTAGTCCCAGCTACACGGGAGGCTGAGGCAGGAGAATCACTTGAACCCAGGAGGCAGAGGTTACAGTGAGCTGAGATCATACCACTGCACTCCAGCGTGGCGACAGAGCGAGACTCTGTTAAACACACACACACATCCACATCCACCAAATAAAATATTGGGAAAATGTTTAAGTTCATGATTGTTGATACAAGTTTTCAAAAACACTAATCTTTGCCTAAAAAATTCAGATTTTATTATTGGCAGCAAATATCGTCAGTGGTCTTCCTTGAAGTGACAGGTTCACTTTGTTCATTTGCAAGGAAATGTCTGCTAGTGAAGCAGGTTTCAAATAATGTTTGTCAGTAGTTCTGCCAAGTAAAAATCGTGTTCCATGAACAAAGCTCTAGTTCATTTTGCAACTCAGTTGTACTGTGCTTTTTCCTGAGAATTCATAAAGCAGCAGAGTGCTTTATGCATGCTTTCCCTTTCATCACAAAGAATATTTTTAAAAAATGCACTAAAGGCTCAAGATAATTCATAATTTTTGCTGTTCATCAAGGACATCTTAAGTGGAACTCCCTTAAAAAAAGAAAAACTGAGTGGAGAGTATAATGACTATTAGTATAGTTTGGTGCCTCTTCCTTGATTTGTGCTAATAATGTACCAGCAGTTTTGTTCACCTTTGTTTTTGTACTCTGATTGCAAATGTCAACACAGTGTAAAAGGCAGATAATATTCTAGTATTGCTATGAAAATACCTTTGATTTCACGAACCTCCAAAATAGCCTGTGAGATCCCCAGAAGTCCAGAGACCACACTTTAAATAACAACTGGCTTAGTTCTTTACGTATGTTTCCTTTGGCTCCCAGACCACATAGATCAAGGGGGATCAAACAGAGGCAAATGACTGAGATTTTTAGCTTGGTTACTAAATAAAAGCAGTGTCATTACTTAAGGTAATGAAACAGGATGCGGAATAGTGTGCTGGAAGGAGAAAGTGAATTCTGAGCTTCAGGGGGCTTGAGGAACATAGAGGTATAGGAATCTTGATTAGTGCAGCTCAGAAGTTTTTCTTATGGTTAAGAAACCTTACCATACTAGTGGTTGTTGAGAGAGAAGAGGGCAGAAGGGACCTTGTGCAGCACCAGCATTTAAGGGTCCAGGAGGAAGAGAAGAGGATGATAGTACAAGGACATCAGGAAAGAATTAGAAGAAGGTCGGTATTGTCCAGTGGTTCAGAGAAGTCAGATAGAATGGGGACTGAGGTTTGACCATTGGATTTGATAATAAGATTACTGGTCACCTTTGCCAGAGCAGTAGGGGGTGAAATCCAGATTATGGAAGAGTGAAGAGTGCAGAGACAGTTATTTATACTATTCTTAGAGAAGTTTTGGGGTAAAGGGAAAGAGAGATATTTGGGCAATTAAGTATGAGAGAGAGGCTGTACTGAGGGCAGAAGATACTTGAGTAAATTCCTAGGCTGAGAGGAAGAAGCCAGTAGAGAAGATATTGATGACCACTTTGATCTGAAAGAAAAGAAAACTGATGAAACAAGTTGGTATTACAGATGTGGTACAGTTAGCTTTGTAGTATAATCTGTACTTCTAGAGAAGTGAGAAGCTGATGAAAACTGGATTCCCTGGCCAGAAAAATGCACAGACCTGTGATATTTGGCATACTTTTTTTAGTGAACACGGGAATTCCTTACTAATTTTTTTCTGTTTAATTATTGCTTAGTTTGATGTGTCTTGCTTTAAATCCATTTATTTCAACAAGCTTAAAGAGATTTTTTTTTTAATGGAGATGATTTAATTTTAACAATCTGTGATTTTCTCTGAATCGAACTTGTGTTTTGGCACCTTTCAATCTGTGGTAACAAATGACAAGAAGGGTGCAATTCTTCCTTCTCTTGTGCAGGGATTTTGCCTCCCCCTTTCTCCCAGATGAAAGATATTTGGGTCTCTAGAATAACTGTGGTACAGTTAGCTCCAGAGTGTTTTCTTTCTGGAGGCAGTTTAGACAACAGCCTCAAGTAGTGCTTTTGTTAAAAATATACATGTTTTTAAAAGTGCTTGTATTTCTAATACTCTTTTCTCCTTTCTCTTCTAGTCTGTTCTCTGGGGAGGCAGTAAGGGGCCGTGGAGCTGGCCTCGGCCTCGGCATCGGGAGAGGCTGGACTTCCTGTCTCTCTGTGCTGAATGGCTGCGATGGCGCCCGCTCTCACTGACGCAGCAGCTGAAGCACACCATATCCGGTTCAAACTGGCTCCCCCATCCTCTACCTTGTCCCCTGGCAGTGCCGAAAATAACGGCAACGCCAACATCCTTATTGCTGCCAACGGAACCAAAAGAAAAGCCATTGCTGCAGAGGATCCCAGCCTAGATTTCCGAAATAATCCTACCAAGGAAGACTTGGGAAAGCTGCAACCACTGGTGGCATCTTATCTCTGCTCTGATGTAACATCTGTTCCCTCAAAGGAGTCTTTGAAGTTGCAAGGGGTCTTCAGCAAGCAGACAGTCCTTAAATCTCATCCTCTCTTATCTCAGTCCTATGAACTCCGAGCTGAGCTGTTGGGGAGACAGCCAGTTTTGGAGTTTTCCTTAGAAAATCTTAGAACCATGAATACGAGTGGTCAGACAGCTCTGCCACAAGCACCTGTAAATGGGTTGGCTAAGAAATTGACTAAAAGTTCAACACATTCTGATCATGACAATTCCACTTCCCTCAATGGGGGAAAACGGGCTCTCACTTCATCTGCTCTTCATGGGGGTGAAATGGGAGGATCTGAATCTGGGGACTTGAAGGGGGGTATGACCAATTGCACTCTTCCACATAGAAGCCTTGATGTAGAACACACAACTTTGTATAGCAATAATAGCACTGCAAACAAATCTTCTGTCAATTCCATGGAACAGCCGGCACTTCAAGGAAGCAGTAGGTTATCACCTGGTACAGACTCCAGCTCTAACTTGGGGGGTGTCAAATTGGAGGGTAAAAAGTCTCCCCTGTCTTCCATTCTTTTCAGTGCTTTAGATTCTGACACAAGGATAACAGCTTTACTGCGGCGACAGGCTGACATTGAGAGCCGTGCCCGCAGATTACAAAAGCGCTTACAGGTTGTGCAAGCCAAGCAGGTTGAGAGGCATATACAACATCAGCTGGGTGGATTTTTGGAGAAGACTTTGAGCAAACTGCCAAACTTGGAATCCTTGAGACCACGGAGCCAGTTGATGCTGACTCGAAAGGCTGAAGCTGCCTTGAGAAAAGCTGCCAGTGAGACCACCACTTCAGAGGGACTTAGCAACTTTCTGAAAAGCAATTCAATTTCAGAAGAATTGGAGAGATTTACAGCTAGTGGCATAGCCAACTTGAGGTGCAGTGAACAGGCATTTGATTCAGATGTCACTGACAGTAGTTCAGGAGGGGAGTCTGATATTGAAGAGGAAGAACTGACCAGAGCTGATCCCGAGCAGCGTCATGTACCCCTGTGAGTAGACCTCATGCATGATAGCATTCTTGAGAAATGTTGGCACAAGGAAGAATGAATGAATCGCCATTATGGAGAGAATGTGATTCTTTGTACATAGGTGTCTAGGTTCTGTTTGTTTTTTCCCTGATGTTGGGTAGATGAGTGCATATACATGCTAGTGAAGAAGGGGAAGATATTTTTGCTGTAGGGTTGTATTGTTGTAGTCTAAATGGTGGTAATTTCCTTTTGAAGTCTAAGAAAAATAACTAGGAGACATCTTATGTGTAAAATTGTACTAGTACCTCTTTAAGAGTGAATTTAGATTTCTTTTGAAACTATATATAGGACATGATAAGTTAATGGCCTGATTGTTGAGATTTTGTTGTTTCCAGTAAGCAGGGACAAATGCTGAGTTGACCTAGTTACCTTTGTAGGAAATTACAGTTGCTTTTGATTGAACTTTCAGCAGAGAGCACACCCAGTCTTCAATTTTAACACTTGAGATTTTCTTACATTTTAAGGACTGACAATTAGAAAATGCTTCAGAATATTTAATACATCGCCTTCAAGCACAGTCTAGTTTCACAACCTGACTCTCTTCCTATTAAAAAAAAAAAAAGCCCATTTTAAGCAGATTTGTTAAGCTGAGTTAAATGTATTGATGTATTTGGAATAAATTCTTACTGGGTTGTTTTTTTTGTTGTTTTTTGTTTTGTTTTGTTTTGAGACAGTTCCGCTCTGTCGCCCAGGCTGGAGTGCAGGAGTGCAGTAGTGCGATCTCAGCTCACTGAAGCCTCTGGCTCCTGGGTTCAGGTGATTCTCGGGCCTCAGCCTCCCTAAGTAGCTGGGATTACAGGCACCCGCCACCAAGTCAGGCTAATTTTTTTCTTTTTTCTTTTCTTAAGTAGAGACTGAGTTTCACCATGTCGACCAGGCTGGCCTCAAACTCCTGACCTCGTGATCCGCCCACCTCATCTTACTGGTTTTTCTAAATCTGTTGGTTTGAGAAAATTTTACATAAGCTTTTTATGGGTGGCACTCCAAATTGGCATGGTGGAGACAGAGACGTTTCACTCCTGTCACTCCCAATTCAGCATCTATGTACTTAATTAAATAAAGCAGTACTATATTATAACATACTTAAAGATACATGTTAAATAAGTGCATTTATCTCCTTAGGAATATCAGATTTGAGAGAGAGCATGAGGAGTTGGAAAAGAGGGGCAGGATAATTGACTAGTAGATCTTTCATTTTCTCTTTGCTAGAGGCTGGCTTACTAGAGAAGGCTGAAAAAGATGAATATGTGGGAAGAATTGGTGTTTCCTTGACTGTATTAAAAGGTGATGAAGATTTTCACTGGAGTGTTTGGTTGTTGAGACAGCTATGATTTTTAAAAGTAAATTTTCTGGTTTCCCAATTTTGTTTATATTATCTGCATGGATATTGTATCTGAAATGAAACTTTTTTTTTCTATTTTGAAGGAAGAAATGGATAATTTTTGCTGAATTTCTTCCTTGTAGACCTAGTTCTATTATCATTTGTTAGTTCACTGTGCTCAAGTCCACTTCTGTATTTAGATTTAAAGCAAATGCTTCAGAGGCTTGCTTCTTCCTTAACCCATCTTTCTTTAAATGGATTAGTAGCTTAATTCAGCTTGCTAATATTCATGGCATTATCCCCACTAACTTTGCTGTTTAAATCACCGCTTTGAAAATATCTTGGTTAACGTTAAATATTTTGTGCTTAGAGGTATAATAAACACTGTAGTTAAAGGATTTTAAATTGCATGCACTTATTTTGAGTAACAGAAAAGCACCTAGACACTATAAGCTTATTGTTTTCAGGATACGTTGCATTGAAAACATTTCTGAGTTTTGGTACTGTTGTAGGTAAGCGTTACAAACCAATGAAATAAAAGTACCTGAGAATTTTTCTTATTCTGTAGGATAGTTTAATGACTTGGAAAAACCTTAAGGCCATTCATTCACTACTTAGTTCTGAGCATTCTTCTCACATAATGGTTTACGGTTTGGAAGGGTGTGAAGTGTATAAGAACAGCCAAAGGATGGCTTTTAGGAAACATTTTGGGATCAGTTGAATCCTCTTGCAATTAAATCAACTGATACTTTAAAAAGTTGAATTTTCATGCGTTAGATCATATTTGGGTACTGAAAGTACTCTGAAGTACATGCTCTTTTTGCACATTGTAATTGTATTTAGGGCCGGGCACGGTGGCTCACTCCTGTAATCCCACCCAGCACTTTGGGAGGCTGAGGCGGGCGGATCACTTGAGGTTGAGAGTTCGAGACCAGTTTGACCAACATGGAGAAACCCCGTCTCTACTAAAAATACAAAATTAGCTGGGCGTGGTGGCACACGCCTCTACATCCAGCTGCTCTGGAGGCTGAGGCAGGAGAATCGCTTGAACGTGAG
The DNA here is from genome assembly GCF_000001405.40 of Homo sapiens. Classification (NCBI taxonomy): domain Eukaryota; kingdom Metazoa; phylum Chordata; class Mammalia; order Primates; family Hominidae; genus Homo; species Homo sapiens. The sequence continues at coordinate 618,546 of NT_167251.2, forward strand.
AGGCGGAGGTTGCGGTGAGCTGAGATCGCACCATTGCTCTCCAGCCTAGGCAACGAGCGAAACTCCGTCTCAAAAAAAAAAAAAAATTGTATTTAAACTAAAACCACCAGTAAAGCATAAATACTTTAAAGTTCTTGTTGAGCAAGATCACCGGGTTGACTCTTAAGGCTGGTATTTATTTAGCCAAGTGTTTGTTGATCTTCTGAGTGTTTTAAAGGTTTTCAGCAGTTGACCAGACAATGAGAATGGAGGCATTGCTTTAATTTAAAAAGAAGAAGAAAAAGTTGTTCTTTGATGCTGAGAAATGAATCCTAGAATGTAGTTAGTTAATTCTTCAGGAACTTGACCCAGCTGGTGAATTTTGGCTCCCCCCACCCTTCCAGTAGCTGGTCTGTATTTTACTCTTTTGCCCAAGATAGAGTGGTGGGCTAGGTTTCGTCTAGGTAGCCCTGATGAAAATATTTAGTAGAGGAGACTGTTGGAATGAGCTGTTTTTAAATGATGTTGCTTAAATTACAAGTGGATAGTTCTGTGGAAATTATAATCCCTTTCTTCACTAAGAATTCAATTGTTTTTTTCTTTCCCACCTCCCAGAGGAGAAACAGTGATCCATTCTGTGTCGTTGGTACATGATAGCTATAGAATGATTAATTTTTCTATGTTGTTGAATGTTTAGCAAATTGTATGTTTATCATTGTATTATGCTTGACAGTAAACTATATTGCTAAATGAGACTTTAGAGAGAGTTTTTTAAATTAATTTTTATGGTTGACTGATTTTATGTCTGGTTTAAAAACTCTTACCCTTTTTGTTTTAAACTCTTCTTGGAAAATTTTCATGAAATATTTCACATATCTTCCTTTCTTGGTACAGTGGACATATAACTGCTTTGAAAATTCTGCAGTACCTTGTGTTTGATATGATGTCACTAAACAATGATATTTCATCACTGTGGAAGGTACAGGAATTTAAATTTTATCTCCTTGATTATGGGATTAAGAAGGAAGCTGCATGCTTCCGTAAATATCTTAATGTTTAATTCTTAATTGTAGATGTAGAAATAAAAGCATTTAATTATCATATGTATGTAATGTACTTGCTGAGTTGTGCTTGCTCTTCTTTCTTTTATATTCTTTGTTTTTCCCTCTTAGAGTTGTTTTTTTTTCCCTGCAATTTTGTTTAATTCCTGGACCCATTCCACATTTTGCTAAATTTGCTTTTCGTTTTCTGGGTCCTGTGCTTATAAACTTCTATATAGTAACTACTTGTTAAAATAATATTTTTTTTCCAGAAATTCTCTTAATTGTGCTCTTAAATCAGCAGTGTTCTGGGTACCTGGACCACATTATGTAGGTCTCTCTCTCCTAAGTTTTTTTTTTTTTTCCTTTCTTTTTTTCTCTCTGTCCCTGAAATTTTTTTTTTCTTTTTTTTCTCCCAACCGTTACTCTAGGCTTATCTTGAAGTTCAGTATAAAAATAACCTCATAAAACATTTCATTGTGATTACTGAAATATTGTTGAGGATATTCTCTGTATTCTGCAATGCCTTCTTTATAAAGACCTCAGGGAGAAAGATGTGCAGCCAAGAATAATTGTATGTTTGTCTAAGCTTTTAGTCTGTTTTTATTACCTGGGTGCTGTAATTGTTCACTAGGTTTCTTTTTTCCTATTGACATCTGGAAATTTAGAGCTAAGCTTGTACCTTTTTAATAGCTTCATTTTGTTTCCCTATTTTCATGTTTTTATTTCTGGTTGAATTTATGCTAACCTGTGTTTTGTCTAATAGTCTCCTGAAGTCTGTTTCAGATCAGGGTTGGGTAAAAATAAACTATGGATGCAGTTCAGTGACACTAAAGCGCTTATTTGAATTTTGGATGGTCTTGATTGCAGTGAGTTTTCTCACCCTCAGGAATTTTTTTTTTTTTTTGGAGACCGAGTATTGCACTTGTTGCCCAGGCTGGAGTGCAGTGGCGCGATCTTGGCTCACTGCAACCTCTGGCTCCCGGGTTCAAGTGATTCTGCTGCCTCAGCCTTCTGAGTAGCTGGAATTACAGGTGCCTGTCACCATGCCCGGCTAATTTTTGTACTTTTAGTAGAGGCAGGGTTTTGCCATGTTGCTCAGGCTGGTCTCGAACTCCTGACCTCAGGTGATCTACCCGCCTTGGCCTCCCACAGTGCTGGGATTACAGGTGTAAGTCACTGTGCCCAGCCCTTTTTTTTTTTTTTTTTTTTTTTTTTGAGACAGAGTCTCACTCTGTCGCCCAGGCTAGAGTACAGTGGCATGATCTCGGCTCACTGCAATCTCCACCTCCCAGGCTCAAGCAATTCTTCTGCCTCAGCCTCCTGAGTAAGCTGGGATTACAGGCGCCCACCACCATGCCTGGCTAATTTTTGTATTTTTAGTAGAGATGGGGTTTCACCATGTGGCCCAGGCTGGTCTCAGAACTCCCGACCTCAGGTAACTCCCGACCCACCTTGGCCTACCGAAGTGCTGGGATTACAGGCGAGAGCCACTGTGCCTAGCCCCTCCTGGGGAATTTTATCCTCTTGGAGTTTATGAAGACCTCATGGTAAAATGAATTACTAGTGTGTTTATAGGTTTTGCTTTTTAGATACTTTGGAATGTTCTATATTGTTGCTCTTGGTCTGGCTTGGTGGCTCATGTCTGTAATCCCAGCACTTTGGGAGGCCAAGGTGGGTGGATCACTTGAGGTCAGGAGTTGGAGACCAGCCTGGCCAACATGGTGAAACCCCGTCTCTACCAAAAATTCAAAAATTAGCCAGGCGTGGTGGTGCACGCCTTTAATCCCAGCTACTTGGGAGGTTGAAGCACGAGAATCACTTGAACCCGGGAGGCAGGAGTTGCAGTGAGCTGAAATCTCAGCTCTGCACTCCATCCTGGGTGGCAGAGTGAAACTGTGTCTCAAAAAAAAAATAAAAATACCTGTAATCCCAGCACTTTGGGAGGCTGAGGTGGGTGGATCACGAGTTCAGGAGATTGAGACCATCCTGGCTAACACGGTGAAACGCCATCTCTACTAAAAATTCAAAAAATTAGCCGGGCGTGGTGGCGGTCCCCTGTAGTCCCAGCTACTCGGGAGGCTGAGGCAGGAGAATGGCCAGAACCCAGGAGGTGGAGCTTGCAGTGAGCCGAGATCGCACCACTGCACTCCAGCCTGGGCAACAGAGCGAGACTCCATTTCAAATAAATAAATAAGTAAAAATAAAAATAAAAGTAACTCTTATTTGAATTTATTAAGAATACACAGATGATGTTGCCAAAATGGCAATCAAATTGCTTTGTCATTTTTTACTTTTTATGTATGTTTGTATGTATGTATATATTTGAGAGAGAGTCTTGTTCTGTCACTCAGGCTGGAGTGCAGTGGCGTGATGTCAGCTCATTGCAGTCTCTGCTTCCCAGGTTCAAGTGATCTTCCTGCCTCAGCCTCAGGAGTAACTGGGACTACAGGCATGCACCAAACACCCGGCTATCATTTTTCTACTCTTTATCATTTCATAAAGTGGTGGGTTGGGAGGAACATCAGCCAGGATACCCAAGTCTTCTCAGCTAAACCCTTCTTCTGCTAAAAACTAGCTATAGGACTAATGTAACCATTTTTCTAATTAAAGTGAGGGAGCTGACCCTACGTGACCTTTAGGTCTCAAACTACTTTGAAATGTGACTGTTTATCTTTAAATAACATGAATGAAACTATTCTCATCACCATTTTTTTGCATTGGGGGAAGCTGAGGCAAAGAACCCAGCAAAGCACTGGTATAAGTTGAAACAAAACAGGTTTCTTGACTTGTGACTTAAAGCTTTGGTTCTTCTAATGCCTTCATTCATTTCTTTGGTTGATTTACTTTTCATAGTCCATTAAAGTGATTATCTTATTTCTTGATGTATGGGATAGAAATGTGGGAATAATTTCATTGTATTCTTACAGAATTTACTTCAGAGCTGAGTAAACTTTCATTTGTTGAACACCTTTGATTTAATGCCCCTTGGCTTTTCTCCTAATCTGCACATGACGTCAAGTGGCAGAAGTAGGAACTTGTGTTTTTTTCTTCTATTCTCTTCTCATTTTTTTCCTGAGAAGAAACGTAGGTAGTGAAAATCATTCTTAGTGCTTGTTGTGGGATTCTGAAGAAGGGAACTTAGGCATCAGGAATTTGGGTGTTACCCATTTACCGTAGATATAGTTGCTATAGTGTTTTCTGCCACCTTGTGATTGTTGTTTTTGTTCTCTGAAGTGAACGTACTCTTTTATGGTAGTGTTAAAGTCATATAATAAGTACTTATGGAGTAAGTAAATGTGTAAGACACGAGATAACAGATGAATAAGCTAAGTTTGTATCCTCAAGAAGTTTAAAGAGTGAAGGGAGTGAAGAACTTAGTAAGACAAAGATGAATGTTTAGAACAGTGCCTGGCACTTAGTGATGTTAGAAATGAACCTTGAAGGTTGGCAAAGATTTTGATAGACAGTTTTCTTTTGATTGTGACCTACTCAGAGGTCAGTATAGGCAGAAAGCACAGGGCACACAGAGAAGACAAGTTGAAAGGTATAGGGCTTTGGTGGCACCATGGGAATGGGATATGTTGAAGACATAGTATTATAGGTACAGATGGTAAATGTAATGTGAGAAGAAAAAGAGATAATTCCAGAAATGATGTAGAGGTAAATTGAATGGGACTTAATAACTGTGATGTGTGGGGGCAATGACGGGAGGGATCATCATAGGTGATTGAAGTTTTAAGCCTGGCTGACTACAGCAATAGATGGTTACCAGAAGCATTTCAGTACTCAGTTTGCAAAATAATCTTAATAGCTCATGAGAGTCCAGGTTCTTTACTAGAGTCTTAAAAATGAAGGTTTCTGTATTCCTTACAAGTTCCAGCAAGTGTTAAAAATGAGGAAATGGCTGGGTGCAGTAGCTTGAGCCTGTAATCCCAGCTCTCAGGAAGTTGAGACAGGAAGATGGGTTGAGCCTAGGAGTTCAAGGCTTGGGTAAGCTATGATTGTGCCACTAAACTCCAGCATGGGCGACAAAGTGAGACCCTGTGTCTGAAAAAATAAAAAACAGTGAGGAAATAAGCTTCCAAATAATCTTCTATAAATGGGGGAGGAGTTGCTCTGTAGAGACCTGAAAACCTTCATTGGAGGAGTTTGGATTTGATTAATTCATTCATTAACTCTACATTGAATGCCTGCTACATGCTGGGATGCTAGGGATCCAGTGGTTAAGAAAGATACAATCCTTGTCTTGCCCTCATGGGGAATATAGATTAGAGAGAGATTAATATTTAAGCAGGTAATTACATAGATGATATATTTATGATTGTTGTGGGTGCTACAGGAACAAAGTTCAGAGTGATCTGAGGGTGCATATTGGATATATCTAGGCAGCATGTGATGGGGATGTGATGGTGAGTCTTCTGAAGGAAGTGACATGTAAGCTGAGACCTGAAGGATAAGAAGGAATTGGTGGGTGAGAAGGGGCTTTGCTGCTCATTGAGGAAACAAGACATGCTAAGGTCCTGGAAATGGAAGGTGCTTGACTCTCAAAGAACAGAGCAAAGTATAGTGTATTTTACAAGTAGTGAGAAATGAGACCAGAGAGGTAGCTAGTTGCCAGATCATACAGATGGCCTTGTTGATTATATAAAGTTAAAATTTTTATTGTGAAGCCATTGACATGGCTTACGTGATTTGTATTTTTCAGACCCCGCTTGTGTGGAGAAGGGGAATAGAGGTGAATTTAGGCTAACCAGTTAGCTGAATGGTGGACTCAGCCTTTGGCAGGAAAGATTTAAGAGAATTGGTTATTGGAAGTAGGGGTGATGAGGGCTTGTGACTGATTGCATGTGGTGAGCAAAAGGGAAGAGGTGCCATGGGTGATTCCCAGATTTTTGTTTGGCAGGGGTAACTACATTGGATGGATATGTCAAGATGGAGAAGGAGCAGATGAGGTAGGCATTCATTAATTTTTATTTAAATATTTTCCTTTGTTGGGTATACCTGGAGTGTCCTTTGTAGAGCCCCCGATTAGGCTCTGTCAGTGTGATAAAACAAATAGTTTTAACTAGAAAAGGGAAAGCATGGGTCCACATTCTGTTATAAATGGATGGTACTTTAATTCATTTCCCCACCTCCCTAAACATGGACCAAAGTGGACTAGATTATTTTGCAAGCTGGGTAGAAATTCATGCCTAAGGTCATGCCCTTTCATGTTTACCAGTGAATTATCTTTCTCCAATTTTCTATTGTGCATCTGGGAAAATTATGCTTACATATCCAATGTAAAGAAAACATTGAGTTTATATAGATTTGAAACCAAGGGGGTTTAGTATATAGTAAACATAAGAATAAATCTTACCAGTTTTGATTCTCATTAGTTAAGGCTTTGTGGCAACTGTGTCCTGTTTGATTTTATATTTCTATAAGTGTGAAGAAAGGTTTCTTGTACCATGGTAGACAAAATTGCTTTGAAATTATTTTAAGCCTGATGAAAGTTGTAGGGTCTGCTCTGCAAGCAGAATATACTGAAAATTTGCTATTAAATTGTGAATGTTGTGGTTTGCTCTAGCAGCCTATTTAGTAGCATTGTAGTAATCATGTAGATTATATTCAGAACTCAGGTAAGAGGAATTGTAGAGAAAATTGTTTTGGGGGCGGGGGAAATGGGGAGATTGGGGAATGGCAACTAGAGAGAGGTGTCATAGTTCATTTAAAATCATGTTCTTATAAGTTGTTTTACTTAGGCCTAAAAGAATAGAGGGCATGTGCCAGGGAATTGAATACCCTTGTATATGTAGTGCCATTTCCTTGCTCTCCCTTTAATTGCTGTTTCCGGTTTGTTTCTCAGGTACTTACGAGAGATGTATCCTGGGAAGAAACAGGGTGGCAGAGTTTAGGGCCTTTGGGACTGAATTAGTCTTAAACCTGAGAACCCAGGAGGATTTTGACCGAACTGATTTGGGTGAGCTAGGAAACAAGGTTTTTTTTTTTTTTGAGACAGAGTCTCGCTCTGTCGCCCAGGCTGGAGTGCAGTGGCATGACCTGGGCTCACTGCAAGCTCCAACTTCCAGGTTCACGCCATTCTCCTGCCTCAGCCTCCCAAGTAGCTGGGACTGCAGGCGTCTGCCACCACACCCGGCTAATTTTTTGTATTTTTTTTTTTTTTTTTTTAGTAGAGGTGGGGTTTCATCATGTTAGCCAGGATGGTCTCGATCTCCTGACCTCGTGATCAGCCCACCTCGGCCTCCCAAAGTGCTGGGATTACAGGTGTGAGCCACTGTGCCCTGCTGGGAACAATGTTTTTAACCAACTTTGCCTAAGCAGACAACAGAGTTGAGACATTCTGGTAGAGAAATAATAGCCTACATTTGTTGAATTGTTTTTAGCTCTTTAGTTATAAAGAGCTTTTTACAAATTAATTTATGTAATCCTCCAACAGTACAATGAGATAGATAATTTTAATTTTACAGACTCAAACTGCAGAATGGAAAGTTTAAGTAACTTAATGTCAAACAGCTAATAAGAGATCAAGATAATAATCTAGGCTCTTTACCTATCTCCTGGGCATAAGCACTAGCTTTTTTAGTGTAAACAGAATCAAATTGTTCATTAGATTTGGTTGATGAAAAGAGGTCTACCAACCATCATGTAAAATATGGCGTTTATGTTTATATTCAGAAGACTATTATACATTAATTTGGTAATACGTATTTTTTGAGGAAAGGTATAATGGCCATATGTATCTTAACCAGATACATCCTTAAGCCTACAATATGAGTAAAAGAAAATTACTCATTTTCTTTTGTGGAGTAGAAGTTGGATGGGTTATATGGGCGTGATGCCTCTCTCCTGTAATTCCAGCACTTGGGGAGGCCAAGGCGGGCAGATCTCTTGAGCCCAGGAGTTCTAGAGCAGCCTGGGTAACATGGCGAAACCCCTTCTCTACAAAAAAAAGTAGCCAGGCGTGGTGGCATGCGCCTATAGTCCCAGCTTACATGGGAGGCTGAGGTAGGAGGATTGCTTTGAGCCTGGGAGGTAGAGGTTGCAGTGAGTCGAGATTGCACCACCGCACTCCAGCGTGAGCAGCAGAGTGAGACCTTGTCTTAAAAAAAGTTGGATGGGTAGAGGAGGGACATTTTGCTAGGGCAGACTAACATCTAGGAAGTGGTTGAAGTTATTTTTTTTAAAAAAGGAAGAAAAGAAAGGAATTAGTATTTATTGATCACACCTTTCTGTATGTTAGGTGGTTTAGGTTTGTTGTCTTTAAATCTTCCATATGATGATGATACCCTGTTTTACAGTTGAGACCCAAGACTATAGATATGTTAAATAATTTGCTTGTGGTCATACATGTTCTATCTTCTGAATAGAAGATAACTCCTGGAACTGATAGAGAGAGGGCAGAAAAAAGATTGTATTTTGAGAAATGGAGCAACCTGAAGGCACATAGCTTTGCTGTTTGCTGTAACTCCTTTAGACAGCTCTCTGACCACACAGTACGTGGGTGGACACCAGCATTGACCAGGAGGGATGGTGGGAAGTTTAAATAGTTTTCCTTTACTGTAATAAACACTCTAGAGAAGTGAACTATTAAAGGTTTTTCCCCATCAAATGGCTAAATTAAACATTTTTGACATTCGAAAGGGATGATTTATATCTTATGTGGAAAAGCCCCAAACAACTATTTCCCCAGTTGCTGGAAAAGGAGCTCTTTTGAGATATGAAGGTATTTTATGTTCTTTCTCCATTATTCTTAACTTGTGCTTACAGGTGAATTGTAAGCATGTGCTTTGTGTTTAGTATTTTCCTCAAGAAAACTCTTGCTGGTAAATCTAGTTACCATAGAACTTGAAAGGATATTGAAAGAATAGTTGAGGACTATCCTGATTGGTTTTCATCTACTTAGTCTGTATTTGTGTCATTTCAGTGTCTGAGTAGGTGGTTTGTGATTAACATTTCACATGTTATTTTTATTGATTTGGCAAGTACCAGAAAACTTGAAGGATGAACTAGAGGTTATTTTTCTTAGCATTTGTGGTATTAGTACTAAAAGGGGAGTAATAGAGTAGAAAGAATTCTGGACAACTGTTAAGAATTGTTACATTTTGTCTACCTAGGCTCGAGTTCCTCACTTTTAAAATTAGGACTGTACTTTTTGGAAGAATATTGCTTGTTGTTTTGTGGTGGGACCAGGCTGTGATGGGAAAGGCTGTTGTCATAGGCATAGGCAGGCCTTTTGCTTTGCTGAGGTATAGTGAGCAGCCCGGTGACCCTCCATGTAGCCTGCATTGCATGCAGTTTCCACAGGGTCCATAGAGTTAGTGCAAAGCTCCAGCAGGCCTACTCACCTGCTTTTCTCATGAGGCAACCTGGGACCAGTGTGTCCCTGTAGTAACTGTAATTTTTTGTTGTGTTCACTTATTGCAGTGAAAAAAAAATCTGAGCGTAAGGTTCTGAGTGGACCTGGAAAGGGGTGGGTGTTGTAGTGAGAGACTGAAGACAAAGGCCTGTAACAGATGGGTATCTTTTTAGCTTAATCAAGCTATTGCTGGAGTGTTATGCTTCAGAAATAAGTCTCTTGGCCGGGTGTGGTGGCTTATGCCTGTAATCCCAGCACTTTGTGAGGCCAAGGCAGGCAGATCGCTTGAGGTCAGGAGTTTGAGACCAGCCTTGCCAACGTGGTGAAACCTCGTCTCTACTAAAAATACAAAAATGAACCGGGTGTGGTGGCGGGCACCTGTAATCCCAGCTACTCGGGACGCTGAGGCAGGAGAATCACTTGAACCCAGGTGGTGGAGGTTACAGTGAGCTGAGATTGCTCCACTGCACTCCAGCCTGGGCGATAGAGCGAGACTCAGTCTCAAAAACAAACAAAACAAAAAATACAAAAATTAGCTGGGCATGGTGACACATGCCCGTAATCCCAGCTACTTGGAAGGCTGAGGTGCAAGAATCACTTGAACCTGGGAGGCAGATGTTGCAGTGAGCCGAGATCGATCGTGCCACCGCACTCCAGCTGGGCGACTGAGCGAGACTGTCTCAAAAAAAAAAAAAAAGTCTCTAATGGAAAACAAAAATTTATCCCAATTCCCCCAACCCCTCCTCCCAAAAAGCAAAACAATAAAGAAGTTTTGTTATTCTTGCTTTTTTAAAAAGGAAAATAAAATGCTTTCATTATTTCCCAGAAACAGTTGATTTAAAAACTATTGCAGATTATAAAGTTCATTTATGTAGAACAAATAAGGTACTTAGTGCTTTTTGCACCGTCAAATGTCAAAGGCAGAATTTCAGTTACTGCTTTTTAGGTGCATAAAATTAGCATAGTTGAATACTTCATTGATTCATTTAGTTGCCTTTCATAGAATTTTACTCCAATAACAAAAAGATCTGGGGTTTTTCTAAAATTTTCTTCAGGTCTTGAGAGTTTTTAGCTGAATTGCTACAACTATTCTTTCTCTAGATTTCCAACTGGGCGAAAATGTTTTTCTTTTTAAATTGGCACTCTCCCAGCATATTTTTCCAGCAAGTATTCTTTGGGCACACCCTGTGCGTAGTGAATTTTTCAAGATCCTTATTCAAAAGGCTGGGAGGACAGGCCAGTCTTTTCTTTGTAAGATGAAAACAGAATGAAGCTTGCTTAAGACTCATTTTGCTTCTGCCCAACTGTATATGAAATTGATCTCATGCAAATACACTCAAGCATTACCAGAAGTAATTTGACTTGATAGTGTAAGTAGAAAAGCTAATTTAGTATTTGCAGGCGGTTTGCTTAGTGCAACAGGTGACCTCTCAATTGAGAATTCTTAATTTGTTCTCAATGATAACTTGATAGTAAGCAGGTCTCAGGTCCAAGAGTTGAGAAATGTGAGGTGACTTTGAAATTTTCAAGGTAATTGTACATTCAAGACATTGACATGATATGTATATATTTGGTTTTACATTTTATTAGGTGCTGAGGTTGTCATTTCCATAATGTCCAAAGCAATGTTAGATTATTTAAGCTTCCATGGTTTACTGATGGTATTACTAGATGAGATAAATGCCTTTAATTTCATCCTTGAATGGTAAGATTGGCTGACTAATTTAGGGAAGGATAAGGTACAGAATTGCTCTTGGGTGTTTCCTAGCAGGCTGGCCTTCCAAGAGCAATAGCTTAATGTTTGTTCCTTTAATAAGTAGTACTTAAACAGTGATCAGGGGAGTTACCATAATTGGTAATCTGAATGGAAACTAAAATGTGTCATCATTGAGGATAGTCAAAAGTGTCCTTGTGGCAGTCCTAGAAAAGGGGTTCCAGAATTTTCCGAGCAGAGAAAAATATAAACATTTTCAAGGTTCTAATTATTTGGAGACTAGCCTTTCAGGATCATTTATCACCAAGATTAACCTTGCCACCAAAGGGCAAGGAAACACTTCTCTGGTGGTTAGATCAGGAATGATGAAAACACTTAAGAAGAATTGAAAACTTGGTTCCTGTCTTCAATGAGTAATTTATGTGACTGATTTTTTTTTTTTTTTTTTTTTTTTTTTTGGAGATAGAGTCTCACTCTGTCACCCAGGCTGGCGTACAGTGGTGTGATCTCAGCTCAGTGCAACCTCCACCTCCCTGGTTCAAGCGATTCTCCTGCCTCAGCCTCCTGAGTAGCTGGGATTTCAGGTGTGAGCCACTGCTCCCAGCCTTCCCCTCCACTTTCAAGTAAAAGAGGAAGCATTAGAATTAGACATTGTGGGCTGAGCTCCTTGGGAGGATCCCTTGAGCCCGGGAGTTCTAGACCAGAATAGGCATCATAGCGAGACCCCGTCTCTGTTTCGTTTTAGTATTTTAAATAAAAATTAAAAAACAAGAATTAGGCATTGTGTACTAAGTATTAGATACATGGTACAGGCATTAAATGCTGAAATCTTAGGAGGAGGGAGTGGTTAGAGGGAAGGATTGACTGCTGTAGGCTGAGGTGATAGGAAGACCTGAGAAGAGATGGATCTAGAGTTAGGAGTTTACATTCCAGTGCAGGAGTTCTCCGTATAAACACTATCAGATACTGACTTTCTGGATGATCTGGAGTATTCTTTGTTAATGTTTTTTTGAGACAGAATCTCGGTCTGTCGCCCAGGCTGGAGTACAGTGGTGCCATCTCGGCTCACTGCAACCTCTGCCTCCTGGGTTCAAGGGATTCTCTTGCCTCAGCCTTCCAAGTGGCTGGGATTACGGGCATGAACTACCATGCCCGGCTAATTTTGTATTTCTAGTAGAGATGGGGTTTCACCATGTTGGTCAGGCTGGTCTTGAACTTTTGACCTCAGGTGATCCGCCCACCTTGGCCTCCCAAAAGTGTTGGGATTACAAGTGTGAGCCACTGTGCCCGGCTATCTGCATATTTTTAAACTACTTAGGAGGAGAAGTTTTTTTCTGATATTTACAAGGTATTTCCCCCAGCTTTTGTCATTTGAGTAATAGCTATCACAAGAAAGGATTGTTCTTAGAGTATGTTTTCTTTTGAGAGATAGGGTTTCACTCTATCACCCAGGTTGGGGTGCAGTGGCGTGATCATAGCTTACTACAGCCGAAGACTCCTGGGCTTAAGTAATCCTCCTGTGTCAGCCTCCCAAAGTGTTGGTATTATAGGTGTGAGCCACTGCACTTAGCCTGTAATATCTTTTAAATAGTTTTTTTTTTTTTAATAGACTGTAGGAACTAGAGTGTTATGCTCCTCTTCTGTGTTTATGTGGTTTTTCCAAAAATGAATGTTTTTTAGGCAGGTTTTCTTAACAGAGGCACCATTAACCTTTTGGGACTAATAATTATTTGTCATGGGAAGCTATTCTGTGCACTGTAAGAATGTCTGATGGCGTCTCTGGCCTCTACCCCCTAAATGCCAGTAGGACCTTCCCTCACCCTAGTTGAGACAACAAAATTTTTCCAGACTTTATTATATGTGCCCTTTTGGGGGTTGGGGTAAGGTCAAAATAATCCCCAAGGCTGGGAGCAGCGGTTCACACCTGTAATCTCAGCACTTTGGGAGGCCGAGGTGGGCGAATCATTTGAGGCCGGGAGTTCGAGACCAGCCTGGCCAACATGGCGAAATCCTGTCTCTACTAAAAATAGAAAAATTAGCTGGGCATGGTCGCACACGCCTGTAGTCCCAGCTACTTGGGAAGTTGAGGCAGGAGAATCGCTTGAACCCAGGAGGTGGAGGTTGCTGTGAGCCGAGATGGCAACACTACAGCCTGGGCAATAGAGCAAGACTCCATCTCAAAAAAAAAAAAAAAAAAAAATCCCTGGCTGAGAACTATTGGATTAGGGCCTCCTGTACCTATCTTTGAGGGGGAAAGGATGCTACCATCAACTTTTCTGAATGCCAGGAATGCCTTTTAGTATAGTTATTTCATTTACTATTTTATAGCATATTTTAATTGTATAGTAAGCATTGTGTCTGTTTTATGGTAAGGAAACTAAAATTGAGAGATTAGGCTGCTCGTGGTGGCTTATACCTTGTAATCCCAGTACTTTAGGAGGCCAGGACTTTGAGGCCAGTGTGGTCAACATAGCAAGACCCCATCTCCATTAAAATAATCATAAAATAATAAAAGGGAAAGATTAAACCTGGAGATGGCATCATATAAACCATGTATAATATGGGTTACTTATGCTCTGATTGTTTACTCCTTCCCCCCACCACACCCTCTCATTTCTTTGTCCCAGCTCTAAGAAAAGCATACAATATCCTTTTCCTGTATTCTGGTACTGTTTAAGGCTTTGCAGTGAAGATGGTTTGGTGAGTCAGACCACTTTTAAAGAGGAAATTCTACCCTTCCCTTCATTCTCTCTCTTTTTATAATTGTGGTGAGAGCCCGGGCACGGTGGCTTAGGCCTGTAATCCCAGTGCTTTGGGATGCTGAGGCAGGGGGATCACTTGAGCTCAAGGAGTTCGAGACCAGCCTGGGCAACGTGGTGACGCCCATCTGTACAGTAAACCACAAGAAATGAGCTAGATGTTGTGGTTCACACCTGTAGTCCCAGCTACTCGGGAAGCTGAGATGGGAGGATCACTTGAGCCTGGGAGGTCGAGGCTGCAGTGAGCATTGCAAGTAGAAATTCTTAAAGTGCAACCCTGAGGGGGGAATATCCTCCCTCATTTGTCAAGGGACAAATCAGAATGTTAGCATTTCCCCACTTCCCACATTGCCAGTAACGTATAATTTAAGCATGTGGATATGCCAGTCAGCTTTCCACAGCTTAACTGGGGTGGAGAGAGGTGTGCGAACCAGTGCTTTGTTCTTTCTTGTCTTTTTCCCCTTACTTTTGTACTCCCACTCCTGCCAAACTAGACATCGTTTTATCCTGGTGTGTTCATTAACCTCTACTCCAAAAATTAAGTGTGGTTAAGGGAGTGAGGTCGATTTCAAAATGCTGCATCTGATTTAGAGGGGGGTATAGTTGAGTGAAGAACTAGGCACTGAAGCAGCAGCTTATGAGGAGAGTGTTTTCTCTTTATTTAAAGTCCTTACATATCGAGGCATCTGGTGTTCATGAAATAGTCTGTTGTGCTGTTCAACTTTTTCACTCTTTTCTTACCTGACTTAGACAATTAACTCCTAGGGCTGGGTTTTCCCTCCACATTGCGATTCCTTCAGGGTCAGATTGTCTTAGTTTCTCTCTCTTCTTTGTATTGATACTTTGTTTTTTTGGTGCTTCTCATTTCTTCAAATGTAATGGAATGAGGGGACTCAGACTTTTTCTGGTTTGATAATCTAGTGTATAAATGACCTGGTCTTTTGATGGTTCATGAAATCTTTAACTCCGTCACCTCCAAGTAGCCAGCCCTTCCATGTAGTCTTCATTTCCTATACTAGTGTTCTGTTCCTATTACATAAAAGTCATGTACACGAAACATTTTGTAAACAGCCAGTGGGGTTTTGTATCCCATGCTGTTCTGTTTTCATTTCCAGCCCACATTTTGGGAATATGTTTCTGTGGCTTTATTTATATATTTACTAGTTAATCCCAGAACATTTATTTCCACAGGCTTTTGATAAAAGATAAAGTTACTAATAAGAGTGTACTATTTTACCGAGTAAAACGACATAGAAAGCTAAGGATTTCCTTGTGCCCATCTTTCTAGAAGGGAAATTTAAAGAGGGCTCTTCCAACTCTAATAGTTTTATAATTATTCGTGTCTCCTAAGCCTGATCTTTCCCCACAACTAAAATGCGTTGATGAGCTGCGTACCTGCATGTATGTCTTTGTTTGCACTTTCCTAGTAAATTAACTTACTCAACAAGGGAACTGAATAATACTTTAAAAAAAAATCCTTGTGATATGACCAGGAAGTCAAGCCACAGAGGCTTCATAGCTAGGAGCATGGCTGTCTTCCCTAAGCCCTTTAGATTTTAAAAAATACTGCTTTAAGTTTGTAATGTTTTATGTCAGATGTGCTCATGACCTGGTGCTTCTGTGTCAGCAGGTATCTCCATACAGCCAAGAATAAAGAAAGAAAGGGATAGATGGAATGAGTTTCATCGTGATTCTAAGTATCCAGGAATAATTTAAAATTATTTATCACTGTGGATTTAAGCATCTGGATTTATTTATTTTACAAATACTTAACATTTTGTTGTTTTGCTCTCTATCTTGCTAATCCCTTTTTTAAAAGGGCTACTTGGATGAAGGTATAAAAACCAGTAACTTATGAAACCCTCAGTTGGTATCAGTGAATTCGCTTATTACTCAATGTTTGCTTGTTTGACTTCAAAAAGAAAACAATTTACCACCTGTGTCAGTCTGACACCTGCTCTTTTCAAACCCTTTTGGCATGATCTAAATAAATCTCTGAAATTCCCCCCCCCCCTTTGTGTCTATTGTCAGTATTAGTTTCACCTAAATTCAGGGCCTGTCATCCTGTGTAACAGTTGAGGCTAAATGAGGACATTAATTGGTGGAAATGTGTTGCTTCAAAGGCATTTTTAGGAATAAAACTACAAAGAGCTTCATAGTTGTAATATAGCTGATTCGTCTTCAAAAAGTATTCTGTTGTTTTCTTGATAGTTTTAGGTTTTTATAAGTAAGTTATTAAGAAGTGAATGTCTGAAATACGTTGTTTTAAGTGAAAGGTGTTATTTGTGTTCTGGGAGTAAGCTCTAGAATCTCAATGTCAGGTTAGTATTTAAGTGGAGGTAGAGCTACTAGTTTTTGTTTAAAATGTTTTTATGATACAGAATTATTCAGGAACTTGTGTATTGATCTGTTTGCCAGCAATGCCAATTCCCTCAAAATTCATAGTTTTCAATTTTTGTTTTCTTCCCACTGTAAGTACCTTTGAGGACTCTCACCCAGTTAACATTTGTTGTGTTCAAATTGCATGGTTCTCAACTTTTGCTGTACACTAGAATCACCTGGGTAATTTTTTAGAAGTCCTGTGGTTGTACCACGGATGAGAAAAAATACACCCTCTGGGATGGGATCCAAGCATCTGTATGTTTAAAATTCACCAGGAGATTCCATGATGTAGCCAGAGTCATAAATCACTGGTCTAGGATGTTTTTCAGATTAGGGACCATTTAAAGAAAAGCTGTAGATTTTCCTTCCAGAAACATGGGTATTAATGATTCCCTAAAGCCCCAAATTAAGAACCCCTGTTCTAGGAGTAGCCTCAACATGCTAGATTTAATTGTAAGCAGCTGGTTTAAGAAATTATGTAAGTTGCAATGATGAATATTCCTCGTCACTCACAAATGTTATTCATCAATTTAAAAATTAATATGTATCAAGTACTCAGTGTGTTCCAGGCATGATTTTAGTTACAAGGAGTACAGCAGCCAATAAGATATTACAGTTTTCAGGGAGTTTTATCCTACTAGGGAAGACAGATAAGTAAATAATGACCGAAGGCTAGTTAACAAGTGCTATAAAGAGATATAAAAAGGAAAGAGCCTAAGGAGATTGAAAGTGATGGTTATGGGAGAGAGATGCCTATATTAATAGGGTGGTCAGGGAAAGCCTCTCTGAGGAGGTGACAGTTTGAACGAGATCTGTATGAAGTGTGTGAGCAAGACCTGTGAAGATCTTGAGGAAGAGCATTCAAGGTGTAGAGAACACTTGCAAAGGCCCTAAGATGGGACTGAGCCCGGTTTGTTGGATTTTCATCAGTAAGCCCGGGGTGGCAGGAGCATGCATACTGATCCAGCTATAGAATGAGTGGTAGAAGGTGAGATCAGGAGCCCTGTAAGCTGTTGTAAGCATCGTTGTTTTAATTTGGTAGAAACTTAGTTATAACTCATTCTTAAATATTTAGCTTTATGCTTAAAATAATTTAGAAATAACCTTGGACTTCCATCTTTTTAGAAATAGCTGGAAGGTTAGCACTCAGTATGTTGTATTACTTCTCTGTGAAAGGATCTACAGTAGACTGAACTTGTCTATGTTATGAGACTGCTCATGTCTTTATTCTTTATATTCATAATGCTGAACACAAGATACTCGTGTTTTTTTTTTTTTTGACAGAATAGGGATCTTGCAGTTAACTTAGCTGTTCTTAAATTTCTGTTTATAAAAGCCATAATGCATAATAATTTACTGTAGTCGTTATTCCTAGTTTTCCCAGGTAGGCAGTGGTAACATCTATTTCACAAGATAAGGAAGCAGAAATTTAACAACAATGGCAGAATCAGGATGTCAATCTTGTCCTTTTTTCCTTTTCCCACTTTGCCATGCTGCCCTCTGGGTAATAAGATGGAGACTAATTTTTGAAGGCTTAATTTGTTGAGCCAGTGTCATTAGTTTTTAGGTAACATTTTAATACAGAATAAGTGTGTCTTGGTCTTATTAACAGTGCTATGTTATGTAAAGGAATTTAGTTGTAGGAATATTTTCTTTGAAACAATAATACCTGTTTTTTTATCTCTTGATTCTAAAGTGCTGTGGGAAATACAGAGATGACTTGTAAATAAATTCTGCCCACAGGCTTAGGGGATCTAAGATATAATTCACTGTGGTAAAAGATACAAAGCAATCATTGTCAGAAAAGATACAGATTAAGTGCCATAGAAGTTCTGCTGAAGAAGAATTTCTGGGTAAAGGGAAGGAGACTTCTTAGAGGATAGATGGATTTTAGTTCTAGGTGGTAGTGTGGGAAGCAAGGGAGATGTAGGTGTTTAGAGGGAAAGAAGGAAGGACATTCTGTATACAAATTGAGCAAAGGTTTGGAATTAGAGCAGTATAAGCAGCCACAATCATGGAATACAATTTGGAATCTAGTATGGGAAAAAGGAAATGACCAAGGATAATGAAGATTATACTCATGGAGGAAGCCTTTGAGTATCAGGCCAAGGAATGTTAAGTTCTATTTTTTTTTTTTTTTTTGGTAAGGAAAGTGACTTTTATTTTTTATTTATTTATTTTTTTTTGAGATGGAGTCTCGCACTGTTGCCCAGGCTGGGGTGCAGTGGTGCGATCTCAGCTCACTGCAAGCTCCACCTCCTGGGTTCACACCATTCTCCTGCCTCAGCCTCCCGAGTAGCTGGGATTACAGGCGCCCGCCACCACACCCGGCTAATTTTTTTTTTTTTGTATTTTTAGTAGAGACGGGGTTTCATCGTCTCTACTATTAGCCAGGATGGTCTCGATCTCCTGACCTCGTGATCCACCCGCCATGGCCTCCCAAAGTGCTGGCATTACAGGCGTGAGCCACCGTGCCCAGCCAAGGAAAGTGACTTTTAAATCAGAAATCACATGATCTGTGATGGAATTTAGGAAAGTTGATATTAGTTGGTTGGATTAGCACAATCAACAGACTATGCCCTGTATGCCAAACGCAGTCTAAGGCAAGTTTTTGTAAGTAAAGTTTTATTGGAACACAGTCATACTCATTCACTTGAATATTGTCTGTGGCTGCTTTAGTACTATAATGGCAAGAGTTGTGTAGTTGAGACGGAGACTGTGTGGCCTGCAAAGCCTAAATATTTGCCATCTGGCCCTTTACAGAAAAAGTTTGCCAACCCCTGGATTAGAGGAGTGGAGGCAGAAATCCTGTTCATTGTTGTTCTGGTTAGGGTATAAACCCATGCCTTCCTGTCAAATGAAATGAAGGCCAGAATTGTGATAGCCCTAGTAGAAAAAAAGAGGCAGGCTGGGCGCAGTGGCTTACGCCTGTAATCCCAGCACTTTGGGAGGCCGAGACGGGCGGATCACAAGGTCAGGAGATCGAGACCATCCTGGCTAACACGTGAAACCCCGTCTCTACTAAAAATACAAAAAATCAGCTGGGCGCAGTGGTGGGCGCCTGTAGTCCCAGCTACTTGGGAGGCTGAGGCAGGAGAATGGCGTGAACCCGGGAGGTGGAGCTTGCAGTGAGCCAAGATCATGCCACTGCACTCCAGCCTGGGCGATAGAGCGAGACTCCGTCTCAAAAAAAAAGAAAAAAAGAGGCAAGAATGGGTGAGATAAAATAATTTTCTGAATATGGTAACTTGATTAGGTTAGGAGTCTAGGGAGAGGGGAGGAATTTTTTTTTTTTTTTTTTTAAGTGTAAGCAACAGGCCAGGTACGGTGGTTCATGCTTGTAATCCCAGCACTTTGGGAAACCGAGGTGGGCAGATTACTTGAGATCAGGCGTTCCAGACCAGCCTGGCCAACATGGTTAAACCCTGTCGCTACTAAAAAGACAAAAAAAAATTAGCAAGGCATGGTGGGTGCTTGTACCCAGCTGTTCAGGAGGCTGAGGCAGGAGAATCAATTGAACCCAGGAGGTAGAGGTTGTAGTGATCTGAGATTGTGCCACTATACTTCAGCCTGGGCGACAGAGGGAGACTCCCATCTCAAAAAAAAAAAAAAAAAAGGTAAGTGAAGGAGGATGGTGATTTGGGTTAGAAGAGGCTTTTAATTGTAAGCCATTCAGCATGTGAACTTGTAAAAATGACCTTATGTTAAATAATTAGTTCAGAGCGCTGATCTTGAGAGATAGGAACGTTTCCTGTTTTTGATAAATGATAAGTTACCCTTGTTTATGGTTAGGGGTGGGTTTTTGTCATGGTCCAACCAGGTGATAGTTATATATGTGAACATATTAAAATTGTTTTTAATGTTTAAATTCTAATCCTTAAAATGTGACAGAACTGATTTATGTTCCTCCTCTCCCAGTTCTCTTCAAATCATGAGAGTGACCCTCTTAAAAACTGCTTTCTTTCGGGGGAGCGGTTGTTGAGAAGAATCATGTAACTATGTAAAAAGCATGTCTGTTTGGTACACTATTTGCTAATGTCAGAAGTGTTAAATAGAAATAAAATTTCCACCATAGTAGCTAATTATTGTTTAGTGTGTGTCAAAACTGTGTGCTAATTACTTTTTATAAACCATCGCCTTTAAAGTCTTATAACTTTTCTATGAAGTAGGACGTTTGTGTCCCTACCTCCTCTGTTTTACCATTGGGAAAACCAGGGCCCAGAACGAGTAACCACACAAGTTCCACAGCTACCAAGGTCAAGGTTATTTCTACCCTAAATACACATCTTTAAATTTTATATTCATCAACAACCTAGTACTTAAAAATTCAGATTCCTAGGCCTTTCAAGGGTTTTGCCTGTGATTCTATTTTTGATCTTTGTACCAAACTTCGAGAAAATACCGTCATATAGTCTTCTATTAACAGCAGTTGCCTCATGTGGAGAACACCTGAATTTTACTTACAACTTCTTCCAATGCTGACCCATTTTGATTTTTATAAACATTTTGAAATATTTGTTAAGTTGGTCAAGCAAGAGATAATGTGATTATGTAGTATCTTATCAGTTGAGATCTTTCTCTCTCTCTCTGCCTCTTTCTCTCTCGCTCTCTTTTTTTTTTTTTTTTTTTTTAAAAAGAGTCTCACTCTGTCACCCAGGCTGGAGGGGTTAGTGGTATGATCTCTGCCCACTACACCCTCTGCCTCCTAGTCTCAAGCAATTCTTCTATCTCAGCCTCCCGAGTAGCTGGCACTACAGGCGCATGCTACCACATCTGGCTAATTTTTGTAATTTTTGTAGAGACAGGATCTTGCCACCTTGCCCACACTGGTCGTGAACTCCTGAACTCAAGTGATCCACCCACCTTGGCCTTCCAAAGTGCTGGGATTACAGGCATGAGCCACCACCCCAGTCTGGTTGACGTTTTTCACCTCCTTCTCTTTACAGCATATTCAGAAATTTTAAACCAGTAATACGAAATACATATATTGGTTGATTTTTGTTGTATTTTAAGCATATTGACTTTTTAAATCGGATCATATTTTTGCATGCAAGTACTATGGCTTTTCAAGGTCATTCTGATTTGAAACAACACATTTCTTAGTCAATTCATTGGCTCTTTACCCCCTTTTAAAATTTTTTATTTTTTATGTGATTTATTTATTTACTTATTTTTAGTGATGGAGTCTCACTGTGTTGCTCAGGCTGGGCTCAAGCAGTTCTTCTGCCTCAGCCTCCTGTGTAGCTGGAACTACCTAAGGATGTGCACCACTGTGCCCAGCCAGATCTTCACCTTTTTCAAAAAAAGAAACATCTAAATGTGAAACCTTTTAGGCCTGTCAACTTCTTGTGATAGACACATACAGAATTTTTCAGCTACTCTCTGCCTATGGGGTAGCCCTACCTTGCAGGAGCAGTCCAAAAAAAATTTTTTTTTTCAATTTAGGATCAGTGTAGAGGAAAGAGCCCTGGACTATCATAAGACTGAGTACCAGCTTGGCCAGTCAGTCACTTTGTGACCTTGATTAAGCTATGTAACCTTTTCAAATTGATTTCCCTCTCTGTAAATAGAGCTGATAAGATGGCTTGCCCTGTTTCCTGTGGTTTTTAAAGAGGATCAAATGAGTGCGTGAAAGTTCTCATGAAAACTAGACGTCTATTCAAATATGAGGTGGTGGTATTCTCAGAAGGTCATAGATGAATGATGCATTTATTTTAGTGCTTTTCACAGTTTAGTCTCAATACTGAGTGCTTACTGAGGGGTTGTATGGAGGCACACTAGTTGTTTCTTTAGGAGATGTCTTTAGCTGCTAGAGTAGAGAACAAAAGAATGAGTAAAGAGGCTTCAGAAAAGCTAGTATGGGCTGGCGCGGTGGCTCACACCTGTAATCCCAGCACTTTGAGGGGGCCAAGGTGGGAGGATCACTTGAGGTCAGGAATTTGAGACCAGCCTAGCCAACATGGTGAAACCCTGTCTCTACTAAAAATACAAAAAATAGCTGAGTGTCATGGTTGACGCCTGTAATCCCAGCTACTCGGGAGGCTGAGGCAGGAGAATCCCTTGAACTCAGGAGGTGGAGGTTGGAGTGAACCAGGATTGCATCACTACACTCCAGCCTGGGTGACAGAGAGTCACTCCTCTCAAGAAAAAAACAAGGAAAAGCTAGTATGGATGGAGCACCTCCATGCTCATTTCTTAGAGCTTATGTTTTGTTGTTTGATTTCCTAGTTCATAACAGAAGGGGTTTTGTAAGCTGACCTAGCTTGACAATCCTTTTTGGGTTTTTTGGTTTCAAACATGATCTTATAAAATTATTTAGTGCATTAAAATGTAGACCCAAGTAGCTGCTTAGCTCTTGAGAAAAGGCTGTGTTTCAGTTTAGCACAACAGTGTTTTCAGGAAGATAACTGTTCTAGATAGCTCTTTTTTTCCAAAATTCTTGATTAAGGTTTGGGGAATTTAGAATTATCTCCAGCTATTAAATTATCAAATTGGTTAAGTAGAGGTAGAAAGTTTATTGCATAAATCAGTAGATTTGTCTTCCAAAGAAGCTTATGAAATAGAAAGGGCCAGGAGGTATACCTGTAGTTGAAATATGGGATGGGCCCATAGAGAGTGAGTTGGAAAATGATAGTAAGTGGTTGAACATGGACTTTAAAGCATGGCATGCTCTGAAGTCATATTAGAAAAGTCCTTTGCTTTCATGCAAAACTAGTCTCCGTGGCTTTTCATTGTGTAGATCGGGTTAAAAGCAGAATATAAGAAGCAAGTTTTTGGATGAGATGATAGAACTTACGTAGTACTTGTCTGTCAATCCTAAAAGAATTATTTGTGGCCAAATCCTCTCCTCTAACCACCAAATAAGGAGCTTGACTTCATTCTCACTGTTAAGAATCAGAAACCCAGTTTAGAATATCCAATTCCTGGTGAACTTTTAAAAATTAATATATATCTTGATACTTTATAATCTATTGTGTGGCATCCAACGAATGTGAGGTAATCTGGGGAGTTAGAAATGCCTTGCATTTCGTGTGGAAAAGGTGTAGTCGTAAGTTTGGCCTGGGAAGGTTAATACTGTCTTTGCACATAGAAAGCTAAGGGCAGTGTCATCATCATTCGTTTGTGAGGAGGGGACTGAAAAAGCAAAATCATCACTACTAGCCTATTCTAAAGGATCTTAATCCCATTCCATTTTTCAGATTTTTTTTTTATTATGTAGTATCCCCTGGATATAATATTTTTGGTGAAGGGGGATGTCTCTAATTTCCACGTGGTACCCCCTGTCATATACAGGTTATGTATCTGGCAGTCTACAGCTGCAATTCATGGCTGTTTATAAAATTTCACCAGAACTTGTCCTGACGTCCTTTTACTTTTGTAAATGATTAGAAAAAATGCTGAGCCTGAGTATGTATTTTTATATTAAGAGTTCATTTAGAGAGTCCCAGAAATTGGCAGAGTTGATTCAACTTTCTGTGGTTTAAATTTGAATATGCAATTAGTAGACTGCTGGTATTTCAGAAGTTTGTTGTTGCAGGCCTCTTGTACTGAGGAGGAAATCTGGAATTTCTTTTTCTATTTTAAATTAGCGTTCATTCAACAAACATTTTTTGATTATCCCTAGAGTTTTGGCACACGATAGGAAGTCTAGAAGTGTGCAGTCTCACCTGGTCTCGCAAGTAATGGGAATTTTTAAACTATGCAGGACTTAGAAGGTATACCTTCCCTTCCTTCAGAATGATAGTAGTAGTATAGTTATATCTTTCCTTGACCTAATTAAAATTTTTCGTTTTCCCCCCCATGACAAAGTAATAAAAACTTGTAAAAAACAAAGAGCCACAGACATGTGAAACTTGTTTTACCTCTGCTGTTACTTGGTCTGTTGTAATGCCACTGTAGAAAATATTCCCTTTGTTTGGGGTAGCATAGGAAACATGTGATTTGGAATCAGACTTCAAGTTCTAGCTCCATAATTTTACTAGCTCTGTGGTCCTCGGATATCACTCAACCAATCTGGACCTCAAATTTTCTCATCTCTTCTACTGGGAAGATAACAACTTCTTTTTTTTTTTTTTTTTTTTTTTTTTTTTTTTTTTTTGAGATGAAGTCTCGCTCTGTCGCCCAGGCTGGAGGGCAGTGGCGTGATCTCGGCTCACTGCAAGCTCTGCCTCCTGGGTTCACGCCATTCTCCTGCCTCAGCCTCCTGAGTAGCTGGGACTACAGGCACCCGCCACAACGCCCGGCTAATTTTTTGTATTTTTACTAGAGACAGGGTTTCACCGTGTTAACCAGGATGGCCTCAATCTCCTGACCTCGTGATCTACCTGTCTCGGCCTCCCAAAGTGCTGGGATTACAGGCGTGAGCCACTGTGCCCGGCCTTTTTATTTATTTATTTATTTTTTGAGACGAAGTTTTGCTCTTGTTGCCCAGGCTGGAGCACAATGGCGTGATCTCAGCTCACTGCAACCTCTGCCTCGTGGGTTCAAGCGATTTTCCTGCCTCAGCTTTCTGAGTAGCTGGGATTATAGGCGCCTGCCACCACACCTGGCTAATTTTGGTGTATTTAGTAGAGACGGGGTTTCACCATGTTGGCCAGGCTGGTCTTGAACTCCTGACTTCAGGTGATCCACCTGCCTCGGCCTCCCAAAGAAGATAATGACTTCTACAGAACTGCTGAATGGGTACATATATGTAAATATTCTCACCTGACTTCTGCTTTTCCCTTTATTTCACTGGGAGGTATTATATTTTTAGTGTATCTTACGGCCTTTGAGGACTTCTTAGTTTGAGTATATTTTAGCTGTGTGCCTAAATGTCTTTACAGTGTACTTAAGGAGTTGGATTTTTAGAAACTTGCCATATTTAGAAATCTATTGGATTGAACATAGTTTGAAAAGCAAAGTATAAGTTAATTCCTTTACTATATACTTGTACTATTCTTTTCATGGACTTTCTGATGCTTGCTGTTTGTGCACATAGGCTTTGCTTTTTGTATTTATTTATATTGTATGAATCTAAGAATAAAAGAGAGTGTGAACAATTCAGAAGACTACAGATATATCTTGTTAGGTTGCTTTCCAAAAGGTTCCCAGTTGTAGTCATACCAGCAGTGTAACAAGCAGGTTTTTTGTTTAACCACACTCCAATTAGCATGGAGGATCCTTTAAAAATATTTGCTAAACTGATAAATAAAAAATACTATCTTTACTTAAATTTGCATTGGGAAAGTATTAGTGAAGTTGAACATTCTCATATGTTGTAATGTTTTGTTTTGTTTTGTTTTGATACAGTCTGCAGTCTTGCTCTGTTGCCCAGGCTAGAGTGCAGTGGCATAGTCGTAGCTTGCTGCAGCTTCAATCTCCAGGACTCAAGTGGTCCTCACAAGTAGCTGGGACCACAGGAGTGCACCCTTATGCCCCCCTTATTAAAAATTTTTTTTTTCTTTGTAGAGATGGGGTTTTGCTCTGTTGCCCAGGCTGGTCTCAAACTCCTGGACTCAAGCAGTCCTCCTGCCTTGGCCTCCCAAAGTGCTGTGATTACAGGCATGAGCCACTGTGCCAGGCTGTTGTAATGTTTTTATGATTCTTTGAAGCAGAGATATTTATCCTTTGGTAAAAATATTGGAGTCAAACTTGGATAAGTTAGAAATTATAAATTGTTTAAATTTTTGTCTGTTGATCTTTTGCCTTTAGCTTTCTTTCTCAACCTAAAATAGTAGAAATTCTTCATCCTTCCAGACACTAATAGGAGAATTTTAAATTTCCTTGTACATGTTTTTATTTTTGGAAACTACCCTTTTACCAATATAGTGAAACCTTGGCTCTACTAAAATACAAAAAAATTAGCCAGGTGTGATGGCACACACCTGTAATCCCAGCTGCTCGGGAGGCTGAGGCTGGAGAATCGCTTGAACCTGGTAGGTGGAGGTTGCAGTGAGCCAAGGTCATGCCACTGCACTCCAGCCTGGGCACGCAGAGTGAGACTTGTCTGAAAAAAAGAGAAATAAAGAAAGAAACTACCCTTTTAATTCATCAGAGCGTTTTTTGTTTCATAATACAAGGAAGTAAGTCCTCTCTAACCCTCTTTCCGAAAAAGCTGACTAGTATCTCAAAACCACTTAATTTTGTATTACTTTCTTTGGGACTTTGGAAGTTGCATAAGACATACAGGTTAACTTGTAAAGAATATCTTTCCAGAATATGGGTTGCCAAATTTTTACTAGATTCATTTAGGGTATTTTTTGTGAGGATACTGTATTCTTGGGCATTTTGTTCTTTTTAATTCCTTTTATGAGTATACACTCTCTGATTGTCTTTTCTTATTTCGCACCCAGATTTTCTGCAGTAGCTCAGTGGAATATTTTGAGCTTAGTGTAAGATAGACCGTTTGTAAATAAATGTAAAGTATTGCATAGAAGAATTTATTTGTCTTAGACCCTTAAGCAGCCCCTATGCTCCCCCAGTGAAGTTGATTTAGATGTGTAGACAACCTTGAGGAAAGAGAAGGGCTCTTCAGCTGCTCTCCTGTCTCCAAGTTTATCTAAATCTAGGGTTCTGTGAAATGATTTAGTCTTCAGTGTGGATTTTGCTCTGTGGGATAGCCTCTGAGTGTAAATGCTTCCTGTCCTGAGACCTACTGGGTTTAATGCATTTGCTTCACCTTGTTGTGTACACTCACAGGTGGGAATATAAAAGGATTTTCAGTTCAAAGAACCAGATAAACAATTTTCAATTTAAAATGTTTAGTTCTTACATAACTTAGTTTTGTAAAGAGAAATACAAGTACTTTAGTTAATTGTTGAGTACATTGTCTTTTTTTTTTTTTTAAACAAACAGGATCAATCACTGTTCTGGGAATGCTTTATCTGAATTTCTGATCCTTTATGCATCCTCAGCATTTAACACATAAAGTAGCCCTGTGTATAACTTTTTGAGGAACTGCCTGTTTTCCATTTTATATTACCATTTTGTATTACCATGAGCGATATTTGTGGGTTCCATTCTCTCCACATTCTTGCCAATACTTCTAATTGTCTTTTTAATTATAGCCATGCTAGTCAATGTGAAGTGGTATCTCATTGTGGTTTTGATTTTAATTTCTCTAATGGCTAATGATGCTGATAATCATTTCAGGTGCTTAATTGGTCATTTGTATATCTTCTTTGGAGATCCTTTGCTCATTTCTAAAGTTATTTGGTTTTTAAAAATTGTTGAATTGTGATTTTTGTATATATTCTGGAGACCAGTGTCTTGTCAAATAGATGATTTTCAGATATTTTCTTCCATTCTGTGGATTGTATTCTCATTTTCTTGATTATTATTTACAGAAGTTTTAAATTTTGATATAGTCCAATTTATGTTTTTTTTTTTGTTTCTTTTGCTTTTTGTGTCACAGCATAAGAAATCATTGCCTAACCCAAGTTCATGAAGAATTTACTCCTATGCTTTTTTCCAGGAGTTTCAATGCTTACATTGAAGTAGGGCTTTGATCGACTTTAAGTTAGTTTTCTGTATGGTGTGAGGTAGGAATCCAATTTTATTTTGCCTGTGGATAGTGGATATTCAGTTGTCCTTGTACCATATTTATTGTAAAGACCTTTTTTTCCCCATCATGTGTTTTACAATGTAAATTTAGTTGTGGAAACTTATTTGCAGCTTAAAATTTTTTCCGGTTGTATAGATTACATATTTTTCTTCTTTATGCTACTCTTTATTTTCCAGATATCTGCAGTAAAATTTTGGCAACAAAAATATATATGTATGTATGTGTATGTGTATATGTGCACACCAGAGTGCTAACAGTGATTATTTCTGAGGGATGGGATGGGTTGGGATGGAGGAAGGGAAGGGATTACTTTCATTTATTTTTTAATACTTTGAAATTTTATTATGAGCTTTTTTGGTGTAGTAAAAAATAGAAAAAGTTTTTGTCTCTCTGGATTATGCTAATTTACTTGAATTATTGTGGTGGCTTGTAAACCAGGACCAAAAGTATTTTAAAAAATTTTTGCCTTTTCCCTTCCCTCTCTCCTTTTTCTTC
This sequence comes from Homo sapiens, assembly GCF_000001405.40. Classification (NCBI taxonomy): domain Eukaryota; kingdom Metazoa; phylum Chordata; class Mammalia; order Primates; family Hominidae; genus Homo; species Homo sapiens. The sequence continues at coordinate 646,822 of NT_167251.2, forward strand.
TCTTTTCTTTCCCTTCATTCCTTCCTCTTTTTTTAAGGACAGTATATTCTGAGAATGCTTTCAGTTCGTGGAGGGTTAGTTTCCAAAGTCAGGGTGCTGTTGTAGGAGAGGGAAGGAAACTAACAATCAGTTAGTGCCTATTTTTGGTATTATGCTTTTATGTACGTAATAATCCTTCACATTTTTACAGTTAGGCAACAGGAGTACTAGACATAATGATTGACTTCCCGAGGTCACAAGGCTTAGTAATTGGTTAAAAGCAAGAAGTAGAGTCAGGTTCATATCACTCCAAAGGCTGGGTTTCCTCTGCTTCTTCGTGCTGAGTAGTACATAATAAGCAATTCATTGAATGCTTGAGTACACATGTGCACATTTAGATGGGTGAGTAGTGGCACAGGTGGAGGAAATCTGGTGGAGAAATTGATGTTAGAGAGAAATAATGGAAAATGAGTAACTTCACCTTGAGGGAACTAAAAATTTTGAATTCAGTGAGAGCAAGTATTTAATTATATTTGTCATGGTATTTAAAGCATGTTAGTCATTATATACTTTTTTTTTTTTTTTTTGGGCCTATGAAAGATTTTAAACTTGGTTCCAAAATGTGGTCAAATGCCCTGTGAGGATGAGAAAATAATGTCAATACTATGAGTTCACTTTAATAAAGGCTAAGAGGTAAATAGACATTAGTAAATAGACATTGGTTTCCTGTGATGTCCTAGGTATTGTTTTAGATTATGGGGATAGAGCAGCAATGAAAGACTTCTGGTTTTCCATTTTTCTGCCTTCCTTTTTAATGAATTGGCACTAGTTTCTTCCTTAAAACTCAAGACTTCTTAGCAGATTAGAAATTTGTAATGGTAATAGTCTTGTGTCTGATGCCTTTAGGATTGATTCATAAGCCACTGGGGGTAGTTGAGTGAGAATAGGTTTAATGAATTCTATCACAGGATTCCTGGTTAGAGGTGAAATTTATGTGTGTCCTGTATGTATGTTACTTCATGACCTCTCCTAATATTGTGAACTGTACCTATGTTGATGGGTTACAGTGATGATCCTTTGACTCCAGTTCTTGCTGTCAGGTGTGACCCTTGGATCAGGTGAGGAATACTATCTCATCTTTGTCTTGGACTTAATACTTTTAAAGTACTTTGAACCTTAGCCACGTATGTATTCACACAACTAGATGTGCTGTTGATTTACAGAACTGAAAGCCATTACAGGTGGAGTCTCTCTGATGTGAAATGTTTGGGACCAGAGGTGTTTTGGATTTTGGAATCTTTGCATTATACAGTTATCCTTCAGTATTCTTGGATGACTTGTTCCACGAACTTCCATGGATACCAAATCTGACAGTGCTCAAATCCCTGATATAAGATGGGATAGTATTTGTGTATAACCTATGCACACCCTCCTGTATGCTTTGTCATCTCTAGATTACTTATAACACCTAATACAGTGTAAATGCTATGTAAATAGTTGTTACACTGTATTGCTTAGGGAATAATGAGAAGAAAAAGTCTGTACATATTCAGTACAGACATTGTTTTTTAAATATTTTTGCTGTTTGATTGATTGAATCCATGAATACAGAGGGTCAGCTGTACTTACCAGTTGAACATCCCAAATCTGGAAACCCAAAATGCTTCAATAAACATTACCTTTGAGTGTCATGTTGACACTCAGAAAGTTTCCTATTTTGGGAACTTTTTGGATCTTGGGTTTGGGATGCTGAACTTGTATTTGCATGTGTGGAAAGAGATCAGGAGTCAAGGCAGGAGTCAGGAAATGTGGCTTCTATTCTTGGCTAACTTGACTGGTGTAGGGCAGATCACTTCACTAGCCTAAGCTGCAGTTTGCCACTGTTCACTCCTGAGGGTAGCTGGAGAGGCTTGAGAACAAATTTTAACACACTACATAGTGCAGACACCTTTTCATCTGAATTTTTCCTTTGAAGGATGAGTCATTCTTATGAAACAATTTTCTTTTTTTTTTTTTTTTGAGACAGAGTCTCGCTGTGTCGCCCAGACCTGAGTGCAGTGGCGTGATTTTGGCTCACTGCAAGCTCCACCTCCTGGGTTCACGCCATTCTCCTGCCTCAGCCTCCTGAGTAGCTGGGACTACAGGCGCCCGCCACCACGCCTGGCCAATTTTTTGTATTTTTTTTTTAGTAGAGACGGGGTTTCACCGTGATCTCGATCTCCTGACCTTGTGATCAGCCTGCCTTGGCCTCCCAAAGTGCTGGGATTACAGGCATGAGCTACCGCGCCCGGCGAAACAGTTTTCAAAACAGAAAGATGGAAGTGACATTATCAAATTAAGTGCACACTGAAAACTTTTATGACAGTTGTATCGAGGGGGTACATGTATTTTTCAATAGATATTGATTGGCTGCTATAGTAAGGATTTTTGCTGGGCTCTGAGAATCATTTTCTAAGTTTGAGGATGCTAACTAAATCATACGTAAGTTGTATGTGATAAATATGGGGCAGAAATAGGTATGCACTCTAAAAGTAGTAATAGCTTCTGGTTTAAAGAAGTGGGAGATCATAACAAGTTGGAATATCTGGAAATATTTAAGAAAATGCTTTAGCATGAAGTATTATTTTGACTATCATTTCAGAGAATGAGGATGAATAGAGAATAAGTGAGTAGGGTAGAAAGGGACAAGGTAAGAGGGCCAAGAGGCAGAATTAAAATTAAGTCAGGGGAATAAGTGTGAATAGGAGTCTGGAAGAGATAAACAATTTTGGGGGGAAGGATTTGATGCTCTTAGTGCACTTGCTGTTTCTGTGTTATACTGTACTCCAGCTGTGCCCTACACTCACCCCAAAGAACAGCAGAAACATGTGTTCAAGAGAAGTGTTTTAATCTGGAAATAATTAGGGAATTACAATTTTTTTGAGGTTTAGCTGCTGTTTGTGGGATTCAGTTCCCAACCCTGAAAGTAAAAGTAACCATGAACATTTTGTTTTGTTTTTTAATTTATACACATTCCAGGAAATACTATTTTAGTATAAGTTGGTTCATAATGGCAGTTAAATTGCTCTTGTGTTTTGCCACCTTGGACAAAAGTGCTTTTGTCTTTCTGGTTTTCTTCTTTTGGTTTTATTTAATTTTGAACCCTGGGAAGAAGGATACGATGTAAATTTAATAAAATGAGTTTTCCTCCCTTTTTGTTTTTTCCTGAATCTTCATGGAACTTTTTTGGAAACGTGGAACCTAGGTGGGGTGGGTGACGAGAAAGGCCTGAGAAATGCCAGGAAGACATGAGGTTGGATTGGCCTTTGGGCATCCAGTTTACCTAATGTGTGTATGTCATGTATGTTACCGTTGAGGAAGTCAGTGCTGATTATGCCAAATTTCTACTTTTTCTGGATCATTTTACTCCTTAGCATTTGTAGGGGAAGACATTTATTTGAGCAGAAGAGGGTAACGATATGGTCCGTCTCTATATACTACTAAGAAGGATGATTATGGGTATGTGAACATGTGCATGCATATGTAAAATGAAACCTAATCTAAGCCTTGTGGTGAAAATACTCTGACAGGCTTCAGAGAAGTAAGAGTTTTGATCAAGGAAGGTACATCAACCTATATACCCTAGATTTTTTAAAGAATGTATAGATTAGGAATTCTCATTTTAAAATTAAGGTCTTTTTGTGACTTTTACCATGGATTATTTTCCCAAATACATGACCCTGTTTGATTAGCATATAGAGTTTTGACCCAGGGAGAGGATGCAGTGCCCAGCTTCTCAGTGGTTAACAGCTGTTCAGCCTAGTGCATATCAGAATTTATGTGGGTGTTGAATGATTTTTTTAAACTAGTGTAGGAACACTTGATACCTTCTCAGTAGTTATGTGCATGTTTCTGTAGTTTCCCAAGCTAATGGGAGAGATCTTCAAAATGATGAAATTTTATTGAAATCAAATAGATACATTAAGAAATGGAAATGCTGAATAGAGCCTAGTTTGCTCTACATGCTCTTTGGCAAATTGTTGGGTCACTGAGACATTTTAAGATAACAATATAGGCCAGGTGAAGTGGCTCACACCTATAATCCATCACTTTTGGGAGGCTGAGGCTTGAGCCCAGGAGGTTGAGACCAGCCTGGGCAACATAGCAGGCCCCTGTCGCTACCAAAAAAAAAAAAAAAAAAGCCAGGCATGGTGGGGCATGCCTGTAGTCCCAGCTACTTGGGAGGCTCGCTTGAGCCAGTAAAGTCAAGGCTGAAATGAGCCATGATTATGGCTCCGTACTCCAGTCTGGGCAACAGAGTTGAGACTCTGTCTCAAAAAAAAAAAAAAAAAAAAAAAAAAAATGTATAGTTGAGGGGAAAAAAATCTGTCACCTTTAAAGTCTTGGTATAATTGAATCTTTTAGAATGTCTGCATCAAACCTGTGGATCCTTGGTTGTATCTCTCGTTAATCTGGGTAAGATGGAGAGGTTTCTCATGGACTTGTGTTTGCCAACCTTCCATACTATGTTTTATGTTTTATTGTGAAATATTCAGAGAGACCAGTGCAGTGAACCTTCCCATGTGTGCATTGCCCAACTGTAACAGGCATCTACTCAGAGCTGTTCTTTTTTTTTTTTATCTAGACCACCCCTTACTTGGACTATTTTGAAGCCAATTCTGTACAACATATTATTTCATCTGTAAATATTTCAGAATCTATTTCTAAAAGATAGGCTTTTTTTTCCCCCAAGTTATTTCTCCCTGTGCTTCTTCAAAAAAGATTTGTAGTAGAGGCTGTATAGAGGGCACAAAAGAGTAGAAATTAAGCACAAGTGATACCGACTTCCAGAAGAGACTATCAGGTAGACCCAGACCCATAAGGGGACAGCAACGAGAATTCATTATTGGAAGATGTCATACTCCAACCCCTACTGGTCTCTACAAGATTTCCAGACCCCCTTACACTTTGAATACTAAAAGTACCTCAGGGTTTAGTTCTCAACATCCTCCTCTTTCCTATCTCTATTCTTCCGCCCCATCTTCTGCCCTTTTTTTTTTTGGAGACCGAGTCTCACTCTGTTGCCCAGGCTGGAGTGCAGTGGCACCACCTTAGCTCACTGCAGCTTCCGCCTTCCAGATTGAAGTGATTCTCCTGCCTCAGCCTCCTGAGTAGCTGGGCTGACAGGTGCATGCCACCGTGCTCGATTAATTTTTGTATTTTTTTTTTGGTAGAGGTGGTGTTTCGCCATGTTGGCCAGGCTGGTCTTGAACTCCTGACCTCAAGTGATCCACCTGCCTCGGCCTCCCAAAGTGCTGGGATTACAGGCATGAGCCACCACACCTGGCCTCCTCGTCTTTTAAGTAACATCCATATAACAATAGTTCGTAATTTATATTTTCAGGTCAGCTCTATCTCCTTTCTGAAGTTCAGACTTTATCTGATTGTTAGTCTTGTAAATACATTATAAACGTTTAATGTGTTTATTTTTATTTATTTTTTATTTTTTGAGATGGAGTTTTGTTCTTGTTGCCCAGGCTGTAGTGCAGTGGCGCGACCTCAGCTCACTGCAACTTCCACCTCCAGGGTCCAAGCGATTCTCCCACCTCAGCCTCCCCAGTAGCTGGGATTACAGGCACCTGCCACCACGCTCAGCTAGTTTTGTATTTTTAGTAGAGACAAGGTTTCTCAATGTTGGTCAGGCTGGTCTCAAACTCCTGACCTCAGGTGATCCGCCTGCCTCAGCCTCCCAAAGTGCTGGGAGTACAGGTGTGAGCCACCACGCCAGGCCATTTAATGTGTTTGTAATGGGGCTCTTGATTCCTTCTGCTAAAACCCAGCTTATTCCACTGTACCCTTCCATCCCCATCCTTCCTCATGACAGTGTGCAGTAAGTCTAGAAGTCTTCATTCCTGTCTGGTCACTCCCATTCCTAGTCTTCTACAATACTCTCTAAAATATATCTTGGATCTGTTGATTTCACTCATCTCCACAGCCACCATCATCTCTCCTTGAACCAATATAGTAACCTAATAATTGATAATTGATATCCTTGTATTGACATTTTCCTCCAAAATCTGTTATTTTATATTGCAACTGAAGTGGTCATTTAAAAATGTATCATATCATTTCTTTGGTTAAAAAACTCCTTCATGAGTCGCGCCCCTACCCTCCACTTTCAGTTACCTGAAAGGTTTCCTTAAAATTTTTCGAATCAAACTTTTAACAACTATTTTGTAATAAAGATACCTTGTTATTGTCATTGAGCTTTTATAAATCTGGAGCCACTTTACTGAGCTGAAAACTATACAAAAGCACTAGGCTCTTGGGAGTAGAGAACAGGAAGATTGGATAGCAAATTTTCTTTCACTTATGTGGTTGCAAAATTACCTAGTCTATATCCGTATCTCCATGCCTTGACGTGTGCTTTTTCCTGCCTCATAGCTTTTTTCATAGTATGTTGTCATTTTTTCCTTTCTAGTTGGAGTGAAGAATCGTTTACCACCTGTCTTCTGAGAGTTGCTTTAAAGTGCTAATTTCTGGTTATGTTTCATGGTAAAATCATTGCAGCTAAGGTGGTATGATAGAATGAAAAGAACGATGCCCTTGGGTGGGGAAGTCTGGGCGTGTGCTTGGTATCGTTCCCTCAGAACACTCAGTGGTCCTGGTTTCAGTAAGGGTTTGGGATCACATACAACTTGGATTTGAATGTTAATTTTGCCCATTAAAAATTGAGCCGCCTTTGACAAATTACTCCATCCATCTCACACCTGAACCTCAGTTTTTCTTCTGTTAATTGGGGCCCAGCTGGGCTGTTGTGAGGACCTGATATTAAAAATGTAAAAAGTGGTCACCCTGGTACTTGGCATATAATGGACCCTAAACAAACAGTCTCCATGATTGTGGTTTTGAGCAGGTTATTTTATCTCTTCAGGTTTCCATCTGCTTACTTTTGTTTTTTTCGAGACACGGTCTTGCTGTGTCGCCCAAGCTGGAAGTCCAGTGGTATGATGATGGCTCACTGCTATGATGATGGCTCACTGCAGCCTCGACCTCCCAGGCTCAAGTGATCCTTCTGCCTCAGCCTCCCGAGCAGCTAGGACTATAGGCACATGCCACCATGCCTAGCTAATTCTTGTATTCTTTTCAGAGACAGGGTCTAACTATATTACGTGGTCTCAAACTCCTGGACTCAAGTGGTTCTCCCACCTCGGCCTCCCAAAATGTCGGGATTGCAGGCAAGAGCCACTGAACCTGGCCTCCATGTTCTTTATACGTAAAATTAGAGGGTTTAATTAGGGCAGCAGTTCTCTAACATTAATGGTCATCACAATCACCTGGAGTGCTGTTAAAACACAGATTACTGGGCGCACATTTGATAATTTATGATTCAGTGGGTCTGGAGTGGAGCCCTAGGGTATGGGCTTCTAACAATTTCCCAAATGATGCTGATGGTAACTACACCCTGAGAACTATTCGACTGGAAAATTGGATTATTGAAAGGCCCCTGCCAACACTAGGATTTTACTGTTTCTAACAGTAATGATAATAGGCAGTATTTGAGACTATGTGCCAGGCATTGTGCAAAGCGCATTATATACACTATCTCATTTGGTTCTCATGGTAATTAGTAGGTACTATCTTCCTTTAAAGGGTTGGGTAAGTTGTTGAAAGTCACACAGCTAAATAAATGGGAAGGTTGAAACTGCCCTGACCTTTCTCTTGACCAAATGAATTGCTTCCTTTGGTTTCTCAAGTTTTTAGGACTCCTGTATACTCATTTTACTTTTTTTTTTTTGAGATGGAGTTTTGCTGTTATGGCCCAGGCAGGAGTGCAATGGCACGATCTTGACTCACTGCAACCTCTGCCTTCCAGGTTCAAGTGATTCTCCTACCTCAGCCTCCCGAGTAGTTGGGATTACAGGCATGCGCCGTCATGCCCAGTTAATTTTTGTATTTTTAGTAGAGACAGAGTTTCGCCATGTTGTCCAGGATGGTCTCAATCTCTTGAGTTTGTGATCCACCTGCCTCGGCCTCCCAAAGTGCTGGGATTACAGGCATGAGCCGCCGTGCCTAGCCTACTCATTTTACTTTTTACTTACTTGGCTTGGCAAGGGTGGTGGTGGTGGTGTTGCTATCTATGTCTGAGACTGCAAGCTGGGAACTGGTATTCAAAACTTAGTTTGTACTGCATGATTTAGGCCCTTATTATGTGTTTTATTGCTATCTTGCCTATCAGCCCTATCTCCTCAGTCAAATTTATAAGCTTCTTGAGGATGTGGAGCTTGTCTTTTGATTACTGTATAGTGCTCAGCAGAATACTGTTCACATTGCAGTAATTCATGTAATGAAGATGATGGGTTGTCATTGTAATCATTTTGGCAGGTTCACAGTAGGCACTCAGGTTTCAGGCATAGGGTGTACCAGTTATTTTTGAATAATCATGCCATGGCATTCAAGTTTTTTACCAGTTTGCAGCTTTTGCACAATTAAGGTATGACAAATGTAATTTTATTGAGGGAAATGCTTAATCAGTGAGCTGAACTTTAATGTAAATTTGAAATGAAAAGGTCCTGTGTTCTGATTTCAGATTTTCAGAAACTGGATGTTAGATGGAAATCATGTTAGCCTTAATACCATGCCTTAAAATGCTACCCATATTTTATTTGTATTCCCATTCACCCATTGATTTGAACAACCATTTTTATTCATTGTAGAAGGGACTTAAATAAATGTAAAAACCAGGCAAAATTTCTTCTCTTTTATAATACATCCTTGATCATAGATAGAATTTTGTCACTTCTCTGATATTTAAAAATAAGACGGGTGGCAGTTTGAGTATCTATAATGAGGTGAAGATCAGCTTGTGCTTGAAAACCAGGACAGAGGGTTTCAAAGTGTAATTGAAAAAGACTGTGGCAGTCTTCTTCATGTGCTGGGAGAATGGGAACATTTGTCAGTTTACTAAGGTTTTGCTTTACTCTTGTGCTTTATAGAATTTCTTAAAGAAATGTGTTTATTTTACAGTGAGGACTGGTAATTTCATTCCTCTGTACCCCTGTAAGTGGTACAGCGAACCACAGATGTGTTCAAAGTTAGCTGTTGATATGTGATGAGGGAGGGGAAAGAGGAGGGACAAACTGGGATCTTATTTTCTATCTTCTATGTCTAGATTTCCTTGGCTGGAGATGTATTTAGCTGTGCAGCAGTGACTGCTGTTCTGTAGAGTTCTAAGGCAGCATTACAGGGAGAAGCCGTCTTGAACTGACTCTCTAGGTTTGTTGCTATTGTAGTGTTCGGTTAAAAAATTCAAGCCCTTGGGAAGGAATGTGGTGGGGTTAATCAAGGTTTCTTGTTTTCGTTTTCGTTCTATCCTTTCCTGAACTGTTTGAGTATGTATGAAACAACCTTTTACAATTCCAAAGCAGGTCCTTTTATCTGTGCTCCAAAATGCCCACTGTGACCCCCACGTGTTAACATGAAGGCTCAAGTTTGTTGACTTCTGAAAGTGTTGTCTCTTTAAAAGACTTTTATTTAAATCCTCTACTTTAAACTTTATTGCTGTAAATTGGTGATTCTCAACTTGGGCTGCACATTCAGATCACGTGGGAAACACTTAAAGGGAAAATCCCAGGACCCACCCCCGATTAAATTTTGATTTAATTTATCTGGTGTGGGTCTCCAGCATTCATGTTTTAAAAGCCTCCCTAGTTGATTCCTTTTTTTTTTTTTTTTTTTTTTTTTTTTTTTTTTTTTTGGAGACAGGATCTCATTCTTTTGCCCAGGCTTGAGTTCAGTGGCACCATCTCAGCTCACTGCACCCTCTACCTTTCTGGGCACAAGTGATTCTCCCGTCTCAGCCTCCTGAGCATCTGGGACTACAGGCACATGCCACATGCCACCATACCTGGCTAATTTTTGTATTTTTAGTAGAGATGGGATTTCACCATGTTGCCCAGGCTGGTCTTGATGTCCTGGGCTCAAATGATCTGCCTGTGTCGGCCTCCCAAAGTGCTAGAATTACAGGTGTGAGCCACTGTGCCCAGCCCTCCCTAGATGATTCTAATGTATGGTCACTATTAAGGAGTACTGCCCTAAGTTCTGTTTTTGGAGAGTCCTATAAATTTCTTAGTAGAAAACAGGTCCACCCCCACCCCTACCCTCTCCCACAAGGGAGAGTTGAGACTGTCCAATCTGAATCTTATTCAAAAGCACAGAAATATAATCTTACAATTTTGCAAATACTTAGAGCAGGCTTTGAATTATTTTTAAAGTGATCTCCAATCTTCCCTTTAACAGACTTTGCTTGCTAAATATATTTTGTCTGTGTTTTAAAAACACTCCACACTCTGACTGATTTATCAGATTCCTGATACCAGTACCACAAGGACCCAAGGACCTCTAGCTGTGTTTGGTGAGGCAGGTCTTTGTCAATTTAAGTAATCCTGTCAGATGGTGTAGCCAATCTTGTAACTCACGACAAAGCACTGTTGCTGAGATACTGTGATTTATTTTCCTTAATGAGCAGTTTTTTTATATATATACGTTCCATTTTCAGACAGGTGGTGCTTTGAGTTGAATTTGCAAGTTCAGTGAAACATGGATCTCTTTTTTATTTAACTCCCTTTTCTTCTCCTAAGGTGCTTAATTTCCATGCTTGACATCGTACCACTATTTGCCAGCCAAAATAAATGCCAATATTGTGATTCTGTAGGGAAAGAAGCAGGTCATTTATTAATTCAACTAGAACATACTGCACTGTTCCTTTGTTCAAGGACCTGAATAGGACAAACATGGCCCTTGCTTTCATGGTGGTCAGGTACATTCTCTGAGGGAATGCAGAGATGAATAGATTTTTTTTTTCTTTTCATCTCTACATTCTATTCCATTGGCAAATCTTGGCTCCACCTTCAGATTACATTCTGAAAATAAATAACATTCCTCATTTGACTGCTACCATCACCCTAGTCTAAGCTATTATCATCCTTTGCCTGGACAACCTTCGCAGCCTCCCAGTTGGCCTCCTTGCTTCTGAAGTTACTGGTCATTTATAGTGTGTCGATAACACATCCGTGTCCCTCCTCAAAGTTCTTCAAAGGCTTCCTGTCACACGTAGACTAAAATTCAAACTCCATATCGTGAGCTGCAGGCTCTAGAGGATCCAAGTTCTGTCTGCTTTTATTTACCTCATTGGTGTTGTCTTTATCACCTCTCTTTTGGCTCTCTGTGCTCCAGCCATACTGTTTGCCTTGCTCAACAAGCTAAGTATATTCCCGCCTATTTTCGATTCCTTCTGCCTGGAAAGCTTTAATCCAGATCTCCTGTCAGCTTGGCTCTGTTCTTCACCCTGTTCAGGTCTCTACTACTGTTAAAAGAGGTGTTATTGACTGTCAACTGTACAAGGACAACTTCACTCTCTGTCCTCTTACTGTGTTTTTTTTCTTTATAACACTTGTCACAGTGACATTTCTTATGCACACATATATGCATACACACACTTTTTTTTGGCTTTTTAATTCTCTTCTTACCTCTGGAATGTGAATTTCCTCCTGTTAGGGGCTTTGCCTTGTTCACTGCTGTAACAAAGGTACCTTGAAACATATGAGGCATCCAAAAAATGCTTGAATCAAGTGAATAAAATTGTAACTGACAAGTATGGTAAGGCACAAGGTTCTGTGAGAGGGCCTATCATTGAACTCTCCTTTGGTCTCTGCCAGTGTGGCTAGAGCCACAGAGAAAGCAGAGGCTTTGAGTCTATTTACTAGAGATAGTGATGATATAGTGGGGGCCAAGATCAAGCAGAATCTTTTGTGGGACACGTTAAGAATTAGGGAAGCGACCAGGCACAGTGGTTCACGCTTGTAACCCCAGCACTTTGGAAAGCCCAGGCAGGAGCATCACTTGAGCCCAGGAGTTTGAGATCCACCTGGGCAATATAGCGAGACTTTGTTTGTACCAAAAAAAAAAAAATTAGGGAAGGGGTGTTTGGGTATCTTCGTAGTTATTGTGATGTTCTATTTTAAATTCATACATACATGAGGGTGAAGTATTAAGTTGCTCTCAAGTCTTATTAGGTGCTGCCACTGGTAACTGGTGTAGGAAATGCTTTATCACATTGAAGAATTTACAGAGAATTGTGTTCTATTCAGTCATCAGCATTTAACTTTTTTTTTTTTTTGAGACAGGGTCTGGCTCTGTTCCCCAGGCTGGAGTGCATTGGTGCAATCTCGGCTCACTGCACCCTTGCTGTCCTGGGCTCAAGCAGTCCTCCCACCTCAGCCTCCCAAGTAGCTGGGACTACAGGAGTGTGCCACCACCATGCCTGGTATTTTTTGGTATTTTTTTATAGAGGCAAAATTTTACCATGTTGCCCAGGCTGGTCTCAGACTCTTGTGCTGAAAAGCAATCTGTCCGCCTTGGCCTCCCAAAGTGTTGGGATTGCAGGTGTGAGCCACCACGCCCATAAAACTGTTTAAAACTGTTTCTTTTTTTGTTGTTGCCGGAGCGGGATCTGGTAAAAACCAGAAAACCTGCCAGATTCTAAAGGAGTTGTAACATTGCTTTAAAACTGTCTCTAACTTGGTGTTGTTTTGAAGATGATGAATGTAGGTTTTCCAGCTCATTTTTTATTGTTCTTTTTTTCCCTTTCAGTTTGATTTATAAGTGAAATTTAATACCCCCATTATTGGGAAAGGAAGATCCTGAAGAGAACACAGAATTCAATTCCTTTTCAGAAAATTTTGCTGCTTCAAGCTGTGCTTGGGCTTCTTATCCTTACTGTAATTGTGAGGGGTGAAAATAGTCCTTTGAACTTTTTATGAGGAAAGTGGTGGTGTTCTGTAAAGGACATTTATTTAAATATGATTGTTATTGGCTTCCATAATCCCCCATGTCATCTGACCTCGGATTAGACCCAGTCTGCCAGTCTGATGAGAGAGCCAGTTGTAAATTACCTGTTGAATTTCCTGTGGATCCCCTCTGTTGTTCTTTATTAGCTCCATAATCCAGCTGGATGTTCCTGTTACAGTTTGGCTAATGATCATGACCAATTTTTGAAGAAAGGATTCCTTATTGGCGGGCAAATTTTTGTTGAGTGGTACAGCCAGAAACATTTTCACATTATTCTTTCCTACTTTAGGAGCTAAACTTGCGGGCTGTTTATGTATTTGTTTTTAGGGTAATCAAATTTTTTCTTTATAACATTTGTCACAGTGACATTTCTTATGCACACATAAAGAGTAACCAGATATTACACTGTATGTTTTGGAGGAAACTGTTCTGGAAGACCTAGGCCTAAAACTCACTTAATAATGAAGTTGGGGAAATAGATTACAGTTCTTATTAAGAAAAAAAAATTTCATGTTTTAAAGCCCCCCTTTATTTGCCAAAATATTCCAAAATAGTATATCTCCTTGACATATTATCCAGAACCCAATATGCCTTACATGTTTGTCATAAAGATTGATTGAGAAAAGCAGTGTGGTCTAGTGGAAAGATGGAGACTTTTACTTTTTTTTTTGAGACGTAGTTACTCTTGTCACCCAGGCTGGAGTGCAATGGCGCGATCTCGACTCACTGCAACCTCCGCCTCCTGGGTTCGAGTGATTCTCCTGTCTCAGCTTCCCGAGTAGCTGGGATTACAGGCGCCCATCACCACGCCCAGCTAATTTTTGTATTTTTAGTAGAGACCAGATTTCACCACGTTGGCCAGGCTGGTCTCGAACTCCTGACCTCAGGTGATCCGCCTGACTCGGCCTCCCAAAGTGCTGGGATTACACTGTGCCCGGCCGACTTTTACTTTTTCAACAGCTTTATTGAGGTGTGCTGGGATTACACTGTGCCCGGCCGACTTTTACTTTTTCAACAGCTTTATTGAGGTATATTTAAGAATGCAGACTGTTGAGTCAGACCTAAGTTTGAATTCCTACTGGTACTGATAAGCTGTGTGACTTTGTCCAGGTTGCTCAGTCTCTAATATGTAATAGTGTTGAAATAACAATATTTGCTTTATTGAATTCATATAAAGATTAGAAAATGATATATGTCAAGTACCAGGCCCTTCAGGTTTCAATAAGAGGTAACTATTTTTAGTATTACTAATACTAGCCTGTAGTATCTCTTTCTGTCCTTTTGGGGTTTTAAAGCTTGAGAATGGAAATGAAATGGACAACAATGATGGTAGAATCTGTTACTACTGAACATAATCACACTAATTGATCAAAAGGGTACTCTGACATAAGAGTTGGCTTTGTTTTGTTAATGAGCAAGGAGTCCTTATTCTGCCCATTTTATGTTTCCTTTGAATGTAGCTGTCCTGAATAAAGAGTAACCAGATATTACACTGTATATATGATTTGGTACGGCTGGAGATAGCAGCCATACACCCCTTTGGTCTTGGGAGTGGTACCCCCTATATGGACAGATGTATTTGGGATCTAGACTCTAGATTTAGGGGGAGTGCCTTTATTTGTATGAAAATACAGCCATACCTCAGAGATATCACAGGTTCATTTCCAGATGACCACAGTACTGCAATAAAGTGAATATCACACTAAAGTGAGAGACATGGGCTTTTTCTGTTTCCTATTGCATATAAAAGTTACATTTACACTATACTGTAGTCTGTTAAGTATGCGGTAGGCTTATGTCATAATAAATAGTGGACTACCTTAATTTTAAAATATTTATTGCTAAAAGAAATACCAGCGATCACCTGAACCTTCATGAAGTGAGTCATAATCTTTTTTGCTGGTGGAAGGTCTTATCTCCATGTTGATGGCTGCTGACTAGCCAGGGTAGTGGCTGCTGAAGGTTAGGGAAGCTGTGGCAATTTCTTTCCCTCCCTCCCTCCCTCCCTCCCTCCCTCCCTCCCTCCCTACCTCCCCTCCCTTCCCTTCCCTTTCTTTCCTTCCCTTTCTTTCCTTCTAATTCTCGATTTCTAATTCTAGTTATCTTGCTGTTTCTTCCTCATCTGCAGTTACTTTTTCGACCTGTGTCTTGAACCTCTCAGTTATCCATGAGAGTCAGAGTCAACTTAACTCTGCATCTGTTTCAGTTTTATCACGAGATTGCAGTTCAGTCACATCTTCAGGCTCTATTTCTAATTCTGGTTATCTTGCTGTGTCTTTCACATCTGCAGTTACTTTTTCGAGCAATGTCTTGAACCTCTCGATTATCCATGAGAGTCGGAGTCAACTTCTTCCAAACTCCTGTTGGGGTTGATATTTTGAACTCCTCCCATGAATCATGAGTGACTCAATAGAATGGTGAATCCTTTCCAGAATAATTTTCAATTTACTTTGCCCAGATTCATCAGAAGAATCACTATCTATGGCAGCTATAGCCTTACAGAATGTATTTTTTAAATTATAAGGCTTAGAAGTGAAAATTATTGCTTGATCTGTGGACTGCACAATGGATGTTGTGTTAACAGGCATGATAACAGGATTTATATCCTTGTACATCTCTTTCAGACCTCTCGGGCAATGGTGCATTGTCAGTGAGCAGCAGTATTTTGAAAGGAATCTTTCTGAGCATGAGGTCTCAATGGTGGACTTAAAATATTCAGTAAAACATGCTGTCAACAGATGTGCTGACATCCTGGTTTTGTTGTTTCATTTATAGAGCATAGGCAGAGTAAATGTAGCATAATTTGTTTTTATTTTATTTTATAGAGACGGGGTCTTGCCGTGTTGCCCAGGCTGGTCTCCAACTACTGGGCTCAAGCAGTTCTCCCTCCTTGGCCTCCCAGAGTGCTGGGATTACAGGCATGAGCCACTGCACCTGGCTGATGTAGTGTAATTCTTAAGGGCCTTAGATTTTCAGAATGGTCAAGGAGCATTGGCCTTCACCTTAAAATCACCAGCTGCATTAGCTCCTAACAAGAGAGGCTGTCCTTTGAAGCTTTGAAGTAAGCATTCTCCTCTGTTTGAAGACAGGATTTCTCCTTTCTACTCTCTAGCCACAAAAGTTTTGGATTGTGTCTTCCAATAGAATGCTGTTTTTTCTACATTGCTGACATGTTGTTTAATGGAGCCATCTTCATCGATGATCTTAGCTAGATCTTCTGGATAACTTGCCACAGCTTCTCCATCAGCACTTGTTGCTTCACCTTGCACTTTTAGGTTATTGGAGATGGCTTATTTCCTTAAACTTCGTAAACCAGCCTCCGTCATCTTCAGACTTTGCTTCTGCAGCTTCCTCACCTCTCTCAGTCTTCATGGAATTGAAGAGGATTAGGGTCTTGTTCTGGATTAGGCTTTCAGTTTAATGGAATGTTGTGGCTGGTTTGATCTATACAGACCACTAAAACTTTGTCCATATCAGCAATAAAGCTGCTTCTCTTGCTTACGATTTGTGTGTTCACTGGAGTAGCACTTTTTAAATTTTCTCCAAGAACTTTTGCATTTACAAGTTTGCTAACTGGTACAAGAGGCCTTACTTTCAGCCTATGTTGGCTTTCAACATACCTTTCTCAGAAGCTTAATCACTTCTAGCTTTTAAAAAATATATATTCTTTTTCTTTTTTGAGATGGAGTCTCGCTCTGCCGCCCAGGCTGGAGTGTGGTGGCACGATCTTGGCTCACTGCAACCTCTGCCTCCCGGGCTCAAGTGATTCTCCTGCCTCAGCCTCCTGAGTAGCTGGGACTACAAGTGCGCAATGCCACACCCACATAATTTTTGTATTTTTAGTAGAGAGGGGGTTTCGCCATGTTGGCCAGGCTGGTCTCAAACTCTTGACCTCAGGTGATCCGCCTGCCTCCGCCTCCCAAAGTGTTGGGATTACAGGCATGAGCCACTGCGCCCCGTCTCTAAAAAAAATTCTTTTCTTTCAGCTATTTTACCAGAAAACATCCGCAAGTGTCTATTTCTAGCTTTTGATTTAAAGCGAGAGCTGTAGACTCTTCCACTTGAACACTTAAAGGCCATTGAGGAGTTACTAATTGGCCTAATTTCAATATTGTTGTGTTTCAGGGAATAGGGAAACAAGAGGAGAGGGAGAGAGACAGGGGAATGGCCATTCAGTGGAGTAGTGAGAACACACATTTTTATCAGTTAAGTTTTCCATCTTTTATGGGCACGGTTCGTGGTACCTCCAGAAATTACAATGGCAGTGTCAGAGATCACTGATCACAGATCATCATAACAGATAATGAAAACATTTGAAATATTGTGAGAATTACCCAAATGTGACACATGGACATGAAGTGAGTGCACGCTGTTGGAAGAATGACGCTGATAGACTTGCTTGATGCGGGGTTGCCATAAACATTGAATTTGTTTTTTTTTAAAACAGCATCTGCAAAGTGCAGTAAAGTGAAGCTTTACTTGCTTGATGAGGTTAGATTACTTCAGTTTCTAACCCACTTTTGTAGTCGATAGGAGATCACCCCCATTATTTCTCAGCCAGTTAATCTCGTGGTACTTTTGTTAGGAATATGATTAAAAGTGTTTCATATTTCCAGTATGAATACTTGTTTAAGTATTTATGGCTGAATGCATCTTTATCTTTATGATAGCAGCCTAAATATGCTTGTGTCCTACCCATAGATCTGTTCCTAAGTGTGGTATGCTTTGTGGCTGTGTTAGTGGCTAGAAAATAGATGGGGACATCCCGAAGGCAGCAGGCTAGTCTCCTCAAACTGTAGACATTTTTTTCTGATAGAGGGGCTTGAAGCCTTTAAGAGAGTCAAAGGAACTTCTGTGTTTCCAGAATCAGTTACTGATTTGTTGAGAATTGGGGCTTTATTTTTTTAGACTGTAGTTGCTAGCACCTGTATGTCACCTTTAGGAACCTTGACAGATGGTCCCCAACTTACTATAGTTCAAATTATGGTTTTTCAACTTTATTATCGTGTGAAAACTGGAAACTGTACTTTGAGTACCCACAGCCGTTGTTTTCACTTTCAGTACAGTCTTCAGTAAATGAGTTATTCATGCTTTGTTATAAAATAGGCTTTGTGTTAGATGATTTTGCCCAACTGTAGGATAATGTATGTGTTCTGAGCACGTTAAGGTAGGCCCAGCTAAGCTTTGATGTTCAGTAGGTTAGGTGCGTTAAATGCATTTTCATCTTATGATATTTTCAAATTATGATGGGTTTATTGGGACAAAACCCCCATTGTAAGTTGAGGAGAATCTGTACACCATAGTTTATTCATTCAACAAATAATTACTAAGTGCTTTTTAAGGCCAGAAACCTCAGTTGCTGCATTTATTTTCTAGTGGGGTGGGGGGGTCAGTAAAATAACAAAGTAGAATATATATTTGGTTGCAGCAAATGCTATGCAGAAAAAAATAAAGCAGGTTAAGAGGGATAAGGAGTACAGGGGAAAACAATGCAGTGATAAATAGGGTCATCAGGGAAAAAGGCCTAACTATGAAAGTGATATTTGTGTCAGGATGTGAAGTCAGCTGTGTGAGCATTTGTGGAAGATATTTTGGACAAAAAGAACAGCCAGTGCCGAAACTTTAAGGACAGAGACTGCCTGAAGTAATCCGGCAAGCAAACCAGTGTAGCTTCAACAGCAAGTGGTGAAGAGGACACAGGAGGTGAAGTCATAGACAGAAAAGGGAACTGAGGTAGGTGGAGACAGGTTGTGTGGAACCTAGTAGGCCTGTTGTGAGGATTGTAGCTCTTGCTCTAAGGTAGAATGCCAGTTCCTGCTTTGAGTAGAGGAGTGACATGATCTGATTAGTTTGTGGACAGAAGCAAAAAAAAAAAAAAGAGTTAGGGGGCTACTATAATAACCTAGTGAGAGAATGGTGTCTTGGGTTCCAGTGGTGGTGGTAAAGTGTGAGAATTAAGGTTCAATTCTGGATATATTTTGAAGTTAGAGCAGGTAGGATTTGCTGATGGGCTGGATGTATGGGTTATAAAAGAGGAAGGAATTTTTGGTCTGAGCAAGTGGATGGAAGGTATTGCTCTTTACTGAGATGGGAAGACTGGGAAAACTAGGTGGGAGCAGGGGAGAAGATCGGAGTTCAGTTTATGTTACTGTGATAAAGATAATGAGATGCTGAAACATTCTCTCTTTGAATCTAGCTGTATTTTTTGGTATTGCATATTGTAAAATTTCGTGGTAAGTACATGTTTTACATTTGTCAAAATTCAAAACAAAGCGAACCTTGATGTAAATGGACTTTGGTTAATAAGAATATGCAAGTATTGGCTCATTAAGTATAATAAATATGCAAAGGAAATGGAAGGGAGGGTATATGGGTACTCTGCTGTCTACTCAGTTCATTAAACCTCAAATTACTTTAAAATATAGTCTATTAATTTAAAAAATTAATCATGTTAACTTACACTATCATGTTTTCTTTGATTGTTGAGGTCATTTCTGGGGGTCTGTCTTTTATTTAGTGACAGCATGTTGACTTGCCCCTCGCTCCCACTTGTTTCTGACATAATTTCATACCAAGCATATATCCACAGTAGACCTCCTTTCTTTCATGGAAATGCGCAGCTTATATAAATATATTGTAGAAAATTGTGCTGCTTTTACTTAGACTAAAAGACACAAGAGTCCCCTGTAACAAACAGCTTGAAGTTATTTCATTTCACTGAGGTTTGTACAGGGTTCCTGAAACTGTCCTGTTTCAGGAGCTGCCAGATAACCTGATCCTAGAGTGAAACTCACTTTGGCATTCAGATTTTGTCTATGTTGGTATACCTCAACAGTTTAAGATTCTTTTTTAACTTACATGGCTCCATGAAAGAGGGATGTGATGTTTCAGTGTTCAGTTTTGGTAGCTATTAATTATCCCTTGTAGCCTTCCACTTAGAAGTGATACTTTCAGATTGAACATTGTTTCTTAAGTTTTTTCCTTTCCACCCCTCTCTCTTCTTCTTCTTCAGAAATAAAGCTCTGCATGTGTGTTGGTGTGTTTTAAGTATAATTTTTAATCTGTTTGTGGAACCACAGAAATGGATCCAAGAGGTAGGTAAGGTCTTAAATTGAATTTGATGTTAAATAAGCTGGCCTTTGACCCATAGGCAATGAGTGAGGAGCACCGTTGGGTGTAAGACTAGAAGCAGAAATACTAGGCATTTTAGAGGCCAGGTGAAGGGTGAATAAGGACATTTAGGTCAATTGAAATAAAAAGAAAAAGACAGATGTGAAATGTAGAAGGACTTAATTATGGTAGGAACTTAGTGATTTGGAGCCTGGCAGCCTGAGCAGGAAGGTGAAAACATTGACAGTAGGCAAGTTTAGAGGAAGAGCTAGTTTTAGATGAAAGGTTGGAATTTGTACAAGTTGAATTTTAGATGAAGTGTAGTGGTTAAAATTCAGGACTCTGGGCCGGGTGTGGTGGCTCACGCCTGTATCCCCAGCGCTTTGGGAGGCCGAGGTGGGCAGCTCTCTTGAGGTCAGGAGTTTGAGAGCAGCCTGGCCAACATGGTGAAACCTCGTCTTTACTAAAAATACAAAAATTAGCTGGACGTGGTGGTGTGCACCTGTAATTCCAGCTACTCGGGAGGCTGAGGTACGAGATCAGTTGAACCTGGGAAGCGGAGGTTGCAGTGAACCAAGATTGCGCCTGGGCAACTGAGCGAGACTCCCCATCTCAAAAAAAAAAAAGAAAAAGAAAATTGAGGACTCTGGAGCCAGATTACCTGTATACAGATGTAGATTTTACCTGTGCTTGCTTCTCTGACAAATGACCTAACCCCTTGACAAATGACCTCTTTTTCTCCATCTGTAGTATGGGGATAGTAGGCACCGTTTCATAGAGTTGTTATAATGATGAAATGATGAAAAGTCATGTAATGTTGTAGCACAATGCCCGGAACAAAGGAAGCATTCAGCAAAAGCTGCTATGTTTAGGATCCAGCTGGAGAAAGCAAATTCAGTAGAAAATATTAAGGCTGGTGATACACATTTGTTAGTCATAAAATATTGGAGCTACGTGGGATCTTTTACCACAATTTTTGTTTACCCCTGTTATTTTATCCATGAAGTGTAGAAGAGGTCATTAAACCTTGAGAAATGGATAAGGCCCATGAGAAAGAATGTAGAATAGAAAATTTGGACTAGCAACTTAATCTAGGATTATTCTTAAATTTAGTGTAGGGCAATGGTTTTCCACCTCTGATAGAGGGAAGCAGTGCACTGACCATTGGTTGTTTATCCGTCGGCTTTTCTGCTCTTCCTTGCCTCCCTCCCCCATTAATGGAATCTCCAATATTGTTTAAGTATCCTGTAATTGTGTAATTCAAAGGATGCTAGGCCTCTCTCTGGCTTCAGCAAGGAAACTTCATCAAAATGTGGTCTCTAGACCATCAAAGTGTAGTCTTTGGACCATCACCTAGAAATCTGCTAGAAATGTAAATTCTGGGACCCCATTTCAGATGTCCTGAGTCGGAAACTCTGGGGGTGGGGCCCACCAATCAGCGTTTAGCAAGCCCTGCATGCTTAAAGTTTGATCTCTAGTGTAGGGCTTCCAACTGAGATAACTTTAGAAGATAAAGCATCTAATGTAAATGAACCAAGCTTTCAGATTAGGGATGATTTTGAACTGTGTATCATGTGCCACATCTGAAGGGATTGGCTACTGTTTAGCTAATAGTCATTAAGAGGCTTGCAGACCCAGTGCTGGCAGATCTTGTGTTTGTGTGCAATAGATTTTAAAATGCTGGCAACTTACTGAATTTTTTTGACACACTTGTGAAGGCCAAAGAAAACCCAACTACAAGCAAATAAAACTAACGTCGGGAACATGACCCTCAGTTAGTGCTCTTTTATCTAAGAGTTTAAAAACATTGTGTGTAAAGTTTGCTTCATATCACAGATTATTACCTTAGGTTAAATTTCTAGATGTGGACTTTTTCTGGGGTGGGGGTAGGGGGGAGTGGTCATGGGATAATGACAGTTTTAAGGCTTTTGAGAAATGTTATGTTCTCCAGAATGAAACTGCTGTTTTGTCAGCAGTGTTCTGAAGCCTAACAGATAGTAGTTTTTAAAGAATTTCCAATTTAATAAACAAAAAAGACATTCTTGGATTATTTTATTTGGTTGATTTAGTAGTGTATTTCTTTTGTATTTATTTGTCACTTTTTTATATAAAGAAATCTGTAAATCTTTGTGTCTTTTTGAGTTATTTGAAAGGGTTTTTTTGCATTTTAAAAGCATAATTAAAATGCAAATTGTTTTCCCTAGCTTTTTATTTATTTATGTTTTAATTTTTATGGTTTTTGAATGATAGAAGTTTTAAATTTCTTTAGTCAGATCCATCAGTCTTTGTAAAATACCGTTTTAAAAGCCTGGGCTTTTCATTGGAATTAGATAGACTCTCTGAAAATCTTTGGCTGCTTTGCGAGGCATGCACATGGTTACTGCTGTGAACTATTCATGAATAGGATATCCCCTTCTCCACCTACCACTGCCACCATCACTAATATCTATTTAACAGACCTTTATTGAATGCTTACTGCGTACATAAAAGGAAACTATTAAAATGGTGTGGATACATCAGTGAATAAAACAAAGACGAATTCCTACTCTCTTGGAATTTACGTTACTGGAAGGAGAGTCAATACACAAATTTGTGAGATAGTTTCTTCACCCATAAGTCTGGCAGCTTTTAAGGAATGGCTAGAAAGCTTTGCTTGGCTGGGTTGCTTCGTCAAGTACTGTGTGCACATGGCTCTTCAGCATGGAATTCTCAGGGTTATAATATCTCTTAACATGAAGTCTCTGTGCTCAGTTGAAGCTGCATACCCATTTATAACCTGTCCTGGAAAGTCATCTGGTACCACATCCACCATATTCTGTTGACCAAAGTGGTCACAAGCTCCCTCAGATTTGAGGGGGAATTGACAGAAATCTGCCTCTCATTGGGAGAAGTGTCAAAGAATTTGTAACCCTTTTTAAAAACATTCCCTCATATAAATTTTTTTCTTCACTTGTAATAAATGTAACTTTATACTTTCTAAAAATGTAATTTTCAAACATTACTTCAGTATTACTGTTGATTACTGAGATTATTTTGCCATTTAAAATATATTTTCAAACACTCTTTTGGAAGCTACAGATTTATAGATTTTTGTTGTACATTTAAAATAATTCCCTGCCAACAAGCTGTGAAAGGGAAAAGTAATGCAACTTTTATTCACTGTTGGAAAAGTTCTTGAGCTGTATTGGAAAACTGATAAGAAATTGGAGGACTCTAAATGAGTTTTTAGAGTTAAGGTTAAAGATTGCATTGCACTTAAAAGTAAAGGGAACCTCTGGAAGAGGCTGGACAGAAGAGTCACAAGGTTGATAATGAATTGACTTATTATTCCTTCCTGATCTACTTTTAATATTTTGTGTCTTGATAGAAAACATTATTATAGTTTAATAATGTTTTGTTGTTGTTGTTGTTGGTTTTTGTTTTTTGAGACGGAGTCGCACTCTGTTGCCCAGGCTGGAGTGCATTGGTGCCATCTCGGCTCACTGCAAGCTCCGTGTCCCGAGTTCACACCATTCTCCTGCCTCAGCATGCCTAGTAGATGGGAGTACAGGCACGCACCACCACGCCCGGCTAATTTTTTGTGTTTTTAGTAGAGACGGGGTTTCACCGTGTTAGCCAGGATGGTCTTGATCCTCTGACCTCGTGATCCGCCTGCCTTGGCCTCCCAAAGTGCTGGGATTACAGGCGTGAGCCACTGCGCCCCGCAGTAATGGTTTTTTTTGACTGTATGTCTGTTTCCTTTGAGGACTTTACGTGCTGAGCTATTTCTAATAAAATCTAAATAACTAACTTTAATTTTTGTGAAGTATAAAATCCTATCTCAGTTTGAAGTTGGGTCTAGTTTTCACTCTGTCGTAAGTTTTTCAGGTCAGTTGACTTATTTATAAGAGGCTTGGTTCCGGGGATTCTTCTCGTCTATGATTCTATAGTTAGTAACATGAGTTATAAAACCAATCAGAAAATGTGCCATAAATGGAAACGTTTCCACCGTAGTTTCCAACTCTGAATGCTCCTTATCCTCTGCTTTGTCACATTGGTAACTACTGTGGTGATAACTTACTGTCCAGCAGTTATGTGGCATTTGCCTGATGTCTGTATGCAGCTTAAGCATTTTGTGGTTACCCTCTGTGATGAGCCTAGAGATCTCTGGGGTAAATGTTAAAAGCGGTCTGGGTATGTTTTTTAAATGCCTTAGTATTTCTGCCTGATTGCAAAGATTTATCTGTTGGCTTTCCTAAAGTTGTTGGATTGTTTAAGCATACTTTTTGAGTAGAGTCAAAGTATCCTATAAATAAACTGTTTTTCATTCATAATGTCATAGTAAAGCCTTGTTTTTAATTTAGTTTGAAATCACATATAGTTCGCTGAAAACCCATATATGCATCATGTAATACATACCTAAAGTTATCTTCGTTCCTTGAATGTATACTTTCCTTGGGATTTCTGTTTAGCTTTCAGGAGCAGTACAGTGGGGGTGGGGACGGGGGTAATATAGAACTGTTGACACTCGATAGCTTTATACTATTTTCTCATCTGTAGTAAGGAGACAGAAAATCTGCACTTTCTTTTTGCTCTTTAAAAATTCTTGCTTTACAGGCTGGACACGGTGGCTCACGTCTGTAGTCCCAGTACTATGGGAGGCTGAGATGGGTGGATCACCTGAGGTCAGCAGTGTGAGACCAGCCTGGCCAACATGGCAAAACCCCATCTCTACTAAAAATAAAAAAAATTTGCTGGGTGTGGTGGCAGGCGCATGTAATCCCAGCTACACGGGAGGCTGAGGCAGGAGAATCGCTTGAACTCAGGAGGTGGAGGTTGCAGTGAGCCAAGATTGTGCATTGCACTCCTGCCTGCATGACAAGAGCGAAACTCCATCTCAAAATAAATAAATAAATAAAACTTGGGTTTACAAAAATACCTGTTTGCAAAAGAAAAAATGAAAAAAATTCGTGGACTTTAGTACAAAATTTCAGTGAAATGGACCTAAATCTGGACAGATCTTTAGAGAGTGTCTAAATCAAAAGGAGAAACTGTTAAAAAGAAAAATTGTTCTAAACCTCATCTAAACAGAATCCGTGTGATATAATTCATAACCTCCTTCTGAGAAGAAATGAACATTTCTGTTATACACTTGTCTGATAAACCTTAATGGGATTAAGGCTTCTGCTGGGGAACTAGTTACCTCCCCACTCAGATGACTGTCATAGTCTAATAACTTTAAACAAGATATTGTCATTTTTTAAAAATCTAGTTTACGAATTAGCCATTGCCATTTCCTAATATAGCTCTATCAAGAGTGTATATGTCTTTAAATTAGTATATCAGAGACCTTCTTTCTTGCTTGAAAGATTGTAATAAAATACTGACATGTGGTCTTAACTAAACTGGGAAAAATATTGTAAGCTGTTATCAGCAATGTAGAAGTCCTAGGGAGAATTTGATAGTAGTCTAAGAACATTAGAATAAAGTTTTTCTAGTTTTAGTTCCGCATGTTAGGGAATCTTTATCCTTCTTCCTCTTCAGATATTTAAGATTATTTTGATACTTAAGCAGCCTGATTCAGTTAGATGTTTTAGTTTTTTTGTTTTTGTTTTTGTTTGAGAGGGAGTCTCGCTGTTGCCCAGGCTGGAGTGCAATGGTGCGATCTTGGCTCACTGCAACCTCCGCCTCCTGGGTTCAAGCGATTCTCCTGCCTCAGCCTCCCGAGTAGCTGGGACAACAGGCGCCTGCCACCATGCCCAGCTAATTTTTGTATTTTTAGTAGAGACGGGGTTTCACCGTATTGGCCACGCTGGTCTAGAACTCGTGACCTTGTGATCTGCCCTACTCGGCCTCCCATTGTGCTGGGATTACAGGCGTGAGCCAACATGCCTGGCCCTGAGCATCTTTTTCTTATCAGTTTGCTTTAACGGTTTGACAGTCTGACTTGGCTTATGACTCTGGGCAAATCATTTAATCCTTTGGGCCCCATTTTGGGCTCATTTTACTCATTTAAAAATTGAGATGCTTAGAGATAGATAATCTCTAATGTTTCTTTTGGTTTTAAGGTTTTTGGCACTTTCTGAGTGGGTGATTTAGATTTAGATTTGGCCTCATGGCTTAATCAAGATCTTACAAAGTCTATGTGAATGTTATTGACTAAGGAATTTTCTTGAAACATCTAAAATGAATTGAGCCTTTCAGGTGTCTACCTATAAGGACTGTACCCCCTCCCATGTAGGTTACATCTGTACATATAGGGTAGACTTCATGCAGATGATCATAAATTCATTAACATTTTATAAAGAAAGTGCCTCGTAGGTTTTTTTGTTTTTTTTTTAGTCCAACTCATGAGTTTTTTGGATGAGAGAACTGAGGAGTATCTTGAATGACTTTCTTTGAGCATGATCTACCGTGCGATAAACAGTTTGCCCCACTTATACCTACAGGTAAATTTGAGAGACACAAAGGCTTGCATATGCCTAACTTTAACAAAAATTACTTTCCCCACATACTCTGCATGCTGCATACTCTTAGTTTTCTGTTGTATTCTTTTCCATTATTTTTTAAATGCTGGGTCATGGCTTAAACTTCTCCCTTGCCATTCATTTGATTGTTAACAGACCATAACAGCTATTTGGTGGCTTAGCCAAAGAACCTGCAAACACGTGGGGCCATGATGGGGCTAAAAGGCAAGATTGACCTTGGAAAGCTAAGATTTTATTCTTATCAGTGGTTCATATACAGCAAGGTTTCTTAGTGTCAGCTCTACTGACATTTTCTTGTAGGAAACTGTCCTGTGTTGTAGTATGGTTAGCGGCATCTCTGGCCTCTACCAAGTACCATCCCCCCACCCCCAGTTGTGACAACAAAAAATGTCTTCAGGCATTGCTAGTTTCTTTGTATTCTTTGTAGTCTTCTTCCCACTTAAATTGATGTCTAAAATTATCTGTCCCGGCCGGGCCTGGTGGCTCACGCCTGTAATCCCAACACTTTGGGAGGCCAAGGTGGGCGGGTCACCTGAGGTCGGGAGTTCAAGACCACCCTGACCAACATGGAGAAACCCTGTCTCTACCAAAAATACAAAATTAGCCCGGCGTGATGGCGCATGCCTGTAATCCCACCTACTCGAGAGGCTAAGGCAGGAGAATCACTTGAACTTGGGAGGCGGAGGTTGTAGTGAGCCGAGATTGTGCCATTGCACTCCAGCCTGGGCAACAAGAGTGACACTCCATCTCAAAAAAAAAAAAAAAATAAAATAAATAAAAATTTATCTGCCCAGTTTTTTGTTTTGTTTTGTTTTGTTTTTTGGAGACAATGTCTCACTCTCACCCAGGATGGAATGCAGTAGTGTGATCTTGGCTCACTACAACCTCTGCCTCCCAGGTTCAAGCGATTCTCCCACCTCAGCCTCCTGAGTAGCTGATACTACAGGCACACACCACCATGCCCGGCTAATTTTTGTATTTTTAGTAGAGATGGGGTTTCACCATGTTGGCCATGCTGGTCTCGAATTCCTGACCTCAGGTGATCCGCTCGCCTCAGCCTCCCAAAGGGCTGGGATTACAAGCGTGAGCCACCACTCCCGGTCTGGATTCTTTTTTTTTTTTTTTTTTTTTTTTTGAGACAGAGTTTCACTCTTTTCACCCAGGCTGGAGTGCAATGACTTGATCTTGGCTCACTGCAACCTTCACCTCCTGGGTTCAAGCGATTTTCTTACCTCAGCCTCCTGAGTAGCTAGGACTACAGGTGCACCCCACCATGCCTGGCTAATTTTTTTATTTTTTAGTAGAGATGGGGTTTCACCATGTTGGTCAGGCTGGTCTTGAACTCCTGACCTCAGGCAATCCACCCACCTTGGGCTCCCAAAGCCCTGGGATTATAGGTGTGAGCCACCGTGCCTGTCTTCATTCTTAATGATTATATAACACTCCCTATAGAGGTGTACAGTAATATACTCAGCCATTCTCCTTTGGGAAATACAATTGCTTTCAGTTACCTTGATAGTAAACATTATTGTATTGGTGCTCTCGTTTCTGTGGGATCGAATCTTGAAAAGTGGATCAGAGAGCATGAGAATTTTTAATTAATTTTCCAAAAAATAAACTTTTCTGGTTTCTGCTTTTCTTCTGTTCTTTAAGAATGCCTCCCAATGCAGTGATTATGCTAAAGTCTTTAACACACTTTAGATTTATTTTTGTGTGTAGTGTAAGATAGGAATTCCCTCTCCTTTCTTCCCAAATGTGTAGTTGGTTATATCAATATCAACAATTAAATACAATGTTCTTTCCTCTGAGAATTGAGATGTCATCTTTGCATATTACGTTGCCATGTATACTTGGATGTATATGTTGTATTTTGTGGTCTGCTGATCTCTTTGTCTAGTCTAGTTCAAATACCATCCGTATCTATTGATTATACTTGTTGTATAATGGCAATTTTAATAATTGGTTGGGCAGAGTCTTCCTTAATATTCTCTTTCGGTTGGGCACGGTGGATCATGCCTGTAATCCCAGCACTTTGGGAGGTGGAGGCAGGGGGATCATCTGAGGTCAGGAGTTTGAGACCAGCCTGGCCAACATGGTGAAACCCTGTCTCTACTGAAAATACAAAAAATTAGCTGGGCTTGGCAGCACATGCCTGTAGTCCTAGCTACCTGCGAGGCTGAGGCAGGAGAATGGCTTGAACCCGGGAGGCGGAGGTTGCAGTAAGCCAAGATCACGCCATCGCACTCCAGCCTGGACGACAGAGCGAAACTCCATCTTTAAAAATTATCTTTCAGTGTTTTCTTGGCAATGTTTGAACACTCATTCACATGAACTCAAATTATTGTGTCAAATTTATCATCACATATTCTATGCCCTTCTTTAAAACCGCTTAAGCAATGCATCAGACGTAAAATAACTGCTCCAACTTAATAATTTAAGGGAAAAAAACTACAATTATGATAGGTAGTTATCACAACCAGGAATATGACATGTTCTTGTTATTTGTTTCACTATAGTTTTAATTATTTTTATGTTCTCTTTAGTTATGCATTGAGTGCCTGATACCTAGTGACACTGCTGTTTTTGTAATACTATTTCTACCTATTACTACTGCTTTGTATCTAGGACATAGCTTTTTACTTTTCTGACTGTGCATTTTTATTCATGCTCTATTCCATGCTTGACCTGCTTTCCCCACCTCCCACCCCAACCTTATTTCTCTCCTTTCAGAACTCAGCACAAATACTTGTGATTCTTTTCTTGCCCACAGTATTCTTTTCCATTAGTATTTCTAAATAGCATATATTTGACAATCAAATACTCTTTTTATTTGTTTCAGCATCTTTTCACAGAACCTTAGTGAATTCAGAGGGTCATCTCCCCCCTTCCTCCACTTTGACTTATTTTTGAGAAAATTGATTTGGCAGTAATACTTGTAAATTTGTATATTCCAACTGTTAACAAAAACTCTGGCCCAGAGCACCTATGTCAAGTCTTGGCTCTGCTTGTTAGTGGTGTGACCTTAGACAAGTTACTTAGCCTTATTGTCTTAGTTTCCTTATTATAAAAATGGGGCAGTGATGATCATAATACCCACTTGACAGGGTTTTAATGAGGATTTCGTGAATTAATATCTGTAATGTGCCAGACCAGTGTTTTGCATGGAGTAAGCACTTCATTTGTGATTCCTATAATTTCTGTTACTTAATTCTCATGAGGAAACACTAGTAAAATGAAGTAAAACATAAACCTTCTTATTATATGACTACTGTGCTTTCTCTCATTAGACCAGTTAAAAATCTAAGCCTTTAGCTTTAACTATATTACCCTTATTCAAACACATAAAAGATTTTTCCTACATGCTAGGTTTTTTTGAAGACGAGTATTGCCAGAAAGCTTTTTACGACTTAAGATGAACAGTTACTGTGGTCACTTGTTCCTGTCAGTAGTCCTAAATTTAGGATGAGTTTATCATCATCACTGTTCTACAGTTAAGGCACTACTGCAGAATAATCTCCCATTGAAGCAGTCTCCCTAGTCACCCTCTCACCCCTCTACATGCACTTTGCTGTGCATGCTGGAATTTGATTCAGAACAAAATGTACTTGGGTCTCCGGTTCCTGTTTCTCAAGTGTGTTTAAGGAGTATACGTTTTTCAAAACAAATATTTGTCATTAGATGTAAGGGCATAGAGTACCTTGTGGTAACTGAGTTAGTTCAACCAGGTATGGTAGTCAGAAGCTTGTAAGAGCAGCAGCAACTTCCCATTTACTGAGCACTTATAATGGAATGCTAGACTTTAAAAATGTTATGTCATTGAAATCACACAGCCACCCTGGGAGTGATATCTTCCAATTTTTAGGATGGTAAAAATGTCCACCTTTGTGCCCTCAGTCATTCTTTAACTGAAAACTAGCTCGACCTTTGAGGTCTATGTCATTAAAAATTATTTCTTAAGGGTTTTTTTTTGGTGGGGGGGTGGTTTTTGAGGGAGGCAAATTTATATAATATATAATGATGAACATGACAGAATATTTTTCAATTTGATGTGGCAGAATCGAAATCTGCCAATAAAACTTAACTATCTTACACGTATCATATAATTCACGATTCTGTTAGTAAGTGGTTTGCAAAAGCATAGAAATTGAGATGTGAGAATTTTGTATTTTACCATGTGTAAAAGCGGAAACGTTTTTACTCTGGAACATCTATAGTACCCTCAGCAAGTTTCCATTCAAGTTGTGTATGGTTGGGATTAGACTGGGTGCAGTGGCTCACGCCTGTAATCCCAACATTTTGGAAGGCTGAGGCAGGAGAATCACCTGAGCCTAGGAGTTTGAGACCAGCCTGGGCAACATCGTGAGGCTCCATTTCTATGAAAAAATAAAATTAGCTGGGCGTGGTGGTGCACATCTGAGGTCCCAGCTACTGCAGAGACTGAGGTGAGAGTGGTTGCTTGAGCTCAGGTGATTGAGGCTATAGTGAGCTATGATTGCATCACTGCCCTTCAGCCCGGGTGACAGTGCAAGATCCTATCTCCAAAAAAAGAAGAGCTCTCAAATATCTTGTTGGTAGTTTTCACTTTGTAATATAGCTTTATTTTCCCTGGTTTGTGTATATTTGGACTAAGAGTGTGGACTATAATTGCTTGACTCGCTTTCAGCATTAGAGGCCAGAGTTAGTTTTATGAGGAGGCCAGAGTTAGTTTTATGAGGTCTGTTGGCACCAGATGAGAAAAGGGGTTAGCTTCAGTCTGGAATTACTTTGGTTTTAATCTTTTGTAAGGAAAAGTTAGGATCATAGTTCCAACCTGTTATCCTCATTCCCTCTCTCTTCCTGCTTCCTTCCTTCCCTTTGAACAAATATTTGAGTACCTGCCATTTGCTAGGCATTGTTCCAAGCACCCAGAGATATTATGGTGAACAAGACAAAAATCTCTGTTTTCCGGATATGATTCTAGTGGGGGAAACAGACAGTAAGAAAGATAGATAATTAAAAATAATTTTCATGAAGGTTCTATTAATAAAGCCAGGAAGCGGGAAAGAAAGGTGTGTAGGGGGTATTTGGAGAGGGGTTGCAATTTTATAGGACAGTTAAGGGAAAGCCTTAATAAAGTGTCATGTAAGGAAATGACCTGAAGAAAGTGAGGATATCTGCTTTAGGAATAGCAAATAAAAGGTCCTGTGGGTGACAGCTTGCCTAACATGTTCAGCAAACAGCAGTGACTGGAATGGAATGAGCCAGGAGGAGAACAGGAGATGAGGCCAGAGAGGTAGCAGGGATTGGGTGATAGAGGCTCTCTGTTTGAGGCCTTACAGGGTCGTTGTCAGGACTTGGGTTTTTAGAGATGGTAAACAACTAGGCTAGGTTTTGGGTAGAGGAGTGACATGATCGAACTTATCCTTTTATACAATATTAGGCTGGCTGCTATGTTCATGATGATAATCCTGAAAGTGGTCAAGGGTGAGAGCTAGAAGCCCATTTAGAGGCTCTTGGACTCATCTAGAAAGATTCAACCAAAGTACTAACAATGAAGTGGCAAGAAGTGGCTGAATACTGGATATATTTGAAGACAGTGCCAATAAGATTTGCCAATTGAGTGTGTTTATGAGAGAGATAGAGGTGGTTGGGGGTTGAAATTAAGGATTACATGGAGGTTTTTGACCTGAACAGATCCATCTAGTTGAAGCAGGTTTGGGATGGCATATAGGAGTTGGGGAGGGGAAAGTATCAACTTCATTTTGATCATGTAAAGTTTGAGACACTTTTTAGACATTCAAATAGAAGTGTTGAGTAGGCAGGTAGAAACAGGAATCTGGAGTTGAGGGGAGCGATTTCAGCTCGAGGTAGGAATTTGGGAGTCAGAAACATAGTTGGATACTTAAAGCCATGAGTTTGGGTAAGATCACCTAGAAAGGAAGTATAGGAAAGAAGATTTAGTGATTTCGCATATGCAGTCTTACAAGGAATTCAAAAAGACAATAGAAAAGCCAGGTTAGTATGTCTTGAAAGAGAAGTGGAGAAAGTATTTGAAGGAGGGAGTAATCGTTGGATACTGCTGATGGATCAAGGGTGGTAAGGACTGAAATGTGGAAATTGGATTTAGTACAGTGGAGGTCATTGGTGACCTTGACCAGCAGCTTTGGTGCAATAGTGGGTTGAAACCCTGTGTTAAAGAAACAGTGAGAAGAGACAAATTAGAATAATGAGTATTTGCCGTAAAAAGAAATAGAGAAATGGGGCAATAACGTTTCCTCTGGCTTCCTATTATTAGCAGACCTCCTGATCCATCCCCCTTGCTGTTGCTGCAGTGCTTCCCTGGTATTGAAGGAAATACTTCCCTTATATGGAGGCAGGGAATGAGCCTGTCTGAGATGCTCTTTGTTGCTCTCTTGGAAGCCAGGAAATGCCAAACTTGGGTTACCTTCTTTCGGTTGGGTAGTGTTTATTAGATGCTTTTGTTACTGTGTTGTTCCTTTAGTCCTGGGGCCCTTAACTAGTTTGCCTTCCCTTTTCTATCTTTCAGAGTTTTCCTTTGATTGCCTCTTGTGTTATTTGCAGGATTTATAATTGTGCTTAGAACAGGGATGAGCTGGGAGAAAGAATAGAGTCTACACCACCTTGCCTGTACCAGGGTTTCTTCTATTTATTCACTTTTTTGTTTGTTTTGTTTCCATATCTCCTCAGTTCCTTTTTACCACATTTATTTTTAAGAACTGGTAAGTTTATTAACAAATTAATTTTTGGTTCAACTCATTTTCTTGAAGATGGGTTCTGTTGCTAAACCTCAGTGTCTTTAAGGACTATTTCTGAAAATATGGTCTCAGCTGGGCGCATTGGCTCACACCTGTATTCCCAGCACTTTGGGAGACCGAGGTGGGTAGATCACCTGAGGTCAGGAGTTTGAGACCAGCCTGGCCAACATGGTGAAACCCCGTCTCTACTAAAAATACAAAAATTAGCCAGGTGTGGTGGTGGACGCCTGTAATCCCAGCTACTCGGGAGGCTGAGGCAGGAGAATTGCTTGAACCCGTGAGGCAGAGGTTGCAGTGAGCCGAGATCGCACCACTGTACTCCAGCCTGGGCGAAAGAGTGAGACTCCATCTCAAAAACAAAACAAAACAAAAAAAGTATGGTCTCATAGATATCTTACATAATAACTAAGAGGCTTTTTCTTCATAAAGGTACGTGAGACTTAACTCTCTCAGGCAATTCTTAGACTTACTAAAGTTGGAGCATTATTCCTGGAGATTGTGCGTTGGAACTTTTTTGATTTCTCAGTAGCTGACTGGGGGCTCAATGATAATAGCTAGCTAAGTGGTGGGGCCAGGATTTGGAACTCAGTGTTCACTGACTCCAGACACCATACTCTTTTCCAATAAACCGTATTTTCAAAGTGAGAAAGAAGATGTTTTTCTGTTGGATTTAGTATTAAAATTCTCTCATTCTTCTAGAGATAGCCGGAGGCAAGTTCTCCCTGCGGAATATGTGGGACTGGGGTAGTAGGGATGAAAGGGGGACCCTGCCTCAATACACTGTACTTTTCTGCTCCTTCACCCTTCTGGTTGTGTGTGTGTGTGTGTGTGTGTGTGTGTGTGTGTGTGTGTGTGTGTGTCAAGGTCTTGCTGTGCTGCCCAGGCTGGAGTACAGTGGCGCAGTCTCGACTCACTGCAGCCTTGACCTCCCAGGCTCAAGCGATCCTCCCTCCTCAGCCTACTGAGTAGCTGGGACCTTAGGCTTGCACCACCATTCCCGGCTAATTTTTGTATTTTTTTGTAGAGACATGGGGTTTCACCTGTTGCCCAGGCTGGTCTCGAAGTCCTGAGCTCGAGTGATCATTTTGGGTTTTTTTGTTTTTGTTTTTGTTTTTGTTTTTCTGAGACAGGGTTTCACTCTTGTCACCCAGTCTGGAGTGCAATGGCGTGATCTCACTCACTGCAGCCTCTGTCTCTAGGGTTCAAGTAATTCTTCTGCCTCAGCCTCCCAAGTAGCTGGAATTACAGGCACCCACCACCATTCCCTACTAATTTTCGTATTTTTAGTAGAGACGGGGTTTCACCATGTTGGTCAGGCTGGTCTTGAACTCCTGACCTCAAGTCATCTGCCCGCCTCAGCCTCCCAAAGTGCTGGGATTACAGGCCTGAGCCACCATGCCCGGCCTCAAGCAATCTCTTTGAAAGAGAAATTAGTATCACATACAGAATTTGAACATTCTAACCTCAGTTTAACTTTTGAAAGGAAGAAAAGTAGACAGAAAATTAATTCACTCTGGAGGAGCTGCTCTGGAATGGCAGTACTTTGAATAACTGAGAGCCTTTCACTATTTGTCATTTGCTTTATTCTTGAAACATAACAGTCTTATTCTCTAAAGAAGACACAGTAGGCCATGTGCGGTTGCTCACGCCTGTAATTCCAGCACTTTGGGAAGCCGAGGTGGGTGGATCACCTGAGGTCAGGAGTTTGAGACCAGCCTGTCCAAGTGAAACCTTGTTTCTACTAAAAATACAAAAAATTAGCGAGGCGTTGTGACGGGCACCTGTAATCCCAGCTACTTGGGAGGCTGAGGCAGGAGATTCGCTTGAACCTGGGAAGCGGAGGTTGCAGTGAGCCGAGATCGCACCATTGCACTCCAGCCTAGGCGATAAGAACAAAACTTTGTCTAAAAAAAAAAGAAAAAAGGCACAGTAAGTAGCCTAGTATTTTGCTCAAAATCTTCATGCTCAAATTCCATGTTCAGTCCTACAGCCAGTCAAGAACTGTAAGCCATTTCCATACTTCTTTGTCATGCCATTTTTTCCTCCATTAGAATACTTCAGTTAAGTGTTTTTAAAATATAAACATTTGAGAATTAAACAGGATAAGGCATCAGCTAAAACTCTCTCATATTGTTTATATTTTTTGCAAATTTACTTGTAAACTACATGTGCGCAGACATCATTAAAAATTGTCTTACAGTTAAAACACATGGTAGTTCCCATAAGGAGGCATGGATAATCTAGTTGGAGACCAGTTATATATATGACATGACTTGGAAATAATAGCACATACAAATAACAAAATAAGAGGATCCAACTAAGCTTGAAGAGGACAAAGAGTGAATTGTGAGGTACGATGCACAAGGAAAAACTTTCCTGGAGAGACGTGGGTTTTAGTGTTAGAAGATGCTTCTGGGTATTTTCCGGTTGGAAATTTGCATAGGGTATGACAAACAATTACATTTCTTTTATTGTGCTAGGCAGAGTATATAATATGTATATGTTTACCATGTTTGATGAAAAATCTGACTGACGGGTATTGAAAGGAGTTTAAAGTACCTTAAATGATTTTTAAAAGATTGAGTGTATTTTAAAACCTATCTCAATCTTAAACATGTAAAAATTTAATGTACAAAAAAAATTTATCAGCTAACCTACAGAAAATGAAATGTATCAAACTACTAAAGGTTGTTTGTTTGTTTGTTTATTTTTGAGACAGAGTCTCACTCTGTCGCCCAGGCTAGAGTGCAGTGGCGTGATCTTGGCTCACTGCAACCTCTGCCTCCTGGGTTCAAGCAATTCTCCTGCCTCAGCCTCCCGTGCAGCTGGAACTACAGGCCCAGGCCACCACGCCTGGCCAATTTTTTTGTATTTTTAGTAGAGACAGTGTTTCACCATGTTGGTCAGGCTGGTCTTGAACTCCTGATCTCAAATGCTCTACCCACCTCAGCCTCCCAAAGTGCTGAGATTACAGGCATGAGCCAGCATGGCCAGCCTAGAGGTGTCAAATTATCAAGTTTAGAAGTATGGGCTTTGTGTTAAAGGCACAGTCAGTAAAATCCACAATGGAGGAAATTCTAAAGGACAGATAGTGCTGTCTCTTCCACAAATTGTGAGGAAAGAAAATGAGGAGGAGCGTGTTACGAGCTTGCGATGTATTAAGTAAATGAATTGTGTGGATCTTATTTGACTCTGATTTGGAGAAAACTGAGACAATCCAGGAAATTTAACCAGTAACTGGATATTTAACATTAAGGAATTATTGTTTTTTAGATTATAAAATATACTGGTATATATTCTTAAAAGACCTTACATTTTGGAAACATACCGAAATATTTAGAGGTGATGATGTGATGTTGGGAATTGGCTTAAAAATAATTCATAGGGATGGGAGATAGATGTTATAGATGAGGTAGGATTCGCCAAAAGTTGATAGTTGAAATTGGTTGATGGTTTTGTGGGAGTTTATTATCTTTTAGCTTGTATTTGTAAATTTTCATTCAAACAGGGTCTGAGATAAATAAAAGAGCATGAGGAAAGATGAGGATTGCTTATATTGTTTTATAAGATTAACATGGATTGCCAGGTTCTGTGTGACCTGGCCCTGCCTACCTGTATCCATTGTCAAGTTGAATGAATTCTTTTCGTTGTTCACTGTTGGAGCTCTAACCACATAACCATTGTATACATGTCGTTTCTTTGTGACACACCACAGTTCCACCTAATGTCTTCTGCTCCACATCCCCAAGCCCTACCAGTTTGTGCATCCAAGTCCTATTTTATGCTTTGGAGGTCTGTTTAAATATTTATATCACAAGTCTTTCTAGATCCCCCAGTCTAAATCTGACATAGTTAGGATCTCTTATCGTATATTTTATATGATTATTTGATTATTAACATCTATCTGCCCCATTAAATTGTAAACTTTAGCCCCAGTTCTTGTTTTTGCATCCCTAACCTAGTCTAATTCTTGGTAACTAATAGTTGCTTAAATATTTGTTAAATGGAAGGAAGAAGGATAGAGTGAGTTCATGGTGGGCTAAATGCTTGGCTGAAATAAACTACCAAAACTACACAAATTTCATTTAAATATTAGAGGTAATCTAGTTGAAGCAGTAAGACAAAAGTGCTGTGTTTAATTTCAAGGGTCTGTCAGGATGAATTGGCAGTTTAGGTAGAATTGGCTCTGGGGCTGGGTGCTGTGGCTCACACCTGTAACTGCAGCACTTTGGGAGGCTGAGGCAGACGGATCATTTGAGGTCAGGAGTTCGAGACCAGCCTGGCCAACACGGCAAAACCCCATCTCTACTAAAAACACAAAAATTAGCCAGGCATGGTGACAGGCACCTGTAATCCTAGCTACTCAGGAGGCTGAGGCAGGAGAATCACTTGAACCCGAGAGGCAGAGGTTGCAGTGAGCTGAGATCGTGCCTCTGCACTCCAGCCTGGGTGACAGAGCGAGATTCCATCTCAAAAAAAAAAGTATTGGCTCTGGTACATTTGTTCCACATTACTACAGATATCTGTAGAAAGCTGACACAACCTAGGTCATGTGACAGATGAGAATGGGTTAAGACGAAGTATGTATCCGAGTTTTTTCCTGGGTTTTACTTTACAACTAAAATGTGGGATATTTAACTCTGGACAGTTTGGTTCTCTTCTTTTTCTCCTTGTGCTTTATCCCCTCCATCTTTTTAAATTTGGTGGTAATGTCACTGATAATGCAATGTCTATTCTAATAGACTACTTTGATTTTTCTGTTTAGAGTGGAACTTTTAGATGACTCTAAAGTTCAAAGCTCAAGAAACTCTCAGAATATGGCTTGTTGCTAACTGAAAACACTTGTTTCCTGAATTTATCTGAGAGGTTTTTCTTTAATCTTATTCTGTTTTTCTTCCTTTTTTGTACCTTTTTGATACGGAATTTAAATCCATT
Organism: Homo sapiens; assembly: GCF_000001405.40. NCBI lineage: Eukaryota > Metazoa > Chordata > Mammalia > Primates > Hominidae > Homo > Homo sapiens. The sequence goes on from NT_167251.2 coordinate 684,896, forward strand.
ATAATGACTAAATTGTTATTTCTTTCTTTTTTTTTTTTTTGTAGACAGAGTCTTGCTCTGTCCCCCAGGCTGGAGAGCAGTGGCACGATCTCGACTCACTGTAACCTCTGCCTCCCGGGTTCAAGCGATTCTCCTGCCTCAGCCTCCTGAGTAGCTGGGATTACAGGCGCGTGCTACTAAGCCCGGCTAATTTTTTTTTGTATTTTTAGTAGAGACGGGGTTTCACTATGTTAGTCAGGCTGATCTCAGACTCCTTATCTTGTGATCTGCCTGCCTTGGCCTCCCAAAGTGCTGGGATTACAGGCCTGAGCCACCGTGCCCGGCTGACTAAATTGTTATTCTTATCTAATACATACATTTTAGGTTGCAGTTAGGATTACATCATTGTATGGCTATCACAACTTTGTGAAGCAGATGTTGTTCTTATTTGCAGAGGTCAATTTATATGTTTAGGATCACATAAAGTAAGTAAAAGTGAGAACTTGTCTCCTGATCTTCCCTCTGTTTCACACTGCTTTTGAGCTAGGTAGTGAGTACTTGTGAGTGGTTTTTTGTTTTTGTTTTTTTCATGTGACTCAGCAATTTCAAGATTTCTCATTCCTGCCCCACAGTGACCCTAACTCTTACCCTGAAAACTGTTAATCTGGCAATTGTACGCTCTGGGATGATCTCAGTTTTATTTGAATCTTTTGGTTTTTAAAAGTTATCTAAATAACCTGGAGATTTCAGAACTTAGATGTCTCAGGATTTCCTGCACACTTGGAAGTAGCACATAATCCTTTGTCAATTTATCTACCAGTGTGAATGTAGCACTGTGTAGCTCGCTGTGAACAGTCATTTTACTTTAGTTGGCTAATAGAACCTTTGTTTCATTAAAAGGAAAGAATCAAGATGGGACTGAAATCAGAATCAAAGTTGAAATTACCACCATTCGGGTTTTTCTGGCATGTTTGTTGCCTTAATGAGATTTAAAAAAATTTATGTTAATACATCAGGGAAGAGAAGCATAATCCACCAGCCTTGTTCTACTGGATTGACATACAAATTTCCCATCTTAGAATAGAATTAGGTGACTTAATTAGAGGCACTAGGCCTGGTAGTCAACATGTGGTGTTCCATGTGGTTCAATGTCTAGCTTTTGGTGCTACTTATCTAATAAATACAAAATAGTTGATCTATTGATAATCCCTTTTAAACCCATTGACTATTAATAACTTTAAAGAACTAAAAACAAAAATTAATTTTTAGCCAACATGTAAGCTGAACCCTGAATTTGCAAGGAAAAAAATTAATTACTTTTACTGTATGGTTTAAGTGTGTTTATAGAGGGCGCTTTTTTTTTTTTTTTTTTTTTTTTTTGGAGAGGGAGTCTCACTCTGTTGTACAGGCTGAAGGGCAGTGGCGTGTGGTCTCGGCCCACGGCAGCCTCCGTCACCTCCTGGATTCAAGCAATTCTCCTGCCTCAGCCTCCTATGTAGCTGGGATTACAGGCGTGCGCAACTACGTCTGGCTAATTTTTTTTATTTTTAGTAGAGATGGGGTTTCACCATAGATTTCACCAATGAGAAGTCTTAAAATTGTTGAGTCACATGAAGAAAACAACAAAAAACCATTCACAGGTACTCACTACCTAGCTCAAAAGCAGTGTGAAACAAACACAGGAAAGATCTATGTTCTTAGAGTCAACAGAGCATTCTCAATTCTCTGTGGTAATAGTCTAACTGTGTAAAAAGAACGATTAAAGTACAAGTTCATAGCTAATGAAATATTTATATACAACAAATATTTCTTATGTAAACCAATACTAGCACATAGCTGGTTAACATTAAGATGTACTATTCATGTGGTGTCACAAAAGCAAAATTGATACTGCATTTAGGTAACCAAAAAGTAATTCATCATGTAACATTTTAATGAATTTTTGTATAGCACATGGTGACAAAGCCATTTTTACCAATAAAAAGTTTATAAAAGCAATGAGCAAAATACGAGTTGAAAAGAATTCCCACTCAGGTGATAACTACAGTATATATAGTACATGTTTTTGTATGGACTAGGATAAAGCACACAGTAAAATCAAACGTTCTAAGGCATTCTAGTGTCCTACTCAGGCACATAGTTAAAACAGTTATTTCACTAATAGCACAGAAACAAGCATCAGGAATGAGTTGACTCATCAGTGTTAGAATCCACGTGATTTTCTTCATTATTGATAATGACTATATTAGAAACCAAGTCCTCATTGTATTTAAAGTATTATTCTGCAACCTTAGTCCTGTGTTCTTTCCTGAAGTCTGTATGGTATAACATTAAACATGTCCCTAATGTTCAATGTGTGTCCCTTGTTTTGAGCTGTAAATTGTCAGAGTGATAAATTTACACTTCGAATATTGAGGAGGAAGTCTATCTTTACCTCTGATAAGCTGAGTTTATATAGCTTGTATTTGTTAAGGAACAAAAGATGTGAAGCTCTTATTCTTGTGTTACTGTTTAGTGGTGCTCTGCTCTGCCACTGGAGTATGGTAACATCTTCATATCTTATCCAGACTTGTTAACTGTACACCTCTCATGCTTAATAACAGTTTAGCTTTCTGCTCATATTGCTGGTATTTTGAACACAAGATACTTTTTGGACGCTTGAGTTGTGGTTTTCCATTTTTCATTGGAGATGATCAGAGTTTGAGCAGCATTATGGAAGAATAATGTTGTAACAACTTTCTCCTGGAAATCACTTCGAGTTCTAAACCATCATATCACAGATACACTTGTAAAATGAAACTTGTTCATAAATTGGGAATTGTTAGTATTCCTTAGTGCTGTCTTGCCTTTCTTTAATTAGTTTATTAACCATATTATCCAAAACATATTATCAGGAGGCTCGCTTTGTATTGTTATTTAGGTAAATACCTGTGTAGGGGACATAAGACCTTCATTAATATCCAAGAAAAAGTGTATTTATCAAAGTTCTTGCGAACTAAAATGTTTTAAGTAATTTTCTTTTCCTTTTGTATTTTCAAAGGAGCTGCATGGTTCCTTAAACATTAGAATGCCAGGATGAAAAAGGTGTGAGGGGAGTTGATTGAGGAAAAGTAGTATGATTGACTGGTGTTGGGAAGAGCAGCTAAGGAGGCTGTTGGGGTTGCCCAGTGGTGATAGATGGGGACCTGGTGTGGTGGTAGTTTTAGGAATGAAAGGAATCTATAAATCCAAAAGATTTTGCAGGATAGAAAGGTGGTAAGCCTTGAAAAGTAAGGAAAGGTGGGAATAAAATACGAGGGTTAACTAGTTTTGTCTCTTTGTGGGTAGGGGGCATTTTTGTTGTTCAAGAATGATCCCTAGTTTCTTATTGATCTCTTGAGATCATTTCCTGGATTTAGGGTAGAGCTAGACCTGCAGCCAACATTGAAGCAGATAACTGTACTTTAAAAGTATCTTTTTATCTTGAAGTGGTTCCATCAAAATTAGGGAACTGTAAAATGTTTTCTTTCTAAAAGAAGAGACATAATTGATAATTATCACAGTGGTTGGTTTGAATGGTTTATGTTTGGTCCATACAAAAGTTAAAATACCATTACTACCCTTGGTCTTAATTATTATGGTATGATTAAGTATTAATTCATGTCTTACTCTGTCGTGGTCAGATTTGTTCTTTTTTATTTTTGACATTTTGTATTTTGCCCCTATGGGAGACTGTGTTCAAGTTCACCTATAGTCATAAGTTTTAGCAGTGAGTGTGTGTATCCTGATGGGAAGTGGGGCTGAGGGCTGTGTGACTGCTGCTGCTTTCTGGGAAAATAGTTTTGTGGTAGATTATGAAATATTTAGATTACAGAATATAGTAGACACCATGTATCCCCAGTGTAATATTTAAACAATGTTAATGTTGTCACATTTCCATCTTTGTTTTTTTACATGAGAAGTCAAACATTATAGGTAGAGCTAAAATCCAACTTCTCCATCCCCTTTCCAGAGATAATGAGGAGCTTGATTGTAAATTTGTTGTATGTCAGTTTTAGGCATTTTAAAATATATTCATCAGTTATCTGTATTGGTAACAATCCTTATTAATGTTTATTTGTTTATTTTTGTGCAGCTTTTGCATTCCCCATTGTTGAGATTAGGTCATGTTGATACATACAGTAAATAAATTGCTAGATAGTATTTCATCAAATTCCTTCACTACTTGTGTGTACTTAATCTTGTTTAGTTTTTTTGTAGTTGTTTCATTCAACATTGTGTTCTTAGATTTAATCATGTTGATACATACAGATGTCGTTTATTTTTATTACTATAGAACTATTAAATGAATAAATTATAGTTTATTTACCAATTTCAGCAGAATTAGAATATAATTAGTTTTTATCTATTACAGACTCTCCTCCAGTGAACCTGTTTCCTTATGCAGAGGAATGTGTAGTTTATGTTCTCAGAAACAGAATTTCATGGCTGGGCATAGTGGCTCGTGTCTTTGGGAGGCTAAAGGTCAGGAGTTTGAGAACAACCTGGACACCATAGCAAGACCCCATCTCCACAACATTTTTTATTAAAAATTAGCCAGTGGGGCTAGGCTCAGTGGCTCACGCCTGTAATCCCAGCACTTTGGGAGGCCGAGGTGGGTGGATCATGAGGTCAGGAGATCGAGACCATCCTGGCTAACACAGTGAAACCCCGTCTCTACTAAAAATACAAAAATTAGCCAGGCGTGGTGGTGGGCGCCTGTAGTCCCAGTTACTCGGGAGGCTGAGGCAGGAGAATGGCGTAAACCCGGGAGGCGGGGCTTGCAGTGAGCCGAGATCATGCCACTGGACTCCAGCCCGGGCGACAGAGCAAGACTCCGTCTCAAAAAAAAGTTAGTCAGGGCTGGGTGCAGTGGCTCGTGCCTGTAATCCCAGCACTTTGGGAGGTCGAGGTGGGCGGATCCCCTGAGGTTGGGAGTTTGAGACCAGCCTGACCAACATGGAGAAAACCCCGTGTCTACTAAAAATACAAAATTAGCCGGGCATGGTGGCGCATGCCTGTAATCCCAGCTGCTTGGGAGGCTGAGGCAGGAGAATCGCTTGAACCTGGGAGGCGAAGGTTGGTGGTGAGCCAAGATTGCGCCATTGCACTCCAGCCTGGGCAACCAGAGTGAAAGAAACTCCATCTCAAAAAAAAAAAAAAAAAAAAAAAAAAAAAAGAAAGAAAGAAAGAAAAAAAAGCCAGGTATGTAGTATGCTCCTGATCCTAGCTGCTTGGGAGACTGAGGTGGGAGGATAGCTTAAGCAAAGGAACTCTAGGTTACAGTGAGCTGTGATTGCACCACCACAATCCAGCCTCAATGATAGAGTGTGAGACCCTGCCTCTCAGAGAAAAAAAAAAAAAAAAAAAGAATACAGTATCATGATGGTTGGGTATGCACATTTTACACCTCGCTAAGTATTTTCAAATTATTTTTCAAAAATGGTGGTTCCAATTTTAACTGTTATCAGCAATATATTAATTGCTCTTTTCCATTTCTCACCACCTGTTGGCTTTATCAGACTGTGCGTTTTCCCATCCAGATTTCAAACAGCATCTTAATGTTTTACCTAATATTTATATTTTAACCAAATTTTAACGAGATGACACATTTTTATATATTTATTATTTGCCTTTTATGTGAATTTCCTATTTCTGTTAAGATTGTCTTTTTTTCTTTTATCCTATTTCTGAGATTTCTGTTACATATTCTGATGTTTAATCGTCAGTTATATGTGTTAGATATCTTCCACCAAAATGTAGTTGGCCTTTTAACTTTATTAGATTTTCTATTGTATGTTGAAAAGTAGGTGAAATCTTTGTGTATTATCTAAGAAATGCTCCCTGCTCTAAGTCCCGAAGATATTCTTTTAAGTTTGGCTGTTCATATTTAGCAATTTGAAATGCCAAAATTTTGTAATTATATCATGAAGAAGGGAACTAATTTTACTTTTTCCTTTAAAGAACTGGCCAGTTTAGTACTATTTATTGAGTAGTTTGATCGTTTCTGCACTGATCTGATTTTTTAAAAATTTCCCGTTATCTTTTATGTATCTAGTTCTACGTTTTGAGGCTCTCTATAGTTTTGCAGCAAATCTGGCTATCTGGTAATGTGTATTTGCATCATGCCTTCTTGCAAATTTCTTGCTGTTGGTCCTTTATTCCATGTGAACTTTTGGATCTGTTTCTCAGCTTTCATTAAAAATACTGTAGGCAATTTGATTGGAATTTCTTTGAATTTATAGATGTTCATGAGAATCGCCATCCTAAAAAAATGTGTCCTACCATTTGTATAGATCTTCATGCTTTCAGGCGTTATTTTCTCTGTAAAGATATTTAATATATCATTAGTTTTGTTGGTGTTATGAATGGTACTTAATGAATATTTTCTACTTTATTAGTTTTTAAATATTCTTTACTGAACACTTTTGCTGAATTCTTTATTAGTTTTAATAATTCTTAGTGTCACTTGGATTTCCTGTATAAATTATTCTTAATGTATGTTTTATTTTGGCATGGACAATAATTTTATTGTCCCAGAGAAATTAATGGGATTTCAGAGAAACTGTGTGCCACAGGATCAGGATGCTAGAACGCAGTTCCACTTAATTTGGGAAATACCTATTTGGAAGTTTATATCCATGTGCATCCTGATGAGCGGGAGGTGTCTGTCTCTCTCTTGGGTTTTTCTTGACACTAGAGTTAGTCTCTGCAAGGGCCTTTAAAAGTTAAATTCCACTCCCCACCCCCCAATCTGGTATAGATATTACTGCTACTCTTGGATTTCACTCAGTTTATTTCCTTTTAGGAGACGCAGGTCAGAATGGAAATGGGCTGCAGACCGGGCAGCTATTGTCAGCCGCTGGAACTGGCTTCAGGCTCATGTTTCTGACTTGGAATATCGAATTCGTCAGCAAACAGACATTTACAAACAGATACGTGCTAATAAGGTAAGGGATAAGTATCTGATGTTTTTAAATGCTGCCGAAAACTATCAATATCGCTTTTCTCACATCCCCTCCCACCTCGTAACCCCCATAACCCTCTTCTTAACTATTGCAAAGTAAATGGTTTAATGACCTGATATAGTGGTTTAATTTAAGAACCTGATGTGGCTGCGCGTGGTGGCTCACTCTTGTGATCCCAGCACTTTGGGAGGCCAAGGCAGGAGGATCATTTGAGCTCAGGAGTTCGAGACCAGCCTGGGCAACATAGTGAGACCTTGTCTTTACAAAAATTACAAAAATTAGTTGAGCATGATAGCATGTGCCTGTAGTCCCAGCTACTTAGGAGGCTGAAGTGGGAGTATCTCTTGAGCCCATGAAGTGGAGGTTGCAGTGAGCCAAGATTGTGCCACCACACTCCAGCCTGGACAACTAAGAAAGGCCTGTCTCATAAAAAGGAAAACACTATTAGAATATAATGTTTAACTGAACGTGTATTTAGAACAAAACTGTGTGGGTATCTGAGCTAACAGGAAACAAGGAAAACAGACTGAATAATGCAAGCAAGCCATTGATGTTAACTGTCATATTTGTTAGATTTATATTTGTTAGTTCCCTGTTATAAAACTGCCACATTTCATAGAACTTAAGATGCTACTGATGGTAAGATGTACCATTATTTTAAGTGCTTACTGTGTCTCAGCAGTGTTCTCAAAAATCCTACCTTCATGAAGCTTACATTCTTGCAAAGTATTTTTTATATTAGCTTGGTGTGGCTGAGCTCTATCTTTATGTAGACCCATGTCTAGAAAAAGTCTATTGCTACTAAAAATAAGGGTCAAAATGCCTTTTTGACCTTAGTACTAGTCAAAGCCTTAAGAAAATGGCTTTCCTGTGAACAGTATCCGTTAAATTAGTAGGCCAAAAGTTGAAGGTTGATCAACTGATAAAATGAACAGAATGATCAGGGTTTGAAGTGAAAGTTCTGTGGGCTATCTAATCATTTAAACTTTTATTCTAAAAATGTCACTGCGGACTTATAGCTTCTTTCCAGATTGGAGATACATATATATATATATTCCCCCTCCCCCTAAAAGTTCAATAGAGCATACTTTAATTGAGGACACAGTCCAGAGGGCTCACTTTTTTATTCTTACTAGTTTGTTCCCTTAGGGTAGCATACAAATTAAATCCTGATTTACTTATTTAAAAATTAGCTGGAACAAAACTAATAAACATTCTAGATTTGGTGCATATTTTGCTTTCCCAAGTCTTCACAAAGGAAATTTTAAAGTGAGATTTGTAGAACTTGAACTGAAATGATGACTAAGAATAACTAGGAGGTGACTGGATATGCCTGTACTGAGGAGAAAAACACAGTCTTTCTCTATCAGAGACACCTCTTCAGTGTCTGTTTCTAGGTTTTTATAGCCAGTAGTTAAGTGGGATTTTCTATATTTGAGAACTAGAGTCTCTTAGTAACAACTGAGATTAGTATAATAGTAGTCATAAGTGTTGCTTCATCTTTTTATATACATTCATAAATATATATGTGGGTTTATATATGTGTATATGTTATATCATCTTAGTTCCTTGTTATAAAACTGCTACATTTCATAGAACTTAAGATGCTATTGATTGTAAGATGTACCATTGTTTTAAGTACGACAAAGAAATTATTTCAGTTAAACTAGGGCATAACAGAAATTGTAAAATGCATCTTGATTTAAAAGTTGTTGACATGTGGGGAGAGTACCTCTTAGAATTGATGAAATACTGTGTATCAATTCTCAGGAAACTTTGAAATGACATAGAAGTATAAAAGACACCCACCCTCCCCCCCCCCCAAAAAAAAACAACCCAACAGCTCAAAATTATCTCGCTACCAACATTATGGTACATTTTCGTAGCACATAAGTAATTTGTTCAAATACAGTCATGTTACGTATGTGCCCTGAATATTTCCCAGTTGGTTTTTGGAAAACATTTTTAATGGCTGCATGCTATTGGCTTTCTTTGTTGACTATTTAAGTTACATTTGTTATTTAAATTAAATATGCCATGATAAATATCTTTATCTCAGTCAAAGGTATGAATGCTCTTTTATGTTCTTAATGCATTCTTCAGAGAAGTATTTTGGCAGTGTCAGTTTATAATCTCACTAGTTGTGTATAAGAAGATACTCACCTCATTTGGTTCATGCTTTATTCTTCAGCTCATCACTCAGAAGTAATGACAGAGCAATTTTCAGAAACTTTCAAAATATCAAAATATCTGAAAAGTATTTCTAAATATCTGGAAAATAATCTGGAGTTTTGTGTATACCATCACACATTGCTTAACGAAAGGGAAACTGAGAAATGTGTTGTTAGGTGATTTCATTGGTGCGTGAACATCATAAAGTGCACTTAAATTCAAGCTGAGGGCCGTGCGCAGTGGCTCACGCCTGTAATCTCAGCACTTTGGGAGGCCGAGGCATGGGAGTCCGAGGTGGGTGGGTCACCTGAGGTGAGGAGTTTGAGACTAGCCTGGCCAACATGGTGAAACGCCTGTCTCTATGAAAAATACAAAAAAATTAGCCAGGTGTGGTGGCGGGTGCCTGTAATCCCAGCTACTCGGGAGGCTGAGACAGGAGAATCACTTGAACCTGGGAGACAGGGTGCAGTGAGCTGAGATCGCGACACTGCACTCCAGCCTGGGCAAAGCAGAGCGAGTCTCTGTCTCATATACATACATACATACATACATACCTACATACATACATACATACATACTTACATATATACATACTTAATACATACAAGCTGAGGTGGTATGGCCTGCTATTCACTTAGACAATATGGTATATAGCCTATTGCTCCTAGGGTATAAACCAGTACATCATGCTACTATACTGAATACTGTAGGCAATTAGTGGTAAAGATTTATGTATTTAAACATACCTAAACATAGAAAAAATACAGTAAAAATGTAGTAGAAAAGATAAAAATGGTACACCTGTATAGGGCACTTACCATGAATGGAGCTTGCAGGACTGGAAGTTGCTCTGGGTGAGTCGGTGGGTGAAGGGTAACTGAAATTGAAAAGCCTGGGACATGACTGTACACTACTATAAACTTTATAAATACTGTACACCGAGGCTACACTACATTTATTTTAAATATTTTTTTCAATAATAAATTAACCTTAGCTTACTATAACTTTTTGCTTTATAAACTTTTAAGTTTTTAAAACTTTTTGACTCTTTTGTAATAACACTTAGCCTAAAACACAAACACATTGTAATTGTACAAAAATATTTTCTTCACACCTTATTCTACAAGCTTTTTTCTATCTTTAAAACTTTCCATTTTAAAATGAAAGTTTTATTTTTTAAACTGTTTTGCTAAAAACTAAGACACAAACACACACATGAACGTAGGCCCACATGGGGTCAGGTTTGTCAGTATTACTGTCTTCCACCTTCACATCTTGTTACACTGTTAGGTTTTCAGGGCCAACAACACACACGGAGCTTTCATTGCCTGTGACAGTGCCAACAGAAGGACCTGCTGGAGGCTGTTTCACAGTTCACTTCTTTTAATGAGTAGAAGTACTCTCTAAAATAACGATTAAAAGTATAGTATAGTAAATACATAACACTTTTTATTATCAGAAATAAGTGTAACAGTAACATAGCTTTTATTATCAGCTATTATATTCTTAGTGTACATAATTGTATGTGGTATACTTCTAATAGCAGCACTGTAGGTTTCTTTACACCAGCATCACCACAAACACAGGAGTAGTGCTTTGTGCTAAAACAGGTATTCTTCAGCTGTATTAAAATCTTATAAGACCATCATTGTATATGTGGTCTGTCATTGACCATAATGCTATTTGGCACATGAATGTATGTTGCTTATCCAAGAGTTTCATCATTCAAAGCGTATTGTATTAAGCACCATACTTGGACTTGGTAAATTTTTGTTTCTAATCGTGGCTTTGCTACCAGCTGCTTACATGAACCTTGAGAAGAAAAGTCACTTAACATTTCTGAGCTTCAGATTCTTGGTCTGTAAAATACAACATCATAGATAATCTTTTACTTCTCAGAGTTCCGATAGGAAGAATAAAACTAGGTTGATAGTTCCAATAAGTAATGCATCAAGAAAATTCACAGCTTTACGTGTCGTATTTATACATTTCTTTTTCAACAAATGGATTAGTTTCCTAGACTGCCATAACAAACTATCACAAATGGGATGGCTTAAAAAATCAGAAATGTGTTCTCTCACCGTTCTGGAGGACAGAAGTCTGAAATTATGGTGTCAAAAGGGCCATGGTCTCTATGGAGGCTCTAGGGAAGAATCCTTCCTTGTCTTTTTCCAGCTTCTGATATTGTGCTAGTCCTTGGTGTTCTTGGCCTGTAGCTACATCACTGCAGTTGCTGCCTCCATCTTCATATGACCATCTTTCTCTTTGCATCTGTGTAGATTTCCATGTTAGGAGGACACCAGTCATATTGAATTTAGAGCCCACACTAAATGGCTCTTCATAACTTGATTACATCTGCAAAGACCCTTTTTCTAAACAAGGTCATATTCACAGGTTCTGGGTGAACATAAATTTGGAAGAGACAATATTCAACTTGCTCTAACAAGCCATGGAATTTTCCCCCAATGATATATTCACATGCATTTAGTCTTTATGTAACACTATAATTAATAGAAGTTTTTGAGCACTTGTGATATGTCAGGCACTGTGCTAAGCATTTTACTCTCATTCACGATTTTCAAGATAAACAATGGAAGATCAGAGCAGTCAAGTAGTTTGTTCATGGTTACACATCCAAGTGAGTGCAGAGCTGTTGCTCAAGTTAGTAATCACTTTAAGTGCTTGGGTTTTTTTTTTAGTTACTGAAATGGAAGAAAGTTTTTCCTATGTGTTTTGGTTAAGTGGGTTGGTGTTCATATTTTCCATGCTGCACCAAGATTTCCCAGCACTTCCTGGGTTGCACAGGTCTTTTTTTTTTTTTTTTGAGATGAACCTAGGTGATAGGCTGAATCTTGGTGATAGGCTGTTGAGTTATAATTTGTCTTCGGGTGGGAGATTGGAGGGATGGTGGGGCTTTTCTTTTTAAGGATTTACTTTGTTGCTTATTAACATTAATTTTATTTAAGTGGCGTATTACCAAAAAAAAAAAAAAAAGTATTTGTGACTACTGCTAGGTGATTCTAGGATCCAGACACCAGTTTCTGTTCTGTCAGAAGGTAGGTATTACCTTCCAAGCTGTGAAGTGAGTAGAGTCCCTTTTGGGAATAATATTACTCTCTGGAGAAAGAATATAACTTCTAGGAACTCCTCTGTACTACTTCTGCATGCTGTTGTACTCTTTTAATTTTCATAGTTTGTCAGCTTGTTTTTTAAAAAGAAACTCTTCCATGCTTTAGAAGGAGAAACGAAAACAATATATGTACCTTGAGTGTATACTAATTAAAGGTTTACTCATGTATGTTCGTTTAATGATCAGAATAAATCTTCAGAGGCTTGTAAAAGGCAGAGCTAAATTTAAACTCAGGACTTTTTATCTGATTCCAAAGCATTTTTTTTTCTAACATACTTTGCTGTTGTGTCCTTTTCATCATTTCACTGAAACATGTTTATTGAAATTTCACACCTGGTAAATGAGGGGAAAGAATAGGGACTAAGCAGTTTTTAAGAGGCAGGGTCTTGCTCTGTTGCCCAGGCTGAGGTGCAATGGCCAGATCATAGTTCTCTGTAACCTGAAACTCCTGGGCTCAAGCTATCCTCCTACCTTAGCCTTGCAAGTACAAGTAGCTGGGACCATAGGCAAGTCCCACCATGCTTAGCTAATTGTTAAAGGGTTTTTTTTTTTTTTAAAGGATGGGGTCTCGCTGTGTTGTCCAGGCTGGTCTCAAACTCTTGACCTCAAGTGATCCTCCTTGCCTTGGCCTCCCAGAAGCACTGGCTTGACTCTTACGTTGTTTTTTAAAATCTCCTCTTCTGACTACTCTTTGAGATTACACAGCTGTAGCTGAGGATGGAAATGTTATTGAGGATGGGAGGTGGAAGAGCATTGAAACTTTTGAATAGGGAAGGAGCTGAATGGGAACTGCAGAAGCTTATAACACCTTTCTCTTCAAAATTTTCGTAAAGCTGTTGAAGTTCTCATCTTAATAGGGTTTTTTAAAGCACTTTAGACAACTTATCTTTTCCAGGTAGCCCAGGGTGATTCTTGTGGAACTGGTCTGCAGTGGGGTCACTGGTTTGTCTTGAGATGCATAGGGAAGATTGACCTGATAGAGTGATGTAAGGAAGTATGTGAAATTGCCTGTTAGCTGTATTGCAAATACAGTTAATAGAGGGTTCATCCACAGAGGAGTCACTTAGGAGGTATTAAGGCTGCATGTAACTGTGACCCATTCCAGTTCCTTTGGTCCTTGTGTAAAGCAGAAGCTTGCTTCACTCTTGGAGTTTTCTAGGCCTGTGCAGCCTAAGCATGATCCTGGCTCTGACTCAGGACATGGCGAAGGAAAAGGAGACTCTTGACCTTTTTCTTCGGCTTCTACCGGTTGCTATTTCATAGTACAGCAGCCCTAAGTTTATTGCCACCAGGCTAATGGCACAGCTATTCAACACTGACCCAGTTTAAACCTGGAATGTTAGGGAAGCCCATGTTGGGGTAGCATGACAGGTGTGGAGTAGAACATTATGAAGTTTTCTCAGCTAATGCTAACCTTTCTTTTCATGGTTATTAAACATGAGTAAACTTTATCCGAAATAAATGTTATTGTGGCATATGAAACATTGTATACAGAAAAGGGCAAAGTCATTAAGTGTATAGTTAATGAATAAATATAGCTCAAAATATATTAAATATATTTCGGGGAATGTTAAGTAATTACGTAGACCTCCTCTGTAAAGCCTCACTTTCATCAGTCTCTTCAGTTAGGCTCTTTTCTGCTCTGACATCACCTTCTCTCAACTTCTGTTATAGTACTGTCATAATACTTTGTCTCTTTGTCTGTTCAAGGCTAGATGAACATAAGCTCCTTATGGTAGAATCTGTTTTTATTTTATTACTGTGTTTTCACACTACCTTGCACGTGGTAGCCACTCAATAGATGCTACCTGCATGAATGACTCTTACCTACTTGGATGCTTTTTATTTGCTCAGCCTCTTTTTAGCTGTTTTCATCCTTTTTGGTGTGAGGTACAGTATTAAATTAGAGGATCCAGTGTTTGGTTTTGAATGCCATAGTGAACTTACATATCTTGGGGGCAATGGACAGTGTATGGATGATTGTTGGTTGCTTCAGTGTAACACTTGAGCACATATTTTCAAAAATAGGTTTAATTAAAACTAATGTGTATTCAAATGTCCTCTGAACAAATGAAGAAGAGTTCCATTCTTCTGGTTGTGGAAGCTAGAAACCTTGGCAGTGTCTCTGACTCTTTTCCCTCCTATCTTGTAAGCACATTGGCATAGCTGGTTGATTCTGTCTTCAAATAAACATTCAAGCAGGGGCACAGTGGCTCATGCCTGCAACCCGGCACTTTGGGAGGCCAGGGCGGGTAGATCTCTTGGCCCCAAGAGTTTGCAACCAGCCTTGGCAACATGGTGAAACCCTTTCTCTACTAAAAATACAAAAAACTAGCCAGGCGTGGTGGTATGCGCCTGTAGTACCCCCTCCCACTTGTATCTCTCTCTCTCTCCTGGGCTTAAGTGATCCTCCTGAATATCTGGAACTACAGGTGTGATATTACACCAGGCTAATTTTTATTATTATTGTTTTTGTGGAGACAGGGTTTTGCCACGTTGCCCAGGCTGGTCCTGAACTCCTGGCCTCAAGCAGTCCTCCTGCATTGGCTTCCCAAAGTGCTGGAATTACAGGCATGAGCCGTCACGACCAACCCCACCATTTCCACTTCTTAATCCCCTCACTATCCTATATTTTGTTCTCTCTAGCATTTAATACCTTCTAATGTAGTACATAACATTTACCTATTTACATTGTTTTTCTTTGCCGCAGTATTAGAACGTAATAAGCACTTTGAAGGATGGGTTAGGGGAGAGGGATAGGTCTCTCATTTTTTCTTGTATCCTTAGTACCTAACAAATGCTGATGAGCGGATAAATGATTGAATTAACTGAACAAAAGAGGAATGAAATATTAGTTAGATGCAGACTTTTGCCCCAGTTCTGCCATGTATTGGCCTGTAGAGACATAAGCTTTGACCTACATCCTCTGTGGGTCTATAAAATTATGTCGATGAATAGATGGTCCCTACCAAGTTTTATTATACTCTCTTAGGAGATGTCTTCATAATCTATCTGAGGGTTGTATTTAGAAATTATTCTGTAGTTTAAGGAAAAATTCTTCCCTTTGGAAAATACTGTGTCCTTACTTTCATATAACTGAAAAAGAAAAATTGAAGGAGTAATTTTATATCTAATTGTTAGATTTATTTATCTTCTGGCTATAATTATTATAAAGTTAATATTTTCCTGTTAGGAAAAAAATTATACAACTCAACGAATATTTGCTATGCATTTATTTTCTTGGTGTATGACTCTGCTAAGGGACATGGGTCATTTAAATATATTTGTATTTTGTCCACATCTTCAATAAACTAACATTAGTTAACAATTAAAGGCTGGGTGCAGCGGCTTGCACATGTAATCCCAGCACTTTGAGAGGCCGAGGCAGGTGGATTGCTTGAGTCTAGGAGTTTGAGACGAGCCTTGGCAACATGGTGAAAGTCCATCTCTACCAAAAAATAGAACAATTAGCTGGGTGTGGTGGCTTGCACCTGTTATCCCAGCACTTTGGGAGTTTGAGGCAAGTGCATTACTTGAGTCCAAGAGTTCGAGACCAGCCTGAGCAACTTGGTGAAACCCCATCTCTACCAAAAAAATACAAAAATTAGCTGGATGTGGTGGCATGCACCTGTTATCCCAGCTATTTATGGGGTTGAGGTGGGAGGATCACTTGAGCCCGGGAGGGGGAGGTTACAGTGATTCGTGACCACACCACTGCACTCCAGCACAGGTGACAGAGCTTGACCCTGTCTCAACAAACAAGAAACTGAGGCAATAATAAGTGAAATAAATAATGTGGCATAAGATTATGAATGCTCTGGAAATGAGATTTAAATACACAGAAAGTAAGATACAATCACCGTGCTTTAGGAGGTCTGGCAGTGTGGATAAAGCAAGTAGGAACTCATTAACCCGGGACATTTTCTTGGAAGGAGGTGGGACTTGTTGAAAATCTCTTTGGAAGGACGAACGGCAATTTGGACTGATAAAATATAAAAATGAGTATAAATAAAGATGAACAGCTCATGTTTTAACCTTTAATTCAGTTTTTTTTAACCTTCTACTGACTAATAACCCTTACCTCCAGCAGCAGCAACAGCTTCACATTCATTGAAACATTTGTCTAGGAGATGATGAGATTGGTATAACACTAACAAATATTTGGGGAAAGTAGTTGGAAATTGATCTTTAAAAAAGTTCTTAGGAACCGGTTATGGGAAAATTTGAATAATAAAATGATTTTTGGCATGCTTTGTACAGGAAGCAGGAAGACAGTTTGGGCCCTTAAGTAGGGAATATCTGTTGAATACAACGTTTTGAGAAGGCAGTGGTGTACAAGATAGCTGTCTTTTGCAAATAGTTTTTATTTGGATGTGATAAAGTTTGTAAGGTATATTTTATGCTTTTGATTTAGGGAAGAAAATATTTTGAAGCAGAAGTTCTTTAACCAGAGAAACCTCATTTTAAAGGCTAGGGTTAATGTTTCTTGCTTACTAGTTAATGGCCTTTCTCTTGTTTCTGAGGAGACTCCAATTCTTTTTTTTTTTTTTTTTTTTTTTAATTTTTTAAATTTTGAGGTGGAGTTTCGCTCTCGTTGCCCAGACTGGAGTGCAATGGCACAGTCTTGGCTCACTGCACCCTACACCTCCCAGGTTCAAGCGATTCTCCTGCCTCAGCCTCCCAAGTAGCTGGGATTACAGGGGCTCACCACCACGCCCAGCTATTTTTTGTATTTTTACTGGAGACGGTGTTTCACTGTGTCAGCCAGGCTGGTCTCGCACTCCTAACCTCAACCTCCCCAAGTGCTAGGATTACAGGTGTGATCTACCACACCCAGCCTCCAATTCATTTTTGTTGTTGTTGTTGTTGTTGTTGTTGTTGGAGATAGAGCCTTGGTCTGTCGCCCAGGCTGGTGTGCAATGGTGTGATCTTGGCTCATTGCAACCTCTGCCTCCTGAGTTCAAGCGATTCTCCTTCTTCAGCCTTCCGAGTAGCTGGGACTATGGGCATGTGCCACGACGCCTGGGCAATTTTTGTATTTTTAGTAGAGATGGGGTTTCACCATGTTGGCCAGGCTGATCTTGAACTCCTGACGACCTCAGGTGAGCCGCCATGCCGGGACCCTCCAATTCATTTTTGATACGGGCTAAGTGTAGTCATATTCCAGAATAGGGAGGCAGTGCTTCTTTTGCTTCAAGAGAAAAAGAGATACATACTTCTTTTTAAAAAACTGAAATAAAATTCCATTTTTCTTTCTTAATGTTTTCCCCTTTTCTGCAGCTCGTATTTCATATTGGTTTTTTAGTTACAAGGACCCCAGGGATGGATCATCTGGTTTAGTGGCTCATAAGAGTCTGTCGTATGGCCTAGAGAGCTAAGACTAATAGTCACAATCCCTAGTCCCCCAAATCTATACTTTAGGATGTTCTTTGAGCCCACACTAATCAAGTCTAGTGTTTTTCAACTTTACAAGCTTTTAAAGAATAGTAGAATATCCACCTCTGGGCATGGTGGTAGGCACCTGTCATCCCAGCTACTCCAGAGGCTGAGGTGGGAGGATTGCTGGAGCCCAGGAGTTTGAGATCAGCCTCGGTAACATAGTGGGGTTGGCGGGGTGGGGGAGGAGAGAGACACCCACCTCCATGTACCCACCATGTCCTGCCTCCCTTCCCCCATAAAAAGGTAGACTACCTGGCCCCACCCCCAGAGGTACTGAGTAGATGTTGGACCTAAGCCAGTATAGTTTGATAAGGTTCCCCAGGTGATTCTGATAATAAATTTCCATTAAGAGCTTCTTAATCTAGTTAGATCTCTATTTTTTAGACCAGAGAAAGAGATTGGGAACCCTGATCACTTGCATCCCAGTCTTTCGGTTATATAGTGTCATAGCGTTATTTTTGTCACCTCTTCTGGTATACATGGTGGGATTCATATGTAGTATTTTGTTTTTTTAATAATAAGATACCTTCTGCTTTTACCCATCCTGGCTCATTATATGTACAATGGGGAGGACTTGTGGGTTCATTTTTAATTTCTTTTTATGTAAATTGTTTCCTGGAATGAATTTCCAAAGGTCTGAATTTGAAATTGTCAAGCAGGAACTTAATCTGAAGTAATATTTATGCTTATGAAAAAAGCAGGTTCCTTTGGGCCAGCTTTTAAGAAGCTCTTGGTTTCTCATAAATTGTAGGGGACTGTTCCACATTTGTTTCATTCAGTTTTGTTTGTGCAGGTATAGTTGGTGGAGTACATGATTAAGAATAGTAGCATTTTCAGCTTAGTAAGTCATAAACTGCATTTGTTGGCTACAAAAACTGCATTGCTGCTGTTAATCTAGTGGAGTCTAGTAATATGGTATAAATGCCATAATCTGGTAAAGATTTCATATCTGAAAGATATGAATAAAGATGCTAAATGGCTGATGAGCCATGTAGGTCAGAGCAGTCAAGTGGCAGAGAGGGGAGCCTGGGTCTGCTGCTTGTTGAAATAGCTCTTTGGGAAAACAAAGCTGCTGTTGCTGTAGTTTGTTTCTGAACCATAGGGTGAGGAAGAGGGGGCCTCTAGTACACCAACAGTTCTTTTGAGACTTAACTCCTAAATTAAATTTGAAGTTTATACTGCTCACTTATGCTATTTTTCTCCTCTCTATCCTGCAGGGGTTGATAGTTCTTGGGGAGGTACCTCCCCCAGAGCATACAACAGACTTATTTCTTCCGCTTAGTTCTGAGGTGAAGACAGATCATGGGACTGATAAATTGGTAAGTATAAAAGATAGAAAGGGGGAAATGCGTGAGAATTAAGGGTGTTGTCTTGGCACACCGTTTTTTCTCTGTAACTAGAATCCTTGCATTGGCTGAAGAAGGGGAACTATATCTACTTTTATCACTTTTGGCGTTTTAAGATCTGAATTCCTGAATAGGGAATCTAGGGCCCCTCCTGCAGCTGTGTAGCTGACCATAGGATTAAAAGCAGCTCCAATTCTCAAAACACTACAGCCAGAGCAAGTAAGTCTTTAGGGAGTATCATTGGGAATCAGGAGACCTGGGTGTGGCTCTGACACCTGAGACATAAGGTCACCTTTCTGGGCCACTCTAATATATTATAGCCTTTTCATTAAAAGGTTAGACTAGAGGTTAAATTCACAAGAACACTGAAAATGGTCTCTGTGGGTGATTCACTGTTATTCTATAATGAGCATTAAACTGTCATTTTCTGTTTCCTTCTGTATCCTAGCTCTACTGTGATTCCTTCTCTTTCCTGGTTTCTCTCAATACCATAGTTAATTTTCTTTCTGAATTCCAAGAGCACTTGTTCTTTTCACTTTTTTACTTTGCCTAAAAGGTTACTGGGTTTTATGAATATTCATATTTCTTGATTTAAGTCTCCATAACTTAATTAGAAATTCCAAAGTCCCACAACCGTAGTTTATTATTTTGATTATGCTTCAGATAATAAAGCTAGTATGAAGTGATGGCTTTTTAAATGGTGAGTTAAGCAAGCTGTTCTTGTATCCGCAAATAAACCAACCTTATAGTTCTTTTATTTATTTTAATCATTGTTAGCAGGAACGCATGATGTGGTGGAAACTAAATTTTCTCTGAGGCAGATATTGGAGATGTTTAGATCTTGGAAAGATCTCTCACCTAATTTTGAAAGCCAGCCACTGTTGCTAGAGATAAATGTGAAGACACTAGAAGATTGATAGTTCTTAACTGGAAAGTAGTTTTGAATAAATTAAAGAGCAGAATGCCAAGTTTTGCCACTATTTAAGTCTATAATATAAGTTCATTGCATGCTGTTTACAGATCTTTTTTAAGTTATTAATGAAACTTTTAGTGAATGGTCTAATCAGGGTAAAAATTGTTAAGTGAGAAAGGAAACATAGATACATTGGTGGTATGGGTACAGGAAACATGAAACATGAGGCATATGTGATAGGGGAGTAAGTTCTATGTAGATACTTATATATTTGTATATAGAATTTAGGGATTCCAAACTTTTTTGAGTAATCTCCCTGTAGTCATGTTTTCTCTTACCTCAGCACTTCTGAAGGACAGGGCATAACAGTCCTCCATTGTGTTACTAATCCTCATTGTCTTAAAAAATCCACAGTGATTGTGAGACAGTTTATACAGATTCACTTGTACACACACACTCTTTAGGAGCTTGGTCCTTTCCCTACCCTTCATTCATTTACTTGTGTGTTAAATTGTAAGATTCCTGTGTGTGTATTAAATTGTAAGATTCTTGAAGGTCAAGACCATCTTTCCCTTTGTGTTGGCCATACTAGTTTCAACATTGTGCAATAGAATGCTTTTTGGATTGAGTAAAATAAATAATGAAAACAACTAAGTATACACTGTCACTATTTTGTCAAGGAGAGATTACCCCTTCCCTGTTTTCGTGAATTATCTACCCTTTATGAATATATCCATGCTTTCTGAAAAGCGTTCAGAAAGTATTAAGAGAAGACAGGGGTTGGGGGGTGGGGTGGGGGGAGCAGGGACAATACATTTCCATTGTTTATTATTAGTAGAATGGGCGCAGAGCATATGTTTCTTAAAAGCTATTGGCTTAAATTTATAAAATGCCAAATATTTGCAAAGCTGTGCGTATGTCAATTGCCAGGCAAAGTTTTTCTGTATAAGAAGGCAGTATTTAACTTTGCTTGTTTGTTCCCCAGGTTTTTTTGTTTTGTTTTGTTTTAAATTTTAGGAAAGTGACTTTTCTCAGTTTTGCTTAAAAAAAAAAATTAGGTTGCCCGGGACAGAGGGCAACTGTAGGTTTTCATACCCACATGTAACCAGCCTGTTTTCCATTTTGTTAATTTTTTCCCCAAATGGAGGTAGGTGTATTTATTCCTTTTTTTTTTTTTTTTTTTTTTTTAGACAGGCTCTTGCTCTGTCACCCAGGCTGGAGTGTAATCGCACAATCATAGCTCCCTTCAGCCTCAAACTCCTGGACTGCGCTTGTTTATTACCCAAAAATATATTTGAAGACTTGTAGTTTAAAAATAATAATGTCAGAGGTATTTTCTGTTATGTTTAATTTTTTTATTCTCATTTCTGAAACTCAGCTGGAATTAACAAAAAAATCAGCGTCTTTAGAATTGTCAAAATATAGTTTCAAAACATTAGATATAATTCTTTTCTTTTTCTTTCTCTCTCTCTCTGTCTCTCTCTCCCCTCTCTCTTCTTTTTCTCTCTTTCTTTCCATCTTTTTAGACAGGGTCTTATTCTGTCACCCAGGCTGGAGTGCAGTGGTGCGACCTTGGCTCACTGCAGCCTCTACCTCTCAGGTTCAAGTGATCCTCCCACCTCAGCTTCCCAAGTAGCTGGGACTACAGGCATGTGCCACCATGTCTGGCTAATTTTTGTATTGTTTGTAGAGATGGGGTTTTACCAAGTTGCCCAGGCTGGTCTCAAACTCCTCAGCACAAGCAATCCGCTGGCCTTGGCCTCCAAAACTGCTGGGATTACAGGTGTGAACCACTGCACCAGCCTAGACATAATTCCTAAATATATAGTGATTTACTGAATAACAAGGGAATCATGATGGTGGCCAAACTGTTAACAGTATTTTAATACCAGATAAAAAGGAAGAATGCAGGAATATGATTACTCAGTAGCATACAAAAGTTATTAATATCCTATAGAACAATAAAGCTGTAACTTTGGACATTGTTTTCAACAAGATGCAAACCAACTTTAACTTGTCAGCGTTCTAAAATAAACATCCAGTAAGACTTCTGGGCCCTAATCAATTATAGATAGTAGGTAAAACAAAGTTAAATAATTTATGGAGAGTCAGATGTTTCCTGGGTGGGCTTGTTAGGTAATGTCCCAGTGGTACACTGCAAGGATACATAGTCTTTTTGCTTTATTTCCAAACAGGATGATTGTTTATTGACAGAACCAGTATATATCTGCTTGGGTCTTGAATACAGTACAGATATTATTGAACTAAGTTGTTCTAAAAGGACCCAACCTATGAGCAAAAGAACTGGAGACTGAATTCATGGGTGAACCTTTTTTGAGTCATGGAGCAAATCAAGGAATATTTTCTGGGTTAGGGAAGTGGGTACTGTTTTTATACCACAGAGTAGTGGGTTAGAGAAAGGGAAGACCTAAGGAGGAATGCCTAGAAAAATGCCTCTTTTTTTTATTTTAACCTCTTCATTCTGACTTCTGACTCAAAGGCAGTTTTAAAGGTGTAAGGCTAGCTGAGGGAGAGAAAACTTAACGGGCCTCTAGCTTGGTAGCTGCCGATAAGTCGTGTGTACAGATAAATGCTTCTGTGAAATTTAAGACTCCTTTTGAACAAAGAGGGTGTGCCCTTGGAAAGAGAGCATGTAAAAAGCGGTTGAGAGTTGTTCTCTAGTGTTCTGAAACATGCCTTTTATCTTCCCCACCTTCTCATTCTCTCTCTTCAATAAATAGAAGCTTGCTTTCCCCTGCTTAAGAAAAAGTAATGAGCAAAGAAGGGCAAGCTTGGAACCTGTGCATATTACTAGGTAAATTACTCAACAATGTCAGCAAAATTTCAGACAGAAAGTATTGCCAGGAAGAGATGAGAGCATTCTCAGTCCATGTGCCCCAGAGCTTCTAGAATTCAATAGTCACTGCTTCATGGGCTTGTATATTATCAGAGGATGGAGTTCAGGGCTGCCAAGTAGGTAGAAATTGAAGGAGGGGAATAGTGGCAAAGAGGGAGCTATGGGAGATGGGGAGGGGCATAGGCCCACAATCTATTTGAGCCCCTTTCAGATCTTTGTGCTCACCCCTGACCTGCACATGTTTAGGGAAGATTTTATAGGGCATAGTGGAAAGCAATAATTGGAAGGCTGAAAGAGCTGAACAGAGAAGATCATCATTGCCTAATGCAGGGAAGGCAGAATTTGGAGTTCGAATTCCAACTAGACTTGGCAAAAACCTGAGGGCTTTGATTGAAACCAATAAAGGCTCACACTTAAAGAGTTAAAGAATGTTTCCCAGGACGAAGGCATTCACCATAGGATTAAGGAGGGAACCAAAATAGACTCCACTATGCTTTTATAAAAACAAAACTAGCTCCACAAAATGAAGGTAACCAGGTAGTAGTAGTATGCCTGCTAGAACAAAAATCAACACTCTTTAGGAAAAGCTAACTAAATTCAGAGTCTCTATAATGTATTGCATACATTGTCTGTATATAATAGAAAATTACCATACATATGAATAAACATGAGAATATGATTCTTAGTCATGAGGAAAAAGAAAAAAAAGATGGAAAAAAATTGAGGAACTTAATGACTGGATTTTTGAATTTAAACAGTCAGTTTACAAATGTATGAAACTTTAGGCCGAGCACGGTGGCTCATGCCTGTAATCCCAGTACTTTGGGAGGCCGAGGTGGGTGGATCACCTAAGGTCAGAAGTTTGAGACCAGTCTGGCCAACATGGTGAAACCCTATCTCTACTAAAAATACAAAAATTATCCAAGCGTGGTGGCAGACACCTGTAATCCCAGCTACTCGGGAGGCTGAAGCAGGAGAATCGCTTGAACTCAGGAGACAGAGGTTGCAGTGAGCCGAGATCATGGCACTGCACTGCAGCCTGGGCAACAGAGTGAGACTCCATCTCAAAAATAAAATAAAAAAATCATGAAACTTCAAGAATAATAACCATGAGAATCACAACATTGTAGTAAAAATCGTGAAAATCAAAGGTGAAGACCTTATTCCTGAGCTGTGATGCTGTTTAAAAATTAGGAAAAAAACCTAACGCCTAACATCACACTACTTGGTGAAAGTGCTTGTTTTGTTGGTCTACAATTAGGAAAAAAATATATCCTAAAAATATTGTAAGCTGGGCACAGTGGCTCATGCCTGTAATCCCAGCACTCTGGGAGGCCAAGGTGGGCGGGTCGCTTGAGCCTCAGAGTTCAAGACCAGCTCCAGCAACCTGACGAAACCCCGTCTCTACAAAAAAATACAAAAATGAGCCTGGTGTGGGGGCGTGCACCTGTAGTCCTCACTACTCTGGAAGCTGAGGTGGGAGAATTGCTTGAGCCCAGGTGGTGGAGGTTGCACTGAGCTGAGATCATGCTACTGTACTTGAGCCGGGGCGACGGGGTGAGACCCTGCCTCAAACAAACAAAAACATTGTACTCTGTCTTGGCTAATGCAATACTGCAAGAAAAAAGCAATTAAAGGCATGGAAATTGGAAAAGGTAGGGCAAAACTGCTTGTATTTGAAGATATGATACTTAGAAACCCCATGGAATTCCCTAAACCTGTGAGAATTAGAGATTTAGCCAAGGTCTCCAGGTACGGGGTCAATATATAAAAGTCAATTCTATTTTTATTTATTAGAGCAAACAACTGAAAAATAACCCGGAGAAACAGTTCCATTTGCGGTAGTATCAAGAAACATAAAATACTTAGGAATAAATCTAACAAAAGACGTTAATGACTTTACTGCTGAAACCATAAAACTTCTGAAAAAGATTACATAAGTGAACGGAGATGTATGCTATATTTATGTGTTAGGAGAGTCAATGTTAGACACAATGATTCAATGCAAACCCAGTGAAAAATCCCAGCAAGATTTTTTGGTTTTTTTTTATTGATAATTCTTGGGTGTTTCTCACAGAGGGGGATTTGGCAGGGTCATGGGACAATAGTGGAGGGAAGGTCAGCAGATAAACAAGTGAACAAAGGTCTCTGGTTTTCCTAGGCAGAGGACCCTGCGGCCTTCCGCAGTGTTTGTGTCCCTGATTACTTGAGATTAGGGAGTGGTGATGACTCTTAACGAGCATGCTGCCTTCAAGCATCTGTTTAACAAAGCACATCTTGCACCGCCCTTAATCCATTTAACCCTGAGTGGACACAGCACATGTTTCAGAGAGCACAGGGTTGGGGGTAAGGTCACAGATCAACAGGATCCCAAGGCAGAGGAATTTTTCTTAGTGCAGAACATAATGAAAAGTCTCCCATGTCTACCTCTTTCTACCCAGACACGGCAACCATCCGATTTCTCAATCTTTTCCCCACCTTTCCCGCCTTTCTATTCCACAAAGCCGCCATTGTCATCCTGGCCCGTTCTCAATGAGCTGTTGGGCACACCTCCCAGACGGGGTGGTGGCTGGGCAGAGGGGCTCTTCACTTCCCAGTAAGGGCCGCTGGGCAGAGGCGCCCCTCACCTCCCGGACGGGGCGGCTGGCCGGGCCGGGGGCTGACACCCCCACCACCCTCCCGGACGGGGTGGCTGGCCGGGCAGAGGGGCTCCTCACTTCCCAGTAGGGGCGGCCGGGCAGAGGCGCCCCTCACCTCCCGGACGGGGCGGCTGGCCGGGCGGGGGGGCTGACCCCCCCCCACCTCCCTCCCGGACGGGGCGGCTGGCCGGGCGGGGGGCTGATCCCCCCACCTCCCTCCCAGACGGGGCGGCTGGCCGGGCAGAGGGGCTCCTCACTTCCCAGTAGGGGCGGCCGGGCAGAGGCGCCCCTCACCTCCCGGACGGGGCGGCTGGCCGGGCGGGGGGGCTGACCCCCCCCACCTCCCTCCCGGACGGGGCGGCTGGCCAGGCGGGGGGCTGACCCCCCCACCTCCCTCCCGGACGGGGCGGCTGGCCGGGCAGAGGGGCTCCTCACTTCCCAGTAGGGGCGGCTGGGCAGAGGCGCCCCTCACCTCCCAGACGGGGCGGCTGGCCAGGCGGAGGGCTGACCCCCCCACCTCCCTCCCGGACAGGGCGGCTGGCCGGGCGGGGGGCTGATCCCCCCACCTCCCTCCCGGACGGGGCGGCTGGCCGGGCAGAGGGGCTCCTCACTTCCCAGTAGGGGCGGCCGGGCAGAGGCGCCCCTCACCTCCCAGACGGGGCGGCTGGCCGGGCGGAGGGCTGACCTCCCCACCTCCCTCCCGGACGGGGCGGCTGGCCAGGCGGGGGGCTGACCCCCCCACCTCCCTCCCGGACGGGGCGGCTGGCCGGGTGGGGGGGCTGACCCCCCCATCTCCCTCCCGGACGGGGTGGCTGGCCGGGCAGAGACGCTCCTCACTTCCCAGATGGGGTGGCTGCCGGGCGGAGAGGCTCCTCACTTCTCAGATGGGGCAGCTGCCAGGCGGAGGGGCTCCTCACTTCTCAGACGGGGTGGTTGCCAGGCAGAGGGTCTCCTCACTTCTCAGACGGGGCGGCCGGGCAGAGATGCTCCTCACCTCCCAGACGGGGTCTCGGCCGGGCAGAGGCGCTCCTCACATCCCAGATGGGGCGGCAGGGCAGAGGCGCTCCCCACATCTCAGACGATGGGCGGCCGGGCAGAGACGCTCCTCACTTCCTAGATGTGATGGCGGCTGGGAAGAGGCGCTCCTCACTTCCTAGATGGGATGGCGGCCGGGCGGAGACGCTCCTCACTTCCTAGATGGGATGGCGGCCGGGCGGAGACGCTCCTCACTTTCCAGACTGGGCAGCCAGGCAGAGGGGCTCCTCACATCCCAGACGATGGGCGGCCAGGCAGAGACACTCCTCACTTCCCAGACGGGGTGGCGGCTGGGCAGAGGCTGCAATCTCGGCACTTTGGGAGGCCAAGGCAGGCGGCTGGGAGGTGTAGGTTGTAGTGAGTCGAGATCGCGCCACTTCACTCCAGCCTGGGCACCATTGAGCACTGAGTGAACGAGACTCCGTCTGCAATCCCGGCACCTCGGGAGGCCGAGGTTGGCGGATCACTCGCGGTTAGGGGCTGGAGACCGGCCCGGCCAACACAGCGAAACCCCGTCTCCACCAAAACCAGTCAGGCGTGGCGGCGCGTGCCTGCAATCGCAGGCAATCGGCAGGCTGAGGCAGGAGAATCAGGCAGGGAGGTTGCAGTGAGCCGAGATGGCAGCAGTACAGTCCAGCTTCGGCTCCGCATGAGAGGGAGACCGTGGGGAGAGGGAGAGGGAGAGGGAGAGGGATTTTTTGGTTTATGTTGTGTTGTTTTTGGTAACAATTGAACATTGATTTTCAAGTATGTATGGAAACGTTAAGTATTTTCAAGAGCCAAAACAATTTTTTTTTTTTTTTTTGAGATGAAGTCTCTCCCTGTCACTCAGGCTGGAGTTCTGTGGTGTGATCTGGGCTCACTGCAACCTCCACCTCCTGGGTTCAAGTGATTCTTCTGCCTCAGCCTCCCGAGTAGCTGGGATTACAGGCGTGTGCCACCACACCCAGCTAGTTTTTGTATTTTTAGTGGAGACGGGGGTTTCACCATGTTGGCCAGGCTAGTCTTGAACTCCTGACCTCAAGTGATCCGCCTGCCTCAGCCTCCCAAAGTGCTGGGTTTACAGGCGTGAGCCACTGCACCTGGCCAGTAGCCAAAACAATTTTTAAAAACAAGAACCAAATTGGAGGAGTCACACTCTCCTCCTACTACCTGATTTCTAGCCTTCTTACAAAGTTAATTTAAAATTTATAATTTGCTTTTAACAATGTTTGATAGATAATGAAAGTTAGTAAAAGCTAATTGTCATTGTTCCAGACTGCACTTTGTGTCTGAAAGACAAAGTAGAACCAGGTATCTATCTTTTCTTGAGTGCTTCTTGTTCTTCCAACAAGCATAAAATGGGAGTGCTGGAGGGAGTCAGTAAAGGTAGTTTCCTAGGGAAGGATGGACTTTTTTCTGAGTCTTACGGACTTGCTGAAGCATGGTGTAGGGAGTAACGTGTAATGCAGCATAGGCTTGAAAGAGCCTGGCATTATCAGGTAACTGCAAATACTTTTCTGTGATGGAGTGTTGGATATTTCGGCCAATTCAGAATGGATTCTATATTTATCTTAAGTGAGTACTGTAACTGATAGGAACCTGTAGACTGTACAGATTTATGTATGAATGAAGTTTGTTTTATTAATGCTAGATACATTTTTTCTTCATTCTTTTAAAATATGATTTTAGGCTGGGCACGGTGACCTAAAATCCCAGCACTTTGGGAGGCAGAGGTGGGCAGATCACCTGAGGACAGAAATTTGAGACCAGCCTGGCCAACATGGTGAAACCCCGTCTCTACTAAAAATACAAAAATTAGCCAGGTGTGGTGGTGTGCGCCTGTAATCCCAGCTACTCGGGAGGCTGAGGCACTTGAACCCAGGTGCCTCACTTGGGTTCAAGAATCACTTGAACCCAGGAGGCAGAGGTTGCAATGAGCCAAGATTGTGCCCCTGCATTCCAGCCTGGTCAACAGAGCGAGATTGTGTCAGAAAGAAAGAGAGTGTGTGTGTTGAAATAGTAGTACAGAGTCTCCGTACGGAGCTTTCTCTAATCTTAACACATCTTGTCACAATAATCGTTAATTATCAGAACCACGAAATTAACATTGAAATTAACATTGAACTTATACAAAGTAATAGACATACTTTATTTGAATTTCTGTATTATTAGTTTTCTTATTAATGTCCTTTCTGTTGTCCAGAATCTATCATTGCTTTTAGTTTTTGCATCTCTAAATGTCCTTCAATATGTGAGAGTTCTTAGTTTTTGTATTTCATTACTTGGATACAAGATTTCTGGTCAGTTATTTTGTATAGCATTCCACAAATTGGTGTTTTCTCATTATTAGAGGTTACGCATTGTTTTACAGGAATGCCACAGAAGATACTATACCCTTCTCTACACCACAGGGGGTTCATGATTTTGACTTGTCTTTCTAATAGTGATGATAGGTTTGTTCCCTTGGTTAAGGTGGTGCCTGACAGCTTTCTCCTCTGTAAAATTAGCATTTTTCCCTTTGTAATAACTGACAATATTTATTTATTTATTTATTTATTTATTTAGAGATAGGGTCTCACTTTGTCACCCAGGCTGGAGTGCAGTGTCGCAATCACCACTCCAGCCTTCACCTCCCTGGCTCAGCTATCCTCCCATCTCTCAGCCTCCCAAGTAGCTGGGATCACAGGCATGTGCCACCATGCCTGGCACATTTTTATGTTTTTTTGTAGTGACAAGGTTTTGCCATTTTGCCCTGGCTGGAATAAATGACTGTCTTATAGGGAGACACTATGTAAATATTCTGTTGCTCATTATATTTTTACTCATAATTTTATTGTTCACTGATGACTTTTTCCTACAGCAATTATTGCTGTGTTGTTTACTAAAGGGTGGTTGTTCTACTTCCTACCTGCATTAAATGGAATTCTGTTAGGAAGAGGTGTCTTCCCCCCTCATTTATTTACTCATTCATTGACTCAGTTGTGAATATCAGGATGGACCCATGGATATTTATTTTATTTAATGGATCATAACCTATTACTGTTTATACAGTTGCTCCAGTTATCTCAACTTTGGGTATTGGGCGCTCTTTCAGATTGGCTCCTGTGTCCTTTTAGCATGTACCGCTTATATTTTGAAATACTTTCTACTACTAGATGTTCCAGGTTCCTCTTGTATTTTGCCTACTTCAGCTCAGGTTCCTTTTATTAGGAACTAAAATCTGAGTACTAGTTGTGCTCATTGTTACTTCGTAAGTGTCACTGCTTCTAGGATGTCTCAAAAGGCAAAGCAAGGAAACATATGTATCTATGCTCACAGGTGCATACACACACATCTATATTTCTGTATCTACTTAACCTGTATATATATATAAAAAACCGTAAGTTCATACCAGTTCAACACAGCAGCCTTCCCCCTTCCTTATTGATACTCGTTTAATCCTAGTACCCGTATAGTCTCACAGTTGTCATCTAGTACCCCTGTGAAAAACACATTTGCTAACTAGAGTACAATATTTTTGTACAGTATGTTAACTGTTGTGCAGTCAAAATACAGTTTTCTGAAGTTACGTAGGTTAGTTATTTCCTTCCACCAAATCTTTCAGTATGGTTATGTTGTTTTGTAATACAGTTAGGTTCATTTGTTACTACAGTATTCAATTCTAGCCTTCCCTGTTTTCCCCACCCCGCATTGTTAATTTTTATTTTTGTATGGGAAACATTACTGTGGTTCTAAAAAAGCTATACATTCTTCTTTATATCCTTTTCTCACTCAGCGTCCTGTAGGTTAGCAATTTCAGTACGTTTTGGCTTATCTTTCCTGTATTTTTTTGCACCGATGAGCAGACACATGTATATATTTTTTAAAATCTCCTTCTTGGATAAATATTTTTTAAAATACTAGATTTGACGTTAAGGAGGGTTTTGTTTAGCGAAAAACATTGCTTCTATGGCAATTAACAAGTAACACATTATTTGTGTGTTAGTTTCTGTTTGTAAAATGATCCTGCTCCTTTACCCTTTCCTTGCTCATCCTACTTTACAGAAGTGATGAGAAAAACAAGTGTACTATTAAGTGAAGAGCTAATGCTTTCTCAGAAGAAAGGCATGCTAAAAATGTAAGCTATTGCTGTTTCTTTTTACACAGTCCAAGATACATCTTCATTCCATTGGTGTAAGTAGGAATACTCTTCCTTTCTTTGAAGTTTTGCAGTCACTAGGGACAGTGAGTGGTTCATTGGCCTGACAAGGGTTTTGGGATAGAAGGTAAAGGGACAGATATTGGCCAAGAAATATTTGACCCACAGTGTTAGAAAACACTGACAAGTTAGGTCTTTTATAATAAATTGGGCTATGGATAAATAAGTTGAACAATAAGAATTTAAGATGCATTTTTGCATTTGCTATATTTCTTTAAATTCTAGATAGTTATTTTCAAGTGTTGGTAAACATAAATCTTAGGTTTAGGAACCATTGGATTAGTAACAGCATTATGCTAATCAAAACTTTAAAAAAATGAGTTCAAAATTGTTCTCATGTAATTATATAGATTTTCTTTTATCCTCAACCTGCAGAAGCCGGAAAGTGAGGCACATAGCCCCACATAGGCAGAAATTAAAGCCTAGGCAATAACTTAGTGAAAATGGAATTTTCGGAACATTCCACTTCTTGTTTAGTACAATTTTATGGCCATGGTGCTAGCTAATGGAAATGGCTAGTATACTATTTATAGGCCAGCAATATTTTGGTGAATTTAAGCGAAACTATGCTCAGTATCATTGAAATGGGGGTGGGGTGGGCTTGAGACATGAAATCAATCATACAAAGTCAAAAACTATTTTAACCCAGGAATAAGTTAAATTCCTGTCACCCAGTTAGCATTTTCTTTCCATTTTAATGTTTGTCAGAAAGGGAATAACTAACCAAAACTGAACTGTTGACTTTTCTAGCCAAATGAATGTGATACATTTAAAAAATGACATTGCAAGCAGGTGTGACATGGCATTAATTGAATAAAGTAAAAATACATATTTGCAGGTAGAGTTTAATTTTATTGTGTGCTTTTAAGTGTGTGGCTCTCTGTTTTTACCCCTTAACCCTCTCTACTTTTTGGTAAAACAAATCTAGTAGACATTGGTTCTTAGACCCTAGAAAAAACCACCCCCGTAAAAACTATTTAGTTTTAGCTTTTCATTCAAGGCCTCTTTGTCACGCTTACTTGATCTGGCCCAGAGTGGAGTAATGAATCAGATGCCTGCTTTATGTGAATAACAAATTTGAATCTCATTGCTATGTTAGTAATTTTATGCTGTACACCTGGCCCTTTCAATCGGGGCGGGGGGGCGGGGGGGGGAGCAATTCAGCAACCCTCCTTGCTACCTTTAACTGTAAGATTACGCCAAAAGATAATCCCCTAGGGCCCTGCTTTGGAGAGGAGGGGATTACAGAGGCACTCTGTCTACCACTTTAGCTTTTCTACTCTTTTCTTTCTGGCTGTGGGATGCATAAACCCTGAGTTCATCTCAACATCAAATAAAATTCAAATGGAAGCTTCAGTGATAATCCTTATTTTCTAGGTAGGAGAGTCTTAAGTTCTTTCATCCTTTTTGCAGTTGCCTATTGGATAGCAGATATCTCAGTCATGCTTTAGTTTTCTAAAAACACTAATGATGTAAACCACTGCAGTAGTAATAAGCTGAAATTAGTATGCGGATTTAATATTTCTTAAGTGTTTGTTAATGTTTATCCTCTGCATTTGCAGCCTTTTAGACTGCAGGATAGGAAATGTTCATTTTTTCTCAAGGGAGAGTGCCTGCATTTAAGGAGCTAGGTGAAATTACATGTGTTTGTGTGTTATGTTTTTCTTTTTCCAAATGGAACACTGTGATTGGGATTAATATTTTAAGCTCTTTGCATTGATGATGGGTTGCAGGACATGTCCAAATGCCTGCTGTTGGATACTAGCTTGATTACAGAATTTCCCAAGATCTTAAGTAGATCCTTCCTGAGTATCCAGTGCTTCCTTTTTTGTGGCTGGGAATGCAGGCCAGCCACAGTCCCTTTCTGATGTTTATGCTCTTGATCTCTGTATACCTCTATGTTCTTGACAACATTTCCATGTTAATAATGTGTTGCCTGTTGACTTCAATTTTGATTTGGGGGCTGAATTACTCCAGGAAGATTCAGGTTTCTATAAGAAAATCAATAACATTCATGTTAAAGCTGAATAGCATTTAAATATATACACCTGCAGACATGAGAAACAAGACAGGCTGTTATAGCAGTAGTAGTTAGCTATATGGATCGTGACATTACTGGTGATTTTACTTGACATATTCTTCTTTAGACTTTGTATAAGAAAGATAAATGTTTTGAAATGAGACTTTGTTAGAGAATGGCAACATTTTATCTTGACAAGTGTTCTTGCAATTAAATCTCATAATCCCTACCAGAAAAACTTAATCAAATGGAGAGTCAGTCAACCCGTTACTTAAACGTAGTACCTTCTAGAACACGTGAAGGCACTACCATATAAATTATATATACCATATATAAATCAAATATACCATATAAATTATATATACCATATATAAATCAAATCACTGCCATAATTTAATGCCGAAATAAAAACAAACAGCATTTTTAAACAGCATTTTTCTATTGAAAGGAAACTTTTTCATCTAAACCAGAACTTCTGAAATCTAGAATACCTATAACATGCCTGAAGTTATACATCTGTTAGTTAATACCAACCTGAATCTTAAATTCTTTTGATTTTTCTTGTTCTTTGTCATACCATATTTGTTTAGCCTTTTTGAGGTTTCCCCTGTGTAGTAAATCCTTACTAGCATTCAGGAGGGTATTTGGTTTTATGGGGGTTTCTTTTTAATATAAAACTATTACCTAAAATGTAAAGAAAATTTCAGAATAGTTTTACAACTGTAACACTCTTTGTCTTGTTGTTATCTGTGTATATATATTTTTAGTCACTACAACTATATTAAACTATTATTTTTTTCTCTTGAAATCTCTTCTTCCATAAGAGAAGAAATATCCTTTATGATTCTTTTTAATATTTTGATTTGGTGTACCACAAGTGATAACTATAGTTATAATGCTTATAACATTTAGATTATTGATAGATATCATTGCAGTGACCACCTTTGTGAATAAGATTTTTGGGGGTGTGTTTGTTGAGTTACTCCTTTAGGGTAGATTTTTAAAAATTGGTTAGAATATTTTGTCAGAAGATAGGAATATCCTTATAGCTCTTGCTGCTTAATATCGTGTTGCTTTCCAAGGGAAATCTGCATAGAGCTTAAGGCAATGTGTCTATGCCAGATTTACTGTAATTTTTGATAGCATTGACAATTGTTCAAGATGTTTGTGATATCTTAGTAGATGTACAGGATATCCAACAAAAAAGACAGCCTTTTCTCGGTGTTCACTCATTGTAGCATACTTATATGACTTGTCTGTGTATATAGTTTGATCTGTATTTTAGGATAATTTGTATTAAAACTTTTAGATTATCTTCCCAATCTGTTTTTTGTTTTTGTTTGTTTTTTGTTTTGTTTTGTTTTGGAGACAGTCTCTCTCTCTCTCTTTCCCAGGCTGCAGTGCAGTGGCGTGATTTGGCTCACTGCAACCTCCACTTCCTGGGTTCAAGTGATTCTTGTGCCTCAGCCTCCCGGAGGAGCTGGGATTACAGACAGGCGCCACCATGCCCAACTAATTTTGTATTTTTAGTAGAAATGGGATTTTACCATGTTGGCTAGGTTGGTCTCGAACTCCTGACCTCAGGTGATCTGCCTGCTTCAGCCTCCCAAAGTGCTGGGATTACAGGCATGAGCCACCACACCCAGCCTCAGTCTGTTCTTTTTGATGCTTGTCTAGGACTACTTTCAGGTTCAGTCCTTTGGTGTTTTATCCTTGGGGGTATAAAGACAAAAGAAATCAGTATTGAAAAGTAGAATTTCAGCCTCAAAATATTTACCTTGAAAGCATTTGTAGGAAGCATTTATAGGAATATTTACCTTGAAAGCTTTTATAGGAAAGAGAACTTCAGCGTGCCCCAGAGTCAGTTCAAGTGTAAGGAGACAGGTTAGGTGTGGTGGCTCACACGCCTGTAATCCCAGCATTTTGGGAGGCCGAGGAGGGCAGATCAGTTGAGGTCAGAAGTTCAAGAACAGCCTGGCCAACATGGTGAAACCCCATCTCTACTAAAAATACAAAAATTACATGGGCATGGTAGTGTGTGCCTGTAATCCCAGCTACTCAGGAGGCCAAAGCAGGAGAATCGCTTGAACCAGGGAGGTGGAGGCTACGGTGAGCTGCTGTCATGCCACTGCACTCCAGCGTGGGCGGGATAGCGAGACTTCATCTCAAAAAAATAAAGTAAGGAGTCAAAGACCCATAGCCTTTCTGGGATAGTTCAACAATTGCTAGAACTGAGGGATAGCTGCATCTGTTGCTTTATTGCCTATACCTCAGAGGTGCTATATGACTGGCATTCATACTGTTCCTATCCCTTTTGAGCCTAGTAAATATATAATTTGTTTTGAATACTGCAAATCACACTTTTTCTATTCTTTCTCATCTGTTATTTCATTTTATATTCTAAACATATTTGATTTGAATACTCTAAAGACAATAGTTAGTATCTGATAGCATCAGATAATTAGATTCATTGAGATTTTATTAACTTTGTTTTCTGTCAGGGAAAAATGTGTGTGTGTGTTTATTTATTTATTTATTCATTGAGACAGGGTCTCACTCTGTCACCCAGGCTGGAGTGCAGTGGCATGATCATGGCTCACTGCAGCCTCTGCCTCCCGGCTCAGGTGATCCTCCTCCCACCTCAGCCTCCTGAGTAGCTGGGACTACATGCACGCACCACCATGCCCGGCTAATTTTGTATTTTTTTGTTGTAGAGATGGGGTTTTGTCATGTTGCCCAGGCTGGTCTTGAACCCCTGGGCTCAAGAGATCCTCCTACCTTTGCCTCTCAAAATACTGGGGTTACAGTCATGAGCCACCATCCCCGGCCTGTGTGTATATTTTTAAACAAAGCATAGTTTTTAGAAAACAAGCTTCTAGCATACCCTGTTAGAGTTAAGCAGATATTAACTACATTTAAATTTCCTCTTAGTCATCTTGATACTGATGTTAGTATATCCTTGATCATTAGTTGAAAGCTTATGTTACTGTGTAATTGTTTTGCTAAGCTTCTGTTCCATAGAATTATTGAGGTCATTTTCCTGTCAATAGGTACTTACTTTTAGTCTGTACATTTGGATTCCTCATCCCTCTTCCCCCCAGAGCAAAAGCTAATATAATATTCTCCTTCTCTCTGTCAACCTCTCTCTCTCTCTTTTTAATTAGAGATGAGGTCTCGCTGTGTTGCCCAGGCTGGTCTCAAAACTCCTGGTCTCAAGCGATCCTCCTGCCTTGGCCTCCCAAAGTGCTGCAATTATAGTTGCGAGCCATCATACCTGACCACTGATTCTCTTATTTTCTTTTTCTTCAGTCATTCAAGTTGTGTTTTTCAAATTGATCATCAGAAGTTTTAGGTGCTTTGTGCAAATGAAGTGGTGGTGCTTTTCAGGCAGGGGTGCGCTTGGGTACATGTTAATTTCTTTTTTCCTTTTTCTTAATCAGATTGAGTCTGTTTCTCAGCCATTGGAAAACCATGGTGCCCCTATTATTGGTCATATTTCAGAGTCACTGTCTACCAAATCATGTGGAGCACTCAGACCTGTCAATGGAGTTATTAACACGTAAGTTTTAGCTCTTCTACTTCCTACACTTAGTAGACTTGTAAAGGTGTTTTGGAGCTCTTAGTTCTCTTTAGCCAGGACTGACCCTGGTTTAAAGAAGCGGAAGCCTTATCACTTAGTAACATTTTTAATCTTCACTGTATAATGAAGCAGTGCATTTTAATTAATTGTATATTTTCCTTTTACCTACTAAAATGGAGTGGGCATGGAGTAAAATAAAAGACACTACAGTTACTGTGAATTATTATTGTTTTAATCTTGCAGGAATTCCTCAGAAGTGTTTATATTAACCTCCTCTGCTTAGGACAGATTAGATCTCCAAGGGCTATGTTTGTAAATCTGTATTTATGAAGATTCAAGGGAGAAAACAAAAGATTCAGGGAGATTCTGTACAAGTGAATGATGTGTACAACACCCTTAAAATTCGGGTTTCATAGAACTGATTCTAAGGAAGCCCATTAACATTTGCAAAATTCATCATTTTCTAACCAACTGTAGTTCTCTAGACTTTATTTACTCGTGTGTTTTATGTAGAGGAGAACTCAATCACTAGAACTTGAGTTTATTTACTGACTTTTATCTTTCAGACATGATGTAGTTAATGTGCACCAAGAACCTTACACATAAGCACACACAGGTAGATTAACAGACATCAAGAGGAGAACTGCTTCTGCTCTAGAATGCTTCTTTGTGTCTGAACATTAGCAAATAGAGGTTGAACTAGTATAAGAGGCTTTGTTTCTTTGTGTTTTCTTGTTGTTTGTTTATTTTGTTTCTTTGTGTGTTCTGAGAATACTCTTCCTTCCCCTTGTATAGTCTTCAGCCTGTCTTGGCAGACCACATTCCAGGTGACAGCTCTGATGCTGAGGAACAATTACATAAGAAGCAACGACTGAATCTCGTCTCTTCATCATCTGATGGCACCTGTGTGGCAGCCCGGACACGTCCTGTACTGAGCTGTAAGAAGCGGAGGCTTGTTCGACCCAACAGCATCGTTCCTCTTTCCAAGAAGGTCGGTACAGATGAGAGTTGGTCATTGTCAAGCAGTGAGCCAGATGCTCAGATAGAGTTAGTCTCTTGCCAACTTTGGTGTTTTCTAAACTTGGCTAACCACCAAGGTCTTCTGGGGAGCTTTATAAAATACTAGGTTCCTGGGCCCTGTTTGCTCTGGAGTTGGATGTTGGAATCTTGTTTTCAGAAAACACAAAGCTCCTCGGTGACTCTGCAGCTAGTTTTGAAAACCACTGTCTTGAGCTTTTTAATAGAAATGGGAGAGACTGAAAGTTTAAGTACTGCCCTTAACACTTTGAAGGAGAATAGTGTGCCCTCTCACCTTCACTGTTATCACTGAAAATGGCAGTATAGAATCCTTTGCCCTAAAAAAGAATCTTGGCCATGTGCAGTGGCTCATGCCTGTAATCCCAACACTTTGGGAGGCCAAGGCGGGAGGATTGCTTGAGCCTAGGAATTGAATACCAGCCTGGAAAATATAGTGAGACCTTCATCTCTACAAAGTATTTAAAAATTAAGCATGGTGGTGCACACCTGTAGTCCCAGCTATTCAGGAGGCTGAGGCAGGATTGCTTGAACCCATAAGGTTGAGGCTGCTTTGAGCTGTATTTGTGCCACTGTACTTAAGCTTGGGTGACAGAGTGAGACCCTGCCTGAGAAAAAAAGGAATCTTCACTAAAGTTTTTAAATTGATATTACTAAAAAAAAGTTTGTCTTCACAAAGGAAATGGAGATTAATTCACAACTGTAGGGAATTTTAGATTGCTGACTCTTCAAATAGCAGTTGCCTTTATTCCAAAACTAATGAGATAATAATATTCCAGTAAAATTGGTACTGTGCAGGAATTAAGAGCATTATCTTTGAAGATGATAAACTTGGGTTTGAATCATGGTACTACCACTTAGTAGTTTGGTAATTTGGTGCATGTTAACCACCCTGACTTCCACTCCTCTCCAAAGCCTCAGAGATCTCATAGGGTTGTTTGAGGGTTCAATGAAATATATGTAACATGCTTATTGGGATATCTGGTTGATAAGTTCCTCGTACAAAGTGGCTGTTATTGTTACCACTTTTGTTGTTGTTCATTCATTCTTTCAACAAATATTTATTGGCTTCCTGCAACGAGCTAAATCTGTCTAGTCACTGGGTATACAACACTAAACAAAACAGACAAAAGTGCTTACCCTATGAAATATTCTAGTTGTTAAGAGAAAGAAAATAATAAATGAACTCTGCAGTATGTCCTATAGCATTAAATCTTGGAGAGAGGCTAGGCACAGTGGCTCATACCTGTAATCCTGGCACTTTGGGAGGCTGAGGAAGGAGGATCACTTGCATTCAGGAGTTTGAGACCAGTCTGGGCAACATAGTGAGACCCCATATCTTTAAAAAAAAAAAAAAAGCCTGCTGTGGTGGCGAGCGTGTGTAGTCCATTTGCTCAGGAGGCTGAGGCGGGAGGATCATTTGAGCCCACCAGGTCGACACTGCAGTGAACCATGGTTGTGCCACTGCACTCCAGCCTGGATGACAGAGTGATTGAGACTCTGTCTTTTAAAAAAACAAAAAAACAAAAACAAAAAACACACGTATACATATGTAACTAACCTGCACGTTGTGCACATGTACCCTAAAACTTAAAGTATAATAATAATAAAAAATTAATTAATTAAAAAAATATCCTGGAGAGAGAAATGCAATAGAGGAGGGAATAGAGAGTGCTGGAGAGCTCAGATAAAGAAGAGGTATATGGATTAGCCCTTTGATGTATTCCAGAGCTTAGGTATTCTTCCTCATTCCTGTGAAAGATGAGGAAAGGATTGGGAAGGGAGTGACGAATAAAGTAGAAGAAAAACCAAGAGAGTGTGGTATGTGAAAGGCAAGGGGAGAAAGTGTTTTGGAGAGGGAGGAGGAGGAGGGATTGTCTGTGTCAGTTGTTACAGACAGGATCAGTATGATGAAGGCTGAGAATTGAGACCATTGAATTTAGTGGGGTGGGGTTGTTGCAGACATTGGTGAGCAGTTTTGGTAGAGGGAGAAAGGTGAATTAAAGCATGGTTGGAGTGGTTTCAGGAGACAAGGCCACAGAAGGAATTGAGGGAACCATTGTAGATAACATTTTCAAAGAATGTTGCTGTAAAAGAGAGCAGAGAATGGGAATTTTTCTTAAGAGAGCCATTAGCAACATATTTGCTAATGACAAATAAGGGAGATGAGAGAATTGCTGGAACAATTAGTATTTGCATGGTGAATTTTCAGTACTTTCCTTGTTTTATTCTAGTATGCAGTTGTACTGTGTAAGTTTGCCATGTTCTCTTTAAAGAAAAGAATTGTAGAATTGACTGTCAGGCGATACCATTTCTTCCTGTCTATTCCTCGGACTCTACCTGAAATATCAAAATAGCAGAAATAGATAAGAATAAGGTATTTGGCAGGGTTTTCATATTGACATTTCAGTCTCAGTTTTTTTTGTTTTTTTTTTTTTTACTAATAGTCGTATATCTCTAAAAGATTTTCAGAGGAGTTGATAACAGGAATGTCAGAAAACAGTATATTACCGTCAAGTGTAGGAAAATAGCTTTTTGTCAATTCCTTGATGAATTTAACACAGAATGCTTTTACATTAAAAAAAAAAAAAAACCGCCACCTCATGAAAATAAAGCACCCTTCCTCTGTTTTGGCAGTTTACCAGCCACTATGGCATGACATCAGGAGTCGTATAAAAATTTTCTGAAGTATGTGGTGGCCTCCTGGATTTTGTTTTTTAATATGTGAAGTAGCCAACCTTCTTCTGATCCATGCCTAAGAACGAATGTAGTTTTGAATGTACATATAAAATTATAAAAGGTAGCTTAGGCAAGAGATAGGCATAAAACTAAATATCCTTTTGTTCCAATGCCACTTTCTAAAACAGAATCATCCTGACACAAAAGTAAGCTGCATGAAAAATAAGACAGAGAAATTAGTTGACTTTGGGAAATATACCATGTACTAGATCTAGCAGAAAGCTGGAGTTCTTCCAGAGTTAGAGACACACCCCATTCCTTCTGTCTAGGTTGCTTTCTGTGTCTCACATGGCTCCTCACTCATGACATGACCTCAGTGGTATTTGCTGATGAGCAAGCATCTTGTCTTCTGTCATCTTGAATTGCTCGGTTTTCCAGACAGATTTATTCAACAGCATTTTTGAATGCCCACCGTATTATTCAGGGCAGCCAGGTTGCATTGGTAAGGAAAACAAAGCCCTTATCTTCATGGAGCTTACTTTCTAATGACAGCAAAGAAGTTAACAGGTAAATTATGTTCTAATATTGTTACATGACAGTGAGTTCACAGTTATTGTGAGTACAGAGTACAGAACACACAAAGCAAGTGATTAATATTTTTTCCTTACCTGCATCTTAAATGATCTCTACTGCATTCCAGAACCAAATAAAACATACTTGAGGGAACTCATTGAGGTTTTGTTTTGTTTTGTTTTTTCTTTGAGATGGAGTCTTGCTCTGTTGCTCAGGCTGGAGTGCAATGGTGCGATCTCGGCTCACTGCAACCTCCTCCTCCTGGGTTCAAGCGATTCTCCTGCCTCATTCTCCCGAGTAGCTGGGGTTACAGGCATACGCCACCACGCCCAGCTATTTTTTGTATTTTTAGTAGAGATGAGGTTTCACCGTGTTGGCCAGACTGGTCTCGAACTCCTGACCTCAAGTGATCCACCCGCCTCGGCCTCCCAAAGTGCTGGGATTACAGGCGTGAGCCACCACACCCAGCCCAATTACTGTGTTTTTAAAGGGCTATCAGCTTAGTTGAATTATGGCTGGAATATATCTTAAAATTGAGATGCACGTTTAGTGCAGTAACTCTTTTGCCCTTAAAAAGGCTGGCCAGGCACAGTGGCTCATGCCTGTAATCCCAGCACTTTGGGAGGCCAAGGTGGGGCAGATCATGAGGTCAGGAGATCAAGACCACCCTGGCCAACATGATGAAACCCCATCTCTACTAAAAATACAAAAATTAGCTGGGCGTGGTGGCACGTGCCTGTAATCCCAGCTACTCGAGAGGCTGGGGCAGGAGAATCGCTTGAACCAAGAAGTCAGAGGTTGCAGTGAGCTGAGATCTCGCCACAGCACTCCAGCCTGGTGACAGAGTGAGAGTCCATCTAAAAAAAAAAAAAAAAAAAAAAAAAGCTGTTGTTATATCACTTGTACTTCTTAAAATCAATGACTAAAACAAAGTGTTCAGTAAATTAAACTCGTTGGGAATAAAGAGAAATGAGATCTATCAGTAAATAAATAGGAAGCCTTGAATGCCCAAACTGATGATTTGGGTTTCAGTCTATAAGTTTTAAATTTTTGAGCAGAGAAGTGTTGTAAGCTATTTTGGGGGAGGTAAATCTGCTGTAACATGTTTTTTTTTGTTTGTTTGTTTGTTTTTTTTTTTTGAGTCGGAGTCTTGATCTGTCACCCAGGCTGGAGTGCAATGGCACAATCTCAGCTCACTGCAGCCTCCGCCTCCCGGGTTCAAGCAATTTTCCTGCCTCAGCCTCCTGAGTAGCTGGGATCACAGGCACCCACGACGACGCCTGGCTAATATTTGTATTTTTAGTAGAGACAAGGTTTCACCATGTTGGCCAGGCTGGTCTCGAACTCCTGACTTCAGCTGATCCATCCGCCTTGGCCTCCCAAAGTGCTGGGATTACAGGCGTGAGGCACCGCGCCCGGCCAATCTGTAACTATTATGTTTGGGATGGATTGGCACAAGAGACTGGAGGTGGAAAGACAGACTAACAGTAGTAATCCTGGAGGAGATAATAGTGTAAGGCCTCTACAACTCTGAATGTGGAATATTTTAAATGTAATCTAAGGAATAACCACTAGGGTGTGGTAAGTGAATATCAGAGTAAGGCTCATGGAGAACATGGAGTACTTCCTAAATCATAATTTTATTATAAAATGACGGAATTACTAGTTGTAATTACTGAATAGCCTATATTGCTATTTATTGTGTGTTTCATCACTTTAGGGGTCTAGTATGGTGGATGTTAGTAATTATCTAAGTGAATGAAGAAGCACTCCAGTGGAAAGTTCTTATATGCCATTATGTTCTTTTCCTGGCCCAGTGCCTAAGTGAAGTAGGTGTTTATAACTTAACCTAAACGTACTAAGATTTCAGATCAATAAAGTTATTAAAATAAAATTGGTACCAGCCAATTTTCAAATAAGGTTGCTTTTTATTTTTTAAGTAAAATTATGTTTATAATTAAACCATAAGACAAATAGTATTTTTTTAAAAAAGAAAAGAATGTAGTTTTATTAATAATTTACTGCATTGTTCTCATTCTCAATTTACTGTGGACCATTAGAAACTTGTGTATAGTCTGGCAGTGGAAACCATCAGTGTTTGGAAATGAATGGTTGAAAAGGCTGGGTTTTTTTGTACTAATAACCAGTAGAATAGGTAATGGCTACATTTATTACTAACATACCCTTGAAATTTTTATTGCCCTTAATAGCATTTCTTTTCAATTTTTTAAAAAGTAGCAATTTCCTAACAAATTGGCAGTGTACTGGCATCATTTTAGAATTTTGTAGTCCTTGTTGTCATAGGGGGGATTGCTCTGGGCCAAATTTTAAAGCTGGCTTCCATAGAATTCCGAGTAGTCCTCCTCTTCTTCCCATTGTATCACACTTGAAGAGTGGCATTTTTGTACAGGGCATTCTCTCATGGCTATGACCAGGTTTCCTGTAGACATCAGGGTAAATAAAGGTGTTAATATATGATTCTAGGCCTCCTAGTTTTGATTCCACCTATTTAAATCCAGTTTCATGACACCATGGTTGAGGACTAATGAACTAGAATATGAGTCAGTATTAAAAGTTAATAATTTGATACGTTCTTCCTTGACAGAGTGCAATAGACCTTGGAGGCCCAACCAACTTTTTCATACTAGTTAGACATTTGGAAAGGAGCAAGCGTGCCATGTAGAAAATTGTACCTTAGGACATAAAGCTACTAAAAGAATACTCAGAAATCACTCTGTGCTTGGAACAGTTACCTCTAAACTGTTATGACGGTGTTTTATATATACATTATAAAACACATACAAAATAAATTTTGAAAGACTGAGATAAAATAGAAGCTTACACGTTTTGTTTCTTCACTCTGATGGATCTTCAAGAGCCAGTTGTGGGATATGCTTGATTGTGATAGAGTTGCCAAACTTATGAAAATCTTTCCACATGTTAACAGTGGATGAGTTAGATAACGAATATCAAATGCAAAGCAAAAGCAAATGATTATAACCTGTCCTTGAGCCAAAAGAATTCTTTTAGTGTTTTGGACGAATATGCTATGATTAACAGAAAATGGTGAATAGAGTTTTACTTTGGTATTAATTCCTTCATAAGTATTAAATTGAGTATTTCTTGGGAATTCCTTCAAAGAGAATTGATAGCATTGCAGTATTAATTAAGGGAACGTGGGAATTTCTTCGTGTATCAAGTATTTTATCTCTTATTATTTTATTGAGATGCAGGTCTCACTGTGTTGCACAGGCTGATTTTTTGTTGTTGTTGTTTGTTTTTTGTCCCTCTCCCC
The DNA here is from genome assembly GCF_000001405.40 of Homo sapiens. Lineage (NCBI taxonomy): Eukaryota > Metazoa > Chordata > Mammalia > Primates > Hominidae > Homo > Homo sapiens. The sequence goes on from NT_167251.2 coordinate 728,754, forward strand.
TCCCCCAAGATGGAGTCTCGCTCTGTCGCCAGGCTGGAGTGCAGTGGTGCAATCTCTTCATCTCAAAAATAAAAAAGCCAGCTGTGGTGGCAGCTACACAGGTGGCTGAGGCAGGAGAATGGTTTGAAGCTGGGAGGCAGAGGTTGCAGTGAGTCAAGATCAAGCTACTGCACTCCAGTCTGGGCAGCAGAGCTAGACTCTGTCTCAAAAAGATAACAGTCTGTTTCTCTCTCTCAGTTCCAGCTGAGAACATGTGTTGATCAGTTTCCTTTTCTCTCTCTCTCTCTTTTTTTTTTTTTTTTGGAGTCAGAGCCTCGCCTCGCTCTGTCACCCAGGCTGAAGTGCAATGGCATGATCTTGGCTCACTGCAACGTCTGCCTCCCGGGTTCATATGATTCTCCTTCCTGCCTCAGCCTTCCAAGTAGCTGGGACTACAGGCGCGTGCTACCATGCCCAGCTAATTTTTGTATTTTTAGTAGAGACGGGGTTTCACAATGTTGGCCAAGCTGGTTTCGAACTCCTGACCTTAGGTGATCTGCCCGCCTCAGCCTCCCAAAGTGCTGGGATTACAGGTGTGAGCCACTGTGCCCAGCCTCCTTTCCTCTTAGCATATCCTGAGATCTAATTCTAGTCTCCTCACGAGACTGCCAGAAACATCTCTGTCCTTTTCAGAGACTTTCCACTTAGCTTTGTAGCCTCCTACCATTCACAACTTCAGCGTTTTCTTTGGGAGGGTGGTACTTGGAAGTGTGTCATGCTTAGTTCCCTGTCCTCTTTTTATTGATAATTTGACATTTCAAGTCTCTAGTGTTATCCATTCAGCCCTACAAGAGTACCAAAAGCTCTGCTCTTTTTTTTTTCTTTCTTTTTTTTTTTTTTCCGAGATGGAGTCTCGCTCTGTTGCCCAGGCTGGAGTGCAGTGGCACATCCTTGGCTCACTGAAACCTCCATCTCCCAGGTTCAAGCGATTCTCCTGCCTCAGCAAGTAGCTGAGATTACAGACACGTGCCACCATGCCTAGCTAATTTTTGTGTTTTTAGTAGAGATGGGTTTTCGCCATGTTGGCCAGGTTCTTTTCCTCTCTGGAATCTTAGCTTTCAATATTGTCATTATGTCAGCATTTTTCTTATGTTTTGAGAGAGAGAGAGAGAGAGAGAGAGAGAGTGTGTGTGTGTGTGTGTGTGTGTGTGTTTTAAATCTGGCTTTTCCAATTAGTGAGAGTGTTGGTTTGATACAAGCTATCCATATAGGTGATTTATTTGTTGAGAAAACTTCATTTATCCGATACCTTAGTTTCCCACAGCCTACTTTCTTTTAAAAATTTTATCCCTATAGTAGTATTTTCTTGCCTCTTGGCATATCTAACAATGTTTTATTTATGTTTTAAGCTGAAAATCCAATTAATAATTTTCCCTGCTTGTAGCATGTGGATTGTGCCATTTTCCTTTAAAGAGGCTTTGTTTTGCTGGCAGGTAAATTCCTTGTCATTTGTTAGGTCAGGTGAGGAGTTGGCCACCTTAGTAGTCTAGCTCCACAACTAAAGCAGGATCTTCTGTCTTGAATTCTCTATGCAACTTTGGCTGGTCACAGTTTAAAAGCCTCTCAGGCTTGTGTTAGCTGTGGAAACCATTTCAGCTCACAGCTGCCTAGTTGCTCTTGCCTGGCCTGATAGTTTCACCCTTTACATGCACCTTTTAATATTTAGCAAACACTCAGGGGGATCTTATGAAGATTTCTGGGGCTCTTTTTCTGTAAAGCTTCCTCCTCTCAAGAATTTTGCCTTGCAATTTTCAGTTTCCTTAGTCTCTGAATTCTGATCTAGTGAGAATTTGCTTCCTCAACTCAGTGAAGCTATTATACTCTGCTTCAGATCCTCTCCCTGCCCTGCAGTCTAGAATGTACTTCCAGGCGGAAAACCAGGGCAGTCTTAGAGACCACCCCATTTATTTCTCAGTGTTATACTGCCTGTTGTCCAGTTTTCTGGTTTATGACTGAAAGGTAAATCTGATCACTATTACTCTGCTAGAAGCAGAAGTCCTGTGGTGTCACTGTTTTCTTTTCCAAATTTTGTTATGAAATTATTCAGATACGAAGTTGAATGAATTTTACAGTGAACACCTATGTAGCTACTCCCTAGGTTCTACCACTAACATTTTAGCATACAATCATCCTTCCATTTATTAATCCATCTTATTTTTAGTGCATTTAAAAAACAGTGATGTTTTTCTGTCCCTTGTTTTTGTTGAAAACTAGTAGAAACGTGAATAAGTCCAGTTTTAGTTTTGTGAGAAAACACAAGGTGGCCGCCTTATGCTTGTATCAGAAGACACGTAATGACTAAACTGTTTGTTATCAACTACTGGTGATCATTGCCTGGACCCATTGTTAAATTGGAAGCTGAAGAATGGTGATATTCTACTTGTATCATTTCTGTTTTTCTTTTATTAGCTAGATAGAATATGTTTATAAAGGGAAAATTGTCCTTTTCAACTATTTGTTTACCCTGAGGTACAGTTTGTACAGAAGAAAGCATGATTTGTTGTTTTTTTTTATTTACCAATTTTCAAAATAACAAATTAGTTTTCTACTATCCTCTAAGGACAGTCACTGAAGTTTTTCATGAAGGGGCTGTGAGTCATTGATTGAAACATATTTGAGGTATTTCAAGCCATTGTAGTCTTTTCTTTATGATGCTAACGTTATCTGATCTTTGGTAGGGGAAGCTCTCTTCAGGCTTGTTCTTGACAATAGTCTTTGAGAGCTTTGTTCTTACTATTAATTTTTATTTTTTTTGTTTTCCTTTTTTACTGAGTCTTATGTTTACTGTGACTCACCACTAATATTTAATGGGAGCCTGTGCTTTGAATTTTTCTAGAAGGGATGACCGTAATTTGAACCTCATGGTTCTCAGTGATTTTGTCCTCACAGGAGACATTTGGCAATATCTGTAGTAATTACTCATTTTCACAAATTGGGGGAGTAGGGAGGCACATGCACCATGAGGACAGAGATGCTGCTAGATATCTACAGTGCACAGGACTGTGCCCCACAACAAAGAAGTGCCAGCTGTTGAGAAATCATGCGGTATACTAATTTAGCTAACATTTGTGTAATGTTTTAACAGTTACAGAGTCATTTGATCTTTCCTACACTCCCATGAAATTGGTATTATCAGTCCTTTTTAACAAGTGAGAAAATTTAAGGATGTCATGTGACTTATCAATGATCATATTATACAGTGTTAAGAAGCTAGAATTTTGAAATCAAGATCTTTGATGGTAAATGTTCTATCAGTAGCTATACTTAACGGTTTTACAAAAGTGATTAAGAGTCGAGAGCCAGATACTGTTGTGAGTTATTTATCTTTAAAACAACTCTATCAGGTACTCTCCTGTTAGTAAAGATGAAGACACAGTAACTTGTCTAAGGCCACACAGCTAGTAAGTGGCGGAGTCAAGGTTCAAACCCAGGCAGTCTGGCTCCACAGCTCATACTGTTAACCACTATATATTGCTTCACAATTTTTTTTTTTTTAGATTTGAGTATAATATTTGTTTTTATATTTAAATCTTTATTTGGGGCCAGGCACGGTGGCGCACACTTGTTATTCCAGCACTTTGGGAGGCCAAGGTGGGTGGATTACCTGAGGTCAGGAGTTTGAGACCAACCTTGCCAGCATGGCGAAACCCCCGTCTCTACTAAAAATACAAAAATTAGCCAGGCTTGGTGGTGGGTGCCTGTAATCCCACCTACTTGGGAGGCTAAGGCAGGAGAATCACTTGAACCCGGAGATGGAGGTTGCAGTGAGCCGAGATCGCACCATTGCACTCTAGCCTGGGCGACAGAGTGAGACTCTGTATCAAAAAAATAAAATAAAATGAAAATGAATAAATCTTTATTTAGAATTAATTTTGGTGTGAGGCAGAAATGCAGCCGTTTTCTTCTGTATGACCTCTTGGTTTTCCTGATTCATTTGTTGAAAAAGTAATACCTCCTTTTGTTTTTTTAAACTGATTTAAAAGTATTATTTTAGTTAAACAATAAACTGTCATATATACTTTGGTCAATTTTTGTTTTTATTGAAATTTTCTGTTTCTTAACTGAGGGCAGATTATTTTAATTACTGTAACTATAAAACATGTAATAGGCCAGATCACTCCCCTGTATTTTTGCATATCAGAAATTTTGGGGAATGGTTCCTTACATTCTTTCTGTTGTATCTTTTAGATTATTTGTTTAAATCCCCTTTGCCTTGTCTCCCCTCCCCCCTCAAGTCTATTAAGATTCTGCATTAATTTGTAGAATATCAATATCTTTAAGCTTTGTGCTTAAATTTCTTGTTAAACTTATTCCAGGACATTTTTTGTTGTTACAGTCAAGAATATAATCTTTTTTCACTTTTTTTTTTTTTTTGAGAGGGAGTTTTGCTCTTGTCGCCCAGGCTGGAGTGCAGTGGTGCGATCTCAGCTCACTGTAACGTCTGCCTCCTGGGTTCAAGCGATTCTTCTGCCTCAGCCTCCCGAGTAGCTGGGATTACAGGCGCCCGCCACCATGCCCGGCTAATTTTTTGTATTTTTAGTAGAGACGAGGTTTCACCATGTTGGTCAGGCTGGTCTTGAACTCCTAACCTCAGGTGATCCACCTGCCTTGGCCTCCCAAAGTGCTGGGAATACAGGCGTGAGCCACCGCGCCTGGCCTTTCACTTGTATTTCTAAATAAAACTTACTTTGGGCCGGACACGGTGGCTCACGTCTGTAATCCCAGCACTTTGGGAAGCTGAGGCAGGTGGATCACGAGGTCAGGAGATCGAGACCATCCTGGCTAACACCGTGAAACCCTGTCTCTACAAAAAATACAAACATTAGCCAGGTGTTGTGGCGGGCGCCTATAGTCCCAGCTACTCGGGAGGCTGAGATAGGAGAATGGCATGAAGCTAGGAGGCGGAGCTTGCAGTGAGCTGAGATCCCACCACTGCGCTCCAGCCTGGGCGACAGCGAGACTCCATCTCAAAAAAAAAAAAAAAAAGTTACTTTGAATACTGACATTTAAAGAAAAAGACACGATGTGAGAGAATGACCATGGAATTAGTGGTTGAAGAGCCAAGTGCAGAGGCCTGTGATCTGGAAGGTTGCCTGCTATCTTGGAGAAATATAGCAAGGAAATCAGAGTAACTGGTAGTGTCAGCTAGGAGAGTAACAAAAAAATGAGGTGAAGTCAGAGAGAGGGGATAGAGGCGACAAATACTATAGGACCTTGTGGGAACCATGCAAGAAGTTTGGTTTCTATTCCTCGTGAGATGAGAAGTCATTTGGAAGATTATGAGGTTGGTATGATGTGATTGAGATTTTAAAACAAGATTTACACTGATTACTGTGTTGATTGATTTGGAAGTAAGAACCAGTAGGAGGAGGATCAGTTAGGAGGCTTGAAGAAACCCATTTGAGAAAAAATAGTGACTTGGACTAGATTGAGTGTAGTTGAGGTGGTATGAAGTGGTTGGATTCTGCCAATAGGATTTCATGACTGGGATCGGTCGCGATGGCTCACGCCTGTAATCCCAGCACTTTGGGAAGCTGATACGGGTGGATCATCTGAGGTCAGGAGTTTGAGACCAGCCTGGCCAATGTGGTGAAACCCCGTCTCTACTAAAAATACAAAAGATTAGCTGGGCGTGGTGGTGCATGCCTTCAATCCCAGCTACTTGGTAGGCTAAGGCAGAAGAATCTCTTGAGCCCAGGAGATCCTTGTTTTTTTTTTCTTTTAAGAGACTGACTCACTCTGTCTCCCAGGCCTGGAGTGCAGTGGACATGATCACTATAGCTCCTCACTCCTGGGCTCAAGTGAGCCACCTCAGCCTCCCAAATAGCTAGGGCTACACGTGCACACCATCTGTTGTGATATTTTTAAAAATTTGTTTTCTTATTGTAAAACACAATATTGTGTGTGTTCTTGTTGTTTTTTAACTTAAATGAATTCATGCAGATGATTTGGCATCTTGTTTCAGTGGAAGAGCGTGTGCGTGTGTACACTTAAGTTTGTCTGCAGGATAGATTCTTGGTGTGGATTTGTGCAACATGGGTATGAATTCAAGTTTTCTTTCAAAAATTTTCCAAAATGTATCCTTTAATAAGTATTAAATATATCTTTGGCCGGGTGCGGTGGCTCATGCCTATAATCCCAGCATTTGGGAGGCCGAGGCGGGCAGATCACGAGGTCAGGAGATCGAGACCATCCTGGCTAACAATGGTGAAACCCTGTCTCTACTAAAAAAATACAAAAATATTAGCTGGGTGTGGTGGTGGGCGCCTGTAGTCCCAGCTACATGAGAGGCTGAGGCAGGAGAATGGTGTGAACCTGGAAGGCAGACTCGCGCCACTGCACTCCAGCCTGGGTGACAGAGCAAGACTCTGTCTCAAAAAAAAAATAAGTATTAAATATATTTTTATATACTCCTCGGGTTCTATTAGTACTTTACAGTTTTTAATTTAAAAGTGAGATTACTGTTTAAGTTACATGTGTGCACATTACCCTTTTGTCAAGTTATAAGTAGAATTTCTACCCTTTATTTTATTTTTTTTAATTTTTAAATTTTTTTGGAGACGGAGTTTTGCTCTTGTTCCCCAGGCTGGAGTGCAGTGGTGCAATCTCAGCTCACTGCCACCTCTGCCTCCCAGGTTCAAGTGATTCTCTTACCAGCCTCTCCAGTAGCTGGGATTACAGGTGCCCACCACCATGCCCAGTTTTTTGTATTTTTAGTAGAGACGGGGTTTCACCATGTTGGCCAGGCTGGTCTCGAACTCCTGACCTCAGGTTATCCACCCACCTTGGCCTCCCAAAGTACTGGGATTACAGGCGTGAGCCACCATGCGCAGCCTTTTTTTTTTTTTTTTTTTTTTTTTGAGACAGGATCTTACTCTTTTTCCCAGGCTGCAGTGCAGTGGTGCAATCATGGCTCACTATAACCTGAACTCCTGGGCTTAAGCGATTCTTCTCCCTCAGCCTCCTGAGTAGCTGGGACTAAAGGCATGCAATACCATGCTGGGCTAAATTTTTTTTTTTTTTTTTAATTTTAAATTTTATTTTAAGAGATGGAGTCTTACTGTGTTGCCCAGGCTAGTCTCAGACTCCTGGCTTCAAGCAATCCTCTCTCCCACCTCAAAGTTTTGGGATTACAGTTGTGAGCCACCACGCCTAGCCACATCTATTGAATTTTTTTATTGTTGTTTTGTTTTTTTGTTTGTTTGCTTGTCTTTGGACTTAGTCTCATTCTGTCCCCCAGGCTGGAGTGCAGTGGTGTGATCTCAGCTCACTGCAACCTCTGCCTCCCAGATTCAAGCAATTCTCCTGCCTCAGCCTCCCGAGTAGCTGAGATTACAGGCTCCCACCACCACACCCAGCTGACGTTTCTATTTTCAGTAGAGTTGGGGTTTCACCATGTTGGCCAGGCTAGTCTCAAACTCCTGACCTCAAGTGATCCACCCGCCTTGGCCTCCCAATATTGACTTTGACTTAAGTGATACACTCTAGCCATAAAATGTAGTGTTGTTAAATGTCCCATATGGAGAGCTAGTTGATGTCATGGGTTGGTTTCTAGTCTCTCTCTTTTTATTTTTTATTTGCTATACCTACTGGAGTGAGATAATCTCTTTTGAATATTGAAAGTTTCAGTGTAATTTTTGGATCCTAACCAATTTTCCTAAATCCTCCCACTCACCCACTGTGTGATCTCATTTTCATCTCTACCTACTCATTTCTCTTTACCTCAAAATGTCATCCTCTCCAGAAAGCCAGCTCTGATTACATAGATACAGGGATTTTTTTTTTTCCCAAAACAATACCAGTTAATATTGTCTACACAAAAGTAGCATGCCTAGTTGGTATCACTCCCTTTCAGTGGCTTCTAGTTCTGTGTGATTTGCCCAGTCTAACCTTTAAAAGACTTTATTTGCGTGCCACCTCTCTATGTGGTTGCAATAGAATGTCGGGGGAATGTTGATAAAGACCACATTGTTCTTATGTATATCTTTCTCTTACACAAATCCATAAAAGGCTTTCGAGATGTCTCTGCTGAAAATAAATGGAGCTCTAGTAAATGTTAGAGTTTTTGCTAGTAGAGTTTTGATGCTTTTTGTCTTTGTTCTACTACTGAGCTTGCACCTAGGATGCCTTCTTATAGTGCCATTCAACATGCAAGTTTCTTTTTCTGGGGCTGTGTGTCCAGGTGACTTTATGAGTTAGGCTTTGGCAAATGCCAGACTTGTTCATCCTAACACTAGAATGTAGGGATCCTGCATTCAGCATGACCTGAAATTTGCTCAAAGTATAAAATTGTAGATGTTCAGTTTTTTTACAGAATTCAATCTTTTGAAGACTTAAATTAGTTCATATTTAACTTTGGACTTACCTGGAGAGGTTATCAATTATTCTGCCCACATGTGCACAAAGGAAGTTCAGTGGAAATAATTTCTATCCCTTTGGAATTAATCTAACATGAAGACTATGAAAGTGAGCATTTGCTGTACAAAATGTTATTTTATTACTTAGGTATGAGCTTTGTAACAGTGGATTTTAGGCCAGGTTAAAGAGTAGTTAATAAGTTACTTTTAAGTTACAAGCTTCAGGGAAGCTTGCCACCTGGCTTGAGACCACCTGAAAGTCTTTTGAAGAAGAGGTGTGAAAAGAAGAGAAGAGGTGTGGTTGGTAATTGAAGGCTCCTAGGTGGATAAATTTGCTGAAGAAAGCAAGTAATGTCCCACCTGGGAATCAAGAACCAACTGTTCGTCTTAGCGGACCATCAAGGTCGTGAAAGCATGCAGATTTTATAAAGTGTTCTCAGAAAGCACAGTTTTAGTATCTTTTTAAACTGTCAGAAGTTTGATACCTAGGTAAGCACTTAGAGCTTCAAGTAGTTAGATTTCATCAATGAAAAGGAAGCAAGTTTCCTTACCCACTTTGAAGGTCAGTGTGTTAGACAAATGGAAATCTTTTAACAAACTAATCAAACATCCTTTTAGTAGTGTCACACAAGTATCTAGAAAGGTCTTCGCAATAACAAATGGGGAGCTAACTTCTCAATAACAAATGGGGATAACAAATGGGGAGCTGGCTTTTTATCAGATGCTGAATTGTCAGTTTTGTTTGGCTTTTTTCACAGGTTCACCGGAACAGCACAATCCGCCCTGGCTGTGATGTGAATCCCTCCTGCGCACTGTGTGGTTCAGGCAGCATCAACACCATGCCTCCCGAAATTCACTATGAAGCCCCTCTGTTGGAACGTCTTTCCCAGTTGGACTCTTGTGTTCATCCTGTTCTAGCATTTCCAGATGGTAAGAAAGACCACAGACTAGAAAGTCTAATGAAAGAAACTTGAGAGACTTCTAGGTGAAAGAAAATCAGCCAAGGTGCAGTTACAACTCAGATACTTTCAAGGTACAACTTTCGTCAACCAAGTCTTCTCTTAGAATTTTGCAAAAAGACTGTAACAGATCCACCAAACCAGAAGGTGCCACTAAAAGGTTGCAACTTAATATGAGATTTCCTTCTAACTCTTCAAGTAGCTAGGAGGGATCTGGGCTCAGTTGCCTCTAGCCACAGTAATCTGGTCCAAAATACGCTTAGTATATCTTTAAAAATGTTTTGTCTGGGCCAGGCGTGGTGGGTCACGCCTGTAATCCCAGCACTTTGGGAGGCTGAGGTGGACGGATCACCTGAGGTCAGGAGTTCTAGACCAGCCTGACCAACACCGTCTCTACTAAATATAAAAAATTAGCCAGTCGTGGTTGTGCCTGTCTGTAATCCCAGCTACTTGGGAGGCTAAGGCAGGAGAATTGCTTGAACCTGGGAGGCAGAGGTTGCAGTGAGCCAAGATTGCACCATTGCACTCTAGCCTGGATAACAGAGCAAGACTCTGTCTCAAAAAAAAAAAAGTTTTGTCTGTGCGTGCCATGATATAATGTAGGATGGACGGCAGTGTTCTAGGAGAATATCTTCATACTGGCATTTATGTGGTAACGCGACAGCTTTGCAGGGTGTAGATAAGCACAAATCTTCGTTGTTAGCTTGTACTGTCTTTCTAAAGTTTGCCTCCCTGTTAAATCTCTGTGTCTGACAGCCCTCCTTTCCCACCTCCCTTCCCATACCTGTACCTCTCCCACTTGACAAAAGAAGAGCATTCCTTTTGGCCATATTGAGTCCCACTATGGGTCTTGCCCCAGAGTGTAAAAATCTTGAGGCTGGGTGTCGTGGCCCACGTCTTTAATCCCGTCACTTTGGGAGACCAAGGCAGGCAGATCACTTGAGGTCAGGAGTTCGAGACCAGGTGTGGTGGCTCACGCTTGTAATCCCAGCACTTTGGGAGGCCAAGACGGGCGGATCATGAGATCAGGAGTTCGAGACCAGCCTGGCCAACATGGTGAAACCCCTTCTCTACTAAAAATACAAAAATTATCAGGGCGTGGTGGCATATGTCTGTAATCCCAGTTATTTGGGAGGAGAATCGCTTGAACCTGGAGGCCAGAGGTTGCAGTGAGTCAAGATCACGCCACTGCACTCCAGCTCGGGCAACAGAGCAAGACTGTCTCAAAAAAAAAAAAAAAAAAAAAAAAAAAGGTCTTGGATGGTGGGGACAACAAATAAAGAAATCATTTCTAAGAGTTCTCAGCACCTGAAGGAGAATCTCCCAGGTATTAAGCAAAAAAGTTTTGAATTTTAAAAATAAAATAGAGATAACTCAGGAGTTCTATCAACCAAGTCTTCTCTTAGAATTCTCCAAAAAGACTGCAACAGATCTACCAAACCAGAGGGTACCACTAAAAGATTGCAACTAAGAGATTTCCCTCTAACTCTTCAAGTGGCTGGGATGGGTCTGAGCTCAGTTACATGGTCCTATTCCTTGTCTGTCTTAGAATAAATACTGAGTTAATATCTAAAGTCTGATTAGCTAAATAAGTTTAAAAGAAGTTTTTTTTTTCAATTAATGAAGCTAAATATATTTATATGCCAAAGTTTTGATAAAAATGTTTTTAAAGCATTATGTAGTATTCAAATATAATCTTTACAACTATCTGAAATTATGATTTTTTAAAAATCACATATCAAATGGGGGTGCATGAGCAAAGACATTTTGAAACCACTATTCTAGATGGAAGCCAGCGCTTTCATAATCTGGATTGGTTTCATTGAATTTTCACGTAATCTCATGATCTGTGCCCAGCCTACAGAAGGTAGGAATTTCCTCTCAAATCACTGGTGGGTTTTTGTTTTTGTTGTTGTTTTGTTTTGAGACAGAGTCTCGCTTTTGTTGCCCAGGCTGTAGTGCAGTGGTGTGATGTTGGCTCACTGCAGCCCCCACCTCCTGGGTTCAAGCAGTTTTGTCTCAGCCTCCCAAGTAGCTGGGACTACAGTCGTATGCCACCACGCCTGGCTAATTTTTTTGTATTTTTAGTAGAGATGGGGTTTTACCATGTTGGCCAGGCTGGTCTCCAACTCCTGACCTCAGGTGATCCACCCACCTCGGCCTCCCTAAAGTGCTGGGATTACAGTCAGGAGCCACTGCACCTACCCTATTGTGTTTTATCAATATGTTAATGAATTATGTTATGGCTGTTTGTGTATTTGCTTTCTGTTATTTAAATTTTAGGGACCAGGCACAGTGGCTCACACCTGTAATCCTGGCACTTTTGGAGGCCGTGGCGGGTTCATCATCTGAGGTCAGAAGTTTGAGACCAGCCTGGGCAACATGGCAAAACCCTATCTCTACTAAAAACACAAGAATTAACTGGGCGTGGTGGCACACGCCTGTCGTCCCAGCTACTCAGCAGGCTGAGGTGGGAGGATCAGCTGAGCCCAGGAAGTCTTGGCCGCAGTGAGCCATGATTGAGCCAATGCACTGCAGCCTGGGGAACGGTAGTGAGACCCTGTCTTGGCGGCGGGGGGGTGGGGAAGGGATGGGATGTAATCTCCCTGAGGATAAGGGCTCCATGCTGTTCTTCATAATATCTCCCAGGTAGTCTGTAAGTTTTTTTTTTGTTTTTTTTTTTTTAATTTTTATTTTTTAGATACAGGGTCTTGCTCGGTGCCCTAAGCTGGAGTTCAGTGGAGTGATCACAGCTCACTGCAACCTTGACTTCCTGGGCTCTAAACAATCCTCCCACTTCAGCCTCCTAAGTATCTGGGACTACAAGTGTGCACCACCACAACCTGCTTCCCCGCCTCCCGCCCCCTACAAAGATGGGGTCTTGCTATATTGCCCAGGCTGGTTTTGAACTGAGCTCAAGTGATCCACCCATCTTGGCCTCTCAAAGTGCTGGGATTACAGGTGTAAACCACCACGCCCGGCCTGAACTTTTTCTTCAAGGGCCATATGGTAAATACCTTAGGCTTTGCAGGCCATATAATTGATGTCAGTTCATGTCACAACTGCTCAACCCTGTCATTGTAGCACAAAAGCAGCCATAGACAATATGTGAACAAATGAACCTGATTGTGTTGCAACAAAAGTTTATTTATAAAAACAATCATTGCTAACCCTTGTCCTAGAGAGAATCCTTCTAATTGACAGTTGATCAAACATTAGATAACTATAATCCCCTGTTCTGCATCTGTTCTTCAAATGATTGCATTTCTGGCCACCTAAATCCAGTAGATACCGGGATTTTTGGCTTTTGTTACCAAAGCCCCCTAGCTGTGATAAGGATGTGGTGTAATATTCCTGTGGCCATGTGATTTCTTGTAAGAGAAAGGAAACAGAAAACCTGGAACACATGGATAGTCAGGAGCTGGTGGAGCAATAAATAAACTTGAACACAATGAGTGGAAAACACTAAAACATTTTCCTCTGTGCTTCAGATTCCAGAGTCACTGACTTTTACCTTCCCTTGCCATTGGATTTATGTAGCCCATGTAACTGCAGTTACTATTTGTATAGCATTTTAAAGTTTGTAGTACTCTTCTCATATTTGTCTCATATGCTGCTTTCAAAATTCTTTTTTTTTTTTTTTTTTTTTTACTTTTGAGACAGTTTTGCTCTGTCACCCAGGCTGGAGTGCAGTCGTGCAATCTCGGGTCACTGCAACCTCCGCCTCCCAAGTTCAAGCAATTCTCCTGCCTCAGCCTCCTGAGTAGCTGGGACTACAGGCACGCGCCACCACGCCCGGCTAATTTTTGTACTTTTAGTAGAGATGGGGGTTTCACCATATTGGCCAGGAGGGTCTTGAACTCCTGACCTCGTGATCCACCCGTCTTGGCCTCCCAAAGTGCTGGGATTACAAGCATGAGCCACCGCACCTGGCTTTTTTTTTTTTTTTTTTTTTTGACAGAGTCTCACTCTGTCACTCAGGCTAGAATGCAGTGGTGTGGTTTTTGGCTCATTGCAGCATCGGCCTCCCAGGATCAGGTGATTCTCCCACTTCAGTGGGTAGCTGGGACTACAGGTGCACACCACCATGCCTGGCTAATTTTTTGCATTTTTAGTAGAGAAGAGGTTTCCCCATGTTGCCCATGCTGGTCTCAAACTCTTGGGCTCAAGCGATCTACCCATCTTGGCTTCCTAAAGTGCTGGGATTATAGGCATGAGCCACCATGCCCGGCCCAGAAATTTTGTAAGGTGTTACTTCAGTGTTAGTGCTCAAGGAACAGGCTTGGTAAGGTTGTGGCTTATCTAAAACTAAATGGCTAATGGGTTTGAATGCCTTCACAGTTCAGACCCAGATTATCTGATGCCTGTCCTTCCTTTTACTATATTTCAAGTTCCTTTCCAGACAGATTATTAAGAGGAGTCAGATTTTTACCCTTTTTGGGATTCTGGCTACAGACAGCGCCACTAGGAAGACTTAGGAATGTTTGTTGGGTTACTCTCTGAATTACTGTGTTGAATTGTATAGTCTCATACTTGAAGAAGGACAGGAAGCCCGGACACTTAAGCACACTCATTGGATATCACCTGCTAAACAGAACAGTCGTTTCTTTGTCAACAGCATTACCACATACAGTTGCAAATAACCTCCCCCACCCTCAGATATACCCAGACTGTGTGTCTCTCAGCTCCTGTTCCATCATTCAGCATCTCTACTAAGAGGTTCCATTTCCCTTGAACATTTTCTGTCCTGCTGACTGCAGGACACTATAGATCTGACATGAATGCTGCCCTGCCGCATACCTTACACCTCCCACACCATCATTCAGAGCAACTACAGGCAGCAATGAGGGGGAATGGAAAGAAAGATAGGGAACACTCCCCCTTTTCTGGTCTTTATGGTTTTTATTTTCCTGCATCTAATCCTATTTGTTTTTCTGTCTATGTCTCACACACATACGAAGAGCTTCTAGCTATGGCCCTGGGGTTTGGACGAAAAAGTTGGTCATTAAATTCTCCTTATGAGACTGTGGAGATATATATATATATATATATATATATATATATTTTTTTTTTTTTTTTACATGTAGGCTCTATTAACTACTGTATTTGCCTGTAGATTAATTACACCTCAGTTGGTTGACCTGAAGACCTGATTACCATGTCTAATATTATTCCTGTTGGAATAATTTTGCTTTGACCCAAACAACTGCCACATTCAGAATGCAGTCCATTTGGAAATCAGAAGATTCCCATGGTTGCAGAGATAGCCAACTCCAAAGGGCACCATTCACATAATATCCCGTGTAAATAACACACCCCCTGAAGTCTTGGGATTCCCTGTACATCATTGTATAGCAGTAAATAACAGTGAAGGCTAGCAGCTTGGCATACGACTGTATAGGTCAAACATTTGTGTGGTAGATTTTACTACTGGGCCACCCTTACAACCTCTTCTCTAGAAGATGTTTTAAAGTGGCAGGATTTCCAACTTTTTTTTTTTTCATAACAAGGTTAAAAATGATTTTGACTCATTAATCCCATATAGTTACATTTATACCAGACATAAAGGCAGAAAATTGTTTGAATGTGATACTTAGCTGTTTTCTGGCCCCATAGGACAGATATTTTTTTAAGTAGTTTTAGTGCTGTTTCCTAACCAGTTTGTGTAGTTTGTTAGAATAACAACCAACTGCTGCTTTTCATCCTGGAGTTGTGCCTCGCACCTTGACTGTACCTCAGCCCCTCTCATTAAGTGTGTGTGGGTGATAGAAATTGAGGGACTGTGTTATAGCCAACTCTACGCCTGGCTGTGGAAGGTGGAGAGACTAGGGTATAATAACCTGTTAGTATTCCAGCAGGAAGGGGGCTTTGTTTTATCACCTCAAGTAATCAAATCCAGTTAATCCTTAGTTGGAAATGTAGAGGATATATAACCTTGGAGAAAAGCTTGTTAACTTTATAAAAAGGGCTTAATAAGAGCACCACCTGCTGGCCATGAAGATCTGTGGTATTTTGAGAGAGCTTGCCAAACCCTGCACATGAGGCTACAGCAACTTCCCAGCAGGAGGAAGAAGTGAGCATTACAAAACACCCGGAAAAAGTGCGCCTGAGAAAATGGTGGAAAGTAAGGAGCCAGACAGCCAGGTGAATCGTGGAATGTCAGACCCTAGTCATCCTGAAGTCAGGGTCTTCTCATTCATCTTTCATTTTGTTTGAGGAAACAGTAACTTAAGGATGACATTAGTAATTCGTCTTATTTTCCTGTTATTTACCTGATAAGGATCAGCACCCTCTTCTCTGAAAATAGCAGTTTACCTATGTGGGTATGGAATGTAGGAGACCTCTAGCTGAATGGATCTCTGGTGTGTTCTCTTCCATTTCATATCCCTTTTTTTGCTTACTTTCAGGTCCCATATCCAGTCTATTTTAGATTTTTAACTCTTCACAGAACCTAGGTATTATCACTTACTAGTTAGTATATGAACTCAACCAGCAATTCCTAAGATATCTTTTTTTTTTTTTTTTTTTTTACTGACTGGGGGATCTAACTGGGTTCCTGTTCACTCTTAACATGGAAGCAATTAAAAGGCAACACAGCAAACTTCTAACAAAGTCTAGCAGCTGGAGTTCCTTAAACTGTTTATACTGGGTTTAAAGAGGAATCGCTCTTGATTCCGCTTAATACGTCAACTGGAGAGTACAAGGTAGTGTTCCATGACTTGGGTTCTACAATGTGCCAACTTGCACTTAAGAGCATTTAGTTGAGGGGAAGGGTTTAGGAGTGGAGTTCCAGTTGAAGAGTCATTGACTAAACATTTTAGAGTTGAGAGACTCATAGCAGTCATATAATCTAGCAGTAACAAATAGATGTCCTTTCTTGTGCCTATTCAAATGAATTGACAGTAACTGTCTGGAGTTATTTAATGTATTGTTTGGGAAGAATCTGAGGTCTCCAGTACAACAGGAAAGACAGCTGTGTTTGTACCTCCAGTACAACAGGAGGGTTAGAGAATGAATGCTAGAATGTTGCCAGCCCTGATCTAGCCCCACTGCCTCATTTCACAGGTGGAACTAAAGCCCAGCTGAATGATTTGTTCTTGCTTTCTCCTTCTACTCGAGATAGAACCAGGACCTGAATCCAGGCCTACTTGTTTCTAGTCATTGCTGTTTTCACTATAACCAGGTCTCTCATATCCCTGTCCCTTTTTTTTTTCCTGGCTTCATTTTCAGATTTGGGAGAACGATGGGGGAAAATAAAAGGAAAAAATAAAATCTATGCTTTTTGGAGTTCCATTACATATATATACAAAACATACACAGCCTTTGCCAAGTGGGAGTAACTCTTCTGCTGACAAAGGGGTATTGTGGGATGGGCAGAAGTGACCTCGTCTCCTTTCTTGAGCCTCTTTTATACATTCCAGCTCAGCCCAGCTTTCAGATTGTTCTACAGGGCCGAATGCTTCTAGACAATGCTTTATTTCCTAGGATTTGGTATAGCTGAGTTTTTAAGTGTGGAAAAGAGTGATTATGAAAAATGTTTGAGAAGACAGCACTGTCCTCAGAGACTGTGTTTTTACACTTGGACAGGTAGCAAATGTTTGTTTTCATTAAAACTTTAATAGTTTTCCTAATTTGTTTCACTGTCATAAAGCCCAGCAATCATGGAGCTGAGGGTGCTTACCCACTGGGAAAAATCATCCCTGAGAATGTTAGCTTTTTTTTTTTTTTTTCCCAACTCAGATTTTTATTCCAGTCCTGGAAGGCCTAACATTCAGTCCTCGAAGGCATAACATTCAGTGTCATGAAATTCATCATCTATACCATAGGCAGGAGTGGCTAAATTTCTTTTACTCTGCAGAACTGGCTTGGAAAATATTTTGTACTGTCTATTTCTTGGGAGTAATTTGAGAAATAATTGACTTTACTACAGAATCCTCTCCATCCTCTGGATCAGTGAGTAGCCTCAAGGTATATTGTCTAAGAGTATGGGCTTTAGGGTTGTATAATCTTGAGTTTGAAAGTTGGTTGTTACTCATTAAACTATGTAACCTTGGACATAGTTAATGTACCTTTCTGCACCTGTTCCCTATCTTTAAAATAAGCATAATTGTGTTTGCCTCATGGAACTGTTACAAAGATTAAGTGGCACACGCATGATGATAAACACACAGTGCCTGGCAGATAATAATGGGTTCAGTAATGTTAATTTAGACGTCTCTTCCCTGCCTTCTTATCCTCAGTTCAGAGTGAGCATATCCTCTGTGCTCTATGGGACCCAAAACCCCATAAGCTTTTAGAAAATATATTAAACAGGCCGGGTGCAGTGGCTCACGCCTGTAATCCCAGCACTTTGGGAGGCCGAGGCAGGTGGATCACGAGGTCAAGAGATCGAGACCATCCTGGCTAACACGGTGAAACCCCATCTCTACTGAAAATACAGAAAACTAGCCGGGCGAGGTGGCGGGTGCCTGTAGTCCCACCTACTCAGGAGGCTGAGGCAGGAGAATGGCATGAACCCGGGAAGCGGAGCTTGCAGTGAGCCGAGATGGTACCACTGCACTCCAACCTGGGCGACAGCAAGACTCCGTCTCAAAAAAAAAATACACACACACACACACACACACACACACAATAAATTTCTAATAGTTCTAGAAGACATGCTATCAGTGACTGGAATTTGTAATTATTTTTGAAAGATGGATAAAGACAAGATAACTGTGAAGAAATAAATAGAAAGATAGCCCAAAGCACATGCCAGGAGTAAGTTGCTGTGAGGTGGGAACTGATTACAGGAGGTTTTTGACCCAGAATTAAAGGGCAGAAGGAGTAGTGATAGGACCTGGGCATTTGTCTGGGTGATAAATTTGGACTCATCTTGGAATAGCTAGGTTAGATTTTCCTTTCCTGTCCTCTCACCCCACCAGAGCCTTCTTCCTTGAAGTAGTGGTGTTTCATTCTATTCTGAAGCAGTGGATAGGGACTCTGGCGGGAACTTCTGAGCATGCCCCAAGTGGTTACCGATTCCTAGGAGGAACTGGGAGGTGAGGAAAAATGTGCTGGCTTTTAGATTTGAATATCCCTGGAAAGCTTTGCAGAAGCTTGAAAACAGACTCACACCGCTATCCATGGTGGTGAAATGTCAGAATATTGAAAACATGAAAAGGAAAATCTAAAAGTTGTACATCAGCACCAGAGGTTCCAGTCAGAGTAATAGGCAAGAAGTAAAAAAGGAATACAGATTGGAAAGAAAAGGTAAAACAGTCTCCATTTGTAGATGATGTACTTATGTCTATAGAAAATCCTACTGAATAAACAAGAAAAAGTCTATAACGAAGTAGTTTCACAGGCTACAAGGTCATTATATAGCAGTTTATTGTACTTCTATATACTAGTAATGAAGAACTGAAGTTGAAATTTTAAAAGGTACTATCTTTAATCATTTCCATCTGAGACTTTTGTCAGCCTGGCCTTCACTGCCCGTATTTCTATCAGTATTTTGGTCAAAACCATTTAACAAATCTCTAAGAAGTTCCAGACTTTCCCTCATCTTCCTGTCTTCTTCTGAACCCTGCAAACTCTTCCAACTTCTGCCCATCAGAAAACATTAATTCTTAGGAATAAACTTAACAAATTGTATTTAAGACCGGTATGTCAACAATAACTAAACGCTGTCAAGAGAAAATCAAGACAAACGTAAATAGATGGAGAGAGAGATACCACGTCAGTCGATTGAAAGATTCAGTATTGGTGGTGGAACACATGGAAGTTGTCCCCAAATTGATCTGTAGAGTCAGTGTAATACCACAAGTTTGTTGTTGTTTTTTGCAGAAGCTTAAAAGGCAAAAACCAGACCACCTACAAGTAAGAAAGAATCCGATTCCCTCTTAAATATAGCACTGGATATTAGAATACACGGAAGAATTGAATAGCTTTAAATGTTTGAGAGGAAAATGGTTTAAATCTAGAAATTCCTTTTCTAAAGGAATTGCTCAAGGATATATTCTTGGGAAAAATCTAAGAAAATGGAAAGATAAGAAACAGCATAAAAAATTCAGTCCAAAAGATGTTGATTTGTGATATTGAACATTAACCAGTCAGCTAAAAATCCCCGATAATCTCATGATGGGAATTGGCGGAGCCACAGAGGAAGGAAAGAGAGAATGGTATGTAGTTCTTATTTGGAGAGAGTATGTAGTACTCAGTACAGTGCCTGATAACATAGATAATGAATATTGTTGAATAATTGCATCCTGATTAACTTTATATTGATAGAAAAGAAGTAGGCTTAAATATGTTTTTAAATCTCTAGAATAGAAACAGGATGTTTTCAAACCAGTAAATTCAACAAACAAGGATACAAGAACAAAAACTCCATCAACCAAACCAAAAAGGTGTCTTGTTTTGTTTCCCTTTGGGACTTGAAAGTAAAAAGCTAAAGTGACCTGCTTGCAAATAGAAGAATGACCTTCAGTAATGCTCACGTAAACAGATCTTCCATATGACAGCACTTGCCCTGCCAAGTGTCAGGCCACTGGGCAAATTAAAGGAGGATGGAGTGTAGGTCTTGAACACTAGAGAGGCCAGGTGTTTGGACTAACCTGTAGCATTTTATGTTTCTTGCAGATGTTCCCACAAGCCTGCATTTCCAGAGCATGCTGAAATCTCAGTGGCAGAACAAGCCTTTTGACAAAATCAAACCTCCCAAAAAGTTATCGCTTAAGCACAGAGCACCCATGCCGGGCAGTCTGCCAGATCCAGCTCGTAAGGACAGGCACAAATTGGTCAGCTCCTTCCTAACAACAGCCAGTAAGTGTCAGGGAGCCGGGAAGTCCCCCAGAGTATCAGTGACTTTTCATTCCTTTTATATTCTCAAATTTGTAGTTTGCATGCATGTTGGGGTTGGGAGAGGCAGTTGACCGATAACAAATTCAGCTCACAGTGACTGCTTCTGCTTGTCTTGGATGCTCTCAGATGGACTTCGGGAGCTATTCTAGACACCATGGATCTTGGAGCAAGACCCAAAATGCTCAGTGAACAGCCAGCAATGGCATGGCATTGAGTTCATCTACGGGCAGGTGTCTTCTGTATCCTGGTGACATGTTTCTCTGGTTCTGGGCTCCCTGTGCCTATCCTAGCCATTGTGCAAATTACTAGAAACTTCAGTCCTGAAGGACTGTCCTGCTGCCCTGGGTATACGGCGTTGGCCTAGAGAGAACTCGAGAGCTTGGAACTCGAATAAGAAAATATTTGAGAGGACATATTTCACAGCTCTTTTTCTGTTCCCCTCTTCAGAGCTGTCCCATCACCAAACCCGGCCTGACAGGACCCACAGGCAGCACTTAGACGATGTGGGGGCCGTGCCCATGGTGGAGCGAGTGACAGCGCCAAAAGCAGAGCGCTTGCTCAACCCACCACCACCCGTGCATGACCCAAACCACAGCAAAATGAGATTGCGAGACCATTCATCTGAGAGAAGTGAAGGTAGGGCCAGGCCCATGGCACCTCTACCTGCAACTGCACCTGCTCAGGGCTTTCTGGGGCAGCCTAGGCTTCTCTTAATTGCCCCCAGCTTTGTCCTTCACTTTCTAGGAAAGCAGAGTAGAGGGACGCTACTGCTTCTAAATGGAGGTCACTTTTTAACTGCTACAGCAACCTCTGCCCTGCCCCTACTTCCCACAGCTAGTGTGCTTCACCTTTTTATCCTCTAGGCATAGAAAACATTTTTGCCTTTAGTATGTATTGCTGCCATTCCAAGCTTGTGTTAGAAGTAACGCTGGTTAAGATAGCCATGTATTTCTCTCTTTTCTGTTGACTTCTGCAGTGTTGAAGCATCACACAGACATGAGCAGTTCGAGCTACTTGGCAGCCACCCACCATCCTCCACACAGTCCCTTGGTGCGACAGCTCTCCACCTCCTCAGATTCCCCTGCACCCGCCAGCTCTAGCTCACAGGTTACAGCCAGCACATCGGTAAGTACCTGTGTGGGATTGGCCGGACACCCCCTCTGCAGGTCACAGCTCACTCAAGTGGCTCCAGAGGACAGTGTGAGGGTGGGTTATAAAGCCCAGGGCATTTATAGGATCTCAGCTCATCATGACATATGTATGTATGTCTGTACCATTTTTAAGTCAAAGTCATGGTATTTGACCTTCTGTTGTTTTTCTTGAGTTGTTTTTCATAGCAGAGATGGATTTATGCTGAGCCATCCATAGAAAGCTTGATGCAGGGACAAACTCTTAAGGTGATCTGTGACTATTCAAGATCTGTTGGACTAAGTTTCACACAGGACTCAACAGTTCCGTGTCCCTAATCCTGTTGGCCCAAGAAGTGAACAAGAGAGGAGGGGTGGGTAGAGGGGAGATTCCCATGGGCGTTGGAAGCAGTGTTTGATTTCCTTGGTTTTACTCTCTGGGTGAGTGGAGGTGAAGTACTGAGAATAAACACTAGGCGTGAGGGTACCAGAAGAGAAGGGAAGGGAGAAGGCAGAGTCCATGCTTTTTAGGTATACAGAGCAGAATTACGGATCCAGCAGGCCCCCATGGCAGGACATTTGGCATGCACACACCAGATTTTACGATACCACACTCCATCTGGAAGCAGTTTGCACAGCTATTCCAGACACATTTCCTTTAATTTCATTCTAATATTTTAATTCCTCAAGTGTGCCCTCTTGGAACATACATACCTGTAGCTGCTATGGACCTACTCAAAGGGTCCTTTTTGTATAATAATTACAATGTAATGTAATGGTAAATGTAAAAGTCTACAACTGTAATGTTTATTGAACACTTACTACATGCCAGTGATCAGTGATTTACATGTGTTACATGTTATAATGCCTTTTGAGATGTAGGTTGGTACTGTGGATTTCATTTTATATGCATGAAAACTGTCAAGGCAACTTGTGAGGGTTATAATTATGATTCAAACTCAGGCAGCCTGACTGTAGAGCCAGCTCTTTTACCATTACACTACACAGGCTAAGCCTGGGTGAGGGTATTGCAGAGGCAACTTAGGAAGTTCCTTCAGAGCCTAGATCAGGAAACTTCCAAGCTCATAAAATGGACTCACTAGGCTCCTGTGATCAGGTAGGAATTCACATTGTTCTCTCTTTGCTGTTACAAATCAATCTTTTCCAAATGGTCTCTTTGCTCTTCGACTTTCTTTACCCCCGTAACCCACAAATTTTATCTAAATAGGTGTGTAGTGTCCCTCACATACTCAGTTATCCAGCAGCAAAGGGTTTCAGATAACCAAAGTATTTATAAAAAAGAGTCTAAACTAATTCTGATAGAAAATCTGAACTCAGAGATTCAGGACTTGGTGAGCACTTCAATATTTCTGTGTCTGGAGAATGTTAACTTAGGCCTGGATCACTTGAAATTTTTACCATTTATTGAGTAAAAATTTTGTGTATAGCACTATGCTAACCCCTGAGGCGCTCTCATTGCCAAGTTTTTTCAAAGACTCTGGATTTATGTAAAAGAAGATAGGCCAGGCGCAGTGGCTCACACCTATAATCCCAGCACTTGGGGAGGCGGCTGAGGCGGGTGGATCACTTGAGGTCAGGAGTTCGAGACCATCCTGGCCAATAAGGTGAAACCCTATCCCTACTAAAAATACAAAAATTAACTGGGCGTGGTGGCATGTGCCTGTAGTTCCAGCTACTCTGAGGCAGGAGAATCACTTGAACTGGGAAGCGGAGGTTCCAGTGAGCGGAGATCAAGCCATTGCACTCAAGCCTGGGCGTCGCAGCAAGACTTCGTCTCAAAAAAAAAAAAGAAAGAAGATAGGCCAGATAACAGCAGGCTCTCAGTATCTGCAGTATCTGCAGTGGGGATTGGTTCCAGGACCTCCCATAGATAGCAAAAGCTATTGTTGCTCATGTCCCTAATATAAAATGGCATAATATTTGCATATAACCTATGTGTATGCTTTAAATCCCATATACTTTAAATCATCTCCAGATTACTGATAATACCTAATGCAATGTAAATGCTATAAAAATAGTATGCTGTATTGTTTAGAGAATAATGAAAAGAAAAATCTGTACCTTTTCAGTACAGACACAATTTTTTTCCCCCCAAATATTTTCAATCCACAATTGGTTGAACCCATGGATACAAAGGGCCAGCTCTCCTTGAAATCAAGTAAAGAAGCCAGAGGACACTGGAGAAAGGTAGGGAGGAGAGCGAGTGTTTTTGTCAGTGCTTCCCAAAAGCCAGTAGCTGCATCAGAATCACCTCAGCAGCTTTAAAAAACAAAACCAACCAACCAGACACTTCTAAAGATCTGATTTGTTGCTGGCTGTGATATTGCATGCCTGTAGCTCCAGCTACTCAGGAAGATCTCTTCAGCCCAGGAGATTGAGTCCAGCCTGGGCAACATAGTGAGACCTCATCTCTTAAACAAACAAACAAACAAAATTCTGATTTTATAAAAGAGCGGGGGGAGTCCTAGAACCTTTTTTTTTTTTTTTTTTAAATACTCCTTAATGTTGCTTCTGATATACAGCCAAGTTTGGGAACCAGTTTTATTCTCATCACCTGCTCTCTATCTCTGGCTCTAAATAGGAGATAGTAGTTAATTTAGACCTAATGAGTAGCTAACATAATAGGGGGTGTGTCTAGGCAGAGGATGAGATACAGAACCCGTTGAACCATCCCACAACCTGCTTCCAGTATCTTTTTCTCGAAGGTACTAACAACAAGCCCAAGAAGTTTCAGGGAAAGTGTATACCTGTTTCTGCCAGCAGTTTCACATTTATTCTTGACCAAGATACTGGGAAGGCTGTCTCTCTTGAGGCTTTCTTAAGATGCATTTCTTGTAGTGGGATGTATAATTTCAGCACAGATCTGGCAGTGGCAGAGGTCTCTGGGTATGAGATCACTAATCCTCAGCTACAGAACTCAGGCAAGATCCCCAAAAGTCTGTTTAACCATTTTGGTTAACCAGATATCCTAAATTTCTGAGGTCAATGGCAGTCATCTGATTTGATAGAGAAAGAAATTGAAGTGAAAAGGGCATTGTGGTCATCTGAAGTTATAAATGACAGTGACTGAAACTCTGGCCCAGGAAGTGCTGACTTTTAACATTCTCTGAGAATGTCCTAAGATGATAGGATGAATAAATGGTATCTCACCGTCCAGGAACAGAGGATAGAGGGGTTAGTTATAGGGGACTTCTTACTCCTCCAACCCCTTCCCTGTGGACTGACCACACTTGGTGGTTTAGGTGTAAATGCAGCCTCTTAGGTGTTTTCCAGCTGTTTTGTTGCCATGGCAGCGTGTTTGTTATGCCACTGTTTCCTTCTGGCCTCTCACAGCTCAGTTGCTAGTCTCTGTTTCAGGATAGGGTATTAACTATCTGGGCAGCAGCAGCTAGTAGACTTCTTCCTCCATCCAAGAGACTAAGCCATTTAGTTCCCTAGTCTTCCAGCTACTGTAGATGCTTACCTCTGCCTCTGATATTCGATCCTTGGAAGTCTTACTTTTCCAAGAGTTTGGTCTTCTCAACTATTTCCTATAGAAGCAAATTTCCTTTCACCAGGAATGTGAGGTATAGTCAGGTTCTCCTCTTTAGTTTCCCTCCATTCATCTCCTTTGATACAGCTAGAAAGCTCTCAGCTCTTTCCCCAAGAATCATCAAAAGAGGGGAAATCACATAAAGACTGGGCAGATGGTGG
Organism: Homo sapiens; assembly: GCF_000001405.40. NCBI lineage: Eukaryota > Metazoa > Chordata > Mammalia > Primates > Hominidae > Homo > Homo sapiens. The sequence continues at coordinate 753,795 of NT_167251.2, forward strand.
GTGCAGATTTAGCTGAAGAGTTCAGATCTTTGAGAAGGAGGTGCATTCATGACAACCAAGGTTAGATGATGTATTGAGATGGGCCTATCCTTTGGGCCTCTTTCAGCATAAGCTTTCAAGCATTGCTTTTAGGGGAGGGGCCACTATGAGTCTTAAGTCATAAACGGGGATAAAGGAAGGAAATAAAGATTGTAAAAGGAGAGGAGGTTAATAGAGGTGTATATAGAGTAGGAACCCCAACAGTTAAGATCCCAGGTACCCACCCCTATGAAATTTACGCATGAGCCCTTGAAGGAAGAGGGTGACCAGTGGGACTTATGAATGGGACTAACTCCTCATGACCACCTGGTATTTCTCCGTGATGTTTTTTGCTGTTGGAGACTGACTCCTAGGTGGGAGCAGCTGCTATGGTCATTACTCAGCTTCAACCCAAGGACCCAGATGCTTGGTTATTGGTGATCCTGCTTTAACTCTTAGATGAATGATTTGATGTCTGTAAAATTGTACCTTCCTTTTAAACTTAATTTTTATCTTACAGCAGCAGCCAGTAAGGAGGAGAAGGGGAGAGAGCTCATTCGATATTAACAACATTGTCATCCCAATGTCTGTTGCTGCAACAACTCGCGTAGAGAAACTGCAATACAAGGAAATCCTTACGCCCAGGTAGAAGCTCAGAATAGTTGGCTCCTCTCCCCATTCTTCCTGCTATTGCCCTTTTTCCCTCTTCTCTTCTGACCAAGAGTTGGGCCCTAGTCTTTGGTTCTGTCTTCTCATTAAGAGAAATTCTTATCTGATAAGAACGAAATTATTTCTGTATATAGTTCTCTCTCATTCCATTATAGGAATACACCAAACGAACCAGCAGTCACAGCCTGGTAGGCCATTCACTTACTGGTCTAGAGACCGGTTTTGTCAACACATACAGTATGTTTTAAAATACTGAATTTGTTGTCAACATCAAAGCAGGATTTCACATAAAAATCTTTGTTTCCAGCTTTTGTTGCCAAACAGAAGATTAGGCAACCCTGGGTATGCATTTCCATATGGGAGCAATCAGCTGGTCCTGAACAGTGGTGGTCCCCTTTAAACAGGTTTCTTTTCTTGTGTTTGTCACAGTCTCTCAGCCTCAGCCTTACCCTAGGCCGCTTCTCTCATTTCTGGCCTTCTTGGGCATTTGAGTAGGTGGCCAATTTCACAGGCCTTGACAGGGTAGGGAGACTGAGCTGTGATAGGGCAGAGCCTACCCGGCAGAGAGCAGTGTCACCCACAGGTGCAGGATTCTCATCCTTGCATGGACACTTAGACCCTGCCCCCAGTTTTAGCCTGCTTGCCATCTCATGATTGTCTGTTCTTGGTTTTGCAGCTGGCGGGAGGTTGATCTTCAGTCTCTGAAGGGGAGTCCTGATGAGGAGAATGAAGAGGTAATGGCCTGGTTCTTCTGTTAGAAGAACACGTGTGTACACATGCACACATACATATGAGTGCACACACCCTAAATGGCCTGAAGACTTGTGGGTGTCAAGTGCAAGCTCCTTGTATTCCTGTCGTGACCGGGAAGAACCTAGAATGGGGTGGGACTGGTTCTTAACTCCTGGAGAAAAGAGGGGATCGATGAAGCTGCTCTATTGCAGATTGAGGACCTATCCGATGCAGCCTTTGCCGCCCTGCATGCCAAATGTGAGGAGATGGAGAGGGCACGGTGGCTGTGGACCACGAGTGTGCCACCCCAGCGGCGGGGCAGCAGGTGATGGGGCAGGCTTGGGTCCCCAGGGCCTGTGGAGAGAGGGTGGACAGGGAGTTTGGGCCCTACTTGAGTCCATGGAATTGCTACTGCCTCTTGGTTGCTCATCATACTCATCTACTGGCAGTGGCAAATAGCTCAGAATTTCCTTGGTGTTTGTTGGAACTAGTGGAGATATATGGAACTAGTGGAGATATAAGGAGCCAAGTGCTAGATCCTTGCTGAGAAGTCACTATGTAATTCTGAATTCCCATGATCTGTGGCATTTGGAAGACAGTTGGGGGGTCATGGTGATTCAACCCGGGGAGCTTGGAAGGCCTCGCTACAAGTTAACCTTCCTTTGGACAGTGGCTTTGTGATGCCACTTGAAGAAACTGCCCCCCCTTAACGTCCATCACTACCCTGTCTCCATTTATTGTTAACAGTGGCAGAAACCCTCGGGATTCTCAAGTAGAAAGTTTTGGGAGCTCTTACTTTTACTTTTTTTTCTTTGACTACAGTTTTCAAAGTCTACACGAATCTCCCTAACCTCCTGAATTCACTAGGCACTTTGCTATGGACTCACCTGGCATTGTTCAGCCATGCTTTTTTCTTGGGATGGTAAATGTTGTATACCTACCCCTCCAGAGAATAGTGGGAAGAAATGGGAGTTGCTGGATCCTAAGGAAAATCTGTTGGTCTTTGTTTGCCTCAACTCCTCCAGTGGGGATGCTTTTTTCATGCCCTCTACCCCCATAAGTAAACATTTCCCAGGCACTCAGATTTGCATTCCTTGGTGTGCAGGTCCTACAGGTCATCAGACGGCCGGACAACCCCCCAGCTGGGCAGTGCCAACCCCTCCACCCCCCAGCCTGCCTCCCCTGATGTCAGCAGTAGCCACTCTTTGTCAGAATACTCCCATGGTCAGTCCCCTAGGAGCCCCATTAGCCCGGAACTGCACTCAGCACCCCTCACCCCTGTGGCTCGGGACACTCCGCGACACTTAGCCAGTGAGGATACCCGTTGTTCCACACCAGAGCTGGGGCTGGATGAACAGGTAAGGGACGCAGCCTTTGGGTGGGGTTGGCATGGTTGGGGGATGGAACCAGGAAGGGGCAGCATCTGCTGAAGAGGGACCTAGCCATCCCCTCCCCCTTTTGAAGGGACAAAGGGCTGCACTTAAATTGATCTCCTCAACGTTCAGTGGAACTGTATTGATCATTGCTAAATGATCAATACAGTTGTCTGGGTATACCCTAGGAGGGGTGTTCCCAGACTGTCCCAGGAACACTAGATAGACTGGTCCTAGGCTCCAGGCCACAAGGTTTGTGGCAGGGCCTTGGAGCAGGAAGCAGGCTGGCTGGGACTGGGTCCTCAAAGAGCAACTTGTCTGCCTACAGTCTGTCCAGCCCTGGGAGCGGCGGACCTTCCCCCTGGCGCACAGTCCCCAGGCGGAGTGTGAGGACCAGCTGGATGCACAGGAGCGAGCAGCCCGCTGCACTCGACGCACCTCAGGCAGCAAGACTGGCCGGGAGACAGAGGCAGCGCCCACCTCGCCTCCCACTGTCCCCCTCAAGAGTCGGCATCTGGTGGCAGCAGCCACAGCTCAGCGCCCGACTCACAGATGAGCGGGAGACAGCCATCTAAACAGACTCACTAACTATTGGCATTAAAGCTTCAGAAATCTCTGCGTTTGATATTCAAACATCATATGCCGGAAATTTTCACAGTTTTTAGTGAACTTAAGGAATTTAGATCCTACTTTGGTATTTTTTTTTCTTGTTTTAATTTTTGTTTTGTTTTTGTTTCCATGTTTTCTTGTCACACACCTGAGCACTTCCTCCCGTTGGCAAACAGAAGTTCAGGATGAGACCCTGCTGGCCTGGTCCTGGCACATCCTCTGCACTGTTGAATCACTGGACTTACTGATCTTAGATGACCACCCCCTCCCTCACACCTGTGGGCAGGGCAGAACAGCCTGGCGGGCAGAGGGCTACAGTTTAGCATGGCCTTCTTGAGCTAGGGTGGAATGGGGCAGGGTGCTCTGGACTCTTACCCCCTCCCCTCCCATCTGTGGCTTGGCTCTGCTGTGGCCCTCCTGGCTGGGTCCCCTTGGTTTTTTGTGCTGGAACATCCCCACCAGAGCCTCTCTGCCATAACTGCCAGCTGCTCTCCCCGAGTGCTCAGCTGGCAGAACACCTTTCCTTTCTCACCCAGAACTTAAGAGACTGATTTTTTGTTTCATCTGCATTTGGTCTTCTCTGTTTTGACTCTCTCACTGCAGTAACCTGGCTGTGGCTGCTCAGGTTCCCCTCCTCATGCCCCTTGGTACCCTTCCCTGTCTGCTCTCCCATGCCATGTACACACCCACAACCCATCCTTCCACTTGGAATATTTTTACCACCTATCCTGATCTTTGAAGGTAGGGTTAGGACTACTTAACCTCTATTCCCACTCCCCTGCAAACTGGGGGTTGTGGGAAGTGAGCAGCCATCTCCCTGTGTGATTTTTTTTTTTTTTCCCTCTGATTCACTTTGCCATGTTTCCTTCACATCCAGATCCCTGTCGGTGTTAGTTCCACTCTTGGTCTTTCACGCTCCCCTTGCCTGTGGAACATTGTCTGGTCCTAGCTGTGGTTCCCATTGTTCCCCCTTCACCCTTCTCTGTTAACCTTGTGCCTGTCTCCTGTATGATCACATCACCAAAAAGGGGGAGGGGGGAGAAGACTCTTTTTTTTTGGCCATTTTGTAATCGTATAAAAATAGTAGACAACTGCTTAATGGTTGGGGTTTTTTCACAATTTTCAACATTAGTGATTTTTTTTTCTGTTTGCAAGTTAAAGGGTTTGTCATTGTTTCTTTAAAAAAAAAATACAATAATGCACCATATCCCTATGCATAAAGTGCTTCTTCTATTTATAAGGTTGAAAATTCTGAATAACCCTTTTAGCATTGAAAAAAAAACAAAAACAAAAAATGGAAAAAAAAACCTTGTATTTTGTAAATATTTTCTTTTCCTGCTTTGGAGCTGTGTAATGGCAGCGAAACATGTAGCTGTCTTTGTTCTATAGAAATGCTTTTCTTCAGAGAAGCTGATCTTTGTTAATGTCTTGATTCTGTTCGCAAAGCACAGACTAGTGCTTAAAAAAAAAAAGAAGGAAAAATTGAAAAAAATAAAAAAAAAAGTTACAGAATGCTGTGTACCAGGCCTTTCTTGACTTACTGAACTGTGTATGCATGGTAGTGTTGGCAGTTTCGGAGCTGGCTCTCTGCCGCCGTTCTTTGGGGTACTCTGACTTGCTCTATACCTTGGAAAATCTCCATTCTGTCTTGTGGGAACGCCGCAGGTTGATCTGATGGCCACCAGAGAGAGAATGGTGGTGGCTTTTCACTGAGGGTAAGGGCTGCCAGGAGGAGAGGGGATCTGCATTGATCATCTCTTTTTTCTTTTTGTTGAGTGAAAGCAGTTGATGCACTTTCTCTCTAGTGAAGTCAGCTGTATGATATTTTCTATCTGTTCTAAGTTGCTCTTTAAAGGAGATTTTGCTTCTCACTGTTAAATTTTTCTGAGGTTTGGTGGGGTCAGTGAGATACATAATTTGCTTAGAGCCTGGATTGGTTCTTGCCTGCTGCCTGAGATTATAACATCTTTCTTCTGAGGAGGTTACATGCTTTTTTTTTTTTATTGTTTGAGATGGGATCTTGCTCGATTGTCCAGACTGGAGTGCAGTGGTGCAATCTTGGCTCACTGCAGCCTGGATCTCCTTCCTGGCCTCAAGAGATCCTCCCACCACAGCCTTACCAGTAGCTGGGACTGTAGGCATGTGCCACCATACCCAGCTAGTTTTCGTGGGTTTTTTGTGGAGATAGTGTCTCACTATGTAGCCTAGGCTGGTAGGTGCTTTTTTTTTGTACAAGATGAATAAGTGGGTGGGGCTGGTTCTCCCTCTGCTCTCTTTGCATGGCAGTCAAGCTGAAACAGCCAGTGAGGCTGTCTCTTGTGGCTCTGAAAGCCATGCTCTCTGAGATAGCACTTCTCTTTTGCTGGCCTGTTGCTGCTTTTGTAGCTGCAGTTAAAATCTGTTTTACTTAAACATCTGCCTGCGGTGGCAAACACATCAGGAAGAGCAAAGAAAAGTAGTATTTTGAAACAATCTAAGGATTCAGTATCATGACCTTGGCATAGTTACTAAGGAATAATATGATGGATTACTGTTTTGTTTTTGTTTTCCTTTGTGGCATTGCTATGAAGACACTATCTGGTTATCCCTATCTTGGTTTAGCAGAAATACTCCTCAATCTATAATAAGGTACCAAAGGAAAGAAGGCAGCTCTGCAAACCTAGCAGGAATCTAAGCCATTCATTAAGCTGATTGGCTTGGTGTTCTGCTCCAGCCCCAGGCCTCTGGACTAAATTTCCAGGGATGAAAGATCCCATATCCTCATCCCCAACCTTCTCAGGTTTGCATACACTGGTGCCGGTCTTGCAAACTGAGTGCTGCATCGTGAGGTCAGCCACAAGGCTTTGTATTGCCCTTTGAATGGGACTAGGATGGTTTGCCAGCATCACAAAGAAGCAACTGCAAATGAGCAAGTCTGAGAACTCTCACCTTCAGGGCCCCAGAGAGAGCTGTTAATCCTGATGTCCAGCTTTTATTAATACTATCATTTCCTGTTCTGAGCTAAATTATCTAAGGGTGCGTGGGAAAGAACTTAAAAAATAGACATTCTATATGACTTTCTTGTCCTTGGAATCCATGAATGGAGACCTTATTTAATCAGAGTAATAACTTTATTTCCAAATTCACTTTTACAGCAACAGTCAGTGTAAATCATTTGTTAAAACACACAATACACTATATAGACATTCACAGACAGAAAGCTAAGCTAAGATGATTTCATGTCCCTCCCCCCACCCTCAGAATTACCGAAGAAATCATGGGACTTGCAAGTGCCAGAAATAGTCCTGCTCAACATGGCAAACTCATGGGGCTAAGTCTATTAGGAGGTGAGGCTCTAGGCCAGTGCCCAGGGTAACCCTTTTCAAAGCTGAAGAGAAATCAGAAGTTTTATGAAGCCGCAGGTCTGTAGATGGGACACGCAGGTGATCACCTCTGCCCTCGCCCCGACCTCGTGGCTTTACTTGGAGAACAAAGATGAGGAGGGTGAAGCGAGTGATCTCAGCTCCAAAAGCACAGGCTGTGTGTCTGGAGCCAGTGTGAGAGGTGGCACAGAGGTGCCAACGGCTTAGAGGGAAGGATGCCAAGGTCTTAGGGAGGCATGATTGTGGGCTTAGGACCCCTGAAAGAGGGCAGCAGGCCAAAGCAACCAGATGTCCATATTCCTACGCCTGCACCTGGCTGGGGAGGGAATGAACTAGCCAGCTGCCTGGGAAAGCCTGTCAGTGGAAAAGAGAAACCCCAAGGGCCTCTAACTCCGTGGCTGCTCCCTCCCTCTAGCAAATGTGGTTGAAATCATGAAAAGGGTTACGAGGCAGTTTAAGTGCTGCACCCCAAGATCTCCCTTTGCCCATGTTAACTATCTTACACATTCCTCCCCCCTCCCCCCATAGCACAACAAGCAATAGCAAACAGGATACAGTCTCACCACTGAAGTCAATTTAAATGGAACTATTGATAAAGTGAGTCAGCAGCTTGAAGGAGCCGGCATACAGTATATCCTATCTAGCCCACCCAAGGACACTGGCTCTGCAGGTGGGAGAAGTGAGGGGAGGGGAGGAGTGCCCAGCCCTGGGGGGATTGTCCTCATTTAAGATCACAAGCCAGCGTGCCTTTTCAATTTATCTGCCAGCACTGATCACCCTAAACCATGATCTTAGGCTGGCCCCAAGAGCCTGCCCCACAAGGGGGAGATCCCAGAGCCTTCCGTATAAGGCCCATGGTGCTGAAGAGCAGGGCACAAGAACTTCAGGAAGAGGAACCGAGGTGCGTGAAGAAATGCGGCCGAAACTGTTGGCAGTAATGAGGGGGGCATATCTCTAACCACCACCAAATCTACCCCACATTTCCTTCTCCTTCTCAGATCCCTTCAACTTAGAATTGCTGGGACTCAGCGAACGGCAGGGAGGCTCTTGGTGGAGAGTTCTGGGCCCAGAGACTTCCTTGCAGGTAAAGCTCTAGCTGCACACGAAGCTGCCAGCCCCAGGGGAGGCCCTGGATTTCTACTGCAAGTCCCTCAGGGTTGCCTTTAACTGTACCCAAACCAGAAGTGGCAGAATTGGGCCTGAGGCTGCTGAGTTTCTTTAGGCAGCAATGTTTTGCAAAGGCGGCTTCCCTTTTCTCATGGCAGCAGATGGAGTTTGTGCAAGGTCAGCGGGCTGAGGTGCTCTGGTCAAGGCTTTGGGAACAGTGTCTCCTGACTTGTCAAGTCATCCTTCCTCAGGCAGGCAGCTTGGGCCTCTAGAGCAGATCCAGGACAGGCAATTCATCCCAATCCCTGCTGTGGTCGCAGGGCCCTTGGTGGGAGGCTGCGCTGCCCCTCCAGAGGGCGAGCTTGGAGAGGAACCCAGTCTGAGGGGTAGGCTGAGGCTCACGGAGCTTCTGGGAGCTGCAGATCCCCCCAGCTGGCAGTGGCTTCCTTTTTCTTGTGATGCAGGAGTTGTAAGCCTCCTTTGGGACTGCTGTGAGACTTCGGGCTATGACCAGAGAGAACCATCCTCGCGCCGCAAGCCAGACCAGCCACAAGACCTAGTCTGTGCCCTGACACAGGGAGCCCCAAGGGGAAGTAGGGAAGGGGACATCATCGCTTCAGTCCTAATCCTGTGCTTCAGGCCTTCGTCACAGCTGAACGGCCTCCTTAGCTGCTAGAAGCTGGTCTCTGTTGGGTCCCAGATGCTGAGGAAAGCCTTTCAAAACTTGGGAGGCCCCAGCAGGGTGGCACCACACAGGCCACACGAGTCCCAGTGTGGGGGTGAGAGACACCTCGTGAGGGTGGGTTAGAAACCTCTTTACAAGCATTTCAAGATACATGCGTCCTTTTTTTTTTTTTTTTTTTCTTTTCACTATCATAGTCACTCTGGTGAATCCAAGCATAAACAGACAAATCCAACTACAACTCAACAGGGTGCAGATGGGGAGGGCAGGGCAACATCTATGTATATGTTCAGCTGCTCCAGCAGAACAGACAGCATGGCTTCCAGCTGGGACTGGGGGGAAAGAACCATTTCCAAGGGGGTGTGTTCCCCTTTGTCGGGTGTGGAGGGCTGATACTATGCATGTGGAGCTGAGCAGCGGGCTGGGCTGTCTGGGAGGTTGGCAGCTACAAGCTAGGGTGCAAGTGGGGGACAGCGGGACTGTGGGCCTGCCCTGGGTGCCTTGCCCTTCCATCCTGGTGCCACCACTGACAACCAAGACACCCAGCCTGCTGCTGTGGGCTCAGCACAGGAAGGGGCCAGGCCTTCTCAGGGGAAAGGGCTCTCTCCATGTCAACAAGGCAGAAACACCTAGGGTCACAGCTGAGCAGTGCCCTGGCTCACATCTGTGACGGGAGGAGGAGACAGGGAACCGAATCAGATCGTGAGATTCGTGGTGAGGGTCCCAGTTGGATGAGTGGAACTGAGAGTGAGAGGCTGGGGTCCCACTCTGGTGCCTGGACTTTGCCTTCCCTTAATTTCACCCTCAGTATGGAGTAGGTACCTCCTGCAACCAACCAGGGTCATTACTGAGAAGGGGTGGTGAGGCTGGGAATTCGGGACATTGTGACGTGATGAGGGGTATAGGCAGTGATTGGGCTCTCACGGCAGACAACAGCACAGCGGGGCAGACAGGGGTGACTGCAGTGGCCGTGGGAAGGACAGGGGGCTCGGGACCCGCCTCCCAGACCCCCACACACTCCAGAGATGCCGGTGGCCCAGGCTTGGAAACGGGTGGACGTCTCCCAAGAGGCACAAGTCCTTACAAAGAGAACTGGTTAGCCCTAAAGTCCCAGGTCTGCAAAGTGGCCAAAATCATGGCAGCAGTTCCAACCTTCAGAACTCAATAAAACAGGGTTTCTGTGGAGCAGAGAGGGAAGCCCCTCAACTCAGGCCCCCTACCCTGCAGGGAGGGAGGAAGAGGCCAGCGCTCTCAAGACATCAAGGTCAGTCTTTTCTAAGGAGGTCATCCACGAAGTGCCACCCTCCTGCCAGCTTGCCTTCTCTTTTTACCCGCTGTCCCTTCTCCCACAGGCTGCCCTGCAGAGGGTGGCACACTGACCCACAGCAGGCCCCCACCCCCGGCCACCAAGGACAGGCGGCCGCTCAGACGCTGCAGGTGGCATAGGCCTTGGCTCTCCCAGCGGCAAGGAGGGGGATGTCTACTCTCCAGCACGTGGCTTCCTCTCCCACTCCCACTTCTTGTGCTTCCTCTCCCCTCTGCCCAGCCCCTGCCTCGGCCTCCCCCGTGGCCTCCCGCCCCACCCCAACCCCCGTCACACTCACACAAGGTTGACATCGTCTGCCTGTGGCTCCACGAACACACCAAGTTTCAAATCCTTTGTTGCTGCCACTGCCTCTGTGACACCCCCACAACAGGGCCAGAGGTGGTTGGCACCCCCAGTCCCTTGAAATCCCCCAGAAGCAGCTTTCAGAGCCTCTCCTTCCCCCTCTTCTACATGGAGGGGGGAAGAAAAAAGAATCAAAAGGAATTGCCTGAGGAAATGTTGGATGTGGCCATGTTTTTGAATGTTTTTTTTTAAAATATTTTATTACTAGCCCACCCATCAATTTGGAAAGATGAAATTTGCTCTTACTCCCATCACTGATTTTGAAGTCCCGAGCCAAAGCCGAGTGACAAAAGCAGGTTAAGTGATTAACCAATTAACCGAACTGCGAGGAGCAGCTGGGGGCAGAGGGCGGGGGCCGGGTCATTATTCTTTTTTTTTCCACACTCTCTCATTCTCTCCTCTCCACGATTATTGACCGCCCCAGGGGCCTGATCACAAACCCTGCTTGGCCAGGGAGGCAGACACCTCGTCAGCTAGCGTGGCGAGCTGGGGCGAGTCTACCATGTCGATGCTGCCGGTGGAGGAGACATTGCTGAGATGCCGTGGAGACGTGTCCCCAGACACCACTGGCGACTTGTACACGATCTCCGCCCCGTGGTCTGTCTTGGCTTTGGCGTTCTCGCGGAAGGTCAGCTTGTGGGTTTCAATCTGCAAGAAGAGGAAGGGAGGGAGGGTGAGATGAAGTGCCAGAGAAAGACCAGCCCTGCCAACTGCCCTGCCAGGCCTGGCCCAGAGTGCCAGGGACTGTTTTTTGTTTGTTTTTGAGACAGGGTCTTGCTCTATCGCCCAGGCTAGAGTGCGGTGGCACAATCTCACCTCACTGCAGCCTTGACCTCCCAGGCTCAGGTGATTCTCCCACCTCAGCCTCCCGAGTAGCTGGGATTACAGGTGCATGCCACCACACCTGGCTAATTTTTTGTATTTTTAATAGAAACGGGGTTTTGCTATGTTGCCCAGGCTGGTCTCGAACTCCTGGACGCAAGCAATCTGCCCGCCTCAGCCTCTCAGAGTGCTGCCATTACAGGCGTGAGCCACTGCGCCTGGCCAGGAGCTATTGTTTTTACTGTCTTCCAATTGGTAATACCTGTGCCCACTCCTTCCCTGACCTGCCTCCCAGGCACCCAGGTACCCTCCCCAGAGACAGTGATCATTTTAAGTTTCTTGTGTACCCTCCAGAGATATTCCACACATAAACAAACACGTGTGAGTGTATAGATACACAGGCTGCTTAGTATTCCGTCGCCACGGATGTACCAAAAGGCATCTACTCCTCTGTGGATGGATGTGTAGGCTGCTCCCGCCTGTAGTGATTACAGGCAATGGTGTGTATGAACAACCTCAGATAAATAAACCCGTATGAACATCATGTCACACACGTGTAAGTGGGTCCTAGAAGTGAAGCTCTTAGGTCAAAAGTCATGCACATTTTATTTTAATAGATATTGCCAGATTGCAAAGGAAAATGTGGAAGGAGAAGCTGGAGAAGATCAAGGATGTCTCCCACAGCCACTGATGCCCAGACATGAGCCACACATTCCTCCTGTTTGCCAGTGACTGATGAGTTTGGAGGGGCAGCAACTGTGGGCAACACTGGCAGGTGGGCCACAAAACATGACATGACAAAGGCCTTTTTATGTGTGGATGGGTGGATGGATGACTGTCTAGCGACTTATCTATCCATCTATTTATCTATCTATCTATCTATCAATCATCTACCTATCTACTTGCCCAGGCTGGCCTCAAATTCCTGGGCTCAAGCAATCTTCCCACCTTAACCTCCAGAGCAACTGGGACTACAGGCTCATGCCATCGTGCCTGGCTGAAGCCCTTTTGAAAGTAGAGAAACACATGACCTAGCCAGGAGTCCCAAAGGATACCAGGAAACACAGAAGCAGAAAGTGTTCACTGGAGAAGTGAGCAGTGCACAGCAATTCCTGATGACCCTGAAGTGGCCGACACGGTCATTCTCAGCCCTTTTTGGGTCCTAGGCTCTTTGAGCATCTGGTAAAGCCAAAAATATGTGTGCACATGTCCATCCACACTCACACACAGCCATTTTCCATATAATTTTAGGAGTCCATGGATGCGGGGTGAAGGGCCCCTATTGCAGGGGGCTTGAATGGGCGTAGAGAAAACCAGGTTCCCATTTAAGCTAGATGCAGATTTTGTTCATTTGGGGTCACTACTTTGAAAAAAGGATTGTTCTCTATTACTGTATACTGTATTTTATCTTTTTTTTTTTTTTTTTGAGACAAAGATTCACCTTGTCACCCACGCTGGAGTGCAGTGGCACGATCTTGGCTCACTGCAACCTCCGCCTCCGGGATCAAGCAATTCTCCTGCCTCGGCCTCCCAAGTAGCTGGGACTACAGGTGTGTGCCACCACACCCAGCTAATTTTTGTATTTTTTGTAGAGATGGGATTTGGCTGTGTTGGCCAGGTTGGTCTTGAACTCCTGATTTCAGGTGATCTGCCTGCCTTGGCCTCCCAAAGTGCTGGGGTTACAGGCATGAGCCACCATGCCTGACCTGTTACTGTATTTTCTTGAAAGACCATTTAATACAGGCTTTGATAAAAATATTTATGTTAATGTTTTTTGAAGTGTTTTTTAAGACATTCCTGGGAATGTCCAAAAATCCCCAAACTGAAAGGAACCCAGGAGGCTGGTGGTGTGCCCCACTGCTTGTTAGCAATTTTTCTCAATACACTGGGAAAACAGGGGACTAATGCTGCGGGGATCCCCAGGACCAGGATGGTGTTTTCTGAGTAGGGGGCAGGGCCCTGCCTACCCTTCCTGAGCTATCACATGGACGAGTTTGAAACAGAAGGAGCCAAGAATCTGAGACTCAGCGTGGCTCTAACTCAGGTTCTTAGAGGACTGCAACACACCAGGAACCTTCCAGAACATTGTCTTTTTTGGGTCTCACAACCACCCCGGGACGTAGGTACAGCATTTCCATTTCATCTTGCTGAAGGAGAAACTGAGGCTGAGAGGATTTGTGGATCTTGACTTTCAAAGCAGAGTCAAGCCCAGAGCTTTTCCTAACACAGAGAAGCTTCCAGAGACTGTGAGGGGCCTCCTTTCACCCAGGAAATCACCAATGCCAAGGCCCTATCCAGACCCACTCAGTCAGACTGTGGGGATGGGGCCAGGCCCAGATATCTTTAAAGTGCCCCGAGGCTGGGAGGCCCTGCCTTAGACCAGGGGAGGCCTGGGGTTAGAAACAGCAGAGAAGCTTACTGCTTCCCCAGATAACTGGACCTGGCCCCCACATCTCTTGAGGCGGACAGCCTCCTGGTCCCTCCTCGTTTTCTCACTTTGGATAGCGACCCAGCCGCTGAAAAGTATCCCTGTCGCGCAACCCGAGAGCTCTCGGCCAGCTACGGGCCAGTGCCCTCCCCTGCCTCAGGGCGTGTCTGGAGGTAAGGTCTGCCCCAGGCCACAGTTCGCAGCATCTGCAGCAAGGCTGTATCAGCAAACCCTTCTCACAAAACTACATTGTTAGACATTAATCACAAATACAAGATGAGGGTGCCCATCTGTTCAGAACCAGAGGCAGTGGCAAGAGGGGAGGGCGGGGACTGGCCAGGGCAGGGGTCTCTCAGCTGCTACTTGAGTGGCCTGGTGGAAAGACGGCCCGGCTGCCACTTCCACCCAACTGGGCCACCATGAGAAGCATACTTTCTCATGCTGACTTGGGTCTCAGACCCTATACCCTTTCTGGGACGCCCTGATATGGTTTGGCTGTGTCCCCACCCAAATGTCATCTTGAATTGTAGTTCCCACAATTCCTACATGTTGTGGGAGGGACCTGGTGGGAGGTAATTGAATCATAGAGGAGGGTCTTTCCCGTGCTGTTCTCATGATAGTGAATAAGTCTCCCGAGATCTGATGGTTTTATAAAGGGGAGTTCCCCTGCACAAGCTCTTTTCTCTTGTCTGCCACCGTGTGAGACAAGCCTTTCACCTTCCACCATGATTGTCAGGCCTCCCCAGTCACGTGGAACTGTGAGTCCATCAGACCTCTATCTTTTAGACTGCCCAGTATCGGGTATGTCTTCATCAGCGGCGTGAAAACGGACTAATACAATCCCTTTTCCCTCCACCACTCCCCAGTCAGCTGCTGGGAGACCCTGAAGGTTGGAAAGTGAGCCACTCCCAGAACTTCAGGCTGGGTGTGGGCCTGAAACCCCAGAGGGTGCTTGGCTGCGCTTCTGCAGAAGAGAAGCAGCAGCTACCAGACCGCATCCTGTGCCAGGCCTAGACAGAGCTCACCCAGCGCCACACACACCCTCACTGCACAGACACCCACAGCAAGACCTAGAGACTAGAAACTGCTGGGGACACCAAGGCCCCAGCAGCCTCATGTGGATACTTCCAAGACAGGCAGGCAGAGGCTTTGCTGAAATCAGGATTTCGGCATCATTGTTTTGCTCTAAGTGCCTAGTAACCCATTTAGAAAATTAGGTTATGTTCCCATGACTTGTTCTTGGTGCGCCACAGCTGACTGGGGATGTCCACTTCCTTTTTTAGTTGCCTGCAAACATCAGGGCCTAGGACAGTGGTTCTCGCTTTTTTTTTTTTTTTGAGATGGAATCTCACTCTGTTGCCCAGGCTGGAGTGCAGTGGCACGATCTCGGCTCACTACAACCTCTGTCCCCTGGGTTCAAGCAATTCTCATGCCTCAGCCTCCCAAGTAGCTGGGATTACAGGCACGCACCACCACACCGAGCTAACTTTTGTATTTTTAGTAGAGATGGGGTTTTACCATGTTGGCCAGGCTGGTCTTGAACTCCTGACCTCAAGCCATCTGCCCACCTTCGCCTCCCAAGGTGCTGGGATTACAGGCATGAGCCACCGCACCCAGCCAGTTCTCACTTTTGACTGCACTGAAGAATCACCTGGGAGCTTTAAAAACTGCAGTGACTTAGGCCGAGCACTGTGGCTCACACCTGTAATCCCAGCACCTTGGGAGGCCGAGGTGGGCATATTGCTTGACCTCAGGAGTTCAAGACCAGCCTGGGCAACGTGGCAAAACCTCGTCTCCACAGGAAATACAAAATATTTAGCCAGGCATAGTGGCAGGTACCTGTAGTTCCAGCTACCTGGGAGGCTGAGGTGGGAAGATCACCTGACCCAGGGAGGTAGAGGCTGCAGTGAGCCGAGATCATGCCAGTGCACTCCAGCCTGGATGACAGAGGGAGACTGATATGGTTTGGCTGTGTCCCCACCCAAATCTCATCTTGAATTGTAGCTCCCATAATTCCATGTGTCATGGGAGGGACCCAGTGGGAGGTAACTGAATCATGGGGGCGGGTCTTTCCCATGCTGTTCTCATGATAGTGAATAAATCTCATGAGGTCTGATGGTTTTATAAATGGGAGTTCCCCTGCACACGCTCTCTTGCCTGTTGCCATGTAAGACATGCCTTTGCTTCTCCTTTGCCTTCCGCCATGATTTTGAGGCCTCCCCAGCCATATGGAACTGTGAGTCCATTAAACCTCTTTCCTTTATAAATTACCCAGTCTTGGGTATGTCTTTATTAGCAGTGTGAGAATGGACTAATACAGAGACCCTGCCTTAAATACATAAAAATAAATAAAAACAAAAACTCCAGCAACCGAGCTGCCCCTGAGACCCATTGGTCAGCCTCTCCAGGTTGGGGCCCAGGTGTGAAACGTGCTAAAGCTCCAGGTGATTGAGACAGGCAGTGGAGACCCACTGGATGCTGCTGAGGGCCCACATCCAGCCAGTCAACACAGAAGCCTCTGTTTTCCTCCTCTGGGAACTGGACCAGCCTTTGTCCACTCAACTTGATTAATGCCCATATACCCAAGGGCAGCATCCAACCCACCCTACCCCCTTTACCTTTTTATTTCCTCCGCCAGGGACGTGGGTGATATTGTCCAGGGACCCAATCTTCGACTGGACTCTGTCCTTGAAGTCAAGCTTCTCAGATTTTACTTCCACCTGGCCACCTCCTAGAACACAACACACACAAGAGCATCTTGCCATCATCTTCTGTGGTTCTGTGGACTTAACATACATTACATGAGGTCTGCAGTCTACAGGGCAAAGTGCCAGGGGCTGCTGGGGCACAGCAAAAATTAGATTGGGTGCCACTGCTCTGGAGGGAAGAAGACAATGACAGGACTTCCAGGTTTGCAGCAGGACTTGAACCAGGGCCAAGCAAGTGGTTCCAAGTAGAGACCAGCCTTTAGAAGTAGGTAAGACTCCTTTAGAATGGTGTTTGGATACAAGTAAGTCCTTGCAAAGCTCTTGAAAATAGTTTGCTTCATCTATCTAATCAAAGTGTGCATCAAATATTTACACTGTAAACTCTTCTTCTTGAGATACTGCAAAAGTAAATGACAGCTCAGCCCAGGAAAAATTATTCTAAATATACATTGGTTGGCTTCCAGTAAGTAAAGTCTGTTTTTTTTTTTTTTTTCTTGAGACAGAGTCTTGCTCTGTCGCCCAGGCTGGAGTGCAGTGGCGTGGTCTCTGCTCACTGCAAGCTCCGCCTCCCGGGTTCATGCCATTCTCCTGCCTCAGCCAACCGAGTGGCTGGGACTACAGGTGCCTGCCACCACGCCCAGCTAATTTTTTGTATTTTCAGTAGAGATGGGTTTTCACTGTGTTAGCCAGGATGGTCTCAATCTCCTGACCTCCTGATCTGCCTGCCTCGGCCTCCCAAAGTGCTGGGATTACAGGCATGAGCCACTGCGCCCGGCCCATTAAGTGAAGTCTTTTCTATATCAACATCCTGTAAACCATGACCCCACAAGACCTTGGAATTAAATTGAATGTCAAAATGCACACTAAATAAGAACCCTTTCAGGCCGGGCGTGGTGGCTCATGCCTGTAATCCTAGCACTTTGGGAGGCCGAGGCAGGTGGATCACCTGAGTTCAGGAGTTTGAGACCAGTCTGACCAACATGGTGAAACCTCGTCTCTACTAAAAAAAAAATACAAAAATTAGTTGAGCATGGTGGCGGGCACCTGTAATCCCAGCTACTTGGGAAGCTGAGACAGGAGAATTGCTTGAATCCAGGAGGTGGAGGTTGCAGTGAGCCGAGATTGTGCCATTACACTCCAGCCTGGGCAATGAGAGTACAACTCCATCTCAAAAAAAAAAAAAAAAAAAAAAAAAAAAAAAAAAAAAAAAATTAGCCGGGCATGTTGGCATGTGCCTGTAATCTCAGCTACTCAGGAGGCTGAGGCAGGAGAATCACTTGAACCCAGGAGGCGGAGGTTGCAGTGAGCCGAGATCGCACCACTGCACTCCAGCCTGGGAACAGAAGAAGGCTCCCTCTCTAAATAAATAAATAAGGACCCTTTCTCCCTCCTGACGCTTGACACCATGCCCAAGCATGGGACAAGGCATGAGGAAGAGACAGCCCACAGGACTTTCCAGGGAAAGATGACAAAAGCAGCTCCCAGCTGCTCTCACAGCTGGGGTAGTGGCACCACTTGTGGAATACTTTCCACAGGGAGACTAAATTCCACAAAGTGTCCAAGGGAGCCAGAAAATAAGGAGTCACATTCTAGACTGAACTTCTCATGGCCTTCTCTTCCCACAGTAAGGGTTCAAGTAAAAACCAGCCCTGAATAGGGCCTAAGGCAGAAGTCCCCGCTCTGGACTCTCGGGGTGGGGTGACAGAATCTATAGCTGTGTCGTCCGATATGGCAGCCACTCTTCCTCAACTGTACCAGCCATGTTTCAAGTGCCACATGTAGCTAGTGGCTACTATACTGGACAGCACAGATACAGAATATTTCCATCACTGCAGAAAGAAGTATAGACAGCACTGATTTCTTTCTTTCTTTCTTTCTTTTTTGCTGAGTCTCACTCTGTCACCCAGGCTGGTATGCAGTGGCGCGATCTTGGCTCACTGCAAGCTCCGCCTCCCAGGTTCATGCCATTCTCCTGCCTCAGCCTCCCAAGTAGTTGGGACTACAGGTGCCTGCCACCATGCCCAGCTAATTTTTTGTATTTTTAGTAGAGACGGGGTTTCACTGTGTTAGCCAGGATGGTCTTGATCTCCTGACCTCGTGATCCGCCTGCCTTGGCCTCCCAAAGTGCTGCGATTACAGGCATGAGCCACCGCGCCCGGCCGACAGCACTAATTTCTACACAGTGTGAGGTGGGGAGGGGAGTAAGCATGGTTCCAGTAGGATCACTTTCTTTTCTTTTTCTTTCTTTTTTTTTTTTTTTGAGCCGGAGTCTCACTCCCTCACCCAAGCTGGAGTGCATTGGCACGATCTTGGCTCACTCAGCCTCTGCCTCCTGGGTTCAAGTGATTCTCCTGCTTCAGCCTCCCAAGTAGCTGGGATTACAGGCATGCGCCACCATGCCTGGCTAGTTTTTGTATTTTTAGTAGACATGGGGTTTCGCCATGTCGGCCAGGCTGATCTCCAACTCCTGACCTCAGGCAATCTGCCCACCCCCGCCTCCCAAGGTGCTGGGATTATAGGCGTGGGCCACCACAGCCGGCCCAGAGCATCATTTTCTGTTTAAACAAAGTCACAGAGGGGACATGGCAGTGACCCAGGGTTCCTGTGCTGTAGCTGCTGCCGATGGTGAAGTGTCTCCCATGTTGGCTGGGGACCAAGCTCATGCATCCATATAGCTGAACCTCGAGTCTGAGAGGCTCTGTGGACAGCTTGCAGGGAGAACAACGGGTTAGGGGTTAAGGCCAGCATCTCGCCTCCCTCTTCACCTTAAAAAATATATTTTTTTAATTTTTGTGGGTACATAGTTAGGTGTATATATTTATGGGGCTCATGAGATGTTTTGATACAGACACACAATGTATAATAATCACATCATGGAAAATGGGGTATCCATCCCCTCAAACATTTGTCCTTTGTGTTACAAACAATCCATTTATATTCTTTTAGGTTTTTGTTGTGTGTTTGTTTTTGTTTTTGTTTTTGTTTTTGTTTTGAGACGGAGTCTCACTCTCTCGCCCAGGCTGGAGTGCAGTGGCACAATCTCGGCTCACTGCAAGCTCCGCCTCCCAGGTTCATGCCATTCTCCTGCCTCAGCCTTGTGAGTAGCTGGGACTATAGGCACCTGCCACCACGCCTGGCTAATTTTTTGTATTTTTAGTAGAGACCGGGTTTCACCGTGTTAGCCAGGATGGTCTATATCTCCTGACCTTGTGATCTGCTCGCCTCGGCCTCCCAAAGTGCTGGGATTACAGGCGTGAGCCACCGTGCCCAGCCGTATTTTTATTATTTTTGAGACGGAGTTTCACTGTCACCCAGGCTGGAGTGCAGTGGCAAGATCTCGGCTCACTGCAACCTCTGCCTCCCAGGTTCAAGTGATTCTCCTGCCTCAGCCTCCCGAGTAGCTGGGATTACAGGCGCCCGCCACCATGCCTGGCTAATTTTTGTATTTTTAGTAGAGATGGGGTTTCACCATGTTGGCCAGGCTGGTCTCAAACGCCCACCTCAGCCTCCCAAAGTGCTGGGATTACAGACGTAAGCCACTGCACCCGGCTATCTTTTAGTTATTTTTAAATGTACAATTAAATTATTATTGACTATAGTCACCCTGTTGCACTATCAAATACTAGGTCTTATTCTATTTTTTTTGTACCCATTGACCATCCCCCCACCATCCCCTCACTACCCTTCCCAGCCTCTGGTAACCATCCTTCTATTCTCTATCTCCTGGATCCCACAAAGAAGCGAGAACATGTGCTTTTTTTTTTTTTTTTTTTTTTTTTGAGACAGAGTCTCGCTCTGTCGCCCAGGCTGGAGTGCAGTGGCGCGATCTCTGCTCACTCCGCTCACTGCAAGCTCCGCCTTCCGGGTTCACGCCATTTTCCTGCCTCAGCCTCCGGAGTAGCTGGGACTACAGGCGCCCGCCACCACGCCCGGCTAATTTTTTGTATTTTTAGTAGAGACGGGGTTTCACTGTGTTAGCCAGGATGGTCTCAATCTCCTGACCTCATGATCCACCCACCTTGGCCTCCCAAAGTGCTGGGATTACAGGCGTGAGCCACAGCGCCCGGCCGAGAATATGTGCTTTCTTTCTGTGCCTGCCTTATTTCACTTCACTCCCGCCTCACCTTGTCTTGGGCAGCATAGCCTGGGCAGGAGCGAGCTGGAGCCACCACGCCTCCTGGGCTCCCGCAAGTTTCACACTCAACACTTTCCTTGATGTAGGTCTACCTAAAATATCCTTTCCAGCCCCTTCTGAAGTCTGGAGCAGTTCCAGCCTCACCAGGACTCCTCCACCCCCTGCACCTTCCCGTCCCAACCCTCACCTTCCACAGGGCTACCTGGTTTATGATGGATGTTGCCTAATGAGCCACACTTGGAGGTCACCTTGCTCAGGTCAACTGGTTTGTAGACTATTTGCACCTGGAGATGAGAGAGGAGGAGAGAGAAGAGGAAAGGCAGAGAGAGAGGAAGACAGAGAGACAAAAAGGATAAAATGGGATTATTTTATTAAGGGTGTAACTCAATGAGAAGCAGCTGTGTAAGCCCAGGCCCTTATTGGACAGTGGTTCCCAGCTGCCATGAGGAGCACATCCTAGTCAGGGTGGAAAAATGTGTTGTCGAAATTCTGCCAACCCTGCCCCAGGGGAGCTGGGGACTGTGGGACTGGAGTGTCTTCAATCCCTGCAGAACAAAAGAGCCTCTGGGAAAAACAGGGACCCATTGTCATTGTGCAAGACCCAGACATTTGCTCAGCAAACGCTTAAGTGTAAAAATGTCACTCCCTTTCCTGACATGAAATTGACAGATCACAATCAGGCATGAAGAAAAAAGTGGTCAATATGATGAGTATGCACAGCATCTGAAAAATCTTGCTGGAAAGGCAGGAGTGGGGTATCTGCTGGGCCTCAAAGAGGGGAGGCGCTGTGAGGGTCGATGGGTGGGCTTTATTCCAGGAAAAGCTTCCACGGACCCTGGAAAGCACTAGAGCAAAGACCATCAGTAAGCAGGACCCAGCGGAGTTCAGCAGCTCGGACGTGAGAACCAGCAGGCACCTGCACACTCAGTGTCCTGGACATTCCTGTCTTTAGCAATAGGAACAAAGCAACACCAACAGGGTGGGTAGGTGGCACAGCAGAAACCAACAGATTTAGTGTCTCAGTAAGCTCGAGCAGACACAGACACACATGAGGAGGCCTGTGGCCTCCAGGGCACCGCTCCCTCTGGGAATGATGGCCCTGAGCTGCCAGCTGATCTCAGTCAAAGAACCAGCTCCCCTGTGGGGGGCACGCTGTAGGGACTCCACAGTGGCAGACAGACAGGTCCCCTGGAGGCAGGCCTCTATGAAGCCATGGCTGTGTGGGGCCTGGGGGGCAGGTCACTGACTGACATTCCTGGAGTCCCCAGGGCCTCCAGCAGTGGCCTTGTGTGGGGTCACCTGAGGGTGCAAGGGGGCAGCCACCTCCCACCTATCAGTCAGCTCCCGAGGAAGCCCTGCCCTGGAGCTTCCTGGGAGACAGCTGGCTTCATGGCTGAAGATGGTTTATCAAGGTCACCAAAAAACAAGGTGCAGGGCGGGTGGTGGTTTCTCCTTCCACTTAGGTCTAAACTGGAACCATCCCGAATTATTTTGGTGTCAGCTGGCATGTGCTCTTTATGGATGGGGAGTTAACTGGGGCAGAGATGGCTGAGGCCCATGTGTGTCAGGGCGGACATGATCTGTGGCAAGGACGTTGGGGGACAGGGAGGATGGATGGCGCGCGGCCTGGCTTGGAGAGAGCTGTGCTCTGAGGCCGGCACTGAGGGGGTGGACCAGGGCCGAGGGAGGTGGGAGGACGTGCTGGTATGACCAGGGCCTCCTTCCCTCTTCCCTCTGGCCTGGGGGAGGTAACTCGTGAGAGGGGGAGGGGGGCTGGGACAGGGACCAGGGAACGGCCAGAAAGGAGAGGAGTGGATGGCAGTGGGAGCCAGGGCCGGTGGTCAGGATACCTGGAGGCCAGGGAGGGGGACAGCAGGCCCTGCAGAGCTTCCAGGGTCCAGCCAGGAGGCAGAAGGGTCCCAGGTAGAGAAGGAGCAGGGCCAGCCTGCTGGGAAGGGGCCCCCAGGCTGGAGAGAGGCTAGGGCTCAGGCCAGGGATCCAGTGCCCCCAGATGCCAGGGGCTGGCATCTCTTCTCACCAGGAGAAGGGCTTCCTGTGAAGGTGCTCAGAGGGCAGTGCTCAGCCCGGGACATCTGGTGGCTCTCTGCCAGGTCACAGGCTAGACCGCAGACAAGCAGAGCGCGGGACACAGGCTAGCCCGCAGATGAGCACAGCGCAGGTCACAGGCTAGCCCGCAGATGAGCACAGCGCGGGACACACGGGCGGGCCCCAGGGAGGTCCCAGATGTCCTGGGCACTGCAGCGTCTTTGGGCATCAGCTACCCAGAGGGGTTGGCCACGCAGCCCGTGTGCACTCTCTCCCCAGCTCCACCTCAGCAGCACAGCCTCCACCAGGGCACCAGACTTGACTTCAACCAGAAAGCACATGGCCTTCCTCCTCTGGCCGAGCTCACTTTGAGGAAGCCAGAGAACCAGGATCAAAGCTCAAACAGCTGAAAACAGCAATCCCAGGAACAAGGGCCCGGGCAGGGGTGGGGGCGGCACACACCTCTTCTGTCCCCTCACAGCAGACAAACTGGGGGGACAGGAGAGCAGGGCGTGGGAGACAGAGGAGACACTTAGCAGACACTGGTGAGGAAGCGTTAGTTAGCCCCATGCAGCAGCCGCAGGGCAAGCGCTTGCTACCTGTGGGACTCAAGGGGCCTCAGGGCAGAAGCCGGGATCCAGGTGCTCAGGGCAGGAAGCAGCAGCACATTGCAAGAATAAACCCTCTGGGCTGGATGCGGGTGGCTGCCTCAGGCCAGGCATTTTCTGGAGACAGCCCGCCCCGGAGCCACAGCAGTGTCCCGGTACTGCCAGCCAGGGCCAGGTGATTGCTCTCAAAAATCAACGCCTCCCACCCCAAGGGTCTCATACGTCCAGCTCCCCAGGGTGTTAACAGTTTGCTTTCAGCTGACCAAGAGAGCTGGTGGGAGAGGAGCCTCGGGTGCCCAGTGGACATAGACCAGCCAGGGGATGATGAAGCCTCAGCTTATCGGGTGGGTCAGTTGCACTTGAGGATCTGAGTCCCGAATCTCACGGAGACACTCCACAGAAGATGCACGGAGTCCCCGGGGACATTTAGAGGAAGCCAAATCTATTTATTTTAAAATTATTATATTATTGTTTTTTGAGACAAAGTCTCACTCTGTTGCCTAGGTTGAAGTGCAGTGGCGCGATCATGGCTCCTTGCAACTTCCGCCTCCCGGACTCAGGCAATCCTCCCACCTCAGCCTCCCAAGTAGCTGGGACTACAGGTGCGTGCCACCACACCTGGCTAATTTTAATTCTTTTTGTAGACACAGGGGTCTCATTGTTGCCCAGGCTGGTCTTGAACTCCTGGGCTCAAGCGAACCTCCCGCCTTAGTCTCCCAAAGTGCTGGAATTACAGGCACGAGCCACCACTCCTGGCAAGAGGCAGCCAAATCTAAAAGGGCCAAAAGCAGCATTTCTCTGCCACACCTCAACGCTGGGCAGAGGGACCTGTCGCACTTTGGTTTGGCTCTTTGCATCTGGAGTCTCTGCCAGAGGGTGGCGCAGGCTAAGCATAAGCTGGAGGCTTAGGAATCGGCTCCTGCCTTGAACGTGTAGGAGCAGCAGCTGAGCAGGACAGTAAGACCTTGGTGTCCGCTCATCAGAACAAACGGGTCACCTGTCCACAGTGGAGCCACTCAACGTCAACCTGCCCAGGTGTCGGGGGAGGAGGCGGCAGCCCAGTCTCAGGTGCCACCACCTTCAGCCCAACTTCCAATGGGCTATGGGGCTCCTGGGGACAGGGCTGGGCATGAGTGGAAGGAGACTTTGATGGGTATTCTCAGCTTCCCAGGCAGGGTCCGGAGAGAGGGTCCGTCATCTGCCCTATTCTGTCCACACAGCCTGCGCAGGCTGGGGGACCCAGAAATGCTGGGACACCCCCTCCTAGAATATGAGGAAGGGGCTTCTGGGAACAGTGGACCGTGTGGGGGAATGTGGGGAGCCGGGCTACATTCACCCAGAGGTCGCAGCCAGATCCTGAGAGCCCAAGAAGGATTTATTCTATGCAGTGTCTCGCAAGTGTACGCACTCACACCACTTCCTAATAATTCAAGCCACAGCACGGCGCATGGGACGTGTGAAGGTACTCACACTGCCGCCTCCCGGGACGTGTTTGATATTATCCTTTGAGCCACACTTGGACTGGACGTTGCTAAGATCCAGCTTCTTATTAATTATCTGCACCTTTGGTAGCCAGAAAAAAGGATGAGTGACACGCCACCCTGGACCCGCCTGCTTGCTCGCAAGGACGCCTCCACTTTCGATGAGTGACATGCGCCACCCTGGACCCGCCTACTTGCTCGCAAGGATGCCTCCACTTTCGGACTTGGCAGAGGCAGTCTGGGGAGTGACGGGAGGTCGAGTCACATCCCAGGGGAGCTGAAGGGATAGAGGGCTGCTCTGAAGGCATCCCAGAAGTGTGAGTGATTTCCAGCGGGCTTTACGAAGCTGGGATTGCAGGTCCTCACTTCACAAAAGGATGGCATCGTGAGGCCTGAACCCCAGAGGGGAGCGTTCACCAGCCTGAGGTCAAGTGAAAAATGTGTTCGGCCACACTGACGAGTGAGTAATAGGAAGTTCCCCGGCATCTCCACTCACACCTGGCTAGACCCACCGGCACATTCCCAGAGAACTCCCTGCGGCTGTTCTCAAGCCTGCCGGGCATCAGAATCACCTGTGGATTTTTACAATCTCAGCCCCTAGCCCTGACCTAGAATTAGAATCTAGGAGTCTGGCTTCAGTCTCTCTAGTTTTGAAAAGTTCCCCTGGTGATTCTGACACACAGCCAGGTTTGAGAAGCCCTGACCCCGTAGGCAGGACACAGGCCGCTTTGTGGGGAAGACAAATGTGGGGTGTCCCTTCTGTACGAGGGCTCTGTCCCTGCAAGGGGGGGCTGTGAAATAGAAAACCATGGTTTAGGGAGTTGGAAAAACTGGACATTTTCTCTGCCAGATCAGTGAGAACGTCTTCCTCACCCGGTGACCTTTCCTCTCAGGAACTCTGGAAACAGTGGAAACAGTGTGCTTTGGGTTTTTTGTTTTGTTTTTTTTCTTTGTGAGATAGGGTCTCACTTTGTCACCCAGGCTGGAGTGCAGTGACATCATCACGGCTCAGTGCAGCCTCGACTTCCCAGGGCTCAGGGGATTCTCCTACTTCAGCCTCCCAAGTAGCTGGGACCACAGGCACATGCCACCACACCTGGCAAATTTTTTGTATTTTTTGTAGAGACGAGGTCATGCTATGTTGTCCAGGATAGTTTGAAACTCCTGGGCTCAAGCAATCAGCCCACCTCGGCTTCCCAAAGCCGATTACAAGCGTAAGCCACCATGCCTGTAATCTCAGCACTCTGGTTTTTATTCGTCTCAGGTGTAAATAATTGCCAAGTGGTGATCCCAGTGAAGGACCAGCCGTGCCCAGGCCGCTTCCGAAATCTTGAAAATGGCACTGAGACCTCAGTGGCTCTTTTGAGAATGCTGGGTGGAAACCACTGCCCTGGAGGCCCCATCAGCCTGGGCTGTCGGGTCTGGGGTTGGAACTCCAGCCTGACTTCTGGTTCATCCCGTTTTTTTTCCCCTTAATTTTACTTGTCTGAATCTTCAATAGGAATCAATATCTAACTCATTTCTTCATAATCTTTTATGTTCCTTCAAAAGACTATGTATTTTTATTAGAAAATATAACGATTTTAAAAAACAGAGCTCATCAAAGCAAAAACCGTTTTCTTACCACCCTAACACAATCACGATTGCATTTTGTTGTATTTCCTTGATGTCTCATTTATATATAACTACCCCTGTATACCTATACTTGGTAGAATTATTGTGCACATGCAATTTTGTATCTTGCTCTAAGAAGTGATATCATATCCTAGGCTGGGTGCAGTGGCTCCTGTAATCCTAGCACTTTGGGAGGTCAAGGCTGGTGGATCACCTGACGTCAGGAGTTCAAGAGCAGCCTGGCCAACGTGGTGAAACCCCGTCTGTACTAAAAATACAAAAGTTAGCCAGGCATGGTGGTGCGCAACCCAGCTACTCGGGAGGTTGAGGAAGGAGAATAGCTTGAACCCGGGAGATGGAGGTTGCAGTGAGCTGAGATGGCGCCACTGAACTCCAGCCTGGGTGACAGAATGAGACTTCGTCTCAAAATACAAAAAACAACAAAAGAAGTGATATCATATCCTAAGCATTGTCTATGGTCTACGGTCATCAGAAGCACTATGTTTAATACTATGTCCCATTCCATTTTGTGAATATTGTTCCCCTGCTATCCAACATTTGTATTGATTCCACTTTGTACTTCAATAATACAAACAGTCCTGCAGGAGCTGGATTTGATGCAAAGAAAAAAAAAATACAAACAGCCTCCCATGAACCTCTTTCTGAAAGGAGCTTTTTCCATATGATGGGTTATTTTCATAACACAGAGTCCTAGAATAGAATTTCTGGGTCAAAGTTATAAATATTCTAAAACCTCTCGGTACAACTCTCCACATGGCTTTCTAAAAGGGTTGCATGAGTTTTCCCTGTGAGCCCTGGTGAGAGAGCCAGCCTCACCACATTGCTGCCAGCACTGGGTGTTTACAACATTGTTTTGCTTATTTTTTTTGACCAAAATAAAAGAAACTGCATTGCTGGCTTATTCTGCATCTCTCCAATTATGACTGAAATCGCTCCTTTACCCCCTTTTTGCTGATGGGTGTATTTTTTCTAACATGCACATATTTACATTTTAATTTATTTTTATTTATTCTTTTTATTATTTTTAAAATAGAGACAAGGTCTCACTCTGTCACCCAGGCTGGAATGCAGTGGCGCCATCGTAGCTCACTGCAGCCTTAAACTCCTGGGCTCAAGCAATCCTCCTGCCTCGGTCTCCCAAGTAGCTGGAACTACCGGTATGTGCTACCACGCCCAGCTAATTTTTAAAAATTCTTTGTGATGATGGGATCTCGCTATGTCACCCAGGCCGGTCTCAAACTCCTGGGCTCAAGTGATTCTCTCACCTCAGCCTCACAAAGCACTGGGATTACAGGCGTGAACCACGGTGTCCAGCCTACATTTTAATTTACTTATTTATTTTTGTTTTATAGTTTTTTAATTTTAAATTTATATGGGTACATAGTAGGTGTATATACTTGTGGGGTACATGAGATATTTAGATACAGACATACATTGTGCAATAATCACATCACGGTGAATGGGGTATCTATCACCTCAAGCATTTATCATTTCTTGTGTTATAAACATTCCAATTATACATTTTATTTTATTTATTTTATTTTATTTTATTATTTTATTTTATTTTATTTTTATTTTTTTGAGATAGAATCTTGCCTTGTCGCCCAGGCTGGAGTGCAGTGGCGCGATCTCGGCTCACTGCAAGCTCCGCCTCCCGGGTTCACGCCATTCTCCTGCCTCAGCCTCCCGAGTAGCTGGGACTACAGGCGCCCGCCACCATGCCCGGCTAATTTTTTCTTTTTTTTGTATTTGTAGTAGAGACGGGGTTTCACCATGTTAGCTAGGATGGTCTCGATCTCCTGACCTCGTGATCGGCCCGCCTCGGCCTCCCAAAGTGCTGGGATTACAGGCGTGAGCCACCGTGCCCGGCTAATTTTTGTATTTTTAGTAGAGACGGGGTTTCACCATGTTAGCCAGTCCAGTTACACTCTTTTAGTTGTTTTTAAATGTACTATAAATTACTGTTGGCTGTCGTCACCCTGCTGTGCTATCCAATACTAGATCTATGCATGCTAACTACGTTTTTGTACCCATTAACCATCCCTACTTTCTCCCTGCTCCCCTCCACCCTCCTCAGCCTCTGGTAACCATCCTTCTACTCTCTATCTCCATGAGTTTAATTTTTAGCTCCCACAAATGTGTGAGAACATGTGAAGTCTGTCCTTCTGTCTGGCTTATTTCACTTAACATAATGTCCTCCAGTTCCATCCATGTTGTTTCAAATGACAGATTCTCATTCTTTTTCATGGCTGAATAGTATTCCATTGTGTATATGCACCACATTTTCTTTATCCATTTGTCTGTTGATGGACACTTGGGTTGCTTCCAAATCTTGGCTATTGTGAATAGCCCTGCAATCAACACAGGAGCGCCTGACCTACATTTTTAGATACTCAAATTCTTCCTTTGTAATTCCTTCTCTGGTGTTTCAATGTACAATCCACTCCTCCTTTAGAGATGGATAAATTTCTAGTGCCACATCACCTTTCTTGCCCACCGTCCCCACGTTAAGGACAAGGAGGCCATGTGAGGCTCGCTGAGGTTCCACAACTTTCTCAGGTCAGAAGCAGCCACAGAAGAATCTAGATCTCAGAGTTTGTAGCCACAGGCTATCTATGTGACAACAAAGTTGTCCTGGGCTGTCCTCAAGGCTACAGCCTCATAAACCTAATAAAAACAATACTACTTTTTGGTGAATGTTGAAATTCTCTCCTGCCAGCAAGGAGACACTGTGACAGTGCCTCAGCCCAGGCTGGAGCTGCGGAAGGAGGTGGGACAGGCTTTCTCATACTGCTTCTCAAGGAGTCACTGTCGCCCTCTGCACAAGTCTTTGAATCAATTCATGCCACCCTCCGATTTTAAGGAATCCCACATAAACTCCTTCTTTGTGGATTATTTTTTAAATAAAAAAAAAATAGTTTTAATGGAGATAGAGTCTTGCTATGCTGCCCAGCCCAGGTCTCAAATTCCTGGGCTCAAGTGGTCCTCTGGCCTCAGCCTCTGGAGTAGCCTCAGCACCTGTAGGCTTGACGATCATTTTTTATTCATAACTTTTCAGTGGATAAGGCTTAGAAGATTTGCCTGCTTTCAGAAAGGAGTGGGAACAGCTTAGAATTAGAAAACACACACAATAATAAAGCAGGAAAATGTAAAGAGTAACATTAGAAGAAGGGAAGGGCATCAACACTGATAATTACAAGAGTGATCATTACATTTAACTTTGAGCTTCCTGGAAGCCGAGGCAAAAAGGGAAATGTCATGGGTTATGTAACTCTCCTTATCTGACAAAGAAAACTTACCAGTTTTTCAAGGAAGAGAACTTTGTTTTCTGTACTAATCCATAAAAGAAATTAAACGAATGAATCAAAGGACATTAAGCAATAATTCAGTATCTGCCACATACTTAGAAATGTTTTTTTCTGGCTGGGCGCGGTGGCTTACGCCTGTAATCTCAGCACTTTGGGAGGCCGAGGCAGGCAGATGACGAGGTCAGGAGATTGAGACCATCCTGGCTAACACGGTGAAACCCCGTCTCTACTAAAAATACAAAAAAATTAGCCAGGTGTGGTGGCGGGCACCTGCAGTCCCAGCTACTTGGGAGGCTGAGACAGGAGAATAGCAAGAACCCGGGAGGTGGAGCTTGCAGTGGGCGGAGATCGCACCACTGCACTCCAGCCTGGGCGACAGAGCGAAACTCTGTCTCAAAAAAACAAGCAAACAAAAAAACAAAAAAGAAATTTTTTTTCCATGTGGCTTTTTCTTGTTCTAACCCCACAAAAAAGGCAACAAGCCTTTGTGAGATTTTACAATAGACACAAGGGTATTTACAAAGCAGACCTGAACTACTGCCAATTGTCACATTAAGTCAACACCGTTTATAGAATCTTAGATTTACAGAAGGGAGAGAAAAGAGGAATGGTTGTCATTATGAAATCAGAATCCTGAAATTTAATTTCTCAGCTACAGTAACATATATATTACACTTCAGCTCTGGATAGACACTGACAAAAACCATCAAGGGAGAGAACGATGTGTTGCAAGCTCCCAATTTTGATCCAGGGAACTCCTAGTCAGGGGAGAAATGTCTGTGGTCAGAGTTTGACCCTGAAGGAGAGGCTGTGGTGAGGTGGGGCTGGGGGTGTGTGTCCACTTGGTTTAATCAATTTCCTGGAGCACCCAAAGCAGCCCTAAGCTCTCACTAGACCTTGATCTGGTTTTGTTTGGGTTCAGTTCTCTCAAGGCTGTTCCAAAGAGCCCAGCCCTCCCTCCCTGGCCCCAAGCCTGCAGCCCCACAGCCCCACAGCCCCGTCCGTGCCTCACAGTTGGCTCCCAGGCTGGCCCAGGCTTGGCCTGTCTCCAGCACTGCCTGGTGCTCGCTGTGCTGTGCTTTGCCTCACCAGGCTCAGCAGGCCCAGTGCAATACTCTGCTGGGAGTTTAACCCGGGGTGGGCACTGGATGCCCACACAAGCCTCCTCTTCAAGTCCAAGGTGATCAGCTTAGGAACTGACACAGGAAAACCTGTCTATGTCCTGTTAAGTCAGCTGGCCAAAGAAGAGATCAAATAACAGGGTAGAGTCACCTTCAGAATTATTTACACTGTCCTTTAAACAGTGATGAACCCAAGCTCCTTTAAAATGATTTGATTTACACAAGATTTTTCAGAAGCACTGAGGTACAGGAAAAGATGCCTGGAGGGTCTCAGAGTTACAGAGCTGTCCTAGAGGAGGGTCCCAGCCTGGCTCTGCCCCCCACTTACTGTGGGGTCTGACATCTCAGCCCAAGCTCACCTGCATCCCTGGCCCTGATCGAGGAGAGGCAAACGATTCCACGTACAAATTCACTGTATTTATTCCACATAAATGTTCTACATAGATGCTTTTTAAAGTGACAACTGGGGCTTTGCTATTAAATATAATGTATTTTTAAGGGCAGGCGTGGTGGCTCACACCTGTAATCCCAGCACTTTGGGAGACCAAGGTAGGCAGATCACCTGAGGCCAGGAGTTTGAGACCAGCTTGGCAAACATGGTGACACCCCTCCTCTACTAAAAATATAAAAATTTGCTAGGCATGGTGGTGTGTGCTTGTAATCCCAGCTACTAGGGAGGCTGAGGCAGGAGAGTTGCTTCAACCTGGGAGGCGGAGGTTGCAGTGAGCCGAGATTGCACCACTGCACTCCAGCCTGGGTGACAGAGTGAGACTCTGTCTCAAAATAAATAAATAAAATGTATTTTTAGAATACTCAGTTCTCTATAATGGTCAGTGGTGTATGAGGAGGGAGGAAAGAGGGGTAAAAGGAGAGAGAAACAGATCGGAGAGATGGGCAGAGGTGACTGGGTAGAGACAGAGCAAGGCTGGGGGAAGGTGAAGACGAGAGTGCGCCCACACACACACACACACACACACACACACGCCCTTAAAAAGAGAAGGTCGGGCATGGTGGCTCACACCTGTAATCCCAGCAATTTGGGAGGCTGAGGCAGGAGGATCACTTGAGCCCAGGAGTTCAAGACCATCCTGGGCAACACAGTGAAACCCCATCTCTACAAAAAATATAAGAAATTAGTTGGGCACTGTGGTGCAAGCCTGTGGTCCCAACTACTCAGGAGGCTGAGGTGGAAGGATCTCTTGAGCTCAGGACTTCAAGGCTGCAGTGAGCTATGATCGCACCACTGCACTCCAGCCTGGGCAACCCAGCAAGACTCTGTCTCAAAAAAGAGAAACAAATCAATACACACAGGGAAGGAAGCAGCCACCCAGGCTGCGGCCCAGAACCAAGAAAGTTACAGCATTCTATTGCCATCTTGTGGCCATCTTGAATATTGCACCCCCCGCCCCCAGGCTTTCAAAGCCCCACTGCTCAGGTAGGTTTCTGTCCATCCTGGGCTTCCAGGCTCTGTGCTGCTTCACGTCTTCACATCCCAACTATTGGCCTGGACATCCTCCGAGAAAGTGACTTTAGCTCCATCTTCTCAGAGCCAACCAGGCCCCCCCATGCTTGGGCCCCTGGGCCCTTCCCTGGGCATGATCCTGCACACCCCCTTCTCCCCGCTGGCAGTCACAGGGTCCCCAGTTCTCCTGATCCTGCAGCCTGGGCCCCACATGAGCAACTTCTCTCTCGCCCTGCATGGACCCTGGGACTCCCTGCTTCTTCAGCTCTCCTCTATGTTTCCCAGCGACCCCCCAAGAAGGGCTGCTGAGGCTGGGCCCTCACCCCTGCTTAACCGTCCCCAGCAGATGCCGACAGCCTGCCTGCTTCAGCACTCCCACGGCCACTGCCAGCTGAACTGAGCCTCTCTTCAGGGCCACCATCCACCACCCTCTGTCCTGTCGGGCGATGTCCAGAGGCTTGCAGCTGCCCCAACCTCTCTTCTGCCAGTGTGAACTCTCCTAGCGCTCAAGCTTCACACCCCTTAGTGCTGAACACACACCCTCTGCTGCCCCAGCTGCCTCCAGTTGTTTATTTTGCTTTTGCTCTGAAGAGCTCCACGTTGCAGTGTTCCACTATCCTCCTTCAGCTCCTGCACCCAGCACTCCGGGTGGGGGCTGTCCTTTCAAAGGCCACTGAACAGGTCCCAAACAAGGGTCTGCCTGTCTTCTCTGGCTTGCTGACTTGTGCAGGCTGCTCCCCCTGCATGTCCTTGCCTGGCCAAGCTCTCCATCCTACATTCCTCCTGCTGCTGTGACTGGCCCTGTTTCTCTGCTCACCTGCCCCTGTCCCCTGGCCTGGACCCTGGGGGCAAAAGCTCTTAGCACAGAGCCTGGTGCTCAGAAGTGCCCCATAAATGTTGTCTGAATGAATGAATAAAGGAATGAAATAAGGAAGGAACCAGCATTTTTTTTTTAATAGAGTCTCAGTCTCACTGTGTTGCCCAGGCTAGGGTGTAGTGGTATGATCATAGCTCACTGCAACCTTGAACTCCTGGTCTCAAGTGATCCTCCAGCATCGGCCTCCCAAAGTGTTGGGATTACAGGCATGCGCCACTGCGCCCAGCCAGGAGCCAGCTCTTAATGCTGTTATATGTTGTTTTACTGGTTGTGTTTTTTTCATTTTTTTTTTAAGTTAGGAGTGCAAGGTTGTGTTTTCTGGTTTATTTCTGCTCTTATCTTTGTTTCTAGATTCTTATTTCTTTTCTTGTACTCTTTTTCCCCTCCATTAAGAACCTAATTTATATGCTGCAGTCATTTAATTTTTTTAAATAACAAAAGTATTTAAAACTATGAAATCCTTCTAAGTACAATTTGGGGCACCTTAATATAATGTACAGGATTCATTTTACTTTACTTTTTTGATACAGGGTCTCGCCCAGGCTGGCGTTCAGTGGTGTGAACATGGCTCATTGCAGCCCTGACCTCCCAGGCTCAAGCAGTCCTCCCACCTCAGCCTCTAGAGTAGCTGGAACTACAGGAGAGTGCCAACAGGCCCAGCTAATTAAAAAAAAAATTGTAGAGACAGGGTCTCCCTATGTTGCCCAGGCTGGTCTTGAACTCCTGGACTCAAGTGATCCTTCTGCCTTGGCCTCCCCAGGTGTTGGGATTAGGTGTGAGCCACCACACCTGGCCCCAACAAAATGTTTTAAAAGCTGGTCCTTTGTCTCTGTGTCTGGACACACTCCCACTCCCGCAGGCCAAACAGGGCGGGGATGAGCTTGGCAAAGGGGATGTGGGAACCAGGGGCTGGCCTGGCTGGGTCTGAGCTGACTGAGGACCAGGCACTTGGAAACTGCAAATAGGGATAGAGCTGGGACTGAAAGTGGAAAATGAGCCACTGGATCAGGGTGCACAGGAGGCCGCAGTGGTTGAGGTTGAGGGTAGGTGTCAGCAGTAAGAACCCAGGGCCACTGAGTCTCAGCCAGGCTGCACACTAGAGTCACCCAGGGGAGGCCCACCTCAAGATGACAACAGGTCCAGGAGGCTCGGGCACTGGAATGATGTTTAAAAGAATTCCCTCTTCCCGCCAGGTGCTCCCTTTTACAGTCTGGAGGGAACACTGCCACCCACGACTCCCACAAGATCGGCGGGGCCTTTGGGCTCTTCCTGCCTGGCACCCCACCCAGCTCCTCCTCCTTGCCTGCAATCTCTACCCCTACCCAGCTGGTGCTCCAGTGCGGCCACCTGATTATCTGCATTTTCCTTTCAAAATAATTCCATTTGGGGCCCCAAAGCAATATATGTTCACTGTAGCAAATCCTGAAAACAGAGAAAAGCACAAAGAAGAAAACAGAGAAAAGCACAAAGGGGAAAACAGACGTTTTCCGTTTTTCCCCCAATGATTTGCAGCAATCTGCGGCAGTTTTCAGCCTCTGCAGGTTCCCAAACGTGACTTGGCTCCTGCTCTTTTCCCTTTGGTGTTAGCATCTGTTCCGGCACGGTTGAGGGATTCTTCAGACTCCGCCAGCTTTGCCTCTTTTGTAGCCAAACATTTATTGAGCACTTACTGCATACTGGGTACTACATGAGGCCACAGGGACCCAAAGGTCTCAGCAAAAGCTCGTGGAGCCTTCAGGCCAGTCCAGGAGGAGGAGGCCTGACACCCTTCAGCGGGTCATTTTAAAGGCTCTTGTGCATGGACCCTGTATGACATTTTTCTTTTTCTTTTTTCCTGGAGATTCATGTGTTGGTCTTTGTTATGGCTGAGGTTTAGTTTCAGACAATTTTTCTAGGCTTTCCTGGCATTTAAGGGAGGCTGTGACTGTGTCCTCTGCCACTTTTCCACACTTCGTCCCCCAAAATATCTCAAGAAAAGTCAAGTCACCCTTTCTCCTTTAACCCTTTAGTAGATTTGGACGTGCTGCCTCCACCCAGCATGGTGACGTCATAACCTGGGGCTCCCGTCTGCCCCTTTCTACACTTGGCATGAGGTCGCCTGACTCTCACCCCTCATGGGCAGAGGCAGGGCAGCTGCAGGGTGGGAGGGACAGTTCTGGCCCTGAAAGGGGCCTTCAATGGAAAGTTGTCTTCCCTGCTCAGCCCCATTCCTGCTGCTCTCTTCAGAGCTGTAAGAACTGGGCCAAATGGTGCCCACACCTTCCAAGCCAACCTCAGATGAACTCAGGGTCAACAGGGAAGCTACTTCCCATGCTAAGCTGAGGGTTCTGTCTCTGGCAACCTGAATCATCCACTCACACAGAGGCTGAGTTAAATTAACCCCGCATTCAATGAGGGCCGGCCACCTGCACAGTCTTGTGGGGGCTGCAAAAATGCATGAGACTCGGCCTCCACCCTCACTCATGGCCCAGACTAGGGAGCAGCAGACACATGCTCAGTGTGGTCAGAGTTTACAGGGGCTTTAAGAAGAGAGAGGGGAATCCAGGAAGACTTCCTGGAGGAGATGGCAACTGAACTTGGATTTAAGGGAAGGGAAGAGATAAGGAGAGAAGGACATTCCCCACCATGGGACACAGGGCAGGGCATGGCAGAACCCAGGGGCCCCCAGAGGTGCATGGGCGGGGAACCCCAGACGGGGAGCAGCAGATTCAGGCTAGGGGGAAGGGAGCACCTTGTGGGTGCTGCTTGTTATGTGACTTGAGGAGATCCTGGATGGCAGTCTGGGTGCTGGAGCAGGATGGGGGTGCATGGGTGGGCAATGGGAGAAAAGGCAGGAAAGGCCAGTGAGGGCCCCTCTGGGGTCTTGGGCAGCACCAAGGCCAGGCACCCTGGAGAATGAAAGTCACGGTGGTCCCAAGATGGGGCTTCTGGAGGCGACTTTCGAGAACCGAATGAGGACTGGAAAGTCTGGAGACGAGGGAGCGCATTGTCCCCAGTGGAAGCGCAGGACAGTTTCCCTCAGCTGCGGTACAGGACAGAGGCCCTGGGTCACCTGTGAGTTATTTCCCCAAGGTCTCTAACCAGGCCACTGTGGTGGATGAGGGTCCAGAGAGCCTCTTCCACTACAAGCTCCACATGCCTGAGCAGGAAAAGGCCGGACCTTAATTTAACCCGGATCGTTTGCCATCAGGAGGGAGATTCTGAGATGCTCTCTTCCTTCCCTCCCTCCTGTGTTCCAGGGAGCTCTGCCCTTGTCCCCACAGCCACAGGGGGGCCACTGTCTGTCCTTTCCTCGATGAGAGGAGGTGCTCTGGGGCACAGCCGAGTCTTCTCCACCTCTGTGCACCGCCTGGCACGCAGGGACTCTCAAAAGAGGCCTGATGCACAGAGGCAGGGTCTACACATGCGTCCCTTTTAACCCGACCGTCCATTTCCATCCCGATGGGATGTGACACTGCACTCACAAGCTTGTTCGGGGGCAGGGGGGATCCTGGGTGGGGGGAGGTGGCAGGGTTTGAGGCAAGGTGCCCATGTGCACTGGTGGCCACCCTCCGTCCAAATGCCCCAGGCTCAGGCCCAAGTGATAAGAACTTCAATGGTGTGGAGAGCGCCTGCGTGGGGGAGGCAAGCTGACACGCAGGCCCAGGGTTCCAGAAAGCCCCCTAGCTCCCCGAGGCCCAGTGCCCAGAAGGCCCAGCACATCTGCAGCCTCAGAGTGAGCTGTGGTCCTTCTCACCCCCAGCCTCCTCTTCACCCTTCCCCAGCTCCCCAGTGCTGGGTGGCGGGAGCGGGGTCCTGGGCTGAATTGTGGTCCCCGCAAATTCACATGTTGAAGCCCTAACCCCCCTCCCCAACACCCCCGTACCTTAGAATGTGACTCTATTTGGAGACAGGGCCTTTAGAGAGGTGACTAAGTGAAAAATGAGGTCATCAGGCTGGGCCCTAAGCCATGGTGGGTTTTTTTGGTTTGTTTTATTTTGTTTTGAGACAGAGTCTCGCACTGTTGCTCAGACTGGAGTGCAGTGGCACTATCTCGGCTCACTGCAACCTCTGCCTCCTGGGTTCAAGCGATTCTCCTGCCTCAGCCTCCTGAGTAGCTGGGATTATAGGCGCGCACCACCACCACGCCCAGGTATTTTTGTATTTTTAGTAGAGACGAGGTTTCACCCTGTTGGTCAGGTTGGTCTCGAACTCCTGACCTCGTGATCTGCCTGCCTCAGCCTCCCAAAGTGCTGGGATTATAGGCGTGAGCCACTACGCCCAGCTGCCATGGTGTTCTTATAAGAAGATGAGCATGCGCAGAGCTACCAGGAGCACACACAGAGGGAAGACTGCAGCGGTGCAGGACAGAGGTGGCTACCCACGGCCACAGAGAGGCCTTGGAAGAAACCCACCCGCCCACACCTGGCTAGTGAGGAGGCATACTGCTGTTCTTTCACTGTGGTGCTTTGTATGTCAGCCCTAACGCACCCAGACGAGGGGCACAGGGATAGGAACGGGGAAAGGGATCCAGGCCAGGCCCCCGAAGCCTGTGCTTCTCCACCTTTAGGAAGCTGGAGAGCTCGCGAGCACCCACTTGCTCCCAGAAGAATCAGCTGATCAAAACAGAACCCCCAATCTCCCCAGAATCCAGAGGAACCCAACCTAAGCAGATGGCCCACGAGTGGAGATGCTCACCTATGGGTGGCAGTGTATTCTGCCCAGAAGGCAGGTGGGGAACCGCTGTGGGTGCCCTGACTATGAGAGCCTCCGGCCGTGGAGACACAGCCCTGCCATCTCTGTCCGATTAACAGGGGCTGAAGGGGCAAGAGAAGAGCCAGAACGTTCTCTCGCCTGAGGAGGGCACTCACAGTGTAGTGGAGAGCCCAATAAAGAACTGAACTTCCTTGAAGAGGGTCCAGAGGGGACTGGGGTGTTATGCGGGGGTGCTCAGGTGCGGGGAGCCCCACACCTCCATGCACAGTCCCACGACTCCACGCTCAACCGCGCACCTCCAGGCGCAGCCCTACCCTTCCAGGCACAGCCCTACCCCTCCAGGCGCAGCCCCCCACACCTCCACGCGCAGCCAGCCACTCTCACCTTCCCGCCTCCCGGCTGGTGCTTCAGGTTCTCAGTGGAGCCGATCTTGGACTTGACGTTCTTCAGGTCTGGCATGGGCACGGGGGCTGTCTGCAGGCGGCTCTTGGCGGAAGACGGCGACTTGGGTGGAGTACGGACCACCGCCACCTTCTTGGGCTCCCGGGTGGGTGGGGTTGGAAGGGACGGGGTGCGGGAGCGGCTGCCGGGAGTGCCTGGGGAGCCGGGGCTGCTGTAGCCGCTGCGATCCCCTGATTTTGGAGGTTCACCTGGGAAGGAAGGAAGGGAGTGAAGTCAGGACTCGAGTGGGTGGGGTCAGAAAAGGCCCTGGGGGCTGCCTGTCCCGTGGGTCCATTCCCAGGCTCACCACTGGGTTAGGCAGGTGGAAGCCAGGTTGGAAGCGCAGCTACAGCAGACGGCTGCCCTGGGGAAGCATCTCTTCCTCCCTGCCTTTTTGCTTAGGGACAGAGACACCCCTTTCCCAGGAAAGCAATGGAAAACCATCAACCACCATCCAATACCCGCTCCCAGAGAGGTGGCCAACTCGGCTCCACAGTCTTTGGGTCAAGAGATGGGCTCCAACAAGCTGTGTGGCCTCAGACAAGTAACTTCCCCTCTCTGAGCTCAGAGGCCTTAATTTGAAAATGGAAATAATTATAATCCCTGCGGCCAGCGTGGCTCCAGGAGGTGGTAGATATGCTTTGCCAACCTCTAATACAATTCTTCAGGGCCTTTATCCTAAATAAGGGTGATGCAGTGACGAGACCCAGCTGTGCCCTCAAGCCTGGACGCTTCTGACCCTTTCCCCACAGGGTGAATGTTCAGCTGTTCAGCTGTTCGGCTAGTTCAGGGCTCCTGCCAGCACCCTGGCTCCTCTGTGGGATTTGGGCTTCAGAACAGGATGCCTGCTCCACGCCTGCCTGTCCCTAGCTGTCCACACGAGCCATACCGCTTCATGCTGCTGTGCCCTGCCGTACAGTTCCCCACCTGCCATGCATAGCAGTTATTAGCGCACCCTTCCAACACCCTGGAAGCTGCTGGGGGGTCTCCTCTCCTCTCCATGCAGATGCTGTCCCTCCCTCCTCTGGGTGTCCTTTACCCTCAAACTTGCTTCTGTTACTGCACTTCCCAGGCCCCCGTTACACTTCAACACTCTGGTATTCTATCTCATGGGTCTGTGTTTTCCAAAGTGTGGCCCACGGAACCCTGCGTCAGAATCTCCGGAGCTTTCAAGGAGGAAAGTGGGAGTTGCAAAATGCAAATTTCTCGATCCCCTTCAAGAGTGGATAGAGCAGAATCTCTAGGGGTGGGACCTGCAAAGCCTCATTTTTCTCAAGCTCCACAAAGACTGAAGTCTGAGAACCGCAGGCCTCACCCTGTGCCGAGGTGTGCTTAGCTCCCCTGCAGTCTGAGAACTTAGCTTTCCTGCAAGTCCAGAAGCTTCCCGCAGCAATGCCCCTGCCGCTGCCCCAGGCATTTGCTGTAACACATACCTGCTGGCCAGACCTGGAGAAGGGCAGCTCTTTGAAGCACCCATGTAGCCAATGGGCAGCTTGGCCAGTGACGAATAAGCACTAGTTTTCTTTTGTTGTTGTTTTGTTTTTTTGTGGGTTTTTTTTTGAGACGGAGTCTTATTCTGATGCCCAGGCTGGAGTGCAATGGCGTGATCTCGGCTCACTGCAACCTCCGCTGCATGGGATCAAGCGAGTCTCCTGCCTCAGCCTCCCGAGTAGCTGATATTACAGGTGTGCAGCACCACGCCTGGCTAATTTTTGTATTTTTAGTAGAGACTTATTTTAGTAGAGACTGGATTTTTGTATTTTCAGTAAAGATTTCTTTAGTAGAGGTTTTACCATGTTGGCCAGGCTGGTCTTGAACTCCTGACCTCAGGTGATCCACCCGCCTCGGCCTCCCAAAGTGCTGGGATTATAGGCATGAGCCACCGCACCCAGCCAGCACCAGTTTTTAGAATTTGACTTCCATGTCTTTTTTTAAAATAATGTTTTTTATAGAGACTGGGTCTGACTATGTTGCTCAGGCTGGTCTTGAACTTCTGGCCTCAAGCGATTCTCCCACCTCAACCTCCCAAAGTGCCGGGATTATAGACGTGAGCCACCGTGCCCTGCGGATTTCCATGTCTTGGATGTTCCTGAAGTAGTACGCTCTGTGGCAATAGGACAAATGAAGCCTCTTATTTTCCACATAAGGAAACAACAGATGGGGCCTCGGCCTCCAGGGCCTCCAGGCTCAGCCTCTCTGCCTCCTCAGACCTCCCATCCTCCTGCCTCCCTGACTTCAGAGACCCAGGGTGACCAGTGGGCTTGGTGGTGGTGGCTCCAAATACTTTTCATGCCTCTTACTTACAGAGTGGTCGTGGGCAAGTCACCTGACCTCCTTAAGCCTATGTCTTCATCTGAAACATAGGGAGACAGCCAGGCATGGTGGCTCATGCCTGTAATGCCATTGTCCCTGAAGTCAAGGAGAGCACACAGGATTAGAAAGCCCATCAGACAAACACAGCTGCGCAAACTGCACAGGGAAGAGAATTCGGACTGCTCCATCTTCAGGCTGCGAACCCTGTGTGAACCCTGCATTGCAGAAAAGGGTCCTCCCGGCTCTAGAAACACAAGCCAGTGAATGGCCACACACGCAAAGGGAGGCTGCTCCCAGCGAAGTAGGCTCCCGAGTACCTCTCTCAGATCTGGGCCCTGCAGGGGGTGGTCTTCTCTGGACTTGCTTGGTCGCTTAAAGAGAAAAATCCACGAAAGCCTTATTATCATCAGGCTTAAACAGGGCCTTAATGAGTCCTTCACGTGGCAGGCACCCACAGCTGGCCCAGCAGGGGCCCCATTCTGAAACAAGGTCGAGGGGCCCAAGGGGGAGGGTCTCTCCACCTGCAGGCAGCCACCGAAGAGCAGGTAAGACCCAAAGGGAAATGCATCACCTTGTTTCAGGTTGTTACAAAGTGTGAGTCCCCTGTAATCCCAGCACTTTGGGAGGCCGAGGTGGGCGGATCACTTGAGGTCAGGAGTTCGAGACTAGGCTGGCCAAAATGGTGAAACCCTGTCTTTACTAAATATACAAAAATTAGCAGGGCGTGGTGGCCTGTGCCTGTAGTCCCAGCTACTCAGGAGGCTGAGGCAGGAAAACTGCTTGAATTTGGGAAGCAGAGGTTGCAGTATGCCAAGATTGTGCCACTGCACTTCAGCCTGGGTGACACAGTGAGACTCCGTCTCAAAAAAACAACAACAAAAAACAGAGTGTGAGTCAACTGGCCCGATGTTAAGTGAAAAAAAAACAGCAGGATCCAAACGCTACTTAAAATCCTGTCAAAATTCTGGGAATTATCCCTGGATCACATGTATATGAGAAAAACACCAGGCCAGAAAACACGAAGCGAAAAGACAAAAACAATGGGCCTTAGTGAATGGCCATCCTTGGGGGTGCCACCGCACGGCATGTGTGCGAGAAATGCCACCGCAAAGACATGCAGCAGGTGGTGGGCAGGCTCTGGGCAGCTCCCTCAGGCCAGGGAGAAGCAGAGTCACCAAGATCCAAGATCCAGGCCAGGCTTTGGTCACAGCCCGCAGCAAGTGCCATAGGCTGCCCGTGCCACCAAGGAGCAAGTGCAGGTCAGACACCCCTACATGGTGCAGAGTCTAAACCCAGGGGCCTGGAATACTTCACTGGGGCAATGGAAGAGAGAAGTGCTCGGGCAGGCAGGCAGGCTGTCCCTAATCCCCAAAGAGGACGACTGTTTTTTTTTTTTTTTTTTGAGAAGGAATCTCACTTTTGTCATCCAGGCTGGAGTGCAATGGTGCGATCTCAGCTCACTGCAACCTCTGCCTCCTGGGTTCAAGTGATTCTCCTTCCTCACCCTCCTGAGAAGCTGGGATTACAGGCGCCCGCCACCACGCCCAGGTAATTATTTTGTATTTTTATTAGAGACGGGGTTTTGCCATGTTGGCCAAGCTGGTCTCGAACTCCTGACCTCAGGTGATCCGCCCACCTTGGCCTCCCAAAGTGCTGGGATTACAGGCATGAGCCACCACGCCCAGCCGCCACTGTTCTTAATAGCACTCCTGGCTGCAAAATAACTCAATGGATGCCTTACTGGGTACTCAAAATTGACTGGGTTTTACTCACAGGAGCCCAGGGCAACGGGCCCAGCCTGTGACTGCTCAGCTAAGACTCTCAGGTTTTGCAGCAGACTCCTAACGTCCCTAGCAAGTTAAGCTGCCCAGGGGTTGAGCCCTGAGTGACGCCACCCATTGTGACTTATCCAGGCTGCTGCTCTGTCTCCAGAGACATTTGTCTCCAGAGTCTCATTTGGGGACTGAAAACACGCCATGCTGGGGCTGCCTCTATGGAACCCTGGACTTGGGGCCAGAGAGGCTCCGAGAGCTGCCACTTAGTAGTCATGTGACTGCATTTTCCTCGGGTTTAAAATGAGCTGGTTAGACTCAGTCAAGCAAACTCTCAGAGGCTCGATTTCTTTCTTTTTTTTCCTTTTTCTGTATTTTTTTTTATCATGCTGCAGAATCAGCCTCAATTTCTTCATTGATAAAAAGTGAGGATTCAGGCTGGGAGTGGTGGCTCATGCCTGTAATCCCAGCACTTTGGGAGGCCGAGGCAGGTGGATCACCTGAGGTCAGGAGTTCGAGACCAGCCTGGCCAACATGGTGAAACCCTGTCTCTACTAAAAATACAAAAAATTAGCCGGGCATAGTGGCAGGTGCCTGTAATCCCAGCTACTAGGGAGGCTGAGGTAGGAGAATCGCTTGAACCTGGGAGGTGGAGGATGCAGTGAGCTGAGATCACACCACTGCACTCCAGCCTGGATAACAAAAGCCAAACTCTGTCTCAAAAGAAAAAAAAAAAAAAAGGTAGGGATTCAACATTTGCCTCAGAAATCAAAAGGACTGAGAAGGCAATGAAGACTCCAGTGCTTAGTAAACTGCAAGCTGCTGACCAGCTGCCAGGGGTTATTCATTCTCAGTGGCCTAAGGCCTCCTAAAATGAAGGCTGTACCTCTGAGAGCTTCAGCTTCCTCTAAGATTCAAGAGAACGTTCTTCTTACCAGAGCTGGGTGGTGTCTTTGGAGCGGGTGGGGTTTTTGCTGGAATCCTGGTGGCGTTGGCCTGGCCCTTCTGGCCTGGAGGGGCTGCTCCCCGCGGTGTGGCGATCTTCGTTTTACCATCAGCCCCCTGTAAATGAAACATGATAGAGGGGTTTTTCACCATTGGGAAAAGTTACTGCCACCAAGAGTCAACACCAGCCCCACTCCGCCACCTTGACTCAAAACGTGGCTAAGACTGGGGTGACCCTTTGCCTCCTAGATGCCACTAGTGTCTGCTACAACCACAAGGGCTTGCTGGGCACACAAACCCACATCCCCACCCAAACTCCAAGTTCCCTGAGGACATTTCCTCCCAGAGGAACTGTGTGCATTAGTTATCAGCATGAGTTGTGCCAAGGCCAGCAGAGCTTACAGCAATGATCAGGTCACTCTCCACTCCATGTCAATCATCGGCAGGACATTAGTGCACTATGCATATGCAGACATCCATTTTCTGACTCTAATTATGGATTTATTTGGCTGATGGTGGTTGGCTCCACCAGAGGCCCCTGGGGGCAGTGTTGAACCTGACCAAGGATGCTAAAGAGAGCTAGGTCGTGTTCTTTCATTCTCTCGCAAACAACCCTAAGGCCTCAAGAACTCCTTGGGTGTGCTCAGAGCAGGTGAGCACCCGAGGAGGCGAGCACCAGCATCACTGACAAAGCTGGCAGAGTCAGGCATGGCACAGTCTAGGGACTAGGGCAGTCCCTGGGTTCCGTTACCCAGCAGATGACCCTTAGACATAACACAAACTCAAAAAAGAAACTGACATTAACCAAGGACCACAAGCTAGTTGAGGGGCCAGTGAGCTCACGGGGCAGTGTTGCTATGGCGTGATGCTGTCCTACCCAGATCAGGGCAATCTGGAAGCATTTCTCTTGCCAAAATCAGGAATGGGCAAAGGAACCCAATGAGAGTAGCAATTTTGGGTTTGTTTTTTAAACAATTTTTGCGACAGGGTCTTGCTCTGTCGCCCAAGCTGGAGCTAACTACAACCTCTGCCTCTGGGGTTCAAGCAATCCTTGTGCCTCAGCCTCCCGAGTAGCTGCGATTACCACCACGCATACCACCACGCCCGGCTAGTTTTTGTATTTTTAGTAGAGACAGGGTTTTGCCATGTTAGCCAGGCTGGTCTCGAACTCCTGATCTCAGGTGATCCACCCTCCTCGGCCTCCTAAAGAGCTGGGATTACAGGTGTGAGCCACCGTGCCCAGCCTTAGAGTAGCGATTTTGAAACCAAGGTCCCACCAGGTGTCTTAGGAGCTGCTGCTATGAGAGCCTGTGGGGTGCTGAGAGGGATGGCCCCCAGCTCTCTTTTCCCCTTTGCCCAGAATTCTAACTATTTTACACGGTGCTTCTATGCCAGAGCTCATTTGAAGAAAGGTCTTTGAGGCTAAAAAACAAACAAACAAACCCCACATTTGCAAACCACAGCAGAGCAGCCTGGTTCTTTTCAAAGGTGGTTTCCTTACCTTGAGTTTCATCTCCTTTGCTCCAGAACTGCCAGTTCGGGGAGTGACAGAAGAGACGTATTTAGGAGAGGAAGGTGGCTCTGGGCACACAGCAGGGCTGGAGGGTTGGATCAGAGGGTCTGAGCTACCAGGAGTGGGGTGTTTGGGGCTAAGGCAAGGCCTATTTTTCAAGGTTTTAGCAGAGGAACGTGTGGATGTCTTAAACATAAACATAAATAAAATCAAAATAAAAGTCAGCACATGGAGGAGGGAAACAAACTGAAAAAAGGACAGTAACTAAAAATAAATAAGGCAGGTAATGGTTGAAAGCAGTGATCTCCAGGCTGTTTGAATCAGGTACCCTTAATATCCCTTCTGATCAGTAAGAACAGGAAAGTGACCGTCCTCCCCAATCATAGTTCTTTTTC
The DNA here is from genome assembly GCF_000001405.40 of Homo sapiens. Classification (NCBI taxonomy): domain Eukaryota; kingdom Metazoa; phylum Chordata; class Mammalia; order Primates; family Hominidae; genus Homo; species Homo sapiens. The sequence continues at coordinate 798,721 of NT_167251.2, forward strand.
TTTTTCTTTTTCTTTTTTGAGACGGAGTCTCGCTCTGTCACCCAGGCTGGACTGCAGTGGTGCAATCTCGGCTCACTGCAAGCTCTGCCTCCTGGGTTCACGCCATTCTCCTGCCTCAGCCTCCCGAGTAGCTGGGACTACAGGCGCCCACCACCACGCCTGGCTCTTTTTTTTTGTATTTTTAGTAGAGATGGGGTTTCACTGTGTTAGCCAGGATGGTCTCGATCTCCTGACCTCGTGATCCACCCGTCTCGGCCTCCCAAAGTGCTGGGATTACAGGCGTGAGCCACCGCGCCTGGCCCTGACAAAGCTTTTAGAAGAGGACATGAAAAAGGAATGGAAGTTCTAGTACGTTCTTTCTCCAGCCTGTTGGATGTTACTGTGCCCCTGAATTTGGAGACCACTGGTTTAAAGGTGCTTCACATGAGTAAGTTGATGGAGATCATCAAGGTACATGAATCTTAGGATGTTACTCAAGAAAATGTCCCCAAGTGTGTCACGGGGTCTGAAGGGCCTTACTTTCTACTCAATTCCAGGCAAGGTGCTTTTTTACCTGCCCATTAACCCATGGCCTCTTCCACCACACTGACAGACTCATATGGCTACAATCAGGAGTGTGCCCCCCCCAAGTTGGAAAGATTCTACCTGACTTAGGTTACACCCACCCCCACCACACATGTGCTTTCTGATTAAAGTCTCAAATCAAACTAATATTAACACTATCTGGTGAATCCTAATCTGGCCAATGTTAACTCTTTTGTTTGTTTGTTTGTTTTAGAGACAGGGTCTCCCTCTGTTGCCCTGGCTGGAGTGCAGTGGTGCCATCACGGCTCACTGCAGCCTCCACCCTTTGGGCTCAAGTGATCCTCCCACCTCTGCCTGGCCAATTAAATTTTTTTTTTGAGATGGGGTCTTGCTATGTTGCCCAGGCTGGTCTAGTACTCTTGGGCTGGGGACATCCTCCCACCTTAGCCTCCCAAAGTGCTGGGATTACAGGCATGAGCCACTGTGCCAAGCCTCCAATGTTATCTCTTTTTCTTTTTTTTTCAGTTTGTCAGTGTAAACAACACTGCTTACTTTTGAACCCATTCCACAAGAGGAAGCAGCCAGGGACGGGTGTCTGCACACCTGTCCCTATGGAGGCGGGGCTGGGGGGGGCCCTGGAACCAGGATGCAGGATAGATGGTGACTGACACCCACAGTTCGTCCTGCCCGTGGGGGATTTTGACGGGTGGGCATGGCCCTGGAGGAGAAGGGGGTGTTTGGAGGGGAACAGGTCACACTCTCAGGAAACAAAGTGGGGAGGCTAAGCCTCGAAGTGTTTCCAAGAGCAAGTCAGAGCTCAGAGAAGGGTCCTGACCCAGACTTCACTGGGCTTCTAGGGGATGCTATCTTATTGCTTTCCAATTCCCCATGGAAGCGGCCAAGGCCCTCTGTGTGGTCAGGCTTGGTAAGGAGGACCCAGGAGATGAAGTAGCAATGGGAGAGGAGGGACACAGGCTGGGGCCCTGGGGCTGATGACAAGAAAGCAAAGCTGGGGTGGGGGTATTGACGACTCCTCCTTCCCTCGCTGCACACGGCCCCTCTCCACCAGCAGCACTCCCCAGCTGGCCGAGGTCCAGGGTAATAGATCTTTCCCCTCCCTAGACTCTGGGCAACTCCAGGGCAGGGATGTTGTACCCATGTGTACTGAATGAATGAATGAAGGAAGGAACAAATGAATGCATGCATGCATGAGGCTGGTATTCCCTGCCCCCTGCCCCCGGCACTAAATGTGCACCGTGATTGACAAGCAGCTGTCACTATCACTTCAGAGACCCAGGCCAGCTCTCCAAATCCCCACAGGCCCTTCCACTGCCTCACTAGATGAGGCTGGGGAGCCCTGACTCTGCAGGCACTTCCGGGAGCAGCCCTCAACACACCACTGAATGCTCAGAGCTATGTGGCAACTGGAGATGCCCTCCGGGCTCCAGTACTGATTAAAATTCAGGTGTTTCAGACAGAATTTATGCTGGAAATTTTAGATACCTTTAAGAAAAATAGGTCTTATCTAGAGCCATGGTGGGATTTTCCAGGAAAAACGCCACTGTGCAATTACGGGAGCATTTCCCCAGACATTTCCCCAGTCATTGAGACAGTAAACAATGGGTGAAGTGAAATACTGAGAAGGATGGGCAAAGATCTGGGTGCAGTTTATGCAGTGAGAAGATGGCTTCATTTACTGTCCTAGGGCTGGTTTTCAAACACACCTTCATTTACTGTCCTGGGGTTGGTTTTCAAACACACCTTCATTTACTGTCCTGGGGTTGGTTTTCAAACACACCTTCATTTACTGTCAGGGTCTCACTGAAAGTACACTAAGAAAGCTGGAATTAGGAGCATGACTTCATGAACCTGCCAACTGCTCTTCCCTGGGGTAAGTATCAAAACTAATAAATGCTGGACTTTTTAAAAGCCTGCCCCAAAATACAAAGCACTTTAAATGACAGCTGTACTTTAGTGACAAATACTCCCCACATTATATATGAGAATGAATCAGACATAAAGCACAGCTTCTCTGTAAACTTGACCAGCTGCAGAGCTCCGTGGCATCGTCAGCTTACCTTGGCTTTTTTGTCATCGCTTCCAGTCCCGTCTTTGCTTTTACTGACCATGCGAGCTGATAAAATATAAAATAAGAATGCTTGTCACACTCCATTTTCACTGTTCACAGAAAGCCAGCTGTGGTGAGGCTGGATTTCTCTGGGATAGGTCCATGTTTGTTTAGTTGGGTCTGGTGGAAACCCAGTTGGTTCTCTTTTCCCTTGAATCTGCTAGGCCTCGCATTGTTAGTATCAACACAGCACACTGGGGTCATTGATTAGCGCAACCTGGCAAGAGGGGGCAGCAGGCTGGCCGAGGGTGGGACCATGCAGAGGGGACGCAGCAGAAACTGTCACGGGGACATGATGGCATGGAGGCTATCTAAGGAAGGTGCAGTCTCCCTAACCCACAGGCTCCTGCCCTGTTTCTGCCAGGGTCAGCCTCACCCCACTGGGACCAGCCCCACTCCATGGATGGGTGTTTTAAAAGCCTCAGGGCCATGGATGTTGGTAGCTCAGTGAGGACCCAGCCTCCTGCAAGATCCAAGGATGGGGGTGGGTGCATTGTCTCCACACTGCAGCCAGGCTTGGCCCTGATTCCCTGTGAGGTGCCTGCTCACCCTCTTGGCCTTGGAAACTGCCTGGAACCACCCGGCTCCCCTGCCCATGTGGCTAGATTGCCAGCAGTCCTGATTCCCACCTTCCTGGCCATCTTACGCTGACCAACCCATCTCCATTTCTGGTCACACGCCTCCAGAAGAGGAGAGGCTGGCAGGGTTGTCTTTGTCCCCTAGTTGCTGGTTGTACCCCCAGGGCCTGCCCCTCACTAATGGTGGCTTTGGCCACCAGCCCCAGCTGCTCTGAGACGAGCCAAGCCCAGCCCAGCCCTGAGCCAGGCCTGGTGGGTTTCTTGCCACTTGCTGGTCTTCAAAGGGCACGAATTCTCACTGCTTCCCCAAATTAGCTACAAACCAGTTACCATCATACATTCCCACAGACAACATCAGCCTTCATCACACTCCTTGGTGAAACCAACCCGCTGACCTGTCAGCCAGCATCAGCGCTAACTCACCCTTCTCCTTCTCTTGATAGTCACTGCTGAAAACTGATCATAGATTTTCTTCTTTGGTTTCAATATCACATTCCCTCTACCCCATGGACAACTGGGTCTCTTGGAGCTTCTCATTGGCTATTGTCACCTGGATTTCTAGAGGGACCAGCAATGAGTATGCCCAGAGGTTTTCCAACTATACTATGTGGCAGAATCACCTGCTAAAAGACTCCCAGGCTTACCCCACAACTGGGTCTGTAAGCCTAAAGTGGCACCTGGGAACCTGCACTTCAGTAAGAGCCCCAGGCGGATCTGACTCACGTGTTCTTTGTTTTGCCCACATCAACCAGCACCATCCACGGCACAACAAAAGAATCTGCTAAATCGGCATTTCCCAAACTTCCTCCAGGAAATGTTAGCAGGTAGAATCAAGTAAGTCTGGGAAACCCACTCTGTGACCTTCTCAGAGGGTCACAATGGCCATTAGTACATTAAAGGCTCTGACAAGTCCTGCAGAAGAAAAGCCTGTTTAACTTACTTTAGTCTTTTATTTTTTTCCCCCAGTCACTGGGCCATGGAACTCTTTTTTAATCCAAACACACCTATGAACCTCTAGTAGGCCAGTATTCAAGAAAACATCATTTCAGGAAATATTGTAGTAACCTGTCAAGTCAGTTATTTGTCCCCTACTGTTTTGGAATTTAACAAAGGATATAGGATATATTTTTTTCTCTCTTAACTTGATTTTATTTTATTTTTTGAGACAGAGTCTCACTCTGTCGCCCAGGCTTAGGGTACAGTGGTGTGATCTTGGCTCACTGTAACCTCTGCCTCCTGGGTTCAAGCACTTATCCTGCTTCAGCCTCCCCAGTAGCTGGGACTACAGGTGCCCGCCACCACGCCCAGCTAATTTTTTGTAATTTTAGTAGAGACAGGGTCTCACCATGTTGGCCAGGCTGGTCTCGAACTCCTAACCTCAAATGATCCACCTGCCTTGGCCTCCCAAAGTGCTGAGATTACAGGCGTGAGCCATCGCCCCCAGCCTCTGTCTTAACTTTTAAACACAGGCTTCTTTATAGCATTTCAAAGTTTTCTCTAAAAGTAAAATCTAATAAAAATTTAACAGATGCTTGCAACTGTGAGCTTCAGTAACATCCATTTCTGGGCTCTGCAAATAACTGTGAAATGCTAAGGGTCCCAAATTTATGAACAAGCTCGCCTTGTGGCTCTGAGGTCTCCTGTGGGACACCAACTCTCCTCTCCCTGATACTTGGGACTCTCCTCCCACCAATCCCTCCCTGCAGGGCTGCTGTGGTCGTGCTCCTGAGGGCTCAAGGTGGGCCCTGCTCAACCCCCTCCAATGCCAGCATGAGGATCCCCTTGTCCTCTGCAGAGGGAGGTGGTGGCATGTGGACCAGGGAGATCTTGTGTCTGCTCCTTGTCTTCCTGCCACAAGGCAGAGTGGGTGGGGGCAGGGCACTGGGCCAAAGGCACAGCATGAGCTCTGGGCCACCTCTGGATGCTGTGTGTGTCGCCTGCTGTGTGTGCCCTGCACATCTCTGTGTTAGGCGTCCACACTCCAGCACCTCCTGGGAGGCGTTGTGGGATGCAGGACAGGCGTGTCTTTCAGAGACAACCTACCTGGATCCCAAACCTGGCTCTGTCACTTACTACTCATTGGCCTTCGGCAAGTTACTGTACTTCTCTGAGCCTCCGTTTCCTCATCTGCAAAGTGAGGCTGCTTATGCCTACATGGGAGGGTTGGAGAGTTCTAGACACCATGAGGGCACCCGTCATCCTGTCGGTGGAAGGCACCCACCAACCTCCTGTGGGCTGATGGGCCGTTGTGGACAAATCAAGTGGCCAGAGAGTCAAACAAGGTGGGGAGCACGGAGCGGGGGTGCTGGTGACATGCAGAGTGGCGGGCAAGCGTGAGGGGCGCGTGCGGCCACAGCCTGAGCACGGGAGGAGGCCGAGGGAGTGGAGCAGCTGCACCCAGGTGTCGATTTAGTGGCGTCCTAGGAACGTCAGAAGCAGCAGGAGTCGGGAGGCCTGGAAGCTCAGTGGCAGTGCCCGCAGCCTGGGAGGCCTGGGAGGTCCCCAGGGAAGGAGCGAAGAAGCTCAAGACACAGACCTTTGAGTTGAGGGACCCAGCTGACGGGCTTCCCCCGCGGAGCAGCAGCAGGCTGCTTTTCAGAGGGCTCTGGAAGGTCAGCCTCTTTTGTGTCCTCTCCCAAAGAGGGGCCCCGGGCCTCTGGCCCCTCTCCAGGGGCCCCTGGAAATGCAGCCCTTCCCAAATGCTCCTCCGAGTGCGCCTGCTCCTTCTGCACGTTGGGTGTGATTTCCACGTGAAACGTGAACTCCAGGGGGGCATCCTGCCCTTTGGCCCGCCCTGCACTGGGCCCGTTGGGCTCTGAGGCTGGGATCTCTGTGGAAACTTTGGAGAGGAAATCCACAGGGAGGGGGATGGCACCCTCCGCTGGGAAGCCTGGGATGCTGGTGGCTTCTCTGGCGGCTGTCTGGGGAGGCCGCCCATCTTGGGCTGGGGAGGCCTTGGAGGGAGGGGAGTCTTGGGGGGAGGACTCATCGACGTCGCGGTCTTCATCCACCTCCTCCTTGCTCCCCGGCCTCTCTTTGCCCCCTGCCCCCTTCAGCAGCGGCCCCTCCTGGTGCAGGTCTCCTAGAAGCTGGTGCTTGAGCAGCTCAGGGGCGTGGCGGCCGCCCTCTGTGTCCTCAGGTCCTGTCCCCGAAGGTTGGCGTGTGGCCTCTCTGGGGCCCTCAGGCAGGAGGGGAGCCCCAGGCATGCCGGACATGAGCTGGTGGCTCAGACCTGGGGGGCCTGGCTCTCGGAGGAAGCCTTCCTGGACCACCTTACCACTTTCAGGCTCTGTGTGGAGATACGCAGTGGTGGCGGGCTTCGGAAAGGCCGGACCCTTCTCGGCCCAGTCCCCGCCTTTTTGTCCCCACTCCAGGGAGGGCTCCTGAGGGCCTCCTGTTGGAGGAGGCGCTGGGCAAACGGGACGGTGCTGAGGAAGGCTCGCGGTCAGCGGGACGGGAGCTTCTGGCTCTTTCTCCCCGAGGCACGGCCCAGAGACCCCAGAGGCCTCTCCGCAGGGTCCAGGCTGGACGTGGGCGCTAATCTCATTGGCCAGGGGCCTTTCAGGCGCCTTCCTCTGCCGGCCTGGAACTCTCAACTCCTCTGGTTTGAAGAGGCAGCGATAGCAAAAGGTTAGCAAGGGCGCATTAATCGCTTAAGAGAGGGAGCATCATCCTGGACAAAATGACACTGAGAGGGCATCCCAGGCCCCCTAACAAAGAGATGGGAGCACAGCTCTGGGCTCGTCTCGTTGCCTTTGCTTGCTTGGAATGACAGCTCTCCTGGTCTAGCCGCCACCAGCTCGCTAGGTGGCTCTCCCCTCTCTGGGCCTCAGTTTCCTCATCTGTAAAGAGGGTTCTTGGACGTGGTGACCTCCGAGGGCCCTTCTGGTGTGGGTGTTATTCCTCTGCCTATGATGGGCTCTGGTTGGGCACAGAGCATGTCACACATCTGGAGCCGCCCTGGGCTTAATCTACTGGGAAAGCGGGAGGGCTACAGAAGCTTCTCCTGCTTTCTAGGGAATTTGAGCCTCCCAAAGATTCTAGCCTCTAGATGGTACCTGGTTTGGGTGTAGCGAGAATCCCCTTTCCTCTCCCTACCTCTCACTGTTCTCCTGCCCCCGCCCCCCACCCCTTTTTTTTGGTTTGAGACAGAGTCTCACTCTGTCGCCCAGGCTGGAGTACAGTGGCACGATCTCAGCTCACTGCAACCTCTGACTCCCTGGTTCAAGCGATTCTCCTGCCTCAGCCTCCCGAGTAACTGGGATTACAGGCACGTGCCACCACACCTGGCTAATTTTTGTATTTTTAGTAGAAACGGGGTTTCACCATGTTGGCCAGGATAGTCTTGATCTCCTGACCTCGTGATCTGCCCACCCCGGTCCCCAAAGTGCTGGGATTACAGGCATGAGTTTTTTTTTTCCTTTTTTTCTTTTTTTTTTTTTTTTTTTTTGAGACAGGGTCTCGTTCTGTCACCCAGGCTAGAGTGCAGTGGTGCAATCACAGCTCATTGCAACTTTAACTCCAGGGCTCAAACAACCCTCCCATCTCACCCTCCCAAGCAGCTGGGACCACAGATGCATGCCACCACGTCTGACTAAAATGTTATTTTTCATTTTTGTAGAGACGGGGTCTCCTTATGTTGCTCAGGCTGGTCTCGAACTCCTGGGCTCAAGCAATTCTCTTGCCTCTGGGATTACAGGGATGAGCCACCATACTTGACTTCTGCTCCCCTTTTTGGTAAATGAAACCAGTGAAACTAGTGCCCACAAACCCCGCCTCAAGCCCATTCTCTGACAGATTTGGAAAATCCAAAATGTGTGATCATCAAGAATGGAGTCTTTACTGAGAGACCTGCCATAAGACTCCTCGAAAAAGAAGCCCCATTCAGATCTATCCAGGTCACTGACCACAGACAAGCCCTTGGCACAGGTGAGGTAGGCCCCCGTGGGAGGAAGGGCTCTGCACGGCAGACATTGACGGCCCTCAGGACCACTGCTGTCCCCTGGTCACACAGCTTGCTGCACACCAACCCAGCTGATCAAGGGCACACTTCATTTTTTTCTGGTTCATTCACGTGACATTCATTAACCTGGCCGCATATTAAGAACAGGAGAATTAAACTCCTTGGTTCTAATAAATAACCTTTATGTTTTTTAACTCCCAACTCTTTGAACACCCCATCTAGTCCCAACGCAACAACCTTTGCAACTCACCAGCTCTGCTTTAAACAAAACCTGCAGCCCTGAAGGATTCAGGGGCTTGGAAAAGAAAGAGATTTGGATGAGGTCGGGGAGGAAGGTGTGGTCATGGACACACAAAGGTAACCTGTGGGCCCGACCCCATCGGAGGCAAGGTGGTTGACATGGGCTCATCCCCAAGAGGCCCGGTCAGAGCGCAGCAGCACCTCCAGCCTGTGATACTGGCCATGCTCATGGGCCCCTCCAATTCCTGTTCCTGGCATCGACCACAGTGCATGCCACACAGCAGGTGGTTAAATCAATGGATCCTGCACAGATCAACTGGTGTCAGGAAAACATTGACTTCAGCTTCTCACAGGCTCTGCAGGTGCCTTATGGGAGCCCTTTGTCAGTCTCTGGGAAGAACAGCCCAGAGGCAACCCTGAGCCTGAGCGCCAGAACTGACCAGAGGCAGGGGCTGCCCCTATGCTGCCCCAACAGGACAGGTCTCCACTGCCTTCCGGAAGTCGCTTTCCTCCTAGAGCTTACTAGAGTGCTCTTGACTGGGATGTTACTGTACTCTGATATAATACAAGACTTTAAGAAACACTATTAAAAAAGAGACAAGGACCCCAAAAGTAAATAGTAAACGTACCTTGAAAAGTAATGGATACAGGATTGTAGTGTGTGTGTGTGTGTGTGTGTGTGTGTATCAATGAGGAAACTGACATGATTAATTACACCCCTGGAGGAAGAAGCCAGGTTAGGAGAATGTTCTTTTTTTTTTTTTTTTGAGACAGAGTCTCACTCACTCTGTCGCCCAGGCTGGAGTGCAGTGGCATGATCTCGGCTCACAGCAACCTCCACCTCCCAGGTTCAAGCAATTCTCCTGCCTCAGTAACAATTCTCCTGCCTCCTACTCCTCCCATGTAGCTGGGATTACAGGTGTGTACCACCATGCCTGGCTAACTTTTGTATTTTTAGTAAAGACGGGGTTTCACCATGTCAGCCAGGCTAGTCTTGCACTCCTGGCCTCAAGGGATCTGCCTACCTTGGCCTCCCAAAGTGCTGGGATTACAGACATGAGCCACTGCACCCAGCCTGGTTGGGAGAATGTTCTATTGATTCCCTAGGATGCTAGGAAGTACTCAGCAAATACTAAATGTAGCAATTCTCAGGGGTTAGGAGGAGTTCAAGATAAATGAGTATTGTAAACACAGTAGTCCAGGTAAGTTAAGCCCCCATGCCCTCTTCAGGAGGCCTGGTCTCTGGACACTTACAGAAGAAAAGTCCACCCCTCGTATACAGGCCTTCCCATAGCTTACTCTCAACAGACTGCAGCTCCAACCTGAAACACCTTTTTCCATCTTACTAATAGGTACTTTATCCCTCCATGATTCCAGGCTGCTGTCAGAAAGCTTAAAATTCAGTGAGCACAAAAGTCAAGTTCCCAGCAAAGACGGTGACCTGGGCTTTTTTTGTTGCATGGAATATGTTCTGGGGGCATGTAGACATCACCTGCACTAACAATCAGTAGAAAAAACTCAAACCCACTTCCATTTATGAAAAGCAATGATTTCTAGAGGTCATGCTTTATCAAAGCCTCTAGTTTTACCTAAGCTGAAAAACATGACCTAAAAGAAACAGGAGCCAGGTTCCTAGTTAATTTCACACATTGACTGAGGTTCTTCTCTTATAGCCACTGTCCCTTCTAATAGTTTTTGAAGCTCTTTGTTAGCCTGAGAACGAAAATGTGCCTTTCTGTGCCATGTGACATGAGAAACATCAGCCTGCTATAGGCTGTGACCTCTCTGGGGGCAGGAATGTGTAGTTAGGCCTCAAAATATCCTCAATGAGGCAGAGTCTCCTAGAATCAGATGGCCTCAGAGGCAGCTCTAAATACTGGACAGATCCCATCATTCGGGAGAAAAGAACAGTGTCTTTCCAGCCCTTCTGCAATCTAGAAGCTTCCACATTTTACAGTAGGCTCTCAAGTTCATTTATCTAGCAAATGACAGAAAACAAGCCCAGCCCACATTATATCAGTACCATAGGTCTCCCATTTCCTAAAATTAGGAATCTCTAGGATTTTTCTTAAGATATTTATGATAAATGATTACACAAAGCTGCCTTTCTTGAATACAGCAGTTTGGTTCCTGAGAAGAAAATCATAATAAGGGTTGAAGGCTGCACAGAAGAAAGTTTACAAGCAATCGCTTGGGGATGACATGGTTAAGGCCTTGCTCCTGGATTGGCCACAGGGCAGCCTGCAGTGAGAATCGCCTGTCACACATATTTGAGTTTCTTTTTTTTTTTTGAGACGGAGTTTTGCTTTTGTTGCCCAGGCTGGAGTGCAATGATGCGATCTCGGCTCACTGCAACGTCCACCTCCTGGGTTCGAGCGATTGTCCTGCCTCAGCCTCCTGAGTAGCTGGGATTATAGGCACCCACCACCACACCCGGCTAATTTTTTTATTTGTAGTGAGACAGGATTTCACATGTTGGCCAGGCTGGTCTCAAACTCCTGACCTCAGGTGATCTGCCCACCTGGGTCTCCCATAGTGCTGGGATTAGAGGCGTGAGCCACCACGCCCGGCCTAGAGTTTCTGTTAGACATTCATTCTCAACTCCCAGGCTGGACAAGGCTAGCATCTTTCAGAACACTAAATGCCTTAGGAATTACCCAGAAATGGTATTAGAAAAAAACCACTAGGGCTCTTTCTATATCTGAGTAGCCAACCTTTGATAAGAACCAACTCCCTAAAATCTCCTGGACTTGTGAATTAGAGCTCAGGTCCAAATGATCTTTTCAGGGCAGAGCCCACCCCATGTCCCTCCCCCCAACCCCCAAGTCATGGCAGGCAATTCCAGTTCACTGACCTTGGGTCACGTGACCAGCAGCTTCGTCTTCCAGGCTGGGGGTGTCTCCAATGCCTGCTTCTTCAGCTGGTGTATGTGTCAGCAAATGAAGGGGGGTAAAAGCAAGACAGTTATTGTTTACTAGAAACCAAGCTCTCTGTACCTTCGGGCATTTTCCCTAAAACATTCTGGAAAGTCACATCCCAAGAATACCAAGGTGCCTCAGCTCTGGCTTCTCTGCAAATGTCATTGCTGAGGATGCTGGTGATAAAAGTTCACTAAACAAAAGGCACAGCACCCACATGCAGGTGTAGCTATGACCTAGTAGGAAAGACTTTCTCCACTTTGGGACCAGGGTCCTGAATGCCTCACTCAACAAGGACACACAGGCTGAGTGAGGTCAGAGAAGCAATTTGCTGCTGAGCCATGGTTGTGGAGGCTGTGTCTAAGCAGTGGCTGCTGGGAAGTTCAAGGAAAGACTTTGCCTGGGTTGCGGAGTCAGGCAGATGGGGTTCATATCCAGGCACCGGCATTCATTCAACCTCTCTGAGCCTCCATTTCCTCATCTTGAACCCCAAGATGAAGATACTAGTTTGTCTTGTAGAAGGATGGTGAGGGTTAGTAAGAGAATTTGTGTGAACACGTTTAGCCTGGTGCCTGGCATATGGTAGGTGCCCCAAAATGTTACATTTCCTTCCTCCCAACTTCTGGGCAAATGCCTTTCGCAGAATGTCCTGAACGGGTGCTACTTGGTAAGAGGGAGGCTGGCAGTGCTGGTGAGCAGCTTTTGGGGGTGTCTTGGGTTCCTGTTTAGGAAGCCACAGCTCACCCCAAACAAGAAAGACTGAGAAAGTTCCTGACCACATTAATAGTACCAAAATCAATAGGCTTTAAAAACACCTATTTCTGCATCATAAACAACAGGACACTGTTACAGGACAGTGCACGCAATTGTCCAGAAAAAAAGTTTATAAGGCAAGTTGGCCACGTTGACATGCATTGACCTCAGGCCACCAGAATCACCAGCATTTCCTGAGGACAATGACAGAGGCCACTGCCTCTGAGAAATCCATACATCTTGCTGGCTGGGCCATCAGTCTTATCTCCCAGGCCTGCAATGAGTCAGTCACTCTCTGCACCTAAGATAGGAATGCCGAATCCCCACCGCTGGCCAGCACAGGCCTGTGTGAAGAGTGTAGGCAAGGGAGAGAAAGGTTCTCGAGTTTCCTGGCAGCCATGTGGTAGCCTCAGAAACACCCAGGCCATTGGCTGTCCCCAGGCAGCTGCTGAGGGCATGGGAGGGCGGGCAATGGGCTCACGGGGCTCCCATCACTAGCACTAGCATGACACAGACACCCTCCGGGTCCATCCAGCCGACACTGCGCTACCCACGACGCCCAGTGGTGACAGTGCCTTGTCATGTGACAATATCGCTGAGCGAGTGTTGGCTCAACTGCCTGGGCACAACTCTGAGTGCAGATTCGGCCTGAGTTTCTGACAAGGTGATGGCAATGGCAGAAAGGCTCAGAGCTACAGCAAGTCCAGCTAAATGCCAGAGTCCTTGAGACAGAGGGTGTGAGGAGGCTTCCTTGGACACGGTCACTGCCACGGCACTGGGTGAGTTGCCTTGCTGTCACACACAGTGCAGAGCTGCGATAGCCAGGCCCGGCTTGAGTCAGAAATTGGACGCTGCACTGTCTTTGCCACCCCTTGACCCCAGAAAGGGAGCTGCTTGGGAACACCATGGAGGGAGGTTGGGCCTCACATCACTGCTGGCCTCTCTGTACCATGGGGAGTGTTTTACAAGAGCCAGGAGGGCCCTGTGCTCTCCAGCAAGGTAGGAACCTGCAAGGGGGTGGCCACACTGCACCCCAACTGGATGGCCCATGGGGAGTTTCACTGGAGCGCCAAGAACAGCAAACAGGATAGGCCAGAGCGAGGTGCCAACTAAGGTCTGCATTGTCAGTAGCTGAAGACACATGCACCCAACTCTAGAACCTCCCCACCACATGGAGGATGTAAAGGGATCTTTAGGAGGATTTCCTTGGAGAGAGTGGCTTGGGGGTGGTGGGGGTGGCTACATGGCCACCCCCCATCACAGTCCCAGCACAACTGTTTCAAGGCAATACATTGAGGACACCTGGTGTGTGTCCCCTCTGGTTAGGGACCTGGTGGACTGTGGTCAGGGCCCCACCAAGGAACACTAGAGGATGGAAGATGGGCTGGCCTTGCTTTGGGGGCAGAGCAAAGGACAGGTGCTGCAGCCCTGAGAACCGTCTGCACACCCACAGTTTGCTTGCCAGCGTGTTTCCCGTGGGCCCCATGTGGGCACAGGTCAGAGTGCATGGGAGCCTCAGATCATGTTTAAGAGGTGGCAACCAGCAGGACCTCAGAGGTGAGGCTGCAGCCAGATCTTCAGACTCCCACGGGGCCGAGGAGATGACATGGCCACCAGAATCCAGCGCAGCAGAAGGGCTCTTCAGGGGAGGATAGCTGGAGATGGCAGGCTGGGGTAAGAGTCTAGAAGAATTCAAATAAGGTCCCCATGGAGACAGAGAGAGAGAGAGTCTCCTTGAAACCTCTGCAGGGAGTGTGACGCAGCTCACACCAGGACCAACTCAGTAAGAACCTTCCTGTTTCTCTTACCCCTCCCCTCCCCGCCAGCCCTCGAGGGGAATGGCTGCAACTTTGAATGGAGTTAGAAGCTTTGACTGTCACATGGGACTGGCTGTTCTAATTATTTAGCTTTTGCACACTGTTTTGCCACTGTGGAGACTAATGTACTTTCAACTACTTTGGAGTGATGGAAAAGTCAAGAGTTGGCTAGAGTTTTCATTCTGGGCAGGGGAGGGATTTCCCTCAGTGAAATAACTGTGAAGGGAGAGGAGGAGAGAAACTCAAGTTCCCTGTGATCTCATCCTGTGATCATGCCACAGTCTTCAAACGTCCTTCACGTTCAAGGATGAGGCTCTGCCCCAGCTTCGAGGACATCCCCTCTGCCCATCTCAGGGGACTTCACGGATCAAGTCACAAAGCAGAAATGCACTCAGAAGGGGCCAGGGTGGGGCTGCTCTCAACACACAGAGCCCTAGAGAACGCTGCAGGCTTCCCCAGTAGCTGCAGGGAGTACCATCTTTAGGAGGGAAAGGAAACTCTTTTCTGGCCACATCTTCTCTACTCTCCACTGCTGGTGAAATCCTGGCTAGGCCTCTTCTGCATTTCTTGTTGGGCAACTGGGCACCCTCCAAATCACCAAACCAATGGCTGGCATCTTTACGTAAGTGCAGTGAAGAAGACATGAAGGAAATGACTCCAGGAGCTCCAGGCTGTGCAGGCGTTTCCTAGGGCCTGGTGGGCTGAGCCACTCTTGGGTGACTGCAGCCTTGAGCCCGGCGCCCTGTCTGATTGATTCCCCATCACCCATGTTGACAAGGCATTCTCGTCATGCCTGTTCTACATGAATACGTTTGAAAAGGAGACAGAGTCCCAGAACTGGATGCTAGATTGCATGTCTGAGCTCCTCTGGGACCACCTCATTAAGATCATCAAAAGGTGTGGTCCAGTCATCTGCACCCTCTGTGCGCTCAGGTGATCTTGGGGTCCACCCCTTGGGAGGTGACCCTGTGCTGGGCAGTCTGAGCAGGAGGGTGGACTGACCTCAGGTGTCAAGAAGGCACGGGTCTGCCACCACCTGCCCCAGAAAACCCTGCAGAGAAGTCTCTGGAACTGACGCGCTGACTGAGGCAAGATGAGGAGCATCTAGAAGTCCAGAAGGCCCTAAATGCTCTGAGAGGCTGGCAGGCAGCCAGGGAGGTAACTGGGCACCAAGGCATCGAGCTACTCACAACCCAAGATTCCCAGGAGCCAGAATCCACCCATGTTCCTGCCCCACAGGAGGATAAACATGCAAAGCTCCCTCACTTCTGTCACAGGTCAGCTGGGGCACCCAGCAGGGCCTTGACTGCCTGGGGGTCTCTGGGGCTCACCCTCACCTGTGGTTCCTTCTGGGATCTCCGTGTGGGGCTGCGCGGCAGCCTGCTTGCCGGGAGCTCCCTCATCCACTAAGGGTGCTGTCACATCTAGAAACCACCGAGATCCACCTTAGAGGGGCCAGGACGAGCCATACCCAGCCCCTCACCTTTGCTTCTTGCGCAGGAGCAATGCAGGGAGGAGGAGTGAGGAGGGGATCAGCCATATGCCAGAAAGCAGCCCTGAAGCAGGGCCCGGAGCCCCTGCTACCCCCTCCCCAGGAAGCACACTGACATGCTGCTGAGTGGTTCTGGCTCATGAACCGCCCAGCTCATCCACCAGGAAAGCCCGGCAGCCCTGTGTAAACGCTGCAGTGAAACAGACTGCTGGGCATGGCCCCAGGCATTTTAAAAGAAGAAATACTGAAAACCAGATGATTGCTTACAACTATTTGATCCTTAAGACAGCACAGGGACTCTGGGGTTAGTGCGGGGGCCTATGGTTTTGCTGTGAGGCTTTGGGCAAGTCCTTGGTCCATTTTGATTGGACGGTTTCCTCATCTGCAAAATGGCAGTGTCATCTCTAGGTGACTTCCAAGACTTCTCCCAGCTCTAACCCCTAAATCCAAGCCCATGACCCACAATTCAAAAGTGCAGAGTCCCTTGCATGGCAATAAATAGGTCCGCTCCTGTCCAGAGTCAGGCATTTGACTGTTGGATGGGTCCACCTTCACAGCAGAGGCAGGAGGGAAAGCTCGGCTACCAGGAGCTGCTGTCAGTCTCTCATCAGGTAAATGCTTCCAAATCAGCGTCCCTCCCGAGCAATGCCCTGGCACACTCCCAGGCCTTTCCGGGTACACATAAGGAGTTGTCAGCTTTGAAGGCTTTCCAAGTTCAATGAAGGACATTTTAATTATGGTTGTCTTGGGTGCAGGCGGAGCAACCAGGCAAGATCCCAGCCCCAGCAGTGTTCCCTCCACCAGGGGTGGGAGCCAATGCTCTTGAGTCTCACGCCTGCACAGGGTCCAGAGGGCATTGAGACTTGTTTGGGAGATTCTTCCAGAATCCTGTTGAGGGAGCACTGAGAGTCAAGGCTTGGGAAGCTGGCATGAGGTCTGGCATCGTTTTGTAGACTTTCTCAGGATGGCAGGCAACTTGTAAAACCGTCCCGACAAGATGAGCAGGAAGTGTCTTGCATCACTGGCTCTAAGAAGGAGCCAAGAGAATCTGATCTGGATATTCTCATGAGGCTAAGAACCTCAGCGGCAAGGCCCATGCCTGCTGCGTCCTCTAAAGCTGTAGCATTATACCAAGCAAGAGGCGGGCACTTGACAGCCATTTTCCAAATTAATCCAAAGGTGGATGCTTGGGGAGACACTTGGGCCAGTTTTTCACCCCGAGACACAAGATCCAAATGAACGTGCAGAGCCTGAAGAAGTACTGAGAAAGGAACCTTGAAACTCCATTGGGAGGATGGAAAGATAGAGGGGCAGATACTGCCAACTAGTGACTCAAAAGCCATTATTAACGTTCTTCCCCCTTGGTTTATTCTGCTAAAGAGGTTGGACGGCAAAATGCTTAATGTCCCAGCCTTGCTCGCAGCAAGGGGTGGCCGTAAGACCCAGCTCTGGCCAATGAGACATAAGCAGAAGATTGCCACTTGCAAGAAAACTCCTGCTTTCCTAAGGGGACACATTTAGTTTCAGGGCCCTTTTGGCCACTTTACTTTGCAACTTGTTCCTGCTTCAAAGGCAGATGTGATGCCTGGAAGTGCAGCAGCCACTTTGTAACCATGAGGCAACAATCCAACCACTAAAGATGACAGAAAATAAAGACAGGAGAGCATCAATGACCCTTGAGGTGCTGGCCAAGTCTAGACATCTGATTATGTGAGAAAAGTAAACCTCTTCATGTAAATGCCACAGTTAGTTGGGGTTTCTGTTTCTTACAGCCAAATGCAGCCTTGACTGACACAGATGGGAAGCAAGAGAAGACGGTCAAAATCAGGACTGAGGAGCATGTCAGAAAGTATGCGAGGTGCTAATAACCTAGATGCCGAGTGTCTGGAAAGGACAGGTTAGGAGAAGGGCTGGAACAAACACCGTGGCCAAAGTCCAGAGGCCCAGGCCACACCCAGAGCCCCCAAAATGAAGGATACTAAACCAAGATCAGATGTCCACTGACCTGCCCCTTCCCTCAGCCAAATGGCTGCTCTGGGACCTACTGGCCCCTGAAGAAAGAGAGAGGAGGGGGCTTTTGAAGGGGGTGTGGGAGGACAATCGTATGGAGCGGGGCTTTGTGGAGCTGTGCGTGGGACTGTCCAAGGGTGGCTGCCTCCAGAGCACACACGGGATGAAGGTGCCCACACTCAGCACCAGCAAGCAAGGCATCGACGCAAGGCTCAGCTCCCACCACGCTGTCCTGCAAAGCACCGAAGGAGTGAGCACATCTCTCAGCCAGGGGGAGCAGCAGATGCAGCCAGGAGGGAGGCTCAAAGCACGGCTAAGCACAGGCTGGAGGCATGGAGGGGGCATCTGAAGGGGGGCCCACCTTCCGCTGTTGGAGTGCTCTTAGCATCAGAGGTTTCAGAGCCCGGTTCCTCAGATCCGTCCTCAGTGGGGGTCTGCAGGGGAGATTCTGGAACACATACAGTGAGCCCTCAGAACGGTGGCCTCTCCCCAGCGCCCCCTTTTGTTCTCAGGAGGAACTGGGGAGCAGTGTCCTGTGGGGCTGAAAATCGCTCCCTGTGGAAACAGCTGGAACACGGCCTCGCAACAAACCCACAAAGGGGACCAACCCCACCTCCCTCCCTGCCAACACGACTGTGCCCCACACCAGGGCCATCAGATGAGGACACAGGTGATGTGCGTTTGCTCCTGGGTGAAAGGACAAAGTGCCTCTTAACCAGCTAGTGGTGCTAGTGGTGCAAAGGTTTATCTTCCATTGGTCAACGGGCAGCAAATACCAGAAAGCCGAGCTACGCATGAACCTTCTGCTTTGTCATTGCTATTAATTAACAACAAGTAGACACCTGGAAAAACACTCAGCGATCCAACCCCTTCCTTGGAAAAGGAGTCAGCTCAGGGCAGACACGGTGCTTACTTCTAAGTGGACATTGGGTGGTGTTTGGACGCCACCAAGCTCCTTTCATAGAAAGACCTCCAAGGACTGATGGACAAGCTGTGAGTTACATTTGAAATGGCAGCCATGTGTACCTACAATAAAACTGTCCTTTCAGAATGGGAAGCCTGGGCAAGAGAGGCCCAAATGATCACAGTGGTTGACAGTCACGCCCTCCACCAAGAATGTCCTTAGTAAGGCAGCTTTTGTTGCCTTAATAGAAATGAGAAAACTACCCCTCCTCCTCCTAGAAGGGCTGAATTGTCCCTTCCCTGTGGCACTTTGGCCACTGGGAGTCAATCTGCCCTGGTTATTTTATGGGCTTATCAATGCATCATGCAGTATCCAGGGCTGAGCAGGTCAAGGCCTTACACTCTGGAAGGTTGAGAGTTCTTGAGAGCCCGATGTATACAGAGATGAGTGCTAGGTACTGGGAAGGGACAAAATGCTCAGAAGATACAGCCTGTGCTCTGGGAGCACACACTCTCCTGAGGGAGGAAGGATGGCCACACAGAGCAAAAGACTCCAGGGCAGGCCCATGGCCAGCCGATAGGGTCCTCCTGGAGATGCCCCACCAGGAAGCAGGAGTTACAGGCTAGAGAGCATGGGACCAAGGGGCAAGATGGCTGGGTTCAAGTCCCAGTTCCACTTCTTTCTGGTCAGGTGGCCTTGGACCTGCCTCTCAGGGCCTCCGTTTCCTCATCTGTAAAATGCGTGAGATGACCTCAACTCTACCTGCCTCCTCCTAGAGCTCCTGGGAGAATCCCATGAGTGAATGTTGGTAAAAGCACCTTCAAATCATGAGGATTTATACATGTGGATCTAGTTCTCATCCATGTAAAGGAGGCAAATGTTTATGGGGGCAGCCCTGGGCTTCCCTTCAGTTCTGCCCCACCTGGGCTGTCCACAGGGGACCATCGTGGTAAATCATGGCTCAAACCATGATGGGTGGACGGACGGATGGATGGATGAATGGGTGGATGGATGGATGGATGATTGGATGAATGTATTATTGGATAGATGACTGGATGGTGGGTGAATTACTGAATGATTAGATGGATGTATAATTGATGTATAATTATATGGATGGATATATGAATTAATAATTTATTAGGTGGGTGTATGAATGTATAATTGGATGGAGGTATAATTGGATGTAGAATTATATGGATGTGTGTATGTATAATTGAATGATTAGATGCATGTATGAATGTATAACTGGATGGATGTGTAATTGGATATATGACTGGATGGTTACATGGATGGATGGATGGATGGATGGATGGGTGGATAGATGAATGGATGGATGGATGGATGGATGGGTGGATAGATGAATGGATGGATGGATGGATGGGTGATGTGTAGATGATTCGATGTATGTATGATTGATTGGATGAAGATATGGGTGGATGGATGGATGGATGGATGAATGGATGATGTATAGATGATATATGTATGATCAAATGGATAATGGGATGGATGGAGGAAGGAATGATGGATAATTGGATGAATCGATGGACGAATGAATGATGTAGAGATGTATGGTTAGATGTATGTATGATGGATGAATGATGGATGGAAGGAAGGATGGATGGATAAATGGATAGATGGATGAGCTGGTGATGTGCAGATGTATGATTGGATATATGTATGATTGGATGGATGATAGGAAGGATGAAGGAAGGGATGGGTGGATGGTTGGATGAATGGATGGATGGATGAACCGAGGGAAGAATGGATTATGTACAGATATATGATTGGATGTATGTATAATTGGATGGATGATGGGATGGATGAAGGGATGGATGGATGGATGGATGGGTGGGTGGGTGGTGTATAGATGACTGGATGTATGCATGATTGGGTGGAGGGAGGAAGATATGGGTGGATGGATGGGTGGATAGATGGATGGATGTGATGGTAACATGTAAAGCTTCCATCAGAATTTCTGAATTCTTTGCCAGTACCTCTTAGTCATCTTCCCTCAGCTCCTCCTGTGCCTGGCACTGCATGCCCAGAAAAGCCTCTCCAGTCTTCCCAGTGGTGTCTCAGCCATCAGATCAATGGTTCCTCAGCTCTCAGCTCAGTGAATTCACTCCCCTCTGTATGACAGAAATTCCTTACTCTTCATGCACATGGTGGCTGAATGGGTTTCCTCTGCTGTCTAATTGTCCTATTCATGGCTTAGACTCAACTCTGGAAGACTGGAAGATAGAGCCTCTAGAGAGTCAGGCAGATGGGGCCCAAATCCTGGCTCCACCACCTATTGGTTGTGTGAGGCTGAGCGAATTACCTAACCTCTCTCTGCCTCAGTTTTCTCCCCTGTATAATGGGCATAGTAGTAGCTCCACTGGCTCACAGGGCTTCTGTCAGCATGAAATTGTTGAATGCTTATTTAAAGCACTTTGTACCATGCCTGGCAGATGAGACATCCCCAATAAGTGGCAGTGATTATTTTCAGTCATTATCATGTCACCTTGGTTGAAGGGCCCAGTGTAGCACTGCTCATGCTCACCAGCAGGAACTTGAGTATTTTATTTTATTTAGTGCCAATGGTGGTGATGCAGATATGGAATTGACTGGGAATCCTGGAGGGCCCCTAGCAGATAGCTGACATTGTACCAGATGGACAAAGTGGCTCTGGTCATATGAGGAAAAATCAAGCATCACGTTGTAGTCACATACCCCGTCAAGCACATGGGGACTTTTAGTCTGGAAATTGCAAACACTCCCTCTGTGGCACAGACTGCTGAGGGTCCACCTGGTGTCCATTCTCTCTACCCTCCTTGGGAACAGAGCCCTGATATGATAGAGGACAGAGCTGTGCCCAGTTAAAAGGCCACATCTTCCAGCCTCCTGGGCAGACAGGGGTGGCTGATAAGAAGCTAAGGGAAGTCATTGGATAGGAAGTCCAGGAAAATGTCTGGATGGGAGGAGCTCAGCTGAGAGGGTCTCCCTTTGTGCCCAGCTCCCCTTCCTCCTTTTCCAGGGGCCTTTCTGAACATGAGACATCTTGAACATGGAAGTCACATGCTCAGAATGGTGGGTTTTTTTTTTTTGTTTTTTGTTTTGTTTTGTTTTTCTGGCTGTATGAAAAGATCATTGTCAGTTCACTGGCTGTGCAAAACAGGCTGGGTACCAGAATTGGCTTGTGGGTCATAGTTTGTGGCGCGCTGCTTTAAGGAATGGCTCTGGGGCCTCAGTGGGGGACAGGATGAAGGGCGGAGGGTGTAAAGGTCTCATGGCTGCTGTTGCAAAACCAAGGTTTGTGGTGAGGAGATCTGTGTCGGATGGAATGGAGGTGAGGTCCCTGGGTGCTGTGGAGGGTTGTGGGAGGAACTGGCCAGGGTCATGATGGACAAGCTGATGGTGGTATCACCAACAGCAGTAGAGAAACCAGGAATGGCCCAGGATGGGGGAGCACAGAATTTGGTTTTTACTTGTTAGGTTTTGGGTGTGGCTTGGGCATTCAGTGGAGTTGTCCCTTGGGCGACAGGAAGGCTCTGTTGAACTCCGAGAAAGGCACTCCACCTGGGGCGGGAGTAATTTAGAGTCAGTTTCAGGATGGGGCTGGTTCTGTGCATGAAGCAGAATGAGAAGATGAAAAAAAGGCAAGTGGAGTTCCACTGTGAGATCAGACACCTCACGCCCTTTGTTAAAACACTGTCCCTGGACACCTGGCCCTGGCTGCGCCCATCCCACAAAGAACAGCTAATCCTGAACAAGCTTCCAGCATGAACATAGCTCCTTGGTCCTGGAGCTTTTGCAAAAGCCTGCAAACTGCCGCAAGAAGGCTTTGGACAAATGGTGAGGCAGCATCACGCAGACTTCTGGGTTTTGTTATTTTTCAGCAGCCTTGACTGCCAGGGCACAGGGACATCTATATGGGCATGATGGTCCCCCTTTCCCCAATCTGTCCCCAGCTTGAGCCCTACAGTCCTTATCATTTGCATTGGTCTCCTTGTTAAATCCCTTGGAAGTAGTGAAGGAGGAAGAAGCCCCATTTGCATGTCTTATCTGGAAGGCATAACAAGTTAACTCATCAACACCTTTTAATTCATTAGGGTGCACTAGTTTATAGGTAACCAACTTTCATCTACTTTTCAGCTCTCTTGGGCAGGTAGCCAGCCATATTTCAACTCTTAGCATCCACTTAGACACTCTTTGTTCTGGCATTTAACGTGTAGTTTCTTGTCTTCTATCACTTATTTAAAATGTTGTTAGTAAAGTGACACCTTCTGCCAAGTCAAACCTGTCACACCCGACATCAAAACAGCTCCTTGTAAGCTTTCAGTAGCAAGAATTAATTTGATGAGGATTATGAACACCTTAAGTATTACTTGCTTTCTTGGAAAGTATATTCTTTGGGTAAGCAAATTATCTTGAAATGCTTTCCTTTCAGAGCAATTTCAAAAAGGTTGGCAATTTAGATTTTGCATTTTTATATACAGTATATATAGTGCATATATATATATACACACATATGTTTTGGCATAGAACTTCTGATCATGTTTTATGTGAAAGCTTTGAATAGTTTTAGCAAACATATTTTAGGCAACTCAAACACTAACTTGGTGAACTTGTCCTCACTTTACACATTAAATTTAGTTTTCTCTTCAGAAAATAAGAGTGGTAAAACCTACTTCTTTCCTGGACTTTATTTCATTTTTGTTTTTTGAGACAGGGTCTTGCTCTGTTGCCCAGGTTGGAGTGCAGTGGTACAATCACAGCTCACTGCAGCCTCAAACTCCTGGGCTCAGATGATTCTCCCACCTCAGCCCCGCAAGTAGCTGGGACTACAGGAATGCGCCATCACACCTGGCTAATTTTTGTGATTTTTTTTAGAGACAGGATTTCACCATGTTGCCCAGGCTTGTCTCAAACTCCTGGGCTCAAGCAATCCACCTGCCTCAGCCTTCCGAAGTGCTGGGATTATAGGCATTAGCTACCGTACCTGGTCTCCTGGAGTTAATTTTAAACGAACTTGTTATTTTGAAACAGTTTTAGATTTACAGAAAACTTGTGAAGTTAGTACAGACAGTATACCCCACATCCAGTTCCCTTGTTGTGAACATCTTACAGGATCATGGTACATTTGTTGCAGCATAATACATATTTTAAACTGACTCTAAGCCAGGCTGCCCTGCCTCTAAATAGAATGTCATTTTTCACTGGCACAATCCATATGAGGCACATGTTGTGATTCTAACTTGGATTCCACCCAAGAGAGCTTAATAACTGAAGTTCCAAGGGGGCTTGGTGGAAAGAGTGACAAGGGGGAAATATGGTCCATGTGGGGCTGCAGCCATGGACCTGCTCTGGCAGCCCACGGTCTGAGCATGAGGCTCCTTTGTCATCTGTGAAGCGGACGTCATCCACCCTCACGGGCTGTTGTGAGCATCACCTGCTGCCAACAGTAGAGTGCTACAAAAATGTCCCAATTAGCATTCTGAGGTAGATCCCTTATAAGTAGAGTGGCATTTACTATCACCCAAATCAGGACACTTGAAAGAGAAAGCAGCACTATTTTTTTTTTTGAGAAGGAGTTGACTGGGCACGGTGGCTCATGCCTGCAATCCCAGCACTTTGGGAGGCTGAGGTGGGCGGATTACCTGAGGTCAGGAGTCCCAGACGAGCCTGGCCAACAGGGTGAAACCCCGTCTCTTCTAAAAATACAAAAACTGGCCGGGTGTGGTGGTAGGCGCCTGTAATCCTAGCTACTTGGGAGGCTGAGGCAGGAGAATCGCTTGCACCCGGGAGGTGCAGGTTGCGGTGAGCCGAGATGGCGCCACTACACTCCAGCCTGGGCGACAGAGCAAAACTCCTTTTTTTTTAGGACGGAGTCTTGCTCTGTCACCCAGGCTGGAGTGCAGTGGCACGATCTTGGCTCACTGCAACCTCTGCTTCCCAGATTCAAGTGATTCTCCTGCCTCAGCCTCCCAAGTAGCTGGGACTACAGGCACCCACCACCACACCTGGTTAATTTTTGTATTTTTAGTAGAGACGAGGTTTCACCATGTTGGCCAGGCTGGTCTCGAACTCCTGACCTTGTGATCTGCCCACCTTAGCCTCCCAAAGTGCTGGGATTACAGGTGTGAGCCACCGCGCCCGGCTGAAAGCAGCACTATTAATCATGATGCAGAACAGATGCGCTGGGATAGGCTGGGACACCCACACCCCAGTCCCAGGCACCTGGTGAGAGAACTCTTCATCTCTCTTTGTCAGGAAAAGAGGCAAAATCTGGCCCCCAATCCCAGTTTCCCTCAGCGGCACCAACTGCCAGGGGGGCAGCTGGGAGAAAGTGGTTTCAACAGGCTAACCTTCGGGGTTGAGGTCTTGGGGGCTACCACCCCTCACTTCACACATCCTGAGCACCAGGGTGGGGCAGGGACAGGGTAGGCAGTGTTGCGGGATGGAGAGGAGGGAGGGACGAGAAACAGCAGAGAAAGAAAAAGATGGAGTGGGGAGAGAAGGAGAGGGAAAGCGGGAGTGGGGGAAGTGGGAGAGGAGGTGGAAAAATTCAGTGGAGGGGGACACAGTGAGGAAGGGACTGAGAAGGATTTATTTATTATTATTATTATTTGACATGGGGGTCTCTGTCGCCCAGGCTGGAGTGCAGTGGTGGGATCTTGGCTCACGGCAACCTCCGCCTCCTGGGCTCAAGTGATCCTCCTGCCTCTGCCTCTTGAGTAGCTGGGACTATAGGTGCATGCCACTATGCCCGGATAATTTTTAAAATTATTATCTGTAGAGACGAGGTCTCACTATGTTGCCCAGGCTGGTCTGGAACTCCTGGGCTCAAGCAATCCTCCCGCCGCAGCCTCCCAAAGTGCTGGGATTACAGGCGTGAGCCACCGCGCCCGGCCTCTAAGAAGGATTCAAAGGAGAAAACAGGGGGTGGGGGGAGGGGGGAGGGATAGCATTAGGAGATATACCTAATGTAAATGACAAGTTGATGGGTGCAGCACACCAACATGGCACATGTATACATATGTAACAAACCTGCACGTTGTGCACATGTACCCTAGAACTTAAAGTATAATAAAACAAAACAAAACAAAAAAAAAAAAAACAAAGGAGAAAACAGATCTCCTGGCTTGGAGCCTCTCAGGTGCCCTCCCTGGGGAGCTGAATCTGGCAGCACTGGCTGGAGCAGTCAGAAAGCACATTTCCATCTTGCCATCACCACGTGATGGCTGACCTCAGGCAGGGAGGCTGGGCCGAGCTGCATTCCCCGGTCCCTCTCACCTCCTCACCCAGAGCTTCTGGAACACCTCTGAGCAGCCCCTGCTCCCCCAATACGCCCATGTCTTCCTTCACCTACCCCCAACCCACCTGCACCCACTTTCCTAATTCCCAAATTCCTCATAATCCAATATCTTCGCTGATTCAACAGATAGAAATCTGAAACGTGCCTCCCAACCAGTCCTGGAACCTCTCCAAGCTGGGATGGCCACTCCCTGTGCGAGAAAGCTGGTGGTCCCAGCTTCCCACACTCAGGGGACCTCCCAGAGACCCCACCTACTCCGGCAATCTTCCTGAATAGACATATCCAGCAGAGGTCACTTCCCACCTCACAACTCCACGGCTTCCATGCACTACCCATACCCTGGGCTGCAAGGTGTTTTCTTATTTTTAGCATTAAAAGAGAAAAGTAGAGTGTTTGCCATTTTGCCTCCTTAGAAATGGGTATGGAGGCAGGGACTGAGTCCATCCTGCCCTCGGGCTGCACTGTGGGCTGTTGCTGTGAGCACTCACTGCCAGCCACACCCATGGAAAGAAGGGCTCCTTGTAGCACAACCCAGCACGGAGACAGCCTCGACCAACCTTGAGACAACCTCAGACAACTTGGTCCAACCCTTGGACCAACCTGGCACTCCAGCAGTGGGTGAAGGGCCAGCATGGGAAGGCAGAGGGAGGGCTGTGTGCTCTGTGGGGTCCCCAACCATGTGGTCTGACAGTGAAATGAAACACATTTCATTTGGAAAGAGAGAGGAAGAGGCGAAGTCAATTTGGCCAAAAGATGGTATTATAGAATGTTTAGAAGTCGATGTTGTTTATTAATGTGGCTACAGTAAGAATCCCAGGGCTAACCAACTCTTGCTAAAGAGAGGCCACTCAGGCCTGATCTAAGTAAGAGATAAAAAGCAATGTTTAAAGTCACATATTTTACATGCTAATCAATACCACTGATTTATAAGCTAACAGGTGTGGCTAATGCCTCAAAAAGTACCCTGTATTTGAGAGATTGTTAAGGCCCTAAAATCTCTGTCCCTACATTCACTCATGTGGGTAACTCAAGGTAAATTTCTTTCTTTCTTTTTTCTTTTCTTTTTTTTTTTGACAGGGTCTTGCTCTGTTGCTCAGGCTGGAGTGCAGTTTTATAATCACAGCTTACTGCAACCTTGAACTCCTGGGCTCAAGTGATCCTTCTGCCTCAGCATCCTGAGTAGCTAGGACTATAGACATGCACCACAACACCTGGCTAATTTTTAAATTATTTTAGAGACAGGGTCTTGCTATGTTGCCCAGGCCGGTCTCAAATTCCTGGCCTCAAGGGATCCTCCTGCCTGGGCCTTCCAAAGTGCTGGGATTACAGGCGTGAGCCACCGTGTCTGGCCATTATCTCACTGCTTGAGTTATCTTGGCC
Organism: Homo sapiens; assembly: GCF_000001405.40. Classification (NCBI taxonomy): domain Eukaryota; kingdom Metazoa; phylum Chordata; class Mammalia; order Primates; family Hominidae; genus Homo; species Homo sapiens. The sequence continues at coordinate 825,726 of NT_167251.2, forward strand.
CACTCAAATTAATGAGGCTTTACTTTACTGACAGTCTAAGACAATAATGTATTTAAAATTTCTTTGCAATTCTGGATGCAAACTGTTCCCGCCACCCCTTGGCTTGCAGTGATCTGGGCCTGCTGTGCATGGCTGTCCACTAACCTTTCAGGCCAGCGTCCGTGTCACCCTCTTGGTCTTGGTGCATGGTGTAGCCCCCCTGATCTTTCCTGTCCCCCAACCCGTACGTCCCAGCGTGATCTTCCATCACTTCGAACTCCTGGCGGGGCTCAGCCATCCTGGTTCAAAGCTCACCTGGGGAAAGAAGAGGAGAGGATAAGTTCTGAGGAGTGTTGGGGGGCAGAGTGGGGGTGAAGAGAGAGAGGAGCCTCTCCTCCCAGTTCATGGCAGGCAGATCTCAGCCTCCCTGCTACCCTCTCTAACAGTTGGCCGCCCATCCTCATCCCGTGCTCCATATTCCTGCCAAAGCGTTATTTACATCTATCTGCTTGCTTAATTTACCAACACCGCAGCAGTTCATATTCAACACCACCAGGTGACGGCCAGGCATGGTGGCTCACGCCTGTGATCCCAGCACTTTGGGAGGCCGAGGTGGGTGGATCACCTGAGGTCAGGGGATCGAGACCAGCCTGGCCAACATGGTAAAACCCCATCTCTACTAAAAATACAATAATTAGCCAGGCATGTGGCAGGTGCCTGTAATCCCAGCTACTGGGGAGGCTGAGGCAGGAGAATCAATTGAACCTGGCAGGTGGAGGTTGCAGTGAGCTGAGATTACACCACTGCACTCCAGCCTGGGTGACAGGGTGAAACTCTGTCTCAAAACAAAAAAAAAAAAAACAAAACAAATAAACCCACCAGGTGAGGCAGGTGAGGTGGGCCCGACTTGTTATTCCCAGCTCTCTTTCCACTTCATTAAAAAAATCAATGCTGCTGCCTAGCAGTTTGCTCTTTCTCTTTAACGGTGAGGGCATGACTGAACAGGAGAGGGACAGCATCAGCAGAGCCTGTCTGGTAAGGAAAGTGAGGCACGGAGAAGTGAAGAGATGGTTCAATCAGATGTCAACTGGCAGCAAAACCAACTCTTGACTCATCGGGGGTGTCCTGACTCCTCCAGCTCCGAGTTTGCTGGCTTCCTGGAGTCAGGCTGTGGCCCCCATTCACCACACCGGCACCCACCAGGTCCCCCACGTGTGCGTTCCAACGGTGGCTCTCCTGGTGGGCTGAGAAGCACCCCACAGGGCCCAGTAGGGGCATGAGGCTTGGGATCTGAAGAGCAACACACACCCTTCTTCCCCAAAAGCCCCAGCAGGGAGATGCCACTTCAGCTCAACAGAGCTGGATAGAAACCACCATTTACTCACACTTTGTCCTCATCTTTATTGTAAATTATTATTATTTTAAAAATAATTCATAACTTTGAATTTATGAACTTTTTTTTTTTGAGATAGAGTCTCGCTTTGTTGCCCAGGCTGGAGTGCAGTGTCGCGATCTCTGCTCCCTGCAGCCCAGGTGAGCCAGCCAATTCGGGTTGCCCCATTCAACCTGCAGCTAAAGCTTTGTGAACACTAAGAAGTTTAATGAGCACAGTGGTTTTGTTCTTTGGATTTGATCTATTCCTTTCAATGACCAAGTTTCTTCTCTTGGAACATGGTGGACAGAGGTGTGAAAGTAAAAGTAAAAATCGGATGTGCTGGCTTTTCTTACACATTTGCATATTTTCATATTCGTAGCTCATGGCTATAGGAGGCCTGAATTTTTTTTTTTTTTTTGGCCCCTGTGAATAATCCAGGATAAATGCTTTGTGGGTTTTCTTTGGGGGAGTGGGGACGGGGGTCTCACTATGTTGCCCAGGCTGGTCTCAAACTCCTGGGCTAAAGTGATCCTCCCATATCCGCCTCTCAAAGTGTTGGGATTACAGGCATAAGCTGCCACCATGCCTGGCTCTATTCATATTTTGAGTAAAACAGTACTTTGCTATTTCTTGATGAGAAAAGTAATACAACCTTATTATAGAAAATGTATTTATACAAAGCAAGATGGGAAGAGAAAATCATCCCTCTGCCCAGAAACGATTACTGTTGACATCCTGCCATACCAGACTTTGACAATCATGGATTCAGCTTTTGGAATTTTGGTCCATCATAAGTGATGTGAAATTCCAGGACAGGCGGCACATGCCATCTGGCTGAGGAATAAATTTGAACCCCTCTTCCTCTATGGGGGCTGTACGGGAGTGAGGCACTCAGTAGGGAGTGAGCCCAATCCTCCTGGCTGCCCTGTCCCATCCTAAAACGGCTCTGCTGTTCTCAGTCCTCCAGGGCACACGGTGACTCTGATGAAGAGGCAAAAATGCCACTGCTTCGTGAAAAATGGCCTTGAAGCAAAAGAGAACATTCTGATCACATTTGAAAAGGCAGATACTTTGTGGCACCAGGGCTTGACTTCTAATGAATGTATAACAGAAAAGATCAGGCACTTGTGCAAACGTGTCTGTTTTCATGAATCCGCGGATTTACAAAGGTTTGGGAATGTATGTCAAGGATCTGTGATATTTCCTTCTAGCCTTTTATTCTATGCATTAAAAATATAGTTGCAATTATGCTACTTGCTTTTTTCACATAAGATTATAGCATGAGCATTTGTTGGTCACTAAAAGCCTTTGTAAACATCAGGGGCAGTAACTACCAAATGTTCCTTTCCACATATGTACCATATTTTCCTAACCATCCCCTAATAGTTAGCACTGAAATGGCCTCAGATGTTCCAATATTACAAATAAAGTTGCATTAAATATCTTTTTGAAAAACTTTGTCCATAATTTTTTTTTTTTAGATGGAGTTTCACTCTTGTCACCCAGGCTGGAGTGCAGTTGGTGCAATCTTGGCTCACTGAAACCTCTGCCTCCTTGCTTCAAGCGATTCTCCTGCCTCAGCCTCCCGAGTAGCTGGGATTACAGGCCCCAGCCACCATGCCTGGGTAATTTTTGCATTTTTAGTAGAGACAGGGTTTCACCAGACCTCAGGTGATCTGCCTGCCTCGGCTTCCCAAAGTTTAGGGATTACAAGCATGAGCCACCATGCCCGGCTGACTTTGTCCATAGAATTTTGAGAAGCATCACCAATTGCTTTTCAAACAAGATCGGGCTTGTTGAGGGTGTAGCGGCTGTAGACACCAATTGCTTCTCAGATGCGGTGCAAGTGGGTATGAAGTGTGAGTCTTGTCAACACTGAGTTAATCATACACCTAAATAAATGCCAAAAAATTTTTGTGCTTATAGATGAAAGATGATGTTTTACTAATGTAAACTATGAACTTGGGTGATAATGATATGTTAATGAGGATTCATTGGTTGTAACAAGTGTACCACTCTGGTGCAGGACGTTGGCAGTGGGGGAGGCTGTACGTGGAGGGCAGGGAACATACGGGAAGTCTCTGTACCTTCCACTCAGTTTCACTGTGAACCTAAAAGTGCTCTAAAAAACAGTCTATTAATGTTTTTTTAAATGATATCCTAGTGTTGTTTAAATATGTGATGTTTTAATTTTTTCTGGGACAGAGTCTCGCTCTGTCGCCCAGGCTGGACTGGAATGGTACGATCTCAGCTTACTGCAACCTCTGCCTCCCGTGTTCAAGCAATTCTCCTGTCTCAGCCTCCCGAGTAGCTGGGATCACAGGCATGTGCCACCACGCCTGGCGAATTTTTGTATTTTTTGTAGAGACGGGATTTCACCATGTTGGCCAAGCTGGTCTAGAACTCCTGATCTCAAGTGATCTGCCTGCCTCAGCCTCCCAGAGTGCTGGGATTAAAGGTGTGAGCCACTGCGCCTGGCCTGATGTTTTAATTACTAATGAGATCAGCATTTTTCTCCTCTTTTTTTTTTTTTTTTAAGTCAGGGTCTCACTCTGTTGCTCCAGCTGGAGTGCAGTGGTGTGATCTTGGCTCACTGCAGACTCTACCTCCCGGGCTCAAGTGATCCACCCACCTCAGCCTCCTGAGTAGCTGGGACTACAGGCGTGTGCCATCACACCCGGCTAATATTTATGACTTTTGTAGAGGCAGGGTTTCACCATGTTGCTCAGGCTGGTGTTGGAACTCCTGGGATCAAGTGATCCGCCTGCTTCAGCCTTCCAAAGTGCTGGGATTACAGGCATGAGCCGCCGCGCCGACCCACTCTCATTCTTTTTGCTTGTCTGTTCAGGTCTCAGTGCTTATTCTAATGACTTGTGTGGGCTCTTAATTTATGAATAACATTAACCCTTGATCATACTTGTGGCAACTATCTTCTCCAGTTGGTTGCCTTTTATTTTGGTTTCTGATGGTTTTTGATGGGCAGGGTTTAAGTTTTATATAGTCAAATCTGTTTTCCTTTGTGATTTATTCCATTGCTCTATGGTATAGAAAGATCATCCATTTTCTTCTACATTTTTAGTGGTCTAATTTTTTATATTTATTAATTTATCTGGAATATTTTTAGGTTTAAGATGGAGTGAGGTTGAAAAGTTTCTCCCCAAATATAACAGCTAAAGTCAGTGGACCCAGGCCTATTTGTAGACCAATCTGCCCTCTTCCCCAGGTGAATGCACCATGCACTCTGTCCTGCTTATCCGTCAATTTTGCTAGAGCCTCCTGATTTAGCTTTGGATCTCAAGTCTTATTCTCTAGGTGGGCTTAGATATCATTTTCTTTTTCAAAATTATTTGACCTTCTTGTAAGTTTGTCTTCCAGATGTACTTTAGACAATTTTTTTTCCTGCAAATTCTCAAAGTTCCACTGGGATTTCGGCTGGAATTGTATTATAGGCCAAAACTATAAAAATTGCTCCCTTCATGATATTTAGTTTTCCCACCCAAGAGCACAGTATGTTTTTCCATTTTTTTCTGGTTTCTGAATCTCTCAGTTGGGGGCGGAATGTAGTCCCACACCCTTCTTGCCACGGCCACGTCTCCCTGGGCTTTATGTCGCTTTTGTGAATGGGCCTCTCCCCATCAACACGTGGATGATTAATTAACCAGGGCTCTGGGGCTCACAGCAGAGATGTGGCTGGGGCACCAATCATGGCTGGGGTGCCAGTGCTGGGGCTGCCACAGTGGCAGTGGTTCCATCAGAGGTTTCCAGGGAATGAACAGGAGAGCCATTTTCCAAGCCTCTTTTGATCAGACAGATGTGATTCCCTCAGTGGGAAACCTCTCTCCATGAACTTGTGAAAAGAAGCTGCTAGAGTTCGCCAACAGACATGTGAAAAAATGCTCATCATCACTGGCCATCAGAGAAATGCAAATCAAAACCACCATGAGATACCATCTCACACCAGTTAGAATGGCGATCATTAAAAAGTCAGGAAACAACAGCTGCTGGAGAGGATGTGGAGAAATAGGAACACTTTTACACTGTTGGTGGGACTGTAAACTAGTTCAACCATTGTGGAAGACAGTGTGGCGATTCCTCAGGGATCTAGAACTAGAAATACCATTTGACCCAGCCATCCCATTACTGGGTATATAACCAAAGGAATATAAATCATGCTGTTATAAAGACACATGCACACGTATGTTTATTGCGGCACTATTCACAATAGCAAAGACTTGGAACCAACCCAAATGTCCAACAATGATAGACTGGATTAAGAAAATATGGCACATATACACCATGGAATACTATGCAGCCATAAAAAATGATGAGTTCATGTCCTTTGTAGGGACATGGATGAAGCTGGAAACCATCATTCTCAGCAAACTATCGCAAGGACAAAAAAACCAAACACGGCATGTTCTCACTCATAGGTGGGAATTGAACAATGAGAACACTTGGACACAGGAAGGGGAACATCACACACTGGGGCCTGTTGTGGGGTGGGGGGAGTGGGGAGGGATAGCATTAGGAGATATACCTAATGTAAATGATGAATTAATGGGTGCAGCACACCAACATGGCACATGTATACATATGTAACAAACCTGCATGTTGTGCACATGTACCCTAGAACTTAAAGTATAATAATAATAAAAATATATATATATATATATAAAAGAACCTGCTAGAGTTCCAGATGAGTTTCACGTGATGAGCCCCATTTGCTCTGGTCTCTATGTTTGAGGTCAGTGGTCCCCAATGCAGTGGTTGCCTATATTCCAAATTCGTGGGTTCTAGAGAGAGCAGCTCCCTTTGGAGAGAGCCTCTGAAGGAGCCTGGGAAGTGTGAGAAGCCAGGGACCCGCATGCTGGACAGCTCTCTGTGCTGTGTTCATCACCAAGTCCCAAAGCCCCCCGCGGTGCCCTGAAAAGACAGGCTGGTAGTGAGGAAAGTTCTCTTCCCTTAGTCACTGAGTCCTGCCAGCCCCAGCCCACTGCCCACACACTGCACCCCCATCCTTCAGCTCATTCCTTTGCACAGAGACAGAGCAGGTCAAAGGCACCATCTGGCCAGCCAGGCTTGACCTGGGCCTGGTCATGAACACTAACTCTAAGTAGACCTTGGCCACTTAAAATGCGTCTCAGCCGTTCTCAATGGGCAAATTAGGCATACATTTAAATGGAAGGAAGCTAGGGCCCATGGCTCACACCTGTAATCCCAGCACTTTGGGAGGCCAAGGCAGGCAGATCACCTGAGGTCAGGAGCTCAAGACCAGCCTGGCCAACATAGGGAAACCCCGTCTCTACTAAAAACACAAAAATTAGCCGGGCATGGTGGAGTGTACCTGTAATCCCAGCTACTTGGGAAGCTGAGGCTGGAGAATCGCTTGAACCTAGGAGGTGGAGGTTGCAGTGAGCTGGGATTGCACCACTGCACTCCTGCCTGGGCAATAGAGTAAGACTCCTTTCAAAAAGGAAAAAGAAAAAAAAAAGAAAAAAAAAAAAGGAAGGAGTGTTTGTGCCGTGTGAGCCGTTCTCCCCTCTGCCTTCTGTTGGATTCTCAGAGGTGGCTCCCAGCACGCCCATCTTAGATCTCACGTGGGGCGGGGTTGCTTGTGTTGTGGCTGCCAACACCCCTTCTCTGTACATCGACACATCACCAAGTCTGTGGCGATGGGGTAAACCGCTGGACACGCTGGCTGCTCCCCACTCACCTGTAGGCGGGTGAGGTGGCTGGCTTGGACTTTGTCCACAGGCAGCACCACAGAGGTGCCCTCGGTGAATTTGGCAGCAGCAGGCGGGGCCGATTGGATGGGTAGAGAGCAACTGTTCGTAGGGAGCTGACTGCAGTGGTCCAAGCATGCAGTGAAAAGGCAGAGGTGATGGAAAGGAAGGAATGGAGCCAAGAAGTGTATTTGAGAAAATACTAGACTGGGCTTCAAAATCGGGTTGGGGTCAGGGAGAGGGATTAAAAGCTCGTATTATGCTAGAGGTGGGCTTGGATGGTTGGGAAATAGGGGATGGGGGTCACACAGTCAAAGGGAACACCCTCAGGAGGGAAGGCAGCTGGACAAGGGTGGGTTGTTTTTAGGAGAGCCGCTGCTTCAAAGAATCCTGCCCTCTCTTCCCCCTGACTGCGTTTTACTAACTGGTGACTCATTTGACTTAATGAGCTCTAGAAAATTTGTTCTACTATGCCCCTTGGCTTTCATTATAATTTTTTTTTGTTTTTGTTTTTGTTTTTGTTTTTGAGACGGAGTCTCGCTCTTTCGCCCAGGCTGGACTGCAAGTGGCACGATCTCGGCTCACTGCAAGCTCCACCTCCCGGGTTCAAGACATTCTCCTGCCTCAGCCTCCCGAGTAGCTGGGACTACAGGCGCCCGCCACTGTGCCCGGCTAATTTTTTTTTTGTATTTTTAGTAGAGACGGGGTTTCACCGTGTTAGCCAAGATGGTCTCGATCTCCTGGCCTCGTGATCCACCCACCTCAGCCTCCCAAAGTGCTGGGATTACAGGCGTGAGCCACCACGCCCGGCCAGCTTTCATTATAATTTTAAATTGATTCCTTTTTATATGGTTTTATTTATTTTACTTTGCATTATTTATTTATTTGGAGACAAGGTCTTGCTCTGTCGCCCAGGCTGAGGTGCAGTGGCGCCATCACAGCTCACTGCAGCCTCGACTTCCTGGGCTCAGGCGATCCTCCCACCTCAGTCTCCCGAGTGGCTAGGACCACAGGTGTGCACCACCATGCCTGGCTAATGTTTTGTATTTTTTGTAGAGATGGAGTCTTACTATGTTGCCCAGGCTGGTCATGAACTCCAGAGCTCAAGCGATCCGCCTGCCTCGGCCTCCCAAATTGCTGAGGTTAAGGTCAAGAGTCGGCACATTTTTTTCTGGAAAGGGCCAGATAGTAAATATTGTAAGGCTTTGTGGGCCACGTGGTCTCTGTTGTAACTGCTCAACGTAATTGTAGCGGGAAAGCAGCCATCGAGCATAAATAAATGAGCATGACTGTGTTCTGATAAAACACTATTTATAGATATTAGAATTTGAATTTCACATAGCTTTCATGTGTCACAAAACATCATCTTATTTTATTTCATTTTTCAACCACTTAAAAATGTGAAAATCATTCTTAGCTCAAGGACAGTTTTGGCCCACGTGCCAGAGTTTTTAGATTCCTTCTTTAGGCTTCTCCAGTATTTCTTCGATCGAAAAAAAAGAAAAACTGTGAATCGGTCTTAGCAAGAATCATTGTATGTTCCGATCACCTCCTATATTCTCAGTGTGGAGTTCTGCTTTTCATGTTGGGTTTTCCTCAGCTGCTTCTAGAGGTTTCCATGGGTTCCAAGTCAGGAGCAGGAGAATCAAAGGTCATTCCCAGGACTCAGGGCAATGCGCCACTGTTTTGGAGGCTGGGGATGCTCGCTCAGGGTATTTCTCTGTTGGGCTGCCTCATTCAGCACCACAGAGCAGATGACAGGGCAATGAGTCTCACTGTCCTGGTTTCCAATAAAGATCCCTCCTTCCCCTCCCCCTCCACCATCCCTGCAGGGCTAGAGAGAGTCAGATGCACCAATAGAAGGCTGATGACCTACAGGGGCTGATGCAGAAATCAACTCATCCTTAAAATACAGGCTACTATTTACTATGCAAAATAAATAAACTGTGTGCCTCTCAAGGGTCAATATTTTCTTTTGGGGAAAAAAGTGGAATGCATGGGAAGAATCTCTAAGCAGGGAGGCTCAGCCTCCACCCTGATCCTGGGACAGGAAATGCTCGTAGGTTCATGGACCTTCTGATTAGACTCGGTTGCAAGAGTCACCGCACTGCATTGGCTGGGCTAGGTCAGCTGCCCCATGCTAATGCTTTGGGACCTACCTGCCATGTTAAGAAAGACAAGCCCATTTTCAGGAGCATCCTTGAGGCGCTACTTGACATAGGCAGAAAATAGGACCCAGAAAGATGTCCCTGGAGAGCAAAATGAAGTGACTCTTCTCAGTCTTACAACCAACACTGACTGAGCACAAGAACGACAGCTTCGCCAGGTAGGACTTGCAGGGTCACGCAGTGCCATAGCCCCAGGGCCTGGCAGCAGGTAGTGCTCACCCAGCACCTGCCAGAGAAGGGGCGCTTGCTCCATGCAGGTGCCTTGCAGGCATCTCTGTGACCCTTCAGGGCAATCCTTGAGGTAGGTGTCATCATCATCATCATCATCATCATCATCATAGGTGTTATGATTCCCAGGAGTCTGGGAAGTTACCTGCCCCAGGTCACACAGCCAGTACGAGGCAGACAGAAATGCAAAGTGATGCTCCGCTGCCCCTCACTGCCCGTTCCTTCATCCTGGACCATAAAACATCCCCCAGCTTTTTACTTGAGATGTCAGGGTGCAGGTCTAGGGAATGGAAGAAGCAGTGGCCAGGTCTCACATCCAACAGCTGGGTAACCAAGCCACTTCTCTCAACCTTCAGGTTCTTTGCCACCCAAACCATTTGGTGACCCCAGGGCTCCCTTCTTATGCTGACATTGTATTCTATGTGGGTCCATAGGCTGAGAAGCTGGGACCACAGGTATGCACCACCATGCCTGGCTAATTTTTTGTATTTTTTGTAGAGATGGGGTTTCACTATGTTGCCCAGGCTGGTCATGAACCCCAGGGCTCAAGCGATCCACCTGCCTTGGCCTCCCAAAGTGCTGGGATCACAGGTGTGAGCCACAGCACCCAGTCTAAATTTTTATTTTTTATGAACCTTTATTTTGTATGGGTTTTTCAATGAAGAAATACTCTACTTTAGCCTGTGTCTTCTAACTCAGGAGGCTGGGGCGGGGTAGTGATCAGTGACAGGACAGCAGGAGGCCTCCAGCCCAGGCCAGGTGAGAGGCAGGGGACCCTGGCATCCTAGCCAAGGACCTGGCTCCTTCCTTTCCCTCCCATCTCTGACCCCTGCTGCCCACCTCCTCCAGAAGGGCAGGATGATTTCTCTGGAAGAACTGGATAAAGGATATCTAAACCAACAGACAAATGGCGCAGCTGTGCCTCTTGGCCTGGGACTCCCATGCAAAGATAGTGAATTGAAAAACAAATAAGCATGCCCTTGAGGTGACTACGCAGCCTGGACCAGACGTGTCATCACCCACAGATCCCTGTAATCTAAGCGAGACACACAGACAGGAAAATACACTTGATCTTAGCCAAAAGGCCGAGAAGCGATACACAGACAGGAAAATAAACACACCAAGGCTGTTTTCCTCAGACCACTTGTTTTCTTCTTTTCTAAATCCATCAGCCTTCCTCCCTCTCTCTCTCTCTCCTCCTCTCTCTCTCTCTTCCTTTCTCCTTTCCTCAATCCTGTTTTCTCAGGCAGTGACTTAGATGCAGTGGGGTGGGAGGTAAGGAACACATTTTAGGGGAGGGACTAAAGTTGAGTGAAACCTGGACACTAAAATGGGACATTTTTTAGGGACCCTTGGAAAGGTATTGCCTCCTGAGTCCGTCCCTGTGGTTTTTTAGCTAAATTGAGGCCCGGGGGGCGGGGTGGGGGAAGGGGCTAGCTGAGTCACTGTTGGTGCCTTCTTCAGAATCACACCCTCCCAGTCTCAATTCATGCCTCGTAGGGAGACACTGGAGACACGGAAATCTGGAGGGTGGGGGCAGACAAAGAAAGGGAAAAGTGTCTGCAGGGTTGAGAGAGAGAGAGAGAGATGAGAACAAAGATAACAGTTCAGAGTAAAAGAAGAAGACGTCGGAGGGCGAGGGGGTGAGGCAGGGGAGGGATGAGCCATGGAATCGAATCATGAATCCAATCACTGCTGCCGCTACCCATAGGCTTTTCTCTTTTCAAACAACTGTTTTTGATTGACTTAAAATTCATGCAACGTAAAGAATGATTTAAAATGAATGATTCAGTGGCATTTAGTACATTCACAATGTTGTACAACTATCACCTCTATCTAGTTCCAAAACATTCTCACCAAACCCAGAAGAAAGGCTGGACCTCATAGACAGCTGCTCCCCCTTCTCCCCTTCGCCAGTCCCCAGCTGCTCATCTACTTTCTGTCACCATGGATGTATCTCTTCTGGATATTTCGTATAAGGGAAGTCACACAGCACGTGGCTTTTGGGACTGGCTTCTTTCACTGTGAATCCAGATCTTGGCACGGCTCCGTGCTTCATTCCTTGGGTAATGGGAGGGATAGTCCACATTGGTTTATTCATTCATCCATTGATGGACACCACAGTCTTTTAATAAGTGAAAAGTGTGGAGCCGAGTGCGGTGGCTCACACCTGAAATCCCAGCACTTCCGGAGGCTCAGGCAGGCAGATCACTTGAGGCCAGGAGTTCGAGACCAGCCTGGCCAACATGGTGAAACCCCGTCTCTACTAAAAATACAAAAATTAGCTGGGCATGGTGGCACATATCTGTAATCTCAGCTACTCGGGAGGCTGAGGCATGAGAATCACTTGAACCCAGGAGGGAGAGGTTGCAGTGAGCCTAGATCATGCCACTGAACTCCAGCCTGGGTTAAGACTCTGTCTCAAAAAATAAATAAATAAATAAATAAATAAAATTTTAAAAATTCAAAGTATGGGAACTAGACAATATGGACCTTTTTATTGTGACTTTTCTGACAACAATGGAGATGGGGTGGAGGGAGAAGGGTGTGTGTGCAGGAAGGGGAGTGCGTGGCCGAGGAAGGAGCCTGGCAGGGGCCCAGACAACCTTCACCTTCTTCCTCATTTTGCCAAGGCTGGGCCTCCAAGAACCCCTAGGCCCTCAGGGACAGGGATGTGCAGGTGAGACCCTGGGTCCCTTTTGCTCCCAAAGAATAGAGTCTTCGCAGCAGAGTTCACATCTTCTGTGCAGCTTACCTGAAGGGACAGCTTTGGCTGTCCCCTGAGGTGTTGTGGGGTGGACGAGAAACCCCAGGCATCTCGCCCACCTCCAAGGTGACCCTGGGCATCACTGGGGAATGCTGCGTGCTGTTTGGAACATGTCTGCCATTTTCCTGGGCACCTGCCCATGACAGTGCATCCAGGCTCACTGTAACCTGTGAGGTGGGCAGGATGGAGACCCTAGGTGGGTAAAGGACCTGAGAGGTAGAAACTTGCCCAAGGCCACCGAGCCCCAGTGACCCAACTCCCCCCAACACACATCCCTGCCCTCAAGGCAGGATTCCCGACAGCTTTGCCCCTCTGCTCCCTACGTCGTCACCTCCTCCCCAACCAAATCTCTGCTTACAAAATCCAACTGGCTACTCTCTCAGGAGAACCTCTCTGGGGATTCTTAAAGCCCCAGCTTTTGCTCCTAGTCTGTCTAGCAGGTCTGTAGGTTTCCCACGATCTGGGGCTGTTTCTTGCTGCAAGGAGGTGATGACCAATCCGCCTTCCTCCACCTGCCACCATCCTTCCCATTCCTTCTAACTTTCTTACTCAAGGCAGTACAGTTTGGTAATGATAACTCAGGTTCTAGAAAGCTCCTTGGGCAAGGGAGGGGGACCAATCAACATCCCTTGCCAGTTTTGGATTATTAATAACATGTTTATTTCAGCCCTCAGGATGAGCCACTCACAGGGGCTTCACAGAGAGGATCTCTGTAATGCTCACAACCACCCCGTGAGAAGGAATGATGAGGAAACTGAAGCTCAGAGACGTTCAGAAACCTTTTTAGGGTCACACAGCTAGTAAGCAGAGAGCAAGGCTTGAATTCTGATATTTTGATGCTAAAACCCATCTCTATGCTACTGTATCAAACGGGTGCCTTCCCAACAGAGCAACCCCTTTGGGAAAGGGGAGCTGACGTTCATTACCCAGGCCCTGCTGGAGTCAAGAGTCCAGGGGCTCAGGGGAAGCCCGAGTCGGGCTGGTCTCCTACACCGCGGGCGCATCAAGCTGGGGACCTGGACCGAGCTTCCAGTCTAAATCCGACGGCCGTGGAGCGGCCCCGGCGGGTGTCTCAGGCTGCGCTGCGGCCCTCGCTAGGGGGCAGCCAAGGAAGGTCCCGGGCTCCGCCGCCGCGCACCAGGCGCCCGCGGTGACTCAGCAGAATCGCCCCCTGGCCCGCGGTTCTGGTCTGGGGAAAGCGTGGTCCTCCTTACCCCTGCAGTTAAAAACCCAGACTGGAATCAAGGACAGGGAAGGCTGCACAGCCTTGTGAATATACCGGAAACATTTTAAAAGAGTGACTTTTATGGCATACGAATTATATCTCAATAAAGCTATCGTTAAAAACAAACAAAAATCCCCTAAATGGATCTCTTGCAGGTAACTGGAGACCAAGCAGAGATAAACCTAGAATCCAAAAATAACCTTAACATGCGCTTTGTTCTCCAAGGTAATTTTTGGCTTCTGCACCCTGTCTTTCCTTTGCTCTGGTCTCCTGTTCTGCACCACCAGGAATTTTCCAGCACATTTAGGCGGAAAGCAGGATTTCTCATGATAGGAACCATGTTTGAAGCATTTCCAGTTATTACCTCATTTAATTCACACAACAAACTATTATGCTGACATAATACAGCTGGGGAAACTGAGGAACAGACAGGTTGAGTAAGTTGCCCAAGGTCACACAGGAAGTATGTAATGGAGCCAGGCTTCAAAACCCAGACATCCTGGCACCAGCAGCAGACCTGTCAGGCCAAGTGATAGCCGAGATTAAATCAAGCAGTGACTGGTAACAGCTAAGGAATATAAGGGCTGGCCCAACAGAACTAAAGCTCTTGTTTCCTGGGAGAACTTTCTCCTTATTCACAGTTTGTTCTTGAATGCTTATGGTCCAGCTGTTTTGCTTTAAGGTATAAAGATAAATGTTAGGGCAGGCATCCTAGTCCTGGGCCTAGGTGAAGGCTGGAGCCCACAGTCTCTCGGAAATCCCTCTACTCCAGGAGCGGGGAGCGAGTGCAACTAAAGGAAAAGAGAGCCCAGGAGGGCTGGGTGCGGTGGCTCATGCCTTAATCCCAGTATTTTGGAAGGCCAAGGTGGGCAGATCACTTGAGGCCAGGAGTTGGAGACCAGCCTGGCTAACATTGAGAAACCCTGTCTCTACCAAAAGTACAAAAATTAGCCAGGTGTGGTGGCAGGCACCTGTAATCCCAGCTACTCAGGAGGCAGAGGCAGGAGAATGCTTGAACCTGGGAGGCAGAGGTTGCAGTGAGCCGAGATCACACCACTGCACTCCAGCCTGGGTGACAAGAGTAAGACTCTGTCTCAAAATAAATAAATAAAAAATAACAACAAAAAAACCTAGTCGTTAAATGGTTAACTATGGTTAGCCCTAGGGAATGGGAGTGGGGAAGGGTGGGATCCATTTTTTTCGCTTATTCTATGCTATTTTGATTTATTTCAATGAGTATAGATAATTTGAAATTTAAAAGAAAAATAAACAGTATTTTTTAGAAGTGGGGTGATTTTGAGAGAAATGTGGAGGGGTTAAGGGGAAAGACGAGGACAAAGGAAATGGAAAGTTGGAGCTTAGATGAGAACCTCTGTCTAAGGTAACTGGAGGTCATCAAGTCAAACATACTATAGATGAATCAACAGCAAGGCCAGGCACGGTGGCTCACGCCTGTAATCCCAGCACACTGGGAGGCCGAGGTGGGTGAATCATCTGAGGTCAGGAGTTCGAGACCAGCCTGACCAACATGGTGAAACCCTGTCTCTACTAAAAACACAAAAATTAGCTGGGTGTGGCGGTGGGCACCTGTAATCCCAGCTACTGGGGAGGCTGAGGCGGGAGAATTGCTTAAACCCGGGAGGTGGTGGTTGCATGCAGTGAGCCGAGATCATGCCACTGCACTCCAGCCTGGGTGACAGAGTAAGACTGCCTGAGGAAAAAAAAAAAAAAAGAAAAAGAAAGAGATGAGGAGGCTTAATAAACACCCTTGTGACGCTGGATCTTGGTGTCTCAGATGCTAAACATACTCTTCTGTGGCAGGTGGTCCCCAACTTTGAGCTTCTAAGAAGGAGCTGTGTCTCCTTTTGTGTCCCCTCCTCTCTCCTGCCCACCACAAGTGGCGCCCAGCACACAGGCAGACACTGGGAGCTGCTCAGTAAGACTGGCCCTTGAAGAGCTCTGAAGTGTGAGCTCTGGTCACATTGCATCACACCACAGAATGTTCTGGAACCAAATTGAACTACTACTAATGAAAGACCCAGATTTCAAGCAGAACTGCCAAATTAAAGAGAGAAGATAAGGAGCATACAGAAAGGAAAGACTCATGCTGGCAAGAAGAAACTTAAATAATTCCGGGCCTCAATCCAAAGAGAATAATCAACGATTGTATGAGGGCATAGATGAAGGCTGCTTTTTGGGAGGAGGTGGTGCCACTGTGTGCACACGGATGGTTGCTGCTGATGTCAGTTGGCTAATGCCCACTGTCATGAGAAAATTCCCAGATTGTGTCTGAGAGGACAATTTTGGTTTTGACCTAAGGTTTCTGGGTTTGTTGTGTTGTTTGTTTGTTTTAACTAAAAGCTTCTCTCCTCCATTGTAACTACTGGAATAGCCAATAGTGCTTGTAAATCTGTCATGCTTGGATGGCCTTTGTTTTTAGAACTACTATAGATCTAAAAACTACCCCATTTTTGACATATATATATATATATATATATATATATATATATATATTTTTTTTTTTTTTTTTTTTTTTTTTTAAGACAGAGTCCCCCTCGGTCGCCCAGGCTGGAGTGTGGTGGTGCCATCTCGGCTCACTGCAACCTCTACCTCTCGGGTTCAAGCAATTCTCCTGCCTCAGCCTCCCAAGTAGCTGGGACTATAGGCACCCACCACCACGCCTGGCTAATTTTTGAACTTTTAGTAGAGACAAGGTTTCACCATGTTGGCCAGGTTGATCTCGAACTCCTGACCTCAAGTGATCCACTCACCTCAGCCTCCCAAAGTGGTGGTATTACAGGTGTGAGCCACCGTGCCTGGCCCAATACTGTTTTTGATCAGGCAACAGCCTTCAGTGAGGATGACAGTGGTTGTGTGAGACAAACTGATGGTGCTCCTGTCCCTCCCTGTGTCCACGAATGCCCCTGGTCACCACTTTAATCTGCCTGAAATGAATCCCCTGAACCCAGAGCCCCAAGTGGATGAGACGGAGTTTCCTCTGATGTCAGAATCAAGAAAACCAGAGCAAAAAAAACTGTCTTTCTTGGGCAAACCACTCTTATTCTTTAAAGGAGTAGTAGGGGCTGGAGAGAATGTATTTTATAAAAGTGATTTATGGTCCTTATTTAAAAGTCAAATACAAAATTATAAAAGAGAAAAGCAAAGGAACCACTCTAACATCTTAGGGCACAACCTTGCAGACCCCTCTCCTATGCACACATGTAATTTTCCCTACATGGCACCATATTACACCAGTTGTTCTGCAGCCTACTTTATTCCCTTAACAATATGCTGGTATTAACAAGCTTTGTCTTTTTTTCTTTTTTTTGAGATTGCGTCTCCCTCTGTTGCCTCGGTTTGAGTACAGTGGTGCGATCTCGGCTCACTGCAACCTTCACCTCCTGGGTTCTAGTGATTCTTCTGCCTCAGCCTCCTGAGTAGCTGGGATTACAGGTGTGCACCACCACGCCCAGCTAATTTTTGTATTTTTAGTAGGGATGGGGTTTCACCATGTTGGCCAGGCTGGTCTCGAACTCCTGATCTCAAGTGATCCGCCTGCCTTGGCCTCCCAAAGTGCTAGGATTACAGGTGTGAGCCACCATGTCCAGCCAATAAGCTTTGTCTTTTGGTTGACCTCCAATGGGTATAATTTGTAGCATCGCTGTTGAGAGGGGGTCCCTACCTTCCAGCTCTAACAGGCAGCAAATGGTCCACAAACCAACTCAACATTACCCTTAAATATGCTAGAGGGGGAGGGATTGGCTTTTACATCTTCGATCCCTTTTTAGCCACACATATTCTTCCCTTAATAACAAGAGTAAATATTTCTATAGCCAGGCACTGTTACACATTTATCTTGTTTAATCCTCACAGCTACATAGGTGCAAGGGGCTGTTATTATCTTATTATCCCCATTTTACACATGATGTGCAGCTGCCCAGGCTGAGGAAGGACACCTGTGGCATTGCATCTGCAGTCCCAGCCTTCGGTGGCACTGGGTGGGTTTGGAGACCTCCACCAACCAATCATGAAGCCCCACTCGAGGCCCTAATGTAGGAGGAGTCGCTCCAACTGCACCTTTGTGGGTACATAGGCCCTCTTTGCTCCATTTTACAGCTGGGAAAACCAAGACAAAGAGAGGCTGAGGAACCTCTAGTGGACCCAGAGAGAGTGAGGAGAGAGTCTGGTGAGAGGTGATTTGCTGGAGAGTTCAGCTTTACAGTGGGAAGTCTGTTGGGAGTGAGAGTCGGGAGGGATGGTGGGACTGTCGCAGCAGCATCACGGCCACTCTCTGAGGATGAATGGTCCTTCTTACAGTCAGGGCGTTGCCTCAGCAGCACCTCCGGGTGCTGCGAGGCCTCTCAGAGGCACCCTTGGGTCACTGGCCAAAGAGCACTGTGGGTTCTCGGAAGCACCTGCTCTTCCATCAGCTGTAAACTGGAATGATAACCAGCTCCTAGGCTGTGGTTTCTGAATGTACGCTGCGAACGATGCACTGCCTTGGCCTCATGGCAGGGGCTGGGGAGGCCCGCTCTACCCTGTACCCCGACCCGGGCCCAAAGCTGAGCTTGAAGGGCCCCCTGCTTGGCTTCTCGTTGGACCTGGAGCTCACCCATGAAGCCAGGACTCACGATGTGGCGATGCCACTTGCGCATCTATCCCCACGGGTACACAGAGAGGCCACTCGCCCCCAACCCCTCTCCTGGAATGCACCATATCCAGCCTTGTGAGTGGATGGGTGCCTGGACTCCCTGGGCCCCTGGGTTTGGAGGTGGAGGCTTTGGCTTCATGTCTTCCTGAAGGACACATGTTCTCGGCTCAGCTCCCTCCATGGATTTGGGTGGAAAGGGAACCCGGACTGGAGTCAGAAGCCCTGGTGGGGTCCACTGGCTAGCTGTTGAGGCTGGGCCAGTCACTTGCCCTCTCTGAACTGCAATTCTTCATTTGAAACATGGGGATGATGACACTCCTGCCCCACAGGGTGGCTGTGATTGTCACTAGAAAAAAATGCATGAGAAAGGTGGCACTTGAACAAGCAGTCATGTTCTGGACTGATGCGAGGTGCTGAAGTCATGACGTGTGAGTGGAGAAGGAGACTCCTGAAGATGGAGAAGAGGAGGCTGGACCTAAGGGAGAAAAGCAGGAGCCAGTAGGAGAGGCTTTGTCCCAACTTCTGCCCTGATGGTGGTGGGGTGACAGCAGGAAGAGGTGAGAGGCAGCTCTGGGGCAGCCCTGGAGAGGAGAGAAACAAGGGGCAACTTCCGGGAAGGTCTCAGAAGTGGTGGAGCAAAGGTAAACTTCAAAAGGAGAACCAGAGAATCTGTTCCTCATTCCTTCCAGCGCTGGAACCCACACAATGTGACAGGCAAGCACAGGGAAGACAAGGAAGGCGATCTGGGGGGACAGAGGGCCTGGCACTTTCTGCACTGAAGTCTCAGCTTTCGGATAATGCACCCAGGAGCAGTGGGGTAGGTGGGAGTTTGAAAGGCCACAGAAAATGACCAGAAATGGGCTCTTTTTGCCATGATAGTTCATTAGATGGGGACAACAAGGAAGACAGGGAGGGGAGAGGAGGATTAGGAAGAAAAGGTGATAGTTTTTAAGATGTTTTCACTTCTAATTTTTGAGTCTGAGGTCACACTCTGAAAGTCGCAGGGGAGAAGAGGATGGCAATTCTGTTGGAAATCAGCAGTTGTCTGCCAGTAATGAACGACCTGAGCTCAGCACCGTCTTGGAGGGACAGAAGATAAACAGTGTCCGCTGAACACACGTAAGAAGTGCCACACTGCCAGGCATGGTGGCTCATGCCTGTAATCCCAGCACTTTGGGAGGCTGAGGTAGGCAGATCACTTGAGGCCAAAAGTTCGAGATCAGCTTGGCCAACACAGCAAAACAACATCTTTACTAAAAGTACAAAAATTTAGCTAGGCACGATGGTGCACATCTATAATCCCAGCTACTCGGGAGGCTGAGGCACAAGAATTGCTTGAACCTGGGAGGCGGAGGTTGCAGTGAGCTGAGATCATGCCACTGCACTCCAGCCAGGGTGACAGAGTGAGATTCTGTCTCAAAAAAAGAGAAGTGCCATACCAGGGCAAGCATACACATCTCCGAATTCTGTCTGACAGAGACAAAGTGCCCCCAGACACTTCTGCATGGCGGCATTGGGGCCAGAGATAAGCACAGCGCAGTACAGGGAGTCAGACCAGGCTGCCTGGAGTCCATTCCGAATCCTTCACTTAGGAGCTGTGCGACTTTGGGGCAAGTCACTCAACCTCCCAGAGCCTCCTTTGCATTGTCTGTAAAATGTGGGGATTAGGTGAGTTAATACATGTCAAGTGTTCAGAACCATCGCTGGCTGTCGATGAACCCTACTATGGTTACCATCGTTAAAACTTTATCCATTAATTTAGCCAAACTTTTCTGTCTCCTGTTTGTATTTTCAAACTAAACAGCTTTTCAGGGCAAAGGGCCCCACCCCATTCTGGATCCTGGTATTGGGAGGGCTTTGCCTAGATTTGCATTATAATAGTGCCCCAGCTCCCGTCTGAATTTGGAGAGGCGCCTGGAGCTAGTTCTAGATTCAGAGTCCACCAGCGGGGAAGCAATGCTGGGAAGCAAAAGAAAGACTGTGGAAGGCTCTGAAGGCTCTTGTTTGACAGTACCCACGACACGTGGTGCCCCTTGGCCCTCTCGATGCAGCCTCCGGCCAGGCAGGGCAGATGGCAGACCCTGTGAGATCATCCCCTGGTCCCGTGACACCCTGGGGACAGAGCCAAAACCGTGTCCTGGTGCACCCTGGGCGAAGCCAACTGCTTTGTAAGGAGGAAGAAACGTACACTCTAGAGAGGTCCATGCATCATTAAGTGAAAACAGTAGTTGCAGAAATGTGCATGTTCAGAATTTTTATACATAAGAAAAGAATACATATATGTGTAGTCAAACAAATAAACAAACTAGAGTATATATGCCCAACAGGGGCTTTCTCTGTGAAGAGAAATACAATTAGGGAGATTTTCCCTTATTACTGTCTACATTTTTGTCTCATTATACTGTTTTATAAACATGTATTATGTTTACAATCAGATGAAAGGCAATAATATGTTCTCATTTTGACAAAACAAAATGCTCTCGTTACAGAGTCATGTTCCACTGAGGATCTGTCCCACAGTGCCCTGTGGGTCTAGATCAATTTAAATGGACATATCAGAATTTGGATCAGGAAGAAAACAAAGTCAGAAGCACACACCTAGGTTCTGGGCCCCAAGAACATGATTTCAGAAAAAGCAGCCTCTCTCAATGCCAAATGTCCATTATCCAACAGAAAGACCAAAGAACAGCCTGGACAACATTTATGTCCTGAAACAGAAATTAGTCACATACCAGGAAGGAAGGAAGGCAGGCAGGAAGGAAGGCAGGAAGGAAGGAAGGAAGGAGGGAAGGAAGGAAGGAGGGAAGGGGGGAAGGGGGGAAGGGTGGAAGGGGGGAAGGAGGGAAAGAGGGAAGGAGGGAAGGAGGGAGGGAGGGAAGGAAGGAAGGAAGGGCGGGCAAAGGAGAAAAAGCTGGCAAGAAAGAAGCACAAAGAGTGTAGACACAGAAGAGGAAATGAAGTTCTGCTTGGAAAATGGCAAAACTCTACACCCCTGGGGTAGAAGCCAGGGGCAGGGGGAAGGAGGGGTCTCTGAGAGTCATTAAAGGGGAGACCCAGGAAATGAGAAGTCTGCCTCTGTGCTATGCCCTCCACACCCACCTGTGTCTGAGAGGCTTCTGGGTCTTCCAAGAGCCTTAAGAAAAGACCATCAAAATCATCAAGGAAGACTAAAACCACTGAATTGTAACTCAAAGTGGGGGAATTTTATAGAATGTGAATGATCATCTCAATAAAGATGTCTTTTAAAAGTTGCAAAGGAGACTCAAACTTAAATTTATTTTCTTTTGCTAATCTAAAAATAGAGATGCCCTTCAGTTTTCCCGTAGGTGGGAGTTGTGGCCTCCCAGCTGGCCTGCAGAGGCTGGTTTGGTCAGGCCTCAGCCTCTCCGGTCTCCTGTTTTCCAACAGGAGCCCTCTGGCTGGCTAGAACAAGGAAAAAGCAATTGACCCGAGGAACTCCTTGTACACAAGTCTCCTCTCTGCTTGCCAATCTGGCTTTGGCTCAACCCTCATCACTGGGGAGAGTTTGTGTTAAAGCACCAAGATGGCTTCCTATTGTTTATGCAATCTCAGAAGCTTTTGGAAAGGACTTTAAAGAAAAAAGCCCCTTGATAGCACCTAAAGTGGTTACCTAGCTCTTCTGGAATCCTTCCAATGACAGGGAGCTCATTACCTCTTAAGGGGGCTCATTCTATTTTCATCCTCTGAGTGACAGAAAATTTTTCTGTCTATAGCTAGAAACTGTGTCCCTGAGACTTTGGCAAATGGGTCCTGCTCAGTGCCCTGGAGCCACACAGAACATGCCAGTTCTTCATCCCAGGGGGCCCTTCACAGATTCAACTATCCCATATCCCCTGTCGTCTCCTCTTCAAGCTGAACATGCCCAACTCCTCCAACTATTCCTTAACTGGGCTGGATGGGCCACAGACTCGAGTATCAGAATGAACTCTAGGCTCTGGTAACAGCAATCATGACAACGATGACATCATTTGAGTGCTTACTCTGTGTAGCCACTTGGGATAATTCAACACATCCTCACTACGCCCTATGGGGTAGATTCTGTCCAGATTCCCCAACTCACAGATGAGGACTCTGAAGCACAGACAGGTGAAGTAACTTGCCCAAGGACACACAGCTTGTCAGTGGTGAAACCAGGATTCAGACAAGATTGGGCAGGTTCATGATGGAATGGCTGTAGACAAAGCTAGTGTTTAAGCCAAAGGCAGGAGGACATTTCACGGAAGACACCCAGATTAACGCAGAAAACAGTTGCTTTCCAAAGCATCAAATCCATGCATTTGATATTGCAGGTCAAATGCAGTTCTCTGTTTACTTAGAAAATGGCATTCTCTGCCATAAAAATAGAAAGCTTGTAGTATATAGGCTGTCTTTGTCCCCTTTAATAGATTTTACTACTCTCTTTTCTTTTTGAGTCCCCAGTACAATTCTAGGGCATTGCATTTGTGCTTCCGAAAGTAGTGGGGAGGGGGTAATTATCTGATTCCCTTAAGCTACACAAACGATGAGCAAAAATATGCTAAAGTGAGTTAGGTCACTAAGTACACGTCTCTCCACAGAAGGAACATAAGAATGTCAGAATCTGTAACATGCTCAGAGGGAACACGTTACGTCAAGAGAGCCCCCCAGCCAGTGCAGGTCATATATGACATCCCAGGTTCTCCTCAGACGTAGCCCCAAGGACACTGGAGAGTGGCTGTTCCTGATCTGTGACTTGGTCCTCGACGCTCAGGCTGAAGTCACATCACACACATGATTATCTGTTATGGATCTGCCACCTACACTTCAACTCCTCAGTTCAAGAGAAAGAGCGAGTAATTAGAAACCTCCTCGTAAAAGCCCATTTACAATTCAGGAGCACTGCAATTTCCTTTCCATCCTTGCAGCTTATCATTTGCATAGCACTTTCCAGGGAGCCATGAAATATGGATTTATAAGAAGCATCCAAAGGACAACAAACATCTAAACACCTCAATCCAGTGATTTACAGGCATGTGCTAGGCAAAAAAACAAAAAACAAAATGAGATAAGATGCTGCAACACTGCTGCTAAAGGAGCTGATTAGGAAAATCTGATAAGATATCAAGTTCAATGTGACCAAGGGTATTAGCAAATATGACCCGGGTTACTTGTATCCTCATTTAGTTACTCATCCCACCTCTTCCAGATCTTGTTGTAAAGTATTAATTATTAAATCTTCTCTTAAGGCCGAGTGCAGTGGCTCATGCCTGTAATCCCAGCACTTTGGGAGACCAAGGTGGGAGGTTTGCTTGAGCCCAGGAGTTCAAGACCAGCCTAGACAAAATGGTAAAACCCCATCTCTACAAAAAAAATATTTAAAAATTAGCTGGGGCCGGGCATGTTGGCTCACACCTGTAATCCCAGCACTTTGAGAGGCTGAGGTTGGTGGATCACTTGAGATCAGGAGTTTGAGACCAGCCTGGCCAACATGGTGAAACCCCATCTTTACTAAAAATACAAAAATTAGTTGGGCGTGGTGGTGCACACCTGTAGTCCCAGCTCCTTGGGAGGCTGAGGCACAAGAATCACTTGAACCCAGGAGGCGGAGGTTGCTGTGAGCTGAGATTGCACCACTGCACACCAGCCTGGGTGACTGAGTGAGACTCTGTCTCAAAAAAAAAAAAAAAAAAAAAAAATTAGCTGGGCATGGGGGCTGACCCCTGTAGTTCCAGCTACTAGGGAAGCTGAGGTGGGAGGATCACCTGAGCCCAGAGACGTCGAGGCTGCAGTGAGCTGTGATCATACCACTGCACTCCAGCCTGAACCATAGAGTGAGACCTTGTCTCAAGAGGAAAAAAAAAATCTTAATTAAAAAAATGAATTTTCATGTAAAGTAGCCTTTCAGAGACAGGCTCGTCCTAATCCCCAGAACCTGTGAATATGTTACTGTACATGGCAAAGAGGAATTGGGGTTGTAGATGGAATTAAGGTTCCCAGTCAGCTGACTCTAAAATAGAGAGATCATCCCAGATTATCAGAGTGAGCCCAAAGTAATCACGAGGGTCCTGACATGTGGAAGAGGGAGGCAGAGAACTGGTGTCAGAGCAAGGTGATGTGAGGACTCATCCCGCCATTGCTGGCTTTGAAGATGATTGATGGAAAATTTTTCTGACTATAGCTATAGAAGATCATGAGCCAAGGAATGCATGAAACCTTTAGAAGCTGGAAAAAGGAAGAAAATGGATTCTCTCCTGGACCCTCCAGAAAGGACCGCAACCTTGCCAAAACCTTGATTTCAGCCCAGTGACACCTATGGAGGGCTTCTGGCCTCCAGAACTGTAAGGTAATACATTTGTGTTGGTTTAAGCCACTAAATTTCTGATGATTTATTATAGCAGCAAATAGAAAACTAATACAGTTGATTTCACTAATGTGGACTAGTACTTTAATGACAACTTGATTTGGGGGAAAGGAAGGAAAGAAATGGACCTGGATGGCGCACCTGCTGTGTGGCCGCATCATGAAAGACTGAGCCATTTACCACCCTTGGTCCCCCAAGCCTGCCCAGTAAGGTGGGTATGGCAGCACCCACTTGCAGCAGATGGCTCTGAGAATGTCCAAGAGGCTAGGGTGCTTGTCTAAGTCCTCAGCTGGGAAAGTGGCAGGGCCAGGATTGGAGTCAGATTTGTTTGCCTCCAGAGTGCTTTCTATTTAGGGGCAGCCTTCCTTTCTTTATGCTCAAGCAAAATGGTACAAAAGCCCACAGAGCATGTGTTATCTGGTTGTGCACACTGAGGGCCCCAGAATGACGGCCGCCTCCTCTCCCCACACTCTTCTGGGCTTTCCCTTCCCTTCTTTTTTTTTTTTCTTTTCTTTTCTTTCTCTCTCTCTAATTTCTTTTTTTTTCTTTTTTTGAGATAGGGTCTCAGCTCTGTTGCCCAGGCTGGAGTGCAGTGGTGCAATCACAGCTTACTGTAACCTCAAACTCTTGGGCTCAAGCAATCCTCCCACCTCATCCTCCCAAGTAGCTAGGACTACAGGTGCCCACCACCACACCCAGCTAATTACATTTTTTCTTTTTGTAGAGATAGGGTCTTGCTACATTGCCCAGGCTGGTCTCAAACTCCTGACCTCAAATGATCCTCCTGCCTCAGCCTCCCAAAGTGCTAGGATTGCAGGCATGAGCCACTGTTTCTGGACCCCTCCCCTCCCTTCTCTCCCCTGTCAGCACCTACTAGCTTCCTAGAGAAAGTGGGGATGGAGACCAGGGCAGAGGTGAGAGGGGGCCTCTCCTTTCACAGCTCTGGTACTTCTATGGCTCCAACCTCTGCACAGTGCAACAGTGGGGGTACAAAGATAGGAGAGCAGTGCACATTGGCCTGTGCTGGAGGGGAGTCAGACTCCTCAAATGTGCGCCACACTGAAGACAGCTAACTGACGAGCTCTCATATCGCATACATATTTGCAGACTCTGAGTAGGCGTGGGATGGGGAGTGGGGAGCTCCTTTACCACTTTGAGCCATGAATCAGACAGAAGAGCCATCCTCTCCCAGGTGGAGAGAGATGGAATGGGACTTTGCACACTGCTCTATGTCCCTGGGCATGCACGCTGTGTGTATTTGGGAGGCATATGTGGCTCTCATAGCCTCCTGGGTGTTCAGGAACACACCTGCGGTTGGCCTGAAACAGAAGAAGGCTTTGGAAGATGTCCAGATGTGGATCGTTAATGACGCCATTGGGGGAAGGCCTCTGCCTGCTCAAAGGATAGAATCCAGTTAATTAAGAGCAATACTTTGTGCTTAAAAGGCACAAATTCAGACCCGTCCATTAGTCTCTTCAGTTAAGATCACTTTAAATCAAAATTGCCAAGCTGGGGCCACAGGAAGCATCTATTATTAACGAACAGAGAAAACTAGACTCCCAAGTGATAGGCTCGCCAATTCCAACACACTCAGGGGTGGATTTGGGAGCTGCTTCAGACATGTCCACTGTGTAATAAAGTTTAGAGCAGCTTTCCATGCTATAAAGCACAGAATGCATTATTGATGCTGTGCTTGGAGGCTACGTGAGTGTCCCATGCCCACGCATGTGCATGTATGTCCTCTAATGCTACAGGCAGCCCCTGGATACCTGTGGGCAGGAGAGTGGGCCAGGAAGGAGAGAACGACACAAACAGGATGGAGCGACCCATTTTCTCAACTCTGGCTGAGCAGTTGGGAAGACCTTGAGGACCAGGCCAGTGGGCAGATTATGAGGAAGGCATGAACTAACCCCCACCAGGGACCTGGAAACAGGAGCAGAGGTGGGCCATGCCCTTGGATATATTCGGTCTGGCCAGGAAGCTATCTGTGCAAATACTGAAGGACACAGGGGTAATTTCAGAGCAAAGCGACCCCTTGGTCAACACAAGTTATGGAACTCTGCCGATCTACCACACGCATGGCTTCATGCTGAGCAAAGGGACAGACAACATGCTCTCTGCCCTCTGGGGGTTGGGTTTGGGAGTGGAGACAAAGAGGTACACACGGTCCAAGGCCATGGGTAAGAAGAGAGAAAGCAGATTGTCCTGAGCCCCAAGTGTCTGTGATTCTCTTAGCTAAGTAAGGAATCAGTGCCAGAGACAGAGGTTGCTGGAGCTGAGAGGAGACGTAGTCAAGAAGATTGGAGAAGGCTCTGCGGAGAAAGTGAACTTGAGCTAAGACTTGAAGGGAGGGCAGGCTTGAAGGGATGAAACAGCCTCCTCTGTGCTAAAGAGAGGAGTGACAGGGCAATCATCAGGCAAAGGGGACATTACCAGGCAAAGGGACACCATTGGTCAAAGGCGATGGTGGAGACAAGACATTCTGGAGGAGCCCGGATCAGAGAGATTTGGGGCCAGGAGCCAGCATCAGGGGACCGGCTCCCTAAGGAACCATGGCACCACTGGCTCTCAGCTGGAAATAAGCAGCAGATGAAGCGCATGCATCCTGAGTTTTGGCTCTGGTGATGGTGGTGGAGCTGTTAATTCTTGGAGTCCAAATTCCTGCACCACCTCTGAGTTCCGAGGGGGTGGGGAAGGTAAGTAAATGGACCCCAGCTGCGTGCCTACCTCTGACTGGCTTTCTGGGGTGATCCTTGGACCAGGAGTCCACGGAAGGTTATGTAATGAAGCTGCGAAGAGGCCAGGACTGCATTAGGAAAGGTTGCTGCAGAACAAAGCCTTGTGAGAGAAATTAGGGGGCTGGGGAGGGGAGGAGGGAAGAGAGCAGTTGGGGTGGAGGCTGAGGGAAGAGCCAGCATCCCAGCCCCCAGTAGGGGCTGCCCAGACTCTCCCGAGGGAATGGAAAGGCATCTTTGGAGGGACAATTCTCAGCACACCATTAGCTGTCAAAAGTCAGCAGGCCCTACCATGGTCGATTTTCAAATTCTCGTGAGGGGCTCTTGGATATAGCAGCCCTCCCCAGAGAGGGCTACCCTGGGTAGCCACGGACCTTCCCAGTGGCTTGGATATCTTTCCAGCCAGAAAAAGACAAAAACATGCATATAATTATCTAAACAGAAGCGCTTCCTTTGCTTTTCCCAATTATTAACCCGTGGGTATTAAACTCAGTAGGATCAGAGGTCCTTCTAAGAGGGGGGGGGAATCTCAAAAAGGCCATAGGTCCAGGGTCCACCTTCTGTCTAGCAAGGAAAAGATGATTCCACTTTGCAGACAAGGCAACAGAGAGGCAAGCCCCATGTGCAAAGTCACTCAGCTAGTCAAGGGCAAAGAAGACATGGAATTAGCTACTGCCTCCTAGAGCAGAGTTCTATCCGCTGCACCACCATCTCAGACAGCAGGGTTCAGAATTTTTAAGAAGTGATGGCTTTGCATTGACATGGTTACGTGCGCAAGTCCACGCCTGCATCTGTGCTGACTGCAGTCTCTAACTAGCCAGTGGCTGTCAGCTAGCAAAACTCCAGTGACAGAGGAGCCCGCAGGACATACGTTCTCAACCAAATGGCTGATGATACCATTTGGGCAACTGTCCAGCCAACATTTTTTTAAAGTTAAATTAAAACCCACAGGATAAACAACTCTCTGGAAAAAAAAATACACACATGCGTAACTTTGATTCAACATACTGTATTTAAATATCCTAACGACTGCTAATGATTGAAATTTAATTTATTTTTTACTTATTTTTTTGAGGCAGGTCTTGCTCTGTCAGCCAGGCTAGAGGGCAGTGGCGTGAAAATAACTCACTGTAGCCTCAAAGTTCTGGCTCAAGCAATCCTCCCATCTCAGCCTCCCAAGTAGCTAAGACTACAGGTGAATGCTACCATGCCTGGCTAATTTTTAAAATTTACTGTACAGACGAGGTCTCGAACTCCTGGCCTCCAGTGATCCTCCCTCCTCAGAGTCCCAAGGTGCTGGGATTACAGGTGTGAGCTCCTACACCTGGCCCATGACCATAATTTAAAGAAACACATCAAGAGTGCAAAATATAAACAACAAATGGAAGTCTCTTTCTTAATTCAGAGTAGATCAATTGCAGGTAGCTGGAGATGATGATATCATTCTTCTAAGAAAAATCTGCTAGAATTTAACTCAAATCAATTCTCATTTCAACCTTCTCAAATGTAACATTTTATTGCTTGTTATTTTTTAAAAGTAAATGTAACAGCAAAAAAAAAAAAAAAATCAGAAAACATTTCAATGTGCAAAGACACGTGGAGCACTGAGAGACCCAGAGCAGCTTCTTCCTGTCTGGGAAGAAGGTCAAGTGACTGGGGACCTAGCAGATGACCTAATCTTCCCTGAACAAATGGCATCGTGTGGCACTGGGCCTCAGTTTCCCCAGTCCCCAAAGGATCGACAGAGATATTCTTCAGCACCACCAGGACAAGGGTCCGGAACACAATGTGGGGGGCCAGGTGAAGGGAGCAGCTGCCTCAGGACAAGTAATAAGGGGCTGGACTGTCTCTAGAGAGTTCAAAAACAGGGCTAGGCACGGTGGCTCACGCCTGTAATCCCAACACTTTGGGAGGTCAAGATGGGCAGATCGCTTGAGGCCAGGAGTTTGAGACCAGCCTGGGCAACATGGTGAAACCCTGCCTCTACTAAAAATACAAAAACTTAGCCTGGTGTGGTGCCCTGTAATCCCAGCTACTCGGGAGGCTGAGGCACGAGAATCACTTGAACTGAGGAGGCAGAGGATGTAGTGAGCTGAGACTGCAGTCACTGCACTCCAGCCTGGGTGACAGAGAGAGAGACTCTGTCTCAAAAAAAAAAAAAAAAAAAGGGAGAGAGAGAGTTCAAAAACAGTAATAAAACCAACTAATAGTTAGTCTGCTTTTCATTAGCATCATGTGCCTGCAATCCTAAACAATGCCAGTGATAAAATACTCCTCCCTTAAAAAATATTTTCCTGGTCTAAGAGGTTTTTTTTGTTTGTTTGTTTTTTTGAAACAGAGTTTCACTCTTGTTGCTGGGGCTAGAGTGCAATGGCGCGATCTTGGCCCACTGCAATCTCCGCCTCCTGGGTTCAACAGATTCTCCTGCCTCACCCTCCCCAGTAGCTGGGATTACAGGCGTGTACCACCGTGCCTGGCTAATTTTTGTATTTTTAGTAGAGATGGGGTTTCATCATGTTGGTTAGGCTGGTCTCGAACTCCTGACATCAAGTGATCCACCTGCCTCGGCCTCCCAAAGTGTTGGGATTATAGGCATGAGCCACTGCACCCGGCCCTGTCTAAGTTATAAACAATTGGTGCGATCTCAGTGTTAGTAAGGTTGTAGTTAGCACTTTAAAAAAGTTAACCTTTAATAAACTTTTTTTTCTCCACAGAAGTTATTTGGAGAACTTCTAGTTACACAGTTGGCCCTACCATATGTGGAGTCAGCCACACGTATTTATTTTGAGAGTAAGTTCTTTTTTTTTTTTTTTTTTTTTGAGATGGAGTCTTACTCTGTCTCCCAGGCTGAAGTGCAACGGTGCAGATAGATCTCGGCTCACTGCAACCTCCACCTCTCAGGTTCAAGCGATTCTCCTGCCTCAGCCTCCCGAGTAGCTGGGATTACAGGCACCCACCATCATGCCTGGCTAATTTTTGTATTTTTGTAGAGATGAAGTTTCACCATGTTGGCCAGGCTGGTCTTGAACTCCTGACCTCAGATGATCTGCCTGCCTCAGCCTCCCAAAGTCCTGGGATTACAGGCGTGAGCCACCGTGCCTGGCAGAGAGTAAATTCTTAATGGTTCAGAATTTCCAGCTTGCTTCTGGCGCCATTTGCATTTTCCATCTCTGTGAGAACACATGTTCCTGCATTAAGCAAGTAGATTCTAAGCACAGACAATGGTAGGACAGTGATTATGAAGACAGAAATTGGAGCTAAGTTACTTCAGTCCTGTCATTCTGTGCGACCACCTGGAGTTTTTGTGTTTCTTTTTTTTTTTTTCTTTTTTTGAGACAGGGTCTCAATCTGTCACCCAGGCTGGAGTGCAGTGGTGCAATCTTGCCTCACTGCAACCTCTGTCCCCCAGGGTTCAAGTGATCCTCCTATCTCAGCCTCCTGAGTAGCTGGGACCGCAGGCATGTGCCACCACACCCAGCTAATTGTTTTCAGTAGAGACAGGATCTCACTATGTTGCCCAGGCAAATCTTGAACTCCTGAACTCAAGCGATATGCCTGCCTCAGCCTCCCAAAGTACTGGGATTACAGGTGTGAGCCACCACACCCAGCCTACTTGGAGTTTTTGTATTTAAAATTTAAAACAGTGAGACAGCATGTGAACCACAAACTGTAATATTTTTGCTTGGTAAATACAAATTTTACTCATAGATGATATATTTTGCTGAGTTTAAATACCATTTTAAGTGGAAATTTATTATTTTAAAATTGTGAATTATATTGTTTAAATAATTAATCAAGAAAATAAAGCCGTACATCAATGGTACAATACAGTAGCTGCTAAATTATGGGCAACTTCTGCAGACGTCTCACTTTTCTTAAAGTTCACTTAGTAACCAAGCAATGATTTACATAAAATATTACATCAGTCTGCAATCAAAGGATCAAAACTCAGAAAGATATAGAAAGCTATTTAATAAATGCTTGTGCTTTTTCCCTTTTTTGTAGTATAATATTTACTTTTTATTTGAAAAAAATCCTGGTGCAATTATATGTACAGAGTTCAACAAGAGAAACATTTTACTATCTGCGTTTCTTTTCTGGCCATTATTACAGTCATTTCATTACACGATTATTTCTGACAATCATTTTGTCATATATAGGTGAGGTTGTTAAACAAAGGTCAGCGCTGGGTGTCAAATGGCTGGCTACACCACTGTTCCATAACATGGCACACGATGGCTGAGAAACCCCTTCAACATCAGCCAGTCTCAATCACCCATAGATCTGCAAGAGAATGAGGATGACTTTTCCCCCAGACCATCAATTTCCCTGTTAATGACAATGCCCGTTTCTCTCAGGACAACTTCATGCAGCAGCCACAGTGACAGCAAATTCTAGGATGTGAAGCTCAATAATACGAAGGTTTGCAGTGACTTCTTGGGGCCGGGATGTGACATCCAGGCAGGACCCACAGAAGATGGTGCTCCTGGCAGGTCTGGCCCCCACTCAGCCCCGGAAACAGAGGCCGGCCCTTGCAGCAGCGACAGCGTGTAGTCCCCGCAGCCATGACCTATTCCTGGTCTACAAGTGGGGACTGGGCAGCCATGACAAAGCAAAAATAAGTGAACTGGGAGTGAGCTCAGGCTAGAAAAATTTCTGAACGGCGTTCACCTTTTTTCGGGGGATGACAGGCAGGTGTCATGGATAGATGAAGGGTCTAATCTTAGAAATTAAAAAATTAAGCAGGAGGTAGTGAAAAGAACACAAGCTTTGGAGCTGGAAGATTTGGGTTCAAATTCTGTTTCTGTAATTTACTGGCTGTGTGGCCTGGGACAAGTGACTTAACCATTCTGAGTCTCAGTTTTCTTATTTGTAATGTGAGGATATAATCCCACTTCTTCCGGCTGTCCTGCCATGAAGCAAAATCATGTCTGTTTGTTCTCCAGGAACCTGATATCATTTTAGTCTCTCTCCTTTAGCTTTCCTTTTCTTTTTCTTTTTTTGGAGACAGAGTCTTGCTCTGTCACCCAGGCTGGAATGCAGTAGTGCAATCTCGGCTCACTGCAACCTCTACCTCCCAGGTTCAAGAGATTCTTGTGCCTCAGCCTCTTGAGTAGCTGGTACCACAGGTGCATGCCACCATACCCGGCTAATTTTTGTTTTGTTTTGTTTTTGTAGAGACAAGGTTTCACCATGTTGGCCAGGCTGGTCTTGAACTCCTGGCATCGAGTGATCAATCTGTCTTGGCCTCCCAAAGTGCTGGGATTACAGGCATGAGCCACCACACCCATCTTCCTTTAGTTTTCAGTAACAACATAAAATATTCTATAGGGACAGAGCCAAAGCATGGTGGGGCTTATGCACCCCTTCTCAGAGCTGGCTTGGTGGTCAGGCCCAGAAACTTCCCTAGGAATGCAGGTAGGCAAAACCTTACCCAGGAAGGAACTTGGCTTGCCAGAGGGTGGATATTGCAGGAACTGGATACCCATTATCTGCTCCCCTGGGAGCCTGAACTTCAGGGATCCACTAACAGCAAACAAAGGTTAACAGCACACAACGGCCAGGCAATCCTGGCATTTTTAAATAAACATGTGCAAGTTGTGGGTAATGAAGAATAAATCATCAGAACATTCTATACTTCAGAAGTAGAAAACTGGATTACAGATGAAAGAGAATAACAAGGAAAGAAGAAAGGTCTAAGCTGTTATTTAAAACAACAATAACAACAACAAAAGTTTTGTTTTTGCTTAGTGGTGGGGCCAGCATTTACTGAGCTCTTCTTGTATATTCCTACTAAACAGGACACAAGCCTGGCGATGACGGCCATTTTTATCATCACCTGGGGAAAGACTACTCAGAGCAAAGTAGAGTCAACACAGGGTACATTCCTGTCAAAGGGTTCTTTGTGACATTGTTTGAGTGACTGGATCCAGCTGTACCTAAGCTGGGTCTATTCCTGAATTTTTCAAATTTGGGAACCAATCAATTATATTATATAAATAACCAATTTCTTTGGGCTTCTATTACTTGCAATTGAAAGACAAACATATCCTAACTAGCCCTGAAACCATTAACTGCCTATTTGTGCTCCATCACCTAATGTGACTTTTCCTTGCCTGTGTAATGAGTATAATTACACCCTGCCCAGGCACTGGGCTTGCCCCATGTAAGGTGTGTGACAGAGCTTGATTGAAATGAAACATGAAATTTCATGAAATATGAAATTAACATATTTTTACCTAGGAAAATATCCTTACCATCCTATCTTCTAGGGAGGCTTAGGGAGATTAATTTTTTGGGGTTTATTTATTCATTAAAAAAAAAGTTTTAAATGTGAAGCACAAGGCAGATCAGTGGTTCTCAAGCTGATGCAACAGAATTCTCTGCAGTGCTTTAAAAATATATCCACTGATGGCCGGGTGCAGTGGCTCATGCCTGTAATCCCAGCACTCTGGGAGGCTGATGAGGCAGGCAGATCATGAGGTCAGGAGATCGAGACCATCCTGGCTAACACGGTGAAACCCCGTCTCTACTAAAAACACAAAAAAATTAGCCGGGCGTGGTGGCGAGCACTTGTAGTTCCAGCCACTCAGGAGGCTGAGGCAGGAGAATGGTGTGAACCCGAGAGGCGGAGCTTGCAGTGAGCCGAGATCGCGCCACTGCACTCCAGCCTGGGTGACAGAGCAAAACTCCGTCTCAAAAAACAAACAAACAAACAAACAAAATATATATATGTATATATAACTCCACTGATGTCTGGCCCTACCCCAGGGATTTGGATCCAATTGGCCTAGGGTGGAGTCTTGCATTGTGGCTTTAAAAGCTCCTCAGGTGATTCTAATGTGTAGTTAAGGTAGGCAGCCAGAGTGCAGGTGACCACAGCAATGAGTGACATAGGTACAGTGGTACGGTCCTTGCCCTTGTGCAGGTGCCTTGTGGGGAAGGCAGTGGAAAATCAAGTGAGACAAGTACCACAAAGTCATAGGAGTGTAGATGGGACACCTGTGTAGTGTGGGTGTTGGAGAAAACTTCCCCAAGGAAGTGATGTTTCTGCTGAGACCTGAAGGATGGGCACAAGTTAGCAAGGTGAAAGGGAGGGGATAGGAAAGAACATTCCAGGGGAATAGTATATGACAAGGCCCCAACAGAAAACTGTAAAGAGCTTTCAAGGAACTAAAAGATGACTCCTAAGGCTGGAAGATGAGGTGGTGCCAGATGTGTGAAGCCACAAGAATTTGGGATCTTGTTTGTCACTGCAGCATAAACCTGTCCTTGTTAACTGAGACAACTGGTTAGAGTAGAAAGATCGGGGCTGAGTCCTGGCTGGATTCCAGTAACAGGGACATGTTGGGAGGAGATGGAGTCGCCAAAGTGCTGAGGATGCTTTTTTTTTTTTTTTTTTTTTTTCCTGAGATGGAGTCTCACTCTGTCACCCAGGCTGGAGTGTAGTGGCGCCATCTCGGCTCACTGCAACCTCCGCCTACCAGGTTCACGCCATTCTCCTGCCTCAGCCTCCCGAGTTGCTGGGACTACAGGCACCTGCCACCACGCCCGGCTACTTTTTTGTATTTTTAGTAGAGATGGGGTTTTACCATGTTAGCCAGGATGGTCTCGATCTCCTGACCTTGTGATCCACCCACCTTGGCCTCCCAAAGTGCTGGAATTACAGGCGTGAGTCACCGCGCCTGGCCTAGGATGCTTTTAAAAAAATCTGGCTGGGAAAAGGAGAAGAGAGCTAGGGTGGTTGACTGAAGGGGGTATGTTTTGTTTTGTTGTAAAGAGGGGAATTATTTAAACTTTCTACATGCTGGCAAAGAAGACAGGAGAGGGAAAAGAAAAAGCTAAGCACCGTTCCTGAGACAGTGGGAGAGGTGGAGATATGGGATCCAGACATAGGGTCATGGAGGCCTGGCCTTAGTAGAGTCACCCAAGATTGCTGCCAGAGAGGTGCCCAGGGTGGACTTTGGCCGTGAATAGAACCATGCTGAATTAGCACACCTGAAACGCTGACTCTGGGCCTCCCACACTTGGGTCAGCAGAGCAAACCACTTTGACCCTGGGAGTCTTGACTTCTGCTTCTTCCATCCTAAGTCAACCACACCTCAGCGACTACCCCCTTCCCCAACATCTAAGGACTACTGGCCCACAACAGAAAAGAAATGAAATTGCCAAATCACATTGTTTAGATTTTCAGCATTCCAATGGAGGGCTTGGGGTAGACTGGCATGCCTTCTTCCTCCAATTTTTTGTTTTGAAAATTTTCAAACTTAAGAAAAGTTGCACAAATAATACAATAAATACCACATTCCCTTCACCTAGACTCACCAATCTTTAACTTGGCAACATTTGCACTCTCTGCATATATAATTATATAAAAATACATGTATGTATGTGTGTGTGTATATATATGTGTATGTGTGTGTATATATATACACATATATGTATATATATGTGTATATATATACACACATACATACACACACTCATACCACACACGTACTTTTTTCCTGAGCTATTTGAGAATTTGCTGCAGACATCATGATACTGCACCCTTAAGAAATTTCCTGGGGGAAGTAATGTTTCTGCTGGAACCTGGATGATGATAAGTTAGCAAGATAAAAGGGTGGGCATAGAAAAGCCTGTCTCCAAAGAAAAAGTCCATTCCCTCCGGAACCATCACACCACACACTCTGATACTATTATAAGTCCATATGTGAATTTCTCTAATTGTCCAATAATGTCTCTTATAGATTTTTAAAAATTTGAGGGCTGGGTACAGTGGCTCATGCTGGTAACCCCAGCACTTCGGGAGGCCGAGGTGGGAGGATAGCTTGAGCCCAGGAGTTTGAGACCAGCCTGGGCAACATAGTAAACACCATCTCTAAAAATAAAAAATAAAAAAAATTAGCCAGGTGTGGTGGTATGCACCTGTGGTCCCATCTACTTGGGAGGCTAAGATGGGAGGATCACTTGAGCCCGGGAGGTCAAGTTTGAAGAGAGCCATGATCACGCCACTGTACTCCAGCCTGGGCAACAGAGTGAGACCCTGTCTAAAAATAATAAATGAATAAAATAAATATATAAATAAAAATTTGACCGACAGCTTAGTAAGGATTATATTTAGTTATGTCTGCTACTGTTTAAAAAGACTTTTCTTTTTTTTTTTCTTTGACATAGAGTCTTACTCTGTTGCCCAGACTAGAGTGCAGTGGCACGATCTTGGCTCACTGCAACCTCCACCTCCTGGGTTCAAGCAATTCTCATGCCTCAGCCTCCCAAGTAGCTGGGATTACAGATGTGCGCCACCACACATGGCTAATTTTTTTATTTTTAGTAGAGATGGGGTTTCTCCATGTTGGCCAGGCTGGTCTCGAACTCCTGGGCTCAAGTGATCTGACTGCCTCAGCCTCCCAAAGTGGTGCTATTACAGGTGTGAGCCACCTCGCCTGACCTAAAAACACTTTTCAGCTCCAATTTTAAACTTAAAATTTTTCTTATTTTAAAAACAACATATGCATGTATTATCAAATACAGGAAAATATGAAGAGACAGAAGTACTTACTGATCATAATCCTACCACCAGAGACATCACTATGAATATGTTTGTACATTTCTTTTTTCCTGTGCATTCTAAAACATAGTTAAGATTATGCTAAATATACAGTTCTCATGCTCTTTTATGTCAGAAGTGTTTTCCCATGACATTTTAAACCCCATAGACATAATTTTCTAATGGCTACATACTATTCTATCTAACCATTTCCAGAGGTTGGATATT
Source organism: Homo sapiens (assembly GCF_000001405.40). Classification (NCBI taxonomy): domain Eukaryota; kingdom Metazoa; phylum Chordata; class Mammalia; order Primates; family Hominidae; genus Homo; species Homo sapiens. The sequence continues at coordinate 862,695 of NT_167251.2, forward strand.
TAGCCAGCTTCTGAGACTTCCTGTTATAAACAACACTTTGATGAACATCTTGGTACATAAATCTTTTGCATGTGACTACTTCCTTAGGACAGATTCCTAGAAGTGAAATTCTGGGTCAAAGAGTAGTAATATTTTAAAGGCTGTTTATGCATACTGACAAGCTGCTTCCTGGCAATTTGTCCAAACTTTTACTCTGACTAGCATTGTATGGGAGCTTCCCTGAGTGAATGCTGCCTTTGAAGTGGGGTCAGAGACTGAGGACCAAGGGGCACAGAGAAAGAAGAGTGTGGTCCTCGATGGGAGGACCCATCACAAACCGTCTTGCACAGTGTAAACCCAGGAGAGGGGCTGAAGAAACCACTGCAGCCCGGGGCCACCCATTCTACCTGGCCCATGGTAGGCACTCAAGAAATGGCTTGCTACGTGAATAAACAAATCCACAAACATATATTTCTGAATTCCTATCATGCGTCAAACACAAGAGATAGGGAGAGAGGAGGAAAAGAAAAGCAAGGGATCATGGGATAAAAGGGGACAGTAGCAGTGGGGTGGACAGAAGTCAGAACTAAATTTACCTCATGCTTTAATTCGGCGAGTTTTCTTAGAATAGTCTGACCATTGCTTACGTTGAGGGTCTATAGTCCTCCCTTCCCCACAAGACAAAGTCCAACCTAATTCAGCACCAAGATCCAAGCAGCTCGGAAGATACAGGAGGGAAAAATCTGGTGTAGATTAAGTGCCACCCCCCAGCAATGGCCAGGACACAGCAGCAATGTTACCTAAGAAAGCAACTGCGCCTCTTGCTGATCAGCTAGACATGAGGGCAGTGTCCCACCTCAGCGGTTTGCAGCGGACATGCTGTCAGGCCATTGGGATAGTTCCCATAAGCCACTCCTGGTTGTCACCACGATTCCAAGTGGGCAGGAGCAGCCTTATTGACTGAGATGGGCGGCTATGGACACACATGGGTGTACGCATGTGATGGAAATGGGGGCTTGGGGCCCTGAGGGTCCCCAGGGGCTGCGTGGTCAGGGAGGGTGGGCATGGCATCACAGGCACCCCAGGGGAGAAGCTGGCTTTCTTCCCATACTTTTGGCACTGTTTTCTGTTTTGTTTGCCTTCAAAGAGCAAGTGATGGCTGGACAGCAAAGAGGAGTGGAGGCCGGGAGAATGGGCAGCTAGCCCAGCGCTCTCCAATATCTGGGAGTCGACCGCACTCCTGCACTCCCTGTCATCCCTGCTAATGGTGAGGAACTGAGCAAAAGAGCCTCCAGAGTGACAGGTGACTTAAAGCGCACGTGGCTCTACACTTACAATTGAAGTGGGCTTTGGAGATTGCAGATTCTGAACACCTGCTGGGGTGGTACAGAGGCTGTGTTCTGGTTTTGCCATCTTGGACAGGGGGTTGGGAGTCTGGGGGGGCTGCCTTCTCTCCTCTTCGTGCAGCTCTGCTGGGGCCTGTCTCACACTTGTGAGCAGAGTTATGGCTGGATTCCAGGGGAGACAGAGCTTGGTTGTGAAATGTAAGGTTGTGAAATGAAGGGCTTGTGAAATGAACAAAGAATGTATTTAAGGGTCTTTCATTTTAAATCAAACACTTACATAGCACTTACTACTTGCAAAGCTCCACTCTAAGCACTTTACCCATCTTAATTCATTTAATTCTCTTCTCAACCCTAAAAAGCAGGTATTACCATTGCTCCAATCTTACAGATGAGGAAACTCAGGCATGGAGAGGTTGAGTGACTTGCCCAAATTCATGCAGTTAGGACCTGGCAGAGCTGCGCTTTGAACCCAGGCTGCCTGGCTCTAGAGTGTGTGCACGAAACTTCACTGCCATATGAACAAAACTGCAGGACATATGTTCTCAAAGCAAATAAGCCTCCCAGAGGTAAGAGTTAGGTTCTGTTTCCCCACTGGTTGTATTATTCAAGAAGGGAGCTATTACTAAAAGCTAAAGTGGGTAGGCCAAGGTCGCATGCAAAGCTGATACTTGCTGAGTCAATGAATAGCTGCATGATGTGCAATGAGGTGGAGAAAGACATTAACGTGAAAGAGTCTGATTATCTTTTATGGGAGGAACCCAGAATCACACAGAGCCCTGAGGGCTGGATGGCTCCGGGCATTCCCCCAGTGCCCACAAGTAAATCAGGGACAGCCGGACCCCTTCCAGGGTGCCCTTCCTGGGGGTTGTCTCATGCCCTTGAGTTAGGAGTCAACCCTATGGGATCCTCTGGGAGCCCTCTGCTCTATTGATCCCCAAAACTTTATCCAGACCCTGCATCCCCTTGTTCTGGAAATGGGTCTAGTTCTCTGATTCTCAAAGGCTCCTGGAAGGCAGGGGTTTTGTCTCATTCACATTGAAATCCTTAGTATCTACAGCATCCAGCAGGTGGAGAGAAGGAGAGACTTAGCATTTATTATGTGCCTGTTTCTGGCCAGGAGTCCTACCCCTGCCACCTTACCAAATCTTCACAACACCCCTTAGAGGGCATTCCTCAAAGGGGAAGATATTACCAGCCCCTACTTAGAGATAAGAACATAGGGTCCAAGAGGTTAAGGGGCTTGGCTCAAGGTCACCCAGCTAACGAGTGGCAGAAGAAGACACAAGATGAGTTCTACTCCAGAGTCCAGGCTCTGTCACTCGCCACAGGGCTCCCGGAAGACATTGGTGTTGCTCGGTCTCTCTGACTTGCCCTTTGCTAACTCCTTTAATTATTTTGCTTGACTTGAGTCCAATTCAGGATTTGAGACTGAGTTTAGTTAACATCATTTTTTTTTTGTTTTGTTTCTGGCTCCAGAGGCTTTTCCTGATGGCTTCAAGGACCTGCCCTAGCCTGGTCTGACTTCCCAGAGGGGATCCAGTCCCAACATTGGCCCTATCTTTAGACCACATTTCCATCCCATTCTCAGTGAAAACCCTGAGTCATGACAGAAGACAACCAATGCTGGAGAGAGGAGGTTTCAGGTAATGCCTGTTTTAGGCATCCTCTCCTTTAAGAAAAATTTTTATATCAAGGCACCTCAACATAATAATACCTTTATTGCATATAGGTAGAATATAAAACTGACTTGTAAGACCACTCTGTGTGTGTGTGTGTGTGTTCTCTAGCTAGCCTGCAGGGACGGGACTCAGTTCCTCAGCAGCCCAGTGCCTGGCACAATAGGCATTCAATTAGAAGTGCCAGACATTTTCAAACTTTAAGGTATAATTTGTTTGGACACTTTGGCTGGGCATTTTGATAAAACATCCCTAGTTAAAAGATGGCAACCAACAGGCATCAAACCAAAACCACCCTCAAAGAGCAAAATATAAGGCCTTTGTAACAAGAGTCACAGAGTTATGGCTGGCCGCGGTGGCTCATGCCTGTAATCCTAGCACTTCGGGCCGTCTCTATTAAAAACACAAAAATTAGCCAGGTGTGGTGGTGCATGCTTGTAATCCCAGCTACTTGGGAGGCTGAGGAAGGAGAATTGCTTGAACCTGGGAGACAGAGGTTGCAGTGATCGCTCCACGGCACTCCAGCTTCACTGCACTCCAGCCTGGGTGACGGAGGAAAAAAAAAAAGCAAACTCACCGAGTTACAGAATCAGCCATTCTATGGAGCCAGAAAGAGGCGCCTCAGGGAGAATCTGTGACTCAAGAACACTTGCTGAGGGTCCCGGGCTTAGGTGCTTTGAACTTCGCTAAGGGCAGTCTTCTAGTTCTCTGTTCTTCCCTTCCAGGAGGACAACAGTCAGAATACCCCCAAGACGTCCTTCTTTCCCTAAGGTCTCAAAATCCTTGCCTCAAGAAGTTATTCCTGAAGTCTAGCTTGAATTCCTCCAGATAGAGTTTAAACCAGACAAACAGCCTAGGAACATGTTACAATATTCAAAAACTTCTAATTTAGTCACCATCACTTGCAAATAGGGATATCTCATGGAAATACGATTTCTGATTTATCTTGAAAAGTCAAGATGATCTGGCCACAATGGGCCTGCACTCCTGTGAGGTGGTATCATTGGCTTGGGGGTCTCACCAGTGCCACCCTGCATGGGGGCACCAGGTGACATGATGCTCGATTGAGCTTTCCCTCCAGGCTGGGTAATCAGAGGCCAGGCCCTGTGTGTCTTCCAGGGGATGCTGTCCTGACCCAGGCTGGTGAGGCAAGGAGGGGCTGCGGCTTCCTGAGCTCTCCGAGCTGCTAGTGTGCGTGGGGAATGCTAAGCAGCCTCCAGGCTCTGACCAGGTTTGTCTTCTAGGACCCACTTGCCCAATGGGTGCCAGGACACCAGGTCTGGGTCTGGAGAAGAGAATTCTTCTCCAAGGGATGTTGATGGTCCATTCCGGAAATGAAAGCTTCCCACGGTCTGCCCTGCACCAGGCTTTCATCAGTGAGACATACCCCGAATTTACACCCAAACCTAAAAGGAGAAGCGTAGAAGTGTTCTTGGCCCAATTCTTTTAATTGCAAGTCCTACTAGCAGGACAACTAAGGGATTATCCCTAAACTTTCATTTAAAAGTCTGGGGAGGGAAGGAAGGAGTAAAAACTTTGGCAGTCAGATTTTTCTCACTTTCACATTTATTCTTTACTATTAATGACTTGTTCATCATGCTGTACAACAATTGTGCAAAGATGCATACATTTGCCACTATAATTTGCCATTAAAATGTAATAATCAGTAAGTATACACGGCGTGCCAGGTGCTAAACAGCAGATGAGGGGCGAGGTGGGTGAAGGTTCCATGCCGTGAGTTTGTGGCTAATGGAACCCCTCATGCTGCTGCTATCCTTCCTGGGCCCAGCAGTTGGATCCTGCAGAGGTGCCCCACTCTCTCGGGGACCTCAGAAATGTCCTCTATGGTTAGGGACGGCTAAGGAGGGTGTATCTGCAGGATTCCCAGGCACTGGGAGGTGTATAGAGGTCACAGGACCCATACAACCACCCCAGACCTTGTCAGAGTGCTCCAGTCTGGCATCCGCAGAAGGCCAGGGAGGGTCAAGGGGCAGTGCTGAGCCACTGAACACAGCCACAGAGTTGGAGCTGCCAGGCAGAAGGTGCACGGCTCAGGAGAGGAGACCCCTTGAGGCAGCAATGCTGGGGCCGGAGGGTCAAGGCTGAGGAGAAGGCCACCGCAATGCCCTGTGTGGCCCTCATGAGCTGAGGGACCATGGGAAGGTGGCCTAGCCACTCTGAGCCTCAGTTTCCCCGGGAGATAAAAACAGAGACAGTATCTGCAAACTCAACAGGGCATTATGGTGAAGAAATGAGAGGACTCAGGAACATGTTAGCTGTCACAGCCTTAGCCACTGCCAACTCCAGCCAGGCAGCTGGTCAACATTGCCGAGCACCAGCCAGGTGACAGGAGGACAGAGGGCTCGGGGGAAACCAAATCCATCCCCCCAAACAAAAGAAAAACACAAACAAAAATAGGCACCAGAGCCGCCGGACATGTACAAAGACTGTGTACGTACTGCCTGTGGACAGAGCCCAGGAAGAGCACCCTGGCTCCTGTGCTCCACGCCTGCAGCTCATCTGGAAGGTTCCCTGTCTATGGCAGCCAGGTACCCAGGCCAGCCTGCAAAGGCCCAGTAACAGAGCTTGTGTCTAAGATAGAACTTCATAGCTTTGTGCTGCCAAGCCCACCTGGAGCCCCCTTTAAGCCTTCTTTTGTTTGTTTGTTTGTTTGTTTTGAGACAGGATCTCATTCTGTTACTCAGGCTGGAGTGCTGTGGTGCCAGCATAGCTCACTGCAGCCTCAAACTCCTGGGCACAAGCGATCCTCCCACCTCAGCCTTCTGAGTAGCAGGGACTGCAGGTGCATGCCACCCTGCAAAGCTAATTTTATTTATTTTATTTTTTGTAGAGACGCGGTCTCACTATGTTGCTCAGGTTGGTCTCGAACTCCTGGGCTCAAGTGATCCTCTGCCTTGGCCTCCCAAAGTGCCGGGATTACAGGCATGAGCCACTGCGCCCCAACCCGTTTAAGCCCTTCTGAGCTTTAAACCTCACCTGCCTCCACTCTGCGCCCAGCAGTGGGGGAAGGTAGGGAGGGGAAGGTAGCAACATGTAAAGGAGACAGGGTCATCGGAGCCAGCTCTGGGTGTGAGCTCACCATCTTCCACAAGGCCGTTCGTGGATCCGGCCTGGCGAACTGACCACGGTTCTCCACAGAGTAGGGGCAGGTAAGGGGCTGGGATGAGGCTCTGACCTCTGCAGCGTGAGGATGCCAGGGAGGAGGGCAGGCGGGCGGGCGCCCCTTCCTCTGGTTATCTGTAGTCCTGGATGCCTCGTGTAAGTGAGAACACAATCGGTCCCAGGAGGACTGTCTCTAGAGGAGGCACCAGGGGCCCGGTGGAGGCAGGAGAGGCCGAGGGGAGGCAGGTAGGGAGCAGGCAGGGCTGAGCGGCGCTGCAGCAACAGGCAGGGTCAGGGAGACGCCAAGACTCCCAGTCCCACAACAAGGTACCACAGACCATATAGCTCATAAACAATAATTTATTTCTTGCAATTCTTTTTCTTTTCTTTTTTTTTTTTTTATTGAGACAGAGTCTCAGTCTGCTGCCCAGGCTAGAGTGCAGTGGGGCGATCTTGGCTCACTGCAACCTCCACCTCCCGGGCTCAAGCAATTCTTCCACCTCAGCCTCCTGAGTAGCTGGGATTCCAGGCGCACACCACCATGGCCAGCTAATTTTTGTATTTTATTTTAGAAGAGACAGGGTTTCACCATGTTGGCCAGGCTGGTCTCAAATTCCTGACCTCAAGTGATCCGCCGGCCTTGGCCTCCCAAAATGCTGGGATTACAGGCGTGAGCCACCGCACCCAGCCAGTGTGAGCCAATTAAACCTCTTTTCTTTATAAATGATCCAGTCTCAGGTAGGTCTTTATAGTAATGTGAGAACAGACTAATACACTAAGAGTCCCTTTGTAACCTTGGAACCCACCTCTGGTTCTACAACCTGCCCTACAGGAAGCTCACCACAGCAGGCATGTTTCCCCTTTGCTTCACACACCACAATGGCAGCTTATCACAGTAGGTGCTCAGCAGTGTGGCTAGGGGCCAGTTGCTGGCTGTGCGCTCTGCTTTATACACACCACTGCTATTCCTTACAGCAGCCCTGAAAGAGAGGTGCTATGATTCCGAACCAGGCTCAGAGAGGTCCAGCTACTTACCCAAGGTCACACAGCTAGTAGGGGGCAGCCAAGATCCAACCCCAGCCAGCCCTCCTCCAAAGCCTGGGCCCTTTCCACCACATCTTACTGGCTCTGCAGAGTGGCAGGAAGAGACAGGTAAATGCATCTCATATCCATTTCTTAAGTAAGGCATAATAACAATAAAATGATTAAAGCAACAGCTGGGGGAAACGCTTCAGTGGCCAAGAACAGACCAGCCAGGTGCAGGGAGAGATGACCAATGACAAGCGCTCTAGCAGTTTTTGTGCTAATAGTGAGATGGACTGACTTTGGAAATGGAAAAGGAAGACAGTGAGAGAGGAAAGGGCCAAAGCAGACAGAAAAATGAAAGATGCTGGCTGGGCATGGTGGCTCATGCCTGTAATCCCAGCACTTTGGGAGGCTGAGGCGGGTGGATCACCTGAGGTCAGGAGTTTGAGACCAGCCTGGCCAACAGAGTGAAACCCCCGTCTCTACTAATAATACAAAAATTAGTCGGGCATGGTGGTGCGCACCTGTAGTCTTGCTGCTCGGGAGGCCGAGACATGAGAATCGCTTGAACCCGGGAGGCGGAGGTTGCAGTGAACTGAGATCGTGCCACTGCACTCCAGCCTGGGTGACAGCAAGGCTCTGTCTTAAAAAAAAAAAAGACGCTGGAATCCTCCAGGATCCACAGAGTTCACTTTATGGATGGACCAAAGGGGCTGGCAGTTCTACAGCCCCTTCCCATACAGCATTTGTCATTGGGAACTGTTCCCTCACCCTGGGCAAGAAAAACCTTATTAACTTCACTGATACTTTCCAGCAACAAATGTCGCTTCTGTTATTTAGCACACTGAGGGAAGAGCAAATGGTCCTCTCATGGGCATCAGGAATGCCCATGCCCCCTCCAGGAATTAGTGGATATTCTCTAGGAAAATTTGCATTAGTTTTTAAGCAGGGGCAAAGATAATTCGAATTCAGCCTGGCTGCTTCAGTGGAAGGAAATTTACCTGGACTCAGAGCCTTCTTTAAGAGATGCATGTTTGCTGTTTTTGCTTTTGTTTTGATTTATTTTTCTCCTTGAGGGCAAGTCCTAGTCATCAGCATGAGACAACCCTAGCTCTTATGAGAGGTGACCGACCACTCGACCTTAGCATTGGTTACTCAGCACAGGCAGATGTGAACCCTGCAAGGCAGAGCTCGCACTCTGCAAAGCAGAATGGTTTATCAAAGACACTGAAGCAAAGACACTGAAGGAGGAGTTGGGCAGGAGGCTGCAGGGAAAGAGTTCTCACTACAGAAGAAAGTGGGAATGTTCTGGAAAGCTGCTGCTGAGGGGACGCATGTGTAAAACAGATCACGTGTCCCCATGACCGAAGTCTGTCATCTGACAGGCCAAGTCTTCATTTCTTGGTATCTCAAATATCGATGCTTCCTGGCCAAACCTCTCCCATGAGATGGCACCTCTGGCCGGGTGAGTCTGAGGGCCCATCTCCAGGTGGCCCAGACACTGGAGGGAGGTGATGTGGGGCACAGAAGGGGATCTGCGGGGGAAGGACACCTGTGCTAGTCCAGCTTTGCCATGAACCTGCTGTGTGACTCTGGGGAGGTTAACTGTACCTCTCTGGGCTTAGTTACCACATTTCTCAAGTGGCTCTGGCATCTGTTAAAATGCCAAACTCGTGGTCCTTAACACCTTGTGATGCTGGCACCTCTCTGCAGACTTTTCTCAATGTAACCTCAGAAGTTGGGGAGGACTGGGGAGAAGGGAGGTCCTGCAGGGAGGAGAAAAGGGAAAGTGGGCAACTCCACTGAAGGCTGTCACACATTTGGGGGCTGTTCCCGACAGTTTTACCTTCCTCTTTGGGCCCCTCCTTTCTCTTCCCTCTCAGTCCCCTTGTCAGATGGTTGATGGGGATCACTGGGAGTTGGGGTGACTGTCAGGAAGGCAGAGAGGGGGTTTGGGCAGCAGGTGGGAAGTGGGGCCAGGTGGCCTCTCGGGGTTCTCCCACCTCACAGTTCTGGGGAGTTCAGGGTTCTGCAAGCAGAGTGATCCTTAATTAATAAACAGCGGGGCAGGCTCGGGCTCCACGTCAGGAAAACTGCAGTCAGCCACGCTGGGCCACCCGCCCTCTGCAGAGCACACGCAACAGCGCAGTCATTAAAGCTGAACTGAGCCCTCTCAGGACCAGTGGGAACATCTCTGAACACTGAAGTTCTGCATCTGAAAGAGAAACCTAGGAATGCCTTGCTGCTTCTCTGGGTGTAGAGACGGCCCCCAAAGAGCAGGGCCCTGGGGCTGCGCTCTCAGTCCCTCCGGGAATGTGGGGATGAGCTGAAAAGCGGGAATTCTGGAGGAACCGGAGACCACCATGGTGGGCTGACTGGGACAGGACTGTGGGCAGGGTGTGAATCCGCCCACGGAAGTTACTCCAGGGGAGACCTCCCTTTCAAACCAGCAGTGCCACCTGGCCCAGAGTGGCTGGGAGGATGAAATGTGGTCATCTGGGTGAAAGCACTAAGAGAAAAGAGAGTGTTCTGGTTGTTTTTGATATAAAAGGATTTGGCATCAAGATCGTCAAATGACATCAGTCAGCCTCACCTCAGGGAACATGTCCACCGAGGTCTCATTGGAAATGCAGGGAACAGGGTGGCTCATGGGCTAGTCTGGGTTGTCACAGACTATGACAAGGAGTAGATACTTCAGCACACTAGCCCACCTCCCTTCTCCTCCTACCCACCCCCTCTGACTCCAGGAGAGCCCTCTAAAGTGCTGTGTTCAGTTACATGCCTTATATATGCTGAACACACACACACTCACACATGCTCACAGACACAATGCACACACACGCTCACATGCCGCACACATGCACCACACACACAACACACATGCTCACACACACCACACACAGACACATCACACACACATGCTCACACACCACACACATATCACATCACACACACATGCTCACACACCACACACATATCACAACACACCACACATGCTCAAACATACACACTCACACATGCTCACACACCACACACACATCACATGCCCACACACATGCTCATGCACACACCATACACAACTCACACACCACACACACCTCACGTCACACATACACACCACATACTTCACACACACACTACACACACAGACTCACACACGCTCACACAGCACACACCCCCACACCACACACATACACACTCATGCTTACACACCACACACACTCACCCCCATCCCCCCACACTTTGCACGCACACACACGCACTCCAGTCTCTAACATGACAGGGTTAGGCCAGATCAGAGCTTTTGTGACCAGGGACATTCGTCATGCCTGCCAGCATCACTTGAGGAGCCTTTTAAAAGAACCGTTCTTCTGGATATTTTCATCCTTTCCAAGTGTGCTGATGCCTGAGCGTATACATGCATTTAATCTTTTTTAAAAAGCAATTGGCTGGGCAGGGTGACTCACGTTTTAATCTCAGCCCTTTGGGAGGCTGAGGCAGGAGGATTGCTTGAGTCCAGGAGTTTGAGACCAGCCTGGGCAACACAGAAAAACTCCATCTTGATTAAAAAAAATAGCTGGGCATGGTGGTATGCATGCCTATAGTCCCAGCTACTCAGGAGGCTGAGGTGGGAGGATTGCTTGAGCCTGGGAGGTTCAGGCTGCAGTGAACCATGATTGTACCACTGCACTCCTGCCTGGGCAACAGAGAGAGACCCTGTCTCAAAAAAAAAAAAAAGGTAAAAAGTAACATTTAAGCATGGTAATACAAAATTAATAGTAGAGAAATGGAAATGACATCTCCCTTCACCCAGTTTCTCCCCACCAGAGGCCACCACTGAAACTGCATTCTCATTCTTCCTTCCAGAGTTAGGCTATGTCTGTGTGGACTCTGTTGCATGCGCTGGCCTTCCTTGCACGCAGAGGACAGTACACAGTATCTGCCTTGTTCCTCACTGCTTTTCTCACTGACCCACAGGATCTGAGGGGCACCCGCAGCAGTGCAGACGGACCGCTCCATTCCGTCAGAGGCCACACTTATTTCACAAGTTCCATCCTGATGTTTTCCAGACTTCTACATAACAGATGATTCACCAGTGTGTCCCCCCATGGATGCCTCTGCTCACATAGAAAGGGTTAATTCTTGGAAGCTGAGGTGCTGTCAAAGGGCATCTGACAGATCAGCCGCCCTCTGCTCCAGGGGTGTGGTCTTCCTCTCCGACCCATGATGCGTGGCAGCCTGGCTGCCCACACCCTGGCTGCCCACACCCTGGCTGCCCACACCCTGGCTGCCCACACCCTGGCTGCCCACACCCTGGCTGCCCACACCCTCAGATCCCTGAGCAGCAGCGTCTCGCTGTGGTTTTATCAGCAGTCTTTTTAAATTACATTTTTTTTTTCTGTCACTTGCCTGGATGGAATCAGCAGTCTTTTTTATTATGAGGGAGATCAAGCACCTTTTCATGTTAAATCCCTCCTCCTTTTTTTATCCTTTTCCTGTGAGCTACCTGTTTTTCTCTTTTATCAGGCCTGGATATTTTGGGGCAATGCTGGGCTGTCCTAGTACTCCCTGCCTGTTCCAGTTGATCCAGGCTCCTTAAAGCTCCAACAGTGTGGATTCTGTGAGCATCACGAAAGCCCAAGGGTGGTGTCTCTCCAGGTGTCAGAGAGCCAATGGTGAGTGAGAGAACCCCCCGGCCAGGGCAGCAGAGAAGCCTCATGCCCACCAGTGCCAATAGCCTGGCATGGGAGCAGCCCTCTTTGTACAGGAAAATGGGCCACATTTGTCTTTAACATTTGCTTCTTGTCCAAAGCATTTTAGAGTGTGATGGACATGAAATGATGGAGACAGTGTGTATCTACTTCCCTTGAAAGCTCCTCCAGCGAATCCAGAGCCAGCATCTTCCTGTAGCATCTGCCCCTCCCTCCCTTTCAGGCCTGTGGTAACATCTCCTCCTGCAGAACCTGGGCCCTGCTATCCTGCCATCAAAGGGTGGAGAGCCTGATGGTCTGTGAAATTCCCAGGGAAGGTTCAGGTATCAGAAATGCACTGAAGAACCACCTGAGCTCACTCTGTTAATGGCGATATTTCACGTGATTTATCTGGAAGGGTTGGTAACTGATATGGTAACAAATCTCATCTTGAATTCCCACATGTTGTGGGAGGGATCTGGTGGGAAGTAACTGAATCATGGGGGCAGGTCTTTTCTGTGCTGTTCTCTTGATAGTGAATAAGTCTAATGAGATCTGATGGTTTTAAAAAGAGGAGTTCCCCTGCACAAGCTCTCTCTCCCTGTCTGTCTGCTGCCATCCATGTAAGATGTGGCTTGCTCCTCCTTGCCTTCTGCCATGATTGTGAGGCTTCCCCAGCCACTTGGAACTGTAAGTCCAATTAAACCTCTTTCTTTTGTAAATTCCCCAGTCTCGGGTATGTCTTTATCAGCAGCGTGAAAACGGACTAATACAGAAACTTAGCCTGGAGGTCCTGATTAACAGCTAACGCCTCCACCCTTACACATAGCTTCTGTTTTGTAGTAAGTGCTCAAATGACTGTTGAAAGAAGAAATCACGAACAACTGTCTGACTGCCCTCTCTTTTGTCTAGAGGTAGTACAGTTCAAATTGGTTCGGTGGTACTGTGTTTACAAAGTCCACTTTCTGACAGCTCCAACCAGCTTTCTTGCAAATTTCAAAAGCCTCTTTCTTTGGGCCTGGGAACTAGGTTGGCCAAATAAAATACAGGAGACCCAGTTAAATTTGAATTTCAGGTGAACAACAAGTAATATTTTTGGTGTGTGTCACAAACATTGCATGGGACATACTTACTGTTTTCGATTCCTGTGGCTGCTGTAGGAAATGACCAGAAACTTGGTGGCTTAAAACAACAGATATTCATTCCCTCACACTTCTGAAGGCCAAAGTCCAAAATCAGGATCACTAGGTTGAAGCTAAGGTGTCAGCAGGGCCACACTCCCTCTGGAGCTCCAAGAGAGAACTGGTTCCTGGCCTTTTCTGGCTGCTGGTAGCTGCCAGCAGTCCTTGGCTTGTGGCCACCTCACTCCAATCTCTGCCTCCATCACCACATTGTCTTCTCTTCTGTGTTTTCCATCTCTCTCTTCCTTCCTCTTACAAGGATGAGTGTGACTGCATTTAGGACCTACCTAGATAATACAGGATAATCCCCCCATCTCAAAATCCTTAATTTAACCACATCTGCAAAGACCCCTTTTCCAAATAAGATCACATTTACAGGTTCTGGAGATTAGGACCTGATATCTTTGAGGGACATTATGCAGCCTATGCCAATTATTTGTTGTTATCTGAAATTCTAATTTTCACAGATGCCCTGTGTTTTAATTTGCTAATTCTGACAGCCCTACCTGGGACCACACCTATTAGGAGACAGCAAGGATTTAAGTGATTTTCCTTCAACTGGCACCACCCTTCCTTGTGTGGTGGGGAGAGGCCCAGTCCACAGACCCAGCCCTGTTCATCAAGATCTTTTATCTTTGAAGTGGGGCTTATAGTTTACAGTGGCATTCCAGTTTTCAGGAGAATCTAAGGCATTTGGCTTAACTTTTGAACAGATCATGGCAAACAGTACATGTATTCCCACTTTTAGCATTCAAAACTCCAAATACAGACCTGTTCCCCTCCACCCTCCAGGAAGGTGGAAAGATGAGCAAATAAATATATAAGTTATGTATCTGTTCCCCTTTCTGTTCTCAAGTCTCTTTAAGAAAGGCCTTTTTTGTTGTTGTTGTTTGTTTGTTTTTTGAGAGCAGGTCTCGTTCTGACGCCCAGGCTGCAGTGCAGTGGCGCCATCATGGCTCGCTGCAGCCTCAATTTCCTGGGCTCAAGTGATCCTCCTGCCTCAGCCTCCTGAGTAGCTGGGACTACAAGCGCACACCGCCATGCCCAGCTAATTTTTAAAAAATTTTTTGTAGAGACAGGGTCTCCCTATGTTGCCCAGGCTGGTCTCGGACTCCTGGCCTCAAGTGATCCTCCCATCTTGGCCTCCTGAAGTGCTGGGATTCCAGGCGTGAGCCACTGCACCTGGCCCTGTTTTTGTCATTTGAGACAGGTTCTCGCTATATCGCCCAGGCTAGTTTCAAACTCCTGGGCTCAAGAGATCCTCCTGCCTCAGATTCCCCAGCAGCTGGGACTACAGGCGCAGCCACTCACCAGTGTGGCCTTAGGGTTTTTGTAGTCAATATTGAACTCACCCACTCATCCATTTATTCACTCGTGAATCAATTACTGAGTGCTTATTCTGTGCCATGTGCTATGCCCGGCACAGAAGACACAAAGATGAATAAAGCATCTCCCTGCGATGGGCGAGTGAGGGAGGCTGGATCCCTGGGGAAGCCCAAAGAGTGGAATTAGACAACATTGTGGAAATTAAACACAAATAACGGGCACTAGTGATGTGAAGGCAGCATGATTCCATTTGATGTGAAACTAGAAGGATAGAAACTCATTTACCAATTATCTTTAAATTCTAACAACTATTTTTAGCCTTTAGATGTGGAAAAAATAACTTGTATTACAGGATGTGTTACCTAACTGTCTGCTTTAACATGATGGTGGTTTTCCTCCTTCTGTCTTCTAGATCCCTGGAAATGTGGGTGCATATGAGGCTCCCTCTGCCTCCTCCCACAGCCATATGAGCTGCCGCCTCCTAGGAGAACCTGGCAGGGCCGGCAGCACCCCCAGCTCCCCAGTTCAGCCCAGAAGGGGGCTGCCTGGACTCCAAGATTTCTCCCTTCACCCGCGGCTGCCTCCTGCCCCCATGACTACAGTGTGGTGAGCACTTTTTGGTACAAATTATGCCTCACTGCAAATACATCTTAGTTTTTTTTTTTTTTTTAAGGAAAAAGCCATCTGTTGATTTATTTATCATATGGCACAAATTCTCAAGCTGAAATTCCAGGTCTCTGCCCATGAAAAACAAAACAAAAGCAAAAACACTTTTTTTTTGTCTTTGGGGGAGAAAAGCAGTGAGGCACTGGCAGTTTAATAAAGGGTAGGACCCCTAGGCTAAAGCAGTGAATGGGAAAGCTAGGGGGAAGACCATGCCCCAGGGAGCAGAAGCCCAGGCGTAAGAAGCACAAATCCTGGGTTCGAATCCCCTACCGGCCTCAAATTAGCCACGGGACTCCAGGTGCCACTTGACTTCTCTGAATCCCTCTGAACCTCCCTGAATCTCAACGTCCTAATCTGTAGAAGAGGGGAAGGAATTTTTCACTCACAGGCTCATGTTAAGAATCAAATGAGATCATATAAACTGTAAAGTACTATCCACTTGTTAGTAATTTGGGGAGTGGGGGGACCTCCCAGCACCCTGAAATCACATCGTGTGGGCTACCCAAGTGTGAGGACACCCCGTGCCTGTGTGTTTCCAGTGCCCCCATATCACTCTCCTGTCTCAAACACCTAGAGGTTGACATCCAAATAACAATATTAAAGTGACTCAGATTTATTATTTTTTTGAAATGGAGTCTCACTCACTCTGTCGCCCAGGCTGGAGTGCAGTGGCGCGATCTCAGCTCACTGCAACCACTGCCTCCCAGGTTCAAGTGATTCTCGTGCCTCAGCCTCCCAAATAGCTGAGATTACACGTAGTGCTCCACCAGGCATGGCTTTTTTTTTTTTTTTTTTTTTTTTTTTGAGACAGAGTCTTGCTCTGTCAACCAGGCTGGAGTGCAGTGGCACCATCTCGGCTCACTGCAACCACCTCCTGGATTCAAGTGATTCTCTCCTGTCTCAGCCTCCCTAGTAGCCAGGATTATAGGCACATGCCATCATGCTTGGCTAATTTTTATGTTTTTAGTAGACACGGGGTTTCACCCTGTTGGCCAGGCTGGTCTCAAACTCCTGACCTCAGGTGACCACCTGCCTCAGCCTCCCAAAGTGTTGGGATTACAGGCATGAGCCACCACACCCAGCCTAATTATTTGTATTTTTAGTAGAGACAGGGTTTTGCTATGTTGCCCAGGCTGGTCTTGAACTTCTGGCTTCAAATGATCTGCCCACCTCAGCCTCCCAAAGTGCTGGGATTATAGGAGTGAGCCATCACGCCCAGCTGACTTCGATTTGTTATTGGGACTGACCTTCTAATTAGTCCAGATTGGATCAATATTTGTGTATCCAGAAAGCCAGGTAGTCCCAAGTGTTCTCTGCACATTGTGGGCCCAGTAGGAGGCAGGGCTTATCCCACTGGAAGGTGGCAGTCTTAGGAGCCTTAGTAGTGGAGTCCCCGTGACATGGGGTCCAGGTGTCGATCTCTCTGTTGCCATTGGGCAGCCCAGGGCACACTGGTTGCATCTGTCCCCCGGGCACAGGGTGTTCGTGGTCTAAGGCTATGACCAGTGTGCCCTGGGCTGCCCAATGGCGACAGAGAGATGCCCTCTGCCCAGCTCCTAATTTTGCACTCAGGGCTGCGTGCCAAGGTGCCCGCACTCTGCAGCTCCTGCTGGGATCCACGGGGGCCTATGCAGGCCATGCTCAGGGCCAGGACTGATGATACTGTCTCCAGGTGGCTCCACCCTTCAGTTTTGGATGCTTCTAAAACTTTTCTTGAAGAATGACTCAGTACTCACCCTTAATACAATTTATAGGCTGAAATGATCCCTCTGCCTGCTCCACCTGCTCCAAACCCTGATAAAACAGAAACTAGGGTGGGATATCACATATGGTATCTTCACTTTGTAGCTGGTGGATTTTTTTAAATGTGGAGGAGAACGTGGGAGGCAAGACCAGAACTGAGAAATGACTCTTGCTTTTAGTTAGAGGGAGGGTGGCTGTGGGAAGTGTATTTCAACGCCATGAAAGTACCCTGTGAGGTTGCAAATTCTAAGTAATTCGATATGCATAACCCCAGCCTCAGCTGTGTGAGCTCCTCCCTTCTCTGTTCCCCATCACTCCCCCTTTTCCTGGTCCCAGAGTGTGAACCACATTGGTGTAGACATGGGGAAAGTAAAGTGGATTTTTGAGGAAGGGGGATCAGGTAGTGTAGCCCAACAGACTAGAAAATACAGACTCAGTCTCCTCACCTCCCCTCTCACTGTGACCCTTTTTCTTAACAGTAGAGGGCTGACTTTGTCTGCCTTGCTCAGGGAAACCGCCCCACTTTTAATTAAATTTCTCCCTGTAGATGCTGTCTGGGAAGCTGAATGTCATCTTCCCTGGGCTTACCTGCCAGGCTCCTCTCATCCACATCTTCCAGCCTCTAGCCACATGGGCCCCTCCGGAAAGCATGTGTGTGTGGGGGGTATGTGTGAACATTTTTCATGCTTGATGTGAGCCAGAAGAAAAATGAGCTTCTCTATTTGATAAGTGTGGACCTGCCCACAGCACTAAATTTGGTTCTGCCGTCACCGGCGCCATGAAGCAGCAGCCTGGTTTAGAGGCTTGCCTTTGGTTTCAAATAATTTCTCCAGGCTCATGTTACATATGACCCATTCACAGAGGCTGGAGGGCATGGCTTCTCCAGTCCTTAGCACTAAAGACGTGTCTTTTGGCTCCTGCACGACTAGCACAGGCAGTAGAACCAGATGGGGGATGCTCTGAGGTTGCAGAGGCAGGAAGGCAAGCGGGAGAGAGCTTGGGCCTGGACAGAGGGATGAGCTGGCTCCCTCCCCAGCTGTGAAATCTCTAAGTCTCAGTTTGCTTCTCTGCAAAATGAGGATAATAATCCCCACCTCGGGACTGAGGATTAACGAGGCAATGGTTTTAGCAGAATAATCCACTGCTGCTATTATTATCAGCATCTTCGTATAGCAAAACTCATTTGGACCAATGGGGAGTGCGTTAAGTTGGTCTGAAGTAGGGCAAAGGAACGATTATAGAATGTTTCAAAGGAAATGTGTTTTTTATTATTTCCATGTATATAGAGTACTGGAACTGAGTGCTAGGAGGTGGAGAACTGACTTGATTTAAATAAGGAGAGCTCATTTGACATTGGCCTGTTTGATTTCTCAACATCCAACTGTGTTAATAAAGAGGGTTTTGAGCTATCTATGTGCCCAGCTCTGTGACTAGAGAAGGAAAGTCACATAAGACACAGTCCTTGCCCTCACAGGACGTGCAACCTGTGGGCAGATGAGTCCTACACAGGAAGCGGGGGCAAGAAGGAAACTGTGAGGCACTGGGGAGCACGGCGCTGCCACAGGTGAGAGGAAACGCGTAGCCTCTGGACCTTGAGTGCCAAGGCTGGGGAAAGCTTCGGGGAGGACGGACACTGAGGAAGGTCAGGTCGATTTAAATAGGGGGTGGGGCAGGGAGAGAGGGGCAAGGCTGCCATGGGTGAGCAAGGGGCAGAAAGAGCACGGCATCTATGAAGGAGCCACAGGGCAGGCTGGCAGGAGGCGGGACTGGGCAGGGAGGTGAGCCAAGGTGTGGGGACCCGGGCAGGCAGCTCGAGGCCAGCTTGGCTTAGCAGGCGATGCCCATGGCAGGACCACACTTGGAGAGGGCCAGGGCAGGTGACGGGGTTGCTCTGGGAAGAATTTGGCAATGGCATGCAAAACGGATTGGATATGAATTTTGGAATTGAAACAGGGAACAACTCATTATTGTTTCCATAAGGATCCGAGGGTGAGATGATAAGGTCTAAAATCATTTTATCGCTGGTGAGAGTGTGACTGGAAAGAGAGGGGCAAACTGAGGCAATGCCTGGAAGAAACTGGCGGGTCTGTTCCAGGATGTGGAGGGAGAAGAGCTTAAGGCTCCATGGCTTGCCACATTCGGGACTGGAAGATGGCAAATTCCAGTGACCGAAGTGCACAGACCAGGTGGTAATGGGGGCAGCATTTTACTAAAACGCAAGGCTATGGGGCCACTGGACACCCAGGACTGGCACTCAAACCTGGCCACGCTGGAGAAGAGATGGGCCATTGTCAGGGTGGGGGTTATGCATACACCCTGAAATACCTCCCACCATCCACGCTCCGGAGAAACCCTCCATTTACAGGGTGAAGGCAAACTGACTTTAGCCCCGCTCTGGCTCAATTCAAATGCCAGGTGCAAGCAGTTCAATTAACGCGCCTGCCCCGTGCCTTTGACACCAAACAGATGTCAGAATATTACACCATCCAAGTCAACGCCTGGCTTTAATTTAATCACTCATGCCTTAATCGATTCCTGTCACATGCTAAACACTGTGAGTGGTGGGGAGAGGCTGCTCCTAGGCATAATTAGAATATGAGATTCTGTACCAAGTCCCTGTCTGGTTAGGAAAAAACTGAAAACTCCAGAAAAAACAGAAAAGCTCCCAGGAAATTCCATCCAAGGGTCGTGACTTGAGCCCAGAAGGAAGTCCCAGCCCTTCCCCAGAGAAGTCAGCACTGGCAGGGGCTGGAAATCACTTGAGGTCATGCTCAAGGCACCCCCACCCACTGTCTTGCACCCTGGTTTGGGGCTCCTTCCTTCCAAAGAAGGGGACAGACAAGATCAGTGCAGGCTGGGCTGTGGCCACCCATGCATCCCTCCTGGGCACGGACCCTGCTGGCTCAGCCCTCACCCCTAGGAACCAGCTGCACTGTCTGACTGACGCTAAGGGAGCCAGGTGGCAGCAGCTATACTATTTCAGGTCAGGCTAAAGTCAGCCCACCAAAGACTTCAGATCAGCACCTGACTGCGGCTCCTGGGAGGCATCCCCCAGCCCTGCAGCACTTCTGAGAAGCTCAAAGGAATTCTCTTAAGTTGTTTTATTTCAGTTCTATGACTATGCGAACAGAAGAGAGGCCACATTATCATCCATTCTGAGGGGGAAGACAGTATAATCTCCATTTCTCAGATGGAAATATGGAGGCATGGGAAATCTTAATCTTGGCCAAAAATCTCTTAGTTGACAAATGAATTCAGGGCTTGGCAACCCTAAGCAGCCAGTGATAACAGGGGCCCACAAATGAGGGAGTAGCTTGCTTCTGGAATTCAGTCTTGCTGGTAACAAACGATAAGATCTTTTTAAAAGTCTTTTTATTTTTATTTTTTTTAACTCGGCCCAGATTGTCAACTTATGAATCCTACTGATTAAAAATTTTTTCTTGCATTTCTCATCAGCCATCGAACATTGGTTCATGATTATTTATAGCACTTAATGACATTGAAAGGGATTTATTTCAATTTATTCAGTCTTTATTAACACTCCACAGGGAACAGAGTGCAGCCGCCACTGGCCTTTTCTCAGGCACAGTTGAGATGCTAAGAAGGGAGGAACTTCACCACTAAAGGAAGAACTGAACCCGGTGGAGAGAAGCCCAGGAGGCAAGTTATCCCTATAGGATTATCCAGGAAAAATATTAAATAGGTTTTAATAAGGTTCAGGTGAGTTTATGAATGATCACTTCATTATTCAAGCGGATTTAGGGATGTTCTGCAAAATCCTCCGTTTCTAAGCTGGCCTCATGGGGACCAGCAGCAGAGGCAGAGGCTGAGCCGCTGCACTGGGGATTGGGGCCAGCGTGGAATTTCCCCTGCTCATAGGGAAAAGACAAGACAGAAAACGGATGGTGGGAGGGCTGATGACTCTTCCAAATGGCTATTCCTGATGTTTCCTGGCAATGAGCAGCTATGAAAGGGACAGGTTCACATGCGACTACACCATGACTTTTGCTATGCCCCAGTGTAACAGGAGGTTATAGACAACAGTTTTATTTGCATATATAACCTTTGCTTGGCTTATTAACATATTGCTGATTTAAATTCTGATACATTGTCAAAGTAGAAAGCTGTTCGGGTTTTCGGCAAGCCCAGTATAAAAAATGCAGGCATGCAACAAATAGGTAGTGAATATTCACATTTAAATACATGTAAATATAAATAGAATTAAAACAAAAGTTTAGAGACAGGGCCTTGCTGTGTTACCCAGGCTGGAGTGCTATGGGACAATCATAGCTCACTGTAGCCTTGAACTCCTGGGCTCAAGCGATCCTCCTGCTTCAGCCTCCCAAGTAGCTAGGGCTACAGACACATGCCATCATGCCCAGCTAATTTTTACAGTTTCCTTTTGTAGAGACAGGATCTTGTTTTGTTGCCCAGGCTAGTCTCAGACTCCTGGCTTCAAGTGAACCTCCCACAGTGCTGGGATTACAAGTGTGAGCCACTGAGCCTGGCCTCATTTATATATATATATGTGTATATATATATAATATATATATAATATATAAAAAATATATATAATATATATAAAATATATAATATATATATAATATAAATAATATATATATTATATATTATATATATTATATATATAATATATAATATATATAATATATATAATATATAAAATATATAATATATTATATATACATATATAATATATAATATATAATATATATTATATATGAATATATATAATATATTATATATTATATATGAATATATTATATATGAATATATATAATATATTATATATTATATATGAATATATATAATATATTATATATTATATATAATATATATAATGTATATAAATATATATAATATATATAATATATAATATATAATATATAATATATATAAATATATAATATATATAAATATATAATATATAATATATATAATATATATAAATATATATAATATATAAATATATATAATATATAATATATATAAAATATATATATATAAAACCAAAGATATTCCTTTTTTTTTTTTTTTTTTTTTTTGAGAAGAAGTCTAGCTCTGTCGCCCAGGCTAGAGTGCAGTGGTGCGATCTCGGCTCACTGCAACCTCCACCTCCCGGGTTCATGCCATTCCCCTGCCTCAGCCTCTCGAGTAGCTGGGACTACAGGCGCCCGCCACCACGCCCGGCTAATTTTTTGTATTTTTAGTAGAGACGGGGTTTCACAAAGCCAGGATGGTCTCAATCTCCTAACCTCATGATCTGCCCGCCTCGGCCTCCCAAAGTGCTGGGATTACAGGCGTGAGCCACCGCGCCCAGACTGCCTGATGTTGCCCTGATTAATTACCCAAGAAGTCTCTTTCTGGGGGACAGGCCATGGGAGGGGGATGAGGCAAGACAATAGTTTGGTGCCACTGTTCAATTAAGAACAACTGGAAACAGGTACCACTGAAATGACCTGCAAATCAATGGCAGAACTGGATCCGATCCAGGACAACTCTGTTGACACATGATTTAGAACGCTGGCTCCAATTCAGGAGGAGGAGCTGTCCTTTACGCTGGGGGAGGAGCACCGTCCCACGGTTCCATGAATTGGTCCTTCCCAGCACTTCGTTCTTGGCATTCTGTGGCGTCTGTAGAGCACATGACAAGCAATTACAGAGCCAGGGGTCTTCTAATATCCTTGCTATCCCAGGGAGGAGGACACAAGCATGAAAGTGCATCCCTGGACTTTTTGTGGTGAAACTGCAGACTTAGATCCCAAGATAACATCACCAGCCTTCTCAGTAAAACAGAAAACTGGGCCATAGGCTGGAAGGAAAACCAGCAGCTGGGACTAGAGATAATTATGTCCCTCTTCTCTTTGATGCCTGGATTTAGCAGTAGGGTGGACGGGGCCAAAGGAGAGGAATGAATGAAACATTATTATCAATTGCTTCAGATTTAATTCTCACTTGCTGATTTAAAACTGTTTTTAGTGTTGGACATTGATCTAAGACTCTTTCCTCAGGGGAGTTAATATAGCAAAGGGAATTTAAACTTATTTTCAGTCTGTTGAGGAGGATTTTACCCTCTTAAGTTGGGATTCTATGTGAATGACTTCAAAGTGCTGTGCTAGTCCTGGCAGACAGACAGAAGATGGGCGGGGAGAACACCCACCTTTTACTAATTTATAAGTTTCCCCAGTAGGTGTTCTTCTGATACCCTGTAAGAATAAGACATGAAGGTCTGTAAACATGCAAGGCTGGGGTCCACACAGCCTGATCTGCAGTCAGGACTGCCTCTTATCACAGCCAAGCACTAACTAAAGGTCATCTGTGCCCATTCAAAATCTTGTATGTACACCAGACTTGCTATAATAATCACATATCCTAAATAAGGTGCAAGCTGGCCGGGCGCGGTGGCTCACACCTGTAATCCCAGCACTTTGGGAGGCCGAGGTGGGTGGATCACTTGGGTCAGAAGTTCGGGACCAGCCTGGCCAACATGGCGATACCCCATCTCTACAAAAATACAAAAATCAGCCGAGCATTATGGTGTGTACCTGTAGTCCCGGCTACGGCGGAGGCTGAGGCGGAATTGCTTGAACCCAGGAGGTGGAGGTCGCAGTGAGCCAAGATTGCGCCATTGCACTTAAGCCTGGGCGATAGAGCGAGTCTCCGTCTCAAAAAAAGATTAAAAAATAAGGTGCAAGCTGATGGAGTAAAAGTGCTGAGGAATAAGCTCTTCAAATCATTCAATGATTTTAAGAAAATTTAGTTGAATGTTTTGGAAAGACTTCATAAAGGTGAGTAATATTTACTATCAAATGGGATGGTAAAGACCATGAAAAAAAAAAAAAAAGTAAAATCCCTGAAGGATTCTGCATTCAGATGACTCCACAATGTAAACCCAAAATCCAAACTGAAATCGGAGGACCCAGACAGTGCATTATTAATGTGGCATAGGCAAAACAGACAAGAAATTTCAACTGGCTGATCCAGACACCAAGAGAAGACCTGAGCCCTGTGTCAAAAGATGGGTGAACAAATTCACATTTATATAGTTTCGGTTAAAGTAAAATCTTGGAAATCTATGTGTATCATTTAAATGATTTTCTGATATAATGACTTTTTAAAACTGATATATTGTTACTCAGTCTTGATTTAAGCGATAAGAAGGCTTCTTAGGCCGAATTTATTAATTCATACATGACTATACTTATTGGATACATGGAATTCCTAAGATTCAGTACACCACAAGTTTGCTTTATTTAATCCTTTTCTACTCTACTCTCAACCAACCACCCTGAAATCTGTTTGCCAGTTTACCAATGTCAGCACTCTGTTGAATTACTTCATTTGTAAAATCTCTTCTTTACCTCCTTCGCCTTCCCTGACTGCCATTACTTTCTCGATCAGCCCTCACTTTTTATTCAACGAGTAAACTGGAAAGATCTCTGAACCCGATGTACTAAGCCAGGTCACCCTGCCCGGGATGGCTGGCGGGAAGGCAGGTCGGTTTGGGCTGGTGGAGAGCACGCAGTTTATTCCTGGCATGGAGTGGATTTCAGGAAGAAGATGAGGCAGGGACAGCAGATGACAAATCTCTGCTTGCCTGTGGCAAGAGTTCTGTGTGTACATTTAAACATGGGTGTGTGCAATTTTCAGAGGATCCACTTCTGCCCAGTTTGGTGCAGGGGAGCTGGGTAGTTGCCGACTTTTCCTATCTTGATCCCTACTCAGTGTAACAATTTATCTGTACAACTGATTCCATCACCAGGATCTTTAGACCCCTCTGGTCATTCAGCCAATCACAAGCACTTATCCACAGGACGCTGCCGATGATGGCATTTACTGAGCAGTTACTATGTGCTTGGCCCTAGTGAGTACCGGGTTAGCTTGTGTGAACCCCATGGCAACCCGTGAGACAGGTACCATCATACTCCAAGTTGTGGATGACAAAAAACTCTCCAAGCAGCTAAACAATATGGCTTAGGTCTCACAGTGAGCAGGGAGCTGGGACTTGTGCCCAGGAGGCCCGATCAGAGCCTACCTCCTTAACCATTAGGCCAAACTGCCTCCACATGCAGAACACTGCCCTACACTGGGGACCTGGGGGAGGGTAACAGTGTCTGCCCTTGAGCTGCTCCCAAACCTTCCTTGAATAGCCTTGGCACAAAATGCATTTCTTGGGGACTCGCTGACATGGTGTTTGGATTTCTATCGGGTCCCTGATTGGGCTCAGCATGGAGCCTGATGAAATATGAAAAAAGCAAAGAAAATTAAGGGACTATACCTGGAAGTTGTTCGAGTTTATATTTTGCTGAAGCCCATTCTATCTGCATGCTTACAGAAAGTTTCCTAACTGGAGAACCCAGAAAGCTCAAAACCTGTTATGGGCCAGCCTCAAATTCCTCCTCACACTCAGTTGGGAGCCATCTGGGCAGGCAGAGAACCTGGCAGAGGTGGCAGGAGCATGGCACCTGGAGACAGGAAAGGAATTCTTGGACAGCAAACTCTTTGGCAAGGCAACAGGGGCGAGACAGAGGATTCTCAGGTAGCCCCAAGGTACCACAGTATAATGGAATACTTATTGCAAAGCCTGGGCCCCAGGAAGTGAGAAAAGCCTCCCAGGCCCATCTTTGCCAAAAGATTCTTACAAGAGGACTTGCCTATGCCCACCCAACTCAACCCACACCCACAATCTCAGAGCAGGCCTCATCAGTGGGCGCCAACGCTTTCACCTTGCCGAGGTACAGAACCTAAGCTGGGGATCTGATGTCCCTAAACCTCAGAGACTTGACCTTGGCCACACTGAATCTACGTCTTGATCCCCCAGTCTTGATTTCCAGCCTTCCCTGGGTCAATCAAACCAGCTGCCCCGTCATATGGCAGAGCAGTCCAGAAACCCTGGATTGGGGGAAGAGGTTTAAGGACCTTAGGAAGAGATATTTGCTCTTTGTTTTATAAACAGAGCACCAATGTAGAGTGAAATGCCTTGCTCTCTGTGTCGGGGCCAGATAAGAAATTGAGAGCTTTAACTCCACATCTCCCTAACCTTATTCTGGGTCATGCTCCGATTACAGACTCTTGTAAAAATTCATCTGTGAGACAGTGGTTTTGGAATCAATATTCCACTGGGTCAATGTTATAGATCATATCTGGGTTCCCAGACTAGTCCACAATGGCCAAGTAAACCCACATGTGGCTGAGAGGGGAGGGAACTAGTGTCAGGCAACCAGCTCCACCACCCACTGGCTCTGTGACCTTTAGCAAGTTACTAACCCTCTCTGTGCTTCAGTTTCCCCATCACGGAGATAATAACAGCACCTGCTACATAGCGGAAGTGTTGTGAGGATTAAATGAGATAATCTTAGCAAGCACTTAGAATAGGGCCTCCTAAAAGACACTCAATGAATGTAATTAAGATAGCAGTGCCAGTGTCAACCCCAGCAGTGGTGACATTGGGGCTGGGTCATATTTTGATGTAGGAGACTGTCCTGTGCCTTTCTTGTAGGATGTTTAAAAGCATTCCTGGCCTCTACCCACAAGATGTCAGTAGCACCCTCCCCGAGTTGTGAAAACAAAAACATCTCTCTAGACATCTCAGTGGCCCCCAGTTGAGAACCATGGTTTTACAGGAAAACAGCTGAGAGTCCCTGCTGGAACATGAGGACTCCTCTCCCTGCTGCAGCCCAGCTGGTGAGGCTGGGGTCTTCTCTTCCCGTCACCTGCTGAGGTGCCCCCCAAACGCCAGCTCCATGTCACTAGTGGAAGCACCTAACTCCTGGGCATGGCAAGTTAGGAGTGGCCAGGGGGGTGTTTCTGGGAGTGTGAGGGGGCTTTGGGGGTCTCTGAACACGGTGATGAGGAAAGTGGTGGTGGAGGAAAGAGCAGAGTCAAACGCAGTTTCCCACCCGCTTCCCACTGTATTTCCCCATTTATCCTTCATGGATAAAATCCATTTGGTATGGACCGAATACCTCTTGTATGTCTAGCACTGTATTAGGCCCCTACGGCTGTTTTTATTTGTTTTTGAGTGATTCTTTTTCAAGGAGGGAGTAAGGAAGATGCTAAATAAATACATCAGTAGAAGGCAAGGTCCAGTTGGAAAATTATCACATGTCCAATTGGAAAAATAACACGTGTTCGTACATATAGCCACAGAGCTACTGAAACCACACACATAAATGCTGAGGGAAAGTGGAATAAAACAGTTTCTTTAAATTTTCAACAAATGGACTGTAACAACAGATGTTAAAAAGGCAGAAGGAAAACCACAATCTTATCCCATCTCCAGGCTGGCACCGACCTCCAAGGGCATGAGGGTCAAAGGGCACGTTTAATAGAAAGGCCACTTTTTCCAACCGGAATAAATCTAACCTTTCCTCAATCAAAGCGATTCTAAGTTTTCTAACAATTTATGGGCAGTATCCATTTCTTTTGTTCCTGTCGGAGGAGCAATGCCTGATATTAGAAACCACTTAAAAGTCACGCCCTTCCAGCAGGAACAGTCATGGACTGTCACTCATCCAAAACCCAGCAAAGCCAACAAGCCCCTTCCCCAAATCGTCCAAAGGTGAACCCAAGAGCCAAGCCAGGTTATTGCTATATAAACATCTGTTAGAGAAGCAAACTTGGCCAAGGAATGTATGAGCTTCAAGAGTCACTCCGGACCTGCGTAGCAGGGGTGGGGGCAGGGGATACACTTATCTGTTTATCCATTAATTTGTTTATGGAGAGGGAGGATTTGGAGATGCTTATACAGTAATTATAATACAATGCTTATACAGTAAATACAATGCTTATACAGTAAATATAAGCAGCCATCACAAAACACAAAATGGCACCCCAGAATCAACCGCGGTGGGAAAGACATTTCCCTGTCTCCTGTAGGATGGGTCAGTTAAGGGGCCGAGGGGGATCAGATAGAACTCAAATTGGTCCTGCTGAGCCTGGAGCCTGAGCACGCAGAGGGGTGAGCTAGGCAGTCGCTGTCGGAGCCCCCATCATCCCTTCCAGCCTGGACCATTCTGAGACGGAGGTTTGGAGTTACAGGTGTGTGAGCGCCAGAGGGTGAGAGGGGTCACTCGCTCGGAATGTAAGAGCTCCCGCCTGCTGGGAATGGGGAGGAGTCGTCGATGGCCCCAGGATCCGTGCCCAGACATTTCCAGAGGCGCACCGGCTGGTTCAGCACCCCACCGTCATCCGCGCAAAAGCTGCATCCCTCGAGGTCCTGGAGCGAAGCCATTTCCTTAAAGCGCGCGCAGAGCCAGGATAGAGTTTCCTACGAAGGACCGTCCCCCTGAGGTTCCTCCATTAACAGCGCCCCCGGCCTTGCCCACCGCAGCGGCCCCACCAAAGCGCCAACACATTTCAAAATGGAGCGAAATCGCAGAAGCGCGGAGTGCGCTTTGTTCCCAGCATTGGGCTAAATGCGCTCATCCCCACCGGGCTCCCTTTCCTCCAAAGGCAGGAGGTGACATCTCTGCTCGCGAGATGGCAATACGTAGCCGTGGCCGCGGGCTCCCCTTTTCCGGGGCCACCCCGAGACCCTCGCTCCATCTGGAAGGGGAACCCCGGGCCCAGCTCTGTCTGGGGGCGAGGGAGGAGAGACGATGCTTGAATCGATCCCTGAGCCGCTCTGCAACCCCAAGCGGCGGGCCCAGCCATGCGAGGAGCCTCGCAGTACCCAGGCTCCAGCCCTCTACGCCACCGTCAAGGAGGGTCGGCCTGGTCCCGGGCGGGCAGCCAAGCCATTCCCCAGAAATTCAGATTAACCTGGACCCGCGTGGAGGATTCAGCTCCTAGATGCTCTTCCGTCTCAGAAGTGCGCCCCCCGCACCAGTTTTCAGCGATAGAATTAACCAGAAAACCGTGCGTACCAGGTTCATCACAAGAGGGCGAGGCATGGATTCGTT
Organism: Homo sapiens; assembly: GCF_000001405.40. Taxonomy (NCBI): domain Eukaryota; kingdom Metazoa; phylum Chordata; class Mammalia; order Primates; family Hominidae; genus Homo; species Homo sapiens. The sequence continues at coordinate 891,373 of NT_167251.2, forward strand.
GGCCAGGAGTTCCCCCTGCCGCCCCAGACTCGGTTTTGGGGGCGCGGTGAACTTGGACACGGGTGAAATTTATTTAAGATAAATACTATTAATCAGTACGGACATAATATTAATAAAAATACACCCAGGGCCGCCTATCTGCTTGTCTGCGGCCTCCAGGGGCCAATCAGAAACAGCCTCAGGCGCGGGGGTTCGGGGCTTCCTCCCGTGTCCTCCAGGAGGCCGACTGGGCGCGGCTCCCCCTACCCCAGGGTCCCCAATCTCCGCAGGGAAGGGGTGAGGCCAGCCCCAAGATCCCCTCTCCGGACGCCTGTGGTTTCCATGGCAATCCCCCCTCTGCGCCCAGTCCAGTGGGCTCAGAAAGATGGGTGTGGCCGAAGCACCAGTAACCTTATGCCCCTTCCTCACATTCTCCGGCCAGGCGAAGCAACAGGGCGTAAAGCCGGAGAGGCCCCGCCAGGGCTCCCCACCCATCCCCGGATGGGTAGCCAGCGTCCCTCGCTGGGCAACCTGGTGTGGCGTGGCCCTCAGGACACTTGGGGTGTAGGGAGGGGCAAGATCCCTCTGCCGCCGCCCGCAGCGCGCACGGAGACTCGAATCCCATCCCTTCAGAAGCTTCCCGGCGCCGGCAGACTCCGAGACGAGGCTGCGCGCGGTCACGCCCGTTCCATGCGTGCCGGGGGTCGGGGGGTTGACTCGAGTTCATCGACCCCAGCAAGCCTCGAGATCCAACAATGGGCTCGGAAATGAGGAGCGAAAAAGGAAAGAGAGGCGCATGGGCGTAGGGGGGAGGTCGACTAAACACCCTCAGAATAAAAGCCAGAAACCAGGGCTGGGAGCGCAGATCACGTAACCTCTACAGACAAAGCAAAGAGCCCCCGAAGAAGGTGCTGGGCGAACGCCCCCAGTGCTCACGCCCGCAGCAGCAAAACGCCAAGATTTCAGCGCTGATTGTCCCCCTCCCTTTAATGCCAAGCCCCGCCCTGTCCTATGAAGCCCGGCCACCCGGTTTGGCATGGCACCGTAAAGACGTGACACGCCGAAAAAAGATGGCACCTCGCGTTCCGAGGGGGAAAAAAAGGGGGGGTGGGGGCGGGAGTGGGAGGAGGCACAGCCTATCCTCCCCCCTCCTCGCCCACCAGGGTCCACACCCACTGCCGCAGTGAGGGGCGAGCCCTGCGCGCCAGCCCCGCGCCTCCGGCAGGGAGCGCACACGCCGGGCGCCCTGCGCTCCGAGCGCTGAGAAAGAAATCCGCCCCGAGATGCACCTGCAGCCCCGCGCCCATCCGTGCATGGCTGCGGCTGTGCGTGCCCGCGAACGGGGACCAGCGGCCGCCGAGTCCGTCCACATCGCCAGGCCAGGTGAACCCTGCCTTTGCGAGCGTGCACAGTGGGATCCGCGCACTGTTCTCAGGCACGGCGCTGCTCGCGTCTCTGTGCCAGGCGTGCGCAGGGGGAAGGGCAACTAAAGTGACAGCGCGTGGACCCCTCCCCATCTCCTCGATTTCTCCCAGCCCCCAAATGTCCCCTACGGGTTTCTGAAGGAGGAAAAGGGGAGGGGGCCGGCCCCCGCCTAAAATCAGGGGCAGTGAAGGCCCTGTCGGAATCACTGCTCGGGAGGTGCAGAGAGGGGCGTGCAGGGAGTCATCTTTTCTAGAACCCGATCCACGTCTTTCTTAGAGCTGATGGCGAACAGCGGCAGGGACAGCGGATTTCAGATTCGGTTTCGGGGGTCGTTATCGGACCCCTCCACACACACACACACACACACACACACACACACACACACACACACACACGCCCATTGCGGCAAAAGGCTGCAGTCGAGAGTGAAGGGCAGCCCCCTCCCCCAAGTCACCGCCGCCGCGCCCCACCCTGCCGGCACAGCCTCCACCTGGGGTCTGCGCGAATCTGGTGGTGAAGACCCTCCAGCACACACACACGCGCGCACTCACGCGTGCGTGCATCCCTTGCTCAGGTCCCTTTCCAGGCCGCCCTGGCCCCAGCCCCCGAGCAGGGGAGGCAGGGAGGGGCCCTGCGGTGGCCCCGACCGATGCCCGGCGCACGAAGCTCCAGTCTGCGGAGAGGGAGGGCGAGGGGCGGCGGCGCAGGGGTGCACAGAGGCGGACGGCGAGGCAGATTTCGGAGCCGCGGCGCTTACCTGATAGTCGACAGAGGCGAGGACGGAGAGGACAGCGGAGGAGGAGAAGGTGGCTGTGGTGGCGGCGGCAGAAGGTGGGCGGTGGCAGCGGCGCTGCTGTTGGTGCCGGAGCTGTTGGGTGGCGGTGACTGCGAGGGCGCGCGCCGGCGAAGAGGGCGCGTTCCTGAGGCCGGCGGGCGGCGCAGGCGCGAGCAGCGGGAACGCGAGCCTCCCCAGGGGAGGGGGCGGGCAGCGCGGCCTCCGCGGGAGCCTTCTCCTCCGGCCACCAGTGGGCGCGCGCGAGCGCCCTGCCGCTCGGCCGTCCGGCGTCTCCCGGCTCGTTCCTCTCGGCGCTGCCCTTTCGCGGTCCCCCTCCCGCTACGCCTCAGGCCGCGGCGCTGACCGCAGCGCGCACGCGCGTTCCGTGGCGCACGCGCTTTCTCCACCTCCTGTAGTTGGAGTCTTTGTCTCGTTGCGGGGGTGGGTGTCCTCCTTCGGGCCATGCGGGGTCGGGGCAAGGCCAGTGGCTCCGCCGCTGGGTCCGCTGCCCTTTACTTTCAGTCAGCCTGGGGCGGTGTCCTCTCCTACAGAGGTCCTGAGCGGCCTTCCACGTGGGCGGCCCTCGAGTCCGTCCGCCCCGACCCTTCGTAGTCCCGAAACCGCCCCCCTGGCTAAGGTCTCTTTCCCCCAGGCTGCTTCCTTTCTCCTTGCTTTTTTCCCACCTTTTTTGTTACTGACCAAGGTGAATCCTTTCCTTAACAAATCGGCTTAAAGCAAGCTAACTCAGTTACAATACAGTAGAACTGTACTTAAAAAAAAAGAAACGTGAATCTATGATGTATCTAACCGTTACGTCAGAAAAAAAAATCTTAGACGAATTTCAAACAGTGCTTAACACATCGCAGAGCATTTGCAGTTATTTGTATCACGTCTTTTGAAACACCTTTATGCTGTAAATAGAGCTTGAAGTCTGAATGTTTAAGGGCCAGCTAGAGATTGTCCCCTGGAAGACGCACCTCAGCCTGAAACTGACCAGTGGTCCTCATTCTGCTGGTCGCCCAGGCCCCAGGCTTCGGCCTTAGCTTGGATTTTTCATTTCCCCAACATCAAGTTTAAGCCCAAGCAGTGGGATGATTTCTATGTAGGGGGGTTTAGGGCAGCCATCTCCTCCTAGGGAGATGGGAAGTTGTCTTGAAGCTCCAATTTGCATAGCTCTTATATTCTTTTTAAAAAATCAACATATGTTATAGATTAATAGAAAAAGCAAGTAAAATGCTTTATTCACACAGTTTCTGGAACTGACCTTTTTCTCCTTTTTTTTTTTAAATGCATATTAACTTTATTTTTAAACAGAGGGGCATATACCCAAAGAAGTAGGAGTGAGAACCACCATGGGGGCTTGCTCAAAGCAATCTGACCTAGCCTTCTGACTACAGAATGTCTCATGAGCCAATGGCCTGGAGATGGAGCTGCCCCTTGATGGTGTACACCTTAGAAAAGTCAGTGGAATTGACCTTTTTTTGGAGACAAGGTCTTGCTCAGGCTGGAGTGCAGTGGCACAATCGTAGCTCACGGCAAGCTTGAACTCCTGGGGCTCAAGCAATCTTCCCACCTCAGCCTTCTGAGTTGCTGGGACTACAGGTGGGCACCACCACACCTGGCTAACTTTTTTTTTTTTTTTTTTTTTTTTAGAGAGGAGGTCTTGCAGTGTTGCCCAGGCTGCTTTCTAACTCCCACCTCAGCCTCCCAAAGCGTTGGGATTACAGGCATGAGCCACTGTACTCAGCCTGGAATTGACTTTTTGTTGTTGTTGTTCTAACTGCCACCATCCTAGTTCAAGACCTCTATCTTGGTTCTGGACATGTAGGGACCTTAGTGATCTCCTTGCTCTCCAGTTTCTCCCTATATCAGCCCACCCTGCAACCCCTGGTTAGATCAGTATTCAGAAGTGATCATTTTATTTATTTATTTTTGTTTTTTTGTGTGTGTTTGTTTTGTTTTTTTGAGATGGAGTCTCGCTCTGTTGCCCAGGCTGGAGTGCAGTGGCACGATCTCGGCTCACTGCAACCTCTGTTTCCCGGGTTCAAGCAATTTTCCTGTCTCAGCCTCCCAGCTACTGGGATTACAGGCATGTGCCACCACTCCCGGCTAATTTTTGTATTTTTAGTAGGACGGGATTTCACTATGTTGGCCAGGCTGGTCTCGATCTCCTGACCTCAGGTGACCCAAGCTCCTCAGCCTCCCAAAGTGCCGGGATTACAGGTGTGAGCCACCACACCTGGCCCAGATCATTTTAATTATGTCAATCTCTTGCTCAAAAATATGTAAAAGCTTCTAACTGCCTCCTAAATTAAGTTCAACCCCTTAGTTTAGCTTTCAAGTGTCCCCCCAATGCCCCTACCCCCCATCATCTGAGCCCTTGTCCTCCCATTTTCTTTCCCACCTACTCTGTAGCCAGCTGAAGTGGCTTGACTAGAACTCTTTTTCCACCTCTGTAATTCTGAGGTTTTCCTTTGCCTACAAAGGTCCTTGTTCTTTCTTCACCCACCAGTAGTCTACCTAACCTTCAAACTCTAGCTCAAATTTTACCAAAGCCTTCCCTAATCACCCCAACTGGAAGGGACATTTCCAGTCTCTAGAAGGAGTTCAGCAAAATTACTCTTCTTCTTTCTGAAAGTGGGAAGGGGGTGCAGTCAATATCCGTCTTGCAGCATTGAAATGTGGTTATTGTCCCCAATAGTGTCCCCTTTTTTTGGTGTGGGGATTATACATACTTGTCCATTACCATTTACATGATGTAGACATTCCAAATAGGCGCTTCAAGAGGCATTGCAAGGTTCTACCACTTTTACTCTTCCTTTCCGCCACCAGAATGGCGTGGCTCCAGAGAGCTGTTCCTTCAGCTTAGATCTCAGGATGGAAAAACTCGAGGAAGTACATGTCACATGAACAAGAAATAAACATTTGGGGCTGGGCGCAGTGGCTCATGCCTGTAATCCCAGCACTTTGGGAGGCTGAGGTGGGTGGATCGCTTGAGGTCAGGAGTTCAAGGCCAGCCTGAGCAACGTGGTGAAATCCCATCTCTACTAAAGTCACAAAAATTAGCCAGATGTGGTGGCGCGTGCCTGTGTTCCCAGCTACTCGAGAGGCTGAGGCAGGAGAATCGCTTGAACCCAGGAGGCAGAGGCTGCAGTGAGCCGAGATTGCACCACTGCACTCCAGCCTGTTACAGAGCAAGACTTGGTGTCAAAAAAAAAAAAAAAGAAATAAGCATTTGTTGTGCAAGCCACCGAGATTTGAGGAGTTGTTACCACAGCGTCCTGTATCCTGATTGATACAGGAATTAAATGAGGTGTGTGTGTGTGTGTGTGTGTGTGTATAAAGTTTCTTACACAACATCTGACAAATAGTCATTAAACTATCATACTATTATAAATACTATACTATTATACTATTATAAATACTAGTTATTTCATTATCATCTTTGTAATAATGCTTTTGCTACACATTATTTTATTTCTATATGTAAAATAAACTGTAGCAGTCAAATCAACACTCGTCTACATTCAAATTTCACATTTTTCCCCCTCTAAGATAACAGTATAATTGAGAACTGACAGGGACCTAATGACACTATGGTCCCCTCACACTGAATGGTCACATTTGCCTAAATTGAAATAATGTATGCTAGAAACAATCTTAAGCAGATCTGTCATTTTAACTATATGTGATGTAGAGTTGAATGTTCATTCCAGATAATTTAGTCAATGTAGGTAACTAATGGCTCACACTAATTCAGGCCAAGAAAATGCATTCCCTCTCTTTCTTCCTGTCCCTTTCTCTTGCTGAAAGAGAAATCTCATGGCCGCATATGTTACACAATCATGCCCACTTATGTAGGATCACAGAAGGCAGAATAGCAGAGAAGAAAGAAAACTGGAGAGTTGGGTCCTGATCCTAGCCATCTTGTATGACCTTAGACAAATTCATTACCTTCTCTGGGTTTGCAATTCCTTTATTTAATGGTGTTCCAGATGCGGTTAGGACTGAGATCAATGTATCTATAGAATTTGGAGGCTCTGCCACTAAATCTATTCACAAAGCAAGCTAAACTGTTGTAATAAATAGACCCCAAAACACAATGGTTCAAACCAACTCTTCGAGCAGTCTTGGGTGAGTGATCCAGGTTGGTAGCCAGCCTTCTCCGTGGAAGGTTTGGGACTCAAGCTCCTTCCATTTGCAGCCTACACCACCCCTGAGGGACTTGTTGTTTGCTTGCTTGAGGCAGGGTCATCATTTAGAGTCTCCAGTTGGGAGGAAGAGAAGGAGCTTATGGAGGAAACACACTGGCTGTCTTAGAGGCTGGAAGTGGCATCTGATCATGTTCCACTGTTAGAACTTAGTCACATGGCCATCCCTAAGCGCAAGGTATACCAATGTATGTAGGAGAGTTGTGGGCCCAGGAAGAAGAGGAGAAAGGATTTGGGTGGAACCTAGGCTGTGCCATATATACTTTTTATGTGGGGGTGGGGGGGTGTGGTAAAAAGAACCTGGGAAAAGAACCTGAACTTGTCTATCATGAGATTCAGACATATGTGAATAGGCTATGATGTGGGAGGTGGGGAGAGAGGTAGAGAACTAGCAGAGAAGGAGAAAAACCAGATTTTCAATTAAATGCATGAGAGAGAAGTCATCATTGGATACTTCTGAATCAGAGAGTATTTAACCTTTTTTATATCGTGGCACCCTATGGCAATATGATAAAAGCCCTGTCTCAGAAGAATATTTTCAAATGCATAAAATAAGATCTATAAGATTATAAAGGAAACTCTTATGTACAGTTATCAAAATATTTAAATGTCTGTGATATCGTATGTGATGGACATGGAGATGGAGGTGTGCCGCCCAGATTCCCCTATAGGGAAGGACTTGTTCCAGCCACTGGGAGTGCTGTTGGCCGACAGGCTTCAGCCCTCTGTCCCTTCAGGGATTGTCTCGGCTGCAAGAGTCACCTTGTTGCAGGGAGACCACGTTGAGTGACTGACAGAGGTGGGGGTATAAAGACCCAGTCATGTTGGCCCCACACTGGGAAAGTCTGATGGCCCTATTTAACTCCAGAGCTCCCCATGCCAGCCAGGCAGCTGTTGGGTTGAATCACAACTCAACTTCCTCCTCTGCTCAGTCCTCCTTCCTTCCCCACTGCCTCTGGTATTAATTGTGCATTCTAATAAACATTCTGGGCTGGGTGTGGTGGCTCACGCCTGTAATCCCAGCACTTTGGGAGGCAGAGGTAGGTGGATCACTTGAGGTCAGGAGTTTGGGAGCAGCCTAGCCAACATGGTAAAACCCCGTTTCTACTAAAAACACAAAAATTAGCTGGGTGTGGTGGCGCACACTTGTAGTCCCAGCTACTCAGGAGGTGGAGGCAGGGGAATCACTTAAACCCAGGAGGTGGAGGTTGCAGGGAGCTGAGATCATGCCACTGCACTTCAACCTGGGCAACAGAGTGAGACTCCGTCTCAAAAAAGCCCAAACACACACACAAACAACAACAGCAACAACAACAAAAACAAAACAACATTCTGTATCCTGAACTCTCTGCCTCTTGGAGAACTCAACCCAGAATAGTTGGTTGTTAGGAGTGGTCTAGGAAAGCAGATGATAAGGTGAGTTTTAGAGCTGGATCACTTGCTCCCTGGCTGTCAGTGAGGACCTTATCACTTGTAGTAGTTGGAGCACAGATAGTCCCTGACACAAAGTGGCAGTCCAATTGTTAAAGTGGTAAATTGAGATGGTATGCTGGTGGAAGAAAGTGCAATAGCCAGTGTGATATATCAGACGTTTGAGAAACATATGGAAAATAGTAGCTGAAGACAGCATAACTGGGTGACTACTGAACTTAGGTTCAACTGAATAATCATTCTCCAAAGAAGGTTAAGCTTCTGATATGGTTTGGCTGTGTCCCCACCCAAATCTCATCTTGAGTTGGAGTTCCCATAATCCCCACATGTCGTGGGAGGGACCTGGTGGGAGGTAATTGAATCATGGGGGCAGTTACCTCCATGGTGTTCTCGTGATAGTGAGTTCTCATGAGATCTGGTGGTTTTGTAAGGGGCTTACCCCGCTTTGCTCTTCCTGTCACCACGTGAGAAAGGATGGTTTGCTTTCTCTTCTGCCATGATTGTAAGTTTCCTAACACTTCCCCAGACATGCTGAACTGTGAGTCAATTAAACCTTTTTCCTTTATAAATTACCCAATCTTTGGTATGTCTTTATTAGCAGCATGAGAAAGGACGAATGCAGCTTCCAAGCAAGGTAGGCCTGCTATATCAAGGTCAGAGCCCTTGTTGGGAAAGGATGGGACCCTGACATGTGAAACAGGGACATCTGAGTTGATGCCCCTGAAAATCTTCGATTTCTAGATTCTCTTGAATGCTCTGAGCCTGCAGAAGTGCCCTTCCCTGGCTCCTACTCGAAAATGCCAAGGCTTTTTCCCACAGTCAAGAAGGAACCCACCTCCCCTCCTGGCCATGAAATGTAAACTAGGGTTAAGTCACAGTATAACTCAGGGACATGATGGGCCTAATAAAGGAGAAAAGGGATTATACCCCAAAGTAGCTGCAAGACCTAACCAGCATACACCAGCAAGAAGCTGGGAAGGACATGTGGACTGAATGCTGAGGGTGCTTGATCAAGGTGGCCAGAACATGAGATTGGATGAGGGAGACTGTGTTGACTTGGGAGCATTCTATCCCATAATACACAATTTAACATCCTAGCAAAGGCTCCCAGAGATTCTATGAACTCACTCTTAGAAGCATGAAAAAAATAAAGGCCTGCTGGGTGCAGTGGCTCACATCTGTAATCCCAGCACTTTGGGAGGCTGAGGCAGGTGGATCACCTGAAGTCAGGAGTTTGAGACCAGCCTGGCCAACGTGGTGAAACCCTGTCTCTACTAAAAAAAAAAATACAAAAACAAGCCGGGCATGGTGGCAAATGCCTGTAATCCCAGCTACTGGTGGACTGAGGCAGAAGGACTGCTTGAACCTGGGAGGCGGAGGTTGCAGTGAGCTGAGATCGTGCCACTGCACTACAGCCTGGACAACAGAGTGAGACTGTTGTCTCAAAAAATAAATAAATAAATAAATAAAAATAAAAAATAAAGCCCGTAGTAAATGGGGTAGAAATGCCATCATTGCCCTGGTGGACAGTAGAGGAAGGTGTCACAAGGGGAAGGGCAGTAACCTTCTGGAGTAGACACACTGCAAAAAGTCCAGAAAACCCACCTGATGGTAATGTTCCATAGGGAGGCGCAGAGGACAACCATTCTGAGGACATCAGAATGTACTGATGAGAGGGGACACCAGCATCAATAAAAAATTCAGGCCGGGTAGGGTGGCTCACACCTGTAATCTCAATACTTTGGGAGGCCAAGGCAGAAGGATCACTAGAGCCCAGGAGTGAGAGACCAACCTGGGCAATGTGGCAAAACCCCGTTTCTGCAAAAAAATGCAAAAATTAACCAGGCTTGGTGGCACACACCTGTAGTCCCAGCCACCTGGGAGGCTGAGGCAGGGCCTGGAAGTTCAAGGCTGCAATGAGCCAAGATCACACCTACTGCACTCCAGCCTGGGGGAAAGAGCAAGAACCTGTGTCATAAGTAAATAAATAAATAAATAAATAAATAAATAAATAAATAAATAAAATGTAGACTTAGCTGTCTCTGTAGGCCAATACTGGATTGAAGAAGTTCTTATAGAATAAGGCCTACTGATAGCAGAGAGAATGATAGGACCCAAAACAACAGAGGTGGTTTGGGCCTTAACTATCTGTGTGGGTATGGGGGTCATTTTTCCTGGCTGCAACCTTGTGCTTATCTCTAGGGGATCCCGAAGCCATAGTGCTGAGTCTTGATCCATCCAGAATGGAATTTGCAAATCATTGATTAGTGTAGTTCTGTACTGAGTCCAAAAACTACTACAGATATTCTGTACCAACTTGTCACCATTGTTAAGTGAAAATGTACAGATTGATTATTTTCACCTGGTTTCTGTTAGATTATCTTAGTTGAGCCTGATCATGCAAGCTGGTTTTGGCTATGTGACCAGAAGGATATTAAAAACCATCTTAGATGAGATTGTGACTTCCCTGAGACCAATGCATTTTGCATGTATCTTGGTGGTTTATCATCCTAAGATCAAGTACATCCTATGTACCTGAAAGGAAGATGCGCCTGGATGTCGGACAGCTCCCTGGTATTTGCCTTTATCCTGCTATATTATTTTCTTTAGTTTTATGAAAGCCCTATGTGAGTATACTTTCAGGAGTCTTCTTGTGATTCCTTCCACTACCTGAGGAGGCACAACTGGGGCACCATCAGAAGCCAGGCAAGTGCACTGATTGTAGTAACTGGCCAGGTTGGAGTGGCAGCCCAGGAGCCTGGTCTACAGAGAGTTATGGAAGTGGGTGATAGAGCACAGAGTCCATGGGGGCAAAAGAGATGGGAGACCAGGCCAGGCGCGGTGGCTCATGCCTGTAATACCAGCACTTTGGGAGGCTGAGGTGGGCAGATCACAAGGTCAGGAGTTTGAGACCAGCCTAGTCAATATGGTGAAACCCCATCTCTACCAAAAATACAAAAATTAGCCGGGCGTGGTGGCGGGCACCTGAAGGGCCAGCTACTCACGAGGCTGAGGCAGGAGAATCATTTGAACCTGGGAGGCGGAGGTTGCAGTGAGCCGACCTTGTGCCACTGCAATCCAGCCTGGGTGACAGAGCAAGACTCTGTCTCACAAAAAAACAAAAACAAACAAAGAAAACAAAAAGAGATGGGAGACCCAAAAGGGTACTGCTCAACCTGCACCATTAGAATAAATCATGATGAATGATCAGGAAGCTAAGGCAGACACCCCAGTAAAAAGTCACACGTTGCCCAGTTTTCAGACCTGAGGTAGTTTTCAGATCCAGAACCAATTGATTGAAAAGAAGCCTGGCTCCTCATTAAGAAGGACTGTGCAGCACCATGGCAAATGGGAAAAGAGGAATACCCAAATATTCTGAGGACTGTAAGACACAGTGTCTGAGCTGGCATTGATAACCAGAGGCCTGAAGTATCATCATGGCCTTCGTTAGAGAGGAAGTATTTGGAGACCTGGTAATAAATTGAGTCCCGGCCAAGGTCTGGCTGACAGTGAGTCCACTGGGTCCACGGACCCCATCCAGTCATTATCTCCCACATGAAAAATCGAGATAGAAATATTTGACCCGGATGTGATCTACAGGTGGAGTGACAGCCCAGGAGCCTGATCTACAGAGAGTTGTGGAAGTGGGTAATAGAGCACAGAGTCCCTGAGGGCAAAGAGAGATGGGAGACTGAAAACGGGACTGCTCAACCTGCACCATCAAAAGAAACCAAGGATGAATTCTTGGAGTGTGTGTGATCCTCTCCTATATACACACTGAGCTGGCTTGTGGAGTAAGAGCTATAGTAGTTGAGAAGCCTCCAAGCAGTCCCCTTCCAACCCAGGTCAACATAATAAATCAGAAACAATATTGCATCCCGGGATGAAAGAGTTGAGAAGGTTAATGCCACCCTTGGGGAACTGAAGGATGCAAGGGTAATAGTTACCTTCATGTCTCTAGTATGGTTCATGTAGGAGAAGAGGGATTCTATGGAATGACACTAGACTACTGCAAAGTAAATGGAGTAGTAGCTGCCATTGCACCTACCATGCCAGATCTTTGCTAGAATAGATGAACAGTTTCAGACACATAGTGTGTGGCCATTGTTAGAGAATTCATTCTTTTCTCTTCCTATCTGAAAAGAGGATTCAAAATAGTCCACATTCACATGGAATGGACAACAGTATACATTTACAACTCCCCCCCATACATTAACTTTCCCACCGTCTGTCACAGTCTGGTCTGTGCCAGTTTTTCAATGTATTGACTCTCATCTCCAAGTCACCCTGCATTACCTGCTTTGTGATAATGGAGCTAGACACTTTAAGCATTTCTCCCTTGTGGTGAGCATCAGGTTAAGCTTTGTTGTAGATGCCCTAGAGCGACAAAGCAGAAAGAAAAGGCTTTCCAGCTGGGTGTGGTGGCTCATGCCTGTAATCCTAGCACTTTGGGAGGCTGAGGCAGGTGGATCACCTGAGGTCAGGAGTTCAAGACCTGCCTGGCCAACATGGTGAAACCTTGTCTCTACTAAAAATACAAAAATTAGCTGGGTATGGTGGCATGCACCTGTAATCCCAGCTACTCAGGAGGCTGAGGCAGGAGAATCACTTGAATCCAGGAGGTGGAGCTTGCAGTGAGCCAAGATCACACCACTGCACTCCAGCCTGGGCAATAGAGTGAGACTCCATCTCAAAAAGAAAAAAAAAAAAAGAAAAAAGAAAAAGAAAAGAAAAGGCTTTTCTTGCTGTTTCTGTCATGCTTGGGTTTTGCTTCTTCTTGCCTCTACTGTATGGTTGCCAGAGGCACAGGAGAGAGGGCCTCTGCCCCAGCTCCATACGCAGAGTGTGGGGTCCTTGGTGAGCTCACAGCATTGGCCCCAGCTAGGTGCCCAGCTCACTGTGGCTCTCCCAATGAGGTTACATGCACCCAGGATTTACACTGCTCTGCTAGGGATCAAGCTCCTGACACACCGACTCCTCCTGTGCATCCACCTTCCAGCACTGGCTCACCTGTATAATGCAGGGTTGCTTCCTGGGGCCCCCCTAATACAGATATGGCACACCTCAGTCCTTACTCTGCCTCAGTGCAAGCAGGCTCCTGATGCCCCGACTACCTCTGTGCACTGATCACCAGCACCCTTATAATTCCTCCTCTGTTGGAATCACTGCTTCTTTATCTTAAACTTTTCCTGTTCAAATTACTCTGTGGCTTCTGTCCCTGTTTTGGACCCTGAATGATACAAAGAGATCTGGGCCATCTGGACATTTTGCAGAACGTGGCCTTGATCTGTTATGTGAATGACATCCTGCTAAATGGGCCAAAGGAGCAAAAAGTGGCTAGCATGTTAAAGGCATTGGTAGGTTACACACACTCCAGAGGGTGGGAGATGAATACTACAGATATTTAGGAGCCTGCACACCGGGAACAATTTTAGGGGTCCTGTGGACAGGAGCATGTCAGGACAGTCCATCCAAAGTCAAAATCAAATGATTGCATCTCGTATTTCCCACCATGAAGAAGGAAGCACAAAACTTAGACATTCTCTTTGGCTTCTGGAGATAGCATATTCCACACCTGGGAATACCACTTGACCAATAATAACCAGATAACCTGAAAGGCTGTCAGCTTGAATTGGGGCCCAGAACAGGAAAGGGCTCTGCAGTAGGTCCAGGCAGCAGTGCAAGTAGCCTTGCGATTGAGCCATCAACCCAGCAGACTCTATAGTACAAAAGGCATGATGATGAAGAAGATGCTGTGTAGAGCTTGTAGCATGCCCCAGTGGGAGAGTCACAGTGCAGGCTCCCAGGGTTCTGGAGCGAGGCCATGCCATCTGCAGTGGAGGATCATATGCCTTTGGCAAAACAACTCCTGGCACGCTGCTGTGCCCTGGTAGAAATGGAGCACCTGATGGTGGGATACCAACTGATCTTGCACCTGGAACTGCCCTTCATTAACTGGGTTACATCAGATGAGTTAAATTATAAGGTTAGGCAAGCCCAGCAACAATCCATTGTTAGATGGAAGTTGTACATCTGGGATTGAGCATGGACAGGACCTGGGCCACAAGCAAGCTGCATGTGCAGTCTGTTCAGGCCCCCAAGCCACCCACCGGAGTTGCACCAGCACCCTCCCTCCACACACACCTAAGGTTATAGGAGGGGTCCTTCTGACCAGCTGATGGAAGAGGAAAGAGCAAGTTTGGTTTGTGAATGGCTTGGCTTGGTTTGTGGGTTTAGGCTGAAAACAACAGGAAATGTACTACAATCTCACTCAAGGGTGGCCTTGAAAGAGAGTGGCAAGGCAAAACCCTCCTAATGGGCAGGGATTTGGGTGGTGTAGCTGTTCACCCATTTTGTATGGACAGAGCAGAGCTCAAGGTGAGAATATATACAAACTTCTGGGTAGTGGTGAATGGCCTGGCCAGCTGATCATAGATGTGGAAAGGGAACAATTAGAAGACTGGAGACAAGGAGATCTGGGCAGAGGCATGTGGATGACATAGGCAAGAGTACACAAAGGGCCAGGCCTGGTGGCTGGTACCTGTAATCCCAGCACTTTGGGAGGCCGAGGCAGGTGGATCACCTGAGGTCAGGAGTTCGAGAACAGCCTGGCCAACATGGTGAAACCTCGTATCTAGTAAAAATACAAAAATTAGCTGGGTGTGGAGGCCCGTGCCTATAATCCCAGCTACTTGGGAGGCTGAGGCAGGACAATGGTTTGAACCTGGGAGGCAGAGGTTGCAGTGAGCCAAGATCGTGTCACTGCACTCCAGCCTGGGCGAAAGAGCAACTCTGTCTCCAGAAAAAAAAAAAAAAAAAAAGAGCACACAAAGCTTGATCTTTGTGCCACGTGTTAATGCCCACTAGAGATGACCTACTATGGAAGAGACAGTGGACAACCAAGTAGACAAGAGGACGAGAGTGGGGGATGCCAGTTGGCCTCTGCCATGGGCCGTCCCAATGCTGACCTGATGGACATACGAATGAAGCAGCAGTGGTGACAGAAATGGATGCTATGTGCAGGATGGGTCCCATGTACCAAGGCTACCGCTGCCACCAAATGTCCAACCTCCCGCAACAGAGACCAGTGCTAAGTCTTCAGAATGGACCATTTCTCAAAAAGACGAACCGGCAGGTTGACTTTGTTGGGGTCCCTTCACACATAAGGCCCAGTAATTTGTTCTGACAGGAGTAGACCCATGATCTGAGTACGGATTTGCCTTTCCTGCCTTCGGTGCCTAAGCCAGTATCCTTATCTGAGGGCTTACAGTGTGTTTGATTCTCCAGTACAGGGTCCCACATAGCGTCACATGAGACCAAGGGAAATGCTTTACAGCAGGGGAGGGGTGGGACTGAACCCACAGCCACGGGATCCTCTAGTTAATTCATAGGCTTCTCCATCTAGAAGCAGCTGCCCTGAGTTTGGAAGGCACACCTGAACCATCAATTCTTTACAAGGGTAGGAGACGTACTCCAGGATGCAGGACAGACCTTGAATCAAAGACCTTTTTACAGCCTTGTGGTAGAAAAATGGCCCTAAAGAAGTTCATGCCCAAGTCCCTGGGACCTGTGAATGTGGTTTTTGTTTGTTTGTTTGTGTTTGTGTGTTTGTTTGTTTGTTTTGAGATGGGGTCTCGCTCTGTTGCCCAGGCTGGAGTGCAGTGGCGCAATCTCGGCTCACTGCAGCCTCCGCCTCCTGGGCTCAAGGAATTCTCCTGCCTCAGCCTCCCGAGTAGCTGGGACTGCAGGTGCACACCACCACACCTGACTAATTTTTGTGTTTTTAGTAGAAACGGGGTTTCACCATGTGGGACCTGTGAATGTGTTAGTGTACATAGCAAAAGGAACTTTGCAAATGTGATGAAAAGTAGGGACCTTGAGATGACGGGTGGATCCCCGATTATCCAGGTGAGCCCAGTATAGTCACAAGAGTCCTTAAAAGTGGAAATAATTTCCTGGCTGCAGTAAGAGTGAGAGATGTGACACGGAAGAAGGATCAGAGAGATGTAACGTTGCTGGCTTTTTTTTTTTTTTTTTTTTGAGACAGGGTCTCCCTCTGTCACCCAGGCTGGAGTGCAGTAGCGACATCTCAGCTCACTGCAACCTCCATCTCCTGGGTTCAAGCGATTCTCCTGCCTCAGCCTCCCGAGTAGCTGAGATCACAGGCGTGTGCCACCACGCCCAGCTAATTTTATTTTATTTATTTTTTTGTACTTTTAGTAGAGACAGGGTTTTGCCATGTTGGCCAGGCTGGTCTGAAACTCCTGGCCTCAAGTGAGCCACCAGCCTCAGTCTCCCAAAGTGCTGGGATTACAGGCGTGAGCCACAGCACCCGGCCATGATGTTGCTGGCTTTGAAGATGAGGAAGAGGCCAAGTGCTAAGGAGTCCACCTACTCTAGAAACTGGAAGAGGTGAAGCAGGGGAGGGGTGGGAGTGAACCCACAGCCACGGGATCCACTGGTTATATCATAGGCTTCTCCATCTAGAAGCGGCTACCCTGAGAGAATTGGTCAAGCACAGCTTGGAAGGCACAGCCGAACCATCAATTCTTTACAAGGGTAAAAATTCTTTACAAAGGATGCAGGATCCTCTGCTAGAGCCTCCCTGTCGACACCTTGATTTTAGCCTAGTGAGGTCTTTGTTGGACTTCTGACCTACAGAACTCTAAGATGATATATTTGCATTGTTTTAAGCCACTGAGTTTGTAGCACAGCCATACACCAGACAACCACAATGGACTGCATTTATGACGGCAGTCCCATAAGATTACACTGGAGCTGAAAAATCCCTACTGCCTAGTGACTTCATAGCGGTGATGATGTTGTAGCACAATACATTACTCCTGTGTTTGTGATGATGCCGGTATGCAAACCTACTTGCTGGCTGTTGTATAAAAGTCTAGCACATACAATTATGTACAGTACATAATATTGGATAATGATGGCTGGGTGCAATGGCTCATACCTGTAATCCCAGCACTCTGGGAGGCCAAGGTGGGTGGATCACCTGAGGTCAGGAGTTTGAGACCACCCTGGCCAACATGGTGAAACCCTGTTTCTACTAAAAATACAAAAATTAGCCGGGCGTGATAGCGGGCACCTGCAATTGCAGCTACTCAGGAGGCTGAGGCAGGAGAATCACTTGAACGTGGGAGGTGGAGGTTGCAGTGAGTGGAGATCGCGCCATTGCACTCCAACCTGGGCAACAGAGTGAGACTCCATTTGAAAAAAAAAATTGGATAATGATAATAAACGACTGTGTTACTGGTTTGGGTACTTACTATACTATATTTTTTATTATTATTCTAGAGTGTACTTCTTCTACTTATTAAAAAAAAAAGTTAACTGTGAAACAGCCTCAGGCAGGGCCTTCGTGAGGGATTCCAGAAGAAGGCATTGTTATAATAGGAGATGACGGCTTCATGCATGTTACTGCCCCTGAAGACCTTCCAGTGGGACAAGATGGGGAGGTAGAAGATGGTGGTGATACTGATGACCTTGACCCTTTGTAGGACTAGGCTAATATGTGTGTTGATGTCTTAGTTTTTACCAAGAAAAGTGTAACAAGTAAAAAAAAACAAAATAGAAAAAAGCTTATAGGATAAGGACATAAAGAAAGAATTTTTGTACAGCTGAAAACGTATTTGTGTTTTAAGCTAAACGTTACTACAAAAGTCAAAAAGTTTTAAAAATTTAAGAGTTTATAAAGCAAAACAAGTTACAGTGTGCTAAGTTTAATTTATTGTTGAAGAAAAATAATTTTAATAACTTTAATGTGGACTAAATGTACAGTGTTTATAAAGTTGATAGCAGGCTGGGAGCTGTGGCTCACACCTGTAATCCCAGCACTTTGGGAGGCTGAGGCGGGTGGGTCACCTGAGGTCAGGAGTTCAAGACCAGCCTGACCACCATGGAGAAACCCAATCTCTACTAAAAATACAAAAAATTATCTGGGTGTGGTGGTGCATGCCTGTAATCCCAGCTACTTGGGAAGCTGAGGTAGGAGAATCTCTTGAACCCGGGAGGCGGAGGTTGCGGTGAGCCAAGATCCTGCCATTGCACTCCAGCCTGGGCAAGAAGAGTGAAATTCCATCTCAAAAAAAAAAAAAAGTCAACAGTAGTGTACAGTGATGTCCTAGGCCTTTACATTCACTCACCACTCACTCACTGACTCACCCAGAGCAACTTCCAGTCCTACAAGTTCCATTCATGGTAAGTGTCCTAAACAGAGGTACTGTTTTTCAACTTTTTATTTTATTTTATTTTATTTTATTTTATTTTTTGAGATAGAGTCTCACTCTGTCTGCCAGGGTAGAGTGCAGTGGTGCAATCATGGCTCACTGCAACCTTGAACTCCTGGGCTCAAGCAATCCTCCTACCTCAGCCTCCTGGGTAGCTGGGATTGCAGGTGCATGCCACCATACCTGGCTAATTTTTGATTTTTTGTAGAGACAAGGTCTCGCTGTGTTGCCTAGGCTGATCTCGAACTCCTGGGCTCAAGTGATCTTCCTGGCTGGGCCTCCCAAAGTGCTGGGATTACTGGCATGAGCCGCTGCGTTTATACTATTTTATACTGCTTTTACTATACATTTACTATGTTTAGACACATTTAGATACACAAATACTTACTATTGTGTTACCGTTGCTGCAGTACTCAGTACAGTAACATGCTGTACAGGTTTGTAGCCTAGGAGCAAAAGGCTATACCATATAGCCCAGGCATTTAGTAGTACCTAGTGCCATCTAGGCTGTGTAAGTGCACTCTATGACGCTCACATGAAGAAATCACCTAATGAAGCATTTCTTAGAACGTATCCCAGTCTTTAATTGGTTCCAGCAGCGATAGAAAACAAACCCCGACAGGAAAAAATACATGGGTTTGGGAACCAAGGGTGAAAACTGAAGTGGCCGCATTTACCGCCACATCATTACAACTCTAAGCTCTTCAGGGTTAGAGGTCCTGGTCTCCCAAAGGGAAAACTTCCACCAGGGGACACAGCACAGTTTTATTGAACTATCAGCTGTGGCTGCTGCCTGAGCCCTTCTGCTTCCTTATGTCCAGACATCAGCAGGCAAAAAGAAAAGTTACCATCTTGGAAGGGATAATTAACTTTAGTCATTAGCAGGAAGTAGGGCTGCAATTATACAGTGCAGCAGGGAGGAACACGTTTGTTACCTGGGCACCGGTTGCTACTCCCTTGCCCAACCATGATTGCTAAGGGACAGCAATTTCTCTTATTTCTCTCTTACATAGAAGTCCAGAAGTAGGAGTCAAAGGCTGTTTTAGAAGCTCCAAGACCATCAGGGAGCTCTTATCCAGCTGTATGGTTTCTCTACCATCCTTAGCATGCTGCCTCATAGTCCAAAACAGCTGCCTGAGCTCCAGTCATCACATCTGCATTCTAGCCCCCAGAAAGAAGGAAGAGAACAACTTTACTTTAAGGACATTTCCTGGAAGTCACATATGACATCCTTGCTAACATCCTATTGGCCAGAATTTAGACATTACCACACAAAGTTGCCATCGAGGCTGGAAAATATATTTTTATTACAGGGACTTGTGTCCAGCTAAATACCAGCTATAGGAGGAGAAGGGGACATTGGGGAACAGCCACAATAATGCTAAGAGGCCATCATACTTGGTAATTCTTCCCAGTTATCATGAGCAGCTTACTCTTTGAAATAGTTTCATGAAAACACTTTCATAAAAAGGCATTTTCTACTGAAACAGATGACAGCCTTCAAGACTAACATTCCTTTATTTTCTATTGTAAATTCAGACACCAAATTCAGGGCATATTTAGACAGACTAACATGCATTTGTTCTGCCTAATTGTCTGCTAAACAGGGTGCTTTGATGAGACACGACAGCCCTCTCTCAAAGCCAATATTGGGAAATATCAATATAAAATACAGCTAAATTAGAAAGAGAGTATTAACATTACAGACAAATACTTCACTCTACAAAATGAACCATTACCAGGTTCCCCTAAGTGTCAGTTCTCCTGTTGCAAATGAAATGTGAGTTGGTTTATGCGGACATTTTCAACATCTTAATTATATAACGTGAGGCAGATCCATGCTTTCATTTCCCTGGACTTACCTCTCACTGATTATTGTTTAGACTCACATGTTCCTTTCTGTGTGTCTATTTCCTGGATGCCTCCTTCCCACCTGCCCTTCTCTCCATTATCCTGCCAGTGACAACTGCCCCTTGTCCAGGTTTCCCGGGTTCTAGCAAGAAGAAGGTAACTGCAGATGAGGGTTTGAGTTACCTATGACTCAGCAGCATGACTCTATCGTCAAAAAAGCAAGGATGATCCTGGGGTCCAGAAATAGGGACAAGGCATCACCGATCCATGAGCTCATCTTCTCATCATATTTGGCTTTGTGCAGACACTCTGGATATCCTGGCATAGCGGAATGACAGATCATTTGAAGAGTGCCCCAAATACAAAACTTGAAAAGGGTGAGCAGAAATCCCTTTCACAGAAACCATGCTATCAGTTGTGAAATCCTACTTTATGGAAGATATAATCGGAAATTTAAAAGTTACCAAAATATTAAGATCTGAGTCAAATCTCATGACCTATAGTTTGGCATTGATACTTATTTTATTTAGATACAGGGTCTCACTCTGTCACCCAGGCTGAAGTGTAATACTGTGATCAGACCTCACTGTAGCCTCGATGTTCTGGGTTCAAGCGATCCTCCCGACTCAGCCATCCGAGTAGCTGGGACTACAAGCGCGCACCACCATGTCTAGATAATTTGTGTGTGTGTGTGGAGACAGGTTCTCACTGTGTTGCCCAGGCTGGTCTTGAACTCCTGGGTTCAAGCCATCCTCCTGCCTCAGACTCCCAAGTAGCTGGGACTACAGGCGTAAGCCACTGTTCCTGGCTTGGGCTTCATTTTTTACAAGCTGTTCTTTATTCGGAATAAAAAGAATTAGCATCTCTTTTTCTAAGTAATACTAAGTACAACCACTCACTGTTACTAGATTAGTGTTCTGGTTTTTCTTTTGAAATCGGAGAGGCAGGCTATTCATCTTTCCATCCATTCAACAGGTGTTTGAGTGTCCCTGTACACCGTGAATACAATGAAGACTAAGATCTTAAGTTGCTTACAATGTAGTGATTTGCAGGTGAGTTATATATATATATAGTTTGTTGGTTGGTTTTTTGAGACGGAGTCTTGCTCTGTCGTCCAGGCTGGAGTGCAGTGGCGCGATCTCAGCTCACTGCAAGCTCCGCCTCCCGGGTTCACGCCATTCTCCTGCCTCAGCCTCCCAAGTAGCTGGGACTACAGGTGCCTGCCACCACGCCCAGCTAATGTTTTGTATTTTTTAGTAGAGACAGGGTGTCACCATGTTAGCCAGGATGGTCTCAATCTCCTGACCTCATGAGCCGCCCGCCTTGGCCTCCCAAAGTCCTGGGATTACAAGCTGAGCCACCGCACCCGGCCTATTAATTTATATTGGTCTAGCTAGGCATGGTGGCTCACACCTGTAATCCTAGCACTTTGGGAGGCCGAGGCGGGTGGATCACCTGAGGTCAGGAGTTCGAGACCAGCCTGAGAACATGGTGAAACCCTGTCTCTTCTAAAAATACAAAAATTAGCGAAGCGTGGTGGTACATGCCTGTAATCCCAGCTACTTGGGAGGCTGAGGCAGGAGAATCGCTTGAATCCGGGAGGCGGAGGTTGGAGTGAGCCGAGATAGTGCCTGCACTCCAGCCTGGATGACAGCAAGACTCTGTCTCAAAAAATAAGAAAATAAATAAATATTTATATTGATTTCAAGAATTTGGGGATAACTACTCTGAAAAGGCTACATACTGTAGGATTCAACGATATGAAATTCTGGAAAAGGCAAAACTATGGAGGCAGCAAAAAGATCAGTGGCTGCCAGGGGTTAGCAGGGAGGGAGGGATGGATAGGCAGAGCACGGGGGATTTTTAGGGCAATGAGACTGTTCTGTATGCTAGTATAATCGTGGATACATGTGATTGTATATTTGTCAAAACCTATAGAGTATACAACAGCAAGAGTGAGCCCTAATATAAACTATGGACTTTGGGTTATAATGACATGTCAAGGTAGGTTCATGGATTGTAAGAAATGTACCACTCTGGTGGGGGATGTCGATAGTGCGGGAGGCTGTATAGAGCAGAGGGTATACGGGGATTTTCTGTACTTTCTGCTCAATTTTGCTGAGAACTTAAAATTGCTCTAAAAAGTAGTCTATGTTTTAAATTAAAAATGAAAAAATAGATTGGCATGGTGGCTCACGCCTGTAATCCCAGCACTTTGGGAGCCTGAGATGGCAGACAGCTTGAGCTCAGAAGTTCGAGACCAGCCTGTGCAACATGGCAAAACCCTGTCTCTGCAAAAAATACAAGACTTATCTGGACTTGGGGGCATGGTGGTCCCAGCTACTCAGGAGGCTGAAGTGGGAGGATCACCTGAGTCCAGGAGGTCGAGGCTGCAGTGAGCCAGGATCATGCCACTGCACTCCAGCCTGAGCAACAGAGTGAGAATCTGTCTCAAAAAAAAAAAAAAATTAAAACATAACTGGGGAAATCCACAAAAATTGGGGGTTAGATACCCTCTGCGAAGCTTCAGATGATCACTTTCAACTATTGTGTGTAGCATACGTCCTTTAAAAATGAAATTCTAAGCAATAAATTATACACTTCAATGACAAAGGAAAGTCCCTGCTGAGTTCAGCAGATCAGCTTGGAGATTATACTCTGAAGGAATTGTGTTCTATACCTTTTTTCCCCATACAGGAAACTGTGCTTTCAAATACTACTTTTTTCTTTTTTTAAAAAAATACGTTGACACTTATGATTTCTAATATGTACTTTAAAATAGTAAATAAAACCTGTCAGCGCAATGTCTGGCATTTCAAATACACAATTGCCCTACAAGAATCCCTGGGCCTGAGCAGCTCCAGGAGTTTACTTATCACTCTGTTCTGGAAAATTCTGAAGCATCAGGCTGCCCAGACTGTTCTCTCAACACATTGCTGGGTGGGCTGCTGCGTTTCTGTCTGCAACTGGTGGGTCCAAGACACACTGACTTCCTGACGCTCCTCCACATAGGAATGAACGCAGAGAGTGTCAGTGCTGACAGCTGACACAGCAGAGAAACCCTGGGGGCTCTGAGGTTTCGCTCTTGTCTGGCTTGCCTCGCATCAGGAAATGAGCTGTAAGTCACCCTCTGACAGGCTGTCTCTAGGCTGACACAGTGTCTGTTTGGACACTGCTGTAGTGTAGTGTGGCTGTATATGAGTTCCCATATCTTTAGCCTTCAACCCATAGATATCCCTAAATTCACTCATGTCTTTCTTCTATATTAGAGGAGAAATCTCTGTAGAGAGAGTAAAAATATTCTAGTAAAATATTCTCATGCACATAGTAGTCATTGGCTGTACAGAGAATTTAGGGGTTCATATTTATGGTTTGGATCCTCATTATTCATAATTCTAATATTTGCTAATCTTTCTACTTGCTAAAAATGGGTTTGTAACCCCCAAATCAAGGCTCAGGGCACTTTTGTGGCTATTCATGGACATGTGCAGGGTGGCAAAGACTTTGCTTACTCTGAGACATGTTCCCAGCTGAGCTCAAACAAAGCAACACCCTGCCTTCTTGTTCAGCTCTCATACTGTAATGAGTGTCCTTTTCATGGTCTATTTAGTGCCACATATTTTTTGCATTTCACTTTTGTACTTTTTATTGGTGATTTCATTGTTTTTTTTTTTTGTTGTTTTGTTATGTTTTTGTTTTTTTTGATGGAATCTCACTCTGTTGCCCAGGCTGGAGTGCAATGGCACGATCTTGGCTCACTGCAACCTCCGCCTCCTGGGTTCAAGCAATCCTTCTGCGTCAGCCTCCTGAGTAGCTGGGATTACAGGTGCCTGGCACCATGCCTGGCTATTTTTTTTTGTATTTTTAGTAGAGATGGGGTTTCACCATGTTGGCCACGTTGGTCTCGAACTCCTGGCCTCAGGTGATCTGCCCACCTCGGCCTCACAAAGTGCTGGATTACAGCTGTGAGCCACCATGCCCGGCCAATTTCACTGTTTAAAATGGCCCTCCAATGCAGTGCTGAAGTGCTGTCTAGTGTTTCTATGCTCAAGAAGGCTGCGATTGGGGCAGGCTTAGTGGCTTACACCTGTAATCCCAGTGCTTTGGGAGGCCGAGACAGGAGAATCACTTGAGGCCAGGAGTTAGAGGCTAGCCTGGACAACATAGTGAGACCCTGTCTCTACAAAAAAAATTTTTTTAATTAACTGAGTGTAGTGGCTTACACTTATAGTCCCAGCTACTCAGGAGGCTGAGATGGGAGGATCTATTGAGCCCAGGAGGTTGAGGCTGCAATGAGCTATAATTGCTACACTGCACTTCAGCCTGGGCAACAAAGTGAGACCCTGTTTCTAAAGGAAAGAAAAAAGTAAAAAAGAAGTCTGTGATGTGCCTTATAGAGAAAATATGTGCATTAGATAAGCTTTATTCAGGTATGAATTATGGTGCTGTTGGCTGTGAGTTTGATGTTAATGAATGAACAGCATATATTAAATAATATTTTAAAACAGAAATGCACATAAAAAGGTTATGTATTGATCAATTGATGATGATGTTATCAGAGGCCGGCAGGAATCTAATGCTGTATTTCCCCTAGGAGCCCCGGTTCAGCTTTCATTCATTCAGTGTTCATGGTAACTTCGTGGGACATGGCCACTGCAAATCCTTAAAATGGACCATAGCTTGGTAACGAGGGACAGAGCCCTAGAGCAGAGCCCCTTGACAGGGCAGATGTGGCCTCGGTTGGCCAGCTTGGTCTCAGTCCTCACCATCCCCACTTTGCTGGCTACTATGCTAACACATCTTGCTCTCCACAGTTCAATGAATCACCAGTCTCTTTCATGTCTTTCACAGCCCTGATCATTCTCTTATCTCTGCCTGAGTAGTCCCTGTGTCCTTCAAGGCTCAGCTCAGGGGCTCCTTCTATGGAGGCCTCCCCTCCCTTTTTAGGGTCAGGAGTTGCTGTGGGTGTCCCACTCACCACACTCACCACGCTGGGGTGTGATCGCCTGTGAACATACCTATGCCCACTCTCGTGTGATGACTCAGAATGCCTGGCCTGTATTTTACTCACCATTGTACCCTCCACCCATAACACAGTTGTATTAGTCCATTCTCACACTGCTATAAAGATACTACCTGGGACTGGGTAATTTATAAACAAAAGAGGTTTAATTGACTCACAGGTTTGCATGACTGGAGAGGCCTTAGGACACTCAAATCATGGTGAAAGGCAAAGGGGAAGCAAGGCACGTCTTCCATGGTGGCAGGAGACAGCAAAGGGAGAACTGTCAAACACTTTTTTTTTTTTTGAGACAGAGTCTTGCTTTGTCACTGAGGCTGGAATGCAGTGGCGTGATCTCAGCCCACTGCAACCTCCACCTCCCAGATTCAAGTGATTCTCCTGCCTCAGCCTCCTGAGTAGCTGGGATTACAGGCATGCGTCACCACCCCTGGCTAATTTTTGTGTTTTTAGTAGAGATGGAGTTTCACTGTGTTGGCCAGGCTGGTCTCGAACTCTTGACCTCAGGTGATCCACCTGCCTCAGCCTCCCAAAGTGTTGGGATTACAGACGTGAGCTACCATGCCTGGCCGTGGAACTGCCAAACACTTTAAAAACCATCAGCTATTGTGAGAATGCCCTCACTATCATGAGAACAGCATGGGGGAAACCATCCCCATGATCCAATCACCTCCCACCAGGTCCTGCCCTCGACACACAAGGATTACAATTTGAGATGAGATTTGGGTGGGGACACAAAGCCAAACCATATCAACAGCCCTGGATGCACAGTAGGTTCTTTGAAAATAGCTGATGAATGGCTGACAGACTGGATGGATGAAAGAACAGCCGGGTGAAATACTTCTGAGAAACAGGTGCTATTGTGGAGCATAGCATAGCCTGGGAGCTCAGTTTATTAGCAACCCAGAAAAGTGTTCAGTTAGTGGGGGTTGGGGGGAGGTGGGGGTCGGGGGTGGGAAACAGGTACAGACCTAAGACAAATAAAAGATATACATAAACCCTTTTTAGAGGACCTAGCATGGAAAAGGGCATTCAGGCTGTCTCTTCTGGCTTTCAAAAAGTCCTGAATCATTGTTTAGACTGAACAGCCTTTTATTAAATAACACTCACTCCCTTTCAAGGTTACTGTCAAACTTTATTGCATTCTGAGATGGACCAGAAGGAAACGTGAATGTTAAGGAGCAGGGGGCATCTCTTCCTTTCCCCCCTCCCACCCCTGTCTTTTGATTACAACTGAACAAGAGGCAAGAGGCCGGTAAGAGATCAGCAAACTCAATAATCCCTCGATAATGACTTTTTCCTAAGCTACAGGCTGATTCAAACTGAATTGAAGCTGTTCAATTCTTCTTGCCAACAGCAAGGATACAGCACACACACACACAAACACACACACACACACCCCCCACAAACTTCCCTCCTATTCTTGGGCACATTGCACTTTTCTGGGTATATACTGCTTGCTGTTTATCCTCTTAACTTCTCCTCCCAAAATCCTTTACCAGTCCCTCTCTGTCTCTTATTCCTTAGGTCCTGTGATGGCTCTTTAGAAGGGAGGCACAGGGCTAGGCCAGGAAATGCCTTTTGGTGCATTTGTGACCTCGCGTGCCTTTCCCCTTCCTCCTCTTTTCCCAGCCATCCTCCCAGCCAGTGATCGCCCCCTGCCTCCTCCTATCATCTGGGCCATCCTGCTGTGCAGCCGAAATCCTCACTCCACTCTGTGCGTGGGTGTGTGTGTGATGACATCAACAGTGACAAAATGAAAAGTGCAAGAACCCAAGCCCCAGTCTGAGAACTTCTGAACAGACTCTAGGGACTGCCCTGTTCAATCCTCTCATTTTACAGACAGGGAAACGGGGGCCCAAAGAGGAAAGGCCCTGGGTGATTTAGTGGCAGAGCCAGATTTAAAGTCAAGCTTGACGGGTTCCTCTGCACCAAAATAGTGCCTGCGGGGCCAACTTGGAAGTTCTATTAGAGGAGAGTTCTCACCTGGGGAGATTTTGCCCCTGGGACATTTGTTAATGTCTGGAGACATTTTTAGTTGTCACTGATGGGAGGTAGTGCTCCTGACATTTGGAGAGTAAAGGCCAGTGTAACCTGTACCCGGTCCCTGGCCGTGCCCAAGGCCCTGCAGCAGCTCACCTCATGGGCCTCCTGCGTGCCTCTTACAAGGGCAGCTGTGGCCTGGTCGCTAATCCAGCACTCAGGGGTGGAACTCCAGGCAGATGTTTTTGCTTGTTGTGTTTTGGGGATTTATTTTTGTTTTTGTTTTGCTTCCCCGACCCCCAAAATGTGAACTTTGCATTACTCTGATCTAGAATTTCTGGACCATGGCACAATTTTAGACCACATGCATCTTTGTTTTTTAAATTAAAAAAAATTTTTTAGAGACAAAGTCTTGCTCTGTAGGTCAGGCTGGAGCGCAGTGGCGTGATCATAGCTCACTGCAGCCTTGAACTCCTGGGCTAAAGTGATCCTCCTGTTTCAGCCTCTTGAGTAGCTGGAACTACAGGTGGGCACCACCATGCCTAGCTAATTTTTTTATTTTTTATATTTTTTTGAGACACGGTCTCACTTTGTCACCCAGGCTGGAGTGCAGTGGTACGATATCAACTCACTGCAGCCTGGCCTCCCAGGCTCAAGCGATCCTCCCGCCTCAGCCCCACAAGTAGCCGGGCCTACAGGCTTGTGTTACGATGCCCGCTAATTTTTTGTATTTTTTTTAGAGACAGGATTTTGCCATGTTGCCCAAGCTGGTCTCGGCCTTCTGAGTTCAAGTGATTCTCCTGCCTTGGCCTACCAAAGTGCTGGGATTACAGGCGTGAATCACAGCGCCCAAACTTTTAGTTTTACTTTTGTAGAGAAGGTTCTTGCTATGTTGCCCAGGCTGGTCTCAGACGCCTGACCTCAAGTGATTCTGCCACCTTGGCCTCCCAAACCACTGGGATTGCGCACATGAGTCTCTGTGCCCAGCCACACGTAAGTCTTATTGTGGGGGTGTCCTGTGTGTTGTAGGATGTGTAGCAGTTCCCCTGGCCTCTACCCATTAGATGCTATAGCACCTCTATCACTTTGGTCTAAATACCTATTCCTTACTCCTCAGTCCTGTCCAGGGCCTCTCTCATAATTGGTACTTAAACCTTTGACTAATTGCTTCGGCTCTGGGCTCTCCTCAAAGATGCTGTTACCTGGACCTGGTATGAAGGTGGGATTCTGGCGTGCAGCGTTGTGGGTACACTGAGTTCTGTGCTGAGCAACAGTGTAACCGTCCAGTGGGTTCACCTTGCCCGCTGACTAAACAGAGCTGATTTCTCAAGACAGGGGAATTGCAATAGAGAGAGAGTAATTCACCCAGAGCCAGCTGTGGGGGAGACCAGAGTTTTATTATTACTCAACTCAGTCTTCCTGAGGTTTTGGGGATTAGAGTTTTTAAGGACAACTTGGTGGGGCGGAAGCCAGTGAGCCAGGAGTGCTGATTGGTTAGGTAGGAGATGAAGTAATAGGGAATTGAAGCTGTCCTCTTGTGCTGAGTCAGTTCCTGGGCGGGGGCCACAAGATCAGATGAGCCATTTAATTGATCTGTGTGGTGCCAGCTGATCCATCAAGTGCAGGGTCTGCAAAATGTCTCAAACACTGATCTTAGGAGCAGTTTAAGGAGGGTCAGAATCTTGTAGCTTTCAGCTGCATGACTCCTAAAGCATAATTTCTAATCTTGTGGCTAATTTGTCAGTCCTACAAAGGCAGTCTAGTCCTCAGGCAAGAAGGAAATTTCTTCTGGGAAAGTGCTGTTATTGTCTTTGTTTTAAACTATAAACTATAATAATCTCCTCCCAAAGTTAGTTCAGCCTGTGCCCAGGAATGAACAAGGACAACTTGGAGGCTAGAAGCAAGATGGAGTTGGTTAGGTCAAATTTCTTTCACTGTCTCAGTCACAGGCGGTTTCAACAGGGCCACTCTCCTTTCCTGGCAAGCACAAGGAGCCCGAATTTCCTGGCCCTCTGGGGTTGCCTGGGGTCATGTGACCAGTTCAGACCAATGAGATGTGAAGGAAAGTGACAAACATCACTTCCGGGCTAGATCATTTGCTTGCCTGTTCGAGGCCCTCCAGAATTCTCTCCGTTTGCTGGTAACTGTGGAAACTCCGAGCTCCCCACTGATCTCACGGAACACGTAGCATGAGCGGAAACCAAACTTTTGTCAAGCCATTGAGATATCGACATTGTTACTACACCATAATCTAGCTGATCCTGACAACAAGGTGCATACACGGAAATTGGCCCATATTCAAAGAAAACATCTATCTTTGCGTTTGATTGGCAGCCATTCAAACGCAAAGATTATATAGAGTTAAAGGAAAGCTCACGAAGTTAATTGACATTTTATTGAGTTAAAAACACCAGCAAGCTAAGAAAAACAACAACTTGTTTGTGTAACGTTTGGGTTGTTTACAAATTCAGGAGGGCTGCACAGAGCGTGAGCACAGTGAGTGCCCTTCTTCCTGCGCTGTGTGATGGGGGATTGGCTCTCCCAAAGCCATAGAAGGGCTTTTGTGTCCAACAATAGCATCTTGGGCCCCACGTGCTTTGCTTGTTCATCCACAGTAACTTCTTTCTCTTGCAAGTTAGGGCTGGTGACTTTGGGTTTGGAATATGAAAACAAAATTAAGAACCAACTAAAGAAGAAAAATTATACTGAACGATTATAAATATAAGGGTGTATTCCTCTTTGAGGAAGACAAGCGTGAAACTCCAAACTAGATTAACCAGGTAGAGTGACCAGTGGCTGAAGGGAACCTTTTACAAAGAACTCCTTTAGCCGTCATTCCCATGGTGCCCTGAAGTGTTTATTTACAGGTCCCGAAATGCCCTAGGTAGTGGTGATGGCCAGAGAAATGTAAAGCTGGGATTCATGACCACTGAAGATCAATCACATACAAGGATGAAGCATTTTATAGATGAATTCACAAGAGAGAAAAGTTAAGATTTAATATTAATATAGTTTAAAAGTATCTATGGCTTAAATCTGAAGCCTTAAAAAAAAAGTGAGGCTGGTCGTGGTGGCTCACGTCTGTAATCCCAACACTTTGGGAGGCCAAGGTGGGAGGATTGCTTAAGCCCAGGAGTTTGAGACCAGCCTGGGCAACATAGTGAGACATTGTCTCTACGAAAATAAAAAAAAATAGTAAAAAAAAAGTGAGGCACACTTTACCAGGAGAATTGTTTGTTACCACGTTTTTCTCTGAACTGGTTTGCAAATATCAGATGGAAACCCCTAGTGTTGATTCCCTTATTGCCCAACTACTTACTAACTACGTAGTAGTTAGGATTAGTTAAGTAGTTAGTACTTTTGGATTCCCTTATTGCCCTTGCTTCTTACTATCTGGTATAACTGGGCAAAATGCTCAACCTCTCTATGCCCATTGCCTTGTTTGTAAGAATGAGGGGGTTGGAATAGAAGACCTCTAAGGGTCTTAGCTCTAAAAAATAACTATGATTCTTCAAGAAGCAGCATCCTGGAGAGAAGTGTGAGCCCATCTTTTGTATTCAAATGATGCATTTCTGAGACAATCGGCCCCCAGATTTGACAGTTTAAAATAAAAAATGACTTTCGCCCGGATGGGTTTGTTGCTGACAAAAGTCAGACTTGGCAGCTCCAAGGGTTCTGGTGCCTTAGAAGTGAATGCCTTGCAGGAGGGGCTGTTGGAGCCAGCACTTGCTCTTGAAGACAGCAACTGGGTGGGGAAGTGAAGCAGCTCGTGTTCCCAAGGGCTCACCTGCCTGCCGAGAAGCCTGTCTTCACACACACCAAGACCAGGCCATGTGGGCTTGTGAAAGGAAAGTTAAGTCTCGGGACCCCCAAATCACTAAGCCAAAGGGAAAAGTCAAGCCAGGAAGTGTGTCAGTCAAACTGCCTCTCATTTAATTCCTAAGTAAGATAGCTACAAAGATTTTTTTAAAAAGCTCCATACCCCCCTCACAATTTGTCCACAAAGAAATTCCTTGTGGGCCTCAAGATCTTTACCCTAAAACAGTTCTGTGGAATTTCACCCTGGCAATGTAAATTGATAGCTTATCTTCACAGGTATGGGACAAAGGACAGAACTCAAAGTCATTCTTTTGCTCACCCAAGACAAACTCATATCCAATTGCTTCCTCTGCCCTATTGTTTACGTAAAAATGCAGATTCACTGAGCCACATTAAGGCATAAGGGACTATTCCTCTATCCCCTCTCATATGTAAATTGTGTATTTGGTGAAAGGCTGATCAAAGACCCCAAAAAATGCAACTGTTTGTCTATTACCTACCTATGACCTGGAAGGCTCCCCGCTTCGAGTTGTCCCACCTCTCCGGACAGAACCAATGTACATTTTACACATATTGATTGATGTCTCACGTATCCCTAAAATGTATAAAAGCAAGCTGTGCCCCGACCACCTGGGGCATGTGTCGTCAGGACCTCCTGAGGCTGTCATGGGTGCTTCCTTAACCTTGGCAAAATAAGCTTTCGAAATTGATTGAGACTTTTGGGTTCCCAGGCTGAACATGGGGCAGTGTGGACACCTGTTGTTTTGTCTGCCTGGGACTCTTTTCCCCTTTCTAGAGCATAGATGTCTTTGTCTTTAGGAGAAATACCCCTATGTGGTTCTGGTCAGGGTCTTCTACTATGGTGGCCATCCCTCTGGCTGTGCAAGTGAGCCTGTGATCCAAGCTTGGCCGACCCCTGGGATTTTTCTAGTTGGAACTGGAGGAAGAGGCTCCTCTACTCTCAGATGGCCAAGCTGGGAAGGAATGAACCCTCACTCTGCAGTGTCCATGGTTCTAGCCTTCCAGAGAAAGCCCACCCGAGAGAAACAGAAACAGGAGGGGAGAGATGCCCGATGGGGTTTGAGTCATGGCTGGAGCTTTCCCTGCCCCTCGCCCTCTGCAGTTCGTTATGAACCAACAACACCCCCTCTTCCCAAGCGAGTTGCACTTAACCATTTGCATCTGGTGAGTGTTAAGCTCTTGGCTAGGCTTGTGGGAAGAATGAAGAGAGAGGAAGCCCTGCAAGCTGGTCTGGGGGTTCAGCCTGGGGGAATCCAGCTGTGAGCAGGTGAGGGGGGCCCAGCCGTGGAAGGTGTGGCCAGGCTGAGAGACCACCGGAAAGGGTGGGCAGGATCAGCTACAACCGGCTACCCCGGGGAAGAGGAATGGTTAAAGGATGGCAGATCTCACACAGAAACTTAGAGAGGGGAGGGAGAAAGGGAAATGGCCAACAATCTTAAGAAGTTTAGGAAAAAGAGGATGGGTGGAAAACAATGGTTGAGAGAAAGAGAAAGACAAAGAGAGTAAAAGCACAGAGGCGATATGTCATTGTGTGGAGAGAAATTTCTGAGAATACATTTGAGTTTCAATGCAAGGCTCTGAGAAGCGGCAAGAACAGGAAACTCTATGCCTTAAGTGCATATAGGCAGGGCAGTCCCACCCAGGAGAGAGAAAAACACTACTGCAGAGTGTCTGCTACTCCAACAGGAAACTCTCTCAAAATAAATTCACTCTGGGCCTTCGTTACTCTTGGAATTCTGTTTACCTCGAGATGACTCCCAGTTGCTTAAAGACTCATTCTACCTTATGTTCTATGCTCTAGCAAGATTTGGATTAGACTGAGTGTTGGCTTTGATCATGTGCAGAGGCAGCCCAGCCCCACTCCTCATCTCCTAGCCTCCTCCTTGAGCATTTCAAACCCTCCTGAGGCTGAACCCCTAACTCCTCACTCTAGTCCACAGGCCCTTTCTGATCCAGCTCTGCCCTTCGCTCCCACCTTGTTGTTACTCTGCACAGTCAGGGAGGCCTCCCTGCAGAGGTGAACTTTAAGCTGAGCTATGCACGGTAAGAAGGAGCCAGCTATCTGAGGCTGTGGGAAGAGCTTGCCAGTGGAGACGACCACAGGACAAAGGCCCTACGTCAGGAATGAGCTGGAAAATTTGAGGAATAGAGAGAAGCCAGCTGGTTGGACCAGTGTGCTGCAGAGTGGGGAGGGGGAGTGTGGAAAGAGGGCATAATAGGACACAACCTCAGCTTCATGGTAAAGAGAAAGTCAGAGCTGGAAGCAGCCTCTCGGGGGGCCCTGCCCCAACTCTATTTTAAAAACAAGAAAACTGCATGCCGGAGAAGGTTAGCACCTGTTGGTGGCTCACACCTGTAATCCCAGCACCTTAGGAGGCTGAGGTGGGGAGATTGCTTGAGCTCAGGAGTTTGAGATCAACCTGGACAACATAGTGAAACCCCGTCTCTACAAAAAAATACAACCTGGACAACATAGTGAAACCCTGTCTCTACAAAAAAAATTAGTTGGGTGCAGTGGCACGCATCTCCCAGCTACTCGGGAGGCTGAGGTGGGAGGATCACTTGAGCCCAGGAGATTGAGGCTGCAGTGAGCCATGATTGCGTCACTGCACTCCAGCGTGGGCGACAGAGCGAGACCCTGTCTCAAAAAACAAAAAAACAAACAAACAAACCCAAAACAACAACAACAAACACTGCACAAATAATACATGAAAGTCTTATTGTTAAAAATTTGAAGAATACAGAAAAAGTGAGTCTTTGTCATGACCTCCGCCTGTCCTATCTATTCCAATCTCCAGTCCCACTGCCCTCTCCAGAGGGAACTCTGGCTAATGGGATGTTGGGGAGATCTTTCCTGACTTTGGATGGGCACGTACATTTGTATACATACATTTAGAGATGTATGGCTTTATTTGTGCTTTTCCTTTACATCCATAAGATCATACCATATATATTGTTTTGCAGCTTACTTTTTTGCTTTGGAAACCTTTGCATTTTTGCTCACATAGCATATGGCATTCTTTCTACCTGCTGCATAGTAGTTCATGGTTAGTTACGCTGTATCATTTAACTTTTCCCTGTTGGTGGTCATTTAGGTTGCTCCTGGCTATCACAAATACCCTTGGCCACATCTCTTTGAATACAAGTGCAAGGATTTGTGGAGGGTGAATACCAAGTTGTGGAATTCCTGGGTCAAGGGGCACACACAGTGAAATGGTAATCCAAACTGCCAAAGTGCTCTCCAAAAAACTTTGTGTCAGATGGGTAAACAGTTTTCTTTGTTGTTTTCTGTTATTGTTGTTTATCTTTTCTTTTTTAGTAGAGACGGGGTCTCACTATGTTGTCCAGGCTGGGTCTTGAACTCCTGGACTCAAGCAATCCTCTTGCCATGTCCTCCTGAAATGCTGGGATTTTTACAGGTGTGAGCTACCGTGCGTGGCCTACCTTTTCATTTTGAAATAAGTTTAGGCTTGCAGAAAGTTATAAAGATACAGTGTTCTCACAGACTGTTTCTCCAGCTTTTCCTAATGTGAGCATCTTACCTAACCACAATACAATTGAGAGGTGAAGCCAGCTGGACTTTCTGGGTGAGTGGGGACTTGGAGAACTTTTCTGTCTTACAAGAGGATTGTAAAATGCACCAATCAGCGCTCTGTAGCTAGCAAGAGGACTGTAAAATGCACCAATCAGCACCCTGTAAAAATGCACCAATCAGCACTCTGTAGCTAGCAAGATGATTGTAAAATGCACCAGTCAGCACTCTGTAAAACGCACCGATCAGCACTCTGTAAAATGTACCAATCAGTGCTCTCTAAAACACACCAATCAGCAGGAACCTAAAAGTAGCCAATCGCGGGGAGGATTGAAAAAAGGGCATTCTGATAGGACAGAAATGGAACATGGGCGGGGGCAAATAACGGAATAAAAGCTGGCCAACCCCATCCCCACCACCCAACACAGCCTCTCCCAGCCAGCAGCGGCAATCTGCTTGGGTCCCCTTCAACGCTGTGGAAGGTTTATTCTTTGGCTTTTCAGTCTTCACAGGAAAACTTGCATTTATTCTTTGAGTTCGTGCCATCTTTAAGAGCTGTAACACTCACTGCGAGGGTCCGAGGCTTCATTCTGGAAGTCAGCAAGACCACGAACCCACTGGAAGGAACCGACTGTGGACACACAGTGACCAAAACAGAGAAATTAACACTGGAACAATGCTATTAACTAAACTATGGACTTAATTCAGATGTCACTACTTTTTTGACTAGTGTTCTGGTTATTTTAAATTTTACTTCCTTAATGACTAGGAAGATTGAACATCTTTTCATATTTTTTGGACCATCTGTATTTTTTATGTAAAATGCCTATTCAAATTCTTTGCCCATCATTTTCTCTGTTGGATTATTTGTTTTTCTAACGATTGGTAGGGGTTCTTTTCGAACCTTTCCAAGCTTGCACAGCGAATTAGTAGCAGATCTGGGAAGATAACCCAAGTCTAACCTATTTACTTATTCCTGCCATGACGCTCTGTCCTCAATTCTCCTTAACTCTCAGCTGCTTCTCTCTTTCCTGGGCCCATGTATAGCAGTCCCCAGCTGGACCATTCTTATCAGCATCTGTCAGAGAAGCACAGCAGGCCAGGCCTGCTTACTCCTCATTTCCCTCATTGTTGCTGAGCTAATGTTCAGGATGGATCTTGTCTGGACATAGCTTGCTTTCTGGAAAGTCTCATCCTCCTGGCACTGAGACGGGCAGCACAGAATGCTGGCTGCGGGGCCCAAGAATGCGCCATTTGGCTGCTCGTTCCCTTCCTAACTGCCATCCTGGCAACTGTAAAATCTCCTGCACTAGGAGAACGGAAGCTGCAGAAGGGAGTTTGTGTGTGTGTCAGGATCACTGGGCGCCCTGCAAGACCCATCCATCCAGGATGGGATGCTCTCCAGGATGCTCTGGCTCCCCGTGGGCGTTATCTCATCCTCCGGGCATAGCTCCAGAACCTGAAAGGAGCTAGTGGGCAGGGGTAGGCACTGCCATAGTGGGGTAGAAATATGGCACCCCTCTTGGCAGCTCTGCTTCCATTGAGCCATGGGTTCCTGGAGAAGAGGGGCCATGCCTTATTTCTCAGATGTTCTTCTGGCTCTGGCTGTAGTATGGGGATGACCAGAAACCTTGTCCTTTGTAGTTCTGATTAGGATGGAGGTGGAGTGGAGACACCAATTGTCCCTAGTCTGGTCCTGTGTGTTTGATGGGGAGGGTGGTGTAAGGGTTTGAATAGTGTGCCTCAACCACCAAATAGATGTCCACAGGAAGCTGTGGATGTGACCTTATTTGGAAAATGGGTCCTGCAGATGTAATTAGTGAAGAGCTTCAAAATGAGATCATCCTGGATCTCCAGGCAGGCCCTAAATCCAGTGACAAGTGCACCATGAGAGAAAGGCAGGGGGAGATTTGAAATGCGCAAAGGTGCGGAGGAGGTCACATATCAGTGGAGGTGGAAATTGGAGCGATGTTGCCACAAGCCAAGGAGTGCCTAAAGTCACCAGAGGTGGGGAGAGGAAACACAGGACTCCTCCCAGAGCCTTTATGGGGAGTACAGCCCTGCTGGGCACACCTAAACTTCAGACTTCTGTGCTCCAGATGGGGAGAAAAGAAATGTCTGTTGTCTTAAGCCACCTGGTTTGTGGAAATTTGTTATACCAACCGTGGGGCATGAACGCAGGTAGGAACCAACCAGGGCACTGAAACTCATGATTCTTGAAAGGATCCAACCAGTCAACAACCCCAGTTCTTCACTAGCTCACCCTCCACAATCCCCTCAGAGACCTCACCCAAAACTACTGTGGGAGATGGATTTGAGGGTCTCCATCTCCTCACTTGGTGCCCTGCGATCATTAAACTCTTTCTCCCTGTCAACGCTGCTGTCTCAGTTACTGGGTCTGTTAGCACACAGTGGGCATACAAACCTGTTGTTCCTACAACACTTCCTACCTGTCACCCATGCTTCTGAGCTGTGCTGGCCACCAGGCAGCCATGTGGGAGCTGTGGGCAGACTGGAGAGGTGAGCTCCCAATAAAGACAAGAAGAGCAAGTGTTAGATCCATGAGAGAACAAAGGTCCTTTGATGACAAGTCAAGCAGAAACCAGAAGTCCAGAAACTGAGGTCAGCCAAGACATGGCAGCAAAAATCAAAAAGGGCCCAGACTTGCCTGAGAATCCTGCCTGCCACATGTGCCTATTCTTTATTATCTATTGTTATGGCTGCTTAGGTGCTATGACAGCAGAGTTGAAGCCACCAAGTCTAAAGTATTTACCATCTAGCCCTTTAGAGGAAAAGCTTGCCAATCCTTGCTTTAGGGCAATAGTTCTCAAACTTTGGTGCCCATCTGAGTCACCTGGAGGGCTGTGAAAACAAAGGACTGGGCCCCACCCCCAGAGTTTCAGATTCAGCAGGTCTAAGATAGGGCTTCATAATCTGCATTTTTTTGTTTGTTTGTTTCTTTTGTTTTTGAGACAGAGTGTCACTCTGTTGCCAAGGCTGGAATGCAGTGGTGTGATCTTGGCTCACTGTAACCTCTGCCGCCCAGGTTCAAGTGATTCTCCTGCCTCAGCCTCCCGAGTAGCTGGGATTACAGGCACATGCCACCACGCCAGGCTGATTTTTTGTATTTTTAGTAGAGACGGGGTTTCACCATGTTGGCCAGGCTGGTCTTGAACTCCTGACCTCAGGTGATCCACCCGCCTCGCCCTCCGGAAGTGCTGGGGTTACAGGCATGCGCCGCCGCACCCGGCCCATAATCTGCATTTCTAACAAGTTGCCCAGTGATGCAGAGGCTGCTGGATCAGGGACCACTCTCGGAGAACCGCAGCTCCACAGCTGCACTTCTTACACTTTATTATTTTTGTTTTCACTTATTTATTTATTTTTTGAGACAGAGTCTCAGTCGCCCAGGGTAGAGTGCAGTGGCACAATCTCGGCTTACTACAACCTCTGCCTCCTGGGTTCAAGTGATTCTCCTGCCTCAGCCTTTTGAGTAGCTGGGATTACAGGCACGCACCACCACTCCTGGCTAATTTTTGTATTTTTAGTAGAGACAGGGTTTTGCCACGTTATCCAGGCTGGTCTCGAACTCCTGACCTCAAGTGATCCTCCTTCCTTGGCCCAAAGTGCTGGGATTACAGGGCTGAGCCACTGCACCCGGCCTGCTTCTTACACTTTAATCTGCCCATGATTCACCCAGGGATCCTGATAAAATTCAGACTCTGATCCGGGAGAAGCAATCTCCAGGAAGAACAACCTTGTGATCCAGTGGCCCCTGCCTTCCTCACCCTCCCTCTCCAGCCACAGCTGATTGGACCTGGGGTGGGCACCTGAGTCAGGGACCCATGGGCTCACCCACAGTCAGTGACAGGATGCCAAACAAATAGGGTCCCTAGAGAGCGTGGAAGCCAGGTAGATTCTCTCGAGAGAGTCTGAAATGTGGCTGCATAGACACCGTTGCCTGTTGTTGGTGACCCCTGGGCTGAGAGGCAATGACGTGGAGTTGGGGGCCAGTGGCATGACAAGACAAGGGCAAAATGGGTGAGCAGAGGCAGCCAGCCCAGGGAGGGGAGGAGAGGAAGTGGAGGCCCAGAGATTATGAAGCTCGGCGAGGCAGAAAGCTTTCTAATTCCCAGTTCCCATGAGCCCTGACTGGGCTGTTTGCCCTTCTGTTCTGAGAAATTCCTGTGTCCCTTCAAATATGCTTCTCTTTTGGCTTAAGCTACTTTGAGCAGTTTCTTATTCTTCAAAGCCGAAAGAGTCTTAAAGAGAATGCATCCGTGACCCTCTCCCGCCACTCTCACATCTTGTTTATGTTCATCTCCAGGACCTTGGACAGGGCCCAGCACAGGGGCCCTGGAATGTGGACTGTCTCAGTGGATTCTTGTTTATAGGAATTAGAGGAAGGTGGAAGAAGCTCATTCCAGGTGAGCAGAGGCACGGAGCAAGGGTGAGCGTGTGAGAAGAGCCATGTGAACAGGATGTATAGGGGCCAGTGGAGGGAAGGCCAGTCAGGAGGGAAGGCTGGATGCAGATGGCCTTAAACACCAGGCTGAGGAGTTGGGGTTGGTTTGACAAATGGTAGGGAGGTATCAGAAGTCCTGCAGCTGGATGGACATGACAAAGAACAGTTGTGCCCTTTTCTTTAACAAGGATTCAGATGGCCTGGGTGACAGATGACATCTTGGGACTGAAATGAACAAATAATAAACCTATGCATGGAACTCTTACAAGAAAACATCAGGCAAAAGCTTACCAACATCGAATTTGGCAATGATTTCTTAGATATGACATCAAAGGCACAGACAACAGACTTCATAAAAAAGAAAAACTAGACTTCATAAAAGTTAAAAAAATTTTGTTAATCCTAAGACACTATCAACAGAGTAAAAAGGCAACCCACAGTATGGAGGAAAATATTTGCAAATTATATATCTGATAAAGGATTAATATTTAGAATATACAGAGAACTTCTAAAACTCAACAACTAAAAGACAAACAACCTGATTCAAAAATGGACAAAGGTTTTGAAAATACATTTCTCCATTTAAAAAGACAAATGGCCAATAAGCACATGGAAAAATGCGCATTAGAAAAATGCCAATCAAAACTATAATGAGATATTACCTCATATCCATTAAGAAGACTGCTATTAAAAAAAAAACAAAAAAAAATACAAAAAAACCCCAGAAAATTGGCTGGACATGGTGGCTTATGCCTATAATCCCAGCAGTTTGGGAGGCTGAGGGAGATGGATCACCTGAGGTCAGGAGTTTGAGACCAGCCTGGCCAACATGGTGAAACCTTGTCTCTACTAAAACACAAAAATTAGCCAGGCGTGGTGGTGCACACCTGTAACCACAACTACTTGGGAGGCTGAGGCAGGAGAATGGCTTGGACCCAGGAGGTGGAAGTTGCATGAGCCGAGATCGTGCCACTGTACTCTAACCTGGGCGACAAGAGCGAAACTCTGTCTCAAAACAAACAAACAAACAAACAACAACAACAAAAACCCAAAACCAGAAAATAGGTATTGATGAAGATGTAGAGAAATTGGAACACATGTGCACTATTGGTGGGAATGTAAAATGCTGTAGTCTCTATGGAAACAGTATGGCAATCTCTTAAAAAATTAAACAGAGGCTGGGCACCGTGGCTTACACCTGTAATCCCAGCACTTTGAGAGGCTGAGGCAGGAGGATCGATTGAGCTCAGGAGCTCACAACCAGCCTGAGCAACATAGTGAGACCGCATCTCCACTAAAAAAAAAAAAAAATTAGCCATGCCTAGTGGTGTGCACCTGTAGTTCCAGCTACTTGGGGGACTGAAGTGGGAGGATTGCTTGAGCCCAGGAAGTCGAGGCTACAGTGAGCAGTGATCGTGCCAGTGCACTCCAGCCTGGATTACTGAGCAAGACCCTGTCTCAAACAAACAAACAAACAAACAAACAAACAAACACCATAAAGCCAGGGGCTCATGCCTGTAATCCCCGCTACTTGGGAGGTTGAGGGAGGATTGCTTGAGCCCAGGAGTTCCAGACCACCCTGAGCAATGCAGCAAGACCCCATTCCCAATAAATAAATAAATACATACATAAATAAATAAATACATACATAAATAAACAAAAAATTGAACATAGAATTACCATGTGATTCAGAAATTGCACTTCTGGGTATATAACCCAAAGAACTAAAAACAGGGCCTCAGAGATATTGAAAGTAATGGCAAAAACCGCAATAAATTTTGCACTATCTAATATTTGCACACCAATGTTTATAGTAACCCAAGTTTCCACCAACAGAGGAATGAATGGCTAGGCAAAATGTGTTGCATACACACAGTGAATGTTACTCATCCTTAAAAAGGAAAGGAATCCTGCAGTATGCTGCCACATGGATGAGCCTTAAGGCCATTATGCTAAATGAAATGAGTCAGTCACAAAAAGACAAATTCTGTGTGATTCCACTTATATGAGGCACTTAGGGTAGTCAAAATCATAGAGACAGGAAGTAGAATGGTGGTTGCCAGAGGCTGGGGAGGAAGGCATGAGAGTTATTGTTTGTGGGTATGGAATTTCGTTTGACAAGATGAAGAGTTCTGGAAATGGATGGTGGTGCTAGTTGCACAACATTGTAAGTGTATTCAATAATATTGCTGAGCTGTACACTTTGATAAATTTTGTTATGTGTATTTTACCACAATTAAAAAAACAAAACCAAACCCTTATGCATGGGGAAAACAAATGACTGGATGGAAATAAAACAAAAGCTTATAGTAATGTGGATTTTTTTTTCTACTTTCCTGTGCTTTCCAATTTTCCTCTAGAGTGCAATCAATAACAGTGGAAAGAAGTCCCTGGAGCCCAGTGCAGTGGCTTGAACTGAGAATGCACTCACTGGCTGTTGCAGCCAAGACTCCAGTTCTCGCCTCTCTTTCCCTGACTCCCCTGTGCCCACCTTTCCCCTGCAGGAAAGTATACCCGGCGGGCCAGGGGGCTTTTGTGGTTGGGTTATGTCTTCATCTTGTCTGCTCTGTGAGCCATTTACTTCTCAGGCACAGCTCTGGGCGCAAGGGCAGCCTG
Organism: Homo sapiens; assembly: GCF_000001405.40. NCBI lineage: Eukaryota > Metazoa > Chordata > Mammalia > Primates > Hominidae > Homo > Homo sapiens. The sequence goes on from NT_167251.2 coordinate 932,742, forward strand.
TGCCACAGATGTCTGTTGAACAGTGGATTCACGTCTGTGGCTGCTGTATAGATGATCACACGCCTGATGGCTTCAAACAACAGAAATATACCCTCTCACGGCTCTGGGGGCCAGAAGTCTGGAATCAGGATCATTGGGCTGAAATCAAGGGGTCAGGGCTGTGTTCCCTCTGGAAGCTCTAGGGGGAATTCATTCCTTACCCCTTCCAGCTCGTGCTGGCTGCTGGCAGTCCTTGGCTTGTGGCCACATCACTCCAATCTGTCTCCATCACCACATTGCCTTCTCCACTTCCATGTGTGTAATCCTGCTGTCTCCTCTGTCTCTCTCTCTAGCTCTTTTTTTTTTTTTTTTTTTGAGACAGAGCTTCGCTCTGTTGCCCAGGCTGGAGTGCAGTGGCGCAATCTCGGCTCGCTGCAACCTCCACCTCCCGGGTTCAAGCAATTCTCCTACCTCAGCCTCCCAAGCAGCTGGGATTACAGGCACCCACCACCATGCTCGGTTAATTTTTGTATTTTTAGTAGAGACAGGGTTACACCATGTTGTCTAAGCTGGTCTCGAACTCCTGACCTCAGGTGATCCACTTGCCTCGGCTTTCCAAAGTGCTGGGATTACAAGCATAAGCCACTGCACCCAGTCCTCTCTCTCTCTCTTTTTTTTTTATTGAGACGGAGTCTCACTCCGTCACCAAGGCCAGAGTGCGGTGGTGCAATCTCCCCTCACTGCAACCTCCGCCTCTGGGATTCAAGCTTTCTCTCCTGCCTCAGCCTCCCAAATAGCTGGGATTACAGACATGCGCCACCATGCCTGGCTAATTTTTGTGTTTTTAATAGAGACAGGGTTTCGCTGTGTTGGCCAGTCTGGTCTCAAACTCCTGACCTCAATTGATCCACCTGCCTTGGGCTCCAAAGTGCTGGTATTACAGGCGTGAGCCACTGCGCCCAGCTTCTCCTCTGTCTCTCTCTCTCCCTCTCTCTCTCATAAGGGCCCATGTGCTTGCGTTTAGGGCCCGCTAGGACGATAGAGGATTATCTCCCCATCTCAGGATCCTTCGCTTAGTCACTTCCGCAAAGTCCTTTCTCCTTTGCTCCCTTTCATGGAAGGTAATGATCACAGGTTCCAAATTTTTGGGGGAGGACATTATTCAATGTGTCACAACTGGCTTTAAGGATTAAGCAAGGTAGGTGGAGGCCAGACTCCCTTGGCTCATGCTCTGGGGCTGTCCCGGGGGATAGCCGGGAAGAGAACCTGGGCTGTGATGGGTGAGGGTTCTCAGGTGTGGCCCCTCCTGCCTGAGTTCACTACAGTGTCTGGGTCAAGTCAGGAACTGCAGGCAGGGCCAAGCCTGGGTCCAGGCTGGACGAGGGACTGAGGGTTTTGCTCAGAGTTCTTTTCTCTCTGGACCCAGGGGCCTCCTGCTTTAAGAAGACCCAGTACGTGGGGGAATTTGGGGGCTTCATGAAGCAGCCTCTGAAAGGCAAACCAGAAAGCGTCTCCTGTTTACGAAGGGTTTCTGCATTAGTTTCCAGGTTCTCGGTTGCCTTGGGCTTGTCACTGGGTCTGCTGTCTGATGTTGGGCAGGCTGCTTTCCCTCTCTGTCCTCAGTTCTGGATGATCACTGGAGGCTCTGCCAACACCATTATTCAGACCTCACTGCAATCCCCCAAACCCCACCAATCTTTGCTGCCATTCAAATCTTTGGGAGCCTGGGGAATACTACTTAAAGGCATTTCTCAGAACAAGGTCTCAGGTCAGGCTCAGTGGCTCACACCTGTAATCCCAACACTTTGGGAGGCCAAGGCGGGAGGATTGTTTGAGCCTAGGAGACCAGTCTGGACAACATGGCAAAACCCGATCTCTATAAAAAATACACAAAGATTAGCAGGGCATGGTGGCGCATGCCTGTAGTTCCAGCTACTGGGGAGGCTGAGGTGGGAGGATCACCTGAGCCTGGAAGGTTGAGGCTGCAGTGGGCTGTGATCATGCCACTGCACACCAGCCTTGGTGACAGAGCAAGACCCTGTCTCAAAAAACAAACCAAACCAAGCCAAACCAAAACAAAAACAAAAACTCAGAACGTCTCAGATTTTAGCAGCCCAAGGTTCTCTCAGCAGCAGCCCCAGCTGTCTGCTTCCCTTCCAGGTCCCGTTCCAGGGGCAAGGACTGGGTCTGGACCTGGGGGTGGGGGTGGGGAGGGGCCATATGGGGAGTCTCCTCATCTTGCGTACAAATAGTCCAGGAACCGGGGGGCCTGAGGACACTTATTCATGGTGGTCTGATTCTATGGGGTGGGGTAAGTGTCAGGGCATGGACCGTCTTTAGGCATTAAGGACATTCAGTGATGCTGTTTTGGGCTATTTCATTCAATAAAATATCAAAATAACCTCCTCCAGGGCACCTCACCCTTCTAACAACCCAGATTCTAAAGCGTTAACCTTGAGCCCAATAGGGGCTTCAGAACTCTGCTGATTGCTAGTTTATTAAACATATTTTAAATATCATTACTGATTATAATTATCCCCAAATTCCATGAGCCCCTGCTTGCTCTTATCTTCCTGGCCAGTAGGTGGCAGCACAGTAGCATTCAAGGTTCAGGGTTGCAGGAAAAAAGGCGCAAAACGTTGGTGGTTCAGTTAAACTGCAGGACCCAGTACGTGGGGGAATTTGGGAAACCTTTTCTTGGCTCTGCGGTGGTGCCCTGCTTACCACCAGGCACCCACCCACACACCACATCCCAGTGAGCGTGGGCAGGGGAGACCAAGGGAAGAGGATGACTCCACTTCTGGGAGCTCATTTGGGGAAGACGGCATTTGGGGGTATGTCAAGTGCTGTCCTGGAAAGTTTTTCCCCAAACCTGGGTCACACGTAATGAGATAATGCATTTATCTGCCCTGCTGTAAGTGCTTAGCCAGTGTTAGCTGTTCATACACATACTTCACTTCATTTAATCCTTACAACGAACCATTAGGTGAGTCTTAGCAGCCCATTTTACAGATGAGAAAATTGAAGCTCAGAGGGCTGGCTTCTGTTGTCCAGCATCACATGACAAGAGAAAGCAATGTGGGGCTTTGAACCCAGGTCTCAAAGTCCAGCTGTGTTCTCCTTCTAGCTGGCAAGCGGATTGATGCTGAACCTTTATCAAGCAACACACACAGATACTTCTCAAGGAGAATGTGGGGCTATACCTCCCAGGGCACAGGAGTGGGTAGACCCAGAGTTTTCCTGGGGGAGGTGTGATTTCAGAGGAACAAAATCAGAGACCAGGGTGTGTGGAGGGAGGGGCTGTTGAGGATGAGAGCTGGTCCCAGCTGCTGGGCTGGGAGGCAGGAGACCAGACTTGCATTTCGTTTCTGCTGTCCCATTGCTGTGTGACCTTGGGCAGGTCCTGGCCCTCTCTGGGCTTTCCTTTCCTCATCTGTGGATGAGATCATCTCACAGGTCCTTGCTGGTCCCCACTGTCCCAGAAATCCAGAAGCTCCAGTACTAAACCCTCTCATGAACAAAAGAAAACCAAGCCCATGCTCATAAAGCTGGTGCTGGGATTACCAAGGTCACAGACAGAAATGCCAGTTGGCCTGTGTAAAACAGCTCGACCCTGAGGCTGGGCCACCTGGGGCCCTGGGGGTGGCCTTGAGGAGGCTATTCCTGCCCTGGTCTCATCTGAGGGTTCACCTATCACAGGTGAGGCTGTCCAGGAAGCAGGTGCTGTGGTGGTTAGTGGTGGAGCCAGGAGGAAGCAGCTTGCAGCACGGGGAGCCGGCAGCCTGGGATGCAGCCCTGTGCTGCCCCTGCCAGCCCATGGGATCAAAGCAAAGACCACTCTGGGTGGAGACAGCCAGGGCCTGGGCCCCTGTCTTGCTCAGCCAGTAACCGGCCCTTTGTGCCCCCTCCCCTGAAGAGCACGAGTGAGCCGGGCTAGAAAGCTGAGGTGCCCCCAGGAGGCTGTCCTCGAACCACACTCCTCAGAGCAGCTGGGCAGCGAGTTCTGTCTTGAAGGGGGATCTGTCCCACCAGGAAAGGGGTAGGCCTGCAGGGAGGGACCTTGACCACCCTGTCCTTTGGGATGGGAAATCCAGGGATCAGCACCCCCACTCCTGTAAGCCCAGGAAAGGCCTGGTGGGGAAAGGCTGGATCTGTAGGGAACCACACGCAGCAGGTCAGAGCCCAGAGGTGTGTGTGTGTGCACGTGTTGGGTGTGCACAGGTGTGCACGGGGCATGTGCATGTGTTCAGTACAGGTGTATGTGTGTGGATGTGCGCATGGGTGTATATGTGTGCAGGTGTGGGGTGTGGGGGTGTGTGAAGTGTGCAGCATGGGTATGTGCCCATGTGTATATGTATGTATGCAAATGTGTGTGCATGCGTGTGTGTATATGCCCATGCGCAGTATCTTGTGTCCCTCTGGCATTCAGGCAGGGGCTTCCAGCTTTGGGCACCGCTGGCAGGTGGCAGCGTGGTCTGGACACCTGGAGTTGGCCCTGTCCTCTGGGAAGAGGACTGGCAGAGTAAGAGGAGGCCTCTGGGCAGGAGTAGGGACATTGGGCCATCAGAGGGCACAGCAGGGGCAGCAGGGCAAGATCTAGGAGACTTGACTCTGTGCCGGGCACTGGGCTCAGCTCCTCACCCATATGGCTTATTACTTACCACAACCCCTGGGGCAGGAGGTGTTATTACGCCCACTTTATGGTAAGGAGACTTTTGCATCCTCAAAGTCACACAGCTAGTAAGGGGGACATTCATCCAGCCAGTGAATTCATTCAACAGATGTTTTATTGAGCACCTACTATGTGCCAGGTCCAGTGCATGATGAACAAAACAGGACAAAGTCTGCCTCAGAGGACATGCTAGAGAGTGGGGTGGGGGTTGAGAAATGTGGCGGTTAAGTGAAGATTGTTGGTTGGTAAAGTTGCTTCAATTTCTCCTGCCCCAGACCGGGATTGGCCAGGGGAGCAAGGTGGAGGTTGAGCCTCCGGGTGTGGTCAGGTGTACCCAGGGCTCAGGGAGGGGAGCCTGCAGGGCCCCCAGCTGAATGTGTATGTCAGGATGGAAGGCAGGACCTGCCTTGGGCCCCCGGCACCTTGAAGCCTTGGTCTCCCTCCTCCCCACCTCCTCCTGGCCCAGCCAAGACAAGAGGCTGAAGCCAAACTCTAAAGGTGTTCACCCTGGGGTGGGGGTGGGGGTCCCTCAAAATGGTTGATGCCTGGTCCCACCCCAGACCTGTCAACTCAGAATCGGTGGGGCCAGGAATCCAGATTTTTGGCAGGTGCCCCAATGATTCTGACCTGCAGCCGTGCTTGGGTGCCTCTTTCTAAACCCTCAAGCTGCCTCTAGACCCAGAGTCCTTGCCCAGCCCCATCTGTGAAATGGGCAGAGTTGCTGCAGAGTATTCTTGGGAGGAAGAAGAAAGGTCCTGCCCATCACCTGCCTCCAGCCCCGTCTCCACACTTGTTTCCTGAGCAGGGCAGAAGAGCTTGGAGGATGTAGGGGTGTGTGGGGGGACTCACATAGTTTTTCCAGTTCACATGTAGAAGGCAGCTGTCCCTGTGTCTTAGCTTGGGATCCCTGGGAATGAACCTCAGGAGCATGCTGGGTGGGAGGTGCTGGGCAGTGGTCTCAGGGGAGATGCTTGCGAGGGAGTGAGGTCTGCAGGAAGGTGAGGATGAAGCTGGGCCTCGGGGCCGGTTGGCTGGGGCCCCAGTGAGCCCTCGGGAGCTCTGGAGCTGGGGTGTCCTTCATAGAGGTCCCCGACATTGGTCAGTCCTGGCTGTGGCCACACTAGGGAACCAGCAGGGGGAGGGGGTGGTGAAACTTAGGTGACTAGAACGACTTCCCAGTGAGAAGCAGAGCTGAGAGCTACCTGGGCACCGTGATGCCACTGCACCCTGGGCTGCTGTCCACCCCAGGCCTGGCCTTGGGACCCTGTGAGCACCTCAGTTCTGCTGCCCAAGCACAGTGCAGCAAGCTGGGGGTTGGGGAAGAGGGATGGAGGCAGCAGATCCAGGCCGTGTGGGCCCTCACCTCCCCGTCAGGTCTGGATGCCGGGAAGGGGGAGGCCTCCCGACCCAGACCCTCCCTGAATCCCCTCTCCTTGGAGGTAGGCATTGGCCTCCCTGCAGGCCTGCGGAGCTCCAGGCCTGCATCCTCAGAGCCCTCAGACTGGATTTCTGGGAAAGAGAAGTTCCTTTATCCTGACCTCCTGCTTTGGGGGATGTGGGGGCCAGGGAGCCCAGGAGGCCTCGGCTCTGTCCAGCCCTTCCCATCGGGCCTGGCAGAGGGTGCAGCTGCCCTCGGCAGGCCCCGTGACGCAGGCCAGCAGCAGGGAGGCTGCCCAGGCTGGGGCTGAGCCAGGGCCTGCGGAGGGCCCTCTGTCCAGGCCAGATGGCCACTGCTCCGGTGGGAGGGGCTGCCAACACCTCCGCAGTGGCCTGGCCGGGTTCTCCAAGCTTCCCTTGTCTAGCGGGCCTTCAGCTGCTGTGTACCGAGAGGCTGCACTTCTTCCCTGGCAAGCGGGGCTTTGAGAGGCCCACCACCTGCACTGCCTCCCTGGGACTCTCTCCCCACTCCAGGGCCCAGCCAGGCCTGCCAAGTCTCACGTCAACACTGACCAAGGTCCTGCAGGAAGCCTGTGAGGTGGCCTGGGCAGTGGGGCCTTCCCTCATAGCATCCCCTCCTCTGCAGTTCAGGCTGGTCAACTCCTCATTCATTCATTCATTCATCCATCCGTTCATTCCTCCAGCAAATACATCAAGCACCGGTAACACTCCAGGGGCTGTTCTGAGCCCTGAAATTACACAGATGAACAAGATGGGCAAGGCCCCTGCCCTTCCAAAGCTGGCCCTCTACTGGGGAAGATCGGAAAACTAAAGGTGCCTGGTCGTGTGATTGAGACAGGGATGCTTTAGGAAAGGCTGCGAAGAGGAGCAGCCAGCCAGGCCAAGTTCACGGGGCGTGGTAAGGAAGGGGCAGAAAGAGAGTTCCAAGAAGAGGAAAAAGCATGGGGGGTGTGGTGGGTCTGGCGTGTGCTTGTGGCGGTAGGGGTTTGGAGGGGTGGAAGAGGGCCGTTGGGCTGGGACCTCAAGGCCTTGTAGGAGCTGGGTTTGAGTCTGTGAGGCTTTCACTAGGGGAGCAATATAAACATAGCTCACGTGCAGGGGGCTCTTCGGACAGGCAGGGCATTGTGCCAATCACCTGACATAGGCCAACTTGTTCAAACTTCCTAAGAACCAGATGGTAGGTCCTATTATCCCATTTCACACACAAGAAAACAGAGGCACTGAATGGATAAGTCATTTGCTCAGTGAGATACTCCAAGTCAGTGGTAGGGCTGGGATTTGTGGTAGGCAGCCTGGCTGTAGAACCCTAACCACTGAACCACACCGCCTCTTGGGATACACTTTCCTCCCCTCCAAAAACACCTCCTCCAGGAAGCCTTCTCACCCCAGAGTTTGTCTGCTCTGATTAAGCAACACATCAGCACCCTACATGGCCTAAAAGCCTGTAGAGTCCTTAGGAAGTCATCTCGTCCATGCCCCTGCCTCCAGATGGAAATGGTATTATAAGTCTCATTTTGCAGATGAGACTACAGAGACCCAACGAGGCTTGAACATTACTTAGAGTCAGTGAGGGAGGCCTTGGTCTCCGGAATTCTTCCACCCTGGGCCCAACCTCTCCAACCCCTCCCGACCTCTTTGAGACAATTCTAAGTTTGTTTCTTGTCTGCCCACCCCTCCCCCTCCCCCAGCTAGACAGAGGCCTTCCCTGTGCCCACCACATGGCGATGCACATAGTAGGGGCATACTCAATGCCTGAAGATGGAATGGGTGGTGCATACAGGAACTTGCTGGGCTTGGTGCTGCTGCCTGGGATTCTTGAACAGAGACGTTTTGCAGAATGGATGTGAGCTGAGGAGTAAAGGATGCTTCGGAATCTTCTAGTGAGTCAGGGAGCCAGGCTGGAGTGTTTCTGTCTGGAGAGGGAAGGGCATCCCAGCTGGAGGGAACAGCATACGCAGAGAGAGCGGGTGGGGAGGACAAAGAGTTCTGTTTGACCTGAGCATGGAGAGAAGATGGGCAATGAGCCTAGGGTGGGTGGCAGGGATGGGATGGGGGCTGTGTGCCAGGCTAAGAAGCTGCCACTCTGGATTGGGAAGGGGTTGGGCAAGCAGGCAGAGGGGAGTAGCTGCCCAGTGAGCCCTGGATGCAAATCCCGACCTTGCCGCTTGAACTTGTGCAAGTCATAGGCCCTCTTGGAGCCTCAGTTTCCCCCCTTCATTATTTGGGGGTGGTGCCTACTCCTAAGGACCCTTCGAGCCCTGCACACTCTTATTATGTGGTTGCTGCTCTCTTGCACTCCCGACAAACAGAGAGACTCCTTGGGTAGATATGAAATCTCTTTGATGCCCTGATTTCTTGTTGCCATGCATGGCTTTGCTCTGCAATGTTCCACCAGCCCTTTGAGAGGCGTGTGTCCCAGGGCCTCCAGTTCACAAGGGAGCCTGGGTCGACATGCTCTTTCTTACTTTCAAACCCTTCCTCTTGTGGAGTCCCGCCCAGGGCAGGCCAGTCTCGTGGGCCTGGGCTTGGGCATGGACGTGGCCCAGCTCTGAGGGCCGGGGCATCAGGGGCATGAGTGGGATCAGCATGGCCATTGGCATCAGTGGCATCAGCTCCTCCGAGGCCCTAGGGGGGATGAAGGGCAGCTCATTAGGATCCAAGTGGGCGTCACTCCAGCCCTCGGGGCTATCACTGCGGTCCTCTGGATTGGTGGCTTCATTCTCAGATATGGTGACAATCTCAGTGGTGTCTTCTCCAGGGTTGCTGTCTAAGTCCCCTGCTCCTCGGCTGGTGCCTCTCTCAAGTGTGCTGGCTGTGTGGGCGTCTGCTGCGCCCTCCTGCTTCTGCCTAGAGCCAGCCGAAGGGGCACAGCCGAGCCCACACATCTTAGCTCTGCCCTGGCCAGTCCAGAAGAGGCTGAGCTCTTGGCGGCAGGCAGCCACAGCCAGGCTGGTGAGCAGGGTGCTGGACACTAGGTAGAGCAAGGCAGGTTGGCCCATCTGCATGAGGACCATGGCCATGAATGTGACCAGCAGGCCCACAGCATAGGCCACAGTGCAGGCCACGAAGTAGACCTGACGGGAGCAGACTTGCACATCAAAGGGGCAACAGTAAGCAACCAGGAAGCCGGGGACCACAATGTCACCGAAGCCAAGGATGGAGAAGGGCTGGCTGCACAGGGTCAAGGCGGAGACTCTTAGCCGGGGCACTTTGAGTACCATGGGCAGCCTCTCATGGCTTGAAGACTCTGCAGGGCCCAAGGCAACCTGCGCCATGATGCTCTCACCGGTTTTGGTGAAGAAGGGGGTGACGAAGACAAAGAAGACATCAAAGGCCAGCAGGGCCAGCAGGAAGGAGGAGCAGTTCTTGAGAGTGGGCAGCCGCACACGGTGCAGGACGAACAGGCAGTAGGAAATGCCCAGTGTGTCCTGCAGGAGCCACGCCCAGCGGTCCTCATTGCGGTAGGCCACCCAGAAGATGATCACGGTTGTGCACAGGCTCGCCAGCAGCAGCAGAGGCAGCGGCAGAGAGGCCCAGAGGCTGTGCGGAGGCCTCTGGTATTGCCGCAGGGACAGGCGGCACACCAGGGGTGACAGGCAGCTGTAGAGGCCAATGCCAGCACCCAGGCCAAAGATCCCAATGGTGACATAGACAAAGTGGTCATAGAAGAAGTAGAGCAGCAGCATGAGCGAGCAGGACAGGGTGACCACCACGCCTGTCATGGCCGGCGTGAAGTCCACTGGGATGTCCTCATTATCTTCCTTCTGGGCTCCCTCAGCTGCTGCAGCTTCCTGCAGCTGATGGTGACCACCAGGCCCCCCTCCTCTTCGGGCACGGCGCCGCTGTAGCCGGTTGGCTTCGGTCAGGCCGGCCCAGTAGCCGCCTGCAGCCACTGTGCCCACAGCCAGGATGAAGATGACCAGCATGTTGTAGTCGATGATGGGCTCTGGGGGTGCGTACATGGCCACGCGGACGACGGCCTCCCCACGAGTGTGGCTGAGGATGTCCAGCATGTCAGCATAGTGGAGCATAGCCACAGGGATGGTGAGGTCTGCCAGGGGCTGGCGGGGATCCTGGGGTGCCAGGGTGGTGTCTGAGCACTGTTGGTCACTGACCCGGCTCACGATGAGCAGCCCGTGGGCACCTTGGCCCTGAGCCAGCCAGCCTTTCGTGTGGAAGCTGCAGTTACCCCTCATGACCATGGCAGTGGTCTGGCGGAGGGGCCGCTGGCTGGGGGAGCGGAGCTGGGCCTGGTGGGGGGAATCCTCACCCGGGCACCAGGGTGCCTTGGTGCCATCATACAGGGGCAGGAGTGGGGCGTGGTGCAGGTCCCGGGGGAGGGTGATGTAGTCGGAGCTGAACAGGATACAGTAGTCCTTGCTCCAATTCTCCGACACCACGTGGGCCACGCCGTACTTTCCCCCGGCCACGGTGCTGATGAGGAGGAGGAAGCCCACGGGGAGGAGGAAGCCCAGGCACGCCATCTTCTTCAGTTCCTACTGCAACATCTGCGGGCGGCAGCCCAATACCCCTCCCAGGGGCAGGCGTGGCCCTTTGTCACAGAGCAGTCTGGCCACCTGTCCTGGAAACCAGGGCCACACCTACCTAGTCATAAAGCTGTGTGGTCCCCAGCCGAGGGCGCTGCTGTGGGGCACAGGGTCCCTCTAGAATGATGCCCCCCAACCCTGGGAGACCAGGGGAGAGGTCATATGGACCCTGCTCTCTGCCCAGACCCTAGTGGGTTTAGACCAGGTACTTTGAAATAAAAGGTGTGAGCATGGGGTTTGCAGGCCAGATAGGATTCTGAACCAACTTTTCTCCTTACCCATGGGGAACACAGGCCAATGTCACTCCTCTCTAGGCCTGTTTCTTTAGCTGTAAAGAAATGAGGACGTTGGGCCAGAGAGTTTCTAAGGTCCCTTGGAGCTCTGAGCTCAGTAACATTGAGCACTTTTACCGAGGGCTTACTAGGCGCCAGGTACCCTAGCTGTACCTATTGCACGGTTGCAAGGAGGTGTCATTATATCTGCACAGCCTGAGGCTGTCCCTCAAAGTTGGTCCCCATTTCTACCAGGCACATGACCAGAATTCACCTCCAACTCCATTTACAGTTGGGAACGGACAGGTGACCAGGAGAAATTAAGCAAAAATGATGTGAACTCTTTACATCAGGGGCTTAGGCTGTCAGACCGTGGGGCTCCTGGTTTACCCTCTCTTTCCCTTTCTCAGGAGTCAGAACAAGGACGGGCCTGTGATGTGTCTGTCTATGACGAGGAGGACAATGTCCTAAGGAATGGAGAGGAAGAAAGTGAAGGGAACCAGGTCCCTGGATTCCATGTGGAACAGTAGCCCAGGATGTGCACTATGGACTGTTACAAGAGAGAGACATGATCTTCCTTAAGGCATTGATTTGTCATGAGTCTCTTTGTTATAGCCACTTAACGTTACCTTAATACACCCACTTCATGGATAAGTAAAACTGAGGCTTGGAGAAGCCCACATTGACACAGCAAAGAAGGCTGGGGCTCTTGTGCTGGTTAAATGGAACTTGATGTCTTCCAAATGTTTTCATGCTGGATTCTGAGCCACTCTCCTGGCTGCAACTCTGAGGCCGGGCAGACTTTCCGCTGGAAAGAGAACTCAAATACTGGTGAGAGGTGGATTTGAAGCCAGGAGCCCCAGGTTTTGGCTCTGCAGGTTTGCACCCAGCTCTGTGGTGTATGCCCTCACAGGTCACCCAGGACCTCCTGTCCAGGCTTCTTCAGGCCACCCATGATGGAGTGGATTTGAGGAATGAGGTTTTCAAAGCAGTTAGTGTGCGGGAGAGTAACCCTGGGGCCTCCGGAACCAGAAGGGAGGGATTTGGGGGCTGGAGCTTGGCAGTCCAGGTTCCATTGTCCTCATGTTCTCCCCACTGGCCTGGCCTGTCACTCCAGTCTCTGCATAGGTTGTCACATGGCATTCTCCCTGTGTGTCTCTGTGTCTCTTCTCTTCTTTATAAAGACATAGTTATAATGGATTAGGGCCCACCCTAATGACACCATCTTAACTTGATTATGTCTGCAAACACCCTACTTCCAAATAAGGTCGCATTAACAGGTACTGGGGTTTAGGACTTCAACATGCCTATTTGGGGGCACAATTGTGGGCAGCCCCACAACACACATGTAATTTTAACCTCTAAGGAGTAAGCATGCTGATTTTTTTTTTTTTTTTTTTTTTTGAGACAGGGTCTTGCTCTGTTGCTCGGCTGGAGTGCAGTGGCACGATCTCAGCTCACTGCAAACTCCACCTCCTGGTTTCAAGCAATTCTCCCCCGACCCAGCCTCCCGAGTAGCTGGGATTACGGGTGTGTGCCACCATGCCCAGCTAATTTTTGTAATTTTAGTACAGATGGTGTCTCACCATTTTGCCCAGGCTGGTCTCGAACTCCTGGCCTTAAGTGAATCGCCCACCTCGGCCTCCCGAGGTGCTGAGATTACAGGCACAAGCCACTGTGCCTGGCCAATCACTGATCTTTCTCAAGGACTCTCCTTTTCTCTTTGAGATGGAGTCTCACTCTGTCCCCTAGGCAGGCTGGAGTGCAGTGGCACAATCTTGGCTCACTGCAACCTCCACCTCCCAAGTTCAAGCGATTCTCCTGCCTCAGCCTCCCAAGTAGCTGAGATTATAGGCGCCCACCACCATACCTGGCTAATTTTTGTATTTTTAGTAGACATGGGGTTTCACCATGTTAGCCAGGCTGGTCTCAAACTCCTGGCCTCAGGTGATCCAGCCACCTTGGTCCCCCAAAGTGCTGGGATTACAGGCGTGAGCCACCGTGCCTGTCAAGGCCTCTCCTTCTATTACGGGTCCATCTCTTGCAGTCCCACACTGCTTTCCTTGGGAAATCCACAGGGATGAAACATCATCTCCAACATCAGCTGTGGATTCTTTGAAGTGGAGGGTGAGTTTAAAGGGCCATGTGAAGTGGTCAGCAAGTGGAACCCATCTGAGATTCTGACAATTCTCTCTCACCCAGTTATTTACACTCATCTCACCCACACCTAATTTGCCAATATTTTTGGTGACTCATTTGTAAAGTATCCTTCAAAGCATTAGACTGAATTTTCATAAGAAACATCTCTCCTTGTTAGTGCACTTCTGATTCATCAGTAATATAACATTTAGTTAGATTACGACAGTAATTACAATGACAAGTGAACTGTCAGAAACATGTTCAGGAACAAATACAAGTGACTGGCAAACAAACCACCAGCCGGTGTGAGGAGAAGCAGGCAGAGCCCAGGGGAGGAGGCTGCCAGCTGTCCCTTCCGAGTGCTCCCATTTCAAAGGGGAGGTTGGCAGGAGGGTGGTTAGGAGAGGGAGGCTCGCCTGTAGGCCACAGGAGGGCTGTGACAGTAAAACCCTTTCTGGCCCCCCAGCAACGAATGGGCAACCTAGACCCTCACTCCGGGCCCTGTTCTCCACGCAGGGAGTCGTGGATCTTTTAAAAAACAAGAACCAGCACACCCACTTTGTCACAAAACCCAGACAATCACAAGCTTTGTCGAGGATATAGGGAAGTTGGGACCCTCATACACTGCTGGTGGGAATGGAAAATTGTGCAGCCGCTGCAGGAAACAGCTTGGTGGTTCCTAGATAAGTTAAACAGAGTTACCATATGACCCAGCACTTATACTACCGGATATATATCCCAAAGAATTGAAATCAGGCCTTCAAACAAAAGCGTGTACATGCATGCTCATAGCAGGACTATTCATGATAACTTGGAATAGGTGGAGAGAACCCATATGTCCATCCACTGATGAATGGAGAAACTGCGGTCTCTCCACACAAGGGAATAGCATTCAGCCATAAGAAGGAATGACGTTTTGATACCTGCTACCATGTGGATGGACCTTGAAAACATTATGCTAAGCCGAAACACATTATGCTAAGTGGAAACACATTATGCTAAATGAAGACGCCAGACACAAAAGGACACATATTGTACGATTAATTCCACTTACGTGAAACAGCCAAAACAGGCAGATCTACAGAGGCAGAGAGCAGATTCGTGGCGGGCAGGGGCTGGGGGAGGGGAGAATGAGGAGTGACTGGTCGGTATGGGATTTCCATCTGGGGTGATGAAGAAGTTCCGGAACTTTTTCTATCTCAGTGGTTTCAGTTGCACGACATTGTGTATTTAAAGTCACTGAATTGTGCACTAACATGGTTGAAATGGGACTCTTTTTTGAGATGGAATTTCGCTCTTGTCCCTCAGGCTGGAGTGCAGTGGTACAATCTCAGCTCACTGCAACCTCCACCTCCCGGGTTCAAGTGATTCTCCTGCCTCAGCCTCCCGAGTAGCTGGGATTACAGGCATGCACCACCACCATGCCCAGCTAATTTTCGTATTTTTAGGAGAGACAGGGTTTCACCATGTTGGCCAGGCTGGCCTCAAGTGATTCACCCACCTTGGCCTCCCAAAGTGCTGGGATTACAGGTGTGAGCCACAGCACCCAGACGAAATGGAGCAACTCCAGTCCCCTCCAGCTGCTCTCTCCTCGGGACAGGTCTCATTTTAGTTCTTCTGGACTCCATCACACCAGCACATGCCCCAATTTGGGGGTCTGCACAGACACCTCAAGCAGAGCTTGCTCCTGCCCCTTCTCCCAGATCTACCCGTGGACTGGTTGCCCAGGGCCCAGATAATTCGCAGAAGGCTCATTCCCTCCGAGACTCTGCCTGGGACCCCACTCACAGAAGGCTTTCGTGGGTATGTTTGATCACTGCTTCCCCAGGTCCCCCATCCCTGTGCCCACCCCCATCCATCAGCCCTGGAATCATTCCTCTGGTGGCCACTCGGAGCACTGGTCAGTGCCCTCACATGAGTGGCTGATGCCCCTTGGGGCCATGGCCCACTGCCAGGCTGAAATCCTGCTCCAAGACTTCAGTCCCGCCACCCTCCCCACCCCCACTCAAGATTCAACTCCTTTCCTGGAGGGCACCCCCTGTATCTGTGACTTTGCTCCCCACAACTCCCCCTCCCTCCCCCCACCCTACTGCCCCCTCAGCTATGGCCTGGGCTCTCGGGGTGGCTGCCCAGAGCAGGCTGGGGTAGTGTCTCTGCCTTCTACTTGAGGACCTAGGTGCACCTGGAACATTTATCTTCAACACACAGGGCAGCAGGGCCAGCAGGCCCCAGGCAGCAGGTCTCAGGAAGGGTGGGGAAGGGGCCTAGTTCACCTGGCCCCTCACCTGCCCTTGCTGCCCTGCCCAGCAGCTTCCCCGCTGCATGTTCTAGAGTGGATTGCCATCCACTCCCTCCCCCTTCCCCTGTGATGAGGATGAGCCAGGCAGGCCCACCAGCTGCTGCCCCCATGCCCCCTCACCCTAGCTGATGCCTGCCGTGCCCCCAACCTGGGCTCCTTAGGCACCTAAGAGGCCACCACCCCTTCTTCTGCTCCACCTGCCTTGGCCCAATGGGCAATGAGGCTGGGCAGCAGGGATCAGTCAAGGACCCCTTGGAGGGACAGAAGCCGGTAGGGCTGCTATCTGGCAGCCAAGGGTGGTCTCTGGCCTTATCTCCAAATAATAGTCTCATTGGTGTTCCCAAGCCACTGAGAGCTTTGATAAATATATATGGCCCAGGCCTCTCTTGAGCCTGGTCCGCCAGCAGGACCTGCAGGTGTTGGTGAGCTGAGGGCAGGGGTGGGAGGTGATGCTCTGAGGTAGAGCTGGGATGGGGCTGGGGACGGGAGACTGGCAGGTGGAGCTGGCTTGGAGGCCAGATTTGGGGAGTGGGCTGCCCGAGGCCCACGCTCTGCAGGCTCCAATTCCTTCAGCTAGCTCATCTCTGAATGCTGTTTGACCACAGACTGGGGATGGAAGGATTTCCCTGGGGAGGGGATTGGAAGGGGCAGTGGGGCTGGGAGGACAGCCTTACTAAGAACTCCCACTGCATAGGGGTTAAGCTTCACGGAGGCCTAGTGTGGCCTCCCTGGCTTTTCATCCATCCGTGGGTGCCATCAGGCAGGTATCTTAACCTCTCTGGGTTTTATTTGCCTTATCTGTTAAATGGGGATAACAGCCCCGCCTCATAGGGCAGTATAAAGAGTCAATGAGATAAACATGTGAGGGGCTAAGCAGCACCTGATGCCCGGTAAACAATCAATAATGATCAGTGTTGCTGTTAGCAAATTGTAGAAAGCATTCTCCTCGGTTTGAAGCAAGTGTGGGCAGCTGAGCTGGAAGTCAGTTGGCAGTTTGGATGAGCTGGCTCTGAGGTACCCCTGGGCTGGAGGCCAGCAGCACACTCCTTGGCTGGGGTGTAGGGGGGCCCACTGTGGCTGATGGTGGCCCCGGCTGCATTGTTTGAAATTAAGCATCATTTTAAGGAGTTGGGGGGTGGAGGATGTCAGGAAGCTGGGGAAGGAGATGCTGGATCCACAGAACTCTCATTGCTCGGCGGCTGGACACTGGTGGGGCCATCTTTGGGGAAGTCCCATCTTCACGTGGGGCACGTCCCAGATCACGGAGACCCTGAGGCCTCCTTGCTGCCCTCTTGCCACAGAGCTCTTCATTGGTTCTGGCCTCCCAGAACCCAAGCCCCTTCAGTTCACTGAGGGGTGAAAAAAGCCTTAGACTTGGAACCAGACCTTCAATCTTAGGGGAGCTGCCAGGCCTCAGTTTCCCTGGCTGCAAAACAGGTGGGTTACTACCTCTGTGGGCTAGTTGAGGATTACCCTAGAACTTAAAGTATAATAAAAATAAACAAATAAAGACACACACACACAAATATAGAGATGTGAAGTGGGAAATCAGGGGTCTCACAGCCTTCAGAGCTGAGAGCCCCGAACAGAGATTTACCCACGTAGTAAAAAAAAAAAAAAAAAAAAAAAGACAAATGTTATAAGGATGTTTGTGGATGGCAAAGTAATCTACAATACCCACAATGAAGGTATTATTCTATGGATTCCAAACCCACCTCATCTGCTAACACATGGTTTTCCCCATCTGACTCTCCACCCAGTCCTGGTCCCAGGAGAGCTGAGCCATCAGTAGCAGGGGGCTAGAGAAGGAGGCCTGGAGGGGAGGCTGAGGACCTCTGGGCAGGGGCTGTGCTGTCACACTAAGGGACGGGGAGGGGGTGGCCTGAACTGGAAAAACAGTGGGGCTTTTCCTCCACTACTGTTCTGTGCCCATGAAGGAGGACGTCAAGGAGAAATGGGCTCAGGTGGGGGTAGCATTAGGGGACCACAGCCTTTAGGCATGGTGTGGAGAGAAATTCTTCCAGGCATGAGGTCTTCCGGGTCTGGGAGGGCCTCCAGCGACCTTCCCCCACCACTGCAGCTTGGAGGGTCCCCAGTGGCTCCCCCAACTTTGTGTAGTCGCATGTGTGTTTTTCGGCTCATCACACCCCACTCACTCCCACAGGGGCCTCACCACCCCAAGCTGAACCTGAGCAGAATGGCCCAGATGCCTGGTCTCAGGGCTGCCTTCTCTGCGACGAAGCCCAGAGCGCATGTCTGCCATGGGAGATGATAGAACTCTGGGCCTCTGGGCTGCAGGTTCTGAGGCTCAGATGTTCCTGGCTGTTCCCTGAAGCAGCCCCTCCGCCCTCAGATTCTCTCAATGGGAGGGGAGCCCCAGGCTCCATCTGCCTGCCCAGGGATTCCGCCTCCAGCTTCTCCGATGACCCCCAGACTTGTCTTGGAGCTGTCCTCTTGGTGGCCTTCCAGAGCCAGAGGCTCTGAGCTTTGTTTTTTGGGGCTCCCTGGGGTCCCCCCTGGGTGGCTGCTCATCTCTCACCCAAGACCTAGCACAGTGCTGAGCACACAGTAGGTGCCCAGAAGGTGCCTGGCAGTGAGAGCAGCCAGGAAGCCCACTCAGGAAAGCGGGGTGCGGCCTGGCTGGGCTTATCCACACTTCCTGGTCTGTACCATCCCTTCCCTGTCTTCCCCTCACCCCCACCCTCTCGGCTCCTCCACCCCTGCGGTGCGACCCTCATCCCATCCCCACTGGAATTGTCTCGGGAAAGCCTCGCCTTCTCACTTCTCCACCTTCACTGGGTGAGAGGCAGAGTTGGGAAAGCTGTCTCCGTTGTGGCCATTAGAGACTCAGGTCACTTCTAGTCTCTCCAGGCAGCCAGGACGCTTTACTGGGCTTCTTCCCACTCCCCACAATATCCCCCATGTTTCTCTGGAAGCCTCCAGCCTACCTCTGTCACGGTGCTCCCTGGGTCCCCCACCCCATCTCTCTACTTCAGGGCACAGAGCTTGGAGAATTGGCAGAGCAGAGTACCCCATAGGGCCTTCAAGGATATCCTTAGCTACACCCGGGCCCAGGCCCTCCCCAACGAAACGTGCCCTCCCTCAGCAGGAGCTGCGGGGCTTTCGGCACTGTGTCACCTTTGTCTGTTCCTGGTGTCCTGACACTGCAAGCTCTTGTGTGCGCCTGGGTGCACAAGTGCACATGTGTATACACACGTCCCACCCACGGGGCTCTCCTCCCTGGTTAGAGAGACCCAGAGACAAGGCCCGGGCTGCAGTGGGGCCCTGTGTCCAGTTCTGGTGTTCCACCCACACCCCCTGCCCCTCCAATGCAGCACACACTGGCTTCCACCCACCCGCACATCACTGTGCCGGAGAACTCTCTCTGGCCCTCTGTAGCCTGATGTGGGAATGCAGAAGAGTTCATGTCCCCCTGGGAGCAGCCCTCAACCCGCAGCTGATGGGAGATGGTGGATAAATACCCCAGCTCCCTCACCTGTTGGGTGGGATGAGGGAGGGCTTCCCCAGCGGAAGGGAGCTCCAGGCGCCCACAACAGTGTTGGAGTGTCAGTCCTGCCCCAGAGGCCACCCAGGGCTATACAAGCTCTGGCCCGGAGTTGGGGGCACTGAAGCCAGCAAGCCAGGGGAGCCTGAGTGTGCCACCCACCTCAGAGCGGCACTGGCCAGGGCTGGGGCATACCTGTCTCTTGCTCACAGGCTACCGTGTCCCCCTCTAGCCCCCACCTTTCCCCTGCCTTCCTTGCCTGGCTTCACTCCCTGTTGCCCTCTCTGTACTCCCCTTCCCTCGAGTTTGCACAAGAAACCTCAGGGTCTCAGGGATGGCTTCTTGTGGCGGCCCTAGTGGAGACAGCTGCATTCACAGCCTGTCCAGTGGCCCAGCATCCTAATTCTGCTTCCCACCCCTCAGCACAGCTCCTGCCTGGGGCTGGGACACACTCCCGTCTCCTTTGTTCCTTCCCCTGACCCATGGTGTCCCTCCTCTGCATCCCTAACCGTGGCCCTCCTCTCCCTCTAATTCACCTCCTCACAACAAGCTGTCCCTAACTAAGGGGGCCCTGGCCAGACCCACCTGTTCCTCGAAGCCCTCACCCCTCTCCCGGCCCTCAGGGGCTCTCCTGGCACCATCCTTGCCAGGGTGAGAGTGGGGTCAGGTTTCTCAGCAACACAGCAGCCCCTGAAAGCTGGGAAGCAGCCCCCACCTCTGTGAGACACCCTCTCCATCCAGCCCCCTGTGGAGTCCAGGCCTTCACAAATGCTGGTTGAAAAGATAAATATTATTTATACCAGCCACCCGCCTCACAGCCGACACCCTCATCTTCTAGTGCCCCCCAAAGCCCTGCCCTGGCTGTCCAGTCCCTCTGGACATGGGCAGGTCAGTGGGGGCTGCGGCCGGTCCACACCTGGAGTGTAAGCAGCACGTTGTCCCAAGAGCCACTTGGGCAGGGGTCTTCTCCTGGCTTGCTTAGCTAGTGGTCCTGCCCCAGAGGCCATCCAGGGCTACAAGCTCTGCCCCAGAGGCTGGGACTGGGACACCCCTGGCTCTTGCTCACAGGCCACTCTGCCCCCTCCAGCCCCCATCTTCTCACAAAAGAGGAAAAGGAGCAGGAGGTGACTGGTGTGGGGTGGTTAAGTGAGGGGAAGCTGGCCTGGCCTGCAGGGTAGTAAATGTTCAGGGTGAAGGCAGCAAGGCAGGGCATTGCTGGTGGCAGTGCCACAGTGCCAGTGAGGTTCTGGAGGCCTGGGGGGGTGACTCTAGTGCTGTGGCCGCAAGTCTGATGATGACACCTGACTTCTGTCTCCAGGGTTCCTGAGCGAGGGCCCTTGGTTCCCAGTGGTGTCGGAAGGCATCACCGAGGTCCAGAGGCATCATCGTGGTGAGTCAGAGGCTGTCACGAGTTGCCCATGATGCCCCAGGGCAGCAAATGGCCTCCCCACGGTTGCCGAGGGCAGCCCCAGGCCCCAGTGGGCTGGCCTTCTTGTGCTCTGGGAGAAGGCAGCCTTGGAGGGACATGCGTGCTGCTGTAGGTGTCCAGCGCCCCATTTCAATTCATTCCCATGTCCCTTCTCCAGGGAGGATTGGGCAGGGAAGCCAGAGGCCCTGGGCCCGGCCCAGTCCTGTAGGTGACTTTCCACTCATGAGCTAGAGTCCTGCACGGCTGCAGGGGAAGAGCGGCCCCCCCCAGGCTGTCAGTGCCAGCTGCTCCTGGGGGAGTGGGCATGAGACCTAACAGGTCACCTCCACAGGCAGGGTGGTCAGGGAGCCTGGCCGTCATCCCCCCAGCCACAGCTGTTTGGGGGCTGCTCCATGACCTGCCAGCTCAGACTGCTGTGGACTGCTTGATGCTGTGAAAGCTGACACGGGTTGGGGAGGTGGGGATGGACATGGCACGGGCCACTCGGGCACGGATCGAGTGCTTGTCCTGCCACCGGTGCCACCTCTTCCGGATGGCAGAACGGACCTGTGGGCACAGGGAGGAGCACGACATCTGAGCCTGTGGCTCAGGACCCCCTCCCTCCCCTGGGCCGCCACGAGCAGCTGTGCAGGTAAGCAGCTGTGCAGGTCAGCTGAGTACATGGAAGTCCTCAGTAGGGGATGACACTCACAGCCTTAACACGGCTGCTTTGCATATTTGTCGGAACAGGTTTCTCAAATGTCCTGGGGAAGGGGCACCCTTTTCTAACCCACACGAAGGCACCATATGCCCTTTGCCATGAAGGCTCCCTGCCCTCAACCCACATGTATCCCCTGCCCAGGGCTCAGCCCTTCCTGGTTTTCACAGGCTCATCAAAGATACTGGAGCTCTGGCTTCCAGCCTGGTGCCAGCGGCCTCTGAGAGCAAAGGAGGGGGCTGTCACTGTGGGAGTGGACAGGTGGGAGGGGCCACCCTGGGGCTCCCAGCAGCATACCCCTAGGGACCTAGGAACAGGGAGGGAGAGAGGCAGCCCTGGGAGGGGAGGAGAAGGCTCTAGACAATCGCCAGTCCCAACAGGCCTCACAGCCCTGAGCCCCGCTGCAGGGCCCCCAGGTCCTCACCTCACTATTGAGGAAACAGTAGAACACAGACACAAAGAAGCCCTGGGGAGGAGAGAGGAGGCATCAAAGGTCGGCTGCAGGTGTTGCCCACCCAGCCTCTGGGCTGCCCCTTGCTTCTCCCTGGCCTCCTGCCCTCCAGGCCTCTGCTTGGCAGAATCCCCACCCAAGGAGGTGCTGATGTGTCCCTCCAGGGCTGTACCTGGAAGGATTCCAGGAAGGAGTTGAAGTAGATGAAGACGACCCGGGAGACCTCATCCTCCCCGGGATTGACGAAGAACAGCATGTAGGTGATGCCCAGGAGGGGCAGCAGCACCAGAGTGGCTTTCACAGCCTTCCTGGGGTGGGGCGGGTGGGGAGGCTCGGAGTCACAGCCCACCCTAGGACGGGCTGCCCGCTGGCTCGGCAAAGAGGGCCAGGTCGGGGGAGGGAGTGGCAGGTCTCTGGCACGTGAGAGGCATGGGGAGCAGGGGTTTCATCAGGGGGAGGCCTGAGGAAGGTGGTACCCGGTTACCTGTACTGAATGGTCTCAGACGTGGTGGATGCCCGGAGCTTGGTCATGAGGATGCGGACGATGTTGAAAAGGAAGATGAAATTGATCTGCAATTTGAGCACACCAGCGGGCCGGAGTGTGCAAGAGGCTTGGGACCCAGGCTTCTCAGCTCTGGCCTCAGTGCCCCTGCTGTTCTCCCTCCTCCTCATGAGCACCTGCACATCTCTGACCCATGCCCCCTCTTTGGGTGGCCCCCACCTCTAGGTAGAGGGGTCCTTTCTGTCCACGGTTGGCACTGATTGCCCCTCCCCACTGGGCCCTGTCTCCTGCCCCTACCCAGGTTCTTACCAGCAGGACCAGGATCATGGGGCCCTGGTAGATGTAGTCGGTGTACACCCCAGGCCTTTTGCCAAACCAACACCTAGAAGGCCACAGAGGAAAGGGGAGGAAGGGTCATCTGCGTCCACCTCGATGGCATGGGGAGGGACAGTGCTTGGCCAGGACAGGACTGGGGCTGGAGGCCAAGAGGTAGATGTCCCAATTCCAACCCTGGCAGAAGGTCAAGTCACTTGATCCCACTGCCATGCCTCAATTGTCCCATCTGCAGAACGGACAGCATCCTCTGTGATGAGATGCAAAGTTGGAAGCAAGCACCGGGGCAGCAGGTAGACAGTGGGAAAGACTGAGTGGCTGGGAACGGGCATGGGCCCAACACGAGGCTGCATCCTCGGCTCCTCCTCATAGTCCCCTGGCAGTGGCTGAGGCCCAGCATGCCCTCTGGGGGGCTGCTGGTGGGAGTGGCACCACACCTGTCACCCAGTGGGCACCCAGCAGTTTGCAATCTCAGCCTGAATCTGTCCAGTCACAGCCTGAACAACCTTGAGAGGAATACTTGCACAGGTTCTACCTGCTGCAGGAGGTAATTGCTTTGCATTTTCCCGAGTGTCCCTCCAGCAAGCTCCAGGGAGGCCTGGGGAGTGGGTGGGGACCAGACAAACTGGAAGCCCTTATGTCCTCGTGGGTATGAAGACCCCCAGTGGCTAGATCTCATAAGCCAGAAATTGAGATTTGTAAATGAAACCTTTGGATTTTTTAAAGGTTGGCTACAAAATCGAGTTTTCAGAAAACACCATGCTGGCCACACACAGCTTCTGAGGGCCGGGTCCAGTCCTCGGGCCTCTGGTCTGCAAGTTCGTTTCTGGTTTCTCACACCCAGATCCTCTCTGTTGCAGTGTTGAATTCTCACCACCAGGTGGAGCTTCAGAGCCGCTCAGACTCACTTTCTCCTTTAGCCCAAACAGTTTTTGTTTTGCTTTGTTTTTTGAGACTCATGGAGTCTCACTCTGTTGCCCAGGCTGGAGTGCAGTGGCACGATCTTGGCTCACTGCAACCTCTGCCTCCTGGGTTCAAGAGATTCTCCTGCCTCAGCCTTCCCGAGTAGCTGGACTACAGGTGCGCACCACCACACCCAGCTAATTTTTGTTTTTTTTTTTGTTTTTTTGTTTTTTTTTTAGTAGATACGGGGTTTCACCATGTTAGCCAGGCTGGTCTCAAACTCCTGACCTCAAGTGATCCGCCTGCCTCGGCTTCCCAAGGCCTCAGCCAGCCTGAGTCAGGAGGGAGTCAGGAGGGAGTCAACCACATAAACACGCAAGATAATCTTCCAGGCTCCTCTTTCAGCCCAATGAAGCCGTGCAGGCCCCCTCCCCTCCATGGGGGAGGAGAGGGCTTGTCACTGTGGTGGAGGCCACTTGGACGCCAGGTCCGTCAGTCAGATAGGTTCCCGGGAACACTTGTTTGGCAAAGAAGGTCCTGGGGCTCCCCTGCCATCCATGTCCACCTTTTCTGCCCCGCTCTCTCTCAGTGGTTCTCAATCTGAGCTGCACATTAGAATCACCTGGGCAGTTTTCAAGAATTCTGGGTGCCAGACCACACCCCAGACCAATTACGCCTGATTCTCTGAGGGTGAAGCCTGGGCATTGGTACTTTTCCAAGCATTCCAGGTGATTCTAATGTGAGCCAAAGTTGAGCTCCACTGCAGCAGAAATCAAGTTTCCAGGCACGATTGGAAACATCTGAGTCCATTTCATAAGGAACCAAAGAACTTCAGCGCTGGAAGAAGCCTCTGAGATCATCTAGGTCCACTTCTATTAAATTCATGGAGTCTTTTATTAAGATGTCTTAATATTAATAGAACACATTTATATAGCATTTACTCTATGTGCCAGGAGCTATTGTAAATGCTTAATATAGATGGACTCATATCACCCCACAACAGCCCTTTGAGGCAGTAGCATGTCCATTTTACAGATGAGGAAACTGAGGCACACTGCAGTAATCTGTCCAAGGTCACACAGCTATTTAAAGATGGAGCCACGATTCTGAACCTGGGCAGTCTGGCTCCAGGCTGCTTCCTGTGTAAGCTCAAGGCAGATAAAGGAGGCTGGGTCCTGCTTGTCCAGCCCCACCCAGGCAGAGCCAGGCAGGGACCCTCTGAATGAGTCCAGCCCCCAGATCTCTCCCTTTATAGATGCAGAAACCATGGTCCTGAGGGGAAAAAGCCAGCATGGCCAATGCCCGTGGGGAGTGTCACCAAGCTGGGCTGGGAGCCTAAACCTTGGGGTCAGGAAGGGAAAGGAGATGACTTACTTCTCATTGTCGTAGTACAGCTTCCCAATGGCCCAGGCCACAATGATGGGGAAGGGCACACCTGGGGGAGAGATGGGCTGTCACAGAGCCCTCAGCGGGGGCTGGAGGATGTGGGCCTGGAGAACCCCAGTGCAGCCCAGGCTCCAGGGGGTCTAAGGTTACTCAGGGTGGATCTCAAACTCACACACCTCCTTCAAGGTGCTTCTACTGCCGCCCACCCCCAAGAGGAGCAGAGGGCTATCGTGCACACCTTACCGCCCCAACCCGACCTCCATCCCTCAGGCCCCCCAGCCCGCTGGCCTGAGTCTGGAGGAGAGGGCAGCCCGGCGGCCGCCACTGCTCAGGCTGCGGAGGTGGCTGCCCAGCTCACCCCAGCCAATGCAGATGAACATCCATTTGCGCAGCCGGTCGGTGGAGTAGGTGAGCACGATGGCTGTGTGCAGGTAGCAGCCCTCGCCGAACATCCAGAAGAAGTTGGTCACATGGAAGTAGTTGTAGGCGGCTGTCACCAACCTGCACCAGCCCTGCCACCCCACCCCCAACCAGAGATGATGATGGGGGACAGGGGAGGCACCAAACCCTGGGCCTGGGCCTCCCCAGGGCAGGACAGGGCATACCCTGGGATCCCACTCCTGTTCTGTGGGCTCCTCCTCTGCAGGGCAGGCCCACCTGGGCCCCTCCTCTGACCTGGGTTTGGCCTGACCTGCTCCCCGCTCCCCTGCCAGGACGTACCACGTTGCTCTGGTGGACCTCGGGGCTCATGGTTAGCTGGACCACGAACCAGGTGGCGTTGCGCAGGATGAAGGCGGAGATGAGGTTCCAGTGGATGATGTTTCGCAGGCACCGGATGCTCCTGGTGCAGCAGGGCGGGTGGATGATGGGAGCGATAGGAGAGAGAGGATGAGGGGTAGGCCACCTCCATCACCCCAGCCCAGATGTGTAGATGAGGAAACTGAGGCACAGGGTGGGGCTGACTGGCCAAGTCACACAGGGAGGTGACAGCCAGGCTCTCCTAATGCCCCATGGAGCCCTTCCTGCCTGCAGCCCACCCAGACATAAGCCCCAGGCAGAGCCTGGCACTCCATGGAGCCTGTGCTCCATGGACCAGGGCAGCTGGATTCCTGGCGATGCCCGCTTCCCCTGGGGGTGCCTTCTACTCCCTGCCATTCTAGGATGGACAGTCACAGGGGTCAGCCCTGCTCCCAGCCTCCAGCCCTGATGCTCGGCTCCTGATCCCAACCATCCCCATCCCCGGCTCTGCCACCTGCATCCTTGGCGGTAGTGCTGGGGCCCAGGTACCTTCGAACCTGAAATGGGGCACCACTCCATGGAGCCCCCACCTCCAGGGCTCCATCTGCCTGGTCACCCCAATGGGTGCAGCCTGGCCTGGGTATGGGTGACATAAGACAAGTTTTGTCCCTCCCCACCATTCCAGCAGCTACTGGGGAGAGGGCAGAGCGGCTCTGCCAGAGGTTCCCAGAGACTTGAGACTCTCAGATAAGCCAGCCCCTGCCACCCTCTCCCAGCAACCCCCACCCCAACCTAGAGCTGCTCCTCTCACTTCTCCACCCTGCTTCTGCTCTAGGGCCTGGGGACAGGAGGAGGCAGTGCTGGGGTCTTCTCACCTGAGCCGCAGAAAGAGGACAAAGGCCACCAGGAGGGCCACCAGGGAGATACAGTGGCCCAGGTAGTTGATGATGACTGCGACATGGTAGTGCACCTTGCTTTTTTTCTGGAGCAGGAGAGAGGGGCAGAGGTGAGCCTTCTGCTGGATGGGAGCTGCTCTGTGAGGACATCGCCTAGGGGTGGCTGGGATGGAGCGGGTCATGATCTCAAGGGCCACTCCCCCTTCCTGAGCATCTGCTGAGGGTCAGGCCTCGCTGCAGAGCAACGCCGTCCAGTTTGAGGCTCTGCTTGTCCCTGAATCCCATGCTGTGTTCACTGCTCCGTGTTGTGTCGAACTGAATCTCCACATCACGTGGGATTCCCCACTCCACATGGACCCCCCGCCCCTGCATGCACAAGCACATGTGGCCGGCTCACAGGTGCGCCCTCACACTCGCATCTACCCATGCTGCCACCCAGTCAGAACACCAGGTGGACCTCTCAGCTGCAGAGACACCAAACTCCCGGGATTTCTCTTCTCCACCCATTTCTGAACTGAGTCACCACCTTCTCAGCCACCCCTAAATCCCTCCTGCTGCAATGCCGCCTGCTCCTGTGAGCAAGGAGGGGCCGGGCAGCTGCTGGGCTCTGGCATCCACAGAATCAGCAGAAACCACAGAAAAGTCTCCTTAGGCTCCATAACTCACTTTCCGGGGCCTTCCCCATCCCTGGCCCAAGGGGATCTGTGCAGAGTGAGCAGGATCCTCTCCCAGGACTGTAACACATTCCCCGGGTTTATTTCTTAATGAATTTAATATACTGATGGAGGTCACTGCCCTCCTCTTTACAGCAATCTTGAGTTCCAAGAGTGGTGAAGCCTTCCTGTTTACAGAGGATTTTCATATCTGTTATCGTCTTAAACCATCAGGGCAACCCCGTGGGGGGAGCCGGAAAGGCATCTGGGCTTTATTTTGTAGGAAAACAGCACAGAGGTTATGCTGACGCGCTGGAGGTCGCGCAACTCCAAAACCACCTCTTGCCTGCACATGTAGATTGGCAAGATACGAAGGCTGCAAACAGGTCCCCAGCCCATAATAGGGGACTGGTCAGTCCCCATGCCCAGCTCTCTGCAGACTCCTGCCCAAGAGCACAGCCCCCATCCACACTTTTATAGGTCCCAAGAAGCAGGGCCTAGAAACCAAGAGCTTGACACGCAGTCAAACTCCCAAGCAGTGTGTGAGTGAAGGAAGGAAAGACGGGTGTTGAAAAGCAGGTGACTTTGAGAAGGGAGGGGTCCCTGGCAGCACCTCCCTTCCTCCCCGTTTCTAGGCTCTAGGGTGGGGCTGAATGATCATGAGGCACAAAGGTGGGTGACATGCAAGTGCTGAGAAGCAGTGAGCTCACAACGGCCCTCATCATCTTCTCAGAGCCACCAAGGAGCTACTGGCCACCAAGGAGCTACTCCATAGGCCTTCCTGTTGGAATTACAGAACCCACTTGAAACCAGAGATCAAGTCCAGCCCTATCCACCAGGCATCCCAGGAGAAGCCAAGACCCTATGCCCAGTTCCGCCTGGCCACCAAGGCCCTTCTGAAGGAGCACCCTCATTGGGGAACCTCTCCAGAGGCTGCTACAGAAGCTCTGTTCTTGGAGCTGGTTTCCAGGCAGAGGCTTTCTGGAACATGGCAGGTAATTACATTAGCAACTCCAGCCTCCAAAGGACTGGGATCCAGGGAGGTGTAAATGAAGGCAGGAGAGAGAGAGACAGAGAGGGGAGTGAGGAGAGGGTACCTATCACCCGTGCAAGTGGGGAGGGTCTCTGAGCGCCTGGCGGCAGATGCCCCAATCCGGAGGCTCTGGAAGATATGCACACATCACAGGCTGTCTGGAGCTGGTATTTAATATCCTTTTATTAAATTTTCCACAAATCCATGCTGAGAAGCCCCTGGGTAATGACAACATGTGTGGAGCCGAGCATGGCACAACACCCCGGCCTTGTTCACAGGCCCAGGCTGGGCGGGAGGAGCGCAGTGTACAGGGAGACCCTTCAGTGCTGCCTTCCAGGGCCCCTGCCTCACTCCCGAGTCAGGCCGTACCAGGCCCTTGGGGTTGGAGTGGGGAGGAGTTATCTGTTAAGCACCTGCTGTATGCTGAGCACTGTGCCAGGAGCTCTGCAGACGCTACTGCTTTTCTTTCCCACAGCTGCCCTTGGAGACTGCTCCTCTCATCCCAGTTCTTTCCGTAGAAGAGACTGAATAATTGGCCACGCCACGCAGCCGGTATCTGGAACCTGGGTCTGCCTGGCTTTAAACTCCCTCTTTTCCCTGTTTCCCAGGGACATTTCTTTTTTTGGGTGGGGGAGGGATGGAGTCTCACTCTGTCGCCCAGTCTGGAGTGGTGCAGTGGCAGGATCTCAGCTCACTGCAGCCTCTGCTTCCTGGGTTCAAGTGATTCTCCTGCCTCAGCCTCCCGAGTAGCTGGGATCACAGGCATGCACCACCATGCCCAGCTAATATTTTGTATTTTTTGGTAGAGATGGGGTTTTGCCATGTTGCCCAGGCTGGTCTCGAACTCCTGAGCTCAGGCAATCCACCTGTGTCGGCCTCCCAAAGTGCTGGGATTACAGGCGTGAGCCACCGTGTCCGGCCCCCTGCGACATTTCTTGGGGGACAAGCAGGAATTGAAAGCAGAGGCACTCTCTGGGGTGGTCTCACGCCACTTTGGGCCCAGGAGCCTCGGGGGACCTCCTGCTGGGACAATAGCGCCCAAGAGGGCTTTCCTCCAAGAGCCTGAGGGAGAATCAGGCCAAACCATTCCCGGGGGACAAAGTCTCAGTGTGCCTCCCTGAGCAGTCGGGCCTGGGCCAGGTTCAAGCCCTGTCTCTCATCGGCCACATCAGCATCATGCAACCTGAGAAGACAGCTGGAGAGACAGCCTGAGGGATGGCTGCTGATACCCTGAGACAAATACATCCTGCGACACCCAGACAGAAGCCAGTGACACTGTGACATTTCCAATAACAACCAGAGTTCTGGCCAGCATTATTTAGAGAGACAGCAAGGCCTTAAGAGGCACCCAGGAACACCCTGAGAGGTGGCCAGTGATACCTGGAGAGGAGAGTCAGCAGCACCCCCAGGGACAGCCAGTGACACCCCGACCAACGGCCACGATAACAGCAAAGCAGCTGGGATGTCCGAAGGACAAATGGGCACAGCTACCCCTGGGGCCCTGACCAGCACTCCATCTCCATCCAGTCTGGAGACCTAAGACCAGCAGGCACCCCGCCCTAAGGAGGGTGGCACAGCGTGGTACTTGGCAGAGGCCACTCCGCTGTACCCTCAGTGATCTGAATTGAATAAGCAATTTGTGCCTGGCTGACTCTGACTGGACTCTCTGCAGGACACCACCTTGTCCCAGGCGCTGCAGTGCCAGATCCGTCCTGATGCCTCTCTGGGTTGGTGGCAATGAGACCTCCCTTCCAAGCTCCCCACTGGTGCCCACTCCATTCTGGCACGTCCTCTCCACCGAGGCTTCCAGAGCTACTCCTCTTACCCTGCAGTGGGCACTCACTCCAGCCCCTCGATCCTCAAAGGGTGGCCCCCGGCCCAGCAACAGCACACAGAGGAGCACGCAGAGATCTTGAGGAAAGTGGAATGTATGCCCTACGCCAGGCCCATGGAATCGGAGCTTGGTTTTAGGAAAAAGCACCTTTGCAGTTCAGAAGCCCTGGTCCAACCACCACTCACCTCTCCCCACACGGTGAACAGTGAACCTTGGTCCACAAACCAGACCCCCAGAATCCGTTTCATGTCCCACCACGGTGTGCTCTCCCAGGCTGTGCCTGAGTCCCAGGCTCCTGTGCGCAACAGAACGTGGGGAAAGGGGATAGAGTGTGTGCAAGTGTTGGGCGGGTGGGGGAAGGCTGGACGGTGGGGAAGGGAGTGAACAGTAGTAGCGGGAGGTGGTGGGTGGAGGAGAGGGTGCTGATACAGGCAGCAGGTGTAGGGGTGGTGCTGGGGGCTCAGTGCCATCCCCCGGCCAGCCATGCATGCAACAGTTGGGGGCCTGTCCCCTGGTGGTGCTGGCTGCGGGCAGATCTCCTGGGGTGCCTGGCCTTGAGGTGCCCTCGCAAGTCCCATTTCACAGGCAGACTTCTGCGAATCCATCATCTGCGATACCCCAGGGTGCTGGAGCTTAATTAGAGCTTAGCCCAGGCCCAGAGCTGAGAAACCTACCACTCAATTAATTGGATACTTTCCTCTGCAGTTCTGGGAGGGGTCTGGCGAGGCTGGGGGCTGGCAGAAGGGAATGGCATTTTCACTAATTAAACTAATCGATTACCCAGAGTGCTAGGCACCAGGCCAGCAGGGGCTGCAGAGGAAAGAGATGGCAGAGCCAGGCACGGATGGGCTGGGGGGTGGGGCGGGTCACTCCCCCAGGTGTACACTACAACCTCCCCTGACCTCACAGGGGAGATGAGAGACAGGGGGCAGCAGGTGAATGGAACGTCTCCCATAGGCCAAGACAGGCCAACACCACCCTTCCATCCCCAGAAGGCAGAGATCTGAATTCCTGGCCACCATTTTTGGGAACTTGGTGAGGTTAAGTTGCCTCCTCAAGGTCATGCAGCAGGTTCCCGTTGAAACCCAAACCCTAAGGTCCGTGCTATTCCCACTGCAATGCAAAGAGGGGGCTGATGAGACCGGGCTCCCGATCCTCTTCCTTGTCCTAACCCTGCTGGTGGACAGAGGTAGAGACCCCTGTCCTGGCAGGGTTGGGTGTTGCAGGGCAGGCTGAGGGTGGCTAACCTACTGCCCTTAGGCCTTTGAAGGGTGCTGGGGAAAATGGGGGCTGCCGAGTGTCCCCATCAGCCAACTGAAAAGAAGGGGCTTGCAATAGAGCAGGAGAGACAGGTGAACCACGAAGACCCCGCGCTGACCCTCAGGAGGGTTGAGTGCAGGGCGTGAAGCTGGGACAGACAGTGCGGCCTGCAGCCTGACCTCATGGCTTAGCTGTGCCTCCTGGACACCATCCCTCTCTGCAATGGCGTGTGGTCCTGAGTCACTGACAGCACTGACCCGCTCCTCTGAGCACCAGCCCTGTTTCCTTTCCTCCCACCTCCTCTACTGTGTGCCAGGCTACGGGCTCCCCACATCCCTGAACGGTCTTGCCCACTCCCGCCCCACCAGCCAAGGCCAAGGCCATCTCCTCTGGCCCAACTAAGTCTCCTAACCTGGAACCCCACCTCCTTCCCCCAGTCCAGGAGGAGCCCTCCTCCCAATCCCAGGACTTCCCAGGTGGGCTCTCTGTGTGGGGGCTTAGCAAGCTGAGGGCTTTCCCTGCTCAGATCAGATCATCAGGGAGCCTGACCAACCCACCCCAGCCTTGAGTGCCACCCAAAGGTCTGGCCTGTGGGATCTGAGATGCCAGGCAGCCCCTCGCCCTGCCAGAGCAGCACCGTGGAAGAACCCGTGAGTCTTTTAAGCTAGGCATTGACCTAGCTGCAGCTTCCGGAAGGAGACAGCAGAGCCCCGCATTAGCTCAGTGACTTGAGGCCAGGAAGCCAGGGGTGGGGCTAACCAAAGCTTGCCAGGCCGGGGTGGGAGCTACAGGTGAAGGAAAGTGATTCTTTCTCCGTTAACTTTGTTTCACGCCAGATACCTGGCAGTGGGCAAAGCAGAGCCTGGGCTGCAGAGCCTGTGCTCCAGAGCCTGGGCTCCAAAGCCCTGGGTTCCGGGCTCTGACTTAACTGCCAAAAATACAAAAATTAGCCCAGCATGGTGGTGCATTCCTGTAATCGCAGCTACTCAGGAGGCTGAGGCAGGAGAATCACTTGAACCAGGGAGGTGGAGGTTGCAATGAGCCGACATCGCGCCACAGCACTCCAGCCCGGCGACAGAGGAAGACTCTGTCTCAAAAAAAAAAAAAAAAAAAAAAAAGGAATGTCTCAGAGCCACGTGACCTTGTGTGAATCATTCCCCTTTTCTGGGCCCCAGTCTCCCCATCTGTAATGTGAACGGGTCGCACTAGATTAGAGTTTCTCACTTTTGCCCCATCAGAAGGCTCCCCTGGGGCACTCATGAAAGACACAGATTCCCAGGTCCTCCTTGGACAGTGTGATTTCTTAGGTGTTGGGTGTGGCCCTGGGACCTGTATTTGGACAAGTGCTCTGGGAGATTCCATTTTTTTTTTTTTTTTTGAGACAGAGTCTTGCTCTGTCGCCAGGCTGGAGTGCTGTGGCGCGATCTGGGCTCACTGCAACCTCCGCCTCCCCGGTTCAAGTGATTCTCCTGCCTCAGCCTCCTGAGTAGCTGCGATTACAGGGATGCGCCACCATGCTCGGCTAATTTTTGTATTTTTAGCAGAGATGAGGTTTCACCATGTTGGCCAGGATGGTCTCGATCTCCTGACCTCGTGATCTGCCTGCCTCGTCCTCCCAAAGTGCTGGGATTACAGGCGTGAGCCACCGCACTTGGCCCCACTTTTTTTTTTTTAATGGAATTTCGCTCTTTTTGCCCAGGCTGGAGTGCAATGGCACAATCTCGGCTCACTGCAACCTCCGCCTCCTGGTTTCAAGCGATTCTCCTGCCTCAGCCTCCCGTGTAGCTGGGATTACAGGTGTAATCCCACCACACCCGGCTAATTTTGTATTTTTAGTAGAGATGGGGTTTCACCATGTTGGACAGGCTGGTCTTGAACTCCTGACCTCAGGAGATCTGCCTCTGGACGATTCTTATAACCAGGCAAGTCTGGGAACCTCAAGATGGGAAGGAGAGTCTCCACGGTCCCTTCCAGCTCTGATCTTTAGGCGACGGGATTCTTGGGACTGCTTAGGTCAGTCTCTCTCTTCCACAATCAGAATCCCTGGCCCTCGGACAGCCTGGGGTGTCCCCCCTTCTGCCCTTTGACCCCCGTCTTCCTCAACACCAAGGGAGAAAGCGTCGGGTGGGAAAGGAGACAGGGTGGGAGAGACTGAGGGCAGCAGCAGCTCCAGGATAGATATATTTGTGCCTCTGCCAAATATCACCCTTCAAAGATTATTCATTGCAGCACCGTTTGTAATAACTAAAGACTGAGAATAAAGACTGGTTTAAATAAATTATGGTACATTTTGTGATATTATGCAAATGCAAAAAGAATGAAGATGCTCTTTATGTACTGATATGGAACCATCTCTAAGATAGATGATTATATGAAAAAAGCAAGGTGTAGACAGTGTGTATAACATGCAACATTCAGGTAAAAACAAAAAAGAATACGTATACAAAATTACTCGTGTATGCGGAGAATGTGTCTGGAAGGACACTTATGAAATTGGCAAAATGGTTGCCTCTGGGAGGGAATCCAGTGGCTGGGGACGGGGTGGGAGGGGACATTGTATTCCCATTTGTACCTTCTGAGTTCTGTGTAAGCAATATCTGCTCAAAAACATTTAACATTTTAAAAGGCTTTCCAAGGGCTTTTTCAAACTGCATTGCTACCTCCATCCCGTCCCTGGTTCCCATACAGCCCTGTGGCTGGAACTGGATGTATCTCTCAGGCATGTGTGGTGGAAAAGGGTGGGACTCCTGTGACCGAGTCTGGTCTCCCTTTGCACCCCCAGGACAGTCCCATGCCCAGTGCAAGCGGCTGCCCGATGAGCACAGGGAGAAGGAAGGAAGGAACAAGGACCCATCTCATCACCATCAGAGCCTGCCCAGTGCCCCATTGGTCCAGCCTGCCCTCGAGGGCGCCTGCTCATGGGCCATTTCCAAGTTGACAGCTCCAGCTCCCCAGTCAGCTTCACTAGAGCAGGGCCTTGACATTAGCCTCTGGCTCCCTGGCTCCAAGTAGCAGGCACAAAACTCTGCTGGGGACCCTGGACTCCCCTCCATATGGGCAGCCTTGTTCGGCTCAGCCTCACCTCCTCATTGAGGATCTCCTGGCACTCGGAGTAATTCACGCGGGCGGCCCAGCTGCCATTGGCCAGGCACTCCCGGTAGCCATTGTCTGGAAAAGGAAGAGAGAGGCAGTGATGGCGGGGCAGCCCCGGCCCCTGCCTGACCATCCTGGCCCAGATGGATGCGTAGATGGATCTGTAGATGGCCAGTACAGGCACCTGCTGGCTGGGGGTTGTGTAGTGAAGCTGGGGAGAGGGGCTTCCTTACCACCCCCATCTTCCTGCCTCTTTCTGCCCATTGGCCTCCAGCAGGGGTTGGTGGCTCCCCCGGCTCTGCCCACTCAAGCTGGCATGATCATGCCCACAGGACTAGCCCGTGGACAGGCTTGACCAGCTCCCTGGGCTGTTCCTTTGCAAGTCATTATGTGGTGGCAGATGACAGGTAGGTGCTCTTCTGAGAAATCTTTTCAGGGGTCTTGCAAGACAGCAAAAAAATGGTGAGACCTCATGAGTCAATTTTCACGAGGCTGGGCATGACACGGTGGAAGGGTATGCGGTGACAGCTCGCGTGGCAGGTGGCATGACAGGGCTTCTTGTGGTAGAGCCATCTCACAGAGGCTGCCGTGGGAGGTCCTCACTGGCTGTGCTGCACATGGGGGCTCAGAGTTCATGGGGCAGATCTTGGGGAAGGTCCCATGGTGGCACTTCCCCATAGCGGGCCTGTGTTGGAAGGTCGTGGTCTGTGGGTGGGGGGAACATCCATGATGGAGGTCTCTTGGACAGAAAATGACAGGTGACAGGCGTGTGTGGGGAGATGTCATCACTCAGGTCTGTCACAGCTGCTCCTAGCCTGGCCCATGTCACTCAAGGAGGAAGGCAGGAGAGTGGCCCAGGGACATATGGAGGTTTGTGCAGCCACCGGCCTGGACTGTGGCCCAGAACCTGTCACCTTCTAAGGAGATGGGGAGGGGCCCTGTGAGCTGAATTGATGCCTGGCTTTAGGGCCCTGGGATGGGCAGAGCTGCCCAACGTGTTCCCCTTACCCTCCTTCATGCCTACCAGGCTTGAGCTCCAGGGTCCTAAAACCTAGCTGGGAAGGGACAGCGTGAGTTCTAAATTCCATCTCATCTTCTCTGCTGGCAGAGGTTGCCCCACCCCACCCTGTACCCGGCTCTGGCATCAGTAGCTCTAAACATGCTTCCTTGAGTTAATTCTGGCTCTGACTTCAGGCAGAACTGCCTGGCAGAGAAATGAAGCCCTGAGTATCTCACCTGGAGCCTCCCTCACTGTAGGCCTTCCTGTGGCTCCCAGTGGCCCTTGGGGCTGGAACAGGGCTGGGAAAGCTGCCGGAGTCCCAGTCCTTGAGTCTGGAGCCCCAAGGGGCAGAACCCTGTGAGGATCTAGAGGCTGGGGCCCTGGGACCAGCTGAGCTGCTGCCGTGCTGCATGACTGACCTCTGGGGACCCCTTCTCATTTATAAAAGGAGGGGCTGGACTGGCTGATCCCCAAGGGACCATCCAGCCTGGGAGCTGCCTCTGCTGGCAGCATCAGGACAAGAAGGTGATGATAGGGAGCCCGTCCCGGCCTCCAGGGCTGAAAAGTAGATGTGGCCTCTCCTCTCTCGCTCTACTCCCCTCCATTCCCCTCCCTGGTCCCCCTGCTGAGGAGCTGCTCAGCTACAGCTGGCCAGTGGGAGACCCGGCTAAATGGATTTTTAAAGCTCTTCCATGTCAGTGGACCGCAGTCTCAGGGAGCCTCAGGCCCTTGGGCAGAGTTGGTGAAGAGGCTGCTGATTCTAATTGCCAAATGAGGGATGAGTTACCGGAGGGCTGAGGCTCACCCAGTGGGTTTTCATGGAGGTCTGAGGGGAGGGTGAGACGAGGAACCAGGAGAACCCAGTGTCTCTGCCATGGCTGGGAAGTCCCGGGACCAGAGGCTGCTCTGAAATACCTCCAGGGATGGGGCTTTGGGACAGAGATCCGGCTGGAAGGGGCCCGGGGGTGGTGGGATGGGGTGGGGTGGTTCTTGAGTTAAGAGGCAGCATGGAGTAGTGCTAAGAGCGTGGCCCCTGGACCCAGACAGCCTAGCGTCAAATCCTGGCACTACCTTCCACTAGCTGTGTGACCTTGGGCGAATCCCGAAACCTGTCAGCTTCCTCCTCTGTAAGTGAGAGCATCTGAATAGCGGCTCCTACATCAAGAGTTGAGTATTTTTAGTTAACATGCACAAGGTGCTTGGAACTGTACCTGGGATGTGATGTTGGCTGTTATTTTTATTATTATTGTCTTGGAGCTCTATTTATATAACCTTACGTGAGACTCAGAGCGTGTCCCTTGTCCCCATCAAAGGGTACCGGTGGATATTGTGGGAGGAGCCCCTTTGCTCAACACCCTTGCCCCCCTTGACATGTGGGGGAGAGTCAGGAGTCCCATCAGAGGCTGGGTCACCCAGAGGGAGCAGGCTTTGATGGGGAGAAAGGAGGTGATCCGAAAGAAAGCAGGCCCAACAAGCAGGGAGCCGTTGCCAGGGAGGATGCGACCTCCTTGTCTTTAATTGCTGAGCTGAGCAGTCCTCCCAAAGAATCACGGGAAAATGGATATTTTTGGAAATGCTTCCCATCCCTTTGAAGATCAGATGCAGCAGGAGGGAGGGCATTAGGGAGAAGGCCTAGAAGTCCT
The DNA here is from genome assembly GCF_000001405.40 of Homo sapiens. Taxonomy (NCBI): domain Eukaryota; kingdom Metazoa; phylum Chordata; class Mammalia; order Primates; family Hominidae; genus Homo; species Homo sapiens. The sequence goes on from NT_167251.2 coordinate 969,404, forward strand.
GGCAGCAACTCATCAGTAAATGGATTAATTAGTGCTTAATGATGAGGTGCAGCTCTGGGTACCCACTTGTGACTGACTGCACGGGCGTGCTCCACCTCATCTGGCGCTGGAGACACCTGGAAAGGGGTCTTCCAGCCCTGCCCTCACAGACTGACCCCATGTCGAGAGGCCATCACCCCAGCTCCTTTCCTGGGATCACAGAGGGAAGCGCGGGGGAGCCTAGAGAGCACCACACTCAATCCTCCCACCCATTCTGCAGGTGTAGAAACTGAGGCCCACAGAAGGTCTGTGCCAAGGGCTACTTAACCAGCTGCAGATGCAGCTGGAATGAGAACTTAGGACTCCTGGCTGCCACTTCAGGCAGGGCCAGCAAGTGAAGTGTGTGCCCAGGCATTGAGGGCTGAAAATGTTTATCTGGAGCATGTCAAGTAACCCTTTGCAACGGGAGTAGAGGGAACTCATGGGGGGTGGCCAGGGCTGGCTGCAAAAGGCGACAGGGCCATGACCACAGACAGCCTGGCCGGCCCCACCCAGCAGCCTGACCACGGAGGCCACACAAGAGTGGATTCCAAGTGAAGGAGTGACCAACTCAGATCTGAAACCTGAGGCTGGGCAGTGGCGCTGGGGAGTGGGGGCAGGTAGGGCCAGACACGAGGATCACTCTGGAAGTGGACATGACAGGAACTGGTGCCTCCTCCTGGAAGCTCCTCTGATGTGCAGATGCTGCCTCCTTCCTAGGGGCTCCAGAAGGACTCAGCCCCCAGCATCGTGAGAGTTATCGTCCCTGGGCTGTGACCCTGCCTCCAGGCTCTGCGACCTCCGATAGGTTATTAGCCTCTCTGTGCCTCAATTTCCTTATTACAAAATGGGCCTGACTATATTGGGGGCTGGCCAACTGTGCACCCCTTGGACTGACCTGGCCAAGAGGCCCTTCTTCCTTTCTGCACTTCCTCCCCTTGGCCCCCAAGCCCCTCCCCAGTGTGTCTTCTCCCTCTCCCGAGTCCCTCCCATGGCCAGGACATGGTACAGACACACGAGGCTGCTAGATCTGGCTGCCCCAGCCTCCTGCCCTGCCCTGGCCTCCCAAGTCACTCCCTGGGGAGTCACTTTCTGGCTGGGTCTTCCTACTCCTCTGCTCTAGCCCCCAACCTTAACCCCCCAAATCCATCTGGTAGAGGAAAGAGGGGCAGGAGAAGGAATCTGGGAGTTTTGAGCTGGAAGACATCTTAGAAGCCAAGCCATCCAGCCCTCTCCATCCTCAGATGAGGGGCTGAGGGCCAGATGAGGGGCAACAATGTGCTGGGAGGTCACACAGTGAGTCTTGGAGTAAACTACATGGTGTCTGGGCTCACCCCTGTGCCCTCTTGGGACTCTGAGTTCAAGACCACAAGGACCCAAGGGTGCACACAGGAGGCCCCAATTGCAGGGATCAGGCCCCCAGCCTCCCCTCAGGTAGGTTAGGGCTCCTGGCCCACAGCTGTTGCTCTCTTGATAAGCAGGGACCTGACTCATTGACAGGGGAGAGCAAATTAATTCCGAGAGTGGCAGGCGGAATAGCAGGGAGCTGCAAAGCCCGGCTCTGGGGGTTTCGGGCCTCCAGGGAGCCAGGTGTTTACATGAGGATCAAGTATCCGATGGACCCTGGGTCAACCCCGTCCTGTCCCCACTCCACCTACAAATCCAGGATGCAAGTTGAGCCTGTGCCTGTGCATCTGAAACTCTGGGTCCCCTGCCTCCTGGCTGGAGGGCCCGGGGTAGGCCTCAGAACCTCTCGACTCAAGGTTCTTATCCACACAGCTGGGGCTCTGATGATTCCTGCCCTGCTTCATGGTATTACAGTAGGCTCAAACAGACTAACCTGAAGTTTAATGGCAGAAGAAAGTGCCAGACAGACGTGGATGCAAATTCCAGCTTCACCCCTTACCAGCTGCCAATGGGGCAAGTTCCCTAACCTCCCTGAGCCCCAGGGGCCTTAGTTATAGGAGGCATGATAGTGTCTTGCAAGGGTATTGTGAGAATCACGAGTAATGAGCACAGGGCACCCGGGAGAATACAGCGCTGACCTTTGGAAAACAGGGGCGATCCCCACAAGAGGTATTACTGTTATTGTCATCGTCATTCTTCCTTCCCCCACCTCCAAGCTCTCCCCATCCTGTCCCACCTCCCAGCAGATGGTCCACCCTCCACTTCTTCCTTACTTGTGGTATTGTAGCGGACACCATAGAAAAAGGCAGGGCAGGGCCGAACCACTAGCTGCCCCGCAGGGCTGCGGGGCCAGCAGGTGCCAATGAGGTCCACGGATGCGTTGCACTGCAGTCCTGGGGGCAGAGACGGCTGGTAAGGCACAGCAAGATATCCGGCCAAGGCCCAGCAGAGGACATTCCAGAGTCCTGCCCACCTCCCCACTCGTTCCCACTCACACCAACTAGGGACAGGATGACAACAATGACCAGTGCAGAAATGAGCTCATCCTATGCAAAGAAGACACAAGGGGAAGAAATCTGAATCTGATGCTATGGTACTAGGGAGCCAGCATGGGTTCCAGAGCAGAGGAGGAAGAGAGATGGCTGGAGGTGGTGTTAAAAGCTAAGGTCCTGGCATTTAGAGGAAGCCTGGGCATGCTTCTGGTCCCCTGCTCTGTAGCCTAAGGACACTTCTCTTGGTCCCTCGCATGGTGACAGCCTGGAGCTCTGAGACATCACAGGAACACCCTGGAACAGACCCATCCAATCATTGATCTAGCCCCTCACGTCTCTGCAATCAAACCACATCTACCCTGGCCCTGCAGGGAAGAACCAGCTAAATGAAGTTGGCCCTCCTTCCGGCTGGCCTGTTCCTTCTTCCGGCTGGCCTGTTAACCACACTTACTGACCATACGTCGTGTGTACTTTGTTCTGTGCAGGGCCCTAGGACAGGACTGATGGAGAAGTGAGCTATGGAGAGGAAAGGGAGGGAGACACCATCTGGGGGAGTGGAAAGGGAGTCTGGGCCCACTGCTTCAGAATGGGCTGTGCCACTAATTTGCTGTGAGATCATAGGCAAGTCACTTGCCCTCTCTGGGCCTTAGTGTCTTGTCTTCATCTATAATAAAATCAAGTGGTTGAACCAGATCAGAAATTCTTAATCTCAGCCCACTGGAAACTTCAACAGTTCGCAGAGACCCTGAATGTAATGAAAATATTGGTGTATACATGCATTTTAATGGGGAAATGGGCCCACGGCTTTCATTAGATTCTCAAAGGGGTCTGTGACTCAAAGAGATATAAACATCTGAACTAGAAAGAAGATGTCAAAGTCCCCTTCCAAATATTTGCTTTTTGGAGGAGAGAGAGAGAGCATGCGCGAGAGAGAGGATGTTGGGGCAGAGTTGAGGCCCAGTGACACTTCAGGAGGGGAGGGTGGATATGGCCTCCAAAGGGTGGGGGCTGGCACAGTCCTGGCACCCCCCTGAGGCTGCCCCTTCTTTCTCTGCCTTTTAGTGCCTCCCTCTGAGTGAGGCTGGCACACCAGTCCTTTTGAGCCCCAGTGTCCCCAGGTTAATAACCTAGAATTGGCACAAGAGTGGACAGACAAGCCACGGAGGGCCAGGAACCATGAACCAGCGCGGGTGGGGGCAGCCTCTTCAGGCCTGGGCCGAGGCCTTAGCAGCTGCCAAGCCCTGGCTGGGGCTGCCTGCCATCTCCTCCCCAAATTAGCTTGTCCCCAGTCTCTCAGGAAACAGCACTGGGTTAAATTGGCTCCCTTTCTCTGCTGGACTCAGGGCAGTGCCGAGCAGCACTTGTACCAAATGCTGGTTTTTCTTTCTAATCAAAGCTATTCATAGGGCATTTGTGCAAATCAGGACTCAAGGGGCAGAGGCCTTCAGGCCAAGTGGCTTAATTGAAAGAGAAAGAAATCTGGATTGGGGCTTAATGGACACGAGGTGACTGCGGGCCAGGCGGCTGGAGTGGGCCAAGCCCAGGTGCTGTGCCACAGCGGAGTCTCTGTGAATGTTATCACGGAGTGGCAGTGGAAGCAGTGGAGTGAGGAAGCAGGGCCATCCGAGGCAACGGCGTACCAGGCTGGGATTTTAACCTGTCCTGGATCCTGCTGACAGTGTTGAGCCCGGGGACAGGGACTTGGGGGGAGAGCTGGGGGCATGTGGCCGCGGGGAGGGGAGGATCGTATAGAGGCCATGCCCTGCTGTTTCAAAGCTCTTCATCTATTTCGTTTGATCTTCACACATCTGGCAATGTGATTATTTCCTTTCTACAGATGAAGAAATTGAGGCCCAGGGAAGTTAGGTGACTTTTCCAAGGTCATGGGTCAATGGGTGAAAGAACCAAGACTCATAGGCAGGTATTTTGGACTCTAAATCTAGTGCTCTTTCCATTACGCCACATTGTGAGTCAGTCACAGGGGGTGAGGGACAGTTAAGGGGGCAGCAGGAAGGGAGCAGCGTTTGTTGAGGGCTGACTGTGTGCCAGGCACACATGACATATGCCATCTCATTTGATGGCACCATTGTACCTTCCTCAGTAGCTTGCTCATTCACTCCTCACTCATTCATCCACAGTATCTAGGGAGCTAGGCTCAAATGTAATGTTCCATGTGGCAGCGTCTGGAATGAACACACGGAACACACCCTCTCCATCAGTGTGGCCCCTGCCCTTCCTTCTTCCCTTCCCCGGCCAGTCTTCTTGCGCCTTGCTTTCGCAAGGCACGGAGGGCAGGAAAGGACTGGGCACCAGCCACAGCGAGGACGAGGCCAGAGCCGAGGCAGAGGCCAGCCACTGAGGATAGGCCTTCTGGCCTAGAGGACCTGCACCGGCCACTGCTGGGAGCTCTAAGGGCTCTAACCAAAGGCCTGACCCCGTCCACAGCTGGCCAGGGACGTGGAGACCTTCAAGGGGTGGGCAGGTCAGAAGCCATTTGCCTCTCCTCTGTGGTATGGTTCCCAGCCACCTACTATGCCACCATGGGTGCTAATTCTCTCTTGTTTTACAGATAAGAAAACTGAGGCCAAAGTGGCCAAATGGCTTATTCCAAGACAATCAGTAACCAAAGATACTGAGACGGGAGTGGATTTTCAATGCTCATCTTTTGATGCCAGCTCAGGGTGCTGCCCACAGCTGCACAGCTGGCCCTGATCTGGGCAGCTGCCCCTCGATCGCAGAGCTGCGACTCCAGTTCCCCAGCAGCGCCGCGCCTCCCCCTCCCTCCTGGCCCCCGCAGCTCCTAAGGATGCACAGAGGGGGCGCTGGTGACACAGCATCAGTGGCAACCTTTACATTAAGAGCCCAGAAAATCCTGGAAGGAATTGAAAGTCTGTGTGAGACGGGAAGAAAGGGAGAGAGAGGCTGCAAGAACGGGGAGGAGAAGCCAAATGAAAAGGGGCGAGGAGACAAAGTTCCCCCATCCCCGAGTGAAAGGTCAGCACTCCTGCTGGGTCAGGGGCTTGGGGTGGGGGGGTTGGGGGGGCGTGGCCAAAGGCACAAGGGCCTCAGCCGCGGAGTGGAGTTAGAAGGGAGGGGACCTAGAGGACAAGGGCAGGGAGGAGGCAGCAGGACAGGGCCTCAGGCGCCACGCTCCTGGCCAGTTGGCACTGTCCACTGGACTTCCCGGCCTGGGACTGCCTTGTGGGCTCGGTGCCTTCCCATAAGGCCTCGGGGTCCTGCCCTCTCTGGGCCTTAGTGTCTCTGTGTCTGAAATCCCCACAAGGATTTCAGATCGCCATCCTGCGTCCTGCGGACACCGAGTCCAGGGAGGAGGAGAGTGGGGGGTCCCTGGGACCCTGTAGGGACAAGGCCTCAGAAGGGAAATTGTGTATAGGACTTGAGGGGGATCATTTGTTGGACACTACTATAATATAAACCAGGCACTGTGAAAGGCGCTTTGCACGACTTAATTCATGCCACTCACTTAAGCCACCCGACTACAATGAGGAGGAGAAAACAGGCGGAGAGGGAGGGAGGTGGGAGGCCAAGTGGGCCAGGAGAGAGGTGGGGAGACAGAGGAAAAAAGATGGAGAAGAAGACACTAAGGAAGAAATAGAGAGAGGCAGGCGGGAAGTCAGGAGAAGGAGGCAGAGAGAAAGATCATTTCACAGGTGCTGGGGACAGAGAGGGTGTCCATCCCCTAGCTGGGAAGGGGAGAAGGCAGGAAGTCAGTTTCTGTGTCACTCAGCTTGATGGCTATAAGGACCTCAAGGACCTTCTGATTCTTGGGCCAATGTCCCCTCCCTCCAGTTCCAGTGCCACAAAAGCCTGACCTCTTCTGCTCTCCTGGCAGGTGGAGGTATTTTCCTAGTCAGCCGTCATAGTCCTGGGATGAGGAGGAATTTGGACCAGAGTAATCCAACCTTGCAAATAGCCAAGCCAATTTACCAACCAGCTGCACAAAGGCAGAGGTGCTGTTAGGTGCCAACGCCTCCTGACAGCTCCCTGTCCCACAGTGCCTCTCCTGGTAAATTAAGGAATAGTGACTTTGCTCTTTATTTAACAAGTACAATTGTTTCTCCATATCCATAGGTTTTGGGGAAAAGTGTACTGAACACGTACAGACTTTTTTCTTGAAATTATTCCCTAAACAGTACAGTATAACAGCTATTTATATTTATATAACATTTACATTGTAGTAGGTATTAGAAATAATCTAGAGATGATTTAAAGTATACAGGAGGATGTGCATAGGTTATATGCAAATACTACTCCATTTTATATCAGTGACTTGGGCATCCCTGCATTTTGATATCCATGGGGAGTTCTGGAACCAGTGCCCCATGGATACCAAGAGACAGCTGTTATTTACTGACTACCTAAGAAATGTTCAAGGGGCTTGGGATATAATAATGAATCAAATAAATGCCCTGTCCTCATGGTGCTTACATTCTAGTGGAGAGGCAGCAAACACACACACACATTTCTGTTAACCAGTGAGAAATACTATGGAGAAAAACTAAGCAGTGCAAAGAGATAAAGGCTGACCAAGGTGCTCTTTTAGTGTGGTGGCTTCTAAAGTACTACCATTTAAGCAGATACCTAAAGGAAGTGAGGGAGAAAACCTGCGGGGAAAGTGTTCTCAGCAGAGGCAACTGCAAGTACAAGGACCCCCGGAGCAGGTGTGTGCTTGGTGTGTCTGAGGTGTCAACGTTCCTATCACTCTGTGGCTCACTCCCTCATTCACGGGGCAGGTAGACGCCTTCAGGGTCTTTCCTGGTTGGGGATGTGGGAGTAGAACCAACCCACTCACCAGCGCACGTCACCACAGGCCTTTAGGTTGGGGGTGAGCTGCTGGAGTCAAGTGGACTAAAGTAATGCAAAAACCGGTCCTATATCTTCCTCCTTCCCCATACATGCACAGAACAAATGCGTGGGGCCCGCATTCTGGTCAGACTGCCTCAAATCCCTGCAAAGGGAGAGCAGAGGAGAGGTGTGGAGGGCTCCCACCTGCCAGGGAAGAAACCCTGCGGGGTCAGGGTCCTGGGAGGGCTGCTTTAGTGAACAGGTAAGAGCCCTTTGAAGGTGGCCTATTTAGTGCTGTGCACAATCAGGCACTGGCTTCTTCCCCCAGGTAGGTTACACAGTTTGCCTCCCATCAGGCTCAGGGTCCACGTGTGCTTGGCAGATCCGCCCATGGTAGATAACTTCAGAGGAAGCTGGAACCTGGCTCTGTCCCAGTTACGTCGGGTCTCCCATCAGCGGCTTCTGGAGGTGGGCACTTGGCAGCAGCCCTGAGGCTGGGAAGCCCTTCCCCCTATTTGGCTTAAACCCAGGAGGGGGACTCAGCCCAGGCTGTCCAGAGGGGGAGCAGCCAGGTGGCCCAAGGGCAGCCTGTGAAACACACGTTCTTGCCCAGTCAGAGGAATGTGCTGTGGGATGAATGGGCAGGGCCTCTGCCTGGGTCCCCTGGCATGGAGAGGGTGGCAGAAACCTGGTCTTTGCTCGGCCACCTCATGGCTGAGCTGCCTTCTGTTTGGCTGGGCAGAGAAGAAAGCTGCCTCTGTAGGGTGTGTGATCCATCAGGACAAGTGGATGGCCCTCCTGTCCTGCGGGTCTGTGGGCTCTTCACTTTTGCCTTCCCAGCAGCTAGTACAGTGCCAGGCATACGGGAGGCATGGAGGAGAATATGGGGCCGTGTGCAAACCTAGTGTGGGTACGGAAAACTGCAGGGGTGGCCCTGCACCCCTAGACGGCTGACTACACCGGGCCCTGGGCACCCTGGCTCTGAGTGGCCGCATAACGCAGTGCTGGTGGCAAAATCTGAAGTCAGGCCCACATGGTTCATATCTTGCAGCCACTGCTTAGTAACTGCTTAGTGTGTTTGGGCAACTCGTTTAACTTCTCTGAGCCTTAGGTTCCTCTACTGTAACATGTGGATAAAAATATTCCTGACTACAGTATTGTAATGATTGAATGAGATTAAAGCACTTGGAATGGCGTCCAACACACAGTGGACACTAAATAAACATTAGCTATTATTATTATTATTATTATTTGAGACAGAGTCTCGCTCTGTCGCCCAGATTGGAGTGCAGTGGCGTGATCTGGGCTCACTGCAACCTCGGCCTCTGAGGCTCAAGCGATTCTCATGCCTCAGCCTCCTGAGTAGCTGGGATTATAGGCGCCCACCACCAAGCCCGGCTAATTTTTTATTTTTATTTTTAGTGGAGACGGGGTTTCACCATGTTGGCCAGGCTGGTCTCGAACACCTGACCTCAAGTGATCCGACCGCCTCGGCCTCCCAAAGCGCTGGGATTACAGGCGTGAGCCACCGTGCCTGGCCTAGCTATTATTAATTATCATTCACTACCTTAAGACCAGAGATGAGAACTGATGAACCCAGGTAATTGTCAACTCAGATTCTATTTGTCTGTGATGTCATTAGTAAATGATTCTATTACCTCCTGGCATTGTCATACTCATGCCATGATTTTATGAGTCGCCAAGTCTGTGGTCTGCCACATGATAGGCCTCAGCCCTGGGGACCCACTCTCTCCCAGTTCCTGGCATGAGGCACGTAAAAGGCCCCCCAAAGGCCCTGGCTCGGTGCCAGCCGCCCCGGCCAGACGCCCATCCATCTGTCTCGCCCCTCCGCCCCACCCTCACCATCTGTCTCTACCAGTGCCCGTCGGTCTGGGTAGGTCTACGAGTCAGAAGACAAATGGCCCATTATCAGAGGCCATCGTGGAGGGTGATGGATCGCGTGCCATGCAGCCAGGCAGGCTGGGCTGGGCTGGGGGCACGGGCACAGAGTACAAATCACTAGGGAATGAACACTATTCATCATGGCCTGCTGGCTCCAAGGACAGGTGACACCTCTGTGGGCTCAGGGATGTCTCTCCTCCTGAGCATAACGAACAAGTTGATAGAGCCTAACCTGGCCCCAGAGCATGGGGGAGCTGGGGATAGGGCCTTTCCTCTCAGGCCCAGCCTCTGAGCAGCTCTCCTCCCTCCCCATCTCTCTCTCCTAGAACTCCAGACTCATGCTCAAGAACTTACTTCCCCATTCCCCAAGCACAGCTTAATCAACTTTGCAGCCAGATGCTCTGGGCTCCTAGCACCTTCTCAGTTTCCCACTCCTCCCTCCTCACTTCTTCCTGGTCCTTCCGCCAAACCCACCTACTGGTCCTTGCTCACCTCCTGCTGTAGCTCACAGCACTGGCTCTCTTCTGCCAGTTCACACTAACAGTGTCTCTTAATATTCACCTTGAAAATTCCTCCTTCAGGAAGCCTCCCTGGATTTGCACCACCCCTGCTTAGCCTCCCTGCTCCCTCCATCATTATGAGCAATTACTGGCAAGTACCTTCCCTTCATTCCAGCTATACAGTAAGCCTTTTAAAAGCCTGCTGAGGCTGAGACAGGAGGATCACCTGAGCCCAGATCTGGGCTGCAGTGAGCTATGATTGTGCCACTGCACTCCAGCCTGGGCAACTGAGACCCTGTCTTTACAAAACAATTTTAAAAATTAGGCCAGGTATGGTGGTGTGCACGTAGTCCTAGCTTCTCAGGAGGCTGAGAGAGGAGGATTCCTTGAGATCAGAAGATCGAGGCTGCACTAAACTATGATTGTGCCACTGCACTTCAGCCTAGGTGATAGAGTGAGATCCCATCTCTAAAACCAAACCAAACCAAACCAAACCAAACCAAACCAAACCTAGTACTGGCATGACACTCTACAGTTTACAGTTTGTGAAATATTGCCATAAAACTTAGTACATTGAATCTCATAAGAGATCCTTGGGGCAGGTAACAGCCCCCCTATCCCTCTACACTTGGGCAAGGTGAGGTTCAAGAGGGGTTGAGGGTATGCTCATCCCTGTGGCTACCAGTACCCACCCCTAGCCGGGACATGACCAGGCACCTTCTGTGAGCCAGCACAGGGACCCAGTGTGCCTTCTCCAAGTCCAGGGCTTGTTCCTCTGCCCCCAGGCTCTCCCTAGTGAAGGAACAGCTGGCCAGGAAGCAGCTACCATGAGATGTGGAGGCCTCCTGTTCCCACAGAGCCACCTTCAGAAATGAAGGCCTCCTGCCCGCCTGCAGACACTTGCGTCTGTTTCTTTGCAAGCATGCGTCTTCCACTCTGCCTCATCGCACATGCATTTGTGGATTCGATGCCCAGACTAGCCTGTGAGCCCCCTTGTTTCCCCCAGTGCCCTGCGTGGGGCCTGCTGTGTAGTAGGTGCTTCATGAAAGAGTTGGTGTGAATCAAGGAGAGGCTTGAAGACTTAAATAGAAGGTCCACAAGCCTTCCAAAGACACTCAGGTGCAGGGACCCTCTCCATTTTTGCCCAGCAGCAGCCATGCCCAGGACCACACCCAAAGTTTTAAAAGACATGCCCTAGGCAGCCCAAACATCTAGATTTGGGTCCCAGTCACTGCCATGTACTGGCTGCATGGTGCCATGGGGGTTATGTAACTCTCCCATGCCTCAGTTTCCTCAACTGTACAAACGTTCGGCTTTACACTCTTGTGAGGATGAAACGAGATGATTATGCAAAAGCACTCTGTAAATGGTAAAGTGACACAGATATTAATAATATTTGCAGCTATGCTGTCTTTTCTATTGGAGAGATACAGAGCACGGCGCTGGAGACCACAACCAGAAGCTGGGCTGCCCGTGCTCCACTCAGGGCTCTGGCGCTTACTAGTTCTCTGTGCCTCAGTTTTCTTATGTGTAAAATGGGGGCAACAGCACCTACTTCAGAGGGACATTGTGCAAATTGGGTTAATACAGCTCCAGTCCTTGATCAGTGCCTGGCACGGGTTAGCACCGTGGAGTATTACACTCTGGGCATTTTTAGCCACAGACTGTGGCAGCCTTTCCTCCGTCCCTTGATGCCTCCCCGAGTCACAACTCAGCAGCAAGGGCTGGGATGCCCTCCCCTGTGCCCACCCTAAAGCAGGGAAGATAACTACTCAGAATCCTTGCTGCAAACTCCTGTGCCCACGGCAGGTGCTACTAACCAACTGCAGCTCTTCCCCACCAACCTTACACCCAACCTCAGGATCCTTCTCAACACGGTGCTCGGTGGAGATGTGAAGAATTGCTTGGAGCCCTGGAGAGGAAATGACTCTGCAAATCCTGCCTTAGGGCATGGTTCTGTGTGCAGGCTCTGGGATACCTGGGGTAGGGGGCATTGTGGTGACCAGGAATCTTGCAGGAGGGGGTTGAGGGGACTCACCTGAGATGTTGCTGGCCAGGGACAGGCTCTCGCAGTGCTGGTCCTGGAGGGAGGCAGAGACGGGGTTCAGCCCCAGAAGGAGAAGGGCCTGCAGGCACAGGAGGCGAAGGACACATTAGGCAGGTGCCATGAGCCATGAGCATGTTGCTCCATCACCCAGGAAAACTGCAGGGGTGACACTGCACCTGCCTGCCTCCCCTCCCACCCTGTCACACATCCAGTCGCTTCCCAGACACCCGCCCCTCATCTCCTCTCTCCTCCTTCTGGGTCCTCTCTGCCTGGAGGGTCTGGAGTTGCCCTGCTCTTGGAGGGGCCTGGCAGGGAAGCTGACAGGATCAGGAGCCCAGGCTCCTAGGGAAGAGGCGAATTTTACCCCTAGGGGCTGAGTGCGGCCAGAGGAAGCCACCTCCATCCCCATGGAATCCTGAACATGGTCCAACGGTGTCCCACCATATACACGTGTGCATGTGCACACACACACACACCCTCCCACCGGCCCGCTGACCACCATGGCCGCTGACATCCCCATGCGTGCACCCACTTCCCTCCCTTCCTCCAGAGCTGGCCTCTTGTTTTGTGAACAGTTTCCTGGGCCCTCATCCCCGCCTGCCTAATTATCCGTCATCACAAATTGTGCCTCACCATTTATCAAGCTCTTGTACATCTGCCGTGACACTAAATTTTCCCTGGGGTTGGTGTGGCTGTGCCTATTTGCAGATGAGGAAACTGAGGCACAGAGAGGTAAGGGATAAATGTGTCTGGAAAGATGGACACCCTATTCTAGGGCAGACCTTTGCCCTTTAACCTCCCTGAAGGCTCCGTGTCACTCTGATTCCAGAATTTTAGCCCAGTTGGGAAGGGAGTGGCATAGGCCCTATACCTGGAGGGCTGCCCCTTCTTCAACTAAACCCACCCACACAACCATCGCATTACCCCCCTCCCGACAGGGTTAGAGTCAAGAGAGAGGCCGAGTGTCCAGCCCCCCGTTACGCTGTGTTGCCATGGGCAGGGGACTTGACCTCTGTGTGCCTCAGTGTCCTCACCTGTAAAAATGGGTCTAACTGTCCCACCCCCTTTAAGCTTACATGATGTATGTATATTGAAGTCCTTTAAATAGCCCTGCATGCTCTGTAGGGGCAGGGATTTTGTTCATTGCACTCAATTTTGCTGAAGAAATGAATGAATGACATTGTGTTTCTGGTATACAATAGGCACTCAAGAAGGATATGTTAACTGATCTGAACTTAGTGGTTTTTATTTAGTTGTTGGAGGAGAGGTGGCTGTTTCCCCTGGGATTTGATTCAAAAGGGGTTAAGAAGCATGAGTGAGGGGCAGGGAGAGGGGAGCATTGTAACCGGTCCTCCCCTCTGGCTGTGGGGAGCTGGGTGCCCGGCCACCAGCAGAGTTCCCAGACAGGGTGGTGAGCCTGAAGCCCAAGAGGCCTCATGGGAGGCTGCTCTCTTCATCACTTCTCTGCTGTTTCTTCTTGGGGTCTGCTCCTTCTGAGGCCCCCAACCCCATGGCCAGGTGTCTCAGCCCCAGCCCATTTCTGTACCAACTGCAAATTTCACTACAGAGCCTCAGACACAGACCCTTAGCTCTGGAAGCCAGCTTGGGATTTCACAGCAGGAAAATAAGATCGGGAGAGAGGTAGGGGCTTGTCAAGTCCCTTGGTGAGCAAAGACTTCTAGGGTGTAGGCTAGAAGCAGGTCGGTGGCCAGCCCAGGCAGCACGCAGCCTTCTCACAAGGGGCCGGGACTCCACGTGGTGAGTGCAAAAGTGAAGGGAGCATCGAAAATCTTAGTCGTCAAGATACGGAATATTTTAACATAATTATTTTTTTAAAATAAAGATTAACGCCAAAAAATCCATGATGAGCAAAATATCAAAAACTTTTTAAAGGAAAGATAGGCTCAGTAACAGTGCTGGGCCATGTTGGAGCTTGGGGCAAAAAGGGAAAAAGTCAGTAATGATATTAAAATATTATCTATCATGGCCGGGTGCAGTGGCTCATGCCTGTAATCCCAGCACTTTGGGAGGCCAGATCACGAGGTCAGCAGTTCAAGACCAGCCTGGCCAACATGGTGAAGCCCCGTCTCTACTAAAAATACAAAAATTAGCCAGGTATGGTGGCAGGCACCTGTAATCCCAGCTATTCGGGAGGCTGAGGCAGGAGAATTGCATGAACCCGGGAGGTTGAGGTTGTAGTGAGCCGAGATCACGCCACTGCACTCCAGCCTGGGCGATAGAGTAATACTCTATCTCAAAAAAAAAAAAATTATCTATTGCGATTACTGAGGTTTGAGGAAATGCCTCACTTGCTTCACTCCAGTCGGGCCCCACTCATGCGCCATCTTCCCAAGCCAGACGCCATCCCTCCTTCCCTGCCTGCCCCATATCCTTCAGGGGTGTCCATCCTCTCTTCCCTGGACTCCTCTCCACTCACCCTTTTCGGATCTCAGGACCTTCTCCCTGTCCTTAGAAGCAAACTGACCTGCCTTTTCCATGTTCACCTGCCGGGAATGTTCTCCCTTATCTCACCCCACCCCACCAGGGCCACCCCCTTTCACGGTACCCACTCCCTCCCAGTCCTGTCCCGATGATGAAGGCAGACTCTGCTCCCCTCTCTCCCACCCACATTCCAAGGTCCAGGGGAAGAGTGCCCACTCCTCATCAGAGCCTGGTCCCCACTACCCATGACTCACCCACATGGTCCCCCGAGTCGGTAGTGCCTGAGTTTGTAGTGGTTTTGTTCACTCCATTCCCTTGCTGATACTCTCATAGGGGTCTCTCTGCCCTGGACCAAGCTCCAGGTTCTGAAGCATAACCCCAGCCTCACACCCCCATCCTGTGCTCTGCACACGGGACACTCAGCAAGATGGCACTGGGGTTAGCCAACTCGCGCCTGGGACTCAGGAGTGATGATAACAAACCCATTCATCTCTCTGGCCTCAAGGAACTTCCAACACTTTATTAATCAGTAATTAAACTTCACAGTCTCCAGAGAGATGGAGAAATATCTTTACCCTCATTTTCCAAGTGAAAATGCAGAAGTAGAGAGAGGAGGAGGCCACCAGGCCAGCCGGTGGCTCTTGCCAGCTAAGCAGAAAGCAAAGTGTCCTCATGACAAAGCTGCACTGCCCGCTCAGCAATCAGCAAGGACCCAGGCTCGGCTCTGTCCCCGGAGAGGGGCAGTTCAGATGCTAGGGCCAGAGGCCCCTTCTAGAAGGGGACTAGAAATCATCACTCCTCGTTTCCCACCCCACATCTGCCCACGCCACCTCCCAACACACACACATGCACACACGCGCACGCGCGCGCGCGCACACACACACACACACACACGCACTCTCTCTCTCAAACTAGGGCTCCCAGAGCCAGCTCAGCCACAGGCAAATTAAAGAAACTGGAGACACTGGCCAGGTGCAGTGGCTCACGCCTGTAATCCCAGCACTTTGGGAGGCCAAGGCAGGCGGATCACCTGAGGTCGGGAGTTTGAGACCAGCCTGGCCAATAGGGTGAAACCCCCATCTCTACTAAAAATACAAAAATTAGCTGGGCATGGTGGCATGCCTGTAATCCCAGCTACTCAGGAGGCTGAGGCAGGAGAATTGCTTGAACCCAGGAGGTGGAGGTTGCAGTGAGCCGAGATCACGCCATTGCACTCCAGCCTGGGCAACAGAGCAAGATTCCATCTCAAAATAAATAAATAAATAAAATAAATAAAAAAGAAAGAAAAGAAACTGGAGGCATCCTATTTGACAATATCAGCCCCATTGCCTGACATTCCACTTATCCATCTAATCCTTAAGCTGTGCTTCGTGCTCCGGTCTTTCATATCCCCCACCTTGAAGGCACATCACGTTCTATTTCCATCCAATTACTTATTATCTCCCAGTATCTGGGATCCTTCTCATGTCTGCAACCCTCTGCCCATGCAGTCTGTGCCACCCCCCACCCCTGGTCACCTGGTCAACTCTGCATTCTTCAGAGGCCAGTTCCAGGGCCCGTCTGCTTAGTAGTACCTGCCCAACTCTCCAAAGCAAAGCAGCTCAGTTCTCCCTCCAATGTACCCCTTTTCCCAGTGCACTCTGTACACTCACTGGACCCTGTGCCCGTGAGGCTCACAAGTAGAGCACTTAGACCAGCCTAAGTGCACGAAAACCACCTCGGCACAAAGCACTTAGGACCCAAGACACTAATTAGATGGCAAATATACAGGCTATAAGTTCTTATTCTCGCATCTTAATGTCCTGGCGTGCACAGAGGAGCAGAGCAAATCTTGATTCGTCAGAAAATGAAGCCAAATTCCAGGCAAAGGGCTAGTCTTCCCTTGGCTGCCTAGAACCCTGACACTTGTGTCCCTCTCTTGAATGTGATGGTTCACACAGGCATTTTCTAAACACAGAGGACTGGTGTTGCGTTATGCAAAGAAAAATGCTTCTTAAAATTCCCAAACCAACCTTTCCTCTCTGGAAAGGTCTGCTCTGTAGCAGAATCTGTGCCTGTGCCACCTCTTGCTCTGTGGAAGGTTTGTGAGGGCTTCTGCCTTATTCCTGAATCATACTTCCATGAAA
Organism: Homo sapiens; assembly: GCF_000001405.40. NCBI lineage: Eukaryota > Metazoa > Chordata > Mammalia > Primates > Hominidae > Homo > Homo sapiens. Next base: position 985,644 of record NT_167251.2, read on the forward strand.
AGTCCAGAGATTTCCTGCATTTTTCCTCCCACCATCCGCTGATCTCCTCTTCACCATCCGCTGATCTCCTCTTCAAGCTCCACTGTGGTTTTCTATCTCCATCAATAGGCAATTACTGCACTGGCAGGAACAGGCCCCCAAAGTTTCAAGGATGTTGTTTGTTTGCCCTTAAAATGGAGAATTTTTTTGTTTGTTTGTTTTTTGAGACAGTCTTGCTCTGTCGCCCAGGCTAGAGTGCAGTGGTGCGATCTCCGCTCACTCCAACCTCTGTCTCCTGGGTTCAAGCAATTCTCCTGCCTCAGCCTCCCAAGTAGCTGGGATTACAGGCCTGCACCACCATGCCCAGCTAAGTTTTGTGTTTTCAGTAGAGATGAGGTTTCACCCTGTTGGCCAGGCTGGTCTCAAACTCCTGACTTCAAGTGATCAGCCCGCCTCGGCCTCCCAAAGTGCTGGGATTACAGGAGTGAGCCACCATGCTGGGCTAAAACAACAAAAAACAAAACAAACAAAAAAAAAAACACGGAGAATTCTTAACCTGGGGAGCGGGCAGTGTGAAGATTTGCAAATAAATGCAGTTGGTGTGCGTGATGAAAACCATTTTCCCGGGGAGGGTTCTTGGCTTCCTCCACTTCTCACCAACAACTAGCACCCTGAAACAGTGGGAACTACAGTCGAAGCATATGGTAAATGGGGTGAACTGAACATGTCATCTTCTCTGAAATCAAACCAAAGTGCTTTTGGCCTTTCTCAGATGCCTCTTGCTCCTCCACTCCATCACCAGTCCCAGCCACTGGCGCTCCTTTCAGAACCAAGTTTTCAAGACTTCATGTGATTTACTATCTTCCAACTAGTAGAGAAAATCAAAACGGCACTGAAGCTGAAGCTGGCAGAGCACGAGGTTCACTCACTGGCTAATGCCTCACTTCCGTGCACAGCCTGGCAGCCCCAAGGCTCCAAATAAAACTTGCAGCTGAGCTACAAATCTCTCCACTCACCAAAGAGCCAAACCTTCAAGGTTAAAGTCTGAGGCCAAGGGTGCGTGCGGCTCAATTATAGCATCGCGTAAAAGGATTTTCCAAAGATCTAGTGGGTCCCTGGGATGGAAGGGAAAGCAGACTGGGCGGGTATCATGCTCCCATTTTAAGTCTGGGGTAGTTGATGTACCCAATGTCACATAACTGTTTTTAGGAGCTGGGATTCAGTAAGCAGGTGCTCCTGCTGTCTTTCAAGGAGATGAACCATGAAGACAGTCGCGCCTTCTGGCTGGCCAGGCGCAGGTCAAGACAGCGCCTTGGAAGAAGGGATGGGCAGTGGGGAGGAAGGTGGTGCAGGAGCCTGTGGAGGGGGTGGAGGGCCAGGTTCTGACATGGCCTGCTCCAGCCTGCAGCAGCTGCTACCCACACCCCCACCCCCAGGGCCAGCACAGAATGGGGCTGGAATGAAGCTGCCATCCCAATTCCCAGTGTGATTTTGGTACAAAGGTTAATCACACCCAGAAAATGCTTATCAGAGACCATAAATAACCGTGTTGTTGAAGCTCAGTTTGGTCTTTAAGGCACAAAAGTGCAATTTCCTTTGATGTGATGATTCGGTAATTAACCTTTTGGGGAGGGTCCTGAAGGCCACTGGAGGGAGGGAGGGGTGGCCTGGAGGCAGCTGAGGCATCTCAGGCCTGGTTCCTACAAGTTCCTGGGGAACAGGGAAAAGGGAGCCTGTTTTCTCTCTCCTTTCACAGCTAGCACTGATGCTCAGCTTGGGAGAGTCCCCAGAGCCCCCAGGGGTCAGGGACCGCACTGGCCTTCGGCAGAGCCACAGCTGGACAGCCATCCTTCAACACGGTCCCTCGCCCTTCTGCTGAGCCCCAAGGCAGTCCTGTCACTGGCTGTGTGGCTTTCGGTGAGTCACCTGACTCCTCTGAGACTCAACATCCTCATCTGTGAAGTGGGGGCAATGTGGTCTTTCTTACCCACTTCACTGGGAGATGGACCATTTGTGGGGAACCAGGAGACCTGCATCTGCAATATAAAGTCCCTACAAGCATCGGCAGGGTCATCAGCCCAGCTTGGCTGTTCTGGGCCCCAGAATGCACCTCCACTGCAGAGGGCTGGCCTGGAGCAGCTTTCCTGATGTCCCTTCCGGGCCCTGGGGGAGGCCCCGCAGGCTGGACCTGGCCTCTCCTCATCTTCCGCCAGGTCCTTCTGCCTTCTCAGGAAGCCTTGCTTTGGGAAGGAGTTTTTCCATTTAAAAGGTAAGTTGCTTTTTAGGTTTGAAATCCACTGGATTGAGTGGTGTCTCCAACCCCCTTGGTGGTCTGGGATCCTTCATTCAAAGAGTCCAGGACTAAGTACATGATTTGGAAAAAAGGAAAGGAACTCAGAAGAGATGGGGAAGGACAGACAGACACACACATACATGACGATGGCAAGATGAGGCACAGACTGAGGGCAGGGGGACCATGGAGTTTCAGATGGGGTCAGCACCATGGCCATGAGGGCAGGCTTCCTGGAGGAGGTGAGCTGGAGGTCGGGGCAGAGTGGACGTGGCTGTCAGAGGGAGGGAGAGGGCCTTCCCGGCAAGGGGAGGGTCCTGAGCTTGTAGGGGTGTGGCAGGCTGCCTGCGGAGGGCCTCAGACACTGGGTTGAGATGGATCCAGTCGGCCTGGAGCACCATGGCAGGTTCCTGAGCAGTGAATTATCCCAGCTTGTCACCCTCATCATCCCAGCGAGACAGCCGACAGTCACCTGTTCCACGGAGGCGGTTCAGCAGGTCAGAGTGAAACCAGGCCTTGTTGCCTTCCCTGGCCTGGGAGACTCTGGCGGACCCTGACTCGGGGCCCAGAGAAGCCCTTGACTCTCCAGTGTGGCCAAGATCGAAGATGTACCTGGTGACCCCAGAGGCAAGGGCCCCAGCCCACACTTTCCATCTGCTGGCCAAGGTCCTGGGTCCTGGGGTCCTGCAGGCTCCACAATCCCAATATCCGACCCTTCTGACTCTGCTTTGCTTTGCACTGTGTTCAGGTGGAGCCTATTTTAAGCAAAGGCAAGAGAAGAAAATCTAAACGCGAAAAAGAAATGAGGTCATAAATGAAGATTTCTGTAAAAAGCTGGGTCCGCCGTTGCATTTAAATACTGGGATCTGGTTTGCAGAAATAAAGCGTCAGTGCAATCAACTCTTCAGAAACGTCTCTGTACCTACGGGGGATATATCTGTAGTTACGGACTAATTGAATACAAGAGCAGGGCAGGCCCCACACGCAATTGTGTGGTTTCTGCAGAATTTCTTGCTACAGAAGTGCCAAGTGGAGGGGTCAGTGGGGGATAGACTTGCAAGATGTGTACCAGCAGAGGGGCACCCTCATGGGGCACCTTTTTCTCATCCACCCACAGGTGGAGACCAGCCAGAGTAAAACTAGACTAGGCACAGAGGACAGAGATGCCAGGGGTCCTTTCTCAGCCCTCTTGACTGCCCAGGCTTCTCCCCATCCCGCCTCGGGCCTGGCCCTCCTCCCACAGCCTCTTTCTGTGACAGCCACAACCAGTTCCCATCTCAAGGCAAAGAGCCAGTGCTTCCCCTCAAAGTGGGTGAGCACTGAAAGATTATTCCAGGCAGGCGAGAAATAATTTATTGTTACATTTAATTAACTTAAATTGCTGTTGTACAGAGAAGAAAAAATGGAAAGGAAAATCTCCTGCCTACAGTTAAGGGAGGGGGGAAGCCTGGGTGTTCCCCGCCCCCGGCCTTTCTCCCTGGGGCCCCGGCTCAGGGTGCCCCCGCCCGCCCTCCCTGCTACTTCACGCCTCTACTCCCCTAAGAAAACCTTGCAGCAGGGCTAGAAATAGTGGGTCACCTGCCTCTCCCACCCCAGGGCAGCAAGGGCCATGAGACCCCAGCTCCAGAGTCACACACGCCCCTCCAAGGTTCCAGATGTACTGTTATAAGCTTGAGTTGTAAGCTCCCTGCAGGCAAGGCCTGTGTTTGGCTTTTTTTTTTTTTTTTTCCCGAGACGGAGTCTCGCCTTGTCGCCCAGGCTGGAGTGCAGTGGCGCGATCTTGGCTCACTGCAACCTCTACCTCCTGGGTTAAAGAGATTCTCATGCCTCAGCCTCCTGAGTAGCTGGGATTACAGGCACCCACCATCACACCTGGCTAATTTTTATATTTTTATTAGAGATGGGGTTTCGCCATGTTGGCCATGCTGGTCTCGAACTCCTGACCTCAGATGATCCACCTACCTCGGCCTCCCAAAGTGCTGGGATTACAGGCGTGAGCCACCCTGCCCAGCCCGTGTTTGGCTATTTTTGTATCCTCAGTGGGGCCCGATACAGAGCAGGCCCCAACATGTTTGTTGAATGAATAAATGACTGAATGAATAAGTGAACAGATGGGTTTTCACTTTCTGCCCCCTCTGACCATGGGGTCTCATGATGATTCCCAGCAGGAGATTGTAGGGGGCTGTTTCCTTTTTCTCATTTTCCTCTCTATTCCTCCTGCTCAGCAGGAGCTCCCTCTCCTCTCCTTGCTCCCGCCATAGCCCCGCACCTTGGACTCCAGAAGGATGTGCTAGAGGAAAAAGCACTCTGGGTGGGAAGCACAGGGCTGACTCTGCTGAACTTGCTCCGTGATGGTAGAGAAGTCACCTCCCCACCTCAGTTACCTCATCTGTAAAATGGGGAGGTCACTGTGTTCTCTACATTCCTTTCCAGGTCTGAATATGCCCTGGCTCCAGGATGTACAGGAGAGTAGAAATTCAAATCTCTAAACTTGGGGCTGGAGAGATGCTTGTTGGAATCTTTTATCTGCCCCCTCCTACCTGTGTGACCTTGGGAGAATCACCGAACTTCTCCAAGCCTCATTTTCCCCATCTGTAAATGGGGCTGATAGGGATAAAATATTCACATCCCAAAGCTCCTGGAGAGATTCAACAATATGGTGCATATAAAACTGCATGGGGCCGGGCGTGGTGGCTCATGCCTGTAATCCCAGCACTTTGGGAGGCCGAGGTGGGCGGATCATGAGGTCAGGAGATTGAGACCACAGTGAAACCCCGTCTCTACTAAAAATACAAAAAACTAGCTGGGCGTGGTGGCGGGCGCCTGTAGTCCCAGCTCCTCGGGAGGCTGAGGCAGGAGAATGGCATGAACCCGGGAGGCGGAGCTTGCAGTGAGCCGAGATCGTGCCACTGCACTCCAGCCTGGGTGACACAGCGAGACTCCGTCTCAGAAAAAAAAAAAAAAAAAAAAAAAGAAAGAAAGAAAAAGAAAAAACAGCATGGGACTAGGTGCGCAGGCCGCACAAATGGTCACCACTCTGTTACTCAACTTTGCACGTTCTTCCTTCCTGACTTGGCTTTTCTTCCCAGAAGTGCCCCTTGCCCAGCCCCCTGCCCACTCAGGGCATGTACCCCACTTTCCAGCTCCACTCTTTCCCAGAAGCCAGCAGTGGTCACCTACAGGAATGGAGTGTACATCCAGGTCAATGATATGGATTTGCTAAGCATGGGGGCAGGGGGTGCCCGGAGCGTAGCTCCCATCCTCCTTGTCTTCCCTTCATTTCTGCCTCTCATGCATTCACTTGCTCCCCGTCTTTGTATGATTTGCTCTCAAATTGACTCATGGATATGTTCTTGTAGCCCGTGCCTTCTCGGCCTCCTGCCTCTCTCCTCCCCATCTTGCTCTCTCCCTGTCTTAACCACCCTACCTTTCTCAGTCTTCCCTGGCTTCCATTTTCCTCCCTCCCTTCTTTCCTTCCTTTCTTTCTTCCTTCTTTCTTTCTTCAGCCTTTACTGAAGGCTTGCACAGTGCCAGGCCCTGTGAATTTCTTCATTTAATCCTTCTCGACCCCTGCAAGTCAGAGCCTTTACTATCTCCCCACTGTTCAAACGAGAGACTGGTGCACCCGGAGACAGTAACTTACCCAGGGTTTTGACTGCAGTAACTGGAGGGACTGGGATTGGAGCCATGCTCCTGCCCCTGGGCAGCACAGCCTGTTTCCCTGCCTGCCCTGCCTGCCTTCCCTTCCCTCCTCTTCCTCATCACAAGCCTGGATCCTCCAAAAGACACATAGGTACAGGTTTCCTTTGCCTTTCAAACTCTGGCTCCTGGCTGCAGCCCAGCTCCCCCAGAGCTGGCAGTGGGAACGAGGGGGCGGACAACAGTAGGACCCTGCCAATGGATGGGACTCAGGAAGGGCTCTGTTTGGCTCTCACAGAAGAGGGGAGCCCAGCCCAGGGTTCTGATCCAGTGCCTGCCCCTGGGAGCTGTTAGCTGTGAGTGGCTCCCAGACACTGGGAAACTGTCCCTGAGTGGGTGGGAGGCACAGCCGAGGTGTGGGGACAGCCGCAGAGACACCAGCTACGCAGGTGACACTATCAGCTGTGCTCTCGGCTCAGCCGCTCTCTGACAAGTGTAAAGTGAGGGGGATTTCGGTGTCGGCAGAGAAAAGATGTCCTTTATGGAGCTGCGTTTTAAAAGGGATTTAAAGAGGGCCAGAAAGGAAGAGTGAAACTGGTGGCTGAAAATTAGGTTCTACTTTATTTAAAAATGCTAAAGGCTTTGGGGCTGTTTTTCCTGGAAAAAACGACTGCCTTCTAAGGCCAAAGGTCAGTTTAAAGAGGGCTGCTGGACCGCCAAACCCCACCGAACAGGGAATATTTAGGGCAGAAATAAGGACTAACCAGACATAAAACAAGCAACGGCCCCGTCCTCTGATTCTTTGCTTGTAAAGGCAGTGACTTAGACAAAATCAGAATTTCCAGACAGTGCTTGACACCTGACCTGGGAGACAGAAAATCCCATTTCTCACAACTCACCCCCAAAATTGGGGTTCAATAGGCCTGTGGGGAGCCCAGGGACCCTTATGTTTTTTAAATGCGTTCCAGTGATTCTGAAGCATCAACAGAAGTGAGGATAACTCAGCCAGCTCAGAGATTCTCACCTGGAGGCCATTTTGCCTCCCGGGGGACGTTTGGTGATGTCTGAAGATATTCTTGGTTGCTATAATCAGGAAGGGGGAGGTGCGACTGGCATTTAATGGGTAAAGGCCAGGAATGCTGATAAACATCCTAAAATGCACAGGCCAGCCCCCACAGTGAAGGATTATCTGGCCCCAAATGTCAATAGTGCTGAGGTTGGGAAGCCCTGGGTTGGAGGGTTTCAATGCTCCATCCCAGCTTTGAAGACACTTGCCTGCCTGCCCATTATGGGGGCGGGGCAGGGGAGGAAGGTGGCTGTAGAGTGGACCTTGGGAAGAGTGTGGGATTACAAGAGAGAGGCACCTTCAAGGCAGGAAGAGGACCTGGATTGCACTCTTCTTGGTGAATGCCCTGTGCGACCTTGGATCAGTCAGTCTCCCACCTCCTGGCCTCAGTCTGAAGGCAGCGGACTGGTGGAAACGACCTTTCCTGGCCAGCTGGGCAGATGGGAACTCCTTCCCCTGACTCACTCTGTCCTGGCCCTGCTGGGTCAGCTCCTCCAGATCTCCTCCTGCAGGGGGTGCACAGGAGATGCAGGAAGGTCTGCCTGCTGATGCAGCCAAAGTTGAGGAATGAGGCAGCCCAGAAAGAGCTTGAACAGCAGCCTCTTCCCAGAGTCAGCGAGCTGAGCTCACCCAGCTGAGGCTCCACCAGAGCCTCTCCAGGGCCGGCACCTCAGAGGCAGGAGGCAGAGCTGGGTCCTGGGCCCTGGGCCCTGGAGAAGTGGGATTCCTTTACCTTGGATGAGTGCGGGGACAAGGGGTAGAACAGCATGGGGCTAAGTCCTGTGAGCTTTGGGGAACCCACACAGAGCAAGGCTGCCCTTGCCCCACTAGGGGCTGCGACCACTGATCATGGGTCCTCAGCTCACCTTGTCACCAAGTGCAGATTGATGAGTGTGACAAGGAGGGGGAAGGGGCCTGCTCAGAACCCGCCACTGGATAAGGGGTCTGAGTAAACCAAAGAGTTTCCTCCTCCTGGACAAGGGTTCTTCCTTCTTCCGTCGCCCAGCCTTGGCTGCCAGAAAGAGCCACTACATCACTCACATCCATGCAATGGAGACACACAAGTGCAAGAAGCATGGCAGGAGGGGCAGGCTGTGTGAAGGGTGAACCAGAGATCTGGGCCAGGCAGTGAATTCTGGCCCCAAAGGAGGGCTTTAGGCCCGTGCTATTCAAAGGGTGGTGAGGACTGGTCCGACTGGTCAAGTTTGCCAACCTACCAACAATTGGTTCCTGGTCTACAACTTGAGAAGTACAAAACTGGAGAGTAAGCATTTCATGTGAATCCATCCCTGCGGTGACATCCGAGCATGCAGTCAAGACTCATCTCGTCAAACAGGGTCTAGACCAATTCAGATGCTGTCAGACTTGCCAGGTGAATCACGTGGTGCAGGCTACACAGCAGGACCACACGCCAGTTGGCCATGGATTGGAAAAATCCATGTGGTCCTTCCCCACAGCTGGTTTGAGAGCCCTGCTTTGGCTGGAGGACAGAGTGTGATGCCTGGCTCACCAGGGAAGGCCTCATGGAGGAGGCGGGTCTTGAGTGATAGTTGGGCTTAGTTCTGAGGGGAGTCCTGGGGTGGGACTCCCACCCATGAAAACAGCAGGTCTCACTGGCCTTTGGTGGGAGCAGGCCCCTTGCAGCAGCACAGGCATTTCCTCTTTCATTCTGCATTGTGGTCGGTCCAGTAAAGAGGACACAAGGGTCCAGAGAGGTCATGTGATTTGCCTAAGGTCACCCATCCAAGAAGTGGCTGAGTCAGCTCCAACCTCAGGTCTCCTGCCCTGTCAGCTTTAGGGACAGTGGTCCTTCCTCCAGGGTGCATGTGAGCCCCACCACTCCTAGGCCCCCCTGCCCTGCATTTCACAGCCTTGCAGCAGCTTCCACAGTCAGGCCATGAGGCCCCAGCCATCAGGAGAGAAAAGACGCCCCAGGCTGCACCCCCACACCGACTCACAGGGAGCTGGAGGGGTGGGATGCCAACGGACGGGATCTCACGAAGGTACCAGGAATGCCAGTGCTCTTGGCGCCCCTGCCTTGCCTGGCTACTCCTGCCTCATGACCAGCAGAACCAGGACAGCACCAGGGAGGGAACCCCAGGATGCCACCTAGGCCGCCTCCCCAGTCCCCATTTGGAGGCTAGAGTGCCCTGACCCTGCTCTCTGGAGGCCCCAGCTTCTGAGACCTTCTTGCCCCTTTGTTTCTAAGCCCAGGGCCACAATTCCCTCTAGCAACATCTCCCACCATCCCTGTCCAGAACCGCTCATGAAGCAACATGCTGCCCTTGCGTGCACGTGGACAACGCCCCCAGTGCTATGGGGACCGGAGGCGGAACACAGGGCAGTGCTGGAATCTTTTAATGTTACTAAGCCGCGCTGCCGCGTAGCCCTTGATAAGCCGTTGAGTCACAAATCCACACGCGGAGGCAGAGAGGGACCTATCTGTCTGGCTTGCCACTTGTGTCTTCTGTCGCCATAGCACTTCCACACTCAGACAGACGTTCATTGGGGAGTGGGAGCAGGGAGAGACCCTCCATTTAGTTCAGCATCTACTGTGCACCTACTGTGTGCACAGTTCTGGACTAAGTTCTGGGCACACAGAGGTTTTGTTATTTTTTTGTTTTGTTTTGTTTTGTAAGGGAATCTTTCTGGTCTAGGCAGAGCTCATAGTCTACGGTGGGAACAAGGGCTCAGGTTAGATGTGGGTCACCAGGGGTCCATGTGGAATCTGGTTAGTAGGTGTTTTTGAGCCCCCTGTGGGGGGATACATCAAAGAGCTGTAAGACCCCATGTTGTGGGACAGCCCAGGATCCACGATGAGCTAGAGGCTCACACCAGGGGACGGGATGAGGTGAGAACAAAGGAACAACCAGTGAGAGACAGATTTAGACTGGAGGGCTTCCTGGAGGAGGAGGTGGGGCCAGTTCAGGAAGACTTTGGTGGACATGACAGATGAAGATTGGCACAGAAAGACTTGGGGGCAGAAGCTCCTGTAAGAGAAGTGTCATATATGTATATTCTGCTGGGTAGGGGTTGGCAGGGGAGGAAGGAGAACAGTGCGACTCAGGCAGAGGGCCAGGAGTGAGGAGCAAGAGATTAGGGGAGCATCAGGTTCTTTCCCCTCTAGAAGGGGATGGGAGGACTCAATGGGGTCACTTGTGTGGGCCTTAGTGCAACAGCAGCTCAGTAAATGGCGCACCTGGCCAGTAAACAGTGTACCTGCTTAAAAGAACCTGGGAGGCGTAGGCAAGGGACAGGAGCAGAGTTGGCAGAAAGAGGAAGGGGAAGGGCGTGGCTTAGACCAAGACCAAGCCCAGGACGCAAGGACCAGCCTCCCTCCAAGGACCAGCCTTGCCCTACCCGTCTGGGAAGATGAAGGAGTGGCTGAGTCTCTCGGGCTCCCAGCCAGGCACGGGCAGCTGAGGGATGCCGGGGAGGCTGTCTAACCTGCTAGTCACTCACCCAGCTAAGCCCGTGGTCCCCAGGTGCCCAGCTGCTCCTCTGGAAGTCAGCCTCTAACCCTGGCCTTGAGGTGGCATTGCACACCTGCCGTACAGGTCTGGCTATGCTCAGAGGAGAGGTGGTGACCACACAGTGGCTTCTGAGGGAGGTGGCAGGTGCGGGTGTTACAAACACTGCAAAGTAGCTCACTCGCCAGGGTACCAGCGTGTGTGTGTGTGTGTGTGTGTGTGTGTGTGTGTGAGAGAGAGAGAGAGAAAGAGAGAGAGAGAAAAAAATGCCCACTGAGAAACACACAGGCCCACAGAGGCAACAGATCCTGTCCCTTCTGCACCCTGCTTCTGGGGAGGAGGAGCAGCCCTGGGGGTGGTGGAAGGGATCATGGCGGGAGCTCATCTGGGGCATCTCTGCGCCGAAGGCTCTCCTAACAGCTGAGGACGGCTTCGGGCACCCAGGCACCAGGATAGGGATGGGTGGAGGAATTCTTGTGAGAAACAGAGAGGAAGTTTCCAGGAGATGCCACCGCTGGCCTCAGAACCCGGGCATAGGCTCTCTTGGATGCTAGGGAGAAAGTTAAAAGCAAGAATGACCAAGGCAGGCAGGCAGGTCTTTTTCTTCTCCCTCCCCTTTTGCTTCTCTCACTGTCTGTCTGTCTCCGCATCTTCCGTAAGAGTGAAATCATCCACCCTGAGCGAGCCCTTGGGCACCCTGCCAGGCCCGTGCTCTGAGTGCAGTTGGGTCCCCAGTGCAGGGGGCCTGGACCTGTAAGGACTGTGCCTCAGATGGCCCTGGACTCTCCTAAAGCCCTTTCCCCAGGGTAAAACCCCGCCTGGACCCGGTTTGCTTTTCCAGCCCACCCAGCCCAGCCCCTTGTCCCCCAGCCACACTCCTTTTCCCTGTCTCTGTGCACAGGCTCCCCACCCAGCCTGGTACCTCTGGCCTCTGCTGAGCTAGGAAGGGCTTTCTAGAAATGAGCCCTTCACACACCTTGCCAAAGAGGCTGGGAAAACAGGGAGGGAGAGGTGGATGGATCACAGAGGGAGGGCACTCCCCACTGGAAATGGCAATGCTGCGGCCATCACTTGTCCCAGCCTTTCACCCTGGGCAGGTGCCTTTCAGCTCTGTGGGCTTTGGTACTGACCAGGGATGATGACCAATATATTGTCCCAATTCTCCTAAAGCCCCTGACATCCCAGCACTCAAAGGTTCAACTAAGATTCTCACTGTGCTTCCTGATAGCCCCCACTACCTCTTAAAACTCCAGTGGGTAGACTCTAAAGTATAGCGGTCAGTCTAGAACAAGCCCTGCCTCCCTGGTTCTGCAGCCACGAAGTGACTGGACCAGTCTAGCCAGTTTTTCTGGGCTCTGACCTAGGCGCACTGGCTCCCAACCAGACTGGCTGGGGCTTGGAAACCAGCTGACATGCGGAGGGGGGCAGATGCACACCCCACAAATCCCATCTCAAAGCACCTCGCTGAGGCTTCTCTCTGGGCCCAACAGTGCCAGGCGGGTGAGATGGACAAATTGCCTGTGCTTATAGGGCAGAAAGAACAGCCGCAAACATCTTCATTTGTCCCAGAAACAGTTTTATGGCTGCTGGGTGGACAGTTGCCAAAGAACATGTTTGGCTAAAGCATTTGAATCCGCAGTTCTACGTGAAGGGGAACCCGTCTTCCAAAGCCAGATTCTGACATGCCTGTTTCATGAAGTCTGCCTCCCTCCCTTCCTGCCATCCATTCAATTTTGTGGAAGCGGATACCACATACTCAGAAAACAAGTGATTAAGAATCTGTTGTCTAATAGAATCCAGCTAGTTATTTTCAAAATGATTGTTTGCATCAGTGAGTGAATCATTTCGTATTATCCTCCCTACATATCTACTTTTACTGTCAGGTTTTTCCATATCCCAGATGTTCAGGTCTGTCTATGACCTTCAAGCTCAGCTGATGGCTGGTAGCTGATCCCTTTTCCCCAGGGACTGTGAAAAGTGCTCTGACGCAGGAAGAGATTCTATACGCCAAATACCCTTCCTCTACCCCCATCCCCTCACCACTTCTCCTTTTGATGGCCTTTCTTAGACTGAGGAAGTTGGTAAGATTTATTAAGTGACTACTATAGCTAATATTTATTATGCACTTACTGTGTGCCAGACACTGTGCAACTGTGCATAATTTCACACCTGGCATCTCATGGTCATTATGATTATGCCATAAAGCAGGTATTATTTCCCCCGCTTTAGACAGATGAAGAGGTGACTTGCCCACAGCTTCAGGGCAGAGTAAGGATTCAAGCCCACATTTGCTTCATCTGCTGTTCCCACCCATACAAGAAGATGTTGACTGCCACACTGGGTGGGGTAAGGGATGGCTGGCCTAGAGCAACAAGTCCAAAGACAAGCATTTTAAAAGGATGAAGGCTGGGCACTGTGGCTTACGCCTGTAACCCTACACTTTGGGAGGCTGAGGTGGGAGGATCGCTTGAGCCCAGGAGTTTGAGAATTCGAGACCAGCCTGGGCAATACGGCAAGACCGTTTCTACAAAAAAATTTAAAATTAGCTAGGTGTGGTGATGCACACCTATAGTCCCAGCTACTTGGGAGGCTGAGGTGGGAGGATCACTTGAGCCCACAAGGTTGACGCTGCAGTGAGCTGTGTTCACACCACTGCACTCCAGCCTGGGCAACAGAGTGAGACCCTGTCTCCAAAAAAAAAAAAAAAATTCCTAGGGACTCTGCTGACAGGGACCTCCCTGAATTTAGGTAGACAAGAATGATTTGTAGTTAACAAATTCATTGTTTGACTATTAAAACTGCAGCTGAAATCTCGACCTGGCCTTACGTTCAAAATGGGCTCACCCTTCTTTGGTTGATACCGTGAGCAGTTAGGGTAGAATCAGAGCTGGGAGAGATCACCCTACTCCCTCTTTTCACTGAGGAAGAAACGGCCCAGATCACTGTTAGTGACCTGCCCTCCTCCAGACACGGCAAAAGCGCTGGAGTTTCACTGGCTGAGGCTCTACCCTCAAGGGATTCTCCAGATCACTGGGGTGCTGCACTGGTTGTGTGTTGTTTTCTCTTTTTTAATAACCACAGTGGGCTTAAGGGGGAGTTCTAGTCCTTTCTGCATCAGAGATGGCTTTTCTGCTAGGGTGGTTTAAGCATCTCTCAGCCTTCTGTTTCGACCTGACATCTGCATCTGGTGGGAACAGAAACGGGTTCTTTCCAATTGTACAATACCAAATGGAAGAAGCAACAATAAACTCATCCATGAAGTCGACAAACATTTGTTAAACACCTACTCTGTGCAACGGATTGTGAGGCTCAGTGCCGTGAAGGGTAAAAGATGCAAAAAATATATAATATATTGCATGTCCAAGAGCTGCTAGTTGCTGTTCCTGCATTAACTTATATCTGCTGAGAGTAGCCACCTTGCAGCTTTTTCTGAAAGCAGACTGTGCCAGGCACTGTTCCAGGCACTTTCCATGTATTAATTCCTTTTGTCCTTACCTCAACCTCCTGAGTTAGGCATTTCCCCCATTTTATAGCTGGGGACACTGAAGCCCAGAGAGAGTACTTAGGTCCAAGTACCATGTTCCAAGGTCCCTCAGCTTGAGCAGAGCTGGGAAGGGGGAGTGCTGGGAATCCAGTTCGTGGCACCCCCCTCTTTCTATGTGAGGTCATGTCCCTAAGGAGTATTTGAAAACACAGACCTTTCACAGAGACATGAGAGATAACAGAGAATCCAGTCCAATACCCCTGTTTACAGACAGATAAACTGTGGCTCAGAGAGGGAAGGTGACCTACCTGTCATCACACAGCTGATTGGAGGCAGAGCTGGGATCAGAGTCAGGTTCACTGACTCCCAGGCTGATGGTCTTTCCCCTTCAATAGCTGCTGAAATTATCAGCCCGGCACCTAACTGCTTCCTTCTAGGCCACACGGGCACTTGGGGTGGTGGCACCTTGACCCCCAAACTCCTTATGTGTGGCTGAACCTGGAGGTTGATGCTTTTGAGGAGCCAAATGTTAGAGAGGGTGAGAAATGGATTTTCCACTTGAGCTCGTCCTCACTGGCTCTGGGTGAGTGTTCAACTTTTCCATAATCTACACACTCCTCTCTATGGCTGGTCATTTCAAATCCAAGGGGCTTGGCCTGGCTTTTGGCCCCTCCCTGTCTTTGCCCCCAGTCTGTGGCCAGGCCAGCAGTCCCGCACGCCACAGCAGCCCACTGGCCCACCCTGGGCTCACTGTTTCGCGTTCCTCATGCCTCTTGCCAACGCTCCCCTCGAAAACCTGGCTCTATATCGTTTAATCAAAGAAACAACTTGGAAATGGCCCAGATATGCACCGATATAGGGATGGCAAAGTCCATTCACTCACAGGCAACATGCAGACATTGACAGTCTCCTGCAGAGCCTCGGGAGTAACGTGAAACAGACTTGGGCTGTGACACTGAGGAGAGGGCTGCCCAATGGCCACAGCTGTGCCCAGACAGGTGCTTGAGAAGGGGACCTGTGGGGGTTATTTTTTAAATGAATTATACAGTAGCCAGATTAAAAGAGTGAGGTTGCAATCATTTTCCATTCTGGTTTTCAAACTTTGCCTATTGCTGCTAAATTGGCTTATATAAGAATAACAATAGCCAGCTCCCTCCTGGGAGCTCACTCTCCTGTTAGAATCCATCCAGAGGCCTTGCCTTCTGCACCCCTCACAGACACTGGGACCCATGTTTACAGCCACACTCCATCTCCCTACGAGGAGATGCAGTGGGTGTGTGGCTGACTCCGAGGTGCTCAGGCCCCTGCCCCTCCCTGGGGATAGAGACAATGTCTTGTCTGTCTTCTCCTGACTCATGGCCACTTGTACACACATCGTCTCTCCCCACTCACACACACACTTTCACACACCCTGTCTCTCCCCATTCACACACATTTTCCCCCAGGACTCTGTAACTGTTATAGTGTGAGGCCCACAATATAGGCCCCAGAGTGGACCCTTTCCCAACACTGGCTGACTTGTTGGGGATGGAGCTGGATTTGGGATTAACCCTAAATCCCCTAGATTTGTACTCTCATGCTGACAAAACTACCTGAGCTCTCATCTGGCTGAGCTCTAGAGTGAGATTTAGGTGGCTTCGAATATTTTCTGGTAATGGCCGGGCATGGTGGCTCATGCCTGTAATCCTAGCACTTTGGGAGGCCGAGGCTGGCTGATCGCTTGAGCCCAGGAGTTCGAGACCAGCCAGGGCAATATGGGGAAACCCCATCTCTACAAAAAATACAAAGATTAGCTGGGTGTGGTGGTGCATGCCTGTGGTCCCAGCTATTCTGGAGGCTGGGGTGGGAGGATCACCAGAGCCTAGGGAGGTTGAGGCTTCAGTGAGCCATGATCACACCATTACACTCCAACCTGGGCGACAGAGTGGGACCCTGTCTTGAAAAAAAAAAAAAAAAAAAAGGATATTTTCTGGTAAAAGCAAACAAAACAAAGCCTTTTATCAGAGTGTCTGGGTTTGAATTCTGACTTCACTACTCACTGGCTGTGTGACCTTGAACCAGTTACTTAGCCTCTCTGTGTCTCAGGAATAATTCCTACTTCCTAGGGCTGTTAGGAGGACTAAATGACTTAATATTTGCAAAGCAGGTAGAATAATGCCCAGTGAATTGTACATGCTACATAAATAAAAGAAGAAAAGCAACTATTTAATTGTAACCAACGTTTGAAACCAGCATTCGCTGGCCATTCACTCACTGCCCCACATTCATCTGGAATTTATTGAATGCCTACTGAGTTTATTAGGCCAGGCATAAAGGGCAAACACCCCACCATCTAGTAGGAACAAAGGAAATAAAAAGACTTTTTTAAGGAAAACATGATCATTCTAAACAGAGATTTGCACACAATTCTATGAAAGGCCAGAAAAAGAACATTGATCTATTTCCGCGTAAACCTGAAAAAAAAAAAAAAAGAAAAGAAAACACCCGCAGTTCAGTTCTTTGAATCCATTTAAAAGACTGAATTTGGTCTAACTGGTTTGTGCATTTAGACCAGGCTTCGGTACACGCGAGCCTTTTGGAAACTATTCCCATTCAGTGCCAACTACTCGACCTCTCTGGATGTTTTTCTTCTACCTTCCTCACCTGTCTGTCTCCTCGAACGCCCAGAAAATAATCTGAGTTCATCCCTAGCCCTCAGGTAACGGATGGGGGAGGGGATGTGGGTTCAGTAAGACCAACCCTTGATCATTTTAAGAATCAATTTATAAATATTTGGGGAGGGGCAGGATTAGAGAAAAATCTCAGTAACTTGTAACGTCTCAACTAAGGAAGCAGCAGCTGCTGCATTTAAAAATCTTGGTGGTTTAACTCAAACCACTTGGTAAGCCGGTATACGTACAGTTGGTTTAATAACTGATGGAAAAATGAAATTCCGCCAATCCGCACCCCTCCCCCAAATCCACCGAAGTCTCTTGAATGTAATCGCTCTGAATGCCCTGAGCCGGGTCAAGCTGGTGTCTATGTTTGTGGCTGGAGCGGACCCTGCGGAGTCCCGAGCCCCGGGTGAGGCGATGCCCAGACTGGCGCGAAGCGGGGTGTCCCGGCAGCAGCGCAGAGGCCCACCCGCCTCTCCGGCCGGCTGCAGCGGGCGCGCCTATACCCTGCAAAACCAAAACGCTCTGGAAAGCGCTTGGGGCTGCAAGTGACGCCTGACACGAGCGGCGGGCCGGACTGCCGGCCTCCCGGCCCTTCCCTGGCTCACACAACCCGCGGGCCGCCCCCACCGCCCACGAACTTCAGCGGGCAGACGCTGGACGTGCGGTCTGGCTACTTTCCTAAACTCCAGCGCCCGATCCGCGTCGCAGGGTCGGCCGCGCAGCGCGGGGATCGCGGGTGCCCAGGCTCGGAGAACGAGCGTCGCGCTCCCAGCCGCGGTCGGGGAACAGGAACTGCCGCCAGAGGCACCGTCTCCTCCCCCGAGACTGCGATATTGATCAAGGGCTCGCAGGCGCGGGCGGCATTCATCTCTCCGGACTCGCAGCTCGCCGCGGAGGGGAAGGGGCAGGACGCGCTCCCAAGACTAGGGCGGGGGCGTGCGGAGTCGGGGAGCTGTTTGGGGGCGCTGGGGCGAGGTGGGAACCCCGCTTCAGAGTCTCCAGTCCCGGGGCCGAGGTCTGCAGGAAGGGCGTGGGAGGTGGAACCTCCCCTCCCCTAGGCGTCTGCCCGAGAGCCTAGAGCGATTCTTGGCGCGGAGCCGGCTACCCGGGTGGGCGGACCCCCTCCTCCGCCAACATCCCGGCGGCTTCGCCACGATTTCTTTTCTCACCTGAGTCTCCCCCTGCCTACCCAACCCTGGCTCCAAAGGTCCAGAGAGTTAGGCTGCCCCGGAGCCCAGCCTTCCCCGACCTAAGCACGGCTCTCCCAGCGCCCCCGCCCCCATCACACCCACAGCCCAGCCCCGTCCCGCGTCCGCCAGGGGCCGGGGGCGCCAGCGCTCGAGGGATGGCCGGCGGGCTGTTACCTTGACGAGACGGAGCTGCGGGTGCCCTCCCATCCTCGGGCTCGCTCGGCTACCGTCCTGAATGCCCGGGTCCTACGGACATCCCAGAGGGACCGGCGGGCGGCTGCGGGCTCGGGCGGCACGGGGTGGGCGGCCGGGCTCCTCGGTCGCTGCCTGGTGAGGAGATGCCCGGCTCGGCGCTTCCCGGCCCCGCGGCCCGGCCCGGCCCGGCCCGGCTCTCGCTCGCCCCTTCCCGGGGAAGTCTGGCCGCCGTTTCCCGACGCAGCCCGGCCCGCGGCCGCCTCTTGCCGGCCTCGCCCCCGCCACCTCCCCCACGGTCCGCGCCGCTCCTCGCCTCGGCTCCCCGCCCCCTCGCCCAGCTCGTCCCCTCCCCTTCCTCCCCCTCCCTCTCCCCTCCGCTCCCCTTCGGTCCCTCCTCCGCGCCTCGCCCCTCGGCTCCCTCCCAGCTCCTCCTCGCCTCCTCCGTTCCCTCCCCTTCCCCCGGCCCGCTCTCTGTGTCCCGCCGCCAGGATCCCCTTTCCCTGCGCCCGGGGTTTGCGGCAGTCCTCGGGGCGCGCTGGCAGCAGTGGCGGCCGCCGCAGCCCGGGGAGAAGCCGGGAATGGGGGAAGGGGGCCGCGGTAAAGGATCAGCCTCCCGCCCGGCCGAGGTCGGGGCCTGGGAAGTCCCAGGGATCTGGGGTGACTTGGGCCAGGGTGCTCAGGTGAATTTATGAGGGCGAGGCTATTGGGGGCTAGGGAACAGGGCGGTCCCTACTGAGCGGAGCCGCCGCGGAACCCAGTGAGGCTGCGACCTGCGTTTGGGCAGTTCCCGCCCTGCGGCTGGCTAAGAGGAGCTCCTCGCCGCCCCCATTCCAGCCGCGCCGGGCGCTGGGCCCGACCCCCAGCACCTTTGGCACTGATGTGCCTGGTGCGCGCTGAGACGCGAACGCTCTGCAAGATGAGCCCTTATTCATTCGTTCCTTCTTTCCTTCATTTGTTCATCTTACAAACTGAGTGCCTGGCCACTTTGGTTCAGGCAAGAGGCTGGATCTGGGAACCCTTTGGACCTGGGAGCCCCAGGATGAAAGGGAGACGGCGGTGCCCTGCAGGACAAGCGGGCACTGAACGCTGCCCAGGGGAAAGCCGGGCGCGCATTGCGTTGCAGCGCGGCGAACGCTGCTAGGAGCCCGCGGGCAGGGCGTGGGGAGGACACAGCGCCCCCTCCCGGCCGGCCGAGCCCTCTGGGCAGCGGTGGGCCTCCCCGCCAGACCCCGGGGCCGTCTTCTGAATTGGCTTCGGAGCTCCCCATCCCAGGAAGCAACTCCCAGCCCTTCCAGATGAACAGAACTTTTGACTTCCTCTTCACTCTTCCTCTCTCCTACCAGAGCTGAAAAGGGAGAAACTGGGAGGTAGAGAAATCTTCACTCCACCCGCAGAGCCTAGGCCGCCTGGCCAATGCAGCCCCTATTGGGTACACCAGAGCACCTGGGGCGGCGGGCAGTCGGCTTTGAAATCAAACTGAACCCACCTGCCCTGCACCCTGTGCCCTGCCGTGCCCACCCTACTCCTCCCTCCTGCCCTCTTCTCAGCACACTGGGCAAGAGCCAGCGTGTTCATGGGTCCACTGGCCTTCATTTGGAGCTGGAGTTATTTTAGAAGATCGTAAGATCCAACACACACAGTTTACTGGTGAGAAAATGGAGGCACACAGAGGGTAAGCCTAGTCCTCCTTCACCTCATTCCCAGCTCACAGTGCCTGGAGGGCTGGGCCCTAAAGGGGCCTGGGACACTGAAGTGGGGAGGGGCATTGCCCAGGAAGCCAGCTGCTCACATGGCTTATCCACACACCTGGCACTTTCCAGGTGAAGCACACAGTCCCGAGTCTTGCAAAACCCCCATTAGGTTAGTGCTCCGGAGCTGGCTGTGCCGAGTTGGGCCCTGACTTGCCCCAGCCAACCCCAGAAGGGATGGACATGCTAAGCAGATGGACAACTAACTGTTACCAACAACAGTTAAGTGCGGGGCAGTCTGATGTCGTGCAGGTTCTGGAGTCAGATGGCCTGAGTTTGAATCTTGGCTTTTCCACTTACAAGCTGTATAAACTTGGAGAGTTATTTAACAATGCCTCAATTTTCTCATCTATAAAATCGGGGTAGAAACGCTACTTCTGAGGGTGGTTGGGGAGTTTGAAGGAGTTGGTATTTGTAAAGAGCTTGGAACGGAGCCTGGCACATAGTGAGAGCTTAATGAGGGTTAGCTGTAGTCACCAATACTATCATCATCATCATCATCACGATGGAGTGGACTGGATGCTCAAGTGTGAGGGGCGGCTTGGTCCCACCCTCTAGGCAGTTCTTTGTGGGGAGCAGAATTCTTGATCAGAAATTCACCAGCAGCAGTAGGCTGTGGAATCAGAGGAGAGGAAGCCGGTTGGTCCTCTGGTAGCTTTGCCCAGGCCCAGCCAAGGCCTTGCTCCCTCCCTGGTCCCACCTTGGAGCACACTCTCTAAGGACTAGACGGCTCCAGCTTCTGTGTTTCTCTCTGCTTAATAAACACCATCAAATTTTGCCTCTCTGAGCCCCATTATCCTCCCCTTGACATGATCTTTAAATATGCTAATGCCATTGATTGGACTGCAATCAAGTCTTGCTCTTCCTGACTTTTTTGCCCAGGAGTCAGACCTTCTCGCTTTCTGAAGTGGCGTCTACAGATAGCTCATTTCATCCTGTCTGTGTTGATTTCACTGACTTAACCTCCACCCCACCACATCCCGCTGACGGACAGGTCAGGGGAGGAGGCTTCTGCCTAATTCCTCGACCTACTTATTTATAGTTTTGGCCTTGGCAGCCTCAGGGGGGTTATGAAAGTTTGGCGTTTAACATTCCTTCTGTAAAAAGGTTCAGTATCCCCTTTCATTTGTCCTGAAACTACTTCCTTTCACCTTCAAGGGCCTGGCTCTCATCTGCTGGGCTTGGTGAAGGTGCTAGTGTCTGCCCTGTCCCTCCCTCCTACACCCTTCCTTCCCTCAGCCCCAGCCAGAGCAGCCTCTGCACACCCTCCTCAGGATAGGCTCCTACTCCATTCCAGCATTCTTTTCCCAGGATGGCCTTTTCCAAACTCTCTTCTCATCCCATCCCTCCCTTGCCTTCTCACCCCTTCCTGTCCAGCCAGCAGCAGAATCAGCTTTCATTCATTTAATCTGCCAGATTTGGAAGACAGGAGAAATGTGAGGATTCCAAACAGGAATAAAAGACAATCACATGTCCTTCCC
The DNA here is from genome assembly GCF_000001405.40 of Homo sapiens. Taxonomy (NCBI): domain Eukaryota; kingdom Metazoa; phylum Chordata; class Mammalia; order Primates; family Hominidae; genus Homo; species Homo sapiens. Next base: position 1,006,843 of record NT_167251.2, read on the forward strand.
AACAGTAGGAGAGACAGATTTGATGTAATGATGGGTGAGACCCAGGGAGGCAGGGCTGAATAGGCACCTCCTACCTGTGGGGTTCCACTGGCTTAACCATCCCCGGGAGGTTGCTGGTCTGGAACCATACTTCTCAGACAACTGTGGCAAAGAACTGGTTCTGTATTTTAAAATTTCTAATCTGTCACAGGCCAATGCGATTGCAAAACACTGCAGGAATGAATTATTAGAAAAATGCAATAAAAGGCCAGATGTGGTGGCTCATTGCCTGTAATCCCAGTACTTTGGGAGGCCAAGGCAGGTGGATCACTTGAGGTCAGGAGTTTGAGACTAGCCTGGCCAACATGGTGAAACCCTATCCCTACTAAAAATACAAAAATTAGCCGGGCGTGGTGGCACGAGCCTGTAATCCCAGCTACTTGGGAGGCTGAGGCAGGAGAATCGCTGGAACCTGGGAGGAGGAGGTTGCAGTGAACCCAGATCCTGCCACAGCACTCCAGCCTGGGCAAAAGAGTGAGACTCAGTCAAAAAAAAAAGAAAAAAAGAAAGAAAGAAAGAAAGAAAAAAAGACAAAATGAAAGCCCTGTTTTAAACACTAGCACATCAAATGGACATAAAACTATTCTGTCTAATGGCTTAAAAATGTCAAAATGTAGCTAGGTGCAGTGGCTCACACCTGTAATCCCAGCACTTTGGGAGGCTGAGGCGGGTGGATCACCTGAAGTCAGGAGTTTGAAACCAGCCACCGCACCCGGCCCAACCTCACCAGACTCCCCTCACGCGGTTGCCTCTTGTGTGCCTCTGCCTTGGAATGCCCCTCCCCATTATGCCTTCTTCAAGGCTCAGAACAAACATCACCTCCTGCATAGAGCTTTCCAGAACCCGAGAAGTTAGCATGAATGTTTCTGTTGAGTCCCTTGACTCTCTGCCAGTGATGTGGCTGAGGCGTGAGCTGTGGATCAAAGTGCTTGGGTCACCACCTCTGCCCTACCACTGCTCTCTAGGACCTTGGGGAGTTGCTTAACTTCAATAAGCCTCAGTTCCCCCTGAAAAATAGGATGATAGCAATAGTTGTGGAGATTAAATATGAGCCATGGGTCGGGTGCCATGGCTCACGCCTATAATCCCAGCACTTTGGGAGGCCCAGGCAGGCAGATCACCTGAGGTTGGGAGTTCGAGACCAGCCTGACCAACATGGAGAAACCCCATCTCTACTAAAAATATAAAATTAGCTGGGCATGGTGGCGCATGCCTGTAATCCCAGCTACTTGGGAGGCTGAGGCAGGAGAATCGCTTGAACCCAGGAGGCGTAGGTTGTAGTGCGCTGAGATCACGCCATTGCACACCAGCCTGGGTGACAAGAGCAAAACTCTCACTCCAAAAAAAAAAAAAAAAAGTCTAAATGCTTATGCTCAATTTCTGCACTTACCAGGTCATAAACTGGCAACACAGTTTGCAGACAGGTGCCGGTCTGTAGATCATGCTTGGAGTAGCACTGGTCTGGAATGTTTGTGAAGCATGAGGCTAGGAAAGTGGCCTCTTTAAAATCCCATGAACATGGGGGGATATTGTATTAATTACTCCATTCATCTGTGCATTCATTCAACAAACATTTAATGAGGAGCAACTAGGTACCAGTCACTGTTGGACACTGAAGCTAATAAAGATAAATATAACAGGGTCCTGGCCCTCAAGATGTTCACAGGCTGGAATGGGAAGCAGCCACTTTGATAAATAATTAAGAGCTAGTGAAATTAGGTCAACAATAGACCAGGCACTGCGGGTGTGGAGGCAGGAATATTAATTCTGCCTGAGACCAATGGGGAAGACTCTACCAAGGAGGTGATGCTTGTGCTGGGGTTTGGAGGCAGAGGCAGGTGTTTAATCCCATGTGGCCAACCGGCATTTGATAGAGGAATTAAAATACGTAAAGTGCTTAGCGCAGTGCCTAGCACATAATAAATGCTTCAAATGTTTGTTATTTTTATTATTCAATATTATGAATGATCGTCATTGTCATTGTTACTATTCACCTAGATCTGCCTGGCACTGTGCTTAGTTTGGCATGGGGTTGTGGAGGTCACAATAGGTAATTCAGTTGGGGAAAGAGGTGATCTGGCTTTGAGCTCACCCCCTTTGTCAGAGGAAAGATTTTTCTGGAAGAGGTGGGTTGGGAGCTGGGTATTGAAGGAAGTGGGTATGGACATGTGAGAGAGGGAGACTTTCAAGGTGGGAGGGTCGCTTAGAGACAGAGCCCAAGGAACAAGTATAGGGCAGGGGAGGGGGCTGGTCTGATGGGAACAGGAGATGGGATGATGCTGGGGGGCTGCAGGGGAGGGGGCTGGTCAGCTGGGAACAGGAGATGGGATGAGGCTGGGAGGCTGCAGGGGAGGGGGCTGGTCTGATGGGAACAGGAGATGGGATGAGGCTGGGGGGTTGCAGGGGAGGGGCTGTGGGTTTTCCAGGCCTTTGGATAAGGGGTGTGATGTTCTTCATTCTCTCACTTAGAACAACAGATAATAATAATAATTAAGATTTGTCTTGCAATTTGCACTATGTAGTTCCTTCACAAACATTTTCCCATTTAATTCTTTTAATAACTCCATGAAGGAGGTATTAACAGCCTCACTTTACCGATGAGAAGGCTGAGTTCAGAGGTCAGTACCTCTGAGCCCAAGGTCACACAGCTGGCTTCCGCACAGACAGGATCGGAACCTCACGTCCCCAACTCCCACTCCAGATATTTTCCAGTGTACCATGGAGAGGTGACCTGAGCCTAGCCCTCTGGTGAGCTGGGGTATCACCTATAGGAGGCTCCAGCTCCAGGAAAATGATGCTCTGGGGTTAGTCTTCCCTTTTTGCTTTCCCCAGTGGATGGGCTAAAGGGGGGAGTGGAGACAAGCCATGGGACAGAGGTTGGCAGTGACAACAGGTGAGGGCCACAGAGGGCTCCTCCTCCTCCCTCCAAGTCTGACTCTGTACCACTCAAGGGCAAGAGAACTTACCCTGGGCACAATTACCATATTTTGCATTTATTAAGTGTGGCCAAGAGGGCCATTGAAGTTTGTTGCTTTTTTTTTTTTTTTTTAAGAACACTTTTTGGCTGGGTGTAGTGACTTATACCTGTAATCCCAGCACTTTGGGCGGCCAAGGCGGGCGGATCATGAGGTCAAGAGATTGAGACCATCCTGGCTAACATGGTGAAACCCCGTCTCTACTAAAAATACAAAAAATTAGCTGATGTGGTGGCGGGCGCCTGTAGTCCCAGCTACTTGGGAGGCTGAGGCAGGAGAATGGCGTGAACCCAGGAGGCGGAGGCTGCAGTGAGCTGAGATTGTGCCACTGCACTCCAGCCTGGGTGACAGAGCAAGACTCTGTCTCAAAAAACAAACAAACGAGAAAACAAAAAAACACTTTTTAAAGGTGAGGTTTGAAATAAGAAGAGTTGGGCGAATGAGAAGGCGTCTTGGAAGTGAAAACACATCATAGATGTCAGCCAGAAGATCAGCGTGGAAAGGACCTGCACACATCCACTTATCTTTACAGAGAAGTTGCGTCCCTCCAGCCCAGACCAGTGGCTCTCTCCAGGGGGGACGTTTCACAATATCCAAAGACATTTTGGGTTGTCATAGCTGAAGGAGTGCTACTGGCATTTGGTGGGTAGAGGCTGTGGTCCAGCTAAACATCCTGCAGTGCACAAGACAGCCCTCACAACACAGAATTATCTGGCCCAAAATACCCATGTGCTGAGGTTGAGGAATCCTGGCCTTGTCAACAGTGTGGCACCATGGACAGCAGAAATGCGGCTCCTCCGTGAGGTTGTGATCCAGACCCATCCTGTCTGAAGAGGCTAGGGTCCACCACTCTGCATTTCCTGAACTCCATCATTTCTGGAGCACTGGGGCCATGGGAAGGCACTGGGGTGATAGCCATGGTGGAGCATCAGCTGGTAGTCAGGCAAGCCAGGACTTGAGACTCTGGGCTTTCAGTGTGGATGTTCCTCACCCTGCCCTCCCCTCATCTCTACTATAGGTATAGGTTGTCCCTTTTTTCCCTCTTCATAAAATCCCACTTTAGAGCTAGAAAGGGCTTTGGTAGAAACCAGCTGCTCTAATAGATGAGGTACTATTTTTCCATTTTACAGATAGGTATATTGAAATCTAGAGGTTAAATACACAAGGTATGTGCTTAGCTGATTCCAAGTGCTTCAAGCTCCCAGAGGGCAGAGACTGCTTTCCAGCCGTCACTGCAGTCCCAGCCTCTGGCAAAGTCATATCTCAGCAGATGCCAAACAAAATGTTTTTGGTTAATGGTCATTTTTACCAGCGGCTTAGGCCCCAGGCTCCTGCCTCCAGGGCAGCGCACTCTCTGAGCACCATCCTCTTCTGAGTCCTGCTCACTACAGTGAGGCACCCCCCTTTTCTGGGGTTCAAGGCCACCCAGTCCTGGATGGGAACAGCCCCACACCCAACCCCAGTCAGGCAGCTACAGCCTCCTGGTGGGAAGACGCAGCGGCAGCCTCACCCAGCCCTTCACTCCTTCCCTCCTCTCCTTTTCCCTCTGGCCTTACAAAGGGGTCAGGGCAGGACAAATCTCCCCTCCAGGCTCTTGGGAGTGTCTTCACTGCCCCCGAGGAAGCCCATGCAAATGGCCACCCTGACCTTCAGTGGCCACTTCTAACTCCCAGAGCAAGACAAAGAGAGACCAAAGAGACATATCAACCAGCCGCAATATGTTATGTGGACATTTGGACTCTGACTCTTTTAACAGATTTTAAAAAACAACCAAAAACCTATAAACAGACAATTGGAAATATGAACTCTGCTTAGATATTTGATGATTTCAGGAATGGTTGTTAATTTTTAAAGGTGTAATGATGACATTGTGGTTATATATTTAAAATGAGTCATTATCTTTTAGAGATACAGACTGAAATATTTATAGATGAAATGACATGATGTCCAGAATTTGCTGAATACTATGGGAAAGGAGGAAGCAGGTGAGGATATTGATGAAATAAGATTGGCTGTGAGTTGTTAATTGTGGAATCCAAGTGATGGGTACATGGGGAGTTTATAACATTTTGCCTATTTTTATATGCATTTAAAAATCTTACAGCCTGTGGGAGCTGCCTGGGACCACTCAGGGAGCACGCAGACCATGGTGTCCAAACCGTTTTCTGTGGAACCCAAGATTCCAAAAAGATGCCTTAGGACCGGTGCTGAAGGTTGGGTGCAGGGAGGGGGTGGTGAAGGGGAGCCCAGGGAGGGGGCTGTGGGGTGCACCTCTGTTTCAACCAGTTTTATATAGTGGGGTTCTATAGGAGATCTCAATTTGGGAGAAAGGTTCTGCTCAGAAGAGGAAGCAATTTTCCAAAGACCATGTGTGTGGGGGCAGCGCAGAGCCGAGCCCGGGCTCCCAGCTCTCAGCCTCCCTGGCTCTGTACCACATTGCCTTCCCAGGGCATGGCTGCTGCCCCAGGGCCCCTGCCAGACTCAGTGGACCTGCAGTCTAAGTCTGGTGAGCCACAGCAGGATGGGGCTGGGCCACCTGGGGCTCTGCCCTAGGTGGCTGAGGGCATCTGCCTCCCTTGGGCCACCCGTTGCTCAGTTTTCACAGCCAGGCCTGTGGCTTAGAGCCAGCTTTGGCATTGCTGCCTGCCATCTGGCCAGGCCCCAGTGGCTCAGCTGGATGGGGGCCAGCACCTTCCAGGCATGCCTGAGCCAGGGAAGTGCTGACCAGGGATCAGCCCACTGGCTACACAGCAGCAGCTCATTCCAGAAGAGGAAGGCCTCATGCCCACCCCTTCCCGAGTCCCTCCTTCATGAGAGGACTGGTCTGAGCCTGGCTAGATGGTTCTGTTCCCCTGGGGTTGGGGCAAGGGGGTGATAATGGCTTAGGTTATGGTTCCCACCTGCAGACCAGCTGCAGGAGGAGCACAGAGGGCTCCTAAGTCATGTGGCGAGGAGGGGAGGGAAAGGAGGTGTTACCTGGGAGACGGGGATTCATTAGCTGCATACAGCCTGGTAGAACTCGTGAGGACAGGAGGGAGGATGGGCGTCAGTCCATGGTGAAGGAAGTAGGTGGCTATGCTGGGGATCTCCCATTCCCCTCCACATCCGCCCTTCACCCTCCCCATCTGCTCTGTGCTCAGGGCTGTCTAAGGTCTCCGTCACCTTCCCACTCTGGCTGGGCTCAGCCAATAGGAAGCCCAGGCTGGAGCAAGGAGGGTGAGGTTGGGTACTTATCCCTCCAACTCTCTCCCTGTGGGTTGGCCATGGGCTGGCTGTGTCCCTTGACTGAGGTCCTTGCGGCTCCCGTGGCAGCCTCTCTCCATGGCTCTTCTACCGGGTGTGGTAACCCCTCCCTCCCCTTTTTCTTTTGGACCTAACAATGGTCACAGCTGAGTTCCCACTGGCCTCAAGATGTTGCATGTCCCCTTGAGGTCTCCCCACCTTGTGCACATATTTGTAAATAGTCCCCGTAACAAGACCTTCTCAAATTATCCAGATACTAGTGGGCTTGGGCCATCGCTTCCCGCTAAGACCTTGGCGACTGCAGGCTGCTTGGGAGCTGAGTTTGCAAATGCTAGTGCATGATGAGGCTTTCCTTGCCTGTGATTCCAGCAAACTGGAGGGATGGGGAGGCCACCCCAGGGGGCCTGATGGGACAGTCCCAAGGCAAGGGGGTGAAGGTAGGATGGGAGTCACCCCAAATAAATTAGCAGAGATCCCCGTGGAGGAAATGCAGGTGGAGGACTTATTGATAGGGTTGTCACAGAGGAGACCTGGGAGTCTCCCCTCACGGGAAGGATGCTGTTATGGGGTGAAAGAGGCAGGAGGCAGAGAGGCTCAAGGAAGAAAAGCAGTGAAGGTGAAGCTCTGGCCATGCTTCTCCAGCTGTGCCAACTATACAGAGGGGGAGTGGTGTGGTGCAGACTCCAGAGGTGCGTCCATGCAGGCTGCAGAAGGAACATGTTCTCTGGAGTTTAACAGCACTGGGGGCCCTGAGCCTCTGGCTGCTGTATTCCTACGGTGACTCTCCCTGGCTGGAACAGAACCTCTGTCCACCCCTCCTTCCCAGCCTTGCTCCGGGTCCTCCTGCTGGGAGTCAGAGTGAATCCTGTGCACTCCCAAGCCCCCTGCTCTGGGGCTTTTCCTCAAGCTCTGCCTGGAGTACCCTTCCTTCCTTCTCTTCTGGATTGTCACACACTCCAGGCCCCCCACTCTCATGCATCAGCTCCCACCTTTTTTAGGGTTGTATCCCCAAATCTGCCTGCCAGACCTGACCCAGCCATCCCCTTGCTGTGTGGCCTTGGGCACATCATGTCTTCTGGATCTCGGTTTCCTGGTCTGTGAAATAGCAGTGGTGCTGAGAGGTAATTAGGGGACCTCTCCTGTCCCTTTCAGACTTGGATGAATCCACGGACCTAAGTCCTTTGTCCTACTAATAAAAGATGAAAGACGCATGCTTCTCTCATTCATCTTTGTGTTCTCCACAGCACCCTGTAGAGGGCCCCACCAGAAGGACTGGATGGATGGTAAATCTTTCTAGAGTGACCAGGGGCCATTCATTCCTTGGCCCTAATGTGTCCAGAGTTTTTTCCTTCCAGTGGGTTTGTGGTGCCGCTGACTTCAAGAATGAAGCTGTGGACCTTCGCGGTGAGTGTTACAGCTCTTAACGGTGGCACAGACCCAAAAATAGTGAGCAGCAGCAAGATTTATCGTGAAGAGCGGAAGAGTGAAAGAAGGAAGCTTCCACAGCGTGGAAGGAGACCCGAGCTGGTTGCCACTACTGGCTGGTTGGGGGGAGGGATGGGGGGCAGGGGGGAGGTGACCAGCTTTTATTCCCTTATTTGTCCCCACCCATGTCCTGCTGATTGGTCCATTTTACAGAATGCTGATTGGTCCATTTTACAAACCTCTAGCTAGCTACATAGCACTGATTGGTGCATTTTTACAGAGCACGGATTGGTGCATTTTACAAACCTCTAGCTAGCTACAGAGCACCGATTGGTGCATTTTTACAGAGCACTGATTGGTGCATTTTACAAACCTCTTATAAGACAGAAAAGTTCTCCAAGTCCTCACTAGAATTAGGAAGTCCAGCTGGCTTCACCTCTCACTAAGTTGATAAAAATATCCCCTGGGAACCTGACATCATTTCTTCCCATTTCCTGGCAAATCCAGCATGTTCTCATTTATAACCTGGTCTCCTGAGTAGACTGCCCCTGAGAGGTACATCCAGGACTAGCAATAATAGTTATCCTTTAAACGAGAGACTGCCCCACAGTTACCTCTGGGGTGGGAGCCTGGAAGGAATAAAAGGTGTTCATTTTATTCCCTTTGGATTTTTTTTATACCACACGTTATTATTGTAATATGAAAGAGTCTTTTTAGAAAAAAAGTTATACACAAAGACTGATAATTTGGGTTGCTTCCAAAGAGGGGAACTGGGTAGCTAATGATTGAGGCAGGGTGAGGACCAGGGAGGAGACTCACTGGTCAACTTATGTCCTTTGGTACCTTTGGAATTTGTACCATGCACATTCATCATCTACCAAGAAAATAAATGTAGGCTGGGCGTGGTGGCTCATGCCTGTAGTCCCAGCACTTTGGGAAGCTGAGGCGGGCAGATCACTTGAACACAGGAGTTTCAGACCAGCCTGGGCAATATGGTAAGACTCTGTCTTAAAAAAAAAAAAAAAGTATCCAGTCATGGGGGTGCACATCTGTGGTCCCAGCTACTTGGGAGGCTGAGGTCAGAGGATTGCTTGAGCCTGAGAGATCAAGGCTGCAGTGAGCCAAGATCATGCCACTGCACTCCAGCCTGGGTGACGGAGTGAGACCCTGTCTCAAAATGGTAAATAAATAAAAATAAATAAATAAATGCAAATTTATGAACTCACCAGCTTGTGTATAGTCCTTCTATAGAGATGAAGCACTTTGACACAAAATAGCTCACTTTATCCTCCTCATGCCCCTAGGTAAGTCCTATGATTAACCCTATTTTCAGATGAGGAAACTGAAGCTCATAGAAGATGAAAGGTTTGCCCAGAGTTTCCTAGTTGGTGTGATGTGGCATTGAGGCTCACACTCTGGATTTCTGATCCTGAAGCAGGCTGCTGATAAGGTTTAGCTTGTCAAATATATTTCCATTAAAAAAAATGAATTGACATTTTGATGTACGACTCAGTCTTTGGAAGGTGTGTTTATTGTGAGTCGAATTCCCATTAAAGGCGACTGAAACAACAGAGCTCCCCATGCTGCAAAGCTGAGGCCCAGACACGGGGCTGAGGAGGCCCCACCAAACCACATATATGAGGGGCCTCCTCAGCCACCCGTCCCATCTCAACTCCTCACCTGGACTCCAGGCTCCTCAACTTCTTTGGAAATTTTGCCTTAAACCTCACTCCCTCTAGGAAGCCTTCACCAGTGCCTCCTGTGGGCCTCTCCCTTGCTCAAAGCAAGGTCTAAAGCCCGTTTTCTCTGCTACATTCTCAACAGTCTTGTTCACAGCTACACTCCTGCACACCTCACACTGGGCCCGGCACACAGCAGGAGCTTAATGGATACTCACCAAATGAATGAGTAAACCAATGGCCAGGACTCTGCTCCTGCCAGGCTACCCTGCTTGTCTCCTTTCTCTGTGATCTGTGCCAATCACACCCCTCATTGGGAAGCAGAGGGGCGGCCACAGGGGATGGCTTAGCACCCCCAGCCCCTGAGGAGTCCGTGCCTGCCAGCTCCATCCGAGGATGGGTGTGGGGAAACAGCTGCCCGTCTCATTAACAGATGAGTGTCCTGAGCTCTGATGGGTGGAAGGGGGGAGTGTCGCAGGAAGGAGGGGGCTGTAGAGGCCTCAAGTGGCTCCTTGGCCATCTCTGAGCAGCGCAGACTCTGATATTAAGCAGAGCTGTGTGGAAATTACTCATTTCTGCATCTCCGCCGCCCCTCATTTCTCTGTGCTCATCAGCACTTTGCCTCGCCGACCTCCCCTGCCACTTCTCAGAGGAAGACAGGAGGAGCTGGGGGGAGACTGAGTTCCATCCTCTTTGGAGCTTGTTCAGATTTTCAATGAGCTGCAGACCCCTCATATCCTGTCATATCCTGCCACCCGCTGTCACCATCACAGCCACCCTGACCACCTTCCTTCCCCAAAACGTCCCCTCCCTGCTGATCGATCTCCACCTCTCTTCCAGCCTCCCTTCCTCCCTGTCTCTGCCCCTCCCCCTCAGCTCAGCAGCAGGATTTCTGCTCCACTGTGAATTGCAGAATTCCTAAGCCCTGGGAAAGCCCAGCCCCACTAATGAGCTAAAGCTGACCTCGTCTCCAGGCCGCAGCAGCTGAATGTATTAACCCCTCACTCCAGCAGAGACCTCATTGACTTCCAAACCACTTTTGCATCATTGTGCAGTCAGTCCAATGGAGCCGTTTATTGGGCACCTACTATAGACAAGGCCCTTGGGGCAGGGTGGGGGGTGCTGGGGACAAGGTCCTTTCACTTGTGGAGCTGCAACCTTGCAGGAATAGCTATAGCATCAGCGGCTCTGTGACAAAGGAAAGGTCGCTGCTGTGAATCAAGGACACTGGACTGTGGTCCGAGTCTGGCCACCAACTGGCTGCATGACCTTGATCCAGTCCCTTCCTCCCTCTGGACCTTGGTACTTCTATCTGCAAATAAGGGGTCGAACTTGTTCAGTATTTTCCAAACTGCAGTTTGCAACCCATTACAGGATGGGGAGATAAATTTAGTGTCAGAACCAACATTCGAAGAAAGAAAAAAACTTTAAGCAACTGCATCAGAACACGGCACACAATAGAGGTGAGTATTACACAAAGAAACTTATTGGGCTGACACGGTGGCTCACGCCTGCAACCCCAGAGCAGTTTGGAAGGTCGAGGTGGGCAGATCGCTTGAGCTCAGGAGTTCAAGACCAGCCTGGGTAATGTTGTGAAATCCCATCTCTGCAAAAATATAAAAATTAGCCAGTCATGGTGGTGCATGCCTGTAGTCCGAGCTACTTGAGAGCTCAAGCAGGAGGATCGCTTGAGCTCAGGAGATTGAGGCTGCAGTGAGTTGAGATTGTGCCACTGCACTCCAGCCTGGGTGACAGAGTGAGGCCCTGTCTCAAAAACAAACAAACAAACAAACAAACAAAAAGAAACAAAAAAACTTCTTTTGGCTGCACATCTCTGTGTACATGTTTCCACAGGTACCTGCATGTATGTGTACGTGTGTCTATTTGTGTCTATGGTTGAGTGTGGACTATATGTATATGCACATGTGTTTTATGCACTTGTGTGTCTCTGTGTGTGTGTGTGTGTGTGCTGGGTCACAACAGAGTGGATTTCTTATGATGAGTCACAGTCAAAATATCTTGGGAAACGCTGTTGTACATGGTCCCTAAGATTCTTCTGGTTCCAAAACTACATCGTTTCAAATGCTGTTAGAAGAGGGACACTGAGGGGCTCATTCTAGCCACGGGATAGGGAAAACTTCATCAAAGAGTTGGTGGCACTTGTACTTTCTTTTTTTTCTTTTTTCTTTTTTTTTTTTTTTTGAGACGGAGTCTCGCTCTGTCGCCCAGGCTGGAGGGCAGTGGCGCCATCTCGGCTCACTGCAAGCTCCACCTACCAGGTTCACGCCATTCTCCTGCCTCAGCCTCCGGAGTAGCTGGGACTACAGGCACCCACCACCACACCTGGCTAATTTTTTGTATTTTTAGTAGAAATGGGGTTTCACCGTGTTAGCCAGGATGGTCTCAATCTCCTGACCTTGCGATCCGCCTGCCTCGGCCTCCCAGAGTGCTGAGATTACAGGTGTGAGCCACTGCACCCGGTCCATTTGTACTTTAAAAGATGAGCAGGATTTCTACCAACATAGAAATGTAGGGGACAGAGGGGAGAGAGATAGAGGGGAGAAGGGGCAACAGCATTCCAGGTGGAGGCACCATTGTGAGCAAAGGCCGGGAGGTGGGACTGTGCTCCGTCTGTTTGGGGAACAGTGAGGAGTCCTAGGACCCCAGGACAGGGGATGACGTTCTGAGATTGGAAAGCTGGGCTTGGGCCACGTCTTGTGGCGGCCCATGGCTTCCACTTGGGGGATTTCCACAGGGATGGTGGGAAGCCAGGTAAGGCTTTTGATATCCCAACAGCCCCAGGAGGAACCCCAGACTCCATGCTTCCCCCTGTCTCCCAGGAAAGGACTTCTAGACTAAGGTATGACTGATTGACAAGACTTCATGAACCACCTGTTTCATAGGGGTGGTGGGTGATTTATTATTGGCAAGTGGTTCTAAGGCAGAGGGTCTGACATAGGGCTGGGCTGCTTCTCTGTACGTGCTGACCACTGCTCTGCGAGGGGGGTTGCACACCCACGTGTCAGCATTTCAGAGACTTTGACGCATGTGAGCATACTTGGGACAGAGTACTTGCCATTGTGAGGCTCACCATGCCTGAGGATCTAGACAGAAACAGATCAACTTATTGAATCCTTCGTTTGCAGATGAGGCAGCCGAAATCCAGAGATGTGACTGGCCCAAGGAGTCACAGTGGGCGAGAACTTATTCCTCAGGCCATTAGATTCCCTAATGCTGCACCTTCGGGCCCCTTTGTGCTGCTGCTGGACGGGTGGGGATGCGAGAGGGTGCTGAAGAGGTGGTATTGGGAGGCCTCAGGAGGTGGCTGCCTACTCAAAAAGCCTTACTTGCTTTAAAACAGCTCAGGCCGGCTCCCGTCCCCCACAGAAGACCCCCACTCCCTACCCTGCGGGCAATTCCTTGACAGTCACATTAGTGAAGGCTGGGTTAACCCTTGATGCTCTGCCCTCCAGCACCAGGGCAGGACCTGGACACCAGGGTCATTCCCTCCCTGGCACCTATGGAGACTGGATGCTGAGGAGGGAAAGGTGAAGCCACAGCCAACTATTTTTAGTTCAAGAATTGGTTGCCAGGAACACTGAGCCGACTCCCTGCTGTATATTAGGGATGCGACAGCAGCGGTGTTGTTTGCAGGGTCTAATTGTGGGGATTTATTGTAACATGCAACTTGTCAGCCACTGCTCTGCCTAGGGCCCAGTCTCCTTGTCATCGGAATCTGAGCTATTTCCCAACTCCCTGGGTGCAGGGGAAGGAAATGGGGCAGAGAAGGAGCAGGAGTGTGCCCAGGGACCCTGGACAGCTCACAGCTGACCTTGCACCAAGAGTCGCTCTGCCCAGGAGGGGGCAGAGAGGAGAAAAGTGATGAGACTGGATTGGAAGCAAAGAGAGAGGGCCTGGGGCTGCCCATTGTTGGGCCCACAGGACTCAACCTTGACTTTCCTTGGGGCTTCAGATCTGGAAGAGGCTCAGTGGGAACAAGCTGAGAGCTTTTTCTCTTGTGCATGACAGTAGCATAGGAGGGCACCGGCCTGGGTAACAGCGGAGAGTTTTCAGTTAGATGGAAGGAGGACCTCCTTGACTTGAGGGTGGTCCTCCTTCCACCCTCAAGTCAAGGGTGGCAAGGAGGGGACAGTGTCTGGTCTCAGCAGTGGCAGTGGTCATCCTTCTGCCAAGGGAGGGGGAGAGATATGCAGACACCTAGCAAAGCCTACTATGTGCTGGGCACACTGTGCAGCACCCCGATGCAACCTTATTTAATCCTTTGCAAAGGGGGCCTCTGTCTCCATTGCGTAGATGAGGAAACTGAGGCTTGGGTAGATATTCACCTAAGGTCTCATAGCAGTAAGGAGCCTACAGCTGGGATTTTTACCCGAATGTGTCCAACTTCAGAGCTCTGCTCACCAACCATTATTGACTAGGACCCCAGGAACTGGAAGGAGGGGTCATCTTTCCCCTTGTTCCTGCATGCCTGGAATTCTGGGACAAAAAGACACTCAGCCAGCCAGCCAACAAACGCGCCAGGTACTGCGCCAGGCCCCTGGAATATAGGTACCTACCCAGGAAGAGCTGATGTGAAAAGGTCATTTCTTCCAGCCTCCTGCCTCATCTCCTCCTCTCCAAAAACCGTGGTCTGCATTTCAAATCACTCGAGAAAGGAAGGGCTGCAACTGTCCTTCTTCCCTTAAATAGTCAGGACTATTTAAGAAGCTTCTGATGTCTCAGGTAGGGGATAGGGGAAGGACGGCTTGGACTCTCAGCATCTTGGGGGAAGGCTGGACTCAGGCCTACTTTCCTTATTTAGAAACCCTGGAGTAATGATGCAGAACCACCTTATGGGAGTGGTAAATGAGAAAGAGAAGGTTGAATGCTGCCAGCCATGGGTTCAACTTTCCCGAGACAAGCTAAAATTGGACTGATCATTATAGCAGGCACCCAGGTATATGATTATTCTTCATAATTTTTTTTAGTTGCATAGACTACATTTTAAATAGATAATGCAAACTTGCACATGATGCAAAAATCAAAAGGTGCATAGGAAATATCCTGAAAATCTCCCTCCCTTCCCCACTCCCAGCCACCTAATTCCTCTCTCCACAGGCTCCAAGGTTATCAGTTTCTTGGTAGATTTGCAGAGATCGTCGATCCAATAAATAAGCAATTACGGCTATATATTCTTTTTGTTTTATACAAACGTGCTCTTCTATACCTTGCTTTTTTTCCCACTTAGCAATTTATCTTGGAGATTGTTCCAAATCAGTCCATAAAGAGTAGCCCCCTCCATTCCTTTTTAATGATTGCATAATATTCCGCCAGTTGAATGAACCCTGATCTGCCGAACTCATCCCCAGCGATGGGCATTTAGGTGTTTTCAATCTTTGGCTCTTAAAAGTAGTGCTGCCATAAATAACTTCATTCATAGATCATATGGCATATGAAAGGTTATATTTATGGCATAAATTCCCAGAAGTGGAGCTGCTGGCCCGTGAACACGTACATTTATAATTTTGATACTTATTGCTGAATCTTTCTCCAAATAGATTGCACCAATTTATACTGTCTTGAGTTTCCCCAGAAGCAGGACCTGTGAAAAAGATTCAAGGGCAGGTTGTTTATTTGGGAGGTAATCCCAGGAGGTCCCAGTAGGGAGGTGGGGAAGGCGGGCAGGGGAGGGAGGAAAGCCTGATGACTGGACCTTAATCCCATTGAGGAGCTCAGGGAGGCATGTGGGACCCCCAGCTCAGAGTCATCCCAGTGGAGGGCACGAGGGTAGGGCACTGGTGACATCTGCCATCCCCTCCTCTAGAAACATAGGGATCCCTGTTGCCCCACACCTTCACATTGGGAAAATCTGATCATCCTTCCCCCCACACCCCTCCCTGGGCCCCATCTCACCCCAGTGCATGGACAGCCTGTGAAGGGGGCTGCCCACCCCACAGCCCCGCCCCAGGCTGGCACCAATCACTCTGCCCCTGCAGGGTCCCTCCTAGCTGCTAAGCCCTGGGGAAGGTAGAGAGGCACATCTAGGGTCACAAGACCCTAAACGCCCTAAAAGGAAACTACCTGTGGCACAACCTTTGTGCCCGTCACCACCCACCCTCCAGGCATCACACAAAACATGCCCCCTCCAGAATTGTTTAACCGATCGAACATAAGATTCCGCCCTTGTCCCCCAGAAGCCACACCCTGCATGTGAACTCCATGTAGAGACAAGGCCACACTCACTGGGGGCACAGACATAGATGCTAGGAACCAACCCAGGCTGGGGCGAAGGCTCTGCAGGTGGGCAGAAGCAGGTCTAGGGGTGGTGTTGGCCCTCGGGGCCCCAGGACCCTCTTCCAGCTCCCTACATCTGCTTTCCCCACCCTGTCCCCACCAGGTTGGTTCAGAGCTCCAGGCTCCCCCTCCCCAAGGCCCATGAGGAAGACTTGGGAGAAGTGGGTCCTTTAGGGGTCAGCCCTGGCCTCCTTGCTGACTAGGTTCTCTGTGGCCTCCTCTCATCTTCAAGATGCTATCCCTCCACCTACCTTATTTAACTGAGGGCTACTGTCCTCACTAGGGAACTAGCAGTCAGCTTATTTAACTGAGGGCTACTGCCCTCACTAGGGCACTAGCAGTCCGCTTATTGAACTGAGGGCTACTGTCCTCACTAGGGCACTAGCAGTCAGAGACACAGAAGAATAAGAGAAAGCACAATCCTCTATGCAACTAGGCTCAGGGCAGGACCCTAGTTAGGGCCTATTAGCCCTTAAAGCAAACCTGCAGCTGCCAGTAACATAAATGTGGTGTTAATGTAGGAACAGAAATGGCCACCCTGACATCTGCTTAACCAAGGTGAGGTATTAGCTACAGTTTATCCCCACCTGAGTCCTTTCTTTACTTGACTGTTAACGGAAATGCTGAGAGAAAACCCAGCAATTGTGGCAGCCAGCTCAGGGTCAGGGAGCTGGAACCTAGGCTGGCACACACCACTGCCAAGCTTCGCTGGTGAACCCTGGGGCCAGGCCTGGTGGCTGCCTAGGTCTTAGTTTACTTCTTTATAAAATAAAGATCTTGGACTAATTCAGCTGATAAATGTGTTTTGAGGACCTATTACATGCCAGATGCTAGGGAAACAGTTGAGCAGCACATAATTCCTGCCCTCAAAGAGTTTTCTGTCTGGCAGGGATGGGCACAACCAGCCAACTCCATGTGAAGGAAACAGAATAAAGTGGTGTATAAGGGTCATGGAGGCACAGATAAAGATACTAGTTAATTCTCCCTGGGGGAAAAGTAGGGAAACACCACTCAGTGCCAAGGGCATTTGAAGTGGGCTTCAAAGGGTGAGTAGGAGTTTTCAAGAGAGACCTCAATGACCCCTTCAATCTTCCAGTGTGAATATTCTATTCTCTAGTCCACAGCAACATTTTTAAACTGCACTGTACAAAACTTTAGTATCTTCAAGATGCAAAGTAAGTGCTCTTAATTAAAAAAAGAAAAAGTTACATGATGGTAGAGGTTTGGGAAGCAGTGAGTCAAAATCAAATAGGTGTCCTTGCTGCAGGACTCCTCAGAGCGGCTCTTACCTGGAAGCCCCATCTCCCCTCAAGGCAGAGCAGAGCTGGACAGGAAGAGGAGCCCAGACCGGGAGAACACAGACTACCTCCACCTTTTCTCCCTCCCTCCCTCTTCCCTCTTCCTTCCTTTCCTCCCTGTCTTCTTTCCCTCCATTTAGCCATATACCCATCCATTCATCCATCCATCCATCCATCCATCCATCCATCCATCCATCCATCCATCATCTGTTACTACTAAGGGCCTTGAGTCCCTCCTCTGTACCAGTCACTGTATAATTAACAAGATGTCTGTTGCTAATGAAAGATTCCTTCCGGCCAGGCGTGGTGGCTCACGCCTGTAATCCTAACACTTTGGGAGGCCAAGGTGGGAGGATCACTTGAGCCCAGGAGTTGGAGACCAGCCTGGGCAACATAGTGAGACCTTGTCTCTTAAAAGAAAAAAAAAAAAGATTTTTTCCTTTCCTTCCTGCCCCCATGATTTCTTTCTTTCTTCTCCCTTTATTCATTCCTTCTCCCCCTCACCTTCTCTAACTTTCTGGTCCCTGTCTCTCATTGGCATGCTCTGAGTGCTCATTACATCCAAATTCCAGCTCTGTCCCTCCTAAGGGGACTCGGCACAAGGACTTTCATGGGGAGCTTGATGCCCACTGCACTTGGTACACCAAGGAGAGCAGACAGGGGTAGGCTGCTCTGTTCTGAGGATAAGCCTTCTGGCAATTCAGTGCTCAGAAAGATGGAATGAAGGAGCAGGGACACAGGTGGACCCCGAGAAGGAAGTTAAACACCACCATGTGCTTACTATGTGCCGAGCACAGATTAGGCCTGCTGCGTATACCAGGTAATTTCCTTGGTCCCAAAATGCAGGGAAAGGAGTGTTATTGTCTAGATTATTACCTATGAGGAACGTGAGGCTCAGAGAGGTTATGCAATGGGTCCAAGGTCACACAGGAATGAATGGAGACCAGAGGCTATTGACCCCAAAGTGCCTGCTTCTTGGAGGAGTGACACTGATGTAGTGATGGAGGGAGGCGGCAATGGGCTGGCCTGCTGGGGAGGCCCTTGACCTGAGGCCAAAGACAAGAGTGAGTCTACAGGCGGCTGGTCTGGCTGGGTCTGGGGCTAGCCACCAGGATGGAGCACAGAGCCGAGACGGGAGGTGGGAAGGGGCTGCTGAACAAAGCTGCTGGTAAGAGGAGCAGGGAGGCTGGCTTCCCAGAAGTGGCTCATCAGATGCCCACGGACAAAGGCTTCTGGCTAAGGGAGTGGAAGGAACACCTGGGAAAAGGCACCGAGACTGTGCATTGAAAGCTTATCTGCTTTATCTGCTGCAGGTTATGTTGTGTGTATTGATTTTCTCTTAATAAAATCCATTCCGATTTTTTTAAAAAAAGAATAATGACAATGGATGCCTGTGGAGACAGGAACCTGGGCAGAAATTGTTTAGTATTGGGCACAGCCCCTGGGAGGAAGGGGCGGCCCCTCCCCCCGGGGGGAGGAGGGCACTGTGGGTGGGTGAGCAGGCATGAAAAAGACACAGGGGCCAGAAAGGCAGAGCGGAGGTCTTCAGACTTCAGTCTCTGCCACTTCTTCGCTCCCATGAGCCCCCCTGAGTGGGAGCAGAGGCTTCTTCCCTCGGCCATGCCTCTGCTGGGACGTCTGCATGGACTCCAGGCTTCCCTTGGGTTACCCACCTTCCCCTTCCTGGTGCTGGGGCCTTTCCTTCACTGCCTGGCAGCTATTAGACCTGGGGAAGCCACATCACCTGTCTGATGCTTACCTTTCTTGCAAACTGGGATAATACCACTTTGTGGATGCCTTTGCCTACTCCATAGGAAGTTGTGATAACAGTTTAATTAAAAAAAAAAAGAAAAAAGCATTTTGCAGAATCTAAGTCTCCCCCAGGGGCAAGGGAGGAGGATGAAAGGCCGTTGATACCCACCACTTTGCAGAACAGCCCTTCTCCCCAGTCAGATGCCCCCTCACTCACACGTGCCTCCTCCCTCTCCTTCGCACTGGTCCTCATCCTACCCACGTTCTGTTCTGGAAACAGGGGTGGAATTGGCAAGGTGGGACAGTGCCCTAGAGGGGCTGGCTAGTTTCTCTCTGGCCACCTGTCTGTAAATCAAGTAGCTACCACCACAGAGCCTGAGCCAGGGGAGAGTCGATTCTTCAGGAACAGGTAACTGAACTGTGACAATTTACCCATTGCTATTCTTAAACAGATTTTTTTTTCTCATAAAGCAGAGACTTGTTAAAATAATGATACAAACACTTATCTAACTCCTCTCTTTTGCCCATTAAATTTAAGACAAGATCTCATTGGAAGTGATATTTAATGTAACCCAGATCTCTGAGTACAGATGGGGACCTTCCATCCAATAAAAACTGTTATAAATCTCTGCTTAACTCAATTCTGGCTTTTCCCTCAGCCTCTCTGGAAATCCTTTAGTTGTCAAAATTCATGGTTCTGGACCTATCCATAAACATTTGCAAACCATTTGCAATTTTTCTTTTTTAAAGGCCTTTTTGCAGACCTCTCCCCTGCCATGCCGATGGAGCCATTGACTTCTAACGATCTAGGCAGGACCTCACCTGCCTCCTCTGCACCTTGCTGATTCTTTCTTCCCAGGAAGAATTTGGCCTTTAAAAAAAAAATTAAATAATCATGTATCTGAAAGATCCATCATCCCAGGTATAGTCTCCTTTTAATCAAGAACACTCTCAGGTCCGTGTGATGGCTTCCTGTAAACAAGGCCCAAACCGCTTGTGCAGGGATGGACTGTTCTGCTTTGCCAGGTCTCTCGCACCACACTTTTTCTTTTTGAGACAGAGTCTCGCTCTGTCACCGAGGCTGAAGTGCAGTGGTGTAATCTCGGCTCACTGCAATGTCCGCCTCCTGGGTTCAAGTGATTCTCCTGCCTCAGCCTCCTGAGTAGGTGGGACTACAAGTGCATGCTACCATGCCTGGCTAATTTTTGTATTTTTAGTAGAGATGGGGTTTTGCCATGTTGTCCAGGCTGGTCTCGAACTCCCGGCCTCAGGTGATCCACCCGCCTTGGCCTCCCAAAGTGCTGAGATTATAGGCATGAGCCACCGCCGGCCCAGCCTCACCAGACTACCCTCACGCTGTTGCCTCTTGTGTGCCTCTGCCCTGGAATGCCCCTCCCCATCATGCCTTCTTCAAGGCTCAGAAAAACATCACTTCCTGCACAGAGCTTTCCAGAACTCGACAACTTAGCATGAATTTCCTGTTGCGTCCCTTGACACTCTGCCAGTGATGTGGCTGAGGCATGAGCTGGTGCGGTGGCTCACACTTGTAATCCAAGCACTTTGGGAGGCCCAGGCAGACGGATCACCTGAGGTCTGGAGTTCGAGACCAGCCTGACCAACATGGGGAAACCCCATCTCTACTAAAAATACAAAATTAGCTGGGTGTGGTGGCACATGCCTGAAATCCCAGCTACTTGGGAGGCTGAGGCAGGAGAATTGCTTGAATCCAGGAGACGGAGGTTGTAGTGAGCCAAGATTGCGCCATTGCACTCCAGCCTGGGCAACAAGAGTGAAACTCCGTCACAAAAAAATAAAAATAAAGGCTGGGCACAGTGGCTCACACCTGTAATCCCAGCACTTTGGGAGGCTGAGGTGGGCAGATCACGAGGTCAGGAGATCGAGACCATCTGGCTAACATGGTGAAGTCCCGTCTCTACTAAAAATATAAAGAAAATTAGCTGGGTATGGTAGCGGGCTCCTGTAGTCCCAGCTACTCGCGAGGCTGAGGCAGGAGAACTGCTCGAACCTTGGAGGCGGAGCTTGCAGTGAGCAGAGATCGCGCCACTGTACTCCAGCCTGGGTGACAGAGTGAGACTCCATCTCAAAAAATAACATAACGTAACGTAACGTAACGTAACGTAACGTAACGTAACGTAACGTAACATAACATAACATAAAAATAAATATGAGCCATGTAATCAGCCTGGTGGATGCCAAGGGCTGCCCATATGTCAGCTAATTGCAATGGCCCTGGCTATAGATACTTGTCTACCTGTGTTTCTCCCACTAGACCCTGAGCCCCTCAAAGACATGGGCCATGCCTCATTCATCTTGCAGCACAGCATCCATCAGGACAGCTCAGGGCCAACCTTAGCCATACAGCCTTCTTTGAATGTTCCAACCCTCCTGGTCCTTTCTGTTTCTCGAAACCCCAGTAGCATTCATTCTACCCCTCTGTATTCATTAGGATTATGTTTAAGTACACATAATAGAAAATCAAAATAGTGTGGCTTGAAGGAGATCACAGTTTGTTTCTCTTTCATGCGTCCCAGCAGGTAATTAAGAGATAATAGGGTGTGTCAACTTTAGGATCTCACATCTTATTGCTCTGCCAAGTGTGACTCCAACTTCATGATCCAAAATGGCAGCACCCATGCTCCTGGCAGCCAATGGAGGAATAGACAGACACTGTCGCTTAAGGAAGGTTCTGGAGGCTTTCACAGGACCTTACCACTTATAGCCATTGGTCAGAACTTAGCCATATGGCCATACCTACCTGCAAAGGATGTTGGGAAATGTAGTGTCTAACCTGGGCAGCCATGTACTCAGCTAAAAGGGGAAAGCTGGGTACAGTGGCTCATGCCTGCAATCCCAGCTACTTCGGGGCTGAGGCAGGAGGATTGCTTGAGGCCAGGAGTTTGAGATCAGCCCGGGTAACATAGCAATCTCTAAAAGTAAGTAAATAAAAAGGGGGGAGAATGAATACTGGGGAACTACCAATGTCTACCATCCCCACACAATTTAACACTTAGTTTTCCTCTTCCTTTTTAAACAATTTTTAAAAATTTATTAGGATAACACACAATTCACCAGCTTAACCATTTTCAAGCGTATAGTTCAGTAGCGTCAAGTACATTCGCATTGTTGTGCAACCACCTCCAGAACGCTTTGTATTTTTTTGAAATAGGGTCTTACTCCACTGCCCAGGCTGCAGCCTTGACCTCCTAGGCTCAAGCAATCCCTCCACCTCAGCCTCCCAAGTAGCTGGGACTATAGGCACAAGCCACCACCCCCAACCAATTTTTGTTGTTTTTGTTTGTTTGTTTTTTGAGACAGAGTCTTGCTCTGTCACCCAGGCTGGAGTGCAGTGGCATGGTCTTGGCTCACCGTAACCTCCTCCTCCTGGGTTCAAGCGATTCTCCTGCCTCAGCCTCCCTAGTAGCTGGGATTACAGGCGGGTGCCACCATACCCAGCTATTTTTTTGTATTTTTAGTAGAGACGGGGTTTCACCGTGTTAGCCAGGATGGAAATCTTACTTTCCAAACAGTTCCCCTGCTGATTCCACTGCAGTCAGCCCGACACCGGGAACCACTAGAATACGGAGGAAGGAGTCTGTGGACCTGAACAGCCCTAGCTCTAACGTCAATTCCAGCACTTGTTTGCTGTGAAACCTTGGCCAAGTTACTTAACCTCTCCGAGCCTCATACCAATACCTGCCTTATAATGTGGTAGTGAGAATTACATAAAATGATGCATAGAAACTTTTTAGCACAGTGTCTGGCATGCCCAGACCCTAATAAATAGGGAGCTGATGTTGCAGTTATTATATCAATAATAATTATTATTACACCAATATTAATATCAGTAATTACATCAATAATTATTACATCAAAAATATCAATAATTATTACATCAATAATTATCATATCAATAATAATTTATGTAAATATTATATATAGATATTATAATTGTATATATTATTATAGCAATAATAATTATTATTATTATTACTCAAACGCCTGGAACAGCCCACTCTGAGGACTGTAGTTCTGATGGTCCTGGTGCTGCTATCAGGCAAGGCCCTTAGAGTGTCTCAAGTTGAAAGCCAGCTAGATAAAAGACAGCAATGAGGCTATTTGCTAGATGCTGGGCTCAGTGATAGTTAAAGGTCCAGGGAGACCAGGGAGATGAAATAAAGGGACTCGCCGTGTTAGTGCCATTACCCCACCGCAGCAACATCTGCCACAAGCGCTTACCCTGAGTACTCCAGCCACCGCCAACCAGTAGCTGTCTGCAGCAGCAGCAGAGGTTGACAGAAACTTCAGCGCAGGGAAGTCGTATGGAGGAGTCCCTCTGGGCTGGAGCAGGGTCCAGCTGGCACTGCCCCAGAGCCCTGCTCCTGGCTGGGAGGGAGAGGAAGTCAGTCCCTGGAGCAATGTCCAAAGTGATGGCAAGAAGGAAAGCCATGCTGGGCCTAAGAGATATTCCACGCAGTCTTAGGTCTCAGCGCCAATGTTGCCTCCTCTGGGCTGAGTTCCGGGCTTCCCTGCACATTCCACTTCCACGGCAGCACTGGCCTTTCTGCTCTGATAGTTCCCTGGTCTGCCATCACCACTGGAGGACAGTGACTTAACCAACCTCCGCTAGCACCGCTTCACGCTCGATCTTATACACCTGCTTCACTGGCCTCCTTTCCGTTCCTCAAACCTACGGAGCTGTTCCCGGCCCTGGGGCCTTTGCACTTGCTGTGCTCTCTCCTGGTTCCTGGCTCTTTCTCTTTACTCTTCAGGTCCTAGAGAGCCCTCCCTGCATTGCCCCTGTCCAAAGGAAGCTGCCCAACTGCTCTTCATCACAGCACCCTGTGTATTTCCTTCATAGCACCTTCACAATCCAGAACCATCTTGCTTATTTATCTATTTACCTGCTTATTGTCTGTCTCCCATGGAGAGGAACGTGTGAGCTCTATGGAGGTAGGAATATCTGTCCTGTTCATCTCAGTGCCTGGTGTGGAGCAGGAGCTCGATGCCTCCTATTGAACAATTTGATTTTCTAGTCATCTCAGTCCTTGGCCTGGCACAGTGCCAGGAACCTAAGAGCTGCCTAAGAAATGTTTATTAAATGAAGAAATGATACCATCAGCCATTCCTGCATTGGATCACTACCAGGAATCTTCTTTTTCTTTTCTTTTCTTTTTTTTTTTTTTTTTTGAGACTGAGTCTTGCTCTGTTGCCCAGGCTGGAGTACAGTGGCACAATCTCGGCTCACTGCAAGCTCCACCTCCTGGGTTCACGCCATTCACCTGCCTCAGCCTCCCAAGTAGCTGGGACTACAGGCACCTGCCACCACGCCTGGCTAATTTTTTGTATTTTTAGTAGAGACAGGGTTTTACCGTTTTAGCCAGGATGGTCTCGATCTCCTGACCTCGTGATCTGCCCGCCTTGGCCTCCCAAAGTGCTGGGATTACAGGTGTGAGCCACTGCACCTGGCCCAGGAATCTTCTTAGAGTGATCCTAGAGCTAGAAATCCATCTGTTCAACAATATGTATGGAACTACTCTATGCCTGGCCCTGAGTTAGGCTCAGAGGATGCAGCAGATATCAGGACTGAAACAGAGTCCATTCATGGTCTACATTACAGAGGCGAGGAGGTCAGGTGGAGAGAGGGATTTTTGGGGAGGTGAGTGTAGACACTCTCAACACCTTCTTTTCCTCCCATCCTTTCCCTGAATTCAGAGATGCTCCCCATGCCATCATCCTCCCGGGTTGTGTTTGTGGGTTTGCTGGCAGGGGGTTGAATGTTGGACGAGAAGTCGGAGGAAATTGCTCTTCGCTGGCAGATCAAAGCCGTGAAGCTCAGAAACAAAGCCTCTCCCCTCTCCCCATCCCTGTCCCTCTGCTTCCACCCACCGACAGCCAAGACAGCCTGCAATCAGGCACCTTCATTATGAAGACTGATGTTACCAGACAGGGATCTGAGCAAGCTTTTGCTGTGTCTGATTTTGATGGTAGTAATTTAGAGCTCTTGGTAACTAGATCAACACAGCTCCGTTACTCCCCACCAATCACCAGGTTTGCGGCAAAAGGTTTCTGAGAGGGCCTGGAATTCATTGGTCCTGGGGACCTGGGATTGCCAGTTGAATGAGATGGCCAGAGCCCAGGAGTGGGCTCCCCAGCCAGTATGGGCACACGGAGAAGCAGACCCAGAAATGAGGCCAGGTCCAGGGTGGCAGGGAGGCTGGGGAGGCAGTGCGGGACAAGTCCACAAGTGGTGAATGCTTATTGGTATAAGAAGGCAGGGAGCCTGGGAACTGCCCAAACACGGATGCTGGCCATGGAGATGGAGAGGAACCAGAAAGAGCTTCCAGAGACCCTCCGGCCCTGGAGGGTGGGGGACTCTAAGACACAGCCTCCAAAATACGAATTTCAGAGTCTGCTGATTGGCCTGATCCCCCAAATCTCTGAGACATAACCAATCCCACAAACACCCACTTGAGCCAACTCAAATCTGCTCTCAAATTGGGGTTCTGGGAAGGAGGCACGAGGGAGCTTTTCCTCTAAATTCCAGGGCCACCCCATTCCTGTCAGTCGGGACCTCAGCCGTGGGAGTTAGTGATGCCCATGGTCCTGGGGTCCTCTTCGGTTCCCTTCTTGACCCCAAGCAGCCCCTGGAGTCTGGGAGGGGGCCTCTCTCTCTGCCTGGAAAATCAGCCCCAGGCCCTGAAGTGCCAGAGCTAGGAGGGGCCTTGAGCTCTGTGGTCCAACTCCCTCATTAACAGAGAGAAACTGAGGCCTGGAGAAGCCAGAGACCTGCCCAGGGGTGGGTGCTGGAATCTAATCTCATCCCATGGTTCTTTCTATTTGACACGCTGCCCAGCATGGAGGAGGCGCTCTGTATATACAGGTTGAAAAACTGTATGACCCAATGGATGAATGGATACATGGCTGGGTGGCTGGGCAGATGGTGGATGGATAGGCTGCCTCCTATCTTTAGAAGAGGAGCAAGTACCTCCTCCTGATTTCCTGTGGTGTGGTTAGCTCTGCAGACCATACCTTGGAAATTTATGAATAAACAAAATGATTAGATGCCACCCAGAAGTGTATAACACACTACACAGCGGCGACCAAATTGGCTTTAGGAACAGGAAACTCTGCCAGACCAATTTAATTTTCTCTCCCGTGATAGAATGATGGGCCTCATCAGTAAGGGATGGGAAGGCAGCTGTCATCGATCTTGATTTCAGGGCGGCTGTGGGTTCTGTCCTACATGACATTCTCATCAACTTGCCAAGGAAACACTGTCTGTTCCAGCCTCCCCTGGGGATGAATGACTGGCCCCAAGGCTTTATGCCCGAGGCCCTGTCCCCATGTCAACTCCCCATGGGCACCCGGCTCCCATTCAGATGCTGCCTGTGCACACCTGGTCCAGCAAGGGCTGGCTCGAGTGTGCTCACACGCAGAGAACAGGATAATGTCTGGATGCAGATGTGTACACATGAGCATGTGGATAGAGACAGGCGTGCACATGACACACAAATACACACATGTATTTGCAAACATGTGTGTGTTATACCAAGGTCAGCACCCAGGTATCAGCCATACATGAGCCCAAGGCAGCTGCGATTGAGCCTGAGGAAGTGGCGGAGGTGGGAAAGGGTTAGCCAGGGACAGCACAGGGCTGAATTGTTGATTGAGTGCAGATCCACGCTCTAAAGAAGTGCCGTCCGATAGAAACAGAACTCCAGCCGTGTATATAATTTTAAATTTTCCAGTAGCCACATTGAAAAGTAAACAGAAAACAGATGAAATCAATTTTAAGATATATTTTTGCTCATTGTATTAGCTCAATAGATCCTAAATATGATCGTTTCAACATGTAATCAATAAAAATTATTAATGAGAATGTTATTCTTTTTTTTTTGCTTTCTTTTATACATATGGCAACCATGGGGGCGCTAATTCACACACAAGGATTTCACTGGATAAGCTAGATCTGCAGTTAGATTTTGTTAAATTTACAGTCGAAAAGGTAGGTTCACATACCCAAGTTGTTCCAAACATATTTAAAAGGGTTTTTGTTGTTGTTGTTTGAGACAGGTTCTTGCTCTATCACCCAGGCTAGAGTGCAGTGGCAAAATCATGGCTCACTGCAGACTCAAACTCCTGGTCTCAAGCGATCCTCCCACCTCAGCCTCCCAAGTAGCTGGGACTACATGCGTGCACCACCATGCCTGGCTCATTTTTTTATTTTTTGTAGGAATGAGATCATGCTATGTTGTCCAGGCTGGTCTCAAACTCCTGGCCTCAAGCAATCCTCCCACCTTTTAGGCTACCACACCCAGCCTAAAAGTTTTTCAATAACCGAATTGATTATCAGTTTTAAAATCTAGGTTAATGCAAATCAAATTAAAAGTGTAGTTCCCCAGTGGCACCAGCCCCCTTCCCAGTGTCCCCAGCCACAGGCGGCAGCTGGCTCCCACAGTGGGCAGCGGGTCGGCAGCCTTGAGGGGAAGGGGGGAAGAGAAAGGGTCAAATGGGTGTGGGGGTGGTAGGAGGCTGGGCTTAGGGGAGGTGGGGGCGGGCGATGGGTGGAGTGGAAGGGGAAGGAGGGGAATGAGGGCCCTGCAGAGCTGGAAGCTGCAGGGTTTCCCTATGGCTGCTCCAGGAGCAAAAGGGGGTGGCAAAGAGGCAGAGAGGATGCTGAGGCTGGATGAGCTATTGTTAGCCTCCTGTGGGTATCTCCAGCCCCCAGGACACAGCCCAAAGCCCCTTACCTCTCCGGGAGGAATCCTAGGGCTGCCTATGAGCTTGGCCAGGCTCTGCCCACCTCCTTCGCCACAACTCTTCCCACCTCAGTCCCTACCCACAGGTCCCCCTATCTCCACCTGCCATGTGGGCAAGGTATTGCTGCTCCAGCTCCACTAGAGGGTTGGCTGCCCACACCTGGATGGGCCCTGGTGACTTCAGCACCCTTGGCAGAAATAGGGAATGACAGGGAATTGCCTTGGGGGTGGGTTTAGAGCAGGTTCTGGTTTGAGATGTGCTGGATTTGGGGGGCCTGTGGGAGGTTCTGAGGAGAGTCCAGCAGGTGGCTGGAAACGCTGGACCTGAGTTCTGGAAGAGAGGCACGAGGGAGCTCTTCCATGGAGGAAGGCACACAGCCACGAGCACACACGGCTCACTCCTTCCCCCATCCATGCGCACACGGCTCACTCCTTCCCCTGTGCAGCCACTTCCTTGCCCCGGCCAGTTTCCCCACACCTGCCCCAGAGGTGGTTACCCAGAATCTTTGTCCCATCCCGGGGTTCCCCTAGTTCCCCCCCAACCTCAGCAGCAAATCTGCTCTCAAATTGGGGTTCAAAGGGGAAGTGCCCAGGCATTGGGATTGGTCCCAGGGATGGAAGTGCCCAGGCATTGGGATTGGTCCCAGGGATGGGAGTGTCAGCACTTAGGGAGGCCATGGTGGAGGAGTCTGGGGCCAGAGAGGGCAGGTGTGGTCTCAAGGAGAAAGGGTTGGGTCAACAGAGTCCCTGGCCCTGGCATATGTCCCCTCATCCAGTTCTGGTTATCTGTGGATGTATGTATGGCACACATAACCCCAATCTCAGTGCCTTAAAACAATACTTTGCTTTTATCATGTCTCACGATTCTGTGGATCAGGAACCTGGACAGGGCACAGAGGGAATGGCTCCTCTCTGCCCCTGGATGTTTATGGCTGAAGCTCGGATGGCTCAAATGGCTGGGAACAGGAATGGGGGGCCAGACAGGTCTCCACCCTCTTCCCCCTACAGTCTCTCCTCGTGGCCACCTTGGGCTTCCTCACTGCATGGAGGTCTCTGGGTGCCAAGAGTCTCTAGAGTTCCAGGCAGAAGCTGCAAGGTTCTTAGGACGTTGCCTTAGAAATCCTGAACATCACTTCCGCCACATTTTATAGGTTGCGCAAATCACTAGGGAGAAGCCCTGATTCAAGCAGAGGGGAGGCACAGATTCCACCCCTCAACGGGAGGAGTGACAAGTGACACTGAAAAGGAGAGAATGGAAGGCAGCCATGCTGGGATCATGCCACCCCCCGCCAGCTGCCACTCACCTGAGGGCAGCAGCTGTGTGTTTTACCCCCTCTCCCATGTTAGTCAACCTGACAACCTTCCTGTCACTGTCACTGCCTTCTGCATGGAGGCCGCAGCCTCAGTAACATGTCAGAATGCTTGTCTCACCTACTTAGCTGGAAATGTAAACCCTTCAAGGTCGAGACGGTCTCTTTTACGCCTTGCTGTCCTGGCTTTGACATTTTGGGTGTTTTGTTTCCTGAATCAGCGCTCCTCGACTGGACTCATTGGTCTTCTGCACCAGATACCCCCAGCTCCTCAACACATCCTTATTGAGTATCCTGGTCCCTGGCCCTCTGGAGTGGAAAGAGGTCCTAGCACCTCACCACCAGAGCCCAGGTGCTGGCCCAGATGGAGGTGGAGGATGGAGAGGAGCATACCCCAGGGGCTGTGGCCATGGCAGGCCTTGGAGCCCTCGGTGCTGGCGGCCACCTGGATTTATGCCTCTCTTGGGGATATGTGCCCTATGTGTCTACCCGGCCCCCACCGCTGCATTTCAGTGTTGTTGTCCTGGCCTTACAATGCAAACTGTGTTAGAGGATTACACTGTTTCTGGGAGAAAATTTAAAAGAAAAGATAAACAGCAAAAAACAGGGAGGGGACTCATAGTACCTTTAAATAAACTACTTTGTCAAAATATTTCTAAATAATGACGACTAGGATAAATCTACATTCAAGTCCTTGCACAGAAATCCAGGCAGCGGTGTGCTGAGAAGGCGAGGCATCCCAATGTGTTCTTGCCCCCGGCGGAATGCCACAGAACAATGAGGCTGGGCGGTGCAGAGCACAAACTGTTGATGGAAAAGACGATTTCTGCTCAGGAGGGCAGGGGCTTGCCTCTATCTGGGTCCTTTTCATTGCTCTACAAAGAATCCTTTCTTCCTCCCAGGCCGCAGTAAGTAATAACAACTGGGGACTTTTCTCACGCCAACTTCTGAGCCGCTTCAAGTGTCATCTGGTTACCCATAAAATTCATACCTGGAATAGTGTCTTTGACCTTGGGCAAGTGTGCGTGTTGCCTGGCTCTTTCGCGGGATTCTGGGAGAGATCTCTCGGAGAGATGATGTTGAAATGTTGGCGGGTCGTGTGTATACTGTGGATTTTGTAGAGTACATAGTTTTTCCTTTTGGCCACTGTTAGATTGGGGAAACCATGTGTTTCTCAGAAGGAGGAGCACAGGCCCTCTCCCTCCGCATTCCCGGGCACGCTGGCCTGGCTTCTCCAGCGTTTCCCTGCACTACAGGGAGCACCGTGTCCTGTGGGTGCTGCTGTACCTGGGTCTCCACCCACCAGTCTTCCGTCCCTGCAGGTCTTGGGTCCCTGGAATAATTTGCCTTGTCCCCCTCTGGGTTTCTGTGTTCATCTGAGCATGCTTTGCTGCCCTAGCTTTGATAATTTGAGGACTTTGCCTCCAGAATAGGTGCTCTTCACCTGGTACCGGTGGCCTTTGGCCACCCAGCCCCTGAGTGTCACTGTGTCTTACTGAGTGGGACAGTGGCAAGGGCCCAGCCGGCTTGGGAATGGGGGCTGGATCTGAATTCAGTCTCCACCACTCACTGGCTATGGGATCCAGGCAGGGTATTCAAGAAGCCTGGGCTTCTGTCTGCTCTTCTCTAAAAAGGGGCTCATAAAATCCTCCTTACAGGGTTGGTGTGAGGATGATGATGCTTGCATGCCAATGGTCTGGCCCTCTGAAAGTGTCCAATAAATGACAGCTCTTGTTCCTCCCCTCGCCTTTACTGCTGAAGGCAGCAGTGGGCAGTCACTCCACACACCCTAACTATTAACTGTCTGGCCCAGGCCTCTGGAAACAAGCGCAACCCAAAGAGGCTAATTGAGAGGGGTGAGGGAGAAGTGATCTAGCCATCATGGAACCCCTATGTCTGGGTATTTTGCTGGGAGCTCCAGTTATCTCATTTAATCCTCAAAGATCCCTAAGAGAGAGGCACTACTACTATGATCATTTCAAAAAAAGAGGGACTTGGGGCTCACGGCAGAAGGTAGGTGTAGACGTAGACGGCTGTAGAGCTGGGATCCAAACCCAAGACTGGAACTGGGACCAAGGTGAAGGTTGGGTTTCAAAGAACTAAGAAGATAACAGGTGACTGGATACAGAATCTACCAACCCCCAGAAATACCCTCCATCTGGAAACAGGATTGAGGTAGGCGGATCCTACAGATGTAAGCAGATTGGCCCCCACTGTAGGGTGGGGCAGGGAGGCAGGCAGGCCTCTGGAGGCCTGTGGGGTCTATGGCACTGTGGCTGGCACAAATTCTACACATAAGGACTTGTTTACCCACCTGCTCTCTCTGCACAGTCTCCCAGAGCAGGGGCATCTGTGCCAGGAGGCAGGAGCAGGAGGCAGTATGGGGCCAATGGAGAGAGGTCCTTCAGCCTCCGGGACAGCACACCATGGCCTGTTCAGTCCTTGCCTGCTAGCTGCTTCCCAGTTCCCTGTCCTTCTCCCTTCCATCCTGCAGATATCTCCCCAGCCTCTCTTCTCTCACCAACTCTCTGTACTTCTGACATTATTCCCTCCTTCCTCCCACTGGGATCTGAGGCCCAGAGAAGTGCCTCACTGGTCCAGGCACACAGCGAGTCTACTGCCTGGACCTGCTTTTGGACATGCTGAGATTCCGTCCCCTGCCCCGTGTCCTAGCGGGGCTGCTGCCCATCCTCCCCCAGAGGCGAGATGGCACAGCCCCTTCAATGACAATGTCTCTCCTCCCATTACCGGGAACAGCCTCACTGACTGGCTGTCATAGAACTTTTGCAGCCTCAGGGGAACATGAGCTATCTCCCATCTCCCCAAGCTGTGAAACTGAAATACAGAAATAAAAGCCTTTCCTCAGGGGCCCTTCATCTCTTGGCAAATCGTGGTTAAGGAGCCCTCTTCCCTTGTCACAACTGCCCGGCTCAGGTTTAAAGCTGAGGGCACAGCAGACAAAGAGGGTAGGACGGGCACAGACCAAGCCACCATGGTGCCTGCTGAGTCCTGCAGTTCCGGCCTGACCCATGATAGGGGTAGGGAGGCAGACAGGCCTTTAGAGGCCTGCGGGGTCTACGACACTGTGGTTGGCACAAGTTCTATACATTAAGACTCGTTAACCCACCTGCCAGCTCAGCATAGGGCTCCTGGGCTAGGGGCACCCATGCTAAGAGGCTGGATTGAGAGATGGTGGCAGAGAGAATGAAACGTAACAGAGGAATAAACACTGGGCTTTAACATCAGGTGATACTCTCCCCGTCAATTATCCCGGTGGAGCTAGGGGATGGAGAGGACAGCTGCTGCAGCCTCGGCTCCCTTAGAGAGCAGACCCCAAGCCCTGGCTGTCCCACCCCACCGTCCCATGACTGGGCCAGCTGCTCTCAGGAGTCCCCTGGGAGTTCCCAAGCGAGCACCCAGGCCTCTTGCTTTGAGATTAGGCATTCCACTGTTTGCATTTGCTCTTAAGAAGGAAGTCACATCCAGAGACCCGTCTCTGGTGCTGAGTAACTCCCAGACTTGATGAGAGTCATTCGTTGCTCTCATTAACAGGGAGAGGCTGCCCAGACTTATGCAGCTGCATGTGATGAACAGGGCTGGGCACAACCACCCCAAACCGTGGACCGGGAGCTTCCCACAGGGCTGGAGGAGAAGCTCCAGGAGAAGTCTTGGAGTTTGAAGAAGCAAGACTTTCAGCTGGATGAGTCCCATCCAGTCCTGCTCTTAGCTAGCACCTGCTCTTAGAGGATATGTAAGGAGCCAATGTAACTGAAGAGTTAACACTGGGCTTTGGTATCCAGTGACTTTGGGTTCAAATCCTGGCTCTGCTACTTCCTATAGGTAACCTGACTTTTCTGAGCTGCTTCATCCTTATCGGTATGGAGGTGAGAGTAAGAGCAGTTTCACAGTTTCCAT
The DNA here is from genome assembly GCF_000001405.40 of Homo sapiens. NCBI lineage: Eukaryota > Metazoa > Chordata > Mammalia > Primates > Hominidae > Homo > Homo sapiens. Next base: position 1,039,553 of record NT_167251.2, read on the forward strand.
GCAGATCAAGTGAGGCCAAGCTGTAAAGCCTCCGGTGCACAGGCCATCAGTGCACAAAACTGGGCATTTATTACTGAGATGTTGCACAGGGCAGAGCACAGCGTGTGTTGGACAAATTTGCCTCATGAGGGTGAGAAAATTCTGGGCTGAGGCTTCTCAACAACCAGGGCAGCTTCTCCCTCCTTCATCGTCCTAGGGAAGAACCCCAGGGCATCTGTGGAATTTGGAGACACCTCATCTCCCAGCAGATAAAACGCAGGACTTGCACTTGGGAACTTAGGCCCCCAACAGACTCCCCCAGCAGTAGCAGAGGCAGGCCCCTCACATGCCCAGGGCAGGACCCAGAGACACGGACAGACACTCCTTGGAGGAGCTGGAAACTGTCGGGTTCCTCTCACACAGACTCTGCAATGACGTCTGGAGCAGATGGCAGGGGCGGATGTTCCTGGTTGGGTTGACAGAGCCTCATGTGCCTGGAAATTCCCCCAGTTCCGGGGGATCCCTTCCAGATGTTCCCACCCACAGCCTGGCTGAGGAGGAACAGTGGGGAGCTAAGAAGCCAGGGCTGGAAAGCTGAGCCAGCCTTCTCCACAGAAAGGCAGGCAGCCACCCAGGAGACCAGTCCAGAGTCCCCAGTGTCCTCAATACCCAGCCACCTCCACCAACACCTCCCTAGGGTTCCATATTAGAGAGCCATTCCTTCGAACATGTCATTGCTATCTCAGGAGGGATAACACATAAAACCCCTTGCCACTCAAACTATGGCCTAGCAACATTAGGCATCATTTGTTGGAATCTCAGGCCCATCCCTGATCTCCTGAATGAGAATGTGCATTTTAACAAGATGCCCAAGTGATCCCATATGCACCTCTAGGTTGGAGAAGTGCTGCGTTAAGCTGCTATTGTCCACTCACTTTCTGAAATGCAAGCTCCACAAGGATATGGATTCTTTGTTTTGTTTACTATATCACACCCAAAGAGTCCCTTAAACAGAACTCATTAAATGCTTTTTGAGGCCAAGTGTGGTGGCTCATGCCTATAATCCCAGCACTTTGGAAAACCAAGGTGGGAGGAGTGGTCGAGGCCAAAAGTTTGAGACCAGCCTGGTCAACAGTTCCTACAAAAAATTTTTAAAAATTAGCTGGGCATGGCAACACTTGCCTGTAGTTTCAGCTACTTGGGAGGCCGAGGCAGGAGGATTGGTTGAGCTTAGGAGTTGGAGGCTGCAATGACCTATGATCATGCCACTTCACTCCAGCCTGGGTGACTAAGACCCTGTCTCTAAGGAAAAAAAAAAAAGCTTTTTGAATAAAATGAATTATTTAGATTATTTAGGGCTTAGTTTCCCATAGCACAGAGAGGCAGGTACACAGCATAGGTAAGTTTTTTTTTTGTTTTTTTTTTGGTTGTTGTTGTTTCGGTTTTGGATTTTTTTGGAGACGGAGTCTCACTCTGTCACCCAGGCTGGAGTGCAGTGGCACAATCTTGGCTCAGTGCAACCTCCACCTCCCAGGTTTAAGCAGTTCTCCTGCCTCAGCCTCCCAAATAGCTGAGATTACAGGTGCCTGCCACCACGCCAGGCTAATTTTTGTATTTTTAGTAGTGACGGGGTTTTGCCATGTTGGCCAGGCTGGTCTTGAACTCCTGATCTCAGGTGATCTGCCCACCTCAGCCTCCCAAAGTGCTGGGATTACAGGTGTGAGCCACCGTACCCGGCCAGCATAGGTAAGTGGAAGGAGAAGAAATTAGAATGGGTCATCCCAGGGTCCAAGGCACTCCCAGGGTGAGGGGTAGGAAAGGAGGAGAAGGGCAAGGAAAGAAGAAGTGTGGTGGCCCCAGCCATCTGTATAATGAATGACTGTATAATCATCTGTATAATGAATGACTCCCAGCACTAGAAGTGCAAGTGGCACTTGGGAGGAAATAGGACAAACCCCTTCTCCTAGATATCCTCTTCCTCTGTCTCCACCTTCATCAGGCCTCTCTGGAGCCCTGTCCCTAGCGGCCCCTCTTACGACCCCTCAGAACCCCGATTCCTGCCAAAATCCTGAGTACACTTCAAGCTTCTCCTGGGAAGGCACGTTCAGCGGCTGTACCCTCTGCCTCCCCATGAGGAGCTCTGGTTGATGTGGGAGGGTCCTTGGGGGCGACAGGCCCCAGCACTGACCCTGGCCCATTTCCGAGCACATGGGCTTCTTCCCACCCCACTCCCAGCAGAGCCTCCGGGCCAGGCAGGCTAGCTTTCTCTGAGGCTCAGGTCACCTGGGGCTACAGATGCTCCCTCCACAGTTGTGCCCCAGCCTCAGCCCAGGAGCTCAGCAGGAGAATCACCCAGTGATTGGCAAGCTGAGCCCTCTATTTGCAGTGGGGAAAGCTGAGGCCCAGGGCGATGAAACCACATGGCCAAGTTCACACAGCTGGAATGGCAGGAATGCATGCCCAGGGCCCTGCCTCTTGGATGGGTGCACTCTCTGGCTCACATTTGGATAGCTTAGGTGTTCCTCCTCTGGGTACCCTAGCATCTAGAGCCTGACAATGAGTAGGTGCTCAGTTATTGTGGAATGAATGAAAGAGAAGCAAAGAACCCCACTGGGAGCCAAGAGAATGACAATGGCAGTAAAGGCCACTGTTTATCTGTGCTCAGCACTTTACACAGGCTGTTTCTTTGAAGACTTACAACAACCCTCTGGGAGAGGCACTGTTATCATTCCCGACTACATATAAAGAAACCAAAGCTCTCAGGGATTAAGACATGAACCTCAATCATGCCTGAGCTGGGATTTCAACACGTTTCTGCCTAGAACTCTAAAGCCCCAGTCCTCATCAGGATGCCGTGCCGCTTTCTTGTTGGCGAACTCTTTTCTTTGAAAGAGGCCACTGCAGCCCAGATGGCTCTGGCAGAGGCTCTGAGCTGGATGAGTTTGTAATTCACTTTGATGACAAGCAGAATGTGTCCCCACTGGCTCACCAAGGAGCCTGGGATGTCAAGGAATTCTTCTTTCTGAATCCCACTCCTCACCTGGGATGCCCCAAATCCCCCCTATTCGTTCTCAGTGGTGGCTTCCATTTAAATTGAAGCTCTTCTGCAGGACCTCGCTGACCCTTCAATCTGAAATAGCACCCCACCCACCCCACTCTCTCCATCCCCCCTGCCACTTCATCCTTCTCAGCACAAAGCATCACCTGACAATATCGTGCAGCTGTGTTTGCATTTTAACTGTCTCCTCACTTGGATGGGACCTCCATGCAGGCAAGGACATCGGCTCCTTTACTGCTCTGTCCTCAGGGCCTGGCATGTAGCGAGTGCTCATTACACACTGCCTGCATGAATGAACCCTCAGAGCATAACACATAAAATAGCACTTTTCTAAATCAGCACCCCTGTGTAGTAATCCCGTGAAAGATGGGCCTCTAGGAATTTGCTAATAAAGTAAAGGGCCAGTATCTGCCAGATGCTGACTTTCTTCTTCTTCTTCCTCTTTTTTTTTTTGAGAGAGTCTCACTTTGTTGCCCAGGCTGGAGTGCGATGATGCAATCTCAGCTCACTGCAACCTCCGCCTCCCGGGCTCAAGTGATTCTCCAGCTTCAGCCTCCCTAGTAGCTTAGATTCCAGGTGTGCACCACCACACCCAGCTAATTTTTGTATTTTTTGTGGTGACAGGGTTTCACCATGTTGGCCAGGCTGGTTTCAAACTCCTGACCTCAGGTTATCCACCCACCTCGGCCTCCCAAAGTGCTAGGATTACAGTCATGAGCCACCATGCCTGGGCCAGAGGTTGACTTTCAATAAATCACAGTGGGGCCAGGCATGGTGGCTCACACCTGTAATCCCAACACTTTGGGAAGCCAAGGCAGAAGAAGCACTTGAGCCCAAGAGTTCAAGACCAGCCTAGGCTCCGTCTCTACAAAAAGTCAAAAATTAGCTGGGCGTGGTGGCACATACCTGTGGTCTCAGCTACCTTGGGAGGCTGAGGTGGGAGGATCTCTTGAGCCCAGGAGGTTGAGGCTGCAGTGAGCCATGATTGTGCCACTGCACTTCTGCCTGGGTGGCAGAGTGAGACCCTGTCTCAAAATACAAATAAATAAATAAAGTTTAAAAAATAAATAAATCACAGCAGATCCATGTGCTCACACATTGAATGTGTACTGAGCACCTCCTTGTGCCAGGAAGTGTGTTAGACTCTGGGCATATTTCCGTGAACAAGTCATGCCCCCGCCCCAACACACCACCCAAAGAGTTTATTTTAGTGGAGGAGATGGACATTCAATAATCCCCCCAAATAGATATTGATTCTGCATTGTGCTAGTGCTGGAGCTGATCAGGGGCCTGGTAGGAAGGGGACAGGTTTGAGGCTTGCCCCCTGACAAGGACACTGGCACTGAATGGCACTCACGTGTGTCTTCCTGAGTGGCAGTAAAGGGGCCAGGGCAGCAGCTGGCATGCCCAGAGCTGTGTTCACCCCAGAGTGTGGGTTTGGCAGAGGAGCAACATCCCTCATGCCAGCTGCAGGGAGAGAGGCTTGGTAAGTGCTGGGAGAAAGCTTTTCTCCAGGAAAGGCTGACCCCCACAGGGTCGCAGGGTCTGGGGCTCTGCCTCACAGCATTAGGGGGTCTCACAAGTTACCTACAGGAACCTCACTCCACCCTCAGTCTGGGCTCCAGGAGCCCGCTTCTCTAGCTGGAAAACAAGATATGTAACAAGATCTGCTTCCCTACAGGCACTGAGAATATTAGACAGATCTGAGGGGCCGAGCCCTGTGCCTGGCTGGCAGGAGTGACCTGTGTGGGTCTCTAAATGCAGGAGTGGTGGACATTCCTGGGATGTGCAGTGGGCAGAGGTCACAGTGCAGTGAAGGGCCAACGCAAGGGCATATTAAAGGGACTGGGGTTGTTCCACCTGGAGAGCAGATGGTTCTCAATGTGCCTCAGTTTCTGAGTCTGTAAAATGGGTCACCAACCAGTTGTTTTCACACAAAGGGCAGGAAAAGAAGTGGACTTTAACTAATGAGAAAGATTTGCAGTCAGATAAGAGGAGAAATTTCTTAAACCTCAGAGAAAATAAATGTCGGGTGATATGGTTTGGCTGTGTCCCCACCCAAATCTCATCTTGAATTGTAACTCCCACAATTCCCACGTGTCATGGGAGGAACCCGGTGGGAGGTGATTGAATTATGGGGGCGGGACTTTCCTGTGCTGTTCTCATGATAGTGAATGACTCTCATGAGATCTGATGGTTTTAAAACATGGGAGTTTGCCTGCATAAGCTCACTCTGTTTGTCTGCCACCATCCACGTAAGATGTGACTTGCTCCTCCTTGCCTTCCACAATGATTGTGAGGCTTCCCCAGCCACATAGAACTGTAAGTCCAATTAAACCTCTTTCTTTTGTAAATTGCCCGGTCTCGGGTATTTCTTTATCAGCAGCATGAAAGCAGACTAATACACTGGGTACACTGGGATAAACCAATGAGAGGAACAGGTGGAATTCCTTGGAAACAGAATTATAAAGCTGGAAGGAAAGTCATACCTCACCCCCTCCCTTAAATTTTAGAAGTGAGACTCTTAAGGGGACAGTGACCTGCCTTGGTAAGCAGGTGGTTAGTAGCAGAGAACCCAGAACTCCTGACTCTAGATCCATCTTTACCTTCTACCTTTCCCCATTATATTATCCTAGGAAAGAAACCAAAGCTCACAGAAAGGATATCTAACATCAGCCCAGATTATCGAACATTATATGCCAGGAAATGTCCTCAGCTTCTCCATAGTTTTAGGGTTAATCTTCCAAGCAATCCTATGAAGAGGGCACCTTATCTTAATAAGGAAACTGAGGCACAGAGAAGCTAAGCAACAAACTCATGGTCATTCAGCTCCTCAGGGACAGAGGGAGGATTTGTACCCTGGCCTTCTGAGTTATCTGCTGGCTCTGCAGCCTCTCCAGTCCTTAGTTCCCACCCTAGAGGGGACAAATCAGAGCTTTTCAACCTGTCTGGAACTGTTAGTCATCATGACCTCCATGGTTCAGCTTGACTGCACTAAAAGATCCTGATGGCTTCCAAAATGACAGCTATTTCCCTTTGCAGAGCTTTGCGCACTTTCTCCCACACCTTAACAGGACTCCCTTAGAGGATAGTTTCAGGCAGGACCAGCTTCATGGGAATGCCACCTGTGCAGTCAGGCAGAGCCACATGCTTAGAAGGAGTCTGCCTTTGGCCTAATGCATTCTTAATATTTCTTGAAGAAGTGCCCTGCATTTTTATGTGCACTGGGCTCTGCAAATTATGTAGCCCATCCTGATTTCAAAGTTAGCAACCTTCACCTGAAGGGGGTGGCGGTGGTGGTGCTACTGCACTAGAAGGATGGACACCCAAGGTCTTGTTGGCAGCAGGGCACCTTGGGATGATGGGGATGCCACCTGCTTCTTCCCATTCCACTTTCCCCAGACAAAGGTGCGAGGTGAGCTTGGAGCAGGGCAGTGTTCTCATATTCACATTCTCTCTCTCTCTCTCTCCCTCCTTCTCCCATCTCCCCGTCTCCCCGTCTCTCCTTCCTGCAGGCTGTAAATGAACCAGACAAGGCCAGGTGGAGGTGATGCTCCTTCCGGGCCCAGAGTTGAAGACCTACCCTTAGGTTTCCTTGACAGCCTTAGTTTCTTTCTGACTCTGCTGGGCTTGCAACCAAAGGCAGCCCATCTGGCTGTGCCAGGGGTAAGAAAAGACATGATTTAGCGCCATAACAATTTTAACATCAGGCAAAACAGATGCCATGTGAGAGAGACTCAAGGTAGAACAGTACATGGCAGATAAAAGAAATGACCTAATTAGATCTCAAACATACAACCTTGAGTTTAAAAAAGGCATTTTGCTGTGTGATATGTAACTGCGCCACCCTCTGTGTAAAACAAGCCACACATACACACACACGTGCTGACACACAATATATATTTCCCATGAGCCCACGCATATATGTGAAAAAAAAATTTTAAGTGTGAAAGGATCACACCAAATTCATATAGTACCTGTTGCCTCTGAAACTGAGGTGGGTTGTCAGAGGGAAGATTATCTGTGACCATCTAACAATTTATAAAAGATAATCACTCGAGTGGTTTTCTTTTAAGCACAGATGCTCCAACTGTGGGACAAGGGAGGGTTGTCCATCCATCCCTTCCTCCCTGGGGTTCTGGTAGTGCCTAGCCCCAATGGATTGCACAGCATGCTGCAGTTGATGGAGCACCATCGCCTCCCTTGTCTTAGGTGATGCCCAGAGCGATGCCTTGTGGGGGTAGGGCAGGTATAATTATTATTCCCATTTTATAGAGGAGGCAACAGAGTCAGAAAGGTTGAGTGACTTGCTCACACACGCAAAGCCAGTAAGCAGCAGATGGGGACTCTTTTGTCCTCCAAGCTGAGTCAGACACAGAGGGGGTGGAATGGCCGGGGCCCAAGTGCTATTTATTCCCCATGGCTATTTAGGGTTTGCAGGATATGTTTTCCCTCTAGGCAGATATAGTTTCTCCTAGACCCACTTTGAGCCTCCAAACAGACAAGGGATGTGCTAACCCTTCTCCTGAACCACAAAGGTGATGCCCTCTCTACCTGCCTTATGGTGCTGGGAGACACACTCAAACAGAAGCAGCCAAAGTAGAGACTTCTTTTCCTCTGATACCAGTCCAGCTCGCTGCCTGCCCAGACTAAAGCTTCAGTTTCCCTTGCAAGAAGAATCCCAGCCTGCCGCATCCTCTTTTCCTGATTGGTTCTCCCTCTCGGGCTCCTCTTCCTCCTTTCAGGCCACTGAGTGGCTCCTCCTCTCACCTTCCTGGCCACTGATTGGCTCCCTTTCTCAGGTTCCTCCCCCCATCTTTCTGACCCCTGATTGGCTCCCCTTCTCTGGCTCCTCCCTCCTTCCTGGACCTGCCTTTCTGTCTTCCACCAGAGGTTGCCCTAGGCTGCTGGACTTGGTGAACTTTTAGGTAAGTGGGTCTGGAGATATCAGTGACACACTGGCCATATAAAAACCGGCTGGAGCCTGTTACACAGCCAGAAGCCAGGACCCCAGGCCCACAGATGCTGATTCAATAGGTTTGTGGTGGAGCTCAGGGATCTGTAGTTTATAAAAACAAGTCCCAGGTAATGCTGACATTCAATGCAATTGAGAAATCACCCATCTAGTCCAAACCTTTAAGTCAAAAACAGGCAAACCCAGGCCTAAAAAGGCTAAATTACTTGTCCAAGGCCACACAGCTAATCAACTGAAACTGAATATTGGGCAGCTCCTGGTCCCCACATGACACCTCTCCCCACCCCGCAGATACACACATACACCTCACGCACCTCCTCCAGATTTGACTGGCTCGGCTTCTGTCCTGAGACCTGACTAAGATCTGGTCCCTTTACTTCTAGGCCACAGGACCCAAAGTCCAGGCCAGAGCAGTCCCTGTGGAACAGGAGCGGGACAGCAATTTCTTGATGAAAGGTGTTACACCGCAGGGGCTAAGGCCTGGCATTATTCTGCTGCCTGGGTGGAGCCCAGGTCACACACCAAGCAGTGAGGAAACCTGAGCTGCCCCTCCCTGTTCCCAACTGTCCCAGGAGGCCCCAGGGGCCTGGTCCCACAGCCACTCTCCCCAAGATTCAGGTGTCACATAACTGGGCCCCAAGCCAGGCCTCTGGTTCTCAGGCAACTCTCCCCCTCCCTGGGGCCTGCAGGAATCTCAAGAGATTGCAGTTTCCTCTGTTAGAAATGGCTGGAAACCTTAGGAGGGCAGAGGGAGGGTGCTGAGGCAGCAGGACCCCCTCCTGGGCCCCAAGTGATCCTTTCCCACTACCAACAAGCCCTGAGCAGACGAAGTGTTCCAGGTCCTGCCACTGTGGACTGCTGCCACTTGGACCCTTCACTGCCAACCCTGTGCCCCCACTACTCCTTCTGCCTTGGCCCTTGTCCTGATTCTGCTCAACACACTTGTCACACCTTCCCAAAAACTGCAGTTCTGAAGTTCGTAGTGTGCAGGGGAATTATGAGAGCCAGCCCTTCTGCTTCTGGAAAATTGCTATTGTGACTATACCCACTCTTCTCTGGCACTCAGGAAGGGGAGACAGCAGAGATAGAAAGAAGGGCTCTGAAAGTCTGAGGTACAATATCAAGTACCAGCTGAACAAAGCTGGAACTCGCACACATTGCTTGGTAATGCAAAATGACGCACAGTTTTGAAAACAATTTGGCAGTTTCTTATAAAGTTGAACATGTACTCACCATACAAATTAGCAATGCTACTCATAGGTATTTGAGTAGCATTTCGTTTCCCAAGGGAAACGAAAACCATGTACATACAAAGACCTGTTTGTGAATGTTTATACAGACTTCATTTATAATCACCAAAAACAGGGAACTCCCCAAATGTCCTTCAGCTGGTAAATGGATAAATAAACTGGTACATCCATACAATGTATAAATGGCTGCTCAGTTTGTTTATCCATTTACCAGTTGTCCACCACATTAACATGATTATATCAATTGATGCTGAAAAGTCAACACCCATTAAACAACAATTCAATACTCATCCATTATAAAATTCAAAGAAAAATTGGAATAGAACTTTCTCAACTTGATGAAAAGCATCAATGAGAACCCTACAGCTAACATTATACTTAATGGTGAAAGACTGAATGCTTTTGCCTTAGATGAAAACAAAGCAAAAATGTCTGCTGTCACCACTTTTATATGACATAGTGCTGTGAAAGTTTTAGCCAGTGCAATAAGGCAAGAAATTAAAAGGCATACAGATTAAAAAGGAAGAAATAAAAACTGTTCCTATTTGAAAATAACATGATTGCTTTTGTAGAAGTTCCCAAGGGATATACAAAATATTAGTACTAATAAGTGAATTCAGCAAGGTCACAGAATACGAGATAAACATACAAAAATCTGTTGTATTCCTATGTACTAGAAATGAACACCTGGATATCAAAATTAAAAATACAATACCATGTGCAACTACAAAAAGAAAAAGAAGAGATACTTAAGTGTAAATCTACAGGATTTGTATGCTGAAAACTACAAAAAGAAGATGAAACAAGTCAAAGAACAGCTAAATAAATGGAGAGATGTTTTATGTTCATGGATTGAAAGATTCAACATAGTAAAGATGTTGACTTACTCCGCAAAAGGATATATGAGTTTAATGCAATTCCTTTTAAAATCTTGCAAAAGTTTTTATAGCTATACACAATATTACTCTAAAATTTATGTGGAAAGACAAAGGAACTAGAATAGCTATCTTAGTCTGTTTTGTGTTGCTATAAAGAAATACTAGAGGCTGGGTAATTTTTAAAGAAAAATGGTTTATTTGGCTCATGATTCTCATGGCTACAAGTTCAAGATTAGGCATCTGCATCCGACGAGGGCCTCAGGCTACTTCTGCTCATAGCAGAAGGCAAAAGGGAGCCAGAGTGTGCAGAGATGGCATTGTGAGAGAGAGGAGGAAAAGGAGGGTGTGCTAGGCTCTTTTAACAACCAGCTCTCACAGGAATTAATTGAATGAGAACTCACTCACTCCAGAGAAGGCCATTAATCTATTCATGAGAGATCCACCCCTATGACCAAAACACCCATTAGGCCCCACCTCCAACATTGAGAATTAAATTTCAACATGAGATTTAGATGAGACAAACATCCAAACCATAGGAATAGCAATTTTGGAAAAAAAAAAGAATAAATTGGGAGGAATCAGTCCATCTCATATCAAGCTACAGTAATCACTGTATAGCTACAGTAAGACTGAATGTTACTGGCATACAAGATACAAGATAACTTACAAGACTGTATGTTATTGGCAGAGAGATATACATCAATGGAACAGAATGGAGAAACCAGAAATAGACCCACACAAATATGCCCAACTAATTTTTGACAAACGTACAAAACTAATTCAATGGAGGAAAATAGCCTTTTCAACAAATGGTGCTAAAAAAAAAAAAAGCCTCTAAGTCTTACGCCTTATACTAAAATTAACTCAAAATGGATCATTAACTTAAATGTAGAACATAAAACTATAAAACTTCTGAAAAAACAGGAGGAAGTCTTCAGGATGTAGGTCTATGCAAAGAGTTCTTAGGTTCAACACCCAAAGCATCACCCATAAAAGGAAAAATTAATAAATTGGACTTCATCACAAAAGCTTCTGTTTTGTGAAAGGCCCATTAAAAAGCATTAAAAAGATGAAAAAAAGCTACATACTGGGAAAAATATTTGCAAACCATATATCCAACAAAGAACTAGTATGTAGAATATATAAAGAACACTCAAAACTCAGCAGTCAGAAAACGAACAATCCAATTAGAAAATAGGTAAGAGACATAAAGACATATTTCACCAAAGAAGACATCATATGGCAAATAGCACATAAAAAGATGCTCATTGTTCATCATTAAGGGAATGCAAGTTACAATCACAATGAGAATCACTATGTACCTATCAGGATGGCTAACATAAAACAGTGATAATACTAAATGCTGACAAGGATTCAGAGAAACTGAGTCACTCATACATTGCTGTGGGAATGTAAAATGGTACAGGCACCGTGGAAAACAGTTTGGCAGTTTCTTTCAAAAACTAAACATACAACTACTGTACAACCCAGCAATTGTACTTCTGGGCATTTATCCCAGAGAAATGAAGACTTGTATATAAATGTTTATAGATGCTTTATTTATTTGTATTAGCCCCAGACTGAAAATGATCCACTTGTCCTTCAACACAGAAATGATTAAATAAACTGGGGTATATCCTACCATGATCTAATACTCAGTGACACTGTTAGGCTTTGTGTCCCCATCCAAATTTCATCTTAAATTGTAATCCCGAGGTATTGAGGAAGAGAACTGGTAGGAGGTGATTGGATCACGGGGACAGTTTCCCCTATGCTTCTCTCATGATAGTGAGTTCTCACGAGATCTAATGGTTTTATAAGACAGTTTTCCCTGCACTTGCTCACTGTCTCTCACCTGCTGCCGTGTAATATGTGCCTGCTCCCCCTTCTGCCAAGATTGTAAGTTTCCTGAGGCCTCCCCAGCCATGTGGAACTGTGAGTCAATTAAACCTCATTTGTTTATAAATTACCCAGTCTCGGGTAGTAGCTTTATAGCAGTGTGAGAATGGATTAATACAGTCAGAAAGAACTACTGATACACAAAACAACCTGGATGAATCTCCAGAGAATTATGCTGAGTGAGAAAAGCCAATCCCCCAAAGTTACATATGATTCCATTTATATAACATTCTGGAAATGACAACATTATGGAAATGGATAACAGATCAGTGGTTGCCATCAGTTAAGGAGAAGATAGGGATGGGAGGGAAGTAGATATGGCTATAAAAGGGCAACATGAAGATCCTCATGGTGATAGAAACGTTCTGTATCCTGACTGTGTTAACATCAATATCTTGGTTGTAATATTATAGTTTTGCAAGTTGCTATCATGGGAAACTGAGTAGAGGATTCCCCAATTATCTCAAAATTTAAAATTTTAGGTAAGAAAATTTAAACTTTGAAGAGAGAAAAAAGATAAAACGCTGCTGCTTCTCCAAGATAAAATAAGAATGGCCATGGCTTCCCGACAATCACCTGGACTTACCTGAAACAGACTCATTGAATCAGGAGAATTGGCTTCCACGTTCTACAGCCTCTCTTCCTCCCTCCAACACGAGTAAGCCCTCTGTAGTCTCTCCTCCTTTCCCCTACCAAAATGTAAAAAAGCTGATAAAGCACTAATACTAATCATAAATAATTGTTCAGACAGTGAGTGCATACTCACAAAGGGATGTGCATTTTAATGGGAACAAGTCATAGTAAGCTAAAAAATGAACCACCAATAGTGAAATTGCTGATACAGCAGGCAGAGGTAGGAAGACATTTAAGATGGTTGGAAAAGGAAGAACTTCCTTGAACTCTGAAAATCCATCAGGCCTGCAGGCTGGGTTGATTCATCAGGCCAGCTGTGCCCAATAGGTAGAGTGGAGAGATTTAAGCACCAGGGTAGGGGACAGGAAATGGCAGAATGAAGATATCAGTAGTGTAGTGCTCCAGGATTGGATGGGAATGATTAGAAAGAAAGAGAATTGAGATTTGAAAGGTAAAAGATATTTATTCATTTGCCTAGGACGTTTCACCACTTTAAAAATTAATTAAATTTGTTAGAGATGACATCTCACTATGTTGCTGTATTAGTCTGTTTTCATACCGCTATAAAGAACTGCCCAAGACTGGGTAATTTATGAAGGAAAGAGGTTTAATTGACTCATGGTTCTGCACAGCTGGGGAAGCCTCGGCAAACTTACAATCATGGTGGAAGGTGAAGGAGAAGCAAGGCACCTTCTTCACAAGGCAGCAGGAAGGAGAAGTGCCAAGCGAAGTGGGAAGAGGCCCTTATAAAACCATCAGATCTTGTGAGAGCTCACTCACTATCACGAGAACAGCATGGGGGAATTGCCCCCATGATTCAATTATCTCCACCTGGTCTCTCCCTCCACATGTGGGGATTATGGAGATTATAATTCAAGATGAGATTTGGGTGGGGACACAAAGCCTAACCATATCAGTTGCCCGGGCCAGTCATGAACTTTCACCACTGTTTTCTGCAAAGCACTGTGCATTCCCATTCTAGTTAGGCGATCTAAATGTAAAGTGGCCATTTTGGAACAATTATTAGCCTGGGTGTGATCACCTGATCCAGCCCTGACCAATCATAATACCTTTCTACCTCTGAGTTTCAATAATTGGTTGAGAAGGTGATGGGTAATTCAAGCCTAGCCAATTGGAGTCTTCTCCTATTGGTTGGTTGGTTGGTTGTAACTGGAATTGGAGTTTTGTCTACTGTGATGAAACTGAGAGTATTAGGCCTTGGACCAGCAGCACGGGAGAAGCTATCTAAGCAGGGAGCTGACACCTAGAGAACCAGGCAGTAGGAGGGAGGCCTGGTGGCCCCAGAGTCCCTGGTTTAAGTCATTCCTGAGGCTGGCTGCATTCTTGTCCAGCCAGTGGTTTGGATACTGGAGTCAATAAGTAATCCCCATACTCCCCTTTCCCAGAAGCCCGAGCAAAGCTGGCTCTGTACGCAGGATGAGGGGAGACTTGTGTGTGTGTGTGCGCTGTGGGTTCCTGATCAGAAAGTTCTACCCCATCTGATGAGCCCTGGCAAAAAAGTCATCAGAGATGGTACTGAGGCTCTGAAAGCCTACGTGCTGGGGAAGAAGATCCCAAGGAAGCAATAAGGTAGGAACCATCTTTTCACTTATGGAGCACCTGAGCTGCACTGGATAGCACACTCCAGTGTAAATGTTATTAGTCCATTTTTCAGAGGAGAAAACTGAGGCTCACACAAGTAAAGTCAGTTGTTCGAGGTAACATGGTAGTAAGAGGCAGGCTTGGTATGGGACCCAGTCATTTCTTACTTCCAAGCTAGTTTCTTTCTAGTTGGCCACCCTATTCTCCAGGAGCCTCCCATTCTCTTAGCAAGGCACAGCTGCTTATTTAAAGATTACCCAAAGCTTTTGACCAGCTCAGACATCTCAGGACTCTGAATCTCATAACCACAGGGGTCCTGGGAGGCAAGTGCCAATCCAATGAGCCTTAGAGGCTACTATTTAGAGCCAGATATGAGACGGTGTCCAGGCTGAATATGAGACCCTGGGAAATTACTTAACCTCCCTGAACCTCAGTTTCCCTATTTCTATCTGAGTTAATAATAGTAACTGCCTCCTATGGTTGTTGGTGAGACAATGAATGAAAGGTGCTTAGCATATATGAGCAGCCTTTGGTCCTTATGAAAGAGAAACCCAGAGTCCCCTGTCTCCAAGTCAGCCCTCAGATGTCCCTAATCCCCCAGCCTCTGACCTTCTCCCTCCTCCCAATTTCAGCCCCGGCCAGGCCATTCCTGTCTAAACTTTTCCAAATGTCACTCTTTTTTTTTCTTTTTTCTTTTTTATGCTTTTTGTCTTTATCTAGGTGACATTTTTCTTTCCTTCCACAGGGATTGTTATAAGAACAGGAGTGAAAATAACAACAGAGTCTGTGGCCAGGCCCCTCCTGAACAGTGGGAGGATATTTTGGCCTAGAGACAGCCACAGAGAGTCCCAAGGGGGTGGGGGTCAGGGGAGGGATTGAGCTAAGGGAATGCTGGGGCAATTCTACAGCTAGGTCAAAGGGCAGGCCTCCCTCTCCAGAAAGGACTCCACTGACATAATCTCAAGTATGATGAGTCAATAAAATCCAGCTCTGGAATTCTTGGCAAAGCTGAAGCCTTCCCTGTCCACATGAGACTGTGTTGGGTGGCTCAGTTTGGTCAGTCCTGATCATCTCCCGTCTGGGTGGAGAGACCAAGAGGCAGAGCTGGCAGCGACAGACCCCCCCACAGCCAGGCTCTCCCAGGGCTCCAGGCCCCTCAACCTTGCGTGGCTGTGCTTGGTGAACTCACTCGTCTTCACAGGGGTGTGAGGACTGTCTTCATCTCAGAATCCTCCACAGAGGCCGGTACCTGTGAGACATCAATTAGAGCCTCAGTAAGGGTTGAATCAAGTGACAGAAAACCCTGCTGTCTGGAAAAAGGAAGAGGAGGACCTTCTGAGAGGAGATATGAGTCACTGGCAGAAGACTCCATTCACAAACATGACTCCCCATTGTCTGCCTCACACACAGTGCCCTCTCCCATTCTCCAGGAACTGGCCATCCTCAACCATGGGTCCCAGCTAAAACCCCGGGGCTTAGCTCACTGGACCAAAGAGCATCTGACTGAAGCTTGCCAGTCAGATTCTTTTCTCCTAGGAATGTGAACTTTTAACCTGAGAGACATAGCAGGTGAGAGGCATAAATGGTGACCCCTGGAAGGAAGGTCCATGGGCACAGGGTGAAACCACCTTTACAAAAAGTGCATCAGCGAGAGAAATCTAAGCTAACTGACTCCAACTTCACAAGCTAACTGCCTTTGTTAACTTTAAAACAGAGATGATAACAATCCCTTCCCAAAACTAACCCCCTTCTTGCTTGATGACCAAAACTGCCTCTGTAAGGCTGTGTATGGCGGCTCACGCCTGTAATCCCAGCACTTTGGGAGGCCGAGGCAGATGGATTACTTGAGGTCAGGAGTTCCAGACTAGCCTGGCCAACATGGTGAAACCTTGTCTCTGCTAAAAATACAAAAATTAGCTGGACATGGTGGTGCATGCCTGTAATTCTAGCTACTCCAGAGGCTGAGGCAGAAGAATCACTTGAACCCAGGAGGCAGAAGTTGTAGTGAGCCGAGATAGTGCCACTGCACTCTAGCCTGGGCAACAGAGCAAAACGTCGTCTCAAAAAACAAAAAAAACAAAACTGCCTTTGTAAGACTAATGAAAGTCCACAAGATTAGGATCATAGGAGAGGCCTGAATTCTGCTAAGATGCAGGTGTAGTTAAATGATAACCAGCCATTGTTCCCTAGCTTGAATTTCTGTAATCATTTACTGCTCCAGAGATCACAATATTTGTAAATTCCCCAATTGCTCTGATAGATGACATCACTATTGTAAAAATGAAAGATTGGTCTTTGAGATATTTTTCGGACTTTTGCATTCTAGTAACAGACTGACTTCACCTGGGCCCATAACTCATACCAAGGAACTACTTCAACTGCTTCTGTGACTTCCACCCAGGAACTGACTCAACACAAGAAGACAGCTTCAACCCTCTGTAATTTCATCCCTGGCCCAACCAATCAGCATCCCCCATTCCCTAGCCCCTTGACTGCCAAACTATCTTTGAAAAACCCTAACCTTTGAGCTTTTGGGGAGGCTGATTTGAGTAATAAACTCCCATCCTTCCACTTAACTAGCCCTGTGATTATTAAACTCTTTCTCTACTGCGGTACTGCTATCTCAGTGGATTGGTTTTATCTGTACAGTGAGCAAACAAGAGCACCATGGTTTCCAGAGCTGCTTCTGTTACTCTTCCTCCCAAGGCCTATGTTGTTAGCTAAAAGCCATAGTCTCTCCCTGATATAGTTTGAATATATGGCCCTGCCAAATCTCATGTTGAATTGTAATTCCCAATGTTGAAGGTGGGGTCTGGTGAGAGGTATTTGGGTCATGGGGGCAGATTGCTCATGGCCTGGTATTGTCCTTGTGACAGTGAGTGAGTGCTCATTAGATCTGGTTGTTTGAATGTGTGGCACACCCTACAATCCACTCTCCCTCTTGCTCCTGCTTTTGCCCTATGATGTGCCTACTTCTGCTTTGCTTTCTGCCATGAATGAAAGTTCCCTGAGGCCTCCCCAGAAGCTGAACAGATGCTGGGGCTATGTTTGTACAGCCAGAAGAACCACAAGTCAACCAAACCTCTTTTCTTTATAAATTACTCAGCCTCAGGTATTTATTTATAGCAACACAAAGAATGGCCTAATACACTCTCCAGTTCATCCCCTCTTGTGGCTTGAGCTGGCTAAAGTTGATCTGTGTTGCTTTCAAGCAAAAGAACCTTAACTTTCATTCCCATGGACCCTTCAGAGGCCAGCCTGTAGCCCAGTGTGATACAGATGTGCCTCTGTCATCCAGATGTGAGAACAAGGTGGTAGCTAGAGGTAATTAGGGTCCCATGAACCATGGGCTGTGTGCTTCTTTCTACAATCCCAGGGAGCTTGAAAGAAGGGACATTCCAGCCATGGGCCTTCTGGAGGAAGTGAGCTCAGAGGAAAGAGCGCTAGATTGGAAGTTGGGAAGCCCAAGTCCTAGGCTTAATTCAACCCCTGACTTGCTGTGTGACCTGGGATTCTTCTCACTGTATATCTGGGCCTCTTGTTCTTTTATCCTTTCTAAGTCTCCTCTCTAGTGGGTTCTTGGGCACCTCTTTTCCTGTCCCAGTCTTCCCTTCAAACTTGTCCCTCTCTTCCCTTCCATTCTGCCCCAGTGTGCACACACACATGCACACTCACAAATGTGCTCTGTCTCTTCTGTCTCCTTCCTTCCTTCCTTCCTTCCTTTCCCTCCTTCCTTCCTTCCTTCCTTCTCATAAGATGCCTTAAATTAGATGCATCATTTTGGTGTTTGGTGAGAAGCCAGGGGCTGTATCAGTCAGGGTGGGTGAGGTTGGGCTGTAGTAACAAGCAGCCCCCAAATTTCAATGGGTTTCTGACTCATGCCACCTGCCCATGATAAGTCCACCAGCTTTTACTCATCCTTACCCCAAGGCCTGGAATGACAGAGTAGCCACCCCCAGGGACATTGCCAGTTGGTTGGCCAACGGACTGTCATGACAGCAGGAAAGAGGAACATGGCTGATCCAGAAACAACAGTGTGAGCGCAATCGTTTATTTGGGAGGTGCAGGAAACACTGGTATCAAGTAGAAAAGTGCAACTGGGAAGGGAAAGCAGCTAATGCAAGATGCATATGAAGCCAGGTACCTCTGTGGGTGAATGAACTTAATCCCGTGGGATACCCCAGGGAAAGAGTGAGGAGCACATACTGCAGAGTGATCCCACCTGCAGCATGGAGCGAGGGAGCCTGGGTATTTGTGTCTCAATTCCCCAGAGTCACTGACTGAGAGCTGATGAAGGTGATAATGTGTAATTCCCCTGCACTTCTGGCTGGTAGTGCATGTAGGCTGAGCTGTCTTTTTTGGGCCTGGAGAAATCCCTCAGGCACAGAGATGCAGACACTGGCAGGTAGAATTCAGCAGGGAGGGTCCAAGGGACACTGACAGAATCAGCCTCAAAGGTGAATCAGGCACGAGCTTTTCAACCTTCCACCCAGAAGTGACATGTATCACTTCCACTCACATCATTTGTTAAAGCAAGTCACATGGGCAGGCAGAACTTCAAAAGCATGGAGGATGCAATCCTACCGTGTACCTAGATGGAGATGCAACCAGAATGTTTGTGCTTGGTCCACGGACAAGCACAAGGACCCAATCCACTTGCACACTGCAGGCATAGAAAGTAACTGGACTGCACCTGCCAGGAAACATCAACACTCCTGCCACTGCCCACATTTGGTCTCCTGCTGGAACTGCTTCCAGCTCCTCCCTTCCCCCACCTCTCCACGTTGGCTTTCCTCCTGCTGTTTTCTCCCACTCTCTTCTCAGCAACAGTCACTTCCAGTTGGCCCTTGGCCCTCCCAACACACAAGTCCTAGGGGAATTCCTCAGCTCCTCCTGGCCACCTCTCAGTCATAATAACTGAAAACATTGTGAGGAGAAAATTGCATAGGCATCCACTTTTTATTCTTCTTCTCCTCACCCCCATGTGAGGGGAACTATCATCAGTTTGACAGATGAGGTAACTGAGGCACAGAGAAAGTGACTATGCAACTGTGTATCACTTTCTCTGTGCCTCAGTTTCCTCATCTGTGTGTCATGCAGTGAAACACCTGAGCAGGATCATGGATACACTTGAGCTCAAGGATACATGGATCATGGTAGACCTGGGAGTGGAAAGTCAGGTCTCCTGGCTCCTAGCCCAGCGCTCACCCTTTCCCCACATGTGGCTTTTCTGGGGTCAAGTCCTGATTCCACCTACATCCTAGGGCCACCAGCACTACCTCACTTCACCATTCTAACTGCCAAGCACTCATTTCACAACTCCATGCCTTCGCATGTGCCATCCCCTCCTCCTTCAATGCCCTCCATCTCCAACAACCAGAGGGCACCCCAGAAGTTGTCCATCTCCCTCCAGGCCACAAGTGCAGGCGCCCCTGGGTCCTCTCCCTGCAGGCTGGATGTGCCAGCAGATGAATTCCTTCCACTTGTGACTACAGCCACTCCAATGCCAATTCCATGGCTCATCACCCCAATGCTGGGAACGCTCCCCTCCTCTTGGTCAGCCCACTCCACTAGTTCAATTACCTGCCCTGGTGAAGTTCCATGTGGCTGTCAACCTCAGCAGCTGGCAGCCAGCCCCAAGCTCCACAGCTGGCTCAGCCCCACTCCCTCTCTTGGGAGGGCAGCAACAAGAACCTTCCTGCTTAAACCACCCTCCTGGGCTCTGGTGCAGGCAACCCATGGACACTAGCCTGGGCTTTCTTGTGGAGCTATCCCTACATAGGACAGAATCTGCAGTTCCCAGACATCTGTTGTGCCAGGATGTTCCACACTAACCTGCATTATCCCCTTTTGTCTTCAGCATACAACACTCAACTTACAGAGGAGAAAAAGGAGAGAGAAATGGATAAAGATGCAGAGAAAACAGTGATCATTGATCCACTCAGAGAATATTTATTGAGGACTTACTATGTGCCAGTCACTCTTCTAGACACCAGGATAGACAGACACAGGGAAGAGCTATATAATAAATATTTTAACAAAGACATATTTCTGATAGACTGGTAAGTCATTGATAACTGCTCTGGAGAAAAATAGCACAGGGAAGGTGATGCCTGGTGAGGGTGGGCCTGCCTAAAAGGGGAGTCGGGGCTTCTCCCTCTGAGGAGATAAAATTTGACCAGAAATCTGGCAAAACTGAGAAAAAACATCATGTAAAGCTTTGTGGAAGAGCATTCCAGGAGGAGGGAACACGGCCTGGCCAAGGCACTAGATGGGAATGAGCTTGGAGTCTGAGGAGCTACGAGAAGGTGGTGTGGTGGGGCACAGTGAGGGAGAGGGTGAGCAGGCATGGGTTTGGACTGAGGTCGACTGATGTAGGGCCTCGTGTTAGGATAAGCCAGCTGCTGTAAAAAAAAAAAAAAAACCCAAGTTTCAGTGACGTGACACAATAAAGAATCAATTTTTGCTTGTGTAGTAGTTCAGTTAGTGTTGTCACAAGACAGGTACAGGAGTTCTGTTTCGCATACTTGGGGATCCAGGCATCTTCCACTGTGTGACTCTGCCATTTCCTCAGGGTCCTCACTGGATGTCCATCCAGCTGGCATGTGGGGAAAGTGTGGAGAAGGCACACTGCTCTCAACCACTTCGACCTGGGTTAACACATGTCACCTCCACTCACACTCCATTGACAAGAATAAGGCATAAGTCTCCGCATCCACCATCACCCCACCCACGCAAAGAAGCAGAGAAATGTGGCACAGCAGGGAGCCTGGGACAAAGAGGAGAATGTAGAGTTTGGTGAGCACTGGCTGCCTCTGCTGTAGGCCTGGAAGGCTTTGAGGAGGCACTTGGATTTTATTCTAGAAGTGATGAGAAGCTGTTGGAAAGTTGAGACCAGAGGAGTGAAATGATTTGGTTGGTGTTTTAGTCTCCACGGGCTGCCGGGGAGGAAAGGCTAGGAGTGGTGGTTGGAGTAAAGCATCACCCAATGTTGCTCAGCTAGTTCAGTGGTACAGTTGGAATTTGAACTTGGCCTGTCTGGCTCTAGAGCCCTTGGGCTTCACCCCTGTGTCTGCTGCCTCTTGGAGTGTGATGTACAGATGTCAGCTCTTTCCTGGACAATTGCAGTAATCGGCCTTCCAACCCATCTTGTGGCATCCTGGAGAGGACTGGGCATGGTAGGTAGAGGACAGATGTATTAGTCCATTTTCACTTGGCTATAAAGAAATATCCAAGACTAGGTAATTTACAAAGGAAAGAGGTTTAATTGACTCACAGTTCCACATGGCTGGGGAGGCCTCAGGAAACTTACAATCATGGCAAAAGGGGAAGGGGAAGCAAAGACCTTCACACGGTGGCAAGAGAGAGAAGAAAGCACATGTAGGAGGGACTGTCAAACACTTATAAAACCATATGATCTCCTGAGAACTCACTATTGTGAGAATAGCATGGGGGAAACCCCCCCATGATCCAATCACCTCCCTCCCTTGACATGTGGGGATTACAAGTCCCTCCCTCCACATGCGGGGATTACAATTCAAGATGAGATTTGAGTGCGCACAGAAAGCCTGACCATATCAACAGGTTTTCTCAAAGTCCGGCTTGGAGTCTAAATGAGGCTCAGCACTTAGCCAATACAGGACCTCTGTTGCCTTGCTCAGCCTGTTTCCCACAAAACATGAGCTACATGATGTCAACAGGGTGGTCATGAGCATCAGATGAGACACTGCAGAGGAAGTGGGCGGGGGTCACAGTGCCTCTACACTGGAGTATCCAGAGGCAGCCTTCTAGTAGCCTTGGGAAGGAGGCCCCCGGTCCCCAATGTTTGACTTTCCTTTTCCTTGTCCTTTTGGTTTAAGGTTTTGCCTCCTCTTACCAGGCAAAGTCTCTAAAAGAGGCAGCACATTTCAAAGTCCCTGTCAATCCTCTAGGGAAATCACTTCAGTGAATCCTTCTTAGAAGCCTGCTTGAATGGTCTTGGGGCCCAATCCAGGGGGAAGAGAAGTGCCAGCAAGAAGAAAAATGACCCTCAAATTAGAGCCAAAGAGCCTCATTCCCTCTTGGGTAATTTTGCCTGCTCTCTCATTCAGAATTCTCTCATATTCCTTGAGTCCATTTGGGGAATGAGAAGTTGGCCAAATTCTGGCCTCTCTGAGCACCTAATTGTGCCTCCCAGTCTGAGGCTCAAAATCTGGAGTTTTTCTGATGCATAATATTCACAATGATTCAAAAGAGGAAAGCTCTGAAGAGATTATTAAAATCTCTGACCTAAACTTGTTCCTGGCTGAGCACATTTTGACAAGTTGAATAGTGATGGAATGAAGAGCTCTGGATGAATAAAAAGGGATGCTGACAAGTTTGCACGGAAGATAAAGCCCAACGGCACAGATCTGGGGCAGTGGGGTGCCTGCTGGGGGTGTTTAGTGGCCATGTTAGGGGTCTGGAGCTAGAGAACCAAAGGGAGAAGCTGGGGAGGGTCAGCCAGGAGCCTTGAAAAACACCTGACAGAGTATCCCCTGAGAACACACAGTGCCAGCAGCTGAGATCCGGCAGATAAATGTGGAGAGAAGGAGCAAGAGACAGGAAGGACAAGAGAGGAAAAGGGAAAAATTAGAAAAAGGAATTAAAGAACACATGAAAGACAGTGAGATTTCAGAGTCCATTGGCCATCCTGAGAAGCCCTCCCACTGCACAACGCCTAGAAATGCTGGACAAAATACAACAAACACCCTTCTTGTGAGCGCTAAACTCACAGGAAAATGATGGCAATCTTCAGGGGTCCCAAATGAGAAGAGAACAGGAAGTAAGAATGCTAAGATGACACTGAGGGTGAAAGCTCCCCTTGAGGCATTAGCTCAGTTACTTCACAGAGTCTTGAATTTTAAAGTCCACATGGGGACTCAAGCAATGTGAGAAGGTGGAAGTGAGACCACAGCATAAAATCTAGATCCTTGAAAGGTTACATTTGGAGGGAAAAGTAGACTCATCAGCAAAGAGGGACTGAAGGAAATATGTCTGTCTTGATCTGGGCTCTGAGTTGAAAAAAACCAGCCTTCACTGAGAATTTGGAATCATAGAATCATAGGCTCTTCTCCTCTGAGGGTTGGGGTTTTAAGGTAGACTGCATATGTGATTTGGAAAACTCCAAACTGAGAAATTTACTTACAAAGTGGGATCAGGTTGGTAGCACTCAGGAGTGTTAATGTTAATCCTCTTTGAAGCTGACACTTTTTTTTTTTTTTTTAAGACAGAGTGGCTCTGTAGCCCAGGCTGGAATGCACTGGCATGATCTCAGCTCACTGCAACCTCCTTCTCCCAGGCTCAAGCAATCCTTCTGCCTCAGCCTCCCAAGTAGCTGGGACTACAGGCATGTGCCACCACTCCTGGCTAATTTTTTTTGTATGTTTGGTAGAGATGGGGTTTCACCATATTACCCAGGCTGGTCTCAAACTCCTGACCTCAAGTGATCTGCCCATCTCAGCCTCCCAAAGTGCTGGGATTACAGGCATGAGCCACTACGCCCAGCCCTGAAGCTGACGCTTTTAAGTCATACTTAACAGGATTCTCACAGAGAGAGGTTGTGAATATGAGCTCACAACCTACAATTACAAGGTACACGATAAAATAAACCACCTTGAGTGAAAAATCAGCAGATAAAACAAACAGCAGAATTAGACCTTCAGAAGACCTCAGCTATTGAAATTATAAAATTCAGACTATAAAATAAATATGCTTAAATTAAAGAAAAATACTTGAAAATATAAAAAGCTCTTGCCAAACATTATCCTGCTTCAGCCTCATAAAAACTCTGGGGTTTGCAGGTGAAATTGCATTTGCTCCATTTTTTCAATGAAGAGATACTCAGAGCAGAAGTGAGGAGACCTACTCAGGACCACACAATTAGTAACTAGCAGGACATGAAATCTAGGTCTTCCACCTGCAAAACCAATGCATGCTTCTTGTTTTATCTTCCACCTGTTTTTCAAATGCATGCTCAAGGGCCATTTGGGCTGAAGATGGCTTAGCATGGGTGAAGTGCTCATGGGCTAGTGTAGGCAAAGAAGGCAGGAATGTATACCATTGTCCTTATCCATAACCCAGTCTGGTGTGTCCTGACCCATGGAACTTGGAAACTCCATCCTGTTTATCCTAGGGATTCTGTACTCAGTGAGGGAAGAGGTAAAACAGTGAGAGTGAGGGGTGTGTTGAGGGAAAGAAAGAAGGAGGGGAAAGAAGAGTGAGGGAGAGATGGTAAATAGTGGAGAAATGCTGCTAAAAAGACATTGTCACAAGAAGGGACTGGCAGAGGAAAAATACAAACTTTTGGGTTGACATAGTTTTCAAAGCTACAGAGACTGCTGGTAATCTATCAAATTATATATTCTCTTTCTTCCTCAGTAATACAGTTGGATTTGAGCACGTGCGAACCTGGCTAAGAACCACATTAGTCAGCCTCCGTGGCAGTTAGATGTGACCACAGCCCTAAGTTCTCATCAACAGAATGTGAGCAAAGAGGGTGCTCACTTCCAGGCTGGAACCCTGGCCTGAATGTTCATGTTTCCCCAGAATTGTGTTGATACCTGATCCCCAATACAATAGTATTAAGAGTTGGGGACTTTGGAAGACGATTAGGTGATGAGGGCTCCACCTTTTTTAAGGAATTAATGCCCTTATAAAAGAGGCCCAAGGGAGCTTGTTCCCTTCTTCCACCATTCCACCATGCAAAGCCAGCGAGAAGGTGCCATCTATGAGGCGGAGAGTGAGACCTTACCAGGCACCGAATCTGCTGCCACCTTGATCTTGAACTTCCCAGCTTCTAGAACTGTGAGCAATAAATTTCTGTTGTTTATAAGCTACCCAGTCTAAGGTATTTTTGTACAGCAGCATGAATGGACTAAGATAAGCCCTAAGACAGCGGGTATGCCTCCATGGACACCTAAACTAGGGGTCAACAGAGCCACACCACAGAAGGAATCTGGATCCCTGTTCTTCTGTGTGAGTGAAGTCACCCACTGACTTGAAATATCCACCTGATTAGAGGAAAGAGAATTCAACTTCTATCTTCTGAGTTTTTGTTAGGTGGTTTGTGACAACAGCCTGGCTTATACTAACTAATACACCAAGGAAAATCCCCAGCTGATTACTGAGAGGGAGTCAGATGCAAAACTCTACAACACACTGGCATGAACCAAAATCCATGCAGGATAAGGGGTCTGTCACAGGTGATGTAATAGAAGTGTCATTGTCACCTGTGTTACGCTGCTGCAGGGTTACAGTTTTTCCTAATTTGGTTTTTTCCTTTTTATTTTTTCATGAGACAGTTTTCACTCTGTCACCCAGGCTGGAGTGCAGTGGCACAATCATGGCTTACTGCAGCCTGGAACTCCCAGGCTCAAGCAATTCTCCCACTTCAACCTCCTGAACAGCTGGGACCACATGTGCACGCCACCACGCCTGGCTGATTTTTAAATTTTGTTGTAGAGATGGGGTCTCACATGCTGCCCAGGCTGGTCTTGAACTCCTGGGTTCAAGCGATCCTCCTGCCTCTGCCTCCCAAAGGGCTGGGATTACAGGTGTGAGCCACCACGCCTGGCTGGTTTTTTCTTTTTTAAATACTATTTCAACACATATAGAACTTGGACTTTTATTTCACGACTTACATCACGGCTTTCATGTACTTGTGACCATTCTCACGTTTCTAATGTCGTGAAGTGTTGTATTTTTCCCTCTGAGGCACTTTGAAAGCAAGTGCTTTTACTGGGGGCTCCACCGCTACACGGACGATGGAGGGCAGGGCTGGTCCAGGAAGAGCCCAGCTGGGCCAGCCTGGTGGTGAGGAGTGTTTTGCTCTCCCGGCTGCTTCCATCTCTGGGCTGTCTCTCCCCCTGCTGGACAGTGGCCTCAGGCTGGGTCCCAGGGAGACTGTCTAAAGCCACTTTCCTTCTAAAGATGAGCTGTGTGTGAAGTGCCAGGAGAGTAGACTGTCAGCCCCACCCCATGAAGACCTGCTGAGCAGAAGGCACAGGAGTGGCCCCCCTGGGGAGGCCTGAGAGTGCTTCATACAAATCATGCCAACTCCATCTGTGGGAAAAGACGTTGGAGGGTCTCACCCCGTCTCCACTGTGGTGCTGGGGACGGTGACAAGGGCCTTATAGCCCTTTCACAAAAGCAAAGCAAGTCAGAGCCAGAAGGGCCTTCAGACACTCCTCAATCCAACCTTCTCCATCTACAGAATGGAAATTGAGGCCAAGAGCAGGGAAGGAACTTCCAGATAGAGCTTAAGTCTCGGGTCCCCGGCAAGAACATTTTCTGCTAAAGCCGGCCAGCTCCCTACAGAGTTGTATAGGCAGCTTCATTTCCACAGCCCATTTTGTATTAAAAAAGCAAACCACAAACAACATTCCATCCGCTCTAACTGAAAATAAACGCAGGCCCTCAAGATGCTGGCCCCTGAGCTCATTAAAAGCAAGGTTTCCTGACTCTCTGGAAGGAAGACGACTTCCACACCCTGGTGGGATACTGAATGTGCCCTGTGGTACACAGGAGGAGACCCAGATTAGGTGACAGACCAATGGCTAGAAGCCAATGACCTGGATTCTGGTGTTAAATAAAATGTATGGGAGGGCATTGATTTGGACTAAGCTCCTGCACTAGGCTCTAATAGCTCAACCCAAAATGGAGTCACTCATGCTAAGGTTACACAACCAAACCGAAACCTAAGTTGTTTACTTATGAGATCTGACCTTCCAAGAAATCAGGAGAGAGATGGTAGCCAAATCCCCAAACAGGCCAGTTTTAGTTGGCTGAAGAAAGTCTCCTCTGCATTAACGCTTACGAGGAAAGTAACCTGAAGTAACCTAATGTTAACCAATCTTCTTTTTTGTACTATGCTGTTTTCTTGTTCCTGCTCAAGTTACCATACAAAAACCAACTGTCCTTGGCCAGGTGCAGTGGCTCATGCCTGTAATCCCAGCACGTTGAGAAGCCAAGGCAGGAAGATTGCTTGAAGCCAGGAGTTTGAGACTAGCCTAGGTAATGTAGTGAGACCCTGGCTCTACAAAAGAAAAAAATTTAAAATTGGCTGGGCATGGTGATGTGCGCCTATAGTCTCAGCTACTCAGGAGGCTGAGGTGGGAGGATCACTTGAGCCCAGGAGTTCGAGGCTGCTGTAGTGAGGCATAATTGTGCCACTGCACTTCATCTTGGGTGACAGAGTGAGGCCCTGTCTCAAAACAAAGCAAAACAACAACAACAAATCTCAAACAACTGTTCTGCCAATGGGGTGGAGCACCTTTTTAGACATTTCCTAGATGGAATACTGCCTGATTCATAAATCCCTAATAAAAGTCAATTAGATGACAGTGTCATTGGGCCTTATTATTAAACTTACTAAACTCAACTTGTTGAAATTTGGTTCTTTGACGCAGGTCACACCTAGAACTTTGTGTGGCTGTGGGACCCTCGGGTGCCCTTTCTGAGCTTTGAAATTTCAGGGAGAAATTTCAGAGGGAATTGGATCCGGTGATATTCCATGATTCTAATTGCAGAGGAAGGAAACGTTTTTAGGCCAATAGGGCAGGCAAAGCAGGATCCTGTTTCCCGGTCAGCCCAGCCCAGAAGACAGCAGAGAGAAGAGCCAGCTTGAGCGGGGGCACAGGGAAGAGGTCTTCCCAGCCACCCTGTACGGGGGCTCTGAAGCCGGGCACTGCAGCAGAGAAAAACTGTGGCACAGGGTCCGTTTGCGGAGCACGTGGGCCTGCTGGGTCTGGGAGTGTCTTCCCACAGGGGTGTCTTCCTGGTGTGAGAAGTCATTTGCCAGGGGCTCTAGCTGGAAGCGAGTGAAGCTCTTGACAGAGAACCCGCAGGCCCATTTTTGCCCGTGCACTCATCATCCACCCTTTCTTGCAACCCTGACAAGGCTGAATGTGGCCCAAACTCGGGCTCCTGCAGGCCTAGCTTCCTTCCGCAGTGCCAGCATCGCCCCTATCCTGGGCATCCCCTGACTCTGTGCCCACTGTTCCCAGGGCTGAGCTCCCTGCCACTTTCTTTGGTCTGGAGAATTACAGCTCCTAATGAAACACAGCCACAACACCCCTGTGCCAGGATATGCTTCTGTTGTAGCCCAGGATGTAAAACTACTTCATACACTCTCAAAATTAGCTTCCGACTCCTCTCCATGAGTAAATGCACAGCAGTCTATTCAAAACCCCACACTGTGGTTTCCTGGGAGGTAGGGATCATTTGTAACCAGAAGGAACATGAGACTGCACCTCTGGTGGCCAGCCTGAGAAGACAGTTGGAGTTTCTGGCTTTCATTCCATTTCTGTCTGTCTTCCACTCAGCCAGGGCAGCTTGCTAACTGAAGTCCTATGCGCATGACTCAGAGGCAGACTGACTCCCTCTAACCACATCTTCCATCAGTTCCAGGCCACCCCCAACCTGCCTAGGCTCAAGCCTTCCAGCTGGCCTCCACCTCCTCTCCCACCCACCATTTTCCAATCTCCGCAAGGAACCCACCCTGCAGCCTTGATTTCTGATGCTTCATCTCTCTCTGTCTCTTCTCCCCCAGAGTGTCTTCAGTCCTTTCTGCCAGGAAGCCTCTTCTTCCTTGCTTCAAAATTCTCTTCCACCTCTCCTTTTTCTCTTGCTTCTTCTTCCCCTCTCTGCCTTTTCCACTGAAGCCCTCCTTGATTAAGCAGGAGAGAAAGGAGAACATTCCTGAGCCACCTGTAACTGTGCAGCATGACATCATTCTTTCTGCTGGACTCTGCATACCAGGACCAGAGGAGGCAGGTGGCATCCCCTGCTCACCCACACCAGCTGTACCGGTTCTTCCTTTTTGGAATTAGTAAAGCCCATTCTAAAGTTTATAGAGAAAAATAACCAAGCAAGAATAGGCATATTCTAAAAAAGAATAGTGAGGGGGCCCAGACCTACCAGATATTTAAAACAGTATAAAGAAATGGCAATTAAAACAACACGAGTAGATAGATCAATGGAACAGAAAAAAAAAGTATAGAATGAAACCAGAAAGAAACACCAATCTGGTATGTGGTAAAGATTGTGTTTCAAATCACTGGGGATACGATGGATTACGTATTTTAAAAATTGAACAACTCAGTAGTTATCTGGAAAACAAAGTTGCTCTAAAAAAAGCCTCTCTTTACCCAAAAACTAGAGCAAATGCAATCTCATTTGCATGCCCAAAGAATTTTTATGGGGCTGAATTTCGTAACTAATTGGCATTAAAGAAAAAATACTTGAAAACATACGAAGCACTTGCCCAAACATTGTACCTTATCTAAATCTCAGATGCTTTAAAGTCTTAAATATATAAATGAGTCATAAAAATACTACCGAGAGATTTTAAAAATTAAATGGAGATGGAAAGACCTTTAAAAAATAGGGTACAAAACCTAGAAGGCATAAAGAAAAAGTTGACAAATTTGACTATATAAAAGTCATATTTCCTCCAGGGGAAAAATATCATAAGCAAACAACAAACTGGCATCTCTTTGAACAGGGAAAGGGTTTAGTTTTTTATATATATATATATATATATATATATATATGTATATATATAAAGATTCCTCCAGAGCCATAAGAACAGTTCACAGTGTGGTATGGTGGCTCATGCCTATAATCCTAGCACTTTGGGAGGCCAAGGTGGGTGGATTGCTTGAGCCTAGGAGTCTGAGACCAGCCTGGGCAACATGGCAAAACCCTGTCTCTACAAAAAATACAAAAATTAGCCAGGTTTGGTGGCACTGCCTGTAGTCCCAGCTACTCAGGAGGCTGAGGTGGGAGGATTGCTTGAGCCTGGGAGGCAGAGGTTGCAGTGAGCTGAGATCATGCCACTGCGCTCCAGCCTGGGCAATAGAGTGAGACCCTGTCTTAAAAAAAAAAAAAAAAAAGGAAAAACCTCACAAGAAGCAAAAAAGAAGAAGGAGGCAGAGGAGGAGGAGGAGAAGGAAGAGGAGAATGAGGAGAAGGAGAAGGAGGAGAAGGAGAAGAAGAGTTCACAAAGAAGAACTAGTGGTTTTTAAACAGATGAAAAAACGTTCAACCTCACTCATAAAAGAAATGCAAATTATGCTACAAGGGGATAGTGTTTTTTCACCTGTCAAATCAGCAAAGTAACATATCCTCATACATTGCTGGTGAGAGTGTAAATTAGTACAATCTCTGAAGAAGGTAAGTTGGCTCTATCAGAATTAAACATGTATATGCCCTCTGACCCAGAAATTCTCCTCCTAGTTATTTATCCCACAGATTAAATGTAAAAGGGTGTATATGCAGGGCTGTTGTATTGAAGCATCTCTTGAAAAACAAGATAAATGGCTAAGGGAGGAATTGACTAAATGAATTATCTGTAAAATAGAATATAAGCAACTGTTTAAAAACTGTGGCTACTAGGCTAGGTGCAATGGCTCACGCCTGTAATCCCAGCACTTTGGGAGGCCGAGATGGACAGATCGCTTGAGCTCAGGAGTTTGAGACCAACCTGAGCAACATGGCAAAACCCCATCTCTACAAAAAAAAAAAAAAATATATATATATATATATATATATATATATATATACAAAAATTAGCTGGGTATGGTGGCTCATGCCTGTAGTCCCAGCTACTCAGGAAACTGAAGCAGGAGGATCGTGTGAGCCCAGGAGGCGGAGATTGCAGTGAGCCGAGATCGCGCCATTGCACTCCAGCCTGGGCAACAGGGTGAGACCCTGTCTCTAAATAAATAAATAAATAAAAACTGTTGCAACTCTCTCTGTGTGCTGAAAGATCTTCAGGATAAGTGAAAAAATCAAGGAGCCAAAAAAAAAAAAAAAAACCCACAAAGTATATGCATGGTGTGTAACTGTGTTACCTGTTCCAGGAAAATAAAAGTAATTTTCACACATATGCATTTATCGACACAGGCTGTCTCTGAAAGGATCTGTGAGAAAGTGGAACGGTGGCTAATGTGGGGTGGGGCTGTGTGTCTGGAAAGAAAAGGACACTTTCCACAGGATACCCTTTTGTAGGTTTTAGATTTTGTTCTAACAAATGAAATCATTTAAAAGCAACAAAACCCAGTTCTTCCTGCAGTCTCCCTGAGCTTTCCTGGCACGGTGGATCCTCATTTCTTGTTGATTCTTTGCTGCTGGCCTCATTTCAAAGCCCACTCTGATGATCCATCCCCACCACTCTCGAAAAAAAACCGGCCAGGCACAGTGGCCTATAATTTCAGCACTTCGGGAGGCCGAGGCGGGCGGATCACTTGAGGTCAGGAGTTCGAGACCAGCCTGGCCAACATGGTAAAACCCCATCTCTATTAAAAATACAAAAATTAGCCGGGTGTGGTGGCTCTTGCCTGTAGTCTCAGCTACTTGGGAGGCTGAGGCAGGAGAATCGCTTGAACCTGGGAAGCTGAGGTTGCAGTGAGCCGAGATCACGCCACTGCTCTCCAGCCTGTGCGACAGAGTGAGACTCCTTCTAAAAACAAACAAACAAAACAAACAAACAAACAAAGCATGCATTTCCCATGGAGGGAGTTCCTGGAACCTTCCTGGGCTTCACCACTACCCTCTGGAAGAGACCCCCTCCAACATCCGCTGGCGGGTAGATGAAGCCACAGCCACTGAAACAAATGAGACAGTTAAGCTGCCCCCTCCTCCCACCCCACCCCTCAGCAACTTCCATACATCCGGCTGTTTCAAAGAGCAGACAAGGCCAAGGCCAGGACAATCCCTCAGATCAGATTCCTTGGTGTGTGTGTGAATGTTAGTGTGTGTGTGTATGCTCACACCCGTGTGTGTGGAGGCAGGTCTGGGGGCAAAAGGAGAAGGAAACCCACCCACATCAGTGTGCATTTTCCCAGCTGAGAAGTGCCACATCACTAGTAGAAAATGGGAACAGGTCCCATGGAGCTTATGATTGTCCCGAGGCATCTGGCAAGATTCCTGTTGGGCTTGGAAAGTCATTCCTCCTTCCCATCGGCATTCCCTAATCCCTTGCTGGGACCACCTAGCTCAGGCTGGGGTGCAGCATGCCACTCAAGGGAGGGGAGCACACAAAGGCAAGCCGCATGGTCCTCACTTGGAAGAGCAGCCTACAGGAACTGCGGGGAAGCTGAGAGACCAGGCTGATGGTTCCCAAACATTAAAAATACAGGCTCCCAGGGCCCATCCCATCCACTGAAGCAGAGCCTCCAGAAAGTGGGGTCAAGGATTCAGCATTTTAAATATTTTTCCAGATGATGCTGATGTAGCCTATCCAAGAGGTGCTGTCTGGGGTCTTGAACCAGGGCAAGCCACATATGGGCAGGTAGGGAAACTGAGTCCCATAGAAAAGAAGTGATTCACCAAGGTCACCCAGAGAACTAGAAAAGAGCTGGCAGAGTGTCACCCACAGTCAAGCCTGTGCTGCAGGATGGCTGAACACAGACCAAAGGCCCCACAGAAGTGCCCAGGATTGATGGGCTGGCATTTCAGAAGAGTAGGAGGCAGCCTGGGTGGTGTTGGGGTGACTGAGGGACCCCCTAACTTCAAAACCTTAAGGGGAGAAGAAAGAGGAGTTCACATTTCTTGAGCATCTACTATGTGCCACATATACATTGCTGCACAATGGTGCTGTGTTGCTTTGCACCCAGCGTTCACATAATCCTTACCACAGGTAGGCATCATTCATACCCACTGTGCAGACAAGGGAACTCAGGCTGCAAAGTCCTAAAGTCAGTGAAGCTCAGAGCAGGTCGCCAACCCTGAGGGGTGTGGCTCTGATCCCAGTCTTTTCACTGCTTTCCCCAAGGCCTCAGTCCACTCTCTGCCACTCACTTAAGGCAGTAGGCACGAGACGGTGCTATAGGTTGAATGTTTGTTCTCTCCAAATCTCATATTGAAATGCAATCCCCAGTGTTGGAGGTGGGGCCGGCTGAGAGGTGTTTGGGTCATGGGAGTGGATCCCTCATGAATGTCTTGGTGCTGTCCTTGTGATGGTGACTGAGTTCTCTCAAGATCTGGTTGTTTAAAAGTGTGTGGCATCTCCCCTGCCCCTTGCCCCTGCTCTGGCTATGTAATATGCCAGCTGCCCCTTTGCCTTCTGCCATGACTGGAAGCTTCCTGAGGCGTCCCAGAAGCTGAGCAGATGCCGGCACCATCCTTCCTGTACAGCCCGTGGAACCATGAGCCAATTAAGCCTCTTTTCTCTATAGATTAACCAGCCCCAGGTATTTCATTTTTTACTTTTTTCCCTATTTCTTTTTCTTTTTTTAAACTTTGTTGTTTGGGGTTTTTTGTTTGTTTTTTCTTTTTCAGGTATTTCTTTATGGAAATGCAAGAATGTCCTAACACAGATAGGGCTCCGTGGTGGACATCCAGGCAGGCATTTATCTCTTCATTTGCAGAGTGTCTTCCTATGGTCGTGAGCACAGAAAGCTGGGCTCGGTGCCTCTTATTTGCCGTGTGACCTTGGGCAAGTTACTTAACTTCCCCAGTCTGTGTTTCCTCACTTGTAACAGGGGATAAGATCAGCTATTCCACAGGGTCACTGGCAGAAGTCATCTTATCAAAATATAATGATGTCTAATATTTACTGGGTTCTTCATATGCGCCAGTCACTGCACCGATCACTCTACAAGCATTTCTTCCTTTAGTCCCCATGACAGCCCTGCCAGCTGGTGCTGTGACAGCCCTGGTTTACTGATGAGTTTCCTAACTGAGACTTAGAGAGATTAGGTCATGTGTTCAGGGTCACACAGCCAGAGACCAGACCCAAAATCAGAACTGGTATGCTTTTTCTTTTTTTTTTCTTAATTTATATTTCTAATAGATAAAGAGTGTACGCATTTACTTCATAAAATATGTTGTTTGAAATATGTATACAATGTGGAATGGCTAAATTAAGCTAATCGACATATGCATTACTTTACATACTTATCCTTTTTTGTGGTAAGAACACTCAAAATCTACTTTCAGCAATTTTCAAGAATGCAATACATGGTTATTAACTATAATCACCGAGTGGTACAATACATCTCTTGAATTTATTCCTCGTATCTACAGAAATTTTGTATTCTTTGACGAATATCTCCTCAACCTCTCTGCACCTGGCCCCCTCCCCTGGCCAGTCCCTGGTAACAACTATTCGACTCTCTACTTCTATGAGTTTAGCGTTTTTTGATTCCACATGTAAGTGTGATCATGCAGCATTTTCTTTCCGTGCCTGGTTTATTTCACTTAACATAACGTTTATCCATGTTGTTGCCAATGACACGATTTCCTTCTTTTAAAAGGCTGTATAATGTTCCAGTGTGTCTATAAGGCACATTTTCTTTATCCAGTCATTCATGGATAGATGCTTGGGTTGATTCCATATCTTGGCTATTGTGAACAGTGCTGCAATAAATATGGTAGTGTAAATACCTCTGCCATACTAATTTGATTTCCTTTGGATATACCCAGTAGTGGGGTTGCTGGGTAATATGAGAGTTCTATTTTTAATTTTTTGAGGAACTTCCATACTGTTTTACATAATGGCTGTACTAATTTACATTCCCACCAACAGTTTACCTGGGTTCACTTTTCTCCACACCCTCTCCAGCACTTGTTAACTTTCATCTTTTTGATAATAGCCATTCTAACAGGTGTGAGGTGATATCTCACAGCAGTTTTCATTTGCATTTCCCTGATGATTAGTGATGTTGAGAGCATTTTTGCATGTACTTTTTGGCCATTTGTACATCTTCTCTCTCTTTTTTTTTTTTAACTGGGTCTCTCTCTGTCACCCAGGCTGGAGTACAGTGTTGCTAACAGAGCTCACTGCAGCCTTGATCTCCCGGGTTCAAGCAATCTTCCCACCTCAGACTTCCAAGTAGCTGGGACCACAGTCGAATACCACCATGCCTGGCTACTTTTTTTTTTTTTTCAGAGATGGGGGTCTCATCATGTTGCCCAGACTGGTCTCAAACTCCTGAGCTCAAGCAATCCTCCAGCCTTGGCCTCCCAAAATGCTGGGATTACAAGCACGAGCTGCCATGCCTTGCCCAACTTCTTTTCAGAACTGGTGCTCTTCACCACCACACGTAGAACTGCCTTTAAGTGCCTCACTGAGTGCTCAGCCGGCCCTAACTATTACTCATATTACTATCCTGCCACTGTCCTCAGAGCAGAGAGCAAAGTCTGAGGCAAGAGGATACAGTCAAGGGCTCAGAGGTGAGGAGTACCTGTCCTGGCCCCAGGAGACTGAAGCAGGAGGTCACTGTGGCCTAGTTATTGGCAAGAAAAATACAAGATTGGTGCTTGGAAAAAAAATTTAAAAAAAGGTGTGGTCCCTGCTTTCACCAAATACTCTTCCTGCCTTGTTTTGCCCTGATTTGGTGGGATTCTATTTCTAATTCCACTGTGAAGACTAATCAAGTGGCTTAGGTGAGAGCCTGGCCACACTTTAAACCACCAGGTGTGGACAGGCTGGCTCGGCCTGTCCCGGGTAATGCAAGCAAGTGTGAAACTGGCAGAAGTCTGAGAAGTCCAGCCTGTCCCTAACTGTTGCACAGTCTTCAATTAAGGTGCAGGGCTGTAGGTTGAAGGAGCACATGACACGGTGGAGGCAGGCGAGTAAACAGGATCTTTAATTAATCTGCGATTCGGTCCTCTGTTACTGATATCAGCTGTTGGGTGTTTAGCTTGTGACGAATGCACTTCTGGAGAGGAGCTTTGTCCTAAAGGAGACTCCTGAGTGGAGTGGGGGCCTTGGGAAGGCTGTTTGGAGAAGCTGTGCCTTGCATGTGGCCATGGAAGACAGGAGGGGCTGGCACAGAAGAAAGGATGGAGAAAATTATTTCAGCACTGACTGTGCTCCAGGTGCATTCTCGTTCAGGACTCTGGGTCTCCCCTGAGATAGGTATGATGCTCCTCATTTTGCAGAGGAAGGAACTAAGGCTGAGAGTCATCTCCAAATCTGGCCCAAGGTCACAGGGCGGAATAAACAGCAGAGACAAAATTAAAAAGATGTGATTGTTGAGTATATCCCATGTCTGCCATGTATATTACCATTCCTGTGCTCGCCTTAATACTTCAGAAAACCCTGCAGCAGAGATGTGCTTATTTTACGAAGAAGAAACTGAGATCCAGGCAGTTGAAGTGGCTGGGAAGTAATCGATCTCACAACAAAATTCACTCTCTTTCCGCAGTCCCTATGAGTCTCAGATTGCAAGGAGTCCATGAATCTGAGGGGTAAGCAGCAGTGAGGGAATAAACACTACCCCTTTTATGTTCATATACTGCTTTTCAAATATTTGTAAACTGTTGTTCTGTTGGATAAAATATACATTAAAGCATAATCAATTTTAAAGGGTAACTGATTCATAGTTGCTTATTCTCACTGTGCTCCTCCCCACACCTAGTCCCAATCAATGGCTACAAAAATATAGCCACTGAACCTTAGGGGGCAGAGACAACATTTGATGCTATAAATGGGCTTTCACAATGGAAGAAGTTGGAGAGCTTGTTCTGCTCTCCTTGCGGGGAGCATGTCTGGCAGGGAAGCAGGTACCCTTCAAAGGGCATGAATTTGACAACAAAGTGCCTGGATAAGCGGCCAGGAGATGCTTTTCCAACAGGGCATGGAGGTGGTGGGGAGGGGAGGGTGTGCTGACTTTTCTGTGACGATGCCTTATGACAAACAACTCTACATCTCAGTGTCTTACACCAATGAGCTCATGAGCCTGCAGGTTGACTGTGGTGACTGCTTCTGGCTTGGCCCCATGGGTGTCTCATCCCAGATCCAGGTGTGAGGAACAGTGACTTCCTTGGGGCACAGCCTCTTCTCAGAGTGCAGGACTGGAGCCCAACAGCCCCAGCTTTCCACGTGAACTCACTCAAGGCCTCTGCTTGGAGGAGCCCTTAGTCATATGCCTGCCCTCCACATTCCATCAGCCCAAGCCAAGGTCTGTAGGATCATCAGGCAGTCCACTCAAGCTGCCCAGTGAGGAGGGGACAGTAAATATTTGCTGAACAATAACATAGTTGAGCACAGAGGGTGATCCTGCCTGCAGCCCCCTGGGCAGAAAGGCCTGGAGGACCAGCTGCTCTAAAGGGTCAGGTCCCAATAGGCAGAATTTAAAGACCACAATAGTCTTAGACTTCAACACCCCTGGCCATTGCCCAGCAGGCATCTAGCATAAACGCCCTTTGGGACCCTTTGCGGAATGCGATTCTGCACCCACTCTGCCCAGGGCACATCCCTTTTGAGTTATGGTGGCTTCTGGCTTAAAGCCTCAGGACAGTTGACCCAGCCCCAGTCCAATGCTCTCCCACCTCCCCGGCCATCCCCCTGCCCATCTCAGGGGATGGCTCCCCTGCTGGCTTGTAAAACATTCATTTCCCCTAATTCAAATATTTTCACCCTTTAGAAAACTTGTTAATATTGGATTTTAAGAAGCATTATAATATATCACTCTCTGCTCTGGCTAAAGCAGTATTTCATAAATTATTGATTTCTGCTGGTGGGAGATGAGGGTTCTCTTTCTTGAACAGTAGGCATTGCCCTGGCTGGGATCTTAGAAGGGATGACAAGTTGTGCAGTGGTGCAGAAAGAGCATCGTCACCCACCCCGGGCAAAGGAAGGAAGAAACAGGGCCACCAACCAATGGGGTTCCAATTCCTGGCTTTCTTTACTGTGGTTTAGGCCCCTGATATGGTGAAGTGGGAAGAGCAATAGGCCTGGCAGAATCCCTGCTCTGCCTCTGGCCGGCTGTGTGACCCTGGGCCAACTGCTTGGCCTCCCCAAGTTGCAGTCTCTGTGCCTGTAAATAGAATAGTACTGCCTGCAGCACAGTGCCGTTGGGAGGTAAGGAATGAATGAGATGATCCCTGAAGAGGTCACTGTCCTCCTCAGGTACTAATCAGTGGTCATTTTCTTCCTTCTTCCTCTGACTTTAGGTTCCATCAGAACCGTGGGCCCTGCACTGCAGCCACCACATTCAGACTGAAATCAGTGCTGGTTTGGGCCTAGGGCAAGAAGAATTCCCAGCCTGAGCTCAGCAGGGAGGCCCTTTGTGCTGCCTAGAGGCCCCCACAGGGCAATCCAGCAGTGCCCCTGAGCCTGGCTTGTCCACCTAGAGGTAGAAATGGCCTTGATCAGGGGTCTCAGTGGTGCCAGAGCTGCAGTGCTCCGTGCTCTGGTGGGAGCTGGCGCAGTCTGTCTTCCCCGTGCCAGGTTCCACTCCAGCCTGCCATTCCCAGGGGATCTATTAGCATCTCAAGACTCAAGTAAGGCTTGGTAAAGCAGGTTCCCTGTGTGGCAGTATTCACCGGAGACGCAGAGAAAGGGAGGTGGAGATTTGGAGAAAGCCAGCTCAGAGATCCAGGGAAAAGGGCTGGGGAGCGCTCAGAGCATGATCTGCCCAAGTCCACCGGAGGAAACAGGCATTTGACTTGCTTTCCCAGCTACCATCTGCTGGGAAAGGTGCGGCAGGTAGAGTGAGGGGCCACAGTGACCCCTGATCAGTGAGGGGCATGGAGGCTGGACACCCAGGCTTGCCCAGCTCTGCCTCCTGCCTCAGTGGATGAGACCAGACCTCAGGGTACACTCAGATGCCCAGGATCCTGGCATCTTAGCACCTCAGTGAGGAACCCAGGAAAGCTAAAGATTCTCAAGACAGTGACCCAGGTGCCCTGTAGGTCATTCATTCCCAAACACTGAGTGCAAAGGCTTTGGAATTTGTTATATAAATTAGAACAGAGGCAAGGGTATCCCTGCAATGCAATTCTCAGGGTTCTCTGTTCTGATGATCTTTCTGGAAAAGGAATAAGGGTTTACATTACAGCCCCTATAGGGGTCCTGGAAGTGGCCCGGGCCCATGGAAAGGGCTAACATGTGCCCATTGTGGTTAGGAAAAGTGATCTGGAAGTCACTGATCTGGTCCAAAGTTCACACTCGAGTGAAGAAACCCAGAAAAGATAAAAGGTTTGGACAAAATCACACAGCAGGTTAGGGTGGAGCCTGGACCAGAAGCCCAGACCCCAATCCAATTCCTTTTCTGCTTCCTCATTCTCTCTGTACTCACTTAGTCACTGTGGGTCTCACTCTTCCCTTCTGTACAATGGGGATGATCACACATTCCTTCCCACTCTCAAGGCGGGAGCTCTCCACAGGAAGCAGACAAAGCAGGGTGAGATCAAGCAGGATCGCAGCTGTGCCCTTGCCTTGAGGCTGGGATGATCACCAGGCCCTGCAGCTCAATCCTGAGTCCTCCCTGGAGACTGGGAAAAGCCCAGCCGCACTCAGCCTGCTATTTGTCCAGCTTAACCTGCACATCTTCCTTGTAGAGCAGCAGAACCCTGATAAAAAACATTTCATTGAGATTTATTCTCCCCAGATCCCTGGGCTGGCTTTTATTTGGTCCACCTGCCAATCAGGAAATGCGCACTTTGGCAGTGGACACGGTGAAGTTGTAAGGCTCCTCTGCCACCACTCCCCCTCTCCTTCCAAGGGGGACCCAGACAGAGTTCCCTGCCAGCCTGTGCCCTTGAGCCCATCTCTTAGGAGTTTGCATTTTAAAAGAGGAAACTGAGTGGAGGAAATGGCAGTTTCCAAAGGAACAGATGGCTCCTGGCAGAATATGAGGCTCTGGGACCCTGCAAGGAGGCAGGGGATGCATCCACCCAGGTGGGCAGCCACTCACTCTCTGATGCATGAGACCTCCCCGACTGCCACTGGCCACCTTGGCTCTGGTGTACTTTGCAACACTATGGTACCAACTTCACAGCCAAAGCTGCTTCTCATAGTTCTTGCCTGGGTAAAGAGCCAAGAGACCTGAATTCCACGCTGACCTTGACTATGTGATTTGGGGCAAAATACTCCTCTTCTCTAGACTTCTGTTTCCTCAACTCTCAGATTTGACCTGATGGTGGTTAAAGCCTTCTTGCCCCAAAGGCAAATGGCTGTGCATGTCTACAAGGATCTTTATGTGCCCAGGAAAGACCTGAGGGGGTGTGTGATGTTTGTCCTGTTGACCAATTGGAAAGCAAGGCATGAAAAATTACCAGAAATAAGTGGCAATACAAGACGACCCTACAAAGGCCATCTATCACCAGACAGTTTACATGAAGGGTCAGGGAAGCTGAAAATAACCAGGAAGAGACATAAGAATGAGAGGAAGAGAGGGGGGGAGATGGAAGGGCTGGAGTGATCAAGGCAGTACCCCGGCAGGAGATGGGGCAGAGCTGAGCTTGGAAGGATGGATAGGATTTGAATCAATGGAAATGAGTTGGCCAGGGAGAGGACATGAGCAGAAGTAGGCACTGGTGAGTGGGTGAGTCGGGCTGGAGTGAAGAGACCACAAAGATAAAGCTTATAAGATGACAGCAAGAATGAGGGGGGAAAAGAGAAAAAGAAATTTAAAAAAATAATAAGATACAACTTAAAGTTCAGGCAGGGTCACTGTGGAAACAGCCCTTTTATTTTTCTCCCTGAATCCACACTGGGAGCCCTGGTCTGCAGGATGGTCTTAGGACTTGTGCCTAAGTCCTAGCCATTTGGCCTTCCCTGCCCAACTGCCTTCCTAGATCAATACTCCTTTCTCCTGGCACTGAAGAGGGAAGCCCTCCCGTCATGTACCATGCGACTTTGTCCCCTCTAGGCTACAGGAGATGGATGAGAGGTGAGCAAGTGACTCTCCCATCCATAGGCTGATTCAAGGGCATTAGAAATGCTTTCTCTTTTGAGAACATTGAGACACATAGAAATCCATAGTCAGGAATGGAGACTGAAACCAAACAGGGGGAAAAGACAGTGGCCGCTAAGTTGGACCTTATGAAAAGTGAGTAGGCTGACGGGGCCCAGGAGAAGGGCTCCCTGCTCATCCAGCTCCAGCCTCCAAAAGCCCATTCCACGGCCTTGAGGCTGCCTGTTTGTCATCTTTGACAATCAGCAACACCCCTTCACTCAAGGCAGCGCAGTGGGTCGCAGTTCCCTGTAACAAGCACGGCTTGAGCAGACTATAGCTCACACCCGGGCAACTAGCCTGAGAATTGTGGCCACGAAAGGCAGAAGCTTCCCTAGTCCCTGGTGCCTCTGAATTAGCATCAGAACAATCTCCACAGAGGCCCTGCCTGTCTCCCACCCCAAACTCCTTGTTCCTCTGGGCCTTTGCCAGTGCGGTTCCCTGCATATCTAGAGCCCATCCCAAGACGCACTTCCTCCACAAAACCTTCTCTACTAACCCCAACCCCATCTGATCACACTGCAACTCAGGGTCAGCCCATACACCACAGTGGAGTCAGGATGAGGGCCATGCAGGCCACTCTTTATAATTTACAAAGTGATGATACTTCCATTACCCAGAGGATGCAGAGTGGGCTGGCTTATCTCCACTTTGCTGCTGGAGAGGGCCAGGGCTGGGGCTTGCACCCAGCTCCCCTGAATCCCAGTCTGAGCCTTTCTTTGTCCACTCCATCCTCTGCAGTGGGTAACCCCTGCCTGGGCATATAACCTTTCCTACTAGCACTCAGAATATTCTTGGTCAATTCACTAAATCTTCAACTAAGATTAATGGGAACCTTCTTTGTGCCAGGCACTGTTCTAGGGATTGGAGATACTGCAATGAACAAAACAGACTGAATGCCTATCCTCATGAAGCCTGCATTCTAATAGGAGGAGGTATAAAATAAACATAGTAAATGAGTAACAGTATATTAGTTGGTGAGAAGGCATACGGGGAAAAAATAAGGCAGGAAAGGAAGACGGAAAATGCTGTGGGTAGGGTGGCATTTTAAATACTGTGGTCAGGGAAGCCTCACCAAAAATGTGACATCTGAACAAAGATCTAAAGGAGGTGAGGACACTGGCCATGCAGGTGTATGGGGAGGAGCCTTCCATGTGAAGGGAAGGGGGAGAGCATGTGCAAAGGCCCTGAGGCAGGTGGCTGTCAGTGTCATGAGGCTTATGGCAGCGTTCCCCTGCTCTTCTTCCTTGTATAGCTTGGACGACTTTACTCTCCTGCTCCCAACAAGCTGCTGGCCAAAGAAGGAAGGCAGCAGCCCTTAGCATCTAGGATACTGTCCCTCTTCCCATATTCCAAAAAGAGAGACCTATGCAGAGCATCACAATGTTCAGTGACTAAGTCAGATGCTTAAGAGCCTTTCCCTATGGCAGACTCTGTTCTGAAACTCAGATCAGGACACTGGTCCCAGCTCCATGCTCCTCTGATGGATGTGGACCCAGTAGCTGGGACACTGGCTGAGGATTCCTTGAGGCCTCTGTTCACCACCCTCCCTGGCAAAGAAGGACTAAAGGGGTCAAGATACAAGGAGTCACCAAAGAATGCAGAAGAGACAAGTTCAGGAAGACTACCACATACGTATTGGTTACCCAGAGAGAACCTGAAAACAGCAGCACCATTGGGCCAACATGGCATCAGTAAGCACCAGCTGGGCCTGCTCCAAGTCCCCTGAGTTTCCACATTCCCTTGGGCAGGTAAAAATTTGCAAACCCCTTGTGTTCACCCACATTGTATTCCCTTCACTGAGTCATACTCTCCCTGTCATCTGCTCCCACTCACAGTGACTCACTTATGTCAACAGGCCCAACATACTTTCCCCACCCTTCCTGCAGGTCCCAAGACTGGCCCCTGATGCAGATGGGGCAGCAGTGGTAAATCCCAGGTTTGGCTCCTGTGTTGCTGCAGGTGGAGGGGGAGCCAGTGGGAGACTGGAAGGGGAGCTCTTGGAGGCCCTGAAGGCAAATGCTTGTGGATTTCTACTAAAAGCAACTATCACATTTGGAAAGTAGGGCAGAAAATGGGACTGGAGGCAAGAGTGAGAGACGACTGGCCCTGAGTGGCTGGGGCAGTCCTGCTGCACATTCAAACGTGGCTGAACCTCCAAGAAGCATTCCAGACTCTTCTCCAGATACCCCTCCCAGCATTTCCGCTCCTGTCCCAAGTCGTGCCAGATGTGAGGGAATATTCAGGGATGTGTGGAGCATGTGGGTCCACTGGGACAGCAATTGAGAATAACAAAATCGACGGACTGAAAAGAAAAAACATCCATTTCTCTTCCCCAACCCAATATTTACCAAGCATGTAAGCTTCATTCTCCTTTGTCCTTGCAGGGAAGCAATCACGCAGCCTGAC
The DNA here is from genome assembly GCF_000001405.40 of Homo sapiens. Classification (NCBI taxonomy): domain Eukaryota; kingdom Metazoa; phylum Chordata; class Mammalia; order Primates; family Hominidae; genus Homo; species Homo sapiens. The sequence continues at coordinate 1,082,947 of NT_167251.2, forward strand.
AGTCACTGGAGCCTCGGCTTGAGTTACCAATGACTAGTAATGTGGATTTCATACTCTTGACCAAATTAAAATAAATTTGGGCCAAGCCAGAATGGCTCAAATGAAACTCTGTATCCATTGCATTTCCCATGCATGTTCACACACTTACACAAACTTATGTCTGAGCCCTACATTCTCCCCAAGTTTGGGAGTCCCAGGACAAACACCCAACCCACAGAGACCCGGCATCAGGATCAACGTCCTTCTTGTTCCTATTGCAGAAAATAGACTCCAGCATGCAAGGCCCTCATCATTTGCCCGCCCCACAATCCTGCATCTCGCCAAATGCATCTCACTCTCTTCCCGCAGCCCGCTGGAGCCCACTGGAACTCTCCCGCTCCCCAAATACAAGTGACTTGCCAATTACTGCTTCTGTCTTTACAAGGTATGCCTCTGTCTTCTCCCTATATCTCTACAGATCCTCATTCAATGCCTGTTCTGATAGCTTCTCTGAGAAACCTTCTTGGGTAATCTTTACCACCCACTGAATTGAGGTTTATGTCTTTTTCCCACACCCTTCCCTGTGTGCCAGCCTCCTCCTGGGATCACCCAGTTTTTTCCTGAAGGCTTTGAAATGAGGGATTTGTCTGGAAGAGTGAAAATCGACTCTTTCTTCTCTCTCTTTTTTTTATCTTCCCAAGGTGGTGAGGCTGTGGAGCAGGACATGCCCTCTGCCCTTCCTCTTGGTAGTTAGAAGAAATTAAAGCAGAGCTCAAAAGAGAGGCTGGCTCTAGTGAAGGTCTCAGGAGAGATAAGTGAAGGGTTCCTATAGGATCCATGTTTTCTACCCCAGTTCCATAGGTAGGAAATCAAATGGAATAGAGAGCAACAGTCCCAGATGAGAGAAAAAAAAGAAGTGTTCTCATGGACACAGAATTCCCTGAGTATTGGCTCTCAGGGAGGTAAGACTTCAGGGAGTGGGGTGGATGGATAGGGTACATATTTATCTAAGGTAAAGAAGGACTCATCCCACTCCTTCTGATTCAGAGACTGTTAGGATGAATCAGCAGAAACCTGTTTGATCATCCAGTCAGCTCCTCTTGTTTTAAAGGAGAAACTGAGGTCAATAGATGTGTGATCTGCCCCTCAGACATCAGGTTAGTCAGGGATCAGGGTATTTGTCTTATGAATATTAATTTTTCCAATTCCGAAGATAGACCTAAAGCAGTTCCTTTTGTCTGTGAATGAGAAGACCTCCACAAAGATACAGAGGCTGGATGAAGATGTACGCAAGCTCTTTCCTCCCGAGACCCAGTGAGGGAGGCAAGGGAGGCTCCCTAGCTAAAGAGGGAGCTCAAAGTTGCAGCCTTTCCTCATGCAAGGCAAGGGAGGGCACCTGCTGGGAGCAGAGCAGGGAGGCCATGCGTTGTCTCTGCATACTAAGATCCTCACAATGCTGAGGGCAGAGCAGCGCCTGGGGAGGGAGCGCACTCCCATCAGCAGTGGGTGTGGCAGACACGCTGCTGTGTACATGTCCCAGGGCCTCAGGCTGCCCTGGAAAGTGAGGCTCTGGAGCCTCTTGCTTATAGGGTCAGCTCTGTGTGACTATGACAAGCAAGGGTTGAGAGACCGTGGCCATATGGCCTGGAGCTGGGGCACCCAGACAAAAATGACTCACCAATCCTTTTTTAAAGACATAACTAAAAGCCAATGGTATGCTTACATTTCAAACATAGCATTAGCACCTAAATTTAAACTGCTGCACTGCTGCATTTAGATAAACTAGTTTTATATCCAAGACCTTTAGGTTTTAAATACTGCAGGGAATGGTATGGTGACTAAAGAAAGAACATTTCATTACAAAGTGGTTTTTTCTTCAAAGGGCCTAGAGCCTAAAATGGGGTTTGCCTCAAGGTCCCCTTTATCAAGGCAGCCAGAACTCTCCTATGTGCAGTTTTCTGAGACCCATCATTATTTGGACTGCTCAGAATTATTCCTGTGTGTTCTCATGTAGGTGTTTTATTGTGTCCAACTTGCCTAAAGGACCTTTTATGGCAGGAACTGGGATCCCATGTCCTTTGGGCTCCTCACAATGTACAGCTGAGCGCTGAGCCTCAGGTGGAAGGTCAGCAAGTAATCACAGTATTCCTGGGATTGTTTTTTCAGAACCATGGACAGAACCCCTTCTTCCCAGGCTGTTTTCTATTTTGTGTCTCTCCTTCCTGATTTCCTTTAAGACAAAGTCTCCAGTGCCTCACTGAGGATTCAGCTCTGCTCAAGTCTGCCTGTTTCCTGGGGATACTGGACTGGAAGCCAGAAGCCAAACTATGCCAGGTGGGAGTAAAGATGCAGAACCCTGGAAAGGAGGTGACCTAACAGCATTTCCTGCTGTTATTAGAATAAGAGGACCATCTCAGTCATGTGCCCCAGTCATAGTCACAATCCCCAACTCCTTTTAGAGCTCCAGATCCCCCTCTAAACACTACACAGTCAGTCTGAGGTCACAGGGCTTATAGGCCAGCAGAGCACCTGACCATCTGGGGCAGTGCTGAGGTAAAGCCTGGGACAGGCTGGGCTGGGGAGACCCCTGGCATGGCAGAAGACAGATGTGATGAAGAATGTGTCTGGATTATAAATGAGTGGGGAGTCAAAGGCTGAGGGTTGGGAGGGAAACATCAGTCATCAGGGTCAAGGAGAGCCTGCAAGGCCCTGGTCAGGGGGTAGGGCAAGAGGCTGGCAGCTGAGGCCTCAGGGACAATTCAGAGAAGATTCCAAGAGGGTGAAGCAATTGATAGGTTCAGAACAAAGGCTGCAAATAATACCATGGAGGTAGGAGCTTTCCCTTGTTGATGTTGGCTGTGAGATGGAGACAGATCACCTCTTTAAAGGTAGGGTGTGAGGACAGGTTGCCATTGGGACATAACACATGGCAGAAGCAAGACAGAATTTTCCACAGGCAATAATCCTGCACCCACTAAAGGTCAGATAGGGTCACTCCAGAGCTGGAATTAGTAATTCGGCACTCCAGGATAATTTCAGACATCTAGTTGGTCACTCCATGTGTGCACTCCAAAACACACAATGATTCCACTAAATTCATTGCCTCTCCTCCTCCTTCCACACTCTGCCCACTCTTTGAGGCCCACTTGGAATCTTTCCTCACCCAGGACGTCTTCTAGGGCTAGAGTTAACATAGGTGCCAAACACTCGTTTGCTGAATGGATGAACGGCTCCTGCCGATCATTGGATCTGGTGAGTCTCAATTTTTTGTGTGTGCTGCCTTGGGTTGGGTTTCCTGGGAAACAGACTCTGAAATGGATATTTTCATGCAGGAAATTTATTGAGGTTGCTTTTGGCATCAACAACTTGGGGTGGGGAGTGGGGAGGAGAGGGAAGGGGGTGTGGAGGAGAGGGAAGGAAATGGGATTAGGCAGAGAGAGAAACTGAGCTGGGATGAAGGGTCCCAGCCAAGCCTACCGGGAGTTCTGGAGCTAGGATGGCCTTCTAAGTTGTCCTGTCCTGAAGCAAAAGGAATGGGTATTTACACCCCCACATCCACAGTTTGATGCAGGCTGCCCCAAGGAAGTGACCTTGGCTCTCCTTGGCTGAGGCAATTCCTAGAGAGGGACCTAGCTGAGAGACATCATCTATCAATACTCCTAGCTACAACTGGAGAAGTGAGGACCTCAATCCTGAAGGAGGGACCAGGTTGACATTCTACAGCATCCACTACATGTTCCAAGAGACTTGGATGAAATTGGGAGAAGGGCAACTATCAGAATTCCTGTAGGGAGTATATTTTTAAAAGTTGTCCAAAATGGTTCTATTGCATCTCCTTTTCCCCAATCCGCAGACTATTATGACTAGGAATTGCAGATCTACTCTAACCTCCTCCAAGACAGAGAGTTATTTGCCCAAGGGACACACAGTAGGCAAGTAGCTAGTTTGACTGGAGCCCCCACATTTGTGGGCTGATCTCCATTGCAGAGGGAGCCATATATCCCAAGCAAGCACCCATACCTCACCGGCTATCATATCCCCTGTAACAAACAAAGAGGCTAGCACACACCTAACCCCGAGAGGTTGTAAGTGTGTTGGGGGGGGGGAGGTGAGTGTGTCAACAAATGCATGCTGAATTGAATTGGTTTCTTTAAAAGCAGTTATCATGTATAGACATGCCCTTTGTGCTGTGTATACATGACTTAACCTGATGAGCAAATCCTCTGATTCTTAATTAACCTTTTCATTTGAACCTCTTGACCAAACAGCAAATGGAGGCTGGTGAATTGGAAATGACAGCTTCACCTCCCCCCATGTCCCGACCTGGCCCAGCCACCTAGGCTGGTAATTACCTTTGCCAAAGCTGGGAACTTTTTACAGGCTGATGAACAAATAATCTCCTACTAATAGCTGTGATAACCACAGAGCCCAGTTCTCTTCTCGTCTCTTTCCTGATTACCTTCTGTGAAGCCGGGGAGCAGGTTGTGACAATATTTCTAATATTTCCCTCCCTCTCTCTCAGCCTCTCTCCCCGTCTCCTTTAATAAAAAAGAGACCATGCAGACTAAGGGGCAGTGAGGAGGGAGAGGCGTTTGCCTGCAGAAGCCTCTCCCCACAGGAAAAGCCAGGTGCTCTGACCATGCCCTTTAGCAGACCTGCTGAACAGCTGATATTCCTGGAACATGCTCCTCGGTGGATGTCAAAGCAATTTGGAAGGCTGGTTCTTGGCCCATAGTCACATGGGGGTGGTGGGGAAGTGTTAGCACAGTCTTCAGCCTCCAGGGCTCAACAGAACTGAGCAAGGATCAGCAGGGAAGAAAGGGAAAATGGATGGAACAAAGAAAGGGAGAGGAAGAGGACGATGGGCAAGGATACAGGAGAGGAAGCAAAAGACTAGGTCCAGGGCATCTAGGGGGTCTGGGCCCAGAAAGGAGGTCCTGACAGTGGCCTGGGTCCCTGCACTTCCCCTTGAGATGGCTCATTGCTTCTGCCTGGACCACCTCCCTGTACCCACCCACCTCAAAATGTAATGGTAATGGCAGAATCCCTTTCAGAGTGCTTACTTTGGGCCAGGCCTGAACTATAGCTCATGTGAGCCTCATGCAACCCTAGGAGGTGGGCACCATTCTTCACATGTTACAGGTGAAGGGGCTAAAGCATAGAGAGTTAAGAAACTCATCTACGGTTCACACACAGCGAGATGGAGACAGGCTTTGGAGCCAGACAGTCGGACTCCGGAATCCAGCCCTTAATCACTCTGCCAAATTCTACCTTCCCCTTGAGCTCTGGGTACCTTTCCTGTGTGTACTTGATGTAGCAGAAACAGCACTGGATTTGAATCCCAGCTCCGCCTTCTCCCAGCTGTAGAACCCTGAGTAAGTTAACCAGTGCTGAGTTCTCTCATTTATGAAATGAGCATAAGCATGTCTGTCCTGCTTATTTTACAGAACGGGTGCGGGGATGGAGGGAGATAGTATTTGTCAAGGCCATTTGTCAGCTCCAGAGGACCCTGTACACATCAATTGGCATCCTCTTCCCTCTTCCCTTCCTCGTTATGAGCTCTCACAAGGACCATGATGGTCCACCTTGTTTGTCCAAGCCCCTCTCACATGTGATGGGTGCTCACAAATTGTATGTTTCTGTTGAGCAAATGAAATAGGGGGACCAGGCTGGGCGCAGTGGCTTATGCCTGTAATCTTAGCACTTTGGGAGGCCAAGGTGGGCGGATCACCTGAGGTCAGGAGTTCAAGACCAGCCTGGCCAAAATGGTGAAACCCTGTCTCTATGAAAAATACAAAAAAAAAAAAAAAAAGCTGGGTATGGTAGTGCATGCCTGTAGTCCCAGCTACTCAGGAGGCTGAGGCAGGAGAATTGCTTGAACCCAGGAGGCAGAGGTTGCAGTGAGCTGAGATCACACCATTGCTTTCCAGCCTGGGCGATAGAGTGAAACTCTGTCTCAAAAAAAAAAAAAAGAGAAGAAAAGAAAAAAAGAGGAGAGGAGAGGAGAGGAAAGAGAGGAAGAGAGAAATCAAATCTCCTCGCTTTCTTCCTCCCCCTTCTTCTTCCCCTTTCCTTCTCTTGTCCCCTCTCCTTCCTCTCTTCCCCTATATCTTCCTTCCTCTTCCTCCTCATTCTTTTCCCCATACCCAGTCCCCCTCCACTGCTTCCCAGGACTCACGCTCTAATGGAAAGACATTTGGCCCTCTCTTTCCAATCCTTCCCACACTCTACTTGGAGATAAAGTTTCCAAAACCACAACTGAGACCACGTCACATATGCTTAGAATCCTTCGATGGTTCCCTGCACTTACAGGAGAAGGTCAGAGCTTCTCAGTCCCACACTAAAGCCTCTGCCATCTGCCTCCACCTCTCTTTCCTGGCCTCATTTCTCATGACTTCTTTCTGGAATCGTCCAGTCCTCACCTGCCTTTCCACCATCATCAGTCTCTTTACCTGTAAAGACTTCATTGCTAGTGGGTTAGTTGTGCCTGACACATAGTTAGAAGTCAATAAATGGAATATATTTAAGAGGACATTCACCAGGGGCTTGCCCTGTTGTTTTAGAATCTCCTCTGAGGTCCCAAGGCTGAGAACTTCAGGTGTGAATTGCCCACACACTGTGAAGGGAGATGCCAGACCATCCAGTTGGGACTTGCTGAGAATGGTCCCTCACTGGTTCTGCATCCCCTGCCCCATTACACCTTAGCCCATGCCAAAGAGAAGGCTAGAGGTTCATCGAGGTGATTAGAGGGAGGTGGGGATTTTTAGACTTCTCAGCTAGTAGTGAGGCCTGGGATGACCCAGGGCCTCCCCATCTCCATCTCCCCAAGCTAACTGTGGGTGTTCCACTGGCCGGATGCCGTCATGGAGCTGGAATGAGAGATATAGGGAAGAACCTGACCTGCAACCCGCAGAGCTGGGAGAACACAGAAACTAGGGCCCAACCAGTCACCTCCCAAAGAGTCTCAAGTCAAGAGAACTGGAGCAGCCTGTGTCTGCAGCTGAGAGAAAGAGAGTACTGAGCAGGAAACAATCCTCACTTGTAGAGTTTAGTGCAGCAAAGATACAAGTCTCTCCAAGGACTGGGAGATGCAGGGGAAGGTGGATGGGCTTGAGCTGCATTGAGGGACCCACTCAGGAAGACCTGAGGACCACCTCCTGGGAAGTGGCAGCCCTAGCAGAAGGCTGTGTGGGTGACATATTGAAGGAAGGGGAAGAGGAGGGGGAGGAGGGGAGGAGCTTCTGAGGAGTTACAAAGTCATCAAGGGGTGGTGCATCACCCAAGGTGGTAGGGTACCCAACTGGTTATAGTATTATTTTAATTAGTATCTTTTCCAGCATTAAAACCTGAAACCTCCTCTACAAGAGTAGTCTAGACTAGGCTAGTTTGCCCACTATCTCCCTCCAGACCTCCAACTCATTTCCTCAAGCCATGCTGTCTCACTCTCTTAATAAAGCCTTCCCTGACTTTGTCTTTCTATGAACTTGTTACCTATGATAGCCATAGCTAGTTGCTTATCCCAGGGTTGATTATCCTCCTCTTTAAAAACAAAACCTTGTAGTTTTACCTGGGCACATGGCCACCCACAATAAAGACTGGTTTTCACAGTCTCTTTTGTTGCTAAGTATAGCAAATTAGATATAAGGAGCAGTATTTGGAGCCAGCTTCCAGTACATTTTTGTGAAAGGCTCCTAGCATATGTCCTTTAGCCCTTTCTTCTTTGTTCCTTCCTCCTTTCACATGCCTGGAATGCAGATGTAATGGCTGGAGGTCAAGCAGCCATTTTGGCCTATGAGATGTCTTTGTTGAATGGGAGTTACATGCAAGGATAATGGAGCAAAGGAGAAGGACCCTGGGTTCCTGACACTGTGGGGATGCTCTCCACGTTCTGGACTGCAAACCTCCACTTCAAATGACAGCATCCCTTTCCCTCCCCTCCCCTCCCCCTCCCCTCCCTCCCTCTCTCTCTCCCTCTCTCTCTTTCTCTCTTTCTTTCTTTTTTGAGACAGAGTCTCACTCTGTCACCCAGGCTGGAGTGCAGTGGCACAATTATAAGCTCACTGTGGCCTTGAACTCCTGGATTCAGGCCATCTTCCTGCCTCAGCCTACTGAGTAGCTGGGACCACAGGTGTGCACTACCATGCCTATTTTTAAAATTTTTAAAAATAGTGACAAGGTCTCACTTTATTGCCCAGGCTAAGAGTTATATTTTTGTCTTGGTTAGACCATTTTTACTTTGGGCTTCCTGTAGGAAGCAGCCAAACCCAATTCTAATGGGTACACTGCCTAAATCACTCACAGGCTAACACAGGTGAGAGTACCTGGCATAGGGAGTCCTATATGACAGTGTGTCAATCTCTTTTCTCTCTTAACACCTCTGACATCATAGCTTTATACAGTCTTTATATTGTGAGTCAACTATTCATAGGCATGTGTAACCTCAACTCTCTAAATATAGCTCCTATTATGTAGTGCTTTTCAAAATGACTTTACTCCTGAGCTTATTTAATCAGGCAAAGGATGCATTATTTTCCCCATTTACAGATGTGGCTCTGCAGGCTCTTCAGGGACTGAAGTAGGCTTGGTATCCAAGTCTTCTGGCTCTAGGTCTGCTGCTTTTTCCCCTACATTACACCCACAGCAGCTACAGCAAAGCTTCTTCATTCATTTATCTTTGTGTTCTTTCTATTGCAACTGGTATGAAGCTATGTGTACAGTAGGTGTTCAATAGATACATTATATAATGCTCCAGAAAGTTAAGCAATTCATCCAAGTTAGTTTCCAAAAGATATCTCGACCAGGGGTTGGCCAATTATGGCCATCAGGCAAATCTGACCCATAGTCTGTTTTCTGTATAGCCCTCCAGCTAAGAATTTTTTTAATTTTTTTTTTTTGCATTTTTAAATGCTTCTGGAAGAAGAGGAAAGAGAAGGAAATGAGGAAGGGGAAGGAGGAAGACACGAATGTGTGATGGGGACCATAGGTGTCCTGCAAAGCCTACAATTATCTGGCTCTTTATAGAAAAATGTGCTGCCCTGGTCTAGACCATCATCATGCAGCTGAATGTTTGATGTACCAGCAGAATCTTGACCAGTTGCTATCCCCTGAGAGACGCAATGACCTAGAGCGCTTGGTGATCCTGCTGCAGACAGCCTGTGGGATTAATTTCCACTCCTTTTGTCCCAGAACCCCCAGGAGGGGCCTCCCTCACTCTACCTTCTTGAAGAGAGATGGGTATACATTTTCCATCTTCACTTCCACCTCCTTCCTAAGACTTGGAAGACGTTCTGATTCACTGGTCAAATAGTCAAGCTCAATTTGATTAAAAATTCATTGGGGTTTTTTTTTTCCTGTAAAAAGGAATAAATGAGTACACACCAGTGGCTCAGACTGTAAACTGAAGCGTGAAAACCCCAAACAGGCTGAAACCATTACAGGAAAAACCATTAGCTCCAAAGCATTTCTATTTCCAAAAATACCAGCCTTCCAGAGGGAAAGCTGAGCCTGGTTCCTATTTCCAGCACCCCTGACGGCACGTTCCCTCATAAGCATCCCTTGGTTACTCACTCAGTAGACGTTCGAGTGGTTAAGAGAATAGGATTTAAAGTCTGATTGAATGTTACCAACTGTATTCCTTGGCGAAAGCACTTAATATCTCTGAGCCTCAGTTTCCTGTCTATAAAATAAGAATATTAACAATGTACCTTGCAGGGTATGCAAAGCGCTCAGCACAGATCCTGCCCCTCAGAGAGGCCTGCTAAATGGAAGCTGTATATTTGTATAATTACACAGATTAGCCCTTGTTCTTTCTCCCCTCCTCCTTCTGACTCCTTTATTTTTCCCTCTTAATTGCTCCTCAGTTTCTTGTTAAACCCCATCCCTGAAAGCAGTTCCAACCTACCTCTCTAACGTGGTCCTCTTCTTCCTGGCCATGGCCCTCAGCATTGGCACCAAATCTTTCTGAAACTGGCTCAGGCCATCGCCCTTCAACTCTCCAGCCAGGGGTCCCTTGCCATTCTTCTTTTTCACTTCTCCTCCCAGGTCAGCTTTCTGCACTTTTCTGGCACCGTGTAAATCTAGAGTCTAAAATTTCATCTTTCATTTGATGAGACACATTAAAAGCAATCAGTCCATTTTTGAGAGTGGGCTCTGTGCCATCCTTAATCTACTTACAGCTCCTGAGCTCGGCACACAGTAGGCGTTCAATGGACTTTGGCCGGCAGACTGGCTGGGAGAGTGAACAGTGACCAGGTGGTCAGCTTCAGGTGGGCAGACCATGGCCCGGTCCTGTAACCGATTTGAATCCTAAAAACCACTTTGGACTCAGGGACTGGGCCAGGCACAGACAAAAATCATTCAGCTGGAGGGCTGCCTGATGTAAGAGGAAAAAAAGAAAATGGATGTTGAAGTGAGATGTGTCTGGTTTGAATTCTGGCTTTGCCCCTGGCTATCTGAGTGTACTTGGCCAAGTTGCTTTGCCTCTTGAGCCTTAATTTCCTCATCTATAAGGAGTGAACCTACAATGACATACCAATTCACACCCAATAGGACGGCTGTAATCAAAAGGACAGATACAGGTTGAGTACCCCTTACATGAAATGTTGGGACCAAAAATTTTCAGATTTTGGAAAATTTGCATATATATAAAGAGATATCTTGGGGATGGGACCCAAGTTTAAACATGAAATTTATTTATGTTTCATACACACCTAATACAAATAGTCTGAAGGTGATTTTCCACAGTATTTTAAATAATCTTGTGCATAAAACAAGGTTTTGACGGTGTTTTGACTGCAGGCGGTCACATGGGAGTTTCCCACTGATGGCATCATGTCAACACTCAAAAAGTTTCAGATTTTAGAGCATTTGGGATTTGGGATTTTTGGATTAGGGGTGCTCAACCTGTAATAAGTATTGGCAAGAACATGGAAAAAACAGGAATGCTTATGCCCTTTTTTTGAGATTATAAATGGTGCAGCCACCATGGAAATCAATCTGGTGATTCCTCAAAAGTTTAAACATAGAGTTACCTTATGACTCAGCAATTCCACTCCTAGGTTTATACCCAAGACAAATGAAAATGTACATCCATATAAAAACTTGTATGTGAATGTTCATAGCAGCATTATCCATAATAGCCAAAAAGTTTAAAGAACCCAAATGTCCATCAACAGATGCATGGATAAACAAAATGTCATATGTCCATACAACAGAGTATTACTTAACCATAAAAAGGAATAAAGTACTAAAAAGAAAAGGAACAAAAATACCGACACATGGTACGACATGTATGAACCTTGAAAACACTGTGCTGAGTGAAGGAATCCAGACACAAATGTCCACATATTGCATGAATCCATTTGTATATGAAATGTCCAGAGTGGGCAAATCCATAGAGACAGAGAAGACATTTGTGGTTGTCAAGGGCTGGAAGGAGGGGGAAATGGGAGTGATTAAAATGTTCTTTTTAGGGGGTGATGAAATGTTCTAAAATTGGCTAGAGGAGACGGCTGCACAACTCCGTGAATATACTATAAGCCATTGAATTGTATACTTCAAAAGGATGAATTTTATGGTATGTAAATTTTATCTCCAAAAAGCTGTTATTTTTGTAAATGGGTGGGCAAGGCCTCCCCACCCACTTCCTGGGGTCATTGTAAGACTCTAAGGAAGGCATGTGTGCCAGGTTTTGAACACCACATTATACTCTTAGAAGGCTGGGATATGGGCCGGGTGTGGTGGCTCATGCCTGTAATCCCAGCACTTTGGGAGGCCGAGGCGGGTGGGTCACTTGAGGTCAGGAGTTTGAGACCAGCCTGGACAACATGGTGAAATCCTATCTGTACTAAAAATACAAAAATTAGCCAGGCATGGTGGTGCACATCTGTAGTCCCAGCTACTCAAGAGGCTGAGGTGAGAGAATCACTTGAACCTGGGAGGCAGAAGTTGCAGTGAGCCGAGTTCGTGCCACTGCACTCCAGCCTGGGAGACGGAGTGAGTCCCTGTCTCAAAAAAAAAATAAATAAATATATAAAAACAAAACAAAAAACCAGAAGACTGGGGTATGGCATCTGCCACAGACGGAGCTGTTTTCTGCTCTTCCCTCTTTTCTGCCCTGGCTCAGGCCTCCCTCTGGGAGAGACTTGCTGAGGAGTGGCACGGCCATCTGGTAGTGGCAAAAGGATGTTCTGGGCCTCCAATATGTCCATCCCAGGGCTGGGGAGGCAAGAAGTGTTTCCTCTCCGAGCCAAAGACTGGGAGGGGCCTGACACTGCCAGGGACACTCCCTTGTTCGTCCCAACACTGCTCCTCCACTCAGAGCACCTCAGGGTCCATCTTCCTCCTGGAGAAGGGCTCAGGCAATTAAACTTCAGGTTTTGGAGGAACTAGAGGCAAGCTGAGGGGAGCAGAGGAGGGCCATGGATGACAGACCACATTTTTAATAAAGGAGACTTCAGCTTTGTCAAACTCTTTGCAAGCCTCAAATGCTAAAATAATGATGATGGTGATGACTTATATTTATGAGTGAGTGTTTACTATCTGCCAGGCTCCATGCTAAGCATTTATATGTTTGACTTAATTTTCCCAAATATCTTGTGAGGTAGGGACTTGTTAACCCCATATTATGGATGAAAAGTTTGAGGCACAGAGATTTCAAGTGACTGGCCCAAGGTTGCACAGCTAGAAATGACAGGACCAAGATTTGCACCCTGGCAGCCTGGCACTACAACCTGTGTACTTAACTGCTCTGCTGGACCAAGTCAACCCTACAGGCTACACACAATGGAAGGCCAAGTTTATTACCAGGACTGTTCAATCACTCCCCACCAACCACAAGGAAATGGGTCTCAAACTTCACAGAGCATCAGAATCAGCTGGGTGGCGGTGCATGTGAAAAAAACAGAATAGGGTCCTGGGCCCACCCCAGGGATAGCAAGTCACTAAGCCTGGGGGGTTCAGGAATCTGCATTTATGACCAGCAACCCCAGGCGACCCTGCTGCAGGCTGTTCAGGACATATTTGAAGAGACTTGGCCTCCTAGCATCAAGACCCAACTTATGGGCCTGGCTGGATCTGCCCCGTGGAGTAAACACTTTCTGCTGTAAGCCACACCACACTCACCCCCCAACCTCAAGTCCATCCCATCTTTAAAGGCCCTGGTCAAGTTCCATGGAGCCCCCTAGGCCCTCCACAGGAAAAGTAGCCCACCCTGGCTTCCCCTTTTCTAAATACCTAAACCCATGTAGAGGAACCTGCACTGCTTCAGAACTCATTACAAACTGCCCGTTATTCTTACATCAGCGTCCCGTGGCTGCAGGCCTTTTCTGATGAACTAGATCACAAAAGCCTTAAACAGAGATGCTTTCTTTCTTATTCCTTGTGTCTCCCACACATCATTCAATAGACTGGTGGATTTGCTTTTGGACCTAATGCACCAACACTCCTGTTTCAACGATCAACATGGCTCGTGTGCAACTGGCCAGTTCATTATCTACCCACCCACGGGCAGAGTCCAAGCATCCGGATTCTTCTTCTACAGAATCCAGGTGCTTCCTCTATGCCATCCACTGTTCTAACACTGAGACTCCAGAGGCCACACTGTCTCTGAGGCTGACACCCCCAACAACTGCTCTCACTTGGTGTCTTTGGGTGTGATTTGAGGGATATCTGGCAATGGCTGGAGATTGTTTTGGTAGTTACGACCAGGGGAGTGGGGCTGCTGGCATCCAGTGGGCAGAGGAGAGGGATGCTGCTAAAGCTGCAGTGCATAGGACAGCCCTCCCTGCCCTCCAACAAAGCAGTATCTGGCCCAAAATAACAGGGCAAGGTTGAGAAATCTTGCTCTAATGAAATATGCTAAGACCTACGGCAGAGGTAGCAAGACAGGAAGCCAAATGAAAGAACAATTAACCCCCAGGGAGGAGGAGGGTTGGAAAAAAATTCCCAGAGGAGATGCTTAATACAATGAATTGATTGATGAACGATGGGTGGGAAGGGTTTCCCACAGCAGAGGCAGGGGAGGAAAGAGGAGTTTCTGGCAGCGAGGTGCGAGAATGCTTGGCAGGTTTGGGAAGCTTTTACTGGGTATGATGCGGCTGGAGGGCCTGGCACTCCTTCTTTTCATTCATTCTACACATCCGCTGTCATCTTATTTTCATTACTTATTTGCTCAGCAAACCTTGTCACCAAGCAGCATGGAATGGTCAGCTCTGGCCCTGGCTGGATCATCCTCGATTCTGAATCTGTGGTCTCTGCAAAGGCGGGATGGGGTTGAGCAAAAGGCACCCATAGAGCTGCACAGAGAGGTGTGACCACGTGAAAACACAACAGCACTGTGAAAACACAACAGTACTTTAAGGTTTTCAGCGGCATCATCTGAAAAGGTTACAGCACGAGGTGTGAGATCTCCTTGCCGGGAACTGTTAACGAGGAGTTCTCTGGGTGGCAAATGAGGAGAATGGATTTTTAAGAATGCCTGAGCTTCTCAAAGTTGGACAGGAATGCAAACACATTAAAAAGTAATGCTGGGAAAACATAATTCTGATAATGTTTGCTTCTTTAAAAACAAAAACAAGCCTCGATTGTAGTGTTGGTTGTTTTTAAATAGCTGTATTGCTTGCTGAGCCCGTCTTCGCCTGTCTCCCTCCCATGTCCCTCTCTGTGTCTGCTTCTCTTCCTCTAGCCTCCCCATCTCCGTCTCTCTCCTATCAAGTGGCTGGGCTGTGATGTGTGCATGCTTCTCTTTGTCTGTATTTTTGTGTTGCTTTGCTTGTGACTGTCATTCATGCCCTCTCTTTTACGGAGTTTTGATTTTTTTTTCCTTCTTTCTAGTCACCTGTTTCTGGCTGCTTCTCTCCCCCTGCCCTACTTCTTGAGCCCCTTCCTCCTCCTTCCCCTTCAGCCTCTCTCCAAGAACCGGCCACAGCATACAACTAAAGAGCATTTGTATTACTAGTTGTATTTACTGGAGAGAGTTACATGCTCCCCATTCTTGATTTTTAAAAGCAAATGACAGAGGCATTTTCTATTTTTCTCTCCCAAAAGCTCCCTGAATGAAGCTGCATTTTACTTTCATCTTCCTCCATTGAATTATTTTTTCATTCTGTAGGTCATTCTCTTGATAGGAAAAAAGATAAGTTCTCTACTAGAATTTTACAGTAATTTACAGAATAGGTGGCCCAGGTGATGTGCGATGTGCCACGGAGCGGGGATGAGGGGGAGGCTGCAGCGTGGCTCTGGGCTGGGGGTGCCCCAGGGCTCCACATTGAGGGCTTTTCATGTTGAATTTGATTTCAGTGGAGCCAAGACCTGCTTTGGGTTTAACAGATGCAGCTCTGGAGAAATATCTACAGATGCCTAATTCATCACCGTGGATTCCCTCGCCTTCAATGCAGGCTGTAGTGGCTGAAGAGAGACAGAAAATGATTGAAGATGAGTGTCAGGGAGCAAATCTTTTATATCTTAAAAGGAGAGAGATTTTCAGCCTGGCAGGAACATTAAAGTGGCTCCAGGAAACCTGGTACTTTACTGTCTTTTCTATGCAGGATACATTTTAGCTTGGTTAGCAGCTCCAGCTTTCTGACTTCTGGCTGGAGTTGACTCTCCGTCTTTTTGCCCTGGTCCCTATCAGAGGTCCTGAACTGGGAACTCACAGAGGAAAGGTCCAATGGAACATTAGTCCAGTTATTTCTAAGATCTCCTCTTCCAGAAAGCTTTCCTGGACTAACCCCCAAAACTGATTTGGGAGGGAGGATTGGTTCTCTGCCACTCCTGGCCCCTGCCTGGGGACATTATAAAGTCATAGGACATGGATCATCAGGGCTGGAAGGGTCCAATCAAATTGCCTTCATCTGATAGAGGAGCAAATGAGTCTCAGAGGGTGGGCATGATTTACTAAAAGCACGGGGTGGCAGATGTCCCCAGTCCCCTGCCAGGCCTGGCCACACATCTATTAAAGGTGATGCTACCTGGCCGGGGTCTGTGAGCCAGATCTCCAGCCCTTCTGACAGCTCCAGGATCCGGGGCACATGGCCAGCCTGGCACATAGATGGGTCCATATGGCAGCCCTTGGGGACCATCCCAAAGCACATGTGACATCCACCCCGAGAGAGCTCTCAGATGACCTCCTGAGGGAAGGAAAAGTGAGGCGCTGAAGCAATTACACCGGCGTCCACATTTGATCTCATTCAATTCAATACCACTTACTGATCAACTAGTATAAGCCAGACCCTTTGCTAGAACCTGGAGTATAGCATGAAGTATTGCGCCCTAGGGTATAATGCTGTGGTGTGTGGGGGTTGATAAAAGGTCAGAGATCCAGCCCTCCCTCCCAACTCAGCCTGGGGCGATAGCCCAGGAAAGGTTCCTGGAGGAGGTGATGTCACTAGAAATAACTGGACTAATATTCCTTCAGGCCTTTCCGCTATGAGTTCCCAGTCCAGGGCCTCTGACGAATACTGTGAGAACAAAAGCCATTCTGCTACATTGGGAATTCAGACCAAAGCACTTCTCGTTTCCATCGCAGCCTCAACACTCACCAGCTGTGTGACTATATGCATGTCACGTGACCCCGGAGTCTCTGGAGCCTGGGTTGAGTATTCAGCGAGATGTGATCTGCAAACGCATTTTGCACATTTCAAAGTGCTCCAACATTGTGGGCTGTTACAGCCCCCAGAACTCCGTTTAAATCCCCTGACCTTGGAGTGCAGTGAAATCAAAGCCGTCCCCACTCCTTTGAGGCTACAACAAAGAAGCAAACAAGGGGCCTGAAAATCTCTGTGCTCAGGCTTGACCTGGAGCCTGTCTGGGCCTCAGTTTCCTCACCTGTGGAATGAGAGTGTTGGCTTCTTTCTCTGAGCTCTGCCCCTCTCTGCAGCCCTGTAAGTTTAGGACAGCAGCCAAGAGTCTGAGGCTAGGTCCTTGAAGGTCCACACTGTAGTGCATGGGTGCCATCTTTGCCTGGCTGAGCTCACCCCAGGCAGGGACTTGGCCTTAGAGGCCAAGCCCAGGCCCTTGTGCAAGCTCTCACCCAGCCTCCCACCTCAAGCTAACCCCTGACTCTGACACTCTGGAGTGGCCATCAGCAGGGGAGAGGACCCAGCTCTATACAAGAACCAAGATGCTGGAAATGAGCTCCATCCCCAAAAAGAGGGAGTTAAGGAAAAAAAAAAAAATCTGCCATTTTCCTCAAAATAAAAACAGAGGCAGATGGCTGGGAGGGTTTCCATGGTTAATTAAATATGCTTTAGTCTCTAAGTTAATTATGAAATGAGTCCTGCAGGGGGATGCTCTGCTTTGTACGGAGCAGGTTCAGGTGAGTAGCTGGGATCTGTCTGGGGAGGCTCAGGGGCCCCTTTTCCATCTCTCCCCAGCAGGAATAAAAATTGTGTGGTCTAGGCCTTTAGGAGGCCTTAGTGGCAGGAAATGCTACCCACTCAGGGTAACAGGAGCCACTCCGCCTTTCTGAGCATCCATAGGAGACAGGTAACACCCAGCAGAATTGAGACTCCACAATTTCCCTTCTTGGAATCTCTTCTAAGGAAATTATCAGAAACTCAGATAAAGATTTCCTGGACAAGAATATTCACTGCAGCATCATTTATAATAATGAAAAATAAGAAACCTCCTAGAAGCCTGCAAATAGAGAACTGGCTAAATAAATCCTGGTACAACCAGACAATGAAATATTATGTAGTCATTAAAACGGTGTTTTTGAAAAGTAGACGATGACATGGAAGAATGTTCTGGTTGTTTAAGGTGAAAAAAGCAAGATGAAAAATTGTAGATAAAGTACCATGTAATTTTATAAATTGCTGTGCACAGAAAAAGGAGTGGCACATTAAATGCTAATAATGGTTATTTCTGAGAGGTAACATCTTGGGAGATTTTATTTCTATGTACCTTTTTGTATTTTCTTAATTATTTGCAATGAGCATGTATTACTCTCGCAATCAGCAAAATGATTTTTCAAAATGCCAGCACCTCTTACAATGGATTTCCAAGTGGGCTTGAACAATTTTATTGTACCTTCTTTGAAATAAATAAATTTTACTAAGGTCTGAGCTTCCAAGATTGATGAAAGTGGGCAAGTTTTCTTTTTTTTCTCTTTTTTTTTTTTTTTTTTTTTTTTGAGATGGAGTCTTGCTGTCACCCAGACTGGAGTGCAGTGGTATGATCTCAGCTCACTGCAACTTTCGCCTCCCGGGTTCTAGCAATTCTCCGGCCTCAGCCTCCTGAGTAGCTGGGATTTCAGGTGTGTGCCGCCATGCCCAGCTAATTTTTGTATTCTTAGTAGAGACAGGGTTTCACCATGTTGGTCAGGCTGGTCTCAAACTCCTGACCTCGTGAGCCTCTCACCTCGGCCTCCCAAAGTGCTGGGATTATAGGCATGAGCCATCATGCCCAGCCTGGTTTATTTTCTAGAATTCTCCACTTAAGGTGCTTTCAAAGGGAAGCGTTGCATATGTTAACTGGCCATTCCCACTGTGGAACATGATCTGCTGTCATCTCTGACAATGGCACAGGAGAAAGGAGATAGGTGTGAGTTCCTGGAACCACCTAATCTGAAAACTGCATGAGAACTTGAGGCTCACGAGAGCTGCAAGGATAGAGCTGAGGC
Organism: Homo sapiens; assembly: GCF_000001405.40. Lineage (NCBI taxonomy): Eukaryota > Metazoa > Chordata > Mammalia > Primates > Hominidae > Homo > Homo sapiens. The sequence goes on from NT_167251.2 coordinate 1,101,545, forward strand.
CCCCGGAAGCAGGAGGAACCCTTGTGGTTTGGAGAAGCACACAGCACGATGACAAAGTCAATGGTGAAATTTCAGTTCTGGCCAGGACCACAAGACTGGACTCTCCTTGGTCTCTGGGACTTCCTTAGAGTCGCCAAAATCATGCAGGGACAGTGGCAGCCAGGCTGACTGTAGAAGCTTAGAAGGCCATGTTGGCCTCACATGCCTAGTGGCATGAAAAGATTAGGGGATAGAAATAGAAGAAACATTCAGAAATGTTTCTATGGTTCAATGCCACTCGGACATAACCACTGGCACCATTCCCTATCAATTCAGCAAACCCCCATCACCAAAAGAACTCACATCCCAGGATTAAATAGGGCGGACCATTACTAAGAGAGGGGAAGGAAGGAATTTGATGTTTTGTCTTATGAAGTTCTATCTGGTGATGGCATCCCCCACTCCGCCCGCCGCAGGAGCCCTTGTGTATACATAGCCATCTCGTCAACATGTGAAGGCCTCGGGTGGCATCAGGGCTCTCTTGATGTTTCAGTGCCAGACATACTGCTCAGGCTTACACGCGTCTTCCCTAGCTTCCAGAATGTAGCCATCAAAGAAGGGAGCATACCAAGACTGCATAAACCCTAACTGTCAGGAAAGTAAAGAACTCCACCTCTAGCTATCTAAACCCCAATCGCAAAAGGACACAATGAAATGTGGTGAAAAAGAACTGAAGGCCAGGTGCGGGGGCTCACGCCTGTAATCCTAACACTTTGGGAGGCCAAGGCAGGAGGACTGCTTGATCCCAGGAGATGGAGACCAACCTGGACAACATAGAGGGACCCTGTCTCCACAAAAATGAAAATAAAAATAAATTAGCTGGGCCTGGTGGCTCATGCCTGCAGTCCCAAGTACTTGGGAGACTGAGGCTAGAGGATCATTTGAGCCTGTGAGATTACAGCTGCAATAAGCCATGACTGCACCATTGCACTCCAGCCTAGGCAACAAAACAAACCTGTCTTCAAAAAACGAAAAGAAAAGAAAAAAGAAATGGAGACATTAGTGAGTGTTATCAGCTATAATGTGAGACACTCTCTAGGAGAATAAAAGGGGGAGGGATCAGGCCACACTGAGGAGGTAGCCTGGAGTATCTGTTGCTCCTTGTAAACTTAGGCAGTCTGCCGTAAATTTCACCGTAATTCCAGAAGCTGGAAACCATCATTCTCGGCAAACTATCGCAAGGACAAAAAAACCATACACCGCATGTTCTCACTCACAGGTGGGAATTGAACAATGAGAACACACGGACCAGGAAGGGGAACATCACACACCGGGGACTGTTGTGGGGTAGGGGGAGTGGGGAAGGATAGCATTAGGAGATATACCTAATGCTAAATGACGAGTTAATGGGTGCAGCACACCAACGTGGCACATGTATACATGTGTAACAAACCTGCACGTTGTGCACATGTACCCTAGAACTTAAAGTATAATAATAATAAAATTTAAAAAAAAAGAAAGAAAAGAAAACACATACGTTAGCTAAATTCTGAGGCCCAAGACGAACCTTGGTGCATCATTATATAAAACTAATAAAAGTGGAAACTTGTGTTTAAAAAAAAAGAAAAAAGAAAAGAAGCTCCCCTTGAAGCTTCAGCTACAGGAAGGAACAGCAATTACTAAAAGTGCTTTCAAATCTCTCTCACCATAATCCCAGCATGACAAAGACCTGGCCCTATCCACCAAAACTTTTCAAAGCTCTCCATTTTCCTTTAGAAGACCGTCTTAGTTTTATAATGGAATTTTAAAAAAAATGTTACTCACACTATGAATAGTTTCTTTATAGCCAGCTGTCTTGGAATGGGTCTGTTATCAAAGTGAAGACTATCTGTCTCCTACTTCATGGTAACAAATTGCTCTTCCAACAAGATCATTAACATGAACCCAGACATACGTCCCAGCCTCAAGGATTTTTGGCTTTTGAACCATCACCACTGTTATAGGTTTGGACTTTGACATTCCTAAATTGATTTTTCTTCACCAAATCTGGACTTTTTCACATCCACTGGCAAATATGTTGGGATGTCATGAGGTGACATAAACTACCAGCCAGCAGCCCCATTTTTGAAGTATCTCTATTCCACTTGGCTCATATTGTATAGCCTGTTGATGCAATTGTTTGAATATGTTGTTGTGTTTATTGATAGTAAAAATGAGCAAAAATGGGAAATTTAAAGTATAGGTACTAGGTAATAAACAAGAAAGGGTCTCACAAAGTTAATATAATTAAAATTAAAATGAGGCCAGGCGCAGTGGCTCATGCCTGTAATCCCAGCACTTTGGGATGCTGAGGCGGGAGGATCACCTCAGGTCAGGAGTTTTGAGACCAGCCGGGCCAACATGGCAAAATCTGGCTTTTACTAAAAAATGCAAAAATTAACTGGGCATGGTGGCACACCTGTGGCCTCAGTTACTTGGGAGGCCGAGGCAGGAGATTCTCTTGAACCTGAGAGGCAGAGGCTGCAGTGAGCTGAGATCGTGCCACTGCACTCCAGCCTGGCCAATACAGCAAGACTGTCTCAAAAAATTAATTAATTAATTAATTAAAAATAAAAATAAAAAATGAAAGTTGTTTTCATTTTAGCCCAGTGTTCATTTAACTCAAGTTGGTTGACTGGATTCATGTGTGAGGGGTAAAATAGTTGTTCTTTTTTAGGGTCTCACTGTCACCCAGGCTGGAGTGATGTGACATGATCATGGCCTACGCAGCCTTGACCTCCTGGGTTCCAGTGATCTTCTACCTCAGCCTCCCAAGTAGCTGGGACTTACAGGCTTGTGCCACCACACCTGGCTAACTTTTTACTTTTTTTTTTTGTAGAGATGGCGGTCTCACTATTTTGCCCAGGCTGGTCTCAAACTTCTGGGCTCAAGCAATCCTCCCACCTCAGCCTCCCAAAGTGCTGAGATTACAGGCTTGAGCTACTGCACTCAGCCAGAAAATAAGGCCTTAGAAATAAATTATAAGTGATCATGTTCTTAGAAGCAAAATATAATTAGGGAGTTGTCATTATTTTTAGCTGAGTATAGAATCCACCTTAAAACATAGAATAATAATTATTAACATATTCAGTGCATACGACCCTGTTCTGAGCGCTTTATATATATATTACTTAATTTGCACAAGAACCCTAGAAGGTGGTTTCTATAATCATTTCGTCTTTCAGAAAACTGAGGCACAGAGAGGTCTCAGCCACACACCTAGGAAGTGGCAGATATATGCCCGTGTAGGTAGGTCACTGTCCACATTCTTAACCGCCAGGCTCTCCTCCTTCTTGCATAGTGTAAGATTATTATCTAACTTTGATACATTTATATTCTTAGACATTTTCAGGAACTTATTACATGTGAAAAAAAAAATGGCTGGGTGCAGTGGCTCATGCCTGTAATCCCAGCACTTTGGGAGGCCGAGGCGGGCACATCGCAAGGTCAGGAGTTCGAGACCAGTGTGGCCAACATGGTGAAACCCCGTCTCTACTAAAAATACAAAAAATTAGCAGGGCGTGGTGGTGGGTACCTGTAATCCCAGCTACTCAGGAGGCCGAGACAGGAGAATTACTTGAACCCGGGAGGAGGAGGTTGCAATGAGCTGAGATTGCGCCACTGCACTCCAGCCTGGGTGACAGAGCGAGACTCCATCTAAAATAATAATAATAAGAAGACAAAGTTGTACTGGGATAGGACAGTCTTTGGGGAAGCCATTTCTCTTTGCTGCTTAGCTTTTGTGAACATGCTGTGGTCAGCTTTCAGACCTCAGGTTAAAGACGGATTGAGGAGGAATTTAGGTGAGATCAAGATAGAAGTCATCTTGCCATGATCAGAGTCATTAGCTTGTGAACAACCCTATTTATACTTAAGGTTAGGAGGCTGAGTTCTGTTCTGGGAAACACACTAAAACTCCTGCACAAGGCAGAAGCCCTCGTGTTTGAAACAAAAGAAAACATCTTTGGAAAGGGGCTGCTCAGATGCAAGATGTTTGCATGGGATGGAGATTTACCTGTCACTGGGAACATTGCCAGTAGCCTGGAGTGTAGCTGTAACCCGACACTGATCCATTTGGATGCAGGGAAACTGAGGTCAGCCTAGGAGGAGAAGGATAGAGGATGTACCCACTGTGCCGATCTGATCTCAGATCTCCCTGAAGCAGGTTAGGTGTTAGAATTTCAAAGTGAAGAGGCGAGTGCTTCATCAGGATGGATGCTGACAGCCCTTAAGCTTGGAAACCAGATTTGCTGGGAGTAAACATCCAGGTGGGCCTAGACTGGAAAGCTGGTACCAAGTTAGTTAGACCATTTTATGGTTCACAAAACCTTTGAAAAGCGGCAAACACTCCAGAAAAAAATAAAAAAGTATTTGTGCATACAGCTGTAGATTTAAGACAGGCAATGCATCTCCTACCCTCAAACAAATCCATACCCCTCCCCAGGTTAAGAGCGCCTGCAGAGCGTGAGGGTATTTGGGATGTGAGCCATGAGCCGGGAAGGCTAAAAGGGCCGAGCAACATGGGTCACATGATCCGTCCTCTGGTTCAATGCCAGGTCCGGAAGGTTACAAAAGGTCTCCGCACCAGGCTATGCCTGTCAGAACCCCTCACAAGCTGTTCTCATTCACACTCACAGCATCTCTGTGAGAGGCATGGGGTGGCAACCTCATTCCTCCCATGGCCATTCAGGAAAAGGGAGAGCCGGATGCCTTGTCCATCTGTCCATCCTGGGGCCTGCCCTCCCTGCCTGTCCCCACACCTTGCCCCTCAGGCTGGGCAGACACCCCATCCATCTGCCTTTCCTCTACTTCTAGTGTGGGAGGTGGGTGGAGGGGAGTCAGGGTGTCTACAGACGGGGTTTCAGCTCGAGGAGGCCTGGGGACCCAAAATTCAAACCACTTAGGAAGAGGCTGCTGTGAAAAGGGATGGTGCGGTGTAGGGCCCAGGAAAGAGCTTGGAGGACCTTGAATAGCAGGATGAGGGGCCAGGTTCCTCACAAACAGGACCAAGGAGCCTGTGGAGGTTCTTCAGGGAGAGGGTGGAGCAGGATGAGGGTGGAGTTGCAGGAGGCTCCAGGCAGCCCCTCGACTGTCCTGCAAGCACAGGCTAATGGAGGCTGTTGGCCATGGCTATGGTAGAAGCTGTGGTTGGGAGAGAGGTGGCAGGGGAGTGTCCCATCAAAGCATGGAGCTGTGGAGAGGGAGGCATCCCAGAGTGGGCTCTGCCCCCACCTGCAGAAGGGGGTGTGGAGGAAGGGCTTCAGATGCCAAGTGCAATGCCCCAGGCCCCGGGAGAGGGGCAGGATCTTCTGATGCCGCTGAGCAGTAGCTTCCCGAGGCTGCCCCAGGTGCTTGTGTCCAGCCCTGTGCGCTCCTGATCTGACTCTCCCAGGAAGGTGCCTCCTGCTGAGCTCTGGGTGACAAGATGGAGTCAACATGCATTACCCCAAGCACGTTTCTTTTTCTGTGTTTTGTTTTTTTTTTTTTTTTTTTTTTGAGACAGGGTCTCGCTCTGTTACCCAGGCTGAAGTGTAGTGGCATGATTATGGTTCATAGTAGCCTCAATCTCTTTAAGTCAAGCAATCCTCCTGCCTCAGCCTCCCAAGTAGCCAGGACCATAGGCATGGCACTATGCGCAGTTTTTTTTTTTTTTTTTTTTTAGTAGAGACAAGGACCCTCATGTTGCCCAGGCTGGTCTTGAACTCCTGGCCTCAAGCAATCCTCCCTCCTCAGCTTCCCAAAAAGCTAGGATTACAGGCATGAGCCACTGCACCTGACCTTGAGCACATGTTTCTTGGACAAGTGCCAGCTGTTGGCATCTGTGTGGCTACAGAGCAGGAATCAGGACGGAGGTGAAGAGAGGGGCAAGGCCAAGGGCAGGGGTGATGTTGGTGTCATTGCAAACAGACCTGGGCACACATGTCTGTGAGGGAGAATCAGGAGATGGTATTGCTGAAGGAAGCTACACGTTTGCACAGAGGCTCTTAAAGCCAAGCTGTCACATCCTCATCCTTGGCTCACTAGATCTTTAGCAGACAGAGCTGACCTACCCTGGGGCACCCTACAGGGCAAAGGCTATGAGAGCAGGGTTCACACACCTTACTTAGAGAATCCAGGGCCAGAGAGCACCAGGTTCAACCTTCTCATCAATATGCATGCAGTCGGCTCAAGTTCTATGCAAGCCCCAAAAGCGGTGGGTCTTGCCCAAAAATCACTGAGATCATCAAGACAGCATCAAGAGTGGGAAAGTATGGACCAGAGCAGACAGACTGGGCTCAAATCCTGGCTGTGCCACCGATGAGCTCTGCAACCTTGGTCACATGACCTGACCTATCTGAGCCCCAGTTTCCTGACATGGACAACAGGGGTAATAGCACTAACAGTAAATGGAAGGACACACATCCAAGCACTGCACTCCATCCTGACAAATGCTGGTTCTCTGTCCAGGTCTTTGGGTACCACGCCTGCCTCAGTCCTCTCACCTACCCACTCAGCTTGTCGATGAAGGCTGTGGCTCCTGACTTGTGTATTAGTTTCCCATCATTGCATTTAAAAAATGACCCACAACTTAGTAGCTTAAAACAACAAACGTTTAGTATCTCACAGCTTCTGTGAATCAGAGATTCAGCAGCAGCTTGGCTGGGTGGTTCTGGCTTAGGGTCTCTAATGAGGTTGCAGACAAAACATTGGCCTGGGCTGCAGTTCTCCGAAGGCTTGACTGGGGATGGTGGTTCGGCTTCCAAGATGGCTTATTCCCACAGCTCTTGGCAAAAGGCCTCGTTTCTTTGCTAGCTATTGGCAGGAGGCTTCAGTTTCTCACCATCTCTCCACTGGGTTGCTTGAGTGTCCTCACAACATGGCAGCTGGCTTTCCCTTGCAGTGAGTAATCCAGGAAAGAGAAGGAAGCCATGGTGCCTTTCATTACCTAGTCTCAGAAGTCACATATTCTTGTTTCTACTTTCTGCATTAGAAGGAAGTCACTGAGTCCACCCACACTCAAGGAGAGGAAAATTAGGCTCTGCCACTTCAGGAAGGAGGCTCAACGAATTTTTAGACATATTATGAAACCACCACAACTTGAAACAAATGTCCTCTCCAGTGACTTTTGGCTTTTCTTACATAGAACAGAAACAAATGGGCTAGGGACCCTTGGCAAATGGGGAGCCCTGAGTGTTGGCGTGTCTGGCTGAAGTGAGGCTAAGATAGCCATAGATCTGAGGACACTGCCAAGGTCTCCATGATCCTCAGCAAACAGCCCCTGGAGGATAAGGCAGGACTGGCCAGGGGCAGGGGTGGGTGGGGTGGGGGATGCAGGCACACCACACCATCCTGCAGCCCCATTCTAATGGCCTGAGTTGGGCTTGGAGGGGAATGAGCCGGCAAACCCACAAGACTCATCCAAGAGGCGGGGGGCAGTTGTAACAATTTGGGGCACAGCTAAGACAGTCAGTCGGGGTTTGAACCTTAAGTGGGGGAGAATCCTGGCACCCATTGGGAGGTCTCTGTGTGCCAGTATTTCCCATTATCCCAGATGATGAGAGTCACCTGCAGTGCTTGTTAAAGGGCCCCAGCTCTTTTTTGTTTGTTTTTTTGAGATGGAGTGTCACTCTGTCACCCAGGCTGGAGTGCAGTGGTGCAATCTCGGCTCACTGCAACCTCTGCCTCCCAGGTTCAACCTCCCGAGTAGCTGGGATTACAGGCGCCCACCACCACGCCCAGCTAATTTTTGTATTTTTAGTAGAGATGGGGTTTCACCATGTTGGCCATGCTGGTCTTCAACTCCTGATCTCAGGTGATCCACCTGCCTCAGCCTCCCAAAGTGCTGAGATTACAGGCATTAGCCACTGCATCTGGTAAAGGGCCCCAGCTCTAACCGACTGCTTCCTAATTTTTTACAGCAGCGGACAGGTGATCCAGAAAGTTAGCAAGTGCCCTGGGATTCTTATGCTCATTTGATAGGAGAAATGATCTGATAGGAAAAAGGACATTTGGGAAGTATCATAGGGCTAACGGGAAGGAGGACAAGCCAGTGAGAACCACAGCTGGCTTCTGTGATCTGTAAAATGGGAACAACCAGGACTACCTTGATTGCCTAAAAGCAAAAGCCTTGAACAAATGGCTTCTTGGGGTTCCTTTCAGCTTTGGACCAGAGCAGAGAAATGAGGAAGATTTTAGCAACTGGAATTTTAGCCCCAGGAAACTCCCTTAGGGAAAGAGATGGCAGTTAAGGCAGAGGAAGCAGGTATCCCCATCTTTCCCCTAGGTGCTGAGACACATCTGAGGAGTTGGTGTCTTGGGGCCCTCTAGAGCCCCCCGGGGCTGCCCACCCACTCAGTAGCCTTGGCAGAAGAAAATGTGTCAGCTGGGCTTGGCAGCTCTCCCAGCACCAGCCCAAGATGCTCTGAACAGAAATAAAATCTGCCTTCTCACTCCAGAGGATGGGCTCTCCTGCTCCCTATGAGTCAGCCCCACACGTGCAAACCCAGAATAAGCTGGGTGGACAGATGGAGGGAAGAAGGGAGGGGAACCTGATGCAGGCTGTGGGGCAAGCTGGCAAATCCAAGGGCTTTGCTGGCAGGGAGATCTGGGTTCGAGTCCTGCCTCTACCACCTCCTGGCTCTGTGATCTTGAGCAAGTTGCATGGCCCCAGTTTCTTCATCTGTAAAATGGGAATAAAAATACCACCACGGGCCCAGGCGCAGTGGCTCACGCCTGTAATTCCTGCACTTTGGGAGGCCAAGGAGGGTGGATCACCTGAGGTCGGGAGTTCGAGACCAGCCTGACCAACACAGAGAACCCTCGTCTCTGCTAAAAAAAAAAAAAAATTAGCCAGGCGTGGTGGCGCATGCCTGTAATCTCAGCTATTTGGAAGGCTGAGGCAAGAGAATCGCTTGAACCCGGGAGGCAGAGGTAGTGGTGAGCCAAGATTGCACCATTGCACTCCAGCCTGGGCAACAAGAGCAAAACTCCGTCTCAAAAAAAAAAAAAAAAAAAAAAAAAAGGCCACCATTGCAGTTATGAAGAGAAGACAGCAGAGCTTAGCTCTGGAGCCAAACTTCCTGAATTGACTCCTGGCTCAACCACTTACCACCTGTGTAACCATGTGCAGGTCACCTAACTTCTTAAAGCCTCAGCTCCCCATCTGTAAAATGGAGGTAATTACAGTGCCTACCCTCCCGGTTGCTGTGAGGATTTAATGCATTAATTCATATAAAGCATTTAGAATACTAAAGGATCTGAGCACCTGAGAATCTTGGTATTCATGGGGGTCCTGGAACAAATCTCCCACAGATACTGGGGGACAACTGTACTACCAGGCACACTGTCAACGCTAAGTGCTCACTGTATAAAGGAAGGCTTGGCAGCACCCAGGGACTGCTCTTTGTCACCCTATAGCATTCCCTTCCCTCCAGAAGGCTGTGCACCTACCAGGTGCTGGATGGAGCTGGGGAGGAAAAGGCGGGGAAGGGAACTGGCCTTCACTGAATCTTGGTGACATGCCACTGTGCCAGGTGCTTCTACATCCAAGTCCTCCTCCTGCTCTGTCCCCTCCCTCCTTCCTCTCCTGGTTTGTTTCCATTCCACACTCCTTCACCCGCACAGGTCATCCCCCCAACCCCGTATTGCAACACTCCTAACCAGAGATCGGTTAGTTGACAAACTTGAACTGAGGTCCTCCCTAATCACAAAGCCCCATAGAGAGTTTCTAGGAAGGAGCCAGGGTGCCAGGGGGTTGGGGGATAGGACAAAGGAAAAAACCAAAACCCAGATCTCAGGGAGCACTGGGTGCCCCACCTTGGAGAAGCAGGTGTGGTTGGAAGCCAGGTGGCAAGCCAGCTTTAACCACACCAGTGATAACGCCGCTCTAGGCCAGTGCTTTGCAATACTCTGGAATCAGCAGGCAGCTTTAAAAGTTCTGGTTCCACCCCTAGAGAGTCCAAGGTAATGGCCCTGAGATATGGCCCAGGCATTAGGAGTTTTTAAAACTCTCCAGGTGATGCTCAGATGCAGCCAGGGCTGAGAGGTAGGACCCCATAACAGTGATGATGCTTAAACCGCAGCATGCATACGAATCACCTGGAGGACTTGTTAAAACACACATCACTGGGTCCCAACCCCAGAGTTTCTAATTCAGTAGGGCCTTGGCACTCACCGCAAAAGCTGTACTTCTGTTTCCAAATGACCCTGATACTGCTAGTTCCCTGGGAGTATACTTTGAGAACCACCCTCCTAGGATGGTGATCAACAAACTACAGCCCTTGAACCAAAAATCCAGCCTGTTTTGTAAATAAAGTTTTACTAAAACACAGCCATGCCCACTGATTTACATATTGTCTATGTCTACTGTCACAATACAAGAGTTGAGTAGTCAGGACAGAGACCACGTGCCTTGCATGGTCTAAAATACAATCGAGCTCTTTACAGAAAAAGATTGCTGACCCCAATTCCAGAAACCTGTGAAGCCACAGATAGCAGGATCCTGAGTCCCTGAGTGACTGCCTGGAGCAGAGCTTTCCTACTGACCTGGAGATGTTTTATGAGGAAGAAATAACTGTCAACATTCTTTAAAGCAGTGTATTTTGAGGCCTCTTTATTACATGGCTCAGCCTCTGCTACATTCCTAATCCTGGCTCCAGCATATCCTGGCTATCCTTATAACCTCTTGAGCCTCAGTTTGCCCATGTGAAAAATGTGAATAATATTGACCCTATGGGTTATTGGAAGGATTAAATAAAATATAAAACCCTGGCAATAGATCTTAGTTTTCTTATTGCTGCTCCCTTTGAGGGTGGGGGAAGGAAATCATTTCTGTTCCCCAAGAAGTCCCAGTTGGCTGGGGGAAAGCAGGTGACCATCTTTGTCACCCTACAGCATTCACTTCTGACCCTATGACATGTCACAATCTGACATGCCAGAGAAAGTTGCTAAACCTCTAGATGCTTGTTTTGCTCCTAAGCCAAAACACACTTCGTTTCCCCACTCCCATCCCCTGTTCCAAATTAATCCAGTTTTCTTTTATTTGGAGGCTGCCATAGCTGTTCACTTACACAAGTGTCCTTTTCAACTCCGTGAGCCAATCTTGGAGCTACTTTAAAATAACAGTTTCTCTAGGTGTGGAAGCCTCTGGCTGGGCTAGAGGGTGAGGCAACCGGCTTAAGTGGCCGCCCACGGCTGGGGAGGGAAGGAACTAAAGGAGAGCACTCTAAACCAAGGTCAGTAATTATATGGTTTCTACTTGGCTCGCTTAGTGCCAGCTGTGGAGTGAGGTTGCCACTCGCCTCTACTGGTAGAGAGTGGGTCGCTTGGTTTAAAAGCATGTCTTCATCATCTGCTGAATGTCAAATACTGTGTTAAGGAGCTGGGGAGGAAGGCAGGGGAAGGGACACATAAGAAACAGACCTAGAAATGTCACCATCACCAGCACTTTACAGGAGGCAGCTAGAAAGAGGCCAAGAAGGCCAGGTGTGGTGGCTCATGCCTGTAATCCCAGCACTTTGGGAGGCCGAGGCGGGTTGATCACCTGAGGTCAGGAGTTCGAGACCAGCCTGGCCAACATGGTGAAGCCCTGTCTCTACTAAAAATACAAAAATTAGCTAGGCATGGTGGCGCGCACCTATAATCCCAGCTACTCGGGAGGCTGAGGCAGGAGAATCATTTGAACCCAGGAGGTGGAGGTTGTAGTGAGCCAAGATTGTGCCACTGCACTCCAGCCTAAGTGACAGCGTAAGACTCCACCAAAAAAAAAAAAAAAAAAAAAAAAAGAGAGAGAGAGAGAGAGAAAAAGAAGAGGAGAGGAGAGGAGAAAAGAGGCCAAGAAGCCACCAGGTCTAAAGGCTCAGGGGTGTCAGGGTCCCTGCATTAGAGCCCCTTCCACACCTGGCTGATCACCCAGTCACCTGGAGAGTTTATAAAATATGCAGGTTCCCAGGTCTACCCAGGCCCATAGAAGCAGATTCTCCACAGTTGTAAGCAAGCTCCTTGGGTGACTCTCATGGTGCCTGGCACTGGCCTTAGAATAGACTTTGAGGCAACACTACGTGAGATGTAATAAGAAGAAGGACTTTGACATTCACAGATCTGGGTTTAGATTCCAGGTCCAGGGCACAAAAAGGACCAAGCATAAAAGTAAAAATGGATAAGCTGTACTATATCAAGATAAAAAAAACTCTGCTCTTCAAGACATACCATTAAGAAAATGAAGACAGGCTATAGGCTGATAGAAACTATCTGCAAAAACTAGAGATACCATTTGACCCAGCAATCCCATTACTGGGTATATACACAAAGATTATAAATCATGCTACTATAAAGACACATGCACACGTATGTTTATTGTGGCACTATACACAATAGCAAATACTTGGAACCAACCCAAATGTCCATCAATGATAGACTGGATTAAGAAAATGTGGCACATATACACCATGGAATACTATGCAGCCATAAAAAAGGATGAGTTCATGTCCTTTGTAGGGACATGGATGAAGTTGGAAACCATCATTCTCAGCAAACTATCGCAAGGACAGAAAACCAAACACAGCATGTTCTCACTCATAGGTGGGAACTGAACAATGAGAACACTTGGACACAGGGTGGGGAACATCACACACCGGGGCCTGTCATGGGGTCGGGGGAGGGGGGATGGATAGCATTAGGAGATATACCTAATGTAAATGACGAGTTAATGGGTGCAGCACACCAACATGGCACATGTATACGTACATAACAAACCTGCACATTGTGCACATGTACCCTAGAACTTAAAGTATAATTTAAAAAAATATAAAAAAAAGAAACTATCTGCAAAACGTATATCTGATAAAGGGCTAGTATCCAGAAAATTAAAAAAAAAACGCTCTCAAAACTCAATAGCAAGCCAATAAACAACCAGTAAACAACCAATTTTTTTAATGGACAAAAAATTTGAACAAGTATGAACTAAACAAGATGGCAAATAAGGACATAGAAGATGCCCAACAATATTAGACATTAGGAAAATACAAATTAAAGCTACAAGATACCACCTAACACCTATGAGAACGGCTTAAATCAAACCCCGGGTCTACTGATTACTATCTGTAAAACCTCAGGCAAAGTACTTGACCACCCTGTGCCTCAGTTTACACAGTTGTAAGACAGGGATAATGCCTACTCCGTGGGGTTGTCAAAAATTTTTAAAGTAATGTATCAAGAGTGTGCATCACTAGGTGCCTTCGGTTTCCATCTTTCCTTTGCCCCACCTTTTCTCCTATACAAGGGACCTGAATCATTTACTCAAGTTTTTTTACTCTGCAATACTTCACCATCTAAAGCCTAATTATCTTGTTTCTATTTCATAGGAAAAGAGACTGTTGAAGGTAGGCCCAGTGATGGCAGGGAGGAAGAACAGCAAAAGATATCCACAATGTACCCACTCTCTCGTTCGCTCCTTTCTTCATTCATTCATTCACTCACTCATTCACTCATTCATTCACTCATTCATTCATCATGACGTACCTGATGCCTTCAGACACTGCACTAGGATCACAGAGATGAAGGAGCCCCAGTCCTTTCCCTCAGGGACCCCTCGTTCCTGAGGGAAGACAGAAACATCCTCTTAGCCTGGTCTCTCTCAGTTGAGTAACAGAGCCAGTTCACCCCAGCTCCAGGAAAGTTAGACCTCATGTGGCTGGGAAAGCTGGGACTCATAGACCCAAGGAAGCAACCAGAGCCTCAGGTGCTCAAAACCCCAAGACGCTCCCCTAGTCTCTCACGTCTGCTTGTCTCTTCTTTCGCAGGGGTCTCGCCCTCTCTCTCACATCCCAGATCCCGCCGCTTCCACGTGCTGGGCACCACCTGCAGCCTACGCAGTGCCTACACGTGAGCAGCTCGTGTTTGCCCAGGGGAGGATTCTGATTGGCCCTGCTTGGGGACACACTCTATCTTTTGGCCAATCACCTTCACGGGGATGGCAGTCACGTGCGATCTGAGCGTGCAGCTCCCAGGAAGCAGGGCCAGAGACAACTTGGATGCAGGTGGTTAACCGGGGAGGCAACCATGTGAAGCAATCAGGGGGTGAGGAGGGTTAATGAGGTGGTTCTTAAGTGGGCCTGAAGCGGTGTGGAGTACACATCAGAATCGACTCCCTGAAGGCCGGGAGGCTGAAGCACCTATCCCCCTCCTCTTGCCTCCCACTTCCTCCTCCCGCCATTGCCATTCCAGGTTGCACCTGTGCAAGGACTGAGCCGAAAAGGCACAGTGAGGGGCAGCTGCTGGAGCTGGGGTTGGAAGAGGGCCAAGGGGTGAGATGCCAGGCACAAAAGCCTCTGCTTCTGTGGCCAGGAAAGCAAAATGATGAAGAAGAGGGTGGGAAAGCTGGGCGTGGTGGCGCGTGCTTGTGGTCCCAGCTACTCGAGAGGCTGAGGCAGGAGGATTGCTTGAACTCAGGAGTTCGAGACCAGCCTGGTCAACATAAGAAAACCCAGTCTCAAAAAAAAAAGGGCAGGGGCGGGAACACTTTCTGGGCACAACCCGGTTGTGGGGATGCTCCCACAATCTTGCAGCCCCTCTACCAACAGTTATAATACAATGCCCTTAGGGAGCTGCCTGGCCCAGGCGAGGGTCAGCAGAGCCAAGATCAGTTTTCTTCAAACCACCCTATTCATTCCCTCCCCTACCCTCCAAGGGCTGCCTATGGTATTCTCACCTTCACGAGTTCAGCAGGGCAAGGGGGCTACTCCACCCTGGCTCTTAGGCCCTGAGCAGTGATGGCAGAAAACCCATCCCAGTGCCACTCTTCCCATTCTCGCACAGAGAAATGTTAAAGAAACACATTCCTGCCAGATACTGAACTTTTCTCCTTTCCACTTTGCCACTGCCCCACAGCAGGGGAGATAAACTTCTCTGCCATTGCCAAGAGAAGCAGACACTCAGAACGGTGAAGCAGGGTCCCCATGGCCGAGTCTAGTTGGAGGTGAGGCCAGCTGGACTTCCTGGGTAGAGTGGGGACTTGGGGAACTTTCCTGTCTGACAAGAGGATTGTAAAATGCACCAATCGGCTGGGCGTGGTGGCTTACGCCTGTAATCCCAGCACTTTGGGAGGCCAAGGCGGGCGGATCACGAGGTCAGGAGATCGAGACCATCCTGGCTAACACGGTGAAACCCCATCTCTACTAAAAATACAAAAAATTAGCCGGGTGTGGTGGCGGGCGCCTGTAGTCCCAGCTACTTGGGAAGCTGAGGCAGGAGAATGGCCTGAACCCGGTGGGCGGAGCTTGCAGTGAGCCGAGATTGCGCCACTGCACTCCAGCTTGGGCGACAGAGCAAGACTCCATCTCAAAAAAGAAAAACGCACCAATCAGCGCTCTGTAAAACGAGCCAATCAACGCTCTGTAAAATGCACCAATCAGCAGGATTCTAAAAGTAGCCAATTGCGGGGAGGATTGAAAAAAGGGCACTCTGATAGGACAGAAACAGAACATGGGAGGGGACAATCAGGGAATAAAGCTAGCCACCCCCTAAGCCCACCCAACCTCAGCCAGCAGGCAACCTCCTGGGTCCCTGTTCCATGCTGTGGAAGCTTTGTTGAAGGTTTGTTCTTTCGCTTTTCACAATAAATCTTGCTGCTGCTGGCTCTTTGGGTCCGTGCCATCTTTAAGAGCTGTAACACTCATGCGAAGGTCCGCGGCTCCATTCTTGAAGTTGGTGAGACCACGAACCCACCGGAAGGAACCAACTCCATACACACTAGGGCTGCCTTCAGCCTGGTCGAAAAAGCCAAGGTGGGCTGTGTCTGTGTGACTTGAAGCCAACCTGGCAGGGATGGACCTTAAAAGAATAGGATCCAGGAAGGAGGGGATGCTGCTTACCTAGTTCTGCCCTCCTGGGCGTCAGAATCTTGGCTCTCGGAAGTCAGGTTCGGCCCCCTGGCTCAGGTAGCTGTAATACCTACACATGTTCTTGAACTTGGACTTTATGAAAAGTACAAATGATTGATGTTTTAATGACTTAGCCCTCACAGACTCAAAATGAGAGCTCAATGTAATTAAACTATATGGAAAATATTTTGATTATCCTTATCAGGCAATACTTAATAGTATCCATGATGTACCAGACTTTCTAAGGACTTATTGAATCATTAGACCTTTTGAGGGTAGATAGAATTATCTCCGTTTTACAGATGGAGAAACTAAGGTCCAGCAAGGCTAGATAACTTGCCTGAGGGAACAGAGCTAGTAAATGGCAGAGCTCGTTACCAATGCCTTAAACTTTCTCGCAACTCAGGCATAATTAACAAGCACACAGCTAGTAAAAAACCTATTATCAGGAATGGCTAAGAGGATGCCCGGCTCTTTCCCTGATTGAATTGGAGTTTGTTCCTTATTTGGGGGAGCTTGGACCTCCTCAGGGGGCCCCAAGGTCTTTGTGCTGCACAGGAGGTTTGGGGTTTGGCACTGTCTCTAAGCCCTTTGTTGCTCATTCTCTGTCTGCAGTTGCTTCAAGTTCACCTGAGCACTGGTTCTTTAGCAACAGCATTCCCAAGGAGGTTTTTGCCCTCTGAGATGTAGTATGCAGGATGCCAGGTTCTGATGGATGCCAGGGCATGGCCTCCTTCTTGATGTACAGGCTCAGCGCCCTGACCTGGGCACTCTGTAATTATGCTACCCTCGTGATGCCCTGTGCCTGTCCTCCCTGTTCTCACGAGGTGAGCATGGGAGGGGACTGACCCACTTTTCTGGACAGCAAGAGTAGCTTCCTGATTGAAACAGATTCTCTACTGGACAAAAAAATGTGAATGTCTTGACCCCTTCTGGGGAACATCATTGATTATCCGCGGAGTTTCTGCAGCCCAGGAGTGGTTGTGTTTAACCTCGTTTTTTTAGCCAAGACCCCATGGGTTTCATACCTGATGAGGAGTGCCATCCAGAGGATGGGGGGTGTGGGCAAGTCAGAAGACCTCTGGAGCCTTCCAGACTGCATGAGCATCAGCTGGCTGGGAGCCATCCAAAGCGGGGAATCAGGAACTCGAACTGAGCAAATGCGTTGTATCTATGGAGGGGCAGTTCGGAGCAACCACCTCCAGGAGCCTTCTCTGAGTCTAGCCCCATGAAGGAGAGGGAAGGAAGTGGAGGGAGGGAAACCAAAACTCACAGCAGCAGCAGCAGCAGCAGTGGCTGATATTTCCCACCCAAGGGCCTGGGATACATTCAATGATGCCCAGATGTTACAGGGCACCTGCCGTGTCTATGTCCTTTTCCAGACAGAAGAACACCACCCAGCTGGGAAATAGGACATATATACAACATAAGAGCTGAGGACTCAGGACAGCATTGCCTGGAGGGGCTGCAGGGAAGAGGTAAGCTGAAAAAAATAAAAATGACACACCTTGACTGGCCAAGAGGAAGGTAAACATGTTCCAGACAGAGAGAACAACATTTGTTCATTCATTTGTTCATTAATTCTATATGCATTTCTTGCTCTTCTACTCTGGTTGGGCACTGTTTCAGGCCCCAAGCTCAAAGATGAATAGAAAGTGACCTCCCTCCTAAGCAGGGCTGTGTGTAGGGTGACCTAGGAAGGGGACCTAGGATGCAAAGTAAGAGGCAGTCATTATCAGGTGCCGGCGTGCACTGGTGCGGCTGAGAGTGAGTGTCTCCGTAAATTTTGCACCTTGCTTGTCCTGCTCCTGAGGGGGCACAGTCTATGATGAGCAAAGGCCTGGAGGTGAAAAGCCATGACCTCTCAGTGTGACATTCAAGGCCTTCAGGGTTTGGCTCCACCCAGCATTTGAGGACATCTCCTGCCCTTTTACCCTCAAGCCCTCGCCAGGTCAAACCATGTATATTCTTCCGAATATGATGCCCACCTCCATCTCCTACCTGGAACTCCCTGCACTCCATCCCCTCACCGGCCTGGCAAACCCCTGCCCACCCGTCAAGACTCAGGCAAAGCATCACCTGCTCCCTGGTGCACCCTGAGCCACCAGAACTATAACTGGCAACCTTGATGCCCAGGACAAGGATGATAAAGGTGTCCTCACATCAGCTTGGGAGTGCCTGGTTGTGGCTGGGGAGACAGTGAGGAGCAGGATAGTATTATGTGCACTGCCTGGGAGCTTCCTATTGTAAATAACCATTCCTGCCAAGTACTTGCTGCATGGGAGAGCATGTCCTATCCTGTAAGTGTAACATTCCCCATCACACATCTAATCATTTCCCCCAAATGTCATAGCCTGTGTATTTGGCTGGCCTGGGGCAAAACTCCAATTGTCTGACCTCCAGCTCTGCCAATCACTGTGCTTCCAAGAGATGAGGGTTTCCCTCTTTGAGCTCCCAAACTCCACTGTGCATTGTACCATAAGCACAGGCATCTCACGTTAGTGTCTTGCCTTCCCTCCCACCCACGCACTCAGCTACCTGAGGGTGAGTGGGTGGAGAGGGGGCTCCCTGTTCATCCCTGGAGCTCCAGGACATGGTATGGGTGAAAGTATCAGCTGAGCTTGTGGATGTGCTGGAGCTCAGAGGTCACCATTGAGGGGACCATCAGGCTCGGACAGTGCAAGAAACAAGAGGTGACCGAGGCACAGGCAGGTGCCACCCATGGCAGAGACAGCTGGAGGCCACACGTGAGTCAGCCAGAGAGGGAGGCAGAGAAGGTGGTAGAGGAGGAGGACAGAGGTAGAGAAGGAGGATGGGCCCCAGATTCAGAGCTCCTCTGATTCAGAGCAAAGCCCAGGACCTCTGAGAGGCAGAAACAGTGATGAGGCCTTGTCACACCCATGCAAGTGGCTCCATAGACATGCCCTGTCTGCTCCAATGAGAATTTCCTCACAGCATGCCAACAGATGCCTCATCAAGGAGGGAAATTGCAGAGAAATTACAACCCCTTGTTGTGAGTTCTCCCACGGAACTAAAAACAGCACATCAATCCCACGCTCTCTGTCTCCAGATGGATTCTGCAGCCTCCCCACCCTGGTGGGACTAAGGAGGAAGGGACACTGGCCCAGGGAGAGGGTCCTTGGAGGAGAAGGACAATCCTTGAAGCTAAGATAATGGGGTGCCTCCTCAGGCTGGGTTTGCAAGCCTGGAGAAAAAACACCTAGTGTGCTCTCTGTGCCATTCCCCATGACACCCCAATCTCCAGGCAAGTCTTGGGGAGCCAGGAGACAGGGGGTCTTCTGTCCCCTTTATCTCAATGGGGTCAGTCAGGCATGGTAGGCTAGGGCACATCAGCACCAGCTGAAAAATCAACCTTTTCCCCCACGTGACCCACCTGAAAAAGAGCTCTGAACCCTGAGAAAGGAATCAGAGGTTAAGAGCATGGCTTGAGAAGCTGGAGTGAGGCAAGTCATAGTAAAGCACCTGTGAACATGAAGCTGCTATGTTAGTACAGCTGGGTGGGGTGGCATCAGGATTCTGAATGCAGTTACAGTCACCTGGAGCCTAATTGGGTGGACCCCAAATCAACTATCCAGTCCCCTTCCAGGCCCACTGGTCTGTTCCCTCCTCCCCCGCTCCCTGGTCTATGGGAAGGCTGCCCAGGTGTCAGGTAGGGTGGCTGCGGTGGGCTCAGACACCTTGGGCCCGGCCTTAGTAGTGAGGACGGGGTGGATTGCAAGTTCTGGAGGAGGGGCTGCCACAGGCAGAGCACATGGAAGGATGTGACAGTGATGGTCAGGGAAGACTTCCTGTCCCAGCCCAGGACCAAGGCACTCTCTTCCCAGAGCAAATGGCCCTGGGTCAGAGCAGCACGGGATCCCTTAGGGGTATGTGGGGAGCTCCAGCCAAGTACAGCTTCTTGCTTCCCATCCATGGCATCAAACAGAAGCTCCTTGGCCATCCTGCCACGGCTTTTCCCTGCTGTGCCTCTCTTATTTTAATGTTTATTAGAAGCTGCTTCCTTTTCAGCCTGACTGGCTACGCCTATTGTGTGCCACACAAGGTACAAGGCCCCTTGGAGGCTACCAACACACAGGGCACACCTGCCCTCACCAGGGGCAGTTTCCCCAATCCAGCAGGGTGCAGTAAAGACCCTGACCACAGCGGAACAGAAGCTCAGGAGCTGGGGGAGAGGAGGAGCAGGTTCCAGGTGGCAGTCTGGACACAGGCAGGTTTGGTGACATTTGAATGGGTCCCCAGAGCTGGGTCTCATCACAGCTTGCTCACCCCCACCTCATGGCCTTTCTTTGGCCATTGCCCATGCCTGGACTGCCCTCTACCTTCCAGCTGGATTCCTGCTTCTGACTTTGCTAAGTGCACCCACAGCAATGGATCTAATACCAAGATAAAATAAAAATACTTGTAAATGCTGCTGTTTATTAGCACTGGTTGTGTGCCAGGAACAATGCTAAACATTTTACATGGATAATCCCTTCTAATCCTTACAACACCCTCACAAGGCAGACATTATGATCAGCCCTATTCTATAAATGGAGAAACAAAGTCTTGGATTAGGTAACCTGCCCATGTCACACAAAGCTAGTAAATTGAGTTGTTTCTCTCTAAAACCTACCTTTACAAAAAACTGCCCTCCATGTTCCCTCCCAAACTCTGTTCCCCAGTGGGCCCTCAGGGTGCCCCATTTTCATTTTAGTTCCTAGATCAGCCGATCTAAAGTTTACATGGGAAAATCCACCTGTCAGGAGGAGAGAAAGATGACAGCCCCGAGAGGCAGCTCAGGTCAGAGATCTGACCCAAATGGCACTTTGCCGCTTTGGAGGAGTCCCTTAAATCAGACTGACTGTGAGAACGTAGACCTGCTGGCTGTCTCCGGGCTTCAGTTTCCTGATGTATAAAATGATGCAGTTGGATTGGGGCAGTGGCTCTTAACCCCAGACTGCATGTCAGAACCACCTGGGGAACTTGAATAAATGCCCATGCTCAGGTCTGGCCCCCAGAAAGTTGACGAAATTGACTTTCTACATGGGGCCCAGATATGAGTAGTGTTTGAAAGTTTCTCAGGTGACTTTACTATGCGGGCAGGACTAGAAATCACTGGTCTCTGAGGCCCTCCCAGTTCTGTCTTTCTCCAGGAGTCTACACTCACTGGGCCTGTTTTTATAAATAAAGTGTTATTAGAACACAGCCGTGCCCATTCATTTACATGCTGTCTGTGGCTGCTTTTCAGTGGGGGTGGGAATGTTCCACAGGAAGGGGGAACCTCATGTCCACATGGACCAGGGACCTATGCACTTGCTCAGATGCTGCAGGCAGTTGCCAGTTTCCTGTGAAAGCAACTTTGCTTCCTACAGACTCAAGTTCAAAGAGACTGGAGAGCAGCCTGTCATGGCCCCCTCGCAGGGGTTAATACAGGGGTTAATAACCCCTTGCAGGGTTAATAACCCAACTGTTTCCTGAAGATAGTTGTGAAGCTGCCCCTCCTGCTGCTCTTCTCTAGCTCATAACCCCGGTTCATTTCATCCTTCCCTGTAGGTCCCATGCTCCAGCCCCTTCGTCGCTGTTACACGCTAACGTTTTCTCCCTTTCCCACATGCCTCTGCCTCTCCAAATACACAGCAGGACAGAAGCCCTTAATGCCACCTTCTGGCCAAGGAGGCAGCCCTGGGATGATGCTCCCATCTCTCATCTGGTGCCTCTACTTCCTTGTATGCACTGAGATCCCAGCTCCTGTCTGGGCCTGTGGGATAGGGGGGCTTGTGCTCCAGCAAAGTCAGCCACAGAGTGAATTGCTGTCAGCAGAATCTTTCCCCACAGCGTCCGTTATGCAACCAGTGATTATTTTCAAGGATGGCAGAGAAAACCTTAACAAGCAGGGTTGTGAATGGTCCTGCATGGTGGGGCCCCAGCAGCCTTATAGGAAATGGATGGTATCACCACCACCTAGTAATTCTTCCCTCCTCTCCCTACTCTGCAATCATCCTCCTTTTTTCTTTTTAGCTGCTTTGTTGAGATGTAATTCACATACCATAAAATTCACCCATTTAATTCAATGGCTTTTAGTAGATTCACAGGCCTGTGCATCCGCCCCTTTGTTACCCAAGTTAACAGTGTCTCCCGTTTGTGGGCTAAAGAAATGTTTATTGTGGTATGCCACTCAGGTTTTGTGGCTATTTGTTATACAGCATTATTGTGGCAATAAATAACAATGATCTCATTTGTTTTTTAGCACAATCTTGTGAGATTGGTAGAGTAGAAAAAAAAATCTAAAGTTAAGAGATTAAAATAGAGGAGAGGGAAGAAATTAGCATGTATTGAACACCTACACTAAACCAAGTTCTAGGCTTGGAATTTTTGCATATTTGTTATCTTATTTAATGCTCACAACAACCCTGTGAGATTGCTGTACTACAGGGAGGAATGCTTTAGGTGCAGGTAATAGAATACCCAATTGCCAATGTCATATGGAATAAAGATTCTTCACTCTCAGATAAGAAGTCTGGAGACACACACAATCCCAGAGTCCATGCAGCAACTGACACTGCCCCCAGAGGGTTGACAAGGGTTGCATGCCAGGTTCTGGACAGAAATATAGTTAGAATTCAGCACTAATCAGGCTGCACTTTGGCCCATTTCCTTGTTGCTAAAGGTCGGGTAGTGCTAGATCCTGACTGTTTGCATCCCCATTGCTCCTACAGACAGGGTCTCTGACATCAGAATCCTAAAGCTTTTTTTTTTTTTTTTTTTTTTGAAACAGAGTTTCACTCTTGTCGCCAGGCTGGAGTGCAGTGGCACAATCTCGGTTCACTGCAACCTCCACCTCCCGAGTTCAAGCAATTCTTCTGACTCAGTGTCCCAAGCAGCTGTGATTACAGGCGCCCCCCACCACACCTGGCTAATTTTTGTATTTTTAGTAGAGACAGGGTTTCACCATGTTGGCCAGGCTGGTCTCACACTCCTGACATCAAATGAGCCACCCCCCTCAGCTTCCCAAAGTGCTGTGATTACAGGTGTGAGCCACCGCGCCTGGCCAAATCCTAAAATTTTATGTAGCGTATCCATACAATGAAATAATATTCAGCCATAAAAATGAATAAAGTAGTGATACACACTATAACATGGATAAACCTTGAAAACATTATGCTAAGTAAAAGAAGCCAGTCATAAATACTATATATTAGATTCCTTATGTGAAATGCCCAAAATAGGTATATCCATAGAGAGAAAAAGTGGATTAATAGTTGCT
The DNA here is from genome assembly GCF_000001405.40 of Homo sapiens. NCBI lineage: Eukaryota > Metazoa > Chordata > Mammalia > Primates > Hominidae > Homo > Homo sapiens. Next base: position 1,124,684 of record NT_167251.2, read on the forward strand.
TAAAGCTTGGGGATGTAGGGGGTTGGGGAGTGATAGCAAAAGCATAGAGAGTTTCTTTTTGAGGTGAAGAAAATATTCTAAAATTGGTTGTAGTGAAGTTTGCACAACTCTGTGAAGATACTAGGAATACTTTAAGTGGGTGAATTGTATGGTATGTGTAGTATATGTCTCAATAAAGCTGTTAACAGCCCCTCCAAAAAAAAATCATAAGGCTTTTGTTTAAGGATCACTTCGGATGTTTTTCACAGAGGAATGGGATCAGTAAGAGAATTCAGCTTCTTCATCTCCCTGTCCCATGACTTCACCCTGTACTCTTCAGCCAATCAATGATCTCCACAGTTTGGCCCACTCCAAAATCCTTTAAAAACCCTAGCCCCAAACTCCTCAGGGAGATAAATTTGAAGTTCCTTCCCTTCTCTTCATCCAGCAACCCTATGATTAAACTTCTTTCTCTGCTGCAACCTAGTGTCTCAGCATATTGACTTGCCTCGCACATTGAGCAATGAACCTATTACAGTTCCACAGCTCAGCAAAATGCTCAAGGACCCAGCTTCTTTCTATTTTTCTGCATCACCATCCTTGCTGTGTTTTCTTTTCTTTCTTAGGCTTATCACCTCATGGTTGCAGAATGGCTGCCACAGCTCCAAGCATCACATCCTCACCCAACCACATTATGGTAGGAAGATGACAGTAGGACTCTTTGACATAATCAGAAAGAAAAATCTCATTGGTTAAAATTAGGTCACATGCCCTCTCCTAAACCAATCAATAGCTAAAAGAAAATGACATGATTATGCTTAGATCCGACCAATTGCAGTTTATCTTGCTGAAGCTGCAGGAGAGGCCCTTCTTCCCTAATGTTTCATCTAAACAAAATCAAAGGAGAAAGGGAGATTGGCTTGTGGATGAAAAACAAACAGTGACATCCTTGGGTATTATTCCTACTTTACAGCTAAGGAAACAGATTTAGGAGTTTTCAAATAAGTTGCTCAAGGTCATCTAGCTGCCAATCGGTAGAGCTAGGATTCAAGCCCAAATTCGTCTGACTGCAAAGCCCTTTCTACTCCATTGTCAGGGTCTTTGGGCAGATTTACAGAGCTAAGTGCCAGAGCACAGCTAGAACTATGGGAACTCCAGTGGGAGCTTCACCCTCACCCCAGGCGCCTGGGCACTCCCTTTACACATACAATGCCATTGCACAGTTCCCATCTTCCTTCCTCCCTTTGAATATTTCCAGTGCCTCTGGAGTAGCCACGGTGCCACAATTGATGGTGCATCACTGGAGGAGCTCCCACCACGTAATGTATTCCAGCCTGAGAAGCCTCCAGTCAGGGCTTCAGGGTCTGCAAAATGATTTAGAGTCCTGCCTCTCCCTCACCATAAATCCAGAAGCCTGTACATCACATTTCCTGCAATAAGGATACGTGTACCTGAGCCTGATAAATAGATAGTCCCCCATCTACCCACCCTAGCCTTCTGCCTGCTCTTCTCCAGAAGAAACAGCCTCAGCTCTTTCAACTCAGCATATTTTACCCTCTTCCTACCACCCTTCTGGCTCCCAGAGAAGCATCCCAGGTACGCTTGCTTCTGTCCTGATGATCAGGTATTACAGGCTCATTCATCGTGCTGATGCGTGTCAACTTCAGGCCCATGAGGCCAATTTGATAGCCAGAAAACATCCTTGTGGGTGGCTCCCACTTGACCTCCCTTCTCACCCTCCACTGGGCCTGGGAGTTCACTGGTGTTTCACACAGGACTGTCACGGGAACTGTGAAACGGGTTCCTACTCCTTCGCGAGTGGCGTCTTCCAAGTGGAAAACACACACACAAACACACCCGGGAAGGCTCGTAGTGACCACTGCAACCTCCTTCCCCTACTCAGCCCCACTCCACCTTGCTTGAGGTGCCATGCCCTCCTAGACTGGCCAGAGGGCTGCAGCAGTCACCACTCAGCCAGCCGGCCACTTCCCTATCCCTGTCATGGAAGAAACACGTGTTCCTGAGCATTGAGTTCCCGAAGCTCAAGGAAAATTCAAGACTGGTGTCACATGCAGGCTGGGACTTGGAAAAGATGTAATGGTCAAAGAACTATAGAATATAGAAGATGAAACCAGAGGGGAAAATGTTCAAGATCATCTCGGCTGTTGATTTTCAAACTACTTTTTCCCAGCAGAACTTTGTCTTCCAAATGAGATGTTTACATAGAACTTTCAGATATCAAATACAAACGAGGCCACTCTAATAAAGCAGAGGTGGCGAACTCGGGGTATACCTTGGCCTTCAGCGAATCCTCGAGCTCTGTGGAACATGGTTACAAAATCATTGCTCTCGTCGTTTCTTTAATTTGAACAATGGGGAAACTGAGGCCCACAGAAGGGAAGTGATTTGTATGCAAAATGGGGAAATCTGAGATGTTGGAAACTGTTTGCCAAAACCAGAGGCCAACAGTAGGCAAAGGTCTCCAAAGCTAGAGTTTGGGGGAAAGAGAAAGGGGCGGGTCAGAGGGAGCCAGAGTTGGGAGCTCTGAAGCAGAGGACCCTGTGACTGGCTACCTTGGACAGAGCTTCAGTGGACGGCTCTGGGGCCTGGATGAAAGGCTCTCTGCTCCAGAGGAGAGGCCAGGCTTTCATTGTTTTTTTCCCACACCAGGCCTTGGGGGAGGTATTTCAGGGCAATCTTTCACCAGACTCAACGCCTGTCAGCCATTTAACACACTGAATAAAATGCCAATGCCTCACCTAGAACAGCTCCAGAGTGAAAAGTCGATTGAAGCTGATCCAAAGCTAACTTGGAACTTTAATTCTTGTGCCGCTGTTGGCCCCAGCAAAGGCCCTGACTTGTTTGCAGAGACAGAACAGGGGACACTCATATTCCAGACGGAGCAGGACAGAGAGTCTGGGAATTGAGGAAGGGAAGGAATCCCTTCCCTGTCTTCCTCCCCGGAGCCTAACAAGATCTTGAGTTGCGGGGCTTCTGTTTTATGCAAATGTGGAAGGGAAAGAACTAAGCAGAAACCTCCTAGAGCAAAATATAAAATGTGATGCCTTCAAGCCTTGGTTCTCCAGTGATCCCCAGACCAGCAGCATCAGCACCTGCTGGAAAGTTGTTAGAAATGCCAGTTCCAGGGCCCCACCCTAGACCTGCTGATGTGGACCTTCATCTCAGCACCCCACTTCCTGGGCTACTGCAGCAGCAGTTGGGCTAAGGAGACTTGGGATGTGATGGGACCATTTGAGGTCGAGTTCTAAAGAGAACAGAAACCTCCTGAAGATGACCCAGAGGGGGCTGTTGCTAGAAAGAATAAGAAACCTGTTTCGGCTGGGTGCCGTGGCTCATGCCTGTAATCCCAGCACTTTGGGAGGCTGAGACAGGCAAATTACCTGAGGTCGGGAGTTCAAGACCAACCTGACCAACATGGAGAAACCCCGTCTCTAATAAAAATACAAAATTAGCCGGGCATGGTGGCGCATGCCTGTAATCCCCCAGCTACTCGGGAGGCCGAGGCAGGAGAATCGCTTGAACCAGGGAGGCAGAGGTTGTGAGGAGTGGAGATCGTGCCATTGCACTCCAGCCTGGGCAACAAGAGCGAAACTCCTTCTCAATAACAACAAGAAAGAAAGAAAAGGAAAGAAACCTGTTTCAAAAATAACAAGAGTTGTTCAGGATGGAGAAATCAGAACCCATACATGTTGCTGGTGAGAATGTAAAATGGTGCTCTCACTGGGGAAAGCAGTTTGGTGGTTCCTTAAAAAGCTAAACATAGAATTATCATTTGATCCAGCCATTCCACTCCTAGGTATGTACCCAAAGGAATCGAAAGCAGGAACCCAAGACTGGGCGCGGTGGCTCATGCCTGTAATCCCAGCACTTTGGGAGACCAAGGCAGGTGGATCACCTGAGGTCAGGAGTTTGAGACCAGCCTGACTAACATGGTGAAACCCCATCTCTACTAAAAATACCAAAATTAGCCAGGCGTAAGCCAGGCATAGTGGCAAATGCCCATAATCCCAGCTACCTGGGAGGCCGAGGCAGGAGAATTGCTTGAAGCTGGGAGGCAGAGGTTGCTGTCAGCTGAGATCTTGCCACTGCACTCCAGCCTTGGTGACAACAGCAAGACTCTGTCTCAGAAAAAAAAAAAGAAAGAAAGAAAGCAGGAACTCAAACAAGATACTTGTACACAAATATTCACAGCAGCATTATTCATGATAGTCAAAAGATGGAAACTACCCAGTGTTATCAGTAAATGAATGGATAAACAAAGTGTATATAGACAATGGAATATTATTCAGCCATAAAAAGGAATGATGTTCTGACACATGCTACAACATGGATGAACCTTGACATTGTGCTAAGTGAAAGAAGCCAAATATAGAGGGACAAATATTTCACTTATATGAGGTACCTAGAATAGGCAAATTAGCAGGACAGAAACATTGATTAGAGGTTACTAGGGGTTGGGTGGTGTGGGGGATGTGGAGATGTTGCTTAATTGGTTCAGAGTTTCTGTTTGGGGCAATGAAAAAGTTTTAGAAATAGATAGTGGTGATGATTGTACAACATCCTGAATGTGATTGATGCCCCTAAATTATCCCCTTAAAAATGATTAAAATGGGCCATGTGCGGTGGCTTACGCCTGTAATCCCAGCACTTTGGGAGGCTGAGGCAGAAGGATTGCTTCAGGTCAGGGTTCGAGACCAGCCTAGCCAACATGACAAAACCCCGTCTCTACTAAAAATACAAAAATTAGCCGGGTATGGTGGCGCATGCCTGTATTCCCAGCTCCTCGGGAGGCTGAGGCAGGAGAATGACTTAAACCCAGGAGGCAGAGGTTGCAGTGAGCCAAAATTGTGCCACTGCACTCCAGCCCGGGCAGCAGAGTGAGACTCAGTCTCAAAAACAAAACAAAAAACAAAAACAAACAAAAAAATGATTAAAAAGGTAAATGGTAAATTTTATGTTATGTCTATTTTCCCACACAAATTCTGCTGGTGGAAGATTAAGGCAGGGTCGACTTACAGGTGGCTGTGAAGTGAGAACAGGCGTCAGGGAGGAGACCCCTGTGAAGCCAGGCAAGAGCTGAGGCTCAATTGGGAAGGGCAAAGGACCGTGATGGGGCCAGGCAGGCGTGAGGGACAGAGAAGGGGAGAAGGTACAAGTTCAGGGGCATCAGTAAGTCTATCTCAGGGTTGAAGACATTGGAATACAGTCAAGGGATTAGACAGAGGAAGACAGCTCAGGCTACTATGATTATGCTACTGCACTCCAGCCTGGGATGGCTCTGGGTTTGAAGGATTTGGGGAAACCAGACTGCAATCCTAACTAAGCTAGTCTTGAAGATTTAGCTTCCCAGGCTGGCCACGGTACTGACCTGGGCAGGGCCATAGCACTGCTCAGTGGCTATTTCTGGCCACCTGCACACATCTAAAGTTACTGTGCCTCTCTGAACCTCCCAGGTGTCTCCTGCACCTCCTGAGGCCTGAGCTACAGCCCTGGAGAGGCCTGAACCCCCACCTCAGCTGCTTGACCTGAGGGAAAACGAGGTGGCCTGGGTCATCTAGGGACTTGACAGCCAGAAGAAGAGCGGAGTGCATGTGAGTACCAGGGAGGTGTGGACACACCCAGCTGAGCACTGGCTTGACTGTTACTCTGAACCTCACCCAAGATCACATGGATAGTCAATGAAGGATAATCAGGCCTCCTGGCTGGATTCACCAAGCACCTACACAGGTGCTCAGAGGCCCTTTCTCTGTACTCTAGAAAAGCAAGTCCCTTCCTTTTGTGGGCTTAATTTCCTCCTGTATAAAATGAGGAGCTGAGGCCAGGTGTGGTGGCTCATGCCTGTAATCCCAGCACTTTGGGAGGCCATGGCGGGAGGATTGCTTGAGCCCAGGAATTTGAGACCAGCCTGGGAAACATAGTGAGACCCTGTCTCTATAAAAATAAAAAAAAATAGCTGGGTGTGGTGGCATGCAACTGTAGTCCCAGCTACTTGGAAGGCTGAGGTGGGAGGATCACTTGGGCCCAGGAGGTCAAGGCTTCAGTGAGCTGTGATCACCCCATCACTGCACTCCAGCCTGGACAGGAGAGTGAGACCTGTCTCAAAAAAAATAAAAATAAAAAGGAACTGGACTAGGGATCTCCCAAGTCCCTTCTGGCTCTGAACTTCTAGGACTTTTAGGAGAGGGTCATGACTTATGGGGAGGTAAGGGTGGGGAGGCCTGAGTAAGAATGGGAGGGGGAGGAATAAACTGAAACTAAAGGTGACAGGTGGCTCCTTGGCAAAGGGATTACCCAAGTCCCTTCCATTAGCGTGACCTAATGATTCCGTGAGTTAATCCGTAAATGCTGTGCGCAGCCTGGCACATAGTAAGCTCTCAATCATTTTTAGCAGCGATTATTATTATGATTATCAGCAGCCTAGATTTATAAACACTCTGCTTACTTAATCGCCGGTACCCACAAATCTTCAAATGACCACATCATTGAATCAAGAATTGCTGAGTCATTGAACCTGAACGCTGCTGGACCATCAAAAGTGAGTCTCTCCAAGTCACAGCATGGACCCATCGCTGAGTCGGCACAAAGTGCCCTGCCGAGCCATGCCTCTATCCATGTTGCCCTTGCTGCTTTTGGTGTCCTTCTAGATCTTTCCACAAGGTAAATTCCGCTTGAAGGTCCAATCCATGGATGCACTGTGTGGACATGACTTCATGTGACTCTCCCAACTCCATAAATAGTTACTGCCATATGGTACTAATAAGGAAACTGAGGTCCTCAGAAGTCACACAGCCTGGTGTTTCATGCTAAGGCCCATGGGTGGCTGGTGTTTCACTCTAAGGTCCATGGGTGGCTTCCAGCTTCCCGAATGAGCTGAGCTAACTTTTCCCTCCGTGCTGCCCGGTTATTTTACCTTCATGTGTAGCACACTCCACACACCCTGTAATTTCTCTGGGTGCCTGTTTCCCCAGCCCCCTAGACTAGGAGCGCCATACAGGCTGACAAGGGTCATGTCTGACCTTCCTCATGTTCCCCACAAGTGCCAGGTTCATCAGGGGTGCCAAACAGGTGCTTTGAATGGGATCATCCGTAGAAGGGTCTTGACTACTGTCCAGGTAGCATGGGGATGGACCTTGTGAGGGAAACGACATCCTGGGGCTTGAGTCTCCATCTTCCTTTGGGTACCCAGCCCACCCCGAAACTGGAGGTGGTCTGCATTCCCCACTCTTGCAGTGGCCCTGCTGGAATCATGTGCTGGCCCACCTTTTCCTGCCTTAGCATGGTCTACCATGATGGTTTCCATGGTGGGTGCTGAACCCACTGGAGAGCAGGTAAAAGCTCAGGCCCCCTTCCCAGAAAAGAATTCTAAACCCGGCCACATAAGATTTTTTTCACACCCATAAAGTTTTGCATATAATATCAACGGATTTTCTTTTCTTGAGACAGGTTCTCCCTCTGTTGCCCAGGCTGGAGTGCAGTAGCATAATCTTGGCTCACTGTGGCCTCAAATTCCTGGGCTCAATCGATCCTCCTGCCTCAGCCTCTCAAGTAGCTGGGACTACAGGCTCAGGCCACTATGCCTGGCTAATTTATTTAAAAAATTTTTGTAGAGATGGGGGTCTCACTATGTTGCCCAGGCTGGTCTTGAACTCTTAGCCTCAAGCAATCCTCCCACCTTTGCCTGCCAAAGTGCTGAGGTTACAGGTGTGAGCTACCACACCTGGCCCAATATCAATGGATTTTAAAGTTCATCAGTGGGGCCTCTAAATTGCACCCCAAATTAGAGAAAAGCCCAGGAAGCTTGGGAAGCAACTAGTATAAATAACAGAGATAGGGCACTGAGCTCTCTGGGTGGACATAGGGGTCACAGTGAACTTCAGAGGGGAGCCCAAACCATCCCTCCCTAAACCTTCTTGGGCCATCCTCACATCTCCCCCACCTCTTCCTTGGCCCACCTTCTCTGAGAAAGCCTCTGCTCTCCCCAGTATGGCTATACCACAGAGGTTTGTCTAATGTGTGAGTTGTTTTGTATTCGCTTCATTAGAAAGCCTTTTAAAATGCATTTTCAGGTCTGTGTTCAGTACAGTGTGTATCCAAATAAAAATTCTCTGGCAAATCACCTTAAGAAGTTTGGCTGTTTTTATTCCTTCCCAGCCAGCATTGTCAGTACAAACCAAGGGAGAATGTCATAAACCATAAAGCAAATTTGGGGCATCCGAGGGCCCTGACCTGCCTGATTATCTCCAACACTACATCTAACTGGTGGGGACCTGTGGCTATCACCTGTGCAGCTAGACCAGAAGATAGACTGTGAGATATCAGTAACCCCTTCCCACACCCAGACCCAGGTTGACCTTGACCACAGTCATAAAACTAGCCCTTCATAGGGGTTCTCGTCTCAGTTTTACAGATGAGGAAAAAGGCTCGGGGAGATGACAGAGACCCAGTGGGTCCCTGGCAAGGCCTGGTCATCTGGCAAGGTGAAGAGGGCCTCAGAAACCACTGCTGGCGTGTGCTTTTCTGCTGGTTAAACATTCCAAGAGAAAAGAAAACACTCAGAGATTGTAGACAGAACCTAGAATTGGCCTGGAGTTTTCTAGATGCTGTAGTTCAATCAGCTCAAAAAGGCCCAGACAGGGCCGGGGACAACTGTGGGGACAGGGCTGGCAGCGGGGCTCCAGACCAAGTGCAGGGCTGCTGACTCTGAGTGATGACATTTGACTCCAGTCCCACAAGAGGGGTGATGTATCTGACAAAGGGGCAGCAGGAAAACAGCTGAGCCTTCCACTCCAACTCAGGTTTCTGAGGTCTCTGTGCAGTTTCTGCGGCAACAATTCCTTTTAGAAGTGAGACAGAGGGCAGCATGGATTTCTCCTCTGAGCACAGGGGCCTGATGTCCTCAGGAGACCACCTGTGTCCTTAGAGCAGATGTGGCCCTGCTTCCCATCTGGTTTTCTGTGCCCATCCTACTCTTCCTCTGCCTTGATGGTACCTGCACAGACTCAGGGGCATCTTGAGTCAGATGTGCTTCTCCCTGGGTGGGTGATAATCTCAGTCCTGCCACAGAGGCAAGTAATGAAGTGGCCCAACCCAATGCCTTGCACACAGTGGGCATTCAATAAGCTTTTGCTGAGTTAGAAATTTGGGGGGTGGGGGAAATCATGAGGGAGATGTAGAATCTGGAAGACCAAGTCTGTTGGGGGAAAACACATTGACATCTACTGGCTCCAAAGGAATATGGTTCTGTCCTAGACAGAGGAGGCTTTATTGGGAGGCTAATAAGCTTATGCTTAAGGCCCACTACTGCAGAGTTTACGAGCCCCTTCCTAGGCCCCGTATCTAATTTGACATCCATAATTTTGCATTATTTTTCTTATACAAAGCACCGAAAATTGTATAAGCTTCAGGTTTCACAAAACCTGGATCTGTCCCTGGTCCTGATGCTCTCTAGCTTTGCAAACTCTGAGCCCCTCGACCCACTTGAGGGTAGAATCCCAGAATTAGATGGGCTCTCAAAAGAGTATCTGGTTTGTCCCTCAAGCAGGTATTAAAGATCCATCAACTCCCAGGAACTCTTTTTTTAGGGATCTGCAAGGATAGATATCACCTTGTCTTGGTCCATTTTTTGCTGTTATAACAGAATGCCAGGGGTTGGGTAATTTATAAACAATAGAAGTTTATTTGGTTCACAGTTCCAGAGGCTGGGAAGTCTGAAATTAGGGGACAGCATTTAGTGAGGGCCTTTTGGCTGCATTGTAACAGGTGGAGGATGGCCGGGCACAGTGGCTCATGCCTATAATACCAGCACTTTGGGAGGCTGAGGTGGGTGGATCACTTGAGGTCAGGAGTTCGAGACCAGCCTGGCCAACATGGTGAAACCTCATCTCTACTAATACAAAAAATTAGTCGAGCGTAGCCACGGGCACCTGTAATCCTAGCTACTTGGGAGGCTGAGGCAGGAGAAGTGCTTGAACCTGGGAGGTGGAGGTTGCAGTGAGCCAAGGTTGAGCCACTGCACTCCAGCCTGGGCAACAGAGTGAGACTCTGTCTCACACATACACATACACACACACACACACACACACACACACACAAAGATAAGAGGAGACATTTCACCCATGATACCAAAACAAACAACTATACACAAAAGAATAATTTAAACTGGATTGTGGTGATGGTTACAGACCTCTGTAAATTTACTAAAAATCATTGAATTAGACACTTAAAATGAGTGAATTTTAGAGTATGTAAAGTGTACCTCCAATAAAACTTTTTTTAAAAAAAAGAATAATCAGAAAAACAGTGCAAAGTACTGAAAATTTGATCCCATAAATAAAATAGTCAGTAGAAGATTTGGAAGATAAGGTCAAGGAAATCTACCTGGAAGAGGAAAAAAAATAAAGGTATGGAAAATCAGAGAGAAAATAGAAAAGCAGAAGATCCATCTAGGAGGCCCAGCAAAAGGAATAGGGAGTAGAAGAAATGGAGGAGAGTCCATTATCAAAGAAATAATACAAAATCACTTCCTAGGACTGAATGACCTGCATCTGCAGAGTTTACGAGCCCATTGTGCACCCAATACAATGAATGAAAAAAGGCCCACGCTAATTTCATAGTGATGTATATGAAGGTAAAATCTTAAAATTTAGGCCAGGCATAGTGGCTTACGCCTGTAATCCTAGCAGTTTGGGAGGCCAAGGCAAGCGGAACACTTGAGGTCAGGAGTTCAAAACCAGCCTGGCCAACATGGTGAAACCCCATCTCTGTTAAAAATACAAAAATTAGCTGGCCGTGGTGGCACATGCCTGTAATCCCAGCTACTTGGGAGGCTGAGGCACAAGAATTGCTTGAACCTGAGAGGCGGAAGTTGCAGTCAGCAGAGATCGCACCACTGGACTCCAGCCTGGGTGACAGAGTGAGACTCCATCTCAAAAAAAAAAAACACTTAAAATTTTCCACAGAGCAAAATAAAAGATTATAAAAAAAGATCAAGACTAAGAATGGCATTGGACTTCTCCCTGGCAACTTCTTATTCTAGAAGTCAGAAAACAATAAATGTATTCAAATCGCTCTCTTACAGTGTAAAAACAACAAAAGACAAACTTTAATTTTACAAAGCAGGTTTTCCATAAGATCAAAATGTGTGTGTGTGGAGGGATGGTTCCATGTTCATCTCTTCTTCACTCTCTCTCTTTGCGTCATCATCTCTGTGTCATACTCTCCTTCCTTCCCATCTGCCCTTCCCGTTCTATCTTTTCTGTGTTCTCTCTTCCTTTACTGGCCATCACATAGAACTGGAGGAATTTTTTCTAATTACTTCCTTCATTTGTGAAGTCATTTTATGTTCTCTGTTCTCCATTTTAAAAGCAAACAAGCGGAACACTTCATTTCTGCATTAAAAAATCTAAACTAAATTGCTTGTTTGTTTGTTCCCTCTGTAGCCTTTGACGCATCTCCCTGGGTTCTCACTGGGAAGCCCCGTCTCACTTTCCTCCAAGTGGGTGCAGTTCAGGTTTCGTGAGTGCCTTCAGTTGGGAACAAGAGGCTCCGCTACCCCTAAACTCAAACTCATCCTGTACATTTAGAGACAATTCCAAACTGGTCTCTCCTAGTTTATTAGGAAAAAAGAGTTGAGAGCTTTGGTCCTCAATAGGAAAAGACCTCCTCATTCTAGATCCTTGTATCCAGCGGGCCTTCCAAACCCCAACCCTTCACTAAAGCAGGTTGGTCACTTTAAGCCAGGCTTCCAGCAGGGGTGGGAGGCTGCTCCGTGTCAAGACTTGTGCAGGGGTGGATGATGACATCAGTAATGACAATCCATTCCTCAGCACGCATTTGCGGAGTGCCACTATGTGCTCGGTCCTGCAGAGAAAGCTGAGACTTGGCTGTTCTTGGCCTCAAGAACTCAAGGTCTAGGGTAAGGAGAACAGACACCTAAACAAATAATGACCACCCAGTGTGACAGTGTGGTAGTAAAAGCATGTCCAAGGCATCAGGGCCACTGGTGGGAGGTAGGGACTCCCGTGATCCTGGAGCACTGCAGGCTCCCAGAGCTTCCTGGGGACTGAGGCTTGGGGACATGTGGGACGCTCAGATGGAGAAGGCCCGATCCAGGGGAGGGCAGGCTGGGCAGAGGGAGCAGCCATGCCAAGGCACAGAGGTGTGTAAGAACATTTCTGTGTGACTCTGGGGATGCGTGGCATGATTGAGGGGTGGGCAGATAGCCTAACTTTCCCCCCGAAGCTTCCCAAGCCCTCATGATATCTATTACCCTGCCTAGGCAAAGGCAGCAATGTCTGGTTCTGCACAATCCAGGGGAGACCTGTGAGTGACATCCCTGTCATTAGCAGGGCAGAGGGGCACTGTCCACGGATAAGCTTTCGAATGTGACAGCCAAGCTGTCAGCCAGCAGACCCATTCACTCCCAGCCAGAATCTCACCTCTGCTGCCCCCATCTTGTCTTGGGAAGGAGGATCTCCATCCCGCTGAATCACCCGGCTCTTCCTGGATGCTGAGGCCAATAGCAGCTCTCTTTTCGGTGGGGGCTGGGCAGGCTCCGTCTTCAGGGCCTGGGTGTCTCCAGATTCTGGCTCCCCCGTGACGATGATGAATCCTGCATCAGCATGGACTAACTGCTGTTCTGCCTAGCTGTGGGCACTCGGAGGGTCCTGTGCAGGGCTCACTGTTTATTCCATCTCTGTAGCCCCCCATCCTCCCCCTCCCCAGCGCCTGGCACAGGGCAGGCACTTCATCCGTGTTAGTTGAATAAATAATGTGCTAAGAAAGGGAAGATGAAAGGGAGAAAGATAGGGAGACAGAGAAGTGAGATTGATTTTTTAATGGGAGAAAAAGAGACTAGATATTGGGGCACCTAGGGCACCAAGCACACAGACATGACCCCAAGACCTGGAACCGATGCACAATTGGCCACAGAGATGACAACAGCCCCAGATAACACCTGTGGGGCACTTTTTAAATGCCAGGCACTGCTGCCATCTCCTTATAAGCATGAACTTGGTGAACTCTCACAACTCCATTTTGTAGTCCAGAAAACTGAGGCAAAATGTGGCTAAGTAACTTGCCCAAGGCCACACAGCTAATGCATGAACCCAGGCAGCCTGGCCTCAGAACCTGCCCTTCTAACCATGCAGTGTGACACGTAATCATGGCCGTGGCAGGGAGCAGTCTTCATAGGATCCAGAGGAGATAGTAGCCCCATGGGACAAGAGCACTGACCAGGAAGGAAGGGCTGTCACTACTCCCTGGCGATTTGCTCAGTGCAGGCTCTGGGCCTCTGGCCTTGGCACTGGCTTCCTGGAGACAATCCTGCACTCCCTGGCCGCTGCAGTGTGCTGGCTGGAAGATTGCTGATGAGAAGGTGATGGTCTCCAGGAGGACTTATTTGGCCTCCGGTGCCAACTGTGGGTCAAAGGAGCCCAGCTCCCAAAACCTTTGACACCATCTCTTTTTGTTGCAGAAACAGCCGGCCAGATGGTCAGCTCGCTTTGCCAGGTGCCCAGATCCCTGCCAGCACGGCTGTCTGAAAATGTCAGCAGAGTAAAGGTGTGTTCCCACAGCAGCTTTCAAGAGGTACCAAGAAGCCTTCCTCTGCAGAGCCCACCGTCTCTTCCCTGGCACGTCCTTCCCTCCCTAACTCTCCTTGTCGTCTCCTCCCCGGGCTGATACCTCCTACCCCAATGTCTGCTCCTGATCTAATAGTCAGCACTATTTGAATATCCCCATGTGCCAGGCACTATACCAAGCCTATTGCAAGCCTCTTCTCATTGAACCCTCACCACTGCATCCTATAAAGCAGGTACCATCTCTTCTTTTTATACGCAGGGAAGGGAGCCTTGGGGCCTTCCTTAACAAGCCCCTGGTCACACAAATGCTAAACGGTGGAGCTTGGATTCCAAACAGGATGTGGTGGCGCCAAAGCCTAGCTCTTTAGCTGGCTCTGTGAAGACAGGCCTTTGCCTTCTAAGCTTCATACAGGGGTCTTGGGGTCTTCTTTCTTTTAGCATTGGCTTTTTCAGTCTGCCTACCTTCATCTTGGATAGGAAACTAAGTCAGAACAAGGGTGTTTCCAAGAGTGGAGCTGGCAGCCTCTGTCACAGGCGGATGGGAGCCCAAGGCGTCATCTTCATCTAATGCTAAAATGCTTCACAGGGATTAAACACACTGCCTGCTGCAGTGGTTCCTAGGGGGCCAAGTGGGGGCTGGGTGGCTTAATTTGGTGAGGTGTGAATGTGATGGCGGGGGGAACTTTTGTGAGGGATACACACCCAGGACATGCAGGTAAAGGAAATCCAGACTGGATCCACCTATAGTGCCAAACACGCCCACATCTAGTCTGGCTTGACTAGACTTGGACATGTTTAATCAAGCTGCCCTGATTTACTGCTGGCTGCATTCTCCAGGCACAGCGCCATCTGCAGGGAAGCCCTGCACCAGCAAGGGTGGGGGGGCTGGTCCTAGGGCCTGTCCCAAGACCCTGTGATGGTCAGCATTTAAGGTAAAGGTTGTGAGCTACAAAGCCGGCACCGATTGCTGTCCTTTCAAGCTTAGGGCAGTCGTACAGGCACCACCTCTTCTCAACAACCAACCTCCTGAAATGATTTGGGCAGATATTATCATGCCCATTTTACAGATGATGAAACTGGGCCTCAGAAAGCCAGTCACCCCCCAGCGATGGTGCCAGGCAGGATTCCAACTCAGGCTCTTTGACAAAAAACTCTGGGCTCTACATCTGCCTCTCCTGATGCAGAAGAAAGAGAAGAAGTGTGGAGGGTGAAGGATGAAGCGAAAAGCTGCTGGCTGGATGGACTGAGAGCCAGGATTCGTGGCTTGGTTCTGTTCGCACTGTCTCTGCTGCCAAGCCCTATTCACCCCAGCCAGGAAGAGCAAACATTCCCAGACACAACATCCTCCTGGGTCTGTCATCAGGTTGACACAGAGAAAATTGAGCTCCTTACAGGAGACTGTCAGGGTGGGCTGGGGTGGAGTTTTTAAGTGTCTCAATAACTGGGAAGATAATTGAAGACATTATATTTTTTACTCTTTTCAGTGCCTGTCTCAGCAGCAAGCACTTGTCAGCCAGATCTTGGAGGCCAAAGCCTGTCTACCCTAACACAAAGAAGACACTCAAGTTGTCTAAATTCATCGACTTTTCTGAAATTTGAAATCTGCAATTTCCCGAGCTGTGTTCTGTTGTTAAGTGGCTGTCCAAATTCCTGAGCTCATGTTTAAGTGTCGCTGATAAAGAAGGAAACAATCCAATCAGGTTTACATTGGCGGTTCAATTAGGCACATATGAAGTAGTCACTCCAAAGCGGTTCACAGCAAATTTATTCCTGGGACAACCTTCTTTTACCACCCAACTTAAATCTCCCAGGAATTTGTTCCAAGAATAGAAGCTAACTGCTATAATATCCTGAGCTAATTGCAATACTATCCTGATTGGAGCCTAATTAGAAGGCAGATCTGCCTCACTAGCCAACACCACCTCTCCTCCTACACAGAGCCCTCAGAGATAGATTCTCTTGTCCTAGACAACTTTGTTATTTGATTATCTACACTGCAGCTCTTTCTTGCTAATTTACCACTTTTACATATTTATGCCCCCTAATTAGTCAACAAGTATTTATTAAACACCTACTGCATGCTCATCCCATGCATCCCAAGCAAACAGAAGGATGTTTGCTTCTGGTTCCAAAGAGAAATACATGCTTCTTTGGGGTGCTGGTCTCTTTTGGGGTCTTCAGTCAGATGAACAAGTAACGTATATGAGCAGAAGCTCATGCCTGTAATCCCAGCACTTTAGGAGGCCAAGGTGGGCAGATTGCTAGAGCCCAGGAGTTCAAGACCAGCCTGGACAACATAGTGAAACCCCACCTCTACTAAAAATACAAAAAATTAGCTGGGCATGGTGGTGTGCACCTGTCATCCCAGCTACTTGGGAGGCTGAGGTGGGAGGACCACCTGAGCTCGGAAAGTCAAGCCTGCAGTGAGCCGAGATGGCACCAATGCACTGGTGCATTAGACAATGCCTGGACAATGAACCTTGTCTCAAAAAGTAAAATAAAATCATATATATGCAGGAGTATTTGCACATAAAACACACGCCTGGAAAAATACATGTCTGGGGTATTTGCATATGCCTTGTGGAGAATTTCTAGGCTCGGTTAAAAGGAGAAAGAAACTAAATTATATTGTTCTGGAACTCTTCTCCACATCACTCAGCCAAGGAGCATAAGGAGAGTGCTTTCATTTCATTCATTAACTCACCAAATATTTGCTGAACATTGACCCTGTGCTTGGCCTTGGAAGAGAATTTTGCAAAAACACAGTCCCTTATTTCAGATTTGACAACACAGTGGGGAGACTGTATCTTTTTTTTTAATGCAAATCATAGCACAGAGGCAACATTCAGGACTGATGAGGAAATTTGGCTCTTGGGAAATGGTCAGAACAGCTCATTCTGCTAAGAGCAGAGCATCTTGAAAAGTTTTACCCTGCTCGTTGCCCCACTTAGCCCTCTGCAGGTCGAGGAAGCAGAGGAGGGAGCCACTCCTGTGGACTCAATTCTCACCCTCGCTGGTGAAAACAGAAATGATGGGTTCACATTGCTCACAGCTCCCCCTGGAACGACTTCCTTCTCTCCACTTCCAGACCCAAGCCCAGGCTTCCCAGGTTTCACCTTTGGACCTTTTCCCACCTCCCGCACCCGGGGCCCAGTGCTCAACCCACCTCTCCGCCCTTCACATCCTTCCGTGGTTAAATGTTGGCTTCTCTCTTCCCATCTGTGGCTGTCTGTTACCCCAAGTCAAGGCCTTACATCATCTTGCTCGCCTCAGGGGACCCACCCCTCCTGCAGCCTCGGAAGGCTGAACTCCTCCGGTGCCCAGTTTGTCCTGACCTCAGAAGTACAACCCACTCCACTTGGAGGAAGCAAAGAGGGTTTTTAAAGAAATACAAGCAGCTTCACTGAGAGCTCATGGCTAAGCTCAGATTTTAAGAGGACAAGAACAAGAAAAACTAAAGGACAAATTGTAAGAATAGTTTCAGAAATGTTTACTAATGAGATGAATACATGGAAGGCGTTTAGCACAGTGCCTAAAACACAGTAAGTAACCAACAAATGGTAGGTGGTATTAATACTATTATTATTAAATCCCAGAATGACAGGATTACAAGAAAATGCACACGTAACAAAAGCAGCCTTAAAAAGCTAATTTTTTTTTCAGGGCCAGAGCAACAGGAAAGAGATAGACCCATTATTCAAGACAGATGATGTAATGTGAATAAAAGAGTGAACATTTTCAAGTGTCTTTTCTCCTAATATTCTTCTATTTTCTTTAGAAGAGAGAATAATCTTCAACCTGGAAAGGATAATAAACATGATTATGGGGAAATCGGGATCTAAGACAGATGATGCAGCACTCAAGGAGAACCCTTCTGCTTTATGGGAGCCCAACACTCTTAACTCCAACTAAATATATATAAACTAAACTCAAGGAGAGCCCTACTGCTTTATGGGAGCCCAACGCTCTTAACTCCAACTAAATATATCCAAGACCTTTACTGTGTGATTGCAAACTCCTACTGTAAATATTGAGAAGTCAGGAAGCTGAGAAGGGTGGAGAAAAATTAGAGATGAGCAAATGTCGCCCAGGTTTGTGAGAGAGAGAAGGTGGATTCCAGAAACTACAGATGGGTATGTCTGAGGTTGATCTGCAATCAGATAGGCTTATAAAAGATGGCAGATGTTACCAGTGGTCAAAGCGGCTTACTAGGAGTAATTAGTCAAATTAACCTTATTTCCATTGCTGAGGGATTGGTACATGAAGGCATTGCTACGCATATTGTATACTTAATTTTAGCAAAGCACTTGATAGAATCTTTCAGGATTCCTGGTGGATAAGATGGAGAAATAAGGGCTAGATTTAAAGTATGATTAGCCAAGTTACATAGATGGCTGAACATCCACATCTAATGAATGGAACAGTGTCCACTACAGAGCACATTATAGGTGCTTAGTAAATATCTGTTACTGTTACACAAATGAATCAAGCTGGAGGGAAGTTTCTGATGGTATGTCCCCATCTAATTTTATATATATATATGGAGAGAGAGAGACAGACAGACAGACAGAGACTTCCTCTGTCACCCAGGCTGGAGTGCAGTGGTGCCATCTTAGCTCAGTATAACCTCCACCTTCCAAAGTCAAGCAATTTGCATGCCTCAGCCTCCCAGGCAGCTGGGACTACAGGTGGGTGCCACCACACCCAGCTAATTTTTGTATTTTGGGTAGAGATGGGGTTTCACCATGTTGGCCAGGCTGGTCTCCAACTCCTGACCTCAAGTGATCACCTGCCTTGGCCTCCCAAAGTGCTGGGATTACAGGTGTAAGCCACCGTGCCCAGCCTTATTCAGTATTTTTTATCATGACTCAGATGATGACTTATGAGTCATGGGTATCAAATTTATAGGAAGCAAAGCTTGGAGGGAGATCTGATGCATTCAATAACAAAATCCAAAATTCAAAATGAAGCCAACAGGTTAGGATGATGGGCCAAAGCCTAGATGAAATGAAAAGAGACAAATGCCAATCATTCATTATGTTCTTAAAAGCAGGTGCACAAATGCAGAAGAGGGAGCCCCGGCCCCATTGCATTTCATGCAAAAGAGATCTGCAGGTCTGAAATGATCCCAAGCCCAGTGTGCTTCATTAGTATGAGGCGGCTGCCAAACACAGCTGCAAACTTAGGCTACACAAGAGGATGGAGAAAAAGAGCCCCAATATGCATTGCCTCAGCAATAATAGCTCGTATTTATTGAGTGCTTATTATACTAGATGCTGCTACTGCGCTGTGTTTACAGAAATGATCTCATTTATGTAAGTACCCGGGGGTGTAGTCTGCTTTCTTTTTCTTTTTTCTTTTTTTTTGAGACAAGGTCTTCCTCTGTTGCCCAGGCTGGAGTGCAGTGGTGAAGTCTTGGCTCACTGTAGCCTCCACCTCCTGGGTTCAAGTGATTCTCATTTCTCAGCCTCCCAAGTAGCTGGGACTACAGGCGCGCGCCACCATGCCTGGCTAAGTTTGTATTTTTAGTAGCGATGGGGTTTCACCATGTTGGCCAGGCTGGTCTCAAACTCCTGACCTCAAGTAATCTGCCTGCCTCAGCCTCCCAAAGTGCTGGGATTACAGGCATGAGCCACCACACCCAGCCTTGGGTGTAGTATCGATCCAAAATGATATCTGATGTACAGGAAGGGGGAAAGATCTGTTTTGTATGTAAGAGTAAGTTAGTAGAAATACAGTGAGGAGAGTCATGAATGGAGGGGAACATTGAAGAGACAAGGCTGGCGGAAGGCTGCAGGATGTTTACACCCCTGGGACCCCGAAGAGGTCAGTGAGAAGAGAGTCAAGTTAGATTTCAATCAGATGGCACCATAGACCCGGCTAAGATTGAACCGGGTAGGCCTACCCTAGGATGATCTAGTTCGGGAGCCCCCCTCCTTGGGGATCGTTTTGGGGAGGGGTTTGTGCAGTGGACAAAGGATGAGATCAAGAGGAGACTATGTTGAAAAAAAAAAATGCCAGCCAGGCGCAGTGGCTCATGCCTGTAATCCCAACCCTTTGGGAGGCCGAGGCGGGTGGATCCCCTGAGGTCAGGAGTTCGAGACCAGCCTGGCCAACATGACAAAACCCCATCTCTACTAAATATACAAAAATTAGCCGGGTGAGGTGGCGCACGCCTGTAGTCCCAAATACTCAGGAGGCTGAGGCAGGAGAATCACTTGAACTCAGGAGGCGGAGGTTGCAGTGAGCCAAGATCATGCCATTGCACTCAGCCAAGATCACGCCTTTGCACTCCAGGCTGGGTGACAGAGCAAGACTCTGCCTCAAACAAACAAATAAAAATGTTGGGGAAAGGAAGAGAAAGCCAGCAACTTCCTGGGTATCCAAGTCAGGCACATCAGCAGGTGTTTGTGTGCTCCCCCCAGCAAGTTCCTCACCTCCTTTACCAGGGGTTACAGCTCCATGAGAGAAAAGCCTGATAGATAGAGATGGAAGAGCCCCTTCTCCTAATGGTGGCTGTGTCTCTGCTTGGCTTATCAGCAGTGTGACAGTTTGCTGTTTTGATCGCTCTCCCTTGCCCAACCATTGCCAACCCAGGTTGAGCCCACCTCAAGGGATTGGGCAGATAGAAAGTGTGGGTCAGTACAATCCTCACAATAACTTAGATGATGACATTAGAGCTCAGTAAGGTAGATGTTTTTAACCATGGTCACACAGCTGGCCTACAGTGGAGCAAGGATTTGAACCCGGGGTCTTAATGCTAGGATCCAAATTGTTAACCACACAGCACTGGGCTGGCATCTGCAGAATCTCAGGTTCCCCATGGGTCCCCACATTTTAAGAAGGATGTGGACAGATCAAAGGGGTAGCTCCTGGAGAGCTACCAGGAGAATGGGAGAATGGGAGAGGCTGGAAATCTTGTCCTGTAAAAAACACAAGGAGAGCCAAGTACAATGGCTCACACCTGTAATTTCAGCACTTTGGGAGGCCGAGGAGGGCGGATCACCTGAAACCAGGAGTTCGAGACTAGCCTGGCCAATGTGGTGAAACTCCATCTCTACTAAAAATACAAAAATTAGCCAGGTGTGGCGGCTCACGCCTGTAATCCCAGCTATTTGGGAGGCTGAGGCAGGAGAATTGCTTGAACTCGGAATGTGGAGGCTGCAGTGAGCCAAGATCATGCTACTGCACTCCAGCCTGGGCGACAGAGACTCCATCTCCAAAACAAACACACACACACACACACACACACACACACACACACACACACACACACACAAAACAAGACAAAAAAACAAAAAACCTACAGGTCATCAGGGAATTCTGTCTGAGATAAAAATGACTTGGGAAAATGCAATAACTGTCCTCAAGCTCTCAGAGAAATGTTATGTGGCAAAACAAAGACATTTATTTTTCACAGCAGTACTAGAATAATAATGATGTATTTCAACATTCTAAGGTTTAGAGTTCTCTTAAACAGGAGTGGGCTGCTTTGAGATACTGAGCTCCCGGGCACTGAAAGTATTCAAGCAGAAGCTGGACGCCATGGGCCAGGCTTTCTTTTATTAAAACCGAGATGCTACTCTTCCTCTTCTCAAAGTGCCTACAGAACAGCTGAGACCTACTTACCCAGCTCGTTTGTCACTATTAGTTTCATGACTATAAATTTCATACAGCTTTACTGAGGGATAACCTATGTACTGTACAATTTACCCATTGTAAGTGAACAATTTGATGGTTCCTAGTAAATCTATACAGTTCTGCAACCATGACTACAGTCCAGTTGCAGAAACTTTGTGATTATAGATTTTTTCCCCAAAGAACATTGTTAGCATCAAGGGTAGATCCAGGTCCCATGGGCCGTGGTCTCCGCTGACCTAACAGCAGGCCTCTGTGCTGTGGCTCTTTCCTCACATCCTCTCCTCATTCCTTCTTGGGAGTCACCTGATGCTGCCCTGCCACATGCTGCTTGGCCTTCCTGGGCCCTGGGCACCTCGCCCCTCCCCGAGTTGTCCCCGCTGGGCACCTTTGCTTCCTTCCCTCCTTCTTTGCCATGGCTTGGGGGCAGGGGCTTGGTCTTCAGCAGATTCCAAGGCAGTAGGGTGTACTTAGAAGTATGTGAGCCCTGATAACCCAGACCTGTATTTGGCTCACAGCCATGTGGCCTCCAGCAAGTCACCTTATTTTTTGTTATTTCTGTTTTGTTTTGAGACAGGGTCTCACTCTGTTGCCTAGGCTGAGTGCAATGGCTCAGTCTCATCTCACTGCAGCCTCTATCTCCCGGGCTCAAGTGATCCTTCCACATCAGCCTCCCGAGGAGCTGTGACTACAGGCACACACCACCACACCCAGCTAATTTTATTTTTTTTGTAGAGATGAGGTCTCACTATGTTGCCCAGGCTGGTCTTGAACTCCTGGATTCAACCAATCCGCCTGTCTCAGCCTCTTAAAGTGCTGCGATCACAGGCATGCGCCACCATGCCTGGTGACTTTATCTTCTTGAACCTTAATTTTTCCCCTTTTGTAATGCAGACATAATACACATGCCTCGCTCAGTGCAAAGATCAGAGATGATGTGTATCAAGTGACTAGCACAGTATCTACTTTTTTTTTTTGAGACAGTCTTGCTCTGTTGTCCAGGCTGGAGTGCAGTGATGCGATCTCAGCTCACTACAGCCTCCACCTCCCAGGTTCAAGTGATTCTCCTTCCTCAGCCTCCCGAGTAGCTGGGACTACAGGCGTGCACCACCACACCTGGCTAATTTTTGTATTTTTAGTAGATAGTTTCACCATGTTGGCCGGGCTGGTCTCGAACTGCTGACCTCAAGTGATCCACCCACCTTGGTCTCCCAAAATGCTGGGATTACAGGTGTGAGCCACCATGTCTGGCCAATATCCACTATTTTTAGTAAATGATAGCCATGATTACTGCTGCCACCTTCATTATTGACACTCAAATGTCCTCTGCTCTGAGTGCTTATTTTGCCTTTCTCTTCTAGGATATCCCTGTTTTCTGGGTCTCTCCTGGTGTCCAGCCATTACCACAGGCACAGAGATGGATTCCTCTACACTTGGGAAACCCCAAGGCTGACCCCAGCCAGGGATGCATGTGGGTTACTTGGGAATGGAGCAGCAGCACCACCTAGTGGCAATGTGCAGCAGCATGCTAATTACTGGCCAAATGCAGGAGCTTGTCTAATAGCTACTACATCAGGACACCTTGGAAGTCACCTACTCCAGCGGTTCGTCCAGCGCTTGTGTGGCCACAGCATCCTCCTAGAGAGGGCTTCCCATGCCATGCACTAGAACAAAAGAGGATGTGGAGAATGAAAGACAAAATAGGAGAAAACTTCTCAGTGTAATGCTCCTCAGGGACCACAGGGTAGTAAAAAAAAGTTTAAAAAGCATCTCCACCAGATCTAGAGACAGGAAGTAGGTCAGTGGTTAGTGGTTGCCCAGTGCTGCGGAGGACAGGGGAAATGAGGAGTGACTGCTAAAGGGTACAGGGTTTCTTTTCAGGGTGATAGAAATGTTTTAAAAGTGGCCAGGCGCAGTGATTCACGCCTGTAATCTCAGCACTTTGGGAGGCCAAGGCGGGCAGATCGCTTGAGGTCAGGAGTTCAAGGCCAGCCTGGCCAACACAGTGCATCCCCGTCTCTACTACTCATACAAAAATTAGCCAGATGTGGTGGTGCACGCCTGTAATCCCAGCTACTCGGGCAGCTGAGGCACGAGAATCGCTTGAACCCAGGAGGCAGAGGTTGCAGTGAGCTGAGATTGTGCCACTGCACTCCAGCCTGGGTGACAGAGTGAAACTCTGTCTCAATAATAATAATAATAATAATGATAATGATAATAATAATAATAATAATGCTGATGAGTTTGTGGCCAGCACTGCTGTTCATACTTGGACAAGATATCTCCAAGGAAACACCGGAGCAAGACATTCAAAGGTAGGAGACACTTAATCCTCATAACTCTATGAGGCAGGTATCAGTATCCCCATTTAACAGTTAAGCAAACTGAGGCTCCGAGATACAGAGGCTAAGAGTCAGTGGCCTGAGGCTAGCAGCCAGTGAGGGACATGGCAGGGATGCAAACATGGCTTTCAGAGACCCAAGTCTTTCCTTAAAACTACTGTACTGAAAAGTGCTCCCCACTTATACTTACTCTGACTCACCAGCTCCAGTGTCACAGTGTGGGAAAGGCTGTAGTGGGTGTGCCGTGAAAAGGCAAGGCGTACTGCCAGGGCCTAAGGCTGGGACAGCACATCTCAGTTTGTCTTCCATAAACACACCCTAGGAGTTTCAATAGAAACTCTGCTAAAATTGATGAGGAAAGAGATTTCAAGAAGTTCAATACATTCAGAAGCACATGACTATCCTCTCCTCCTTCCAAAGCAAGTTCTTTATCGTCTGAGCAATCAATAAGTGTTTAACGAGGCCTGGCACTGTATTAGGTAAGCTGTAGCATAAATACAAAAGTGTAAGACACAGTCCCTGCCCATTTGAGGCGTACAATCTAAATATTTCTCAGAGGCCGGGTGCGGTGGCTCACACCTGTAATCCCAACACTTTGGGAGGCCGAGGCAGGCGGATCATGAGGTCAGGAGTTCAAGACCAACCTGGCCAACGTGGTGAAACCCTGTCTCTACTAAAGATACAAAAATTCGCCGGGCGTGGTGGAGGGCGCCTGTAATCCCAGCTACTCAGGAGCTTGAGGCAGGAGAATCGCTTGAACCCAGGAGGCAGAGATCACACCATTGCACTCCAGCCTGGGCAACAAGAGCAAGACTCTGTTTCAAAAAAATAAAATAAAATAAAATAAAATAAAATAAAATAAAATAAAATAAAATAAAATAAAACAAAACAAAACAAATATTTCTCAGAAATTACTCCATGGTTAAAAAGCAAATCTGGACTTAGTTGCCAGTATTGCAATGAACATTCTTTAAATTCAATATTTTGAAGAAAAACATGATACCACACATTTATCATGGAATGAAATTTTTTCCTAGTAATATAAACTTCATTGTTATGAATAAATAAGGTTTGCTTCAGTTAAAATTCACCTGACATGGCCCTCCTGTATAATTTTTTACTTAATTTTATTTTTAAAATTTTATTTAAAATTTATTATATTAAATTTGGGACAGGTTCTTGCCATGTTGCCCAGGCTGATCTCAAACTCTGGGCTCAAGCGACTCTCCCACCTTGGCCTCCCAAAGTGCTGGGATTACAGGCATGAGCCACTGTGCCTGGCCAATCTTCTATAATTCGAATAAATATTTCTTGAAAAAGTAGTTTTAGAAGGTTAAATAGGCCAGGCGTGGTGGCTCACGCCTATAATCCCAGCACTTTGGGAGGCCGAGGCAGGTGAATCACTTGAGGTCAGGAATTAAAGACGAGCCTGGCCAACATGATGAAACCCTGTCTCTACTAAAAATACAAAATTTAGCTGGGCGTGGTGGCGGGCGCCTATAGTCCCAGCTACTCAGGAGGCTGAGGCAGGAGAATCGCTTGAACCCGGGAGGCAGAGGTTGCTGTGAGCCAAGATCACGCCACTGTACTCTAGCCAGGGTGATAGAGCAAGACTCCGTCTCAAAAAGAAAAAAAAAAAGAAGAAAAAGTTTAAATAGAAGTGCTTAGGTACTAATATGGCCAACAATTGTCTGGACAAACGAGCTCTAGGCTACTTAGTGAACCTCCTCTCCGGGATATTTTTATTAATATTTGGAGAACAACATAAAACACATTTCCAAGTGGTTCATGAGATGCCATGGCCATCCAAAAGAGGGAGGCAATGCGCCGGAGCTTGGTCTTGACAAGAGATATTTTCCATAGCAAAATTTACCACTAACTCGAGGGCAATACCAGGTGGGCTGGGAATCTCACATCTCCCAAATTAGCCTCTTGATTCTGTCACAAACTTTCAGAACTCAAAGGCTTGTGGTTCTGGGAATGGAAACTAACCAAACATCATCTGGACTGAGACAGCCAAACCTGGGGACAGCGCCATCCCAAAAGTGAACCGTCTGCTTCATGGGAAGAACATTTATCTCAGAGCAGGGAGGGATGTAGCAGCTGCAGTCGCAGGGGACCGAGACCCAAGACGGTGATGCCCAGAGCACAAACACGACCCTCCACTGGCCTGTGGGGCTCTGGGAAAGAGCTTTGGCCTCACACTGGGTCACCTCCCCACAGGGTCCCCATCTGGCAAATAAGGGAAGGAACTAGCATAAGGAAAAGGCTGGATACCTTCCTAGTGTTATGAAGTATTGATATGCCAGTGAAAAAGCTCACGGATGTCTTTAAATAAAGCGTCTTACATCAGGAACTCTGGGCTACAATAAAGTTTCAGGGAAAAGTTCCAATCTGAGCCTCTTTGCACCTGCAATAAGCAAATACCTTTTCTTTCCTGAGGATCATTTGCTTAAAGCACTGAAGAGTGAGCTGCTAGCTGCAGCAGTGGTGGTAAAGAATGACGATTTCTCGGTAGCGCAGTGGCTCATGCCTGTAATCCCAGCATTTTGGAAGGCTGAGGTGGGTGGATCCCTTGAGCTCAGGAGTTACAGACCAGCCTGGGCAACATGGCAAGACCCTGTCTCCACAAAAAATACAAAAATTAGCCAGGTGTGGTGGTGCACACCCATAGTCTCAGCTACTCAGGGGGCTGAGGTGGGAGGATTGCTTGAGCCCGAGAGACGGAGGTTGCAGTGAGCTGAGATCGCACCACTGCACTCCAGCTTGGGCGACAGAGTGGGAGGCTGTTTCAAAAAAAATTTTTTTAATAAAAAATAAATAAACATGAAAAGGTACAGTAAAAATATGGTTTAAAAAAAAAAAAGAATGACAATTCCTTCCTTTTTACGAAAGGATGCCAAAGACTAACAGGACTCCAGACGCCAGACCAGGATTGCAACAGCTGAACTCAGTCCCCGCTCCAACTCGCCTCCATGAAGCCCGCTCTGGCCTTCGAGCACCAGCAAGCCCTCTGGACTTCTCCATCAATTGCAAAAATGATCATCAAAGCTACTGAAATGGAAGGTGGTGTTTAAAACTTAACACTGGGTTTCTTAAAATGTAACACTGCTTTTCTTACGGCATGGATAAGGCACTGTGAGAAAGCTGCCTCCACTCCCAGCACACACGTACACGTGCACACAGCAGAGGCTAGCTGATGTGGCCACAAGGCACAAAGAATAGATCCTTCTGATCAGTTCTGGTTCTGGAACTGGTTGGCGAGCCAGTTCAGGCCTTCGTAAAGCCCATGTCCAGTAGTGGCACAAGTAGCCTGAATGTGCCAGTTTCTGTAGCGGAGGGAATGGAGGCCGAGCTTGTCCGTTATCTCTGCCGCGTTCATAGTATTAGGGAGATCCTTGAAAAAGAACATTCAAAAGTCAATGTATACTGTTGTATCCATATAGCGAAATATGCTCTTCCCTGTTAAACGTGCCCAAACCCACAGTCTTCTCTGTTGATGGCAACTCCAACCTTCCAGTTGCTCAGGCCAAAAAGCTTGAAATTATCCTTACTTTTTTACTCTCAATGTCACAGCCAATCTGTCAGGAACTCCTAACGGTTCCACTATCAAAATTTATCCAGAATCTGACCACTTACTAACTCCACAGCTGTCGCCGTGATCTGACACCACATCGCTTCTCACCTGGATGACTGAAATAACTTCCTAACTGTCCTCCCTACTTCTCTGCTCTTGCTCCCGTGAAGCCTATTCTCAACCCAGCCATCGGTGAATCAGATTGAATCATTCTTCTATCAAAACTGCAACAGCTCCCCCTCTCTCAGGATACGAGTCAGAGTCCTTATGGTCCACAAAGCCTCCTGGACCGGAGACCTCAACGAAGTGGTCTGTTCCATCTTTTCAATATGGCACTCACCATACATTACTATATCACGACATTTACTTATTTAAGTATATTTATTATTGACTATCTATCTGTCTCCCCTAACTAGAATGCAAGCTTTACAAGGGCAGGAATCTTGGTCTATCTCGTCCTCTGATGTATCCCAAGTGCCTTGAAATGTGCTTGGCACAGAATAAGCTCAAACTAAATTTGAATAAATCAGCATTAAAGAACAAAGTAAGGCTGGACACGGTGGCTCACACCTGTAATCCCAGCACTTTGAGAGGCCGAGGTGGTCGGATCACCTGAGGTTGGTAGTTCTATACCAGCCTGACCAACATGGAGAAACCCCGTCTCTACTAAAAATACAAAATTAGCCAGGAGTGGTGGCGCATGCCTGTAATCCCAGCTACTCGGGAGGCTGAGGCAGGAGAATTGCTTGAGCCCAGGAGGCGGAAGTTGCGGTGAGCCAAGGTAGCGCCATTGCACTCCAGCCTGGACAACGAGAGTGAAACTCCATCTCAATAAATAAATAAATAAATTAATTAATTAATTAAAGTAGCTGTAGATGTACTGATATGGAAGGACTTCCAAGATATACTAAGTGAAAGAACATAATCATACAATTGTTTACACAGGCAGAGAAAGTTGGACCTCTGGAAAGAGAAAGAATAAATTTAACAATGAATAGTAGCACTAGAATATTTCACTTGAATATTCTCAACTGTATGCGTATTTATACCATGAGAACATTCTGTTTTTATCATTGAAAACAACAGAGGCACCAAGCACGGTAGCTTATACCTATAATCCCAGCACTTTGCAGGGCTGAGGTGGGAGGACAGCTTGAGCACAGGTGTTTGAGACCAGCCTGGGCAACATAGCAAGATCTCAGCTCTACAAAAAAATTAAAAAATTAGCTGGGCATGGTGGCACGTGCCTGCAGTCCCAGCTACTTGGGAGGCTGAGGAAGAAGGATCACTTGAGCCCAGGAGTTCGAGGCTGCAGTGAACTGTGATCGCACCACTCCACTCCAGCCTGGGCGACAGAGTAAGACCCTGTCTCAAAACAAAACAAAACAAAAAAATCACACACACATACACACACACACCCTCCAGAGTCATTTTCTTTCTTTAATAGTCATATGTTCACTAGTGCAAACTCTGGACTGACATTGAACCTGAACAGTGAGAGTAACGGTTGTACAAATGATGATCCATCCACCGTTTAAAATCAGGTCTACAAAGAGTTGGAAAACAAGAGACAATGATTTTGATAAATCTAAAGTGATAAAACAGGATGCAACATTGTCACAACAGTATGATCACAATTACATAATGAATGCACTCATGGAAGAGAAAGTGAAGGAAGGATGTCAGAATGTGACGGTGGTCATCTCAGACTGGTACAATTCCACGTGGTTCTTTCTACCTTCTTTTTCATGCTTAGTTTAGCTCAGAGTCCTGAGGCTGGATAGTTCTACGCTTGGTCTTCCTCCCATGTTTCTTTTACTGTTTTACATTTATGTACAAGCCCTTTTCCTCCTCCAAAACAGGCCCTATATGATTCAATCTCATCTCCTCTCTCTCTCCCCTGCTCATTCTGTTCCAGCTGCACTGGCTGCCATGCTGTTCCTAGAATCGTGTGGCTCCCTTCCTCCCAGCCTTCTGGTCTCCGCTCAGATGTCATCTCATCAGAGAGGCATTCCCAGTCTTTCCCACACCCGCCCTGCCCCTTTACTATGCTTTTGCTTCTTCCACAACACTTAAAAACCATTTGACACGTATTATTATTTATTTTACTCTGTAGCCCAGGATGGAGCGTAATGGAATAATCTCATCTCACTGCAACCCCGAACTTCCAGGCTTAAGTGATCCTCCCACCTCAGCCTCCTGAATAGCTGGGACCACAGGTGCATGCTACCACATCCAGCTAATGTTTGTACTTTTTTGTAGAGATGGGGTTTCACTATGTTGCCCAGGCTGGTCTTGAACTCCTGGGCTCAAGTGATTCCCCCCGCTTCAGCCTCCCAAAGTGTAGGGAGTACAGGCATGAGCCACCACACCTGGCACATTTCATGTTATTTATTGGTTGACTCTCTTCCCACTAGCAACGTAAACTCCAAGAACACAAGGACTTTATCTGTCTTGGTTTAAGCCTAAAACCAAGTCTGGAACTTAGTAGATGCTCAGTGGCTCACACCTGTAATCCTAGCAATTTGGGAGGTCGAGGTGGGCAGATCACTTGAAGTCAGGAGTTCCAGACCAGCCTGGCCAACATGGTGAAACCCAGTCTCTATTAAAAATACAAAAATTAGGTGGGCATGGCGGCGCATGCCTGTAATCCCAGTTACTTGGGAGGCTGGGGCAGGAGAATCACTTGAACCCGGGAGGTGGAGGTCACAGTGAGCTGAGATCACACCACTGTACTCCAGCCTGGGCAACAGAGTGAGACTCTGTCTCAATAAAAAAAAAGACATTCTAGCAAGGAGATGGTGGGAGATATTATGGTTGGTACTGGAGAGAGGGAGGCAGACATCTCATTTAAATGTCTGTATTTACAAGTGAGACATTTGGCAGTAAATTTCAGTTCCAGCATTCAGAAAGCCAATAACAACATACTTGTTTATTGGCAAATACCAATAAAACTGCATTTCTGAGCTCATCGTCCTCTAACAAGTAAGTTAGCACTTCCCAGGCCTCATCAATCTGCTCTCTGTCATTACTGTCAACCATAAAAATCAGACCTAGAAAGAAATCACGAGCATGTTAGTGATCGGAGCCTGGAAAATGCAGCTGTTTATGTATCTTCACGACTTCTCCCTGCTTATGTGTGTGACTTCACAAAGGCAATCGATACGGAAGGATACATCATCTCTAGAGTTAGGAGGCCTGCTATACACTCAACTTACATTTTGCAGAAGCATCACAGCCCTGCACCATATTAACAACAAGAATATATCCTGAAAAAGTTAGTCTCGTTTTCTAATCACTTAATTTCCACGTCAGGGAAAAAAACTTTTTTTTAATTAATTTATTTATTTATTTTGAGATGGAGTCTTGCTGCAGCCCAGGCTGGAATGCAGTGGCGTGACCTCGGCTCACTGCAACCTCCACCTCCTGGGTTCAAGCAATTCTCCTGTCTCAGCCTCCCGATTAGCTGCGAATATAGGCACACCATCACACCCTGCTTATTTTTGTATTTTTAGTAGAGACGAGGTTTCACCATATTGGTCAGGCTGGTCTCGAACTCCTGACCTCAGGTGATCCGCCTGCCTTAGCCTCCCAAAGTGCTCGGATTATAGGCGTGAGACACTGCCCCTGGCCAAAACATTGTTTTTTAAAACATGTAAAGTTTAGTATAATAAAAGCATTCTAGGGCTAGCCCTCTAAAGCAAAACTTGAGACAAAAGCTTAAGTGCAGGTACGTTCTTTGGGAAGTGATCCCAGAGATCAGGAATGAGGGGCTGAGGGAGTAAAACAGGGCAGGAGGGACAGACAATAGAAGGACGAGTTATCAAGCTGGGCCCCCACTATGGGACCACTGCTCACCGTTGTTGGACATTCTAAGAAGCCATATCAAATGCCTGTCAGAACTGTCCACCCAGAGGACAAAAGAGGAAACAAGTATCCTTCAGTACCCATTCCCTGTTGCTCAAGAACAACTCAACAGGTGTTAGGCCACCCATACTTCTGGGTCACATTGGTATGAACACCAAGAGATTCCTATGGGCATCTTATAGTAATAAATTTGGCTGGTCTTTGTCCCCAGTTTCTAGAAGGTAGCCTCTAAACCCTTGGACTTTTCAGAGTGATAGCAGTATCTTTTTTTTTTTTTTTTTTTTTTTTTTTTGAGACGGAGTCTGGCTCTGTCCGCCAGGCTGGAGTGCAGTGGCGCGATCTTGGCTCACTGCAAGCTCCGCCTCTCGGGTTTGCGCCATTCTCCTGCCTCAGCCTCCCGAGCAGCTGGGACTACAGGCGCCCGCTACCGTACCCGGCTAATTTTTTGTATTTTCAGTAGAGACAAGGTTTCACCATGTTAGCCAGGATGGTTTCGATCTCCTGACCTTGTGATCCGCCCGCCTCGGCCTCCCAAAGTGCTGGGATTACAGGCGTGAGCCACCGCGCCCGATCAGCAGTATCTTTGTTATCATAGCGGGCCCACACCTCTAAGTTGATGCTAACAAGGTGACTCAGAGTGGGCCCCTAGATAGTGGATGCTAACAAGATCACCTCTGGGGAAATGAGGGTGCTAAAGTTTGAGTCACATGGCCAATGATTCAATCAATCGTACCTATGCAAGGAAGCCCCAATAAAAATGACAAATACTGAAGCTCAGGAGCACGTCCCTGGTTGGCAATACTCTATACATTGTCACGCATCGATGTGCTGGAAAGGTAACAGCCCCTGACTCCACGGGGAGAGAACAATGAAAGCTTTGCGTTTGGTGTCCTCCCAGATCTATGTGTCTTTCCCTTTGACTGGTTCATTTATATCCTTTTGCTTTATTGATCAATTAATAAAACTGTAGTTGTAAGCATAGCATGTCCCTGAATTCTGTGAATCATTCTGACAAGTGATCAAACCTGAGGGGGTAGTGGAAATCGCCAAATTTGTAGCCATCTGGCCAGAAGTGAGGGTGGGCTGAGGACCCCCAAACCTGTTGCCAGCTGGTGGCTGAAGTTGGGGATTCTTGTGGAGGATGGTGCCCTCAACCTGTGAAATAAAGTCCAACTCCAGGGGCTGGTGCCGGAAGTCTCTGCAGCATTCCATACTATAGCATCAAATACATCCCAAAAAGTAAAAGATACCTGGGGCAGGCCAAAGAAAGGCACCACCCCATCACACCTGAGTGAAGGTGACCAAAACCTGCACAGACCCAGTCACTGCTACATTGGCTGGAGGAAGCTGTGGGGCCAAAAGCATCTCCAGGGAGGGGCACAGGTGGCATCCAACACACCCTCCAAGCACAAGAAGGGGAGACGCCTTTGGCAGTAGTTCATGTGACATTAATGATAACAACAATCTGTCAGCCAGGTGTGGTGGCTCAGGCCTGTAATCCCAGCACTTCAGGAAGCCAAGGTGGGCAGATGACTTGAGGTCAGGGGTTCGAAACCAGCCAGGCCAACTTGGCAAAACCCCATCTCTACTAAAAATACAAAAATTAGCCAGGCGTGGTGACGCGTACCTGTGATCCCAGCTACTTGGGAGGCTGAGGTAAAAGAATTGCTTGAACCCGGGAGGCAGCAGTTGCAGTGAGCTGAGATGGTGCCACTGCACTCCAGCTTAGGTGACAGAGTGAGAACCTGTCTAGGAAAAAAAAAAAACAAAACAAAACAAAATTTGTGTTTGGCTAAGAGTAAGCCCTTAACACAAAAATGTGAAGTGGCTGCCAAAAGAACAGTTTGATCCTAGGCTGCATCACCAGTAGTGACGGGGTCTCAGTTCCTAGGACATGGGTGATACCAGGCTTACTCTACATCAGTCAGAACATCCTGGGAACGTTATATGGGCAGTGCTGGATCCCACACTCTGAGACATGGGCAAACTGAAAAAATTCAAAAAATGATCAGGAGAGCAAAGGCATTAGACACTAGGCCATATGAAGAACAGCTGCTATAATTGGAGATTTTACCTGGAGAAAAGAGTCACGTAGCGGCTGATGGCTATCTTCAAGTAGCTGAAAGTCTATGATGTAAAGAGGATTTAAGCGTTTTATAGAGCTCTGTGAGGTGGACTGAAGATCAGTGGTGAAAACTACAGAAGTCAGCCTAGCAGAGTGTCAGCAGATGAAGATGCAATGGCTGCCTCAGAAGGCACTCCTGTCACTGGAGATACTTGTTTGTGCACAACTTCAGCCACAATTCATGGGGACCCTGCAGAAGAGACCCTGGAAGGAAAATAGTAGCAGGATAAGATGACTTCTTGGTTTCCTTTGACCATGAGATTTCACGACTATGTCTAGGAGAGTAAACCAGTGCCGGCCCTCTTCCCTTTCCCTCCGTGCCTCCCAGGCCCACTCAACAGCTGCCTGAACCAACGGCAACAGAGCAGCCTACTATGGCTGATAGAGAGCTCCCGCAGCTTCGGCATGTTTGGGGCTTGCATGTGAGTCAATGTCATGTCTGCTACATCATATCAGATTAAAAAATGAAAAACATTCAAAACTCCCCCGAAGATTTCATA
This sequence comes from Homo sapiens, assembly GCF_000001405.40. Taxonomy (NCBI): domain Eukaryota; kingdom Metazoa; phylum Chordata; class Mammalia; order Primates; family Hominidae; genus Homo; species Homo sapiens. Next base: position 1,158,313 of record NT_167251.2, read on the forward strand.
TGCTATCAGCAAGTTCTGGTCTCTCGTCGTAACTAAGCAAGCCAGATTATCCAGAAATTTGAGATCCTTAGTCACCAATGCAGAACTGACAGGGAGGAAGCTGCCATATTATCCCTTTGCCATTCCTAAAAAAGCTTTGTAATATTAGGTACCATTTTATACTATCTTTATATAGGTCCTTACCTAAGAACCTAACATCAGACTGGTCCTACATCTGAACTAAGAGAACCTACAAAAAGCATATTTACAGCCGGGCGCAGTGGCTCATGCCTGTAATCCCAGCACTTTGGGAGGCCGAGGCGGGTGGATCACCTGAGGTCGGGAGTTCAAGACCAGCCTGACCAACATGGAGAAACCCCATCTCTACTAAAAATACAAAATTAGCTGGGCGTGGTGGCACACGCCTGTAATCCCAGCTACTCGGGAGGCTGAAGCAGGAGAATCGCTTGAACCTGGGAGGCAGAGGTTGCAGTGAGCCGAGATCGCACCATTGCACTCCAGCCTGGGCAACAAGAGTGAAACTCCATCTCAAAAAAAAAAAAGTATATTTACACATGAATAGTATACTACTAATGTGTTTTTTAATGGGAATATATGTATATAGAGCTGCCAGTATATACATAAAATATGTCTGGACAGATATATAAGAAATAAAAATGTTTGTCAGCCAGGCATGGTGGCTCATGCCTATAATCCCAGAACTTTGGGAGGCCGAAGTGGGCAAATCACCTGAGGTCAGGAGTTTGAGACCAGCCTGGCCAACATGGTGAAACCCCATCTCTAGTAAAAATACAAAAATGAGCTGGGCATGGTAGCACACACCTGTAGTCCCAGCTACTCAGGAGGCTGAGGCAGGAGAATCGCTTGAACCCAGGAGGCAGGGGTCACAGTGAGCCGAGATCGAGCCATTGCACTCCAGCCTGGGCAACAAGAGCAAAACTCTGTCTCAAAAAAAAAAAAAAAAGTTGTCTATGCGAGGGGAACCGAATGGTTAAGGGACAGGAATGAGACAGTGACTTGTTACTATAGAATTGGCCCTCCACATCCATGGGTTCCATATCCATGGATTCAACCAACCACAGATAGAAATTATTCAGGAAAAAAAAAAAAACTACATCTGTGCTGAACATGTACAGACTTTTTTCTTGTCATTATTCCATGAACAATAGCGTTTCACAACTATTTATACAGCATTTATGTTGTATTCAGCATTATAAGTAATCTAGAGGTGATTTAAAGCAGGGGTCCCCAACCCTTGGGGCACAGACCAGTACTCTTAAGAACTGGGCCTGTTAGGAATGGGGCTGCACAGCAGGAGGTGAGCAGCAGGTGAGTGAGAGAAGCCTCATCGGTATTTACAGCCGCGTCCCATCCCCATGGCTCACATTACCAACTGAGCTCCACCTCCTGTCAGATCAGCTGCAGCATTAGATTCTCATAGGAGGGTGAACCCTACTGTGAACTGCACGTGAGGGATCTACACTGCGTGCTCCTATGAGAATCTAATGCCTGATGATCTGTCACTGTCTCCCATCACCCCCAGATGGAACCATCTAGTTGCAGCAAAACAAGCTCAGGCTCCCACTGATTCTACATTACAGTGAGTTTGTATAATTATTTCATTATATATTATAACGTAATAATAATAGAAATAAAGTGCACAGTAAATGCAATGTGCTGAATCATCCCAAAACTATCCCTGATCCCCCTCTCCGGCCCCCGGCTCTGTGGAAAAATTATATTTCACGAAACTAGTCCCTGGTGCCAAAAAGGTTGGGGACCACTGATTTAGAGTATACGGGAGGATGGGGGGCTGGAGGTTGCAGTGATCCAAGTGCCACTGCACTCCAGCCTGAATGACAAAGGGAGACCCTATCTCAAAAAAAAAAAAAAAAGAGATATGTAGTACTCCTAACATTCAGTACCTCAGAATGTGATCTTAGAGATGGGATCTTCAGACCAGGTGCGGTGGCTCACGCCTGCAATCTCAGCACTTTAAGAGGCCGAGGTGGGTGGACCACTTGAGGTCAGGAGTTCGAGACCAGCCTGGCCAATGTGGAGAAACCCCATCTCTACCAAAAATGTAAAAATTAGCTAGGCATGGTGGCGAGCACCTGTAACTCCAGCTACTTGGAAGGCTAAGGCAGAAGAATCACTTGAACCTAGGAGGAGGAGGTTGCAGTGAGCTGAGATCACCCCACTGTACTCCAGCCTGGGCAACAAAGAGAGACTCTGAAAAAAAAGAAAGAGATAAGATCTCCAAAGAGGTCATAAAGTTAAAATGAGGTCATCAGGGAGGACTCTAATCCCATTATGACTTGTCCTTATAAAAAAGGGGAAATTGTGGACACAAAGAAATACACACAGGGAGGCTGGGCGCAGTGGCTCACGCCTGTAATCCCAGCACTTTGGGAGGCTGAGGTGGGCAGATCACTTAAGGTCAGGAGTTTGAGACCAGCCTGGGCAACAAGGTGCAGCCCTGTCTCTACAAAAAATACAAAATTTAGGCTGGGTGCTGTGGCTCATGCCTGTAATCCCAGCACTTTGGGAGGCCGAGGCAGGCAGATCACCTGAGGTCAGGAGTTCAAGACCGGCCTGGGCAACATGGTGAAACCCTGTTTCTACAAAAAATACAAAAAATTACCTGGGCATGGTGACACGTGCCTGTAATCCCAGCTACTTAGGAGGCTAAGGAAGGAGAATCACCTGAACCTGAGAGGCAGAGGTTGCAGTGAACCGATATTATGCCACTGCACTCCAGCCTGGGCAACAGAGCAAGACTTTGTCTAAAAAAACAAAAGAAATATACACAGGGAGAACTCTACATAAGGACTGGAGTTATGCTGCCACCAGAAGCTAGAAGAGAGGCTTGAAACAGATCCTGTCCCAGTAGCTTCAGAGAAAGCATGCCTCTGCCCTTAGATTTCTAGCCTCCAGAACAGTGAGACAATAAATTTCTGTTATTTAAGCCACTCAGCATATGTCACTCTGTGGCAGCAGCCTTAGCAAACAGATGTCATAAGAAAATTCGCAGCTCAGGTTTACTAAGTACCTACCAGGTACTGTTCTAAACACTCTGCGTGAATAAACTCATTTAATCCTTATAAAGTCCACTCTAGGATCTAGGTACTATCATTACACCCTTTTTACGGTGTGGATGCCGAGGTTCTAAGAGGTTAATGAGCTTACCCAATATCACATAGCCAGAGCCCTCTCTCTCACCACTAGGCTATGAGGAGCTATTATTAACAGTAATTACAATAAGAGCTAGCGTGGTGGCTCACGCCTGTAATCCCAGCACTTTGGGAGGCCACGGCGGGTGGATCACTTGAGGCCAGGAGTTTGAGACCAGCCTGGCCAACATAGTGAAACCCCGTCTCTACTAAAAATAGAAAAACAAGCCGGGCATGCTGGCATGCGCCTGTAATCCCAGCTACTTGAGAGGCTGAGGCAGGAGAATTGCTTGAACTCAGGAGACGCAGGTTGCAGTGAGCCGAGATCGTGCCACTGAACTCCAGCCTGGGCGACACAGCAAGACTCCATCTCAAAAAAAAAAAAAAATTAGTAATTACGATAAGTAGTAGTCCACTGAGCCAAACACTGCCCTATGTCCTTTACAGATATAATACAAAAGTCCTCTGAAGTAAGTGTTATTATTTCCAGTATGAAGGAGGAACCTGAATCTCAGAGAGATTAAGAAATTAAGAGATTAAGAAATCGCCCAAAGTCACACGGTTAAGAGTGCTGAGATTAGGCCGGGCACGGTGGCTCATGCTTGTAATCCCAGCACTTTGGGAGGCCGAGGCGGGTGGATCACCTGAGGTCAGGAGTTTAAGACCAGCCTGGCCAAGCTGGTGAAACCCCATCTCTCTAAAAATAAAAAAAAAATTAGCTGGCCATGGTGACAGGCGCCTGTAATCCCAGCTACTCGGGAGGCTGAGGCAGGAGAATCACTTGAACCCAGGAAGTGGAGGTTGCAGTGAGCCAAGATCACCTGGACAACAAAGCGAGACTCTGTTTCATAAAAAAAAAAAAAAAAGAAGAAGAATGCTGAGATTATATCTAATTGCTAACTTAAGGGGATATACAATGAAAACCTGTTTTTACTAAAACTTTAAGAACAAGTTAATTTTTTTTTTTCTTTAATGAGACAAGAGACAAGGTCTGGCTCTATCACCCAGGCTGGACTGCAGGGGCGCAATCACAGTTCACTGCAACCTCCACCTCCCAGGCTCGAGCCATCCTCCCACCTCAGCCTCTCAAGTAGCTGCAACTACAGGTGCACACCACCATGCCTGGCTAATTTTCTTTTGTATTTTTAGTAGAGATGGGGTTTTGCCATGTCGCCCAGGCTGTTCTCAAACTCGTGTGCTCCAGCGATCTGCCTGTTCAGCCTCCTAAAGTGCTAGGATTACAGGCGTGAGCCATCGCGTCTGGCCAAGTTAAATTTTTTAATGCCTGACTTTGCAGTTCAATACTAGAAATATACATCTATAAATTCAAAATTCTTGAAGATCCCAAGAGAACACATGTCCTAGATTATGGGCCCTTTTGCATGTGTATCCCCTCAACCACTGTTCAAGAACTATTCTCTCGGCTGGGCACGGTGGCCCACGCCTGTAATCCCAGCACTTTGGGAGGCCTAGTTGGGCGGATCATGAGGTCAGGAGATCGAGACCATCCTGGCTAACACGGTGAAACTCCGTCTCTACTAAAAATACAAAAAATTAGCCGGGCGTGGTGGCGGGCGCCTGTGGTCCCAGCTACTCGGGAGGCTGAGGCAGGAGAATGACACGAACCCAGGAGGCACAGTTTGCAGTGAGCCGAGATTGCACCACTGCACTCTAGCCTGGGTGACAGAGTGAGACTCCGTCTCAAAAAAACAAAAACAAAAACAAAAAAACTATTCTCTCAGTTAGAACCCTTGCCATTTCTCTGACTTCCAGACACAGAAAGAGAAGAAAAGGAAGGATTGAGATGCTGTTCTTTAAAATTTTTTTTTTTTTTTTTTTGAGACGGAGTCTCCCTCTGTCGCCCAGACTGGAGTGCAGTGGCGCGATCTCGGCTCACTGTAAACTCCGCCTCCCGGGTTCACGCCATTCTCCTGCCTCAGCCTCCCAAGTAGCTGGGACTACAGGCCCCTGCCACCACGCCCAGCTATTTTTTTGTATTTTTAGTAGAGACGGGGTTTCACTGTGTTAGCCAGGATGGTCTCGATCTCCTGACCTCATGATCCGCCCTCCTCGGCCTCCCAAAGTGCTGGGATTACAGGCGTGAGCCACTGCGCCCAGCTAAAATTTTCAATTTTCTATTTAATTTTTAAAATCTGATACAAACATCAGAAAGTGTAAAAAGATATAATGCAATGAGAAGTCTCCTTCCTACTCTGTCCTCTACCTGAACAATTCCTAGACCTAACAGGTAACCAGTGCCACCATTTTCTTATTTATTCTTCTAAAGGTTTGTGTTGTTGCTGTTGTTTGAGACAGAGTCTCGCTTGGTCAGCCAGGCTGAAGGACAGCGGCGTGATCTCAGCTCACTGCAAGCTCCGTCTCCCGGGCTCAAGCAATTCTCCTGCCTCAGCCTCCCGAGTAGCTGGGATTACAGGTGTGTGCCACCACGCCCCAGCTAGTTTTTATATTTTCAGTAGAGACGGGGTTTCACCATATTGGCCAGGCTGGTCTCAGACTTCTGACCTCAGGTAATCCACCCACCTTGGACTCCCAAAGTGCTGGGATTACACGTGTGAGCCACCATGCCCAGCCCTAAAGATCTTTTTTTTTTTTTTTTTGCATACATACACCAATGCAAATTATCTTTTTCTCCTGTTTTTTTTTTTCCAAAAAACACAAAGGGTATCAAATCATACATACTGTTCTGCATCTTGCTTTCATCACTTAACTGTCTGCCTTGCAGATCTTTCTATATCATATTAAATTATGTTTTAATTCTCTCGTTTTGCTTGTCAAGAACAGTTTTTACTTCATTTCACCATAGTTCAGTCTAGCACACAAGGCATCCAGCAGCCCTAAGAACTACCTGAGACAACTGATGATGGCTCCATGCTACACACTAAAGACCCTGTATCTTTTCTCTCCTCCTCATCTTCATTTCACTCTTTTCTCCGACTCACTCAATTCTCCTTCCTTTCCCTATTCCTCTCCCATCTCACCCACTCCTTAGTCCTAACCCTGACAACTAGACCCTAGTAACATCACTGACATTGCTTAGTCGTGGCTAGAAATATTCAGGCTTTAAAAAGGTACAGACCCCTAACACAGAGAAAAAGGGATAAATAATAATTTCCATGAGAACTTCTAATTAACGAGAGTGCCTTAAATTGAGGAGTTTTGGTTTGGAGTTATTCTTCCTTGTTACTTGCCTCCTCTGGCATTTTCATTTGTGAAGACTGAGTGAGTGTGACGCTATTTTCTATACGCATGGAAACAAGCACATACTCAGTCTAACATTTACGCAATGCCTGACAGAACGACAGAGTTCATTCTACAATAAGATAATTGGAAACAAAATATAAGATCTATATAAAATAAACATTTGGGCTCCAAAATATGCACTTTAATTAACCTATCATTTCTTTTTACTTAAATTAGGTAGCTCCAATCTGAAACTACATCTTAGAAATGTTTTAAGGATATTCACCAATGAAAAAGAGAATAAAGTTCCCTCTCCCCACTTTTATTTTCCAGCCCACAAACTCAATGCTATCCTCCCCGCAAAAAGGACCTTTTTTTCTGACCAGACGAACACTGTAATTTTTAAGGTTTCTAAGTAATAAAAATAGGAAGAAAACATTACCCCCAAAAATTGGTTTACGCTTAGAAGATGTTTCCCACTGAGCAAAGGATTGGTAAGGAACATAATATTAAGGCAACCACCTAACTGCATTCTTAAGTAGTAACAGGTGGTAACTCACGATATGGAGCTGATTTCCTTTCTCTATTCCTGCCATGCCAGAGACCTCTAGTAGAACTTCTGAGGTTACTGTATTACAACCCAGGTTCAGAGAGATTTAGAGGTAAAACCTTAAACACTGGAAATAGCTTTAAAAGTAGGGCTTTGTGTACCAAATACATTCGTTAAAACCTAGGAAACTATAAAATGAAATCCAATGTATTGATCTCAATCCCCTTGCCTGCTTCCTAAAGAGGACAGAGGCCACCAACACTGGTGCTCAACACTTGCTAAGTCGAAACACTCTTACACAGGTCCTCTGATTCTTAACGGGTTCAGAACTTCTGGTTGCATTCCCCATGCAACCCCTCCAACTCTTTCAGGGAGAATGCTGGAAAAACTGTGTCACTTTGGCTTCCTGTATATTAATATAAGCACTCTTATCCAGCAATAGCAGCTGAAACATAAATGAAGATGAGAACTCAGCCTACATGACCTACGATTTCCCACAAGTCCAGATATTTAGGTTACACACACTGCACTATTGTCTGATTTCTCCTCTGCATCAGTCTGGAAGTCCACAGAGCAGATTAGCACCCAACAATCTTAACTAAGCTAGTATCCTACTCTGAAGAAAGGCGAAGCTGGTGGAGGGTTTCCAAGACTCCTTATCCTTCTCTGTCCTTCCTCCCATCCCCTCCTTACGTCTTTTCTGTTTGTTTTTATTTAATTTTTTTTTAATGTATTTTTAGTCACAAGAAAATCAAAGAAGCCACCTACTTAAGTCTTAAGCTCTGCCCTTTGCTTAGTCCTAATGGAGAGTTCTTTGGCCATCTATGTACAAGAGATTAGAGGAGCCAAAGAGACTGGAGAACCACATCAATGGGAGCTTTTTCATCTAAAGGTCATCTGTCCACACTGTCCAAATGAGGTTTACCCTGTGAAATAAAACTTGGTGTAAGTGCTACCTGCTGAGAAAAATAGTATGAAATGTCACACAAAGGACTGGGGTGCAGCAGGAGGACTCTGAAAGAGTCATACGTGTAAACCAGCAGGTCTTAGAATGCCCTAATATACTATATGAAGTTTCAGAGTAAACAAATGGTTAATGACACATCTTTTGTAACACATGAATCAGCTACTGATTTGCAAGAGTGGGACACACCCTAGTACCTATGACTCTAAAGTACCTGTTTGAAAAGTGGACCTAGATGTTTGAATTGCCAACCCATCCTAAGACCGGAACATAATTTTACAACTATGTAAGTTGCCATAATTTAAAGTTAAAAAGATCACTGCCTTTCATTATAATGGAAGTTAATTTGAGAACTTCATTAAAACATTCACACCGATAATCAAAGAACAGTAGAGATACAAAGTAAGATATAGCCAATCAATCCTAGGAAGCAAACACAAGAGGCAAGAGAAATGGCAGGTAAAGGAAGTGAAGAATAGCAAATTCAAAAACTACAATATTCCCAATTCTAAAGAAAAATGAATAAAATGAGGCTGGTAATGAAAAAATAACACATCTTACCTTAAGAGGCATCCAAGTAGCATTCATAGTGTCAGGATATAAAGACAATACTCAGAAATGAGCAAGAAGTCTTAGTAATTCCCTCGGTTACCAAGTATAAGCAGGTAGGAAAATCTTTTGTTTCGAGAAGGTATCTGAAAGAGAGGATTTTCATTTAGACTAAAAAATAATCAAGACAATGCAAATAGTTTAAGCTACCTGGGCAGGGATTTTGAAGTACTATTTGCCTCATCGCACTAAAAAAGTATAGAAAATACAGTCCCCTTTAGAAAAGGGCAAATGTGTGTCTCCATACATATGTGTGTAGAAACATACTTTACATAAAAAGAGAAATAAATATGTAACACGTATTTTAGATAATGTAAAATTGCTTATCAAACAATTAGCCAAAATCCCAGAGAGAATAAAGTAATTTTCCAGGGTACTTCATAAACACTAAACGTGATTTGTTAACTAACCGTCTAAAGAAAGACCCTTGCCACATTTAATTATATTTAGTAAAGTAAAACCTCTCTAATCATCCCGACTGTCCCAAGATTATGCTTAAGTTTCAGAGTCAATTCCACATGAAAAGTAAAACCTATTCTTGACTGAAGTACTAGAAACAAATAAAGGACCCTTCTTCCCCAGAGATCGTTAAAAGCAGACCGAGCAACTTAATTTTGAGGGTGGGAGGAAGGTAAATTTGCCTGGAGGCAGGAGGATGGACTAAATGACCTCTGGTAGGATCCTCGTTCAAGTCCTGGGCCTGTATACAATTCCAGCTTAACCAGTTACTGCTTCGCTTAAAATGGAGGCTTGCCCGCGTAGGGACAAAAATAACAGCACCCACTTCTTAAAAATAAATGTCGAAAAGTACCCCTTTTTAAATAAAAATAAAAAATAAACACCTCTGGAGTGGATGTGTTCTTGCTATGCGTTTGTCACTGAGGCTTCGAAGACTTGGCATCACTTTCCTTACCGCTCACCGGATTTTGGGGGAGGAGCGGGGGGCGACAGTTTGACTCTTGACCCAAGTCTCAGGCGGACTTCAGAGCCCCACAGGGGCCCCCAACTCCAGAGCCAGAGGGAGCGGAGAGGCGAGAGCCCGAGATCGCACCTCCCCCCACCGCGGACCCCAGTCCCAAACCCACCCCTCACCTCCCCGCAGTGGGGCGCCTCCTTCTGCCCCATTCCCATTGTTAGGGAGGGCAGAGCGCGGGGTGGGCTCAGGGCAGGGGCGCCCGCGGCCGCTGCCCGGCTCGCTTCAGGAGGGGCGCCCCGCGGGATGCGGCTTCCCTTCCTCTCCGCGTCGGTCCGTCCCACCTCGGCTCGGCCTGGCGCCCCGAGCTCCGCTCCGCGCCCCCGGCCGCGGCCCCGGCCCGCCCCCCGGGCAGCCAGGCCCTCAGGCCAGTCGGCCGGCAGCCGGCGTCCCAGGCCTACGAGTGGGCGCTGGGCGGGGGTCCCCGTGCCCCACACACGCGTCCCCTCTCCCCCAGCCCCGCCGCTTCCAGGGCCCTCGGCGGCGCCCGCTCCCCGGGCCCCGCGGCCCCCCGCCTCCCAGCCGGGCCGCTCCCTCGAGCTCGTCGGGTCAGGGACACCTCCTCTACCTCACCATCACCCTGGCCCACTCGTGCCCCCACCCCCAGGGGCACCAGTGCCAAAGGCAGCTCCCCCAGCCCCGGACCTACCTGCACGGTTCAACCAAGCCTAGAAGTGGGGGCGGGGAATCTTCCACCCTCCTCTGGCGCCCATTGGCCCTTCAGGGGCACATCGTGAGCGCCATTGGCTGAGCAATGGTGTCCGTCAGAGCGATGGGGCGGGACAGAAGGGGGAGAGGGATGCTGGTGCCTTGGCGTCTCTGTTTCTGTGTATCTCGTTGTCTCTGCCTCTGTCTCGGCCCTTGGAAACGAGAGGCTTTTGGCTGAGAGGACTAGAAGGGGGCCTGAGGTGGGAGGAATAGGAATAGGAATCCTGACAGAGCGTCACGCCAGTTGGCCACTCTGAACGCCCTACCTAAGTCCCCTTTAGGTTCTCTTCTCCATCACCCCCAACCCCTGCCCCTCACCCCTCGAGGTTCTTTCATCCAGGAAGCGACGTGATGAAAACTCCAGGCCGGAAGGCCATAGGGAGAGATGTTATATATGTATATAAAATATACACATAAAAATGTTTATATATAAACTCAACCAGATATCAGTTCACTAGGGCCTGGAAAGGAAAGGGCACACATCTCACAGACAGGGAAGGACTTGAGATAGAGCCGGTAGAAGAAGGAATCAAAAATCACTCTAAGAGCTGGCAACAGTGGTTACCTCCTGGGAGAGGAACTGAGTGCCTAGGGAACCAGTGGGCGGAAGACTTACATATCTCGGCATATCATTTGTATCCATTGATTTTTGCACCATTCATCAAGATTCCAATTTAAAGAAAAGGATTTAAATGTTTAAATAAGGTCGCAAAACCAGGGGACAGACAAGATAATTGGGCAGGAAAATTGGCGCAACATACAGATTTGGGGAGGAATCTTAGCTTTTAATATGTTCAGTTCCCGGTAACAGGGTTTTGTAAAACCCAGTGAAGGTGTCCCAAGGCAACTGAAGTTATGGAACTTGAGAGAGGGTAGACAATCAGGACTAGAGAAGATGCAGTGTCCTCTGCCTAAAGATAGTGATCTATGACATGCTAAAGGATAAACTCCCAAAGAAGGGTAATAAGACACCCACAGTAAAAGGTAGGAGGACGAAAAAGAAGGTCAGTGAGGTAAAAGAAACAATATTAAAGAGGCATGAAAATTAAGGGAGGAAGGGTCTGTGGAAAATAGAATAATAAAACTATGAGAGAGGCCGGGCACGGTGGCTCACACCTGTAATCCCAGCACTTTGGGAGGCCAAGGCGGGTGGATCACCTGAGGTCAGGAGTTCGAGACCAGCCTGCGCAGCATGGTGAAACCCGATCTCTAATAGAAATGCAAAAAAAAAATTAGCCAAGCGTGGTGGCGCGCCTCTGTAATCCCAGCTACTGGAAAGGCTGAGGTGGGAGAATTGCTTGAACCGGGAGGCGGAGGCTGCAGTGAGCCAAGATCGCGCCACTGCACTCCAGCCTGGGCGACAGAGTGAGACCCTGTTTCAAAAAAAAAAAAAAAACAAAAACAAAAAAAAAAACAAACTGTGAGAGCCTCATAGGTCCTACCTCTTTACCTCTTTAGGCTCTGGTAACCATGGGACAATAAGAATGAAAGCCAAGGCCGGGCACGGTGGCTCACGCCTGTAATCCCAGCATTATGGGAGGCCAAGGTGGGCGGATCACAAGGTCAGGAGATCAAGACCATCCTGGCCAACATGGTGAAACCACGGGCATGGTGGCGCATGCCTGTAATCCCAGCTACTCGGGAGGCTGAGGCAGGAGAATTGCTTGAACCAGGGAGTCAGAGGTTCCAGTGAGCCGATATCACGCCACTGCACTCCAGCCTGGACGACAGAGTGAGACTCCGACTCAAAAAAAAAAAAAAAAACAAAAACAAAAAAAAAACACCTTTATCGATTAAGAATCTTTTTTCTGAGTTTATTAATTCTATTTAAATCAACCCCAGAAAACACCTTCAACACAGCCTCTCATTTCATATCTGTAAAATGGGGCAAAAAAAAAAAAAATAGTTCCTACCCTTTAGAGTTGTTGTGAAGATTAAATTAGTGAATACATATGATGGATTTTTTTTTCTTTTTTCTTTTTTTTGAGACACAGTCTCGCTCTGTCTCCCAGGCTGGAGTGCAGTGGCACTATCTCAGCTCACTGCAAGCTCCGCCTTCCGGGTTCACGCCATTCTCCTGCCTCAGCCTCCTGAGTAGCTGGGACTACAGGCGTCCGCCAGCATGCCTGACTAATTTTTTGTTATTTTTAGTACATACGGGGTTTCACCGTGTTAGCCAGGATGGTCTCAATCTCCTGACCTCGTGATCCGCCCGACTTGGCCTCCCAAGTGCTGGGATTACAGGCATGAGCCATGGCGCCCGGCCTGTATGATGGATTTTTTAAGAGCCTGACTGGCGGGGTGAGGTGGCTCATGACTGTAATCGCAGCACTTTGAGAGGCTGAGGCAGGTGAATCACTTGAAGCCAGGAGTTCGAGACCAGCCTGGGCAACATGGCGAGACCTCGTCTCTACAAAAACACACACACACAAATTAGCTGGGCATGATGGTGCATGCCTGTAGTCCCAGCTACTCAGGAGACTGAGGTGAGGGTCACTTGAGCCTGGGAGGCAGAGGTTGCAGTCAGCCGAGATCTCACCACTGCATTTCAGCCTGGGTGACAGTGTAAGAACCTGTCAAAACAACAACAACAAAAAAAACAAAACAACAACAACAAAAAAACGCACGAAAAAAACCACATAAGCTCCTTGAGGGCAGAAACTGTCCCCTAGTCTTCTATATTTTATTTCACACAATGTACAGAAGACTAAATGAATAATTGTTAGCTGGTTTTTTTTTTTAAAGGGGATAAGATCAGTTACAATGTCTTTTTCCTCAGTCAATCACATAAGTATCTAAAATGACATTCCAAAGTAAGGACAGGAGTTTAAATCCTGAACTATGGTATCTAAAGTAAACTTGAACTTTCCTTATTTTTAAAAAATTTTGGCCGGGCGCGGTGGCTCACGCCTGTAATCCCAGCACTTTGGGAGGCTGAGGCGGGCAGATCACAAGGTCAAGAGATCTAGACCATCCTTGCCAACATGGTGAAACCCCATCTCCACTAAAAATACAAAAATTAGCTGGGCGTGGTGGCACGGACCTGTAGTCCTAGCTACTCGGGAGGCTGAGGCAGGAGAACCGCTTGAACCCGGGAGGAGGAGACTGCAGTGAGCCGAGATCACGCCACTGCACTCCAGACTGGCGACAGACTGTCTCAAAAAAAAAAAAAAAGAAAAAGAAAAAGAAAAAAGAAAAGAAAAAAATTCCATACATAGAATTCTGTGTGGCATTTTAGAGAAAATCATGGTGACTAGAGACACCAGGTGAAATTTTTTTTTTTTTTTTTTTTTGGGTGACACAACCCCAGGAGATCCTGTGAACATGTGTCCCTTGACCAGGTGAATTTCAGGAGCTTGCACTAGTCCCAGGTTAGCTGGCACCAGGTTGGCCCTAGTTTGAGTGCCTTCCACATACCAGGTACTGTGCTGGAGAAGTAACATCAAAAAGGAAAATCAAATTTCATCCTCAATAAGTAATCACAATACACTGTGATGAGAGTTAGGGTGAAGGAGGTTCAGGTTACCATGGGCTTATATTAGGAGGGCAAATTCTGTCTTCAAGTCTTTTTGCTTCAACAGTAGCGTTTAGATCTTGTGGGCTGGGCATGGTGGCTCTAGCCTGAAATCCCAGCACTTTGGGAGGGTGAAGTGGGCAGACTGCTTGAGCCCAGGAGTTGCAGATTAGCCTGGCAACATGGCGAAACCCCGTCTCTACAAAAAATACAAAAGTCAGCCAGGCATAGTGGTGCCTGCCTGTAGTTTCGGCTACTTGGGAGGCTGAGGTAGGAGGATCGCTTGACCCCAGGAGTTCAAGGCTGCAGTGAGCTACCATCGAGCCACTTCACTTCAGCCTGGGCCGCAGAATAAGACCCTGTCTGAAAAAAAAAATCTTGTGATATAATAACAGCTTGTGCACTCTTCGATAGCTCAGCTGGTAGAGCAGAGGGCTGTAGACTGCATAGATAATAATAACAGTTTGCGTTTTTGAGTCAAAGATGATACCCCAGAATCATTATCGAAAATAATGGTTGTTCCATTCACCTGTGCCTATGACTGTGAGCCACATTGTGACCAATCTGTGAGCAACATGGGTGGGAATGCAGTTTGGGGCCATGGAACTCACTTAACAGGAAGTTCCAATAGCAGTGGATTTACCATGTTGAAGCTGTAGGATCTTGGACAAATATTTAATGACCTCTGTCTCTCAGTTCTCTCAATAATAAAACATCCATCCGAGAATTGCTGTAAAGGTTAACATAGGGGGAGTCTTGCAAATAGTAGGTGCTAAGATCCTGTCTTGAAAAAAAAAAGAAAAAAAATATATATATATATATGAAGAGATGAGATCTTCAATTGTACAGACTGTCCCTGTACCCATTCATTTGCATTTCTTTTCCTTTACAATAATACATATCTATGATTTCCTTTTATTCCCACTGTCATCAATTTAGTTAGATTACTGGGCAGAGATCACCAGTGGGGCTAGAGTAAAATGAAAATAAATGTACATTGACTCTAGGTATTCCTAAGTAATAGCACAGTTTACTGTGTTCTCCCTCATAAATCCTGGTAGCTGAATGTTGCCTGCTTTTAGCAGTTACGTTTCTGCTCATCTCACCCTCAATGTTCATTAAGAAAATAGTTATTGAATGGCCAGGCTCACTGGCTCACGCCTGTAATAGATTACAGGCGTGAGCCACCGCACCCAGCCTTGGTTATCATATTTCTAATTTATAATAGTTTTCCTTGTTTTCTTATTGTTCACTTTTTATAGCATCCTGTTCTTATATTATGCATATATATCTTCAGGTCTCGCTGAAGAAATAAAGAGGTGTATGTGTATATGTGTGTGTGTATTATCTTTATTTTTATTTTTTGAGATGGAATCTTACTCTGTCGCCCAGGCTGTAGTGCAGTGGCGCTTTTGGGAGGCTGAGGTGGAAGGATCACTTAAGGCCAATATTTGGAGACCAGCCAGGGCAACATAACAAGACCCCCATCTCTACAAAAAAATTAAAAATTAGCTGGCCATGGTGGTGAGTGCCTGTAGTCTCAGCTACTTGGGAGGCTGAGGCAGGAGGATTGCTTGAGCCCAGGAGGTTGAGGGGGAGGTGAGCCATGATTGAGCCACTGCACTCCAGCCTAGGTGACAGAGTGAGACCCCTTCTCTAAAAAAAAAAGAGAGAGAGAGAGAAATAAAATAGTTATTGAGCACCTACTGTATGTCAGGTCCAAGACCCTAAAGATGTAAAGATGAATAAGGTGGTGACCCTGCCTTCCAGTTTCCACAGAGGTGGGGAATATGGATAAAAGCAGACAAAGCCATTGCCATGGGATAAGGGCAGAGAATAGCATGTGCAAGTTATAGAAGGTGAGGGATAATATACCATTTTCCAGAAACTGATGGTTCAATGAGGCTAAAGCATGGAGTTCAAGAAAGGAAACCAGATGAGATTAACTGCAATGTGGTTCTCAAACTTAAATGTGCATAAAAACTGGCCTTGTTGGCTGGGCACAGTGACTCACACCGGTAATCCAAGCACTTTGGGAGGTCAAGGCGGGTGGATCGCTTGAGGTCAGGAGTTCGAAACTAGCCTGGCCAATGTGGTGAAACCCCATTTCTTTTTTTTTTCTTTTTCTTTCTTTTTTTTTTTTTTTTTTTTTTTTTTGAGACAGAGTCTCGCTGTCGTCCAGGCTGGAGTGCAGTGGCGTGATCTCGGCTCACTGCAAGCTCCGCCTCCTGGGTTCACGCCATTCTCCTACCTCAGCCTCCCGAGTAGCTGGGACTACAGGCACCCGCTACCATGCCCGGCTAAATTTTTTGTATTTTTAGTAGAGACGGGGTTTCACCATGTTAGCCAGGATGGTCTCGATCTCCTGACCTCGTGATCCGTCCGCCTTGGCCTCCCAAAGTGCTAGGATTACAGGCGTGAGCCACCGCGCCCGGCCTGAAACCCCATTTCTACTAAAAATGCAAAAATTAGCTGGGTGTGGTGGTGCACACCTATAGTCCCAGCTGCTCAGGAGGTTGAGGCGGGAGAATCACTTCAACCTGGGAGGTGGAGATGGAGTAAGCCAAGATCAAGCCACTGCACTCCAGCCTGGGTGACACAGCGAGACTCTGTCTCCAAAAAACAAACAAACGAACAAAAAACTGGCCTTGTTTACATAGTCTCGCAAGCTCCAAGCCTAGAGATCTTGATGGAGCGGGTCAGAGTGCTGCTGCTCTTAGGGCTACACTCTGAGAACCACCGATGGAGAAGAAGGGCGGGGTCAACTTGCAGAGCTGTGCTGGGAGGTGTGTGCTGCAGCCTTGAGGGGGTGAAGAACCTTTGAGAGGTTTTAAGCCTGCAAGAGATGTGGTCACATTTATATTTTAGAAAAATCACCCTGTGTGCAATATGAAAAATGAAACAGAGAGGGCAAGACTGGAGTCAGGGAGAGCAGTTAGGAGGCTGCTGCAGAAACCCAGGCAAGAAATCATAAAGACCTGAAATAAAAAAAATGCCAGTGGGGAACGGGGAAGAGAGGCCAAATCCAAGGGGAATTTAGGAGCCAGAATTGAGAGGGTGTGATGAGTGTTGATGGGATACAGGACAGGATCCTGAGATGGCTTGCAGGTCTTCAGCTTTGAGTGACCCATGGAAGCGAAGGAAGATGGGAAGGAGGGTGCCTATCACACAGAGAGAATGAAGGTTTGAGAGGCAAGTGTAGCTTTTGACATTTTGCTTTTGAAATGTCTATGGGACATCAGAAATAATCTCAAAAGACCACAAGTCAGGCAGGGCGCGGTGGCTCACGCTTGTAATTCCAGCACTTTGGGAGGCCGAGGTGGGCAGATCACGAAGTCAGGAGCTCGAGACCAGCCTGGCCAACATGGTGAAACCCCGTCTCTACTAAAAATTCAAAAATTAGCTGGGCATGGTGGCGGGCACCTGTAATCCCAGCTACTTGGGAGGCTGAGGCAGGAGAATCACTTGAACCTGGGAGGCGGAGGTTGCAATGAGCTGGGATCGAGCCATCGCACTCCAGCCTGGGCAACAAGAGTAAAACTCTGCCTGAAAAAAAAAAAACCATGAGTCACTGGTTAACAGCCTGAGCAGCAGAAATCTCACAGTTCTGAGTCTGAATCCTATCTAGCCTGGCTCTGAAACTCACAATCTGGAGCTGGGGCTTGGTGCAGTGGCTCAGGCCTGTAATCCCAGCACTGTGGGAGGCTGAGGCAGGTGAATTGCTTGAAGCCAGGAGTTTGAGAGCAGCCTGGCCAACATGGTGAAACCCCATCTCTACTAAAAATACAGTTAGCCAGGCATGATGGTGTGCACCTGTAATCCCAGCTACTTGGGGGGCTGAGGCACGACAATCGCTGGAGCCCAGGAGGCAGACGTTGCAGTGAGCCGAGATTGTGCCACTGCACTCCAGCCTGGGCAACACAGCAACACTGTCTAAAAAAAAAAAAAAAAATGCTGGGCGCAGTGGCTTATGTCTGTAATCCCACTTTTAGAGGCTGAGGTGGGAGGATCACCTGAAGCCAGGAGCTCAAGACCAGCCTGGCCAACATGGTAAAACCCGCCATCCCCTCCCTGCCATGCCCCATCTCCCCCAACACTCCCCCACCCTGTCTCTACTAAAAATACAAAAATTAGCCGGGTGTGGTGGCACACACCTATAATCTCAGCTACATGGGAGGCTGAGGCATAAGAATTGCTTGAGCCCGGAAGGTGGAGGTTGCAGTGAGCCAAGATCGCACCACTGCACTCCAGCCTGGGTGACAGAGCAAGACTCTCTCTTAAAAAAAAAAAAAAAAAAAAAAAAAAAAGAATTTTTTTTTTTAATATAGAGATGGGCTTTCTGTGTTTCCCAGGCTATACTCAAGCTCCTGGGCTCAAGCTATTCTCCTGCCTCTGCCTTCAACCAGCCTCAATCCTCCAATTTTCTTATTTTTTATATTTTTCAACACCTTTTAAATTCTACATTCTGGCCAGCTGCAGTGGCTCATGCCTATAATCCAGCACTTTCAGAGGTTGAGATATGAGACTTGCTTGAGGCCAGGAGTTTGAGGCTTGCAGTAAGCTAGAATGGCGCCACGGCACAGCAGCTTGGGAGACAGAGCAAGACCTTGTCTCAAAAGAAAAAGAATTTAAATACTACACTCTAGGAGATTTCTTCAACCTTCAAATTTTGTATTGAATTTTTAATTTTGGCTTTTATTTATTTATTTTTTTTTGAGACAGGTTCTCACTCTGTCACCCAGGTTGGAATGCGGTGGCTTGATCTCAGCTCACTGCAACCTCCGCCTCCTGGGTTCAAGTGATTCTCCTGCCTCAGCCTCCTGAGTAGCTGGGATTGCAGGCGTGGGCCACCATGCCCAGCTTATTTTTGTATTTTCAGTAGAGACGGGGTTTCACCATATTGGCCAGGTTGGTCTCAAACTCCTGGCCTCAAGTGATCCACACGCCTCAGCCTCCCAAGGTGCTGAGATTACAGGTGTGAGCCACTGCACCCAGCCTTGGCTATCATATTTCTAATTTATGATAGTTTTTCTTGCTTTCTTATTGTTCATTTTTTATAGCATCCTGTTCTTATGTTATGGATATATATCTTCAGGTCTCGCTGAAGAAATAAAGAGGTGTATGTGTATATGTGTGTGTGTATTATTTTTATTTTTATTTTTTGAGACGGAGTCTCACTCTGTTGCCCAGGCTGGAGTGCAGTGGCACAATCCTGGCTGGCTGCAACCTCTGCTTCCCAGGTTCAGCTGATCCTCCCACCTCAATCTCCCAAGTAGCTGGGATTACAGGCACCTGTCACCATGCCCGGCTAATTTTTCTTTCTTTTTTTTTTTTTTTTTTGAGATAGAGTCTCTGTTGCCCAGGATGGAGTGCAGTGGTGTGATCTCGGCTCACTGCAAGCTCCACCTCCTGGGTTCAAGAGATTCTCCTGCCTCAGCCTCCCAAGTAGCTGGGATTACAAGCGTGTGCCACCACACCCAGCTAATTTTTGTATTTTTTAGTAGAGATGGGGTTTCACCATGTTGTCCAGGCTGATCTCAAACTCCTGACCTCAAATGATCCACCTTCTTCAGCCTGCCAAAGTGCTGGGATTACATGCATGAGCCACCACACCAGCAAAATTTTTGTATTTTTAGTAGAGATAGGGTTTCGCCATATGTGTGTGTGTTTTAAGTTTTTCTGTTTCGTTTCTCTTGCATATATACCTAGGAATGGAATTACTGGGTCATATGGGAGCTCTGTGTTAAACACTTGTGTCATATCTAAGAAAACTTGCTAATCCAAAGGTCATAAAGATGTACGTCTATGTTTTCCTCTAAGGCCAACATGGTGAAACACCGTCTCTATTAAAAAAATACAAAAAACTGGGCCGGGCACGGTGGCTCATGCCTGTAATCCCAGCACTTTGGGAGGCCAAGGTGGGTGGATCACCTGTGGTGGGGAGTTCGAGGCCAGCCTGATCAACATGCAGAAACCCCGTCTCTACTAAAAATACAAAAAAATTAGCGGGGCATGGTGGCGCATGCCTGTAATCTCAGCTACTTGGGAGCTGAGGCAGGAGAATCGCTTGAACCCAGGAGGCAGAGGTTGCGGTGAGCCAAGATCGTGCCATTGCACTCCAGCCTGGGCAACAAGAGCAAAACTCCGTCTCAAAAAAAAAAAAAATTAGTTGGGCGTGGTGGCACGCACCTGTAGTCCCAGCTACTCCAGAGGCTGAGGCAGGAGAATGGCTTGAACCCAGGAGGTGGAGGTTGCAGTGAGCTGAGATCATGCCACTGCACTCCAGCCTGGCAACAGAGCAACAGAGCAAGACTCCATCTAAAAACAAAAAAAAGAGTTTTCTACTTTTCAGTCTAACAAATGTTTTATAAACAAAGGCTTTGTTATATTTTGAGTTAATTTTTATAGATAATATGAGGTGAGGGTTCAACTTCATTCTATTGTGTGTGGGTATCCAGTTGTCCCAGGACCATTGTTTGAAAAGACTTTTTTTCCTACACTTTCTCTCATTGAATTGTCTTGGCATATTTGTTAAAAATCAGTTGACCTTGGCTGGGCACCATGGTTCACACCTGTAATCCCAGTATTTTGGGAGGCCAAGGCAAGAAGACCATTTGAGCCCCAGAAGTTCAAAACCCGCCTGGGCAATATAGGCACACTCCATTTCTAAAAATAATAATTAAAAAGATTAGCTGGGCAAGCCAGACATGGTGGCTCACGCCTGTAATCCCAGCACTTTGGGAGGCCAATGCAGGTGGATCACCTGAGGTCAGAAGTTCGAGACCAGCCTGACCAACATGGAGAAACCCCATTTCTGCTAAAAATACAAAATTAGTCTGGTGTGGTGACTCATGCCTGTAATCCCAGCTACTAGGGAGGCTGAGGCAGAAGAATCGCTTGAACCCAGAAGGTGGAGGTTGTGGTGAGCCGAGATTGCGCCATTGCACTCCAGCCTGGGCAACAAGAACGAAACTCTGTCTCAAAAAAAAAAAAAAAAGATTAGCTGGGCGTGGTGGCACATACCTGTGGTCCCAGTGACTTAGGAGGCTGAGGCAGGGGGATCGGGAGACGGAGGCTGCAGTGAGCCTTGATCACTGCACTCCAGCTTGGGTGACAGAGTGAGACCCTGTCTCAAAAAAGAAAAAAAATCAGTTGATCGTAATGTGGGCACTCATTTCTGGACTTTCAATTCTATTCCATTGATCTATATGTCAGTCCTTATGCCAGTGCCCAGGGGCTCAACTACTGGTACTTTGAATTAGATTTTGAATCAAGAAGCGTGAGTCTTCCAATTTTGTTCTTATTTTTCAAGATTGTTTTGTCTATTTGAAGTTCCTTACAATTTAATGTGAATTTTAGAATCAGCTTGTCCATTTTTGCAAAAAAGGTAGTTGGGATTTTGATAGAGATTGTGTTGAGTCTGTAGATCAATTTGGGAAGCATTGCTATGTGAAGAGTAGTAAGTCTTTCAATCCATGAACACACAATGTCTTTTCATGTATTTAAGTTTAATTTCTTTCAATAATGTTTTGTAGTTTGCACTTCCTTGGTTAAATTTATTCCTAAGTTTTTTTTTGGTGCCATTACAAATGGAATTGTTTTATTAATTTCATTTTTGGATTGTTCATTTCTGGTGTATAGAAATTCAACTGAGCCAGGTGTAGTGGTGCACCACCTGTAGTACCAGCTACTTGGGAGGCTGAGTCAGGAGGATTGCTTGCGGCCATGTTTGAGGCTATAGTGCATTATAATTGTGCCCGTAAATGATCACTGCATTCTAGCCTCGGCAACATAGTGCGGTCTTGTCTCTTTTTTTTTTTTTTTTTTAAGTACAATTTCCATTTTATTTTTCTCCAGAGAATAGCCTGTCTTCAGTCTTTAAGAACTCAGCTCCTTACATGGGCTTTGGTGGGGGACCTGGGGCAGCACCCGCAGGTCTAAATCGGGGTGGGGGTGTTCGGTCCTTGCGGGCTTCACGAGATCGATTCCTGACTACTTTGCTGTGAATTGCACAACTCACACAGTAATGTAGCTTCACATACAGTTTGGGAAGCACATAGGCATCGAAGACGCTCACTTCAGAAATGTCCCTGACTGCTGCGGCCTCCACTATGTTTCGAATGACGAATTTCTTAATGGCCTTGTCCTTGGGCACGCATCGGGCACAGTTAGTGCAGCGAATAGGCTGCACGTGGCCGCGGCCCTTTTTGGCACGACCATTGTTCCTTCTTTTCTTTGTCATCTTGGAGGCACGGACCGGAGAGAGGAGCGGTCTTGTCTCTTAAAAAATAAATAAACAACTGATTTTTGTACGTTGATCTTGTATCCTCCAACTTTGCAAAATTAATTTATCACTATTAAGATTTTGTGGCCGGGCACGGTGGCTCATGCCTGTAATCCCAGCACTTTGGGAGGCCCAGGCAGGCAGATCACCAGGTCAGGAGATCGAGACCATCCTGGCTAACACGGTGGAACCCCGTCTCTACTAAAAATACAAAAAATTAGCCAGGCGCGGTGGCAGGCTCCTGTAGTCCCAGCTACTCGGGAGGCTGAGGCAGGAGAATGGTGTGAACCCGGGTGGCGGAGCTTGCAGTGAGCCAAGATAGCGCCACTGCAGTCCAGCCTGGGCAAAAGAGTGAGACTCCGTCTCAAAAAAAAAAAAAAAAAAAAAAAAAGATTTTGCTTTATTTTGTGTTTGGTGTGGATACTTTAGGAACCAAAAGATAAATAAATAAGAAAAAGGTCTAGCACTTTGGTCAAATTTATTCCTAAGTGTGTGTTTGTAAACGATATTGTAAATGAATTTTCTTAGTTTCATTTTCAGCTTGCTAATTGTTACTGTATAGAAATACAATTTATTTATTTATTTACTTTTTTTTTTTTTTTTTGAGCCAGTCTCGCTCTGTTACCCAGGCTGGAGTGCAGTGGTGTGATCTCGGCTCACTGCAACCTCTGCCTCCTGGGTTCAAGCGATTCTCTTGCCTCAGTCTCCCGAATAGCTGTGATTACAGGTGCGTGCCACAACCCCCAGCTAATTTTTGTATTTTTAGTAGAGATGGGTTTTCACCATGTTGGTCAGGTTAGTCTCGAACTCCTGACCTCATGATCTGCCCACCTAGGCCTCCCAAAGTGCTGGGATTACAGGCATGAGCCACTGCACCAGGCCAATTTTTTTTATATCACTCTTACACCTGCAACTTTGCTGAATTTGTTTACTTGTTCTAACGGTTTTGTGGATTCCTTAGAATTTCCTACATACAAGATCATGTCATATGCAAATACATATGGTTTTATTTCTTCCTTTCTAATTTGTGTGGCTTTTATTTCTTTTTCTTGCTAATTTCCTGGCTAGAAATTTAAGTATAATGTTGAATAGAGGTGGCAAGAGTGAATATCCTTGTCTTCTTCCTGATCTTAGGAGAAAAACTTACAGTCTTTCATCATTAAGTATTAACTGTGGGGCTGGATGCGATGGCTCAAGCCTGTAATCACAGCACTTTGGGAGGCCAAGGCGGGTGGACCATTTGAGGTCAGGTGTTCAAGACCAGCCTGGCCAATATGGTGAAACCCCATCTCTACTAAAAACATCTCTACTAAAAATATAAAAACTTGGCGGGGTGCAGTGGCTCACACCTGTAATCTCACCACTTTGGGAGGCCGAGGCGGGCAGATCACGAGGTCAGGAGATCAAGACCATCCTGGCTAACACAGTGAAACCCCATCTCTACTAAAAATACAAAAAAAAAAAAAAAATTAGCCAGGTGTCGTGGCACACGCCTGTAGTCCCAGCTACTTGGGAGGCTGAGGCAGGAGAATCACTTGAACCCGGGAGACAGAGGTTGCAGTGAGCCGAGATCACACCACTGCACTCCAGCCTGGGCGACAGAGCAAGACTCCATCTCAAAAAAAAAATAAACGAAAATTAGCCAGGCATGGTGGTGCGCACCTCTCGTCCCAGCTACTCAGGAGGCTGAGGAAGGAGAATTGCTTGAACCTGGGAGGCAGAGGTTGCAGTGAGTCGAGAGCATGCCACTGCACTCCAGCCAGGGTGACAGAGTAAGACTCTGTCTCAAAAAAAAAAAAAGGGGGATTTATGGGAAGTAATTAAGGTCAAATGAGGTCATAAAGCTGGGCACTGATCTAATAGAATTAGTGTCTTTATGAGACGAGAACCCAGAGAGCTCCCTAGCTTTCTCTCTGCCACATGAAGCTACTTCAAGAAGGCAAGCCAGGTAATAAAGCCCACGCTGAGGTAGGAGGTGGAACTGGACTCCAGAGATGGGGCTTGGACACCAGACCAAATTGATGACTAGCTGAAACAGGGACAGGATGAAAGCAGCTTTCCATAAGACACGCTCACCAGTGCGCCATGTCAGTTTACCATTTCCATGGCAGAACCCAGAGTTACCACCCCACCGCCTTTTTTTTTTTTTTTTTTTTGAGACGGAGTCTCACTCTGTCGCCCAGGCTGGAGTGCAGTGGCACAGTCTTGGCTCCCTGCAAGCTCCACCCCCCAGGTTCAAGCAATTCTCCTGCCTCAGCCTCCCGAGTAGCTGGGATTAAAGGCGCCTGCCACCGCGCCAAACTGATTTTCGTATTTTTAGTAGAGACAGTGTTTCACCATCTTGGCCAGGCTGGTCTTGAACTTTTGACCTCATGATCCACCTGCCTTGGCCTCCCAAAGTGCTGGAATTACAGGCATGAGCCACTGTGCTCAGCCTACCACCCCTTTCAATGGCAACAACTTGACAACCCAGAAGTTATCAGCCTTTTTCTAGAAACGTCTGTATAGTCTGCCCCTTAATTTGCATATAATTAAAGGTCAATGTAAATATGACTGCAGAACTGCCCTGAGCTGCTACTCTGGTCACACTACCTACAGGGTAGCCCTGCTCTGCAAGGAGCAGTCCCTCTGCTGTTGCTATAGGCCACTGCTTCAATAAAAGTTGGCATCTAGGCCAGGTGCAGTGGGTAATGCCTGTAATCCCAGCACTCTAGGAGGCTGAGGCGGGTGGATCATTTGAGGCCAGGAGTTTGAGACCAGCCTGGTCAACATGGTGAAACCCCATCTCTACTAAAAATACAAAAAAATTAGTTGGGTGTTTTGGCGCACACCTGCACTCCCAGCTACTCAGGAGGTTGAGGCGGGAGAATCACTTGAACCCAGGAGGCAGAGTCTGCAGTGAGCCACTGCACTCCAGCCTGGGTGACAGAGTGAGACCCTGTCCCGAAAAAAAAAAAAGTTGGCCTCTAACACCTTCGGTTTGCCCTTGAATTATTTCCTGGGTGAAGCCAAGAACCCTCTCAGTCTAAGCCCCAGTTTTGTGGCTTACCTGCCCTGCATCAACACCAGAAACTTAACCCTTTGGGAATCTCGATCTTGGACTTTCTAGCCTCTAGAACCCTGAGAAAATGATCTGTATTATTAGGCTACCCAGTCTATGATATTCTGTTGTAGCCTGGGGTGACTAAGACATTGAACCTGTATGACTTGAATTTTGTTACCTGCTTGGCCCCTTGATGGCATTTCAGTTTGTGACTCTTGGTTTACGTGATCACGAAGCCAAAACTGTTTAGGAAGGAAGCAAAATCAAGACAGATTAAAAATAAAAAATAAAAAATAAAAGGCTGGGCACCGTGGCTCACACCCTCCCAGCATGTTGGGAGGCAAAGGTGGGCAGATCACCTGAGGTCAGCAGTTCAAGACCAGCCTGGTCAACATGATGAAACCACATCTCTACTAAAACTACAAAAATTCGCCAGGCGTGCTGGTGGGCACCCGTAATCCCAGGTATTCGAGAGGGAGGCAGGAGAATCACTTGAACCTGGGAGGTGGAGGTTGCAGTGAGCCGAGATCACACCACTGCACTCCAGCCTGGGTGACAGAGCAAGACTCTCTCTCAAAAAATAAAATAAAATAAAATAAAATAAAATAAAATAAAATAAAATAAAATAAAATAAAATAAAATAAAGAGCCGAGCATGCTGGCTCACACCTGTAATCCCACACTTCGGGAGAAAGAGGTGGCAGGATTGCTTGAGCCCAGGAGTTTGAGACCAGCCTAGGTAACATGGCAAAATCCCATCGCAATTTTAAAAAAATTTTGAAAAAGAATAATAGGGCTGGGCACGATGGCTCATGCCTGTAATCCCAGCACTTTGGGAGGCCAAGATGAACGGATCACCTGAGGTTGGGAGTTTGCGACCAGCCTGACCAACATGGAGAAACCCCATCTCCACTAAAAATACAATATTAGCAGGTCGTGGTGGCACATACCTGTAATCCCAGCTACTCGGAAGGCTGAGGCAGGAGAATCGCTTGAACCTGGGAGGTGGAGGTTGTGGTGAGCCAAGATCGTGCCATTGCACTCCAGCCTGGGCAACAAGAGTGAAATTCCATCTAAAAAAAAAAAAAAAAGAAAGAAAGAAATAAGGTATTTTACATAAAGATTAAAAAGAAATTAAAACCATTATTTGAAGATAATGGCTTAAACAGAAACTCTGCAAATCCTTAGAATAAGAAAGTTCAGGCCAGGTGTAGTGGCTTGTGCCTGTAATCCCAGTGCATTGGGAGGCTAAGGTCGGAGGATTGCTTGAGCCCAGGAGTTTGAGACAAGCCGGGTCAACATAATGAGATCGCATCTCTACAAAAAATTGAAAAATGAGCCAGGTGTGGCAGTGCATGCCTGTAGTCCTGGCTACTCAGGAGGCTGAGGTGGGAAGGTCACTTGAGCCTGAAGAGTTCAAGGCTACAGTGTTATGATCATGCCACTGCACTGCACTCCAGCCTGGGAGACAGAGCAAGACCCTGAGACCCTGTCTCAAAAAACAAAATAAAAAACCCTCACTATATTGAACACAACATCAATGTTCAATAGCCATTCCCCTTCTCCTTTTCTAATAAAATTCCACTTTTTTGTGTTCCATCCCAGGACCACGATTTATCTAAACTGGTCATTCTGGATCAATAAGTTTGGCTAAAAATAAATAATATCGAAATTGGTCACAGGAAATCTATTCTTTTTTTTTTTTTTTTTGAGACGAAGTCTCACTCTGTCACCCAGGCTGGAGTGCAGCAGCATGATCTTGGCTCACTGCAACCTCTGCCTCCCGGGTTCAAGCAATTCTCTGCCTCAGCCTCCCAAGTAGCTGGGATTACAGGCGCCTGCCACCACGCCTGGCTAGTTTTTGTATTTTTAGTAGAGATGGGGTTTCACCATCTTGGCCAGGCTGGTCTTGAACTCCTGACCTTGCGTTCTACCCGCCTTGGCTTCCCAAAGTGCTGGGTCTGTCACCCAGGCTGGAGTGCAATGGTGCAATCATGGCTCACTGCAGCGTCAACCTCCCTGGGCTCAGATGATTCTCCCACCTTAGCCTCTCAAGTAGCTGGGATTAAAGGCATATGCCACCATGCCCAGCTAATTTTTCTATTTTTTTTGTAGAGACAGGGCATCCCTACCTTGCCCAGGCTGGTCTTGAACTCCTGGTTTCAAAGGATCCTCCTGCTTCAGCCTCCCAAAGCACTGGGTCTATTATTCCCTTTCATATTCAAACTTAATTCTGCATTTTCAAGGCCTTGAATTTTCAAGGGCAGCTTTTTCTGTCCCTGAACTTAATCTTCAGCTCCTCTCACCTCCTGGGAGGTTGGGGGGTGGGGAAGAAAAGTCCCAACCCTCTAATCCTGCTTTGGTCTTTTGCTGCCAGCCCCCATCCTGAAGCTACCAGTCAATTTGTTTGCATACAAGAAGATATCACTTTGGAGATTCTAAGTGTATACGAGGAAATGAGGTCAAAGACCAAATATATATATTTCACTATATCACACTTCAAACTTTTGTTTACTGTTTCCCTTCTCCTACTCTATTATAAACCTTTGAGGGTGGGGACTGTGAGTTATTTATCTTTATATTCCCAGTGTCAAGAGTGTTTAGCTATAATGGGAATGAATCTCAAAGTTTCTTGAATAAATGACAAGAAGAATCATAGTTGCATGAACTAAATTCATTATTCTCAGTCCTTGAGGTAAATGAATATATTGATATTATGTCTGCTTACTCTTTTTTTGCGAGAGAGAGAAAGAGGAGGGAGGGAGGGAAGGAAGGAAAAAAGGAAGGAAGGCGAAAAGAGAGAAAGACAGAAAAGAGAGAGAAAAAGAGAGAGAAAGAAGGAAGGGGAGGGAAGGAAGGAAAAGAAGGAGGGAAGAAGGGAAAGGGAGGGAGAGGAAGAAAAGAAAGAAGAAGGAAGGAAAGAAAGAAAGAAGAAAAGGAGGGAGGAAGGAACGAAGAAAGGGAAAGAAGGAGGGAGGGAGGGAAATGAAGGAAAGAAAGAAAAAAGAAAGAAAGAAAAAAGAAAGAAGAAAAGGAGGGAGGAAGGAAGGAGGGAGGGAAGGATGGAAGAAAGGGAAAGAAGGAGGGAGGAAGGGACATGAAGAGAATAAAGAAAGAAAGAAGAAAAGAAAAGAAAAAAGAAAAGAAAAGGGAGGGCTCTGCGGGTGGCGGCGGCGCGGGGAGCCGGTTGCAGGCCGAGATGCTGCAGATGGACCTGATCGACGCGACGGGGGACACTCCCGGGGCCGAGGACGACGAGGAGGACGACGACGAGGAGCGCGCGGCCCGGCGGCCGGGAGCGGGGCCGCCCAAGGCCGAGTCCGGCCAGGAGCCGGCGTCCCGCGGCCAGGGCCAGAGCCAAGGCCAGAGCCAGGGCCCGGGCAGCGGGGACACGTACCGGCCCAAGCGGCCCACCACGCTCAACCTCTTTCCGCAGGTGCAGTTGTCTCAGGACACACTGAATAATAATTCTCTGGGCAAAAAGTACAGTTGGCAGGATCGGGTGTCTCGATCATCCTCACCCCTGAAGACAGGGGAGCAGACACCACCGCATGAACCCATTTGCCTGAGCGATGAGCTGCCCCCCCAGAGCAGCCCCGCCCCCACCACAGATCGAGGCACCTCCACCAACAGCCCACGCTGCTGGTAGATGAGCACGCGCAGCTGGAGCTGGTGAGCCTGCGGCCGTGCTTCGGAGACTACAGTGACGAGAGTGACTCGGCCATCGTCTACGACAACTGTGTCTCCGTCTCCTCGCCCTATGAGTCAGCCATCGGAGAGGAATATGAGGAGGCCTCCCGGCCCCAGCCTCCTGCCTGCCTCTCCAAGGACTCCACGCCTGACGAACCCGACGTCCATTTCTCCAAGAAGTTCCTGAACATCTTCATGAGTGGCCGCTCCCGCTCCTCCAGTGCCGAGTCCTTCGGGCTGTTCTCCTGCATCATCAACCGGGAGGAGCAGGAGCAGACCCACCGGACCATATTCAGGTTTGTGCCTCGACACGAAGACGAACCTGAGCTGGAAGTGGATGACCCTCTGCTAGTGGAGCTCCAGGCTGAAGACTACTGGTACGAGGCCTACAACATGCGCACTGGTGCCCGGGGCTTCTTTACTGCCTATTACGCCATCGAAGTCACCAAGGAGCCCGAGCACATGGCAGCCCTGGCTAAAAACAGTGACTGGGTGGACCAGTTCCGGGTGAAGTTCCTGGGCTCAGTCCAGGTTCCCTATCACAAGGGCGATGTCGTCCTCTCTGCCGCTATGCAAAAGATTGCCACCACCCGCCGGCTAACCGTGCACTTTAACCCGCCCTCCAGCTGTGTCCTGGAGATCAGCGTGCGGGGTGTGAAGATAGGTGTCAAGGCCGATGACTCCCAGGAGGCCAAGGGGAATAAATGTAGCCACTTTTTCCAGTTAAAAAACATCTCTTTCCGCGGATATCATCCAAAGAACAACAAGTACTTTGGGTTCATCACCAAGCACCTCGCCGACCACCGGTTTGCCTGCCACGTCTTTGTGTCTGAAGACTCCACCAAAGCCCTGGCAGAGTCCGTGGGGAGAGCATTCCAGCAGTTTCACAAGCAGTTTGTGGAGTACACCTGCCCCACAGAAGATATCTACCTGGAGTAGCCGCGCAGCCCCGCCCTCTGCGTCCCCCGGCCCTCAGGCCAGTGCCAGGACAGCTGGCTGCTGACAGGATGTGGCACTGCTTGAGGAGGGGCACCTGCCACCGCCAGGGGATGAGGAAGTGGGGGCCGCTGGCTCAGGGTAGGGGAGGGTGGGGCAATGGGGACAGGCAAATGCAGTTTATTGTAATATATGGGATTAGATTCATCTATGGAGGGCAGAGTGGGCTGCCTGGGGATTGGGAGGGACAGGGCTTGGGGAGCAGGTCTCTGGCAGAGAAGGATGTCCGTTCCAGGAGCACACGGCCCTGCCCCATCCTGGGCCATACCTCCCCTGCCAGGGCTCGGGTGCTCTGGCTCCTGCCTTGATGAAGCCCATGTCCTGCCTTGATGAAGCCTGTGCCACCTGCAAGTGCCCGCCCTGCCCCTGTCCCAACACCCACCGAAGAGCCCTGAGCTCAGGCTGAGCCCAGCCACCTCCCAAGGACTTTCCAGTGAGGAAATGGCAACACGTGGAAGTGAAGTCCCTGTTCTCAGCTCTGTCATCTGCGGGGCTTCTGGGTGGCTCCTGCCACCGACCTCACTGGCATGCTAGCCTGTGGCAGGCCTAGGACCTCAGCGGGGAGGAGGAGCTGCCGCAAGGCCCTATCCCAGCAGGAGAGGGAGGCTTCCTGACTGACACAGGCTAGCCCCATCTTGGTCCTGTCACCCTGGCCCCAACTATTAAAGTGCCATTTCCTGTCAAAAAAAAAAAAAAGAAAAGAAAAGAAAAGGGAGGGAGGGAGGGAGGGAGGCAGGAAGGAAGGAAGAGAGGGAGGGAGGGAAGGGAGGAAGAAAGGGAAAGAAGGAGGGAGGGAGGGAAATAGAAAGAAAGAAGGAAAGAAAAAGAAAGAAAGAAAGAGAAATAAAATAAAAATTAAAAAACCATAAGGTTAAAGTAAACCCTTTTTCTTCATACAGATTAAAACACATGACTTCAAATTACAGCTTTGCTTCTTAATAGCTTGGTGATGTAGGATGTTATGTAACCTCTCTGTGCCTCAGTTTCCTCATTTATAAAATAGGGCAATAATAATATCTAGCCCATAAGGCATTGTGAGGATTAAATGTGAAATGCTGATCACAAATACCTAGCAGCCCAATAGATACTCACTGTAATAATTATTATTTTTATAATTTCTGCAAAAGTATGGTGATGATTCTTGGGTTAACCTAAAGGCAGATTTTCTTTTATTTCTTCCTGTTTCTTTTCTTTTCCTTGTTCACTTTAAAGAATTAAAAAGAAAATTGATTCCAGCATTTTGGAATAAAAATTTGCATCAAAAAGAATTTATTCATTTTATTGACATACAAATAAAATGTCATTTGTTTATTCAATAAACATTTATTAAATGTCTGGTAAATTTCAGACATCATGCCAGGCACAGGGATGACAATGACAATAAGATGTGGTCTCTGCCCTCAGGGAGCTGATAGTCCAGGAGACTGACAAGTAGACAGGTGATTACATGCAATGTAACAAAGGCTATGATGTCATACAAGAAGACAAGTGGGAGTATGTGATGGGAGTATGGTTTTGACCAGTTCCTCCTCTTAGATTTATCCCTTTTTCTTTGGCTATAAAGCAAAAGAATTGGTCCTGTTTTTTTTTCTTAACTTTGCAAATTAAACCATAAATTTTAATAACTTTATAAAGATAAAAGGCAAGCGGTCAGATTCAGTGGCTCACACCTATAATCCCAACACTTTGGGAGGCCGAGGCAGGTGGATAACCTGAGGTCAGGAGTTCGAGACCAGCCTGGCCAACATCGCGAAACCCTGTCTCTACTAAAAATACAAAAATTAGCTAGTTGTGGTGGCAGGCACCTGTAATCCCAGCTACTCAGGAGGCTGAGGCAGGAGAATCGCTTGAACCTGGGAGGCGGAGTTTGCAGTGAGATGAGATGGAGCCATTGCTCTCCAGCCTGGGCTACAGAGCAAGACTCTGTCTCAAAACAAAACAAAACAAAACAAAAAGATGAGCAACTTGAATTATGGAGGACACTAGAAATAGTGTTTCCTACAGAATCAGGGCTTCCTACCAACATAGTCACTTCTAGGGTTTTCGACCTGAAAAGTTCTGTGGCATATTGTTTCTTTGCTATCCACTTTTTTTTCCCTGTTTTTCCCCCTCTTTCTCTCCTCTACTTTATCTCCTAGAGATCTAGGTAGTTCCCAAAGGAATAATGCTTTACGGAGTCTAATGTTGATTTATTAGGTAAAAACAGAAAATGACTTTTTTTTTTACCCACAAGTTCCATACCAAAAAATGAATGTAAACTTCTTATGCAGTTTCACACATTGAAAATGCGGGTTATTTTAATTCCATTGCATTTTTCAGAATTCTCAATCGCAATCCTCTGACAACTGTTGAAGATCCGTATCTCTTTAAATTACTGGCATTAAAATATCTGTAAGTACTATAGTACTCTTGGGAGTCATGAGATGATTTATACTCTTTTTAAATTTTTCATCAAAGATTAAGTATTTTGCATTTAGGCTAAAATGTCATAATTTAAATTTTAACTGAGTTATTGAAAAACATTATTGGCAAAGGAAAGGATGTGTAATGGTCAAGATAGCCAGCAGGGGAAAGAGAACAGTGTTGAAGAACCCATATAGATTTGGAACATGTAGACACATGGAGGAATATTACTTAACCAAGAAAGCAAAGGGGAAAAGGTGTTCATTATTCTAAAAAGGAAGAAAAGAGTAAATAATCAAGATGGGTGAATGCAATATGAAAATGAGAAGTAAGATAATGGTAAAAAAAAAAATAAACAGTGTAAGACCTACTCTTGAATATCATTAATTTGATGATGCAAATCAACTTTAATTTCTTTAATAAGAGCTCTCTGGAATTTTGCGGCAAATAAACTGTTGAACTGGCTTGTTTTATAGGGAAGCCAAAATTGAAGTAATCACATGTCCTTGAATTATCTTTTTAAGTACAGAATTTTTTACTGGGGTTCATATCATGAATGTTTCGGCTTTCTTCTTCAGAGACGTGGGAACAACGCAAGTCCCACTTACAACACTTAAGAACATTCTCATGATGACCGTTGAACTGGAAAAACTGTAAGTTATTTTTTTCTTAGACTTATTTTCACCCTGTTGCGTTTTTAGGTTTGTTTTATTATTTTCTTGTCAGGTTTATTGAGATATAATTTTCATATACTAACATTCACCCTTTTTAAGTGTACAATTTGATGAGTTTTGACAAATGTATAGTTACATAACCACCACCACATTCCCAATATAAAGCATTTCTGTCGCCTCAAAAAGGTCCCTCGTGTCCCTTTGTAGTCAATCACCTCCTCCCACCGTCAGCCCGTTAGCTACTAATCTGATTTCCTATAGTTTTGCCTTTTCCAGAATATCTTATAAATGAAATCATATAGCATGTAGCCTCTTGTATTTGACTTCTTTCACTTAGCATAATTTTTTCTTTTTTGAGATGGAGTCTCACTGTTGCCCAGGCTGCAGTGCAGCGGCATGACCTAGACTCCCTGCAACCTCCACCTCCCAGGTTCAAGTGATTCTCCTGCCTCAGCCTCCTGAGTAGCTGGGATTACAGGCACATGCCACCACGCCTGGCTAATTTTTGTATTGTTAGTAGAGACGAGGTTTCACCATGTTGGCCAGGCTGGTTTCGAAGTCCTGACCTCAAGTGATCCGCCCGCCTTGGCTTCCCAAAGTGCTAGGATTACACGTGTGAGCCACCTCACCTGGCCTCACTTATCATATTATTTTTTGAAATTATGCTGCCATCCATGTTGCTGCACCCATCACTGCAGCTGGCCCTCCATATCTGCAGGTTCCTCATCCATGGATTCAACTGAACATGGATGGAGAATACTTGAAAAAAATGAAATATATAAAATAACTATAAGACAATAAAAACAGTAGAAAATTTAAAATACAGTATAATTATTTACATACCACTTACACTGTATTAGGTATTTAAAGTATACCTGAGGCTATATACAAACATTATGTCATTTCATAGAAAAGACTTCAGCATCTGTGGACTTTGGTGTCGGCAGGGGGTCCTGGAACCAATCCCCTGCAGACACCGAGGGACAACTGTTCACTCCTTTTTATTGCTCAGTAGTATTCCAGTTGTGTGGAAACCCCATCTCTACTAAAAATACACAAATTAGCCAGGTGTGGTGGCACACACCTGTAATCTCAGCTACTCAGGAGGCTGAGGCACAAGAAGTGCTTGAAGCTGGGAGGTGGAGGTTGCAGAGTCTCCTTTACACTTGCTGTCCTCCCTCCACTGCCGCCTGACACACTCCTCCCCAGCAGTGGCCTCTTCATAGGCAAATTTAAGGAGCACCTTTTAGTCCTTGTCCTGCTTGACTTGGCCCTGATGTTTGAAATTCTTGATGAATCTTTCTTCCGGAAACGCACTCTTTCTATGCTTCCAGGAAATCTTTTTCTTGGTTCTCCAGACAACTTCTTAGACTCCTTGACCAATTCCTTCTTGTTGCCAACAATGGAAACAAACCAGCCCTACCTAAGCAAAGCACATTAAAACTCACTAGAAAGATACAGGGGAGGGGGCGCCCACTAAACCACTAAAGAGACAGGAGGTGGGGAGCTGTAGGACCAGATTTGGGAACCTTCAAGAATCAAGACCAGAGCCCCTGAAATAGCAAGAAGCTGGAAGCACAGGAACTGTCAGAGCCAGATGGCTGTCACTGCAGTCAGCGCCTCTGATTGTTTGTTTTTGAGATGGAGTCTCGCTCTGTTGCCCAGGCTGGAGTGCAGTGGCATGATCTCGGCTCACTGCAACCTCCACCTCCCGGGTTCAAGCAATTCTCCTGCCTCAGCCTCCCGAGTAACTGGGACTACAGGAGCCTGCCACCATGCCCGACTAGTTCTTTATATTTTTAATAGAGATGGGGTTTCAACATGTTCGTCTCAAACTCCTGACCCCAGGCGATCCACTTGCCTCGGCCTCCCAAAGTGCTGGGATTAGAGGCGTGAGCCACCATGCCTGGCCAGTTTTTGTATATTTAGTAAAGACTGGTTTTGCCATGTTGGCCAGGTTGGTCTCAAACTCCTGACCTCAAGTGATCCATCCACCTCCGCCTCCCAAAGTGCTGGGATTATAGGCATGAACCACTGTGCCCAGCCACCTCTGATAGTTTTCATCGTCCTCGGGCCACTGGCTCCCAAATCAGGTTCCAGACAAAAGCTTACAAGTAGTCCAGCTTTGGCCAGGCTCAGTGTGATGGTTAATACTGAGTGTCAACTTGATTGGATTGAAGGATACAAAATATTGATCTTGGGTGTGTCCGTGAGGGTGTTCCCAAAGGAGATTAACATTTGAGTCAGCGGGCTGAGAAAGGCAGACCCACCCTTAATCTGGGTGGGCACAAGCTAATCAGCTGCCAGCAAGGCTAGAATATAAGCAGGCAGAAAAATGTGAGAGACTGGCTTAGCCTCCCAGCCAACATCTTCCTCCCGTGCTGGATGCTTCTTACCCTCCAACATGGGACTCCAAGTTCTTCAGTTTTGGAACTCAGACTGGCTCTCCTTGCTCCTCAGCCTGCAGACGGCCTATTGTGGGACCTTGTGATCCTGTGAGTTAATACTTAATAAACTCCTGTATATATTCCATTAATTCTGTCCCTCTAGAGAACCCTGACTAATACGCTCGGTGACTCACACCTGTAATCCCAGTACTTTGGGAGGCTCAGGCAGGAGGATGGCTTGAGCCCCAGAGTCTTCTTCTTCTCCTTCTCCTTGTCCTTCTCTTCCCTTCCCCTTTCTCCTCTTCCTCTTCCTTCTCTTCCTCTTCCTCTTCCTCTTCTTCCTCTTGTTTGTTTGAGAAAGGTTCTCCCTCTGTTGCCAAGGCTGGATTGTAGTGGCACAATTGTGACTCACTGCTTCTCAGCCTCCTGAGAGCCCAGGAGTTTGAGGCTGCAGTGAGCTATGATCACACTACCACACTCCTGCCTGGGTGACAGAGCAAGACCCTGTCTCAAAAAACAAACAAAAAACTCTGGTATGATAGAGGTGAATTGTCTGTTTTATCCTGATAATTCTGCTTACCTTAGTCCCGTGGTTCTCAACTGGGCCAATTTTGCTCCCCAAGTGACATTTGGCAATATCTGGGCAGAGGTCAAGGACGCTGCTTAACATCTTTTTTTTTTTTTTTTTTGAGACACAGTTTTGCTCTTGTTGCCCGGGCTGGAGTGAAATGGCACGATCTCGCCTCACTGCAACCTCTGTCTCCCGGGTTCAAGCGATTCTCCTGCCTCAGCCTCCCGAGTAGCTGGGATTATGGGCATGCACCATCACGCCTGGCTAATTTTGTATTTTTAGTAGAGATGGGGTTTCTCCATGTTGGTCAGGCTGGTCTCAAACTCCCAACCTTAGGTGATCAGCCCGCCTCAGCCTCCCAAAGTGCTGGGATTACAGGTGTGAGCCACCTCACCCGGCCTGCTTAACGTCTTAAAACACACAGGACAGTTCCCCCATAAAAAAATGATGACCAGCCAAAAATGTCAACAGTATCAAGGTGAAGAAATTGCCATAAAGGCTTGGTAAACAGGGATGGTATGACGACACTATTGATAGGCCACATTAAAATACTTAGGGCCATATCCATTATCCCTGTTTTTATGATTTCTTCTTTGTCCCCATGCAGTTTCAAGGGCAAAATAAGGGAGTAAGTCAAAGGTGGTTCCAAATAGACATCTGGGAGTCTTAGGGTGTAATATGGCCCTCATGGAGGCCCTTGCTGAGCTTAGGGCCTGATTCTGGAATCCTAGCATTGCCAAGAGAGGCAGGCTGGCAGGTGAGAAGACAAATAATGGGAGAGCCCACATATGTTGGAATTCATTTGATGGTATCTAAGCTGGGGTGATTGTCCCCACTAGCATTACATGACTATGGATCCAGTTATTTGGAGAAATCCATTTCCTCCACAGGGAATATATACTACATTAGAACCAAAGATGGAATCCTTAGTAAATGGAATCATTTGGCAAAATTCAGTTGCCTGAAATTTTTGCATAAAATTCTCTTTTTTATTTTCATTGAGCCAAATAAATAAAGTATCAGGTATTTACTAGGTTCACCATTCTTTGATTCATTGATTTTTTTTTTTCAGACAGGATCTTGCTCTGTCACCCACGTTGGAGTGCAGTGGCATAATCTCAGTTCACCGCAACCTCCACTTCCTGGGCTTAAGTGATTCTCCCGCCTCAGCCTCCCAAGTAGCTGGAAATACAGGCGTGTGCCACCATGCCCGGCTAATTTTTGTATTTTTTGTAGAGATGGGTTTTCATCATGTTTCCCAGGCTGGGTTTTTTTTTTTCAAATGT
Source organism: Homo sapiens (assembly GCF_000001405.40). Taxonomy (NCBI): domain Eukaryota; kingdom Metazoa; phylum Chordata; class Mammalia; order Primates; family Hominidae; genus Homo; species Homo sapiens. Next base: position 1,195,338 of record NT_167251.2, read on the forward strand.
CTTAGGGTTTTCGCTTTATTATTTCCTTGATATCCACAGCAGAAGTTCAGAGGTATAACTTCAACATTAACAGGTGAAAAGTTCTACAATGACTTGTTGCACTCCATCACATTAGAATAATTGAACTATAATTTCCATACAACACAAGAAAAGTACAGTATTTAGTGACAACTGAAAGATACCTGATAAATAAATATATCAACTTACTACTCATGAAAAGAATGGAGCTGGTTATTTCAGCTATAAAAGGGCAAAGCAAAAAGACCATTTTCTAGCCATTTGAAAGTTACTCAAAAAATTGATACAATGGAACGGAAAGGAAAACAAAAAAGATTGTAAGCAACTTTAACAATGTTCTTGCATTCTACTGATACACAAACCTCTAGGGTTTCAGTTGACACAATCAAGTTCAACTTGTACTGACAGAAAATATTAAAAACCTTCCTATTGAGTTTTTAATATCAAACAGGGAGGTTAGTAAATTGTTTTCTGATTCTTCTACAAAAAAAAAAGTCTAGAAGAGGGACAGGGAATGTAGTGTGCACCACTTATTATTATTCTAAGTAATAATTTTTACTTACGAGGTCAACACGAGTGCAAAGGGCTTAGTGATGCATCTTATTCTTTAATTTTGGACAGTAACACCCTCAGATGGTATTTTTATTGGTTTGTTTTATATCCCCCTTTTCCATTTGCCCTTCTGTTTTGAAGTGCTTTTTCTTAAAACTTAAGTTCTTTGCCTCCATTTTCTTATAAACCCAATTTCCTCTTTAGTGAAACTCTACCATTTGAAAGGAACCTTTCTATTGTAATTTACAAGCTGTGAATAACTGCTATGTAATTCTTTCCAAGGATTAATAAACTGAGAGATGATTTGAACCAACAGAGGTAGGGAAAGATTAGAAGGGGGATGCAAGTGGCCACAGGTCTTAGAGGCGGCCAGCAGAGGGCGCTGCTCCAAGGTGAAGGTCGCACCCTGAGAGGCCATCCTTTTTTGTAGGACCAGACTGGGGTGTAAGGACAGTGCCTCATCCTCACAACGACAGACCCGTGTTCTGGGTGTGGATTTGCCTCCCTTGCCTGCGGGACTTCTGCTAGCACTGCCGTTCCTAGACTTAGACCATGCTAGAATGAGTCCAGGAACCTAGGAGAGGAGATGGGAGTGGCTCCTCCCACTGTGGCCCCTAATAATTCACATGAAGAATTTTTGCTTTCCTTGCCAGGGACCCGGGACTCAGTGGGTCCAGAGGTCCTAGTGCCAAAGGAAGAAATGTGTAGATCAGGAAATACTATTATGGTTTTATTCAACTGGAAGCCGAGGCTGGCCATTTATTGTATTTATTTATTTATTTATCTATCTATTTATTTATTTATTTATTTTGAGACAGAATCTCACTCTTGTTTCCCAGGCTCCCAGGCTCAAGAGATCCTCCTACCTTAGCCTCCTGAGTAGCTGGTACTACAGTCGCATGCCACCTTGCCCAGCTAATTTTTTTCTTTTCTTTTTTTTTTTTTTTTTGAGACGCAGTCTCATTTTGTTGCCCAGGCTAGAGTGCAGTGGCGCGGTCTTGGCTCACTGCAACCTCCACCTCCTGGGTCGAAGCGATTCTCCTGTCTCAGCCTCCGGAGTAGCTGGGATTACAGGCATGTGCCACCGCGCCTGGCAATTTTTTTTTTTAGTAGAGGCGGGGTTTCACCATGTTGGCCAGGCTGGTCTCAACTCCTGACCTTGTGATCCGCCTGCCTCAGCCTCCCAAAGCGCTGGGATTGCAGACATAAGCCACCGCGCCTGTTTTTTTGTTTTGTTTTGTTTTCTGACAGAGTCTCTGTCACCCAGGCTGGAGTGCAGTGGTGTGATCTCAGCTCACTGCAACCTCTGCCTCCTGGGTTCAAGCGATTCTCCTGCCTTAGCCTCCCAAGTAGCTGGGATTATAGGCGCACGCCACTATACCCAGCTAATTTTTGTATTTTTAGTAGAGGTGGGGTTTCACCATGTTGGCCAGGCTGGTCTCAAACTCCTGACTTCAGGCGATCCACCCACCTCGGCCTCCCAAAGTGCTGGGATTATAGGTGTGAGCCATCAAGCCCAGCCCTGCCCAGCTAATTTTTACACTATGGGCAAGTATGCTGCCCAAGAGTGCTCTGGAACTCCTGGGCTCAAGTGATCTTCCTTCCTCGGCCTCCCAATGTGCTTGGATTACAAGCATGAGCCACCTTGCCCAGCCGAAGCTGGCCATTTAAAGTTCCTCATGCTGCTGAATCAATAAGGATGGAAGGCGGCTACTATTATGGGCTAAGTGTTTGCCTCCTCCCCAAATTCTTTTTTTTTTTTTTTTGAGATGGAGTTTTGCTCTTGTTGCCCAGGCTAGAGTGCAGTGGCGCGATCTCTGCTCCCTGCAACCTCCACCTCCCAGGTTCAAGTGATTCTCCTGCCTCAGCCTCCCGAGTTAGCTGGGATTACAGGCATACGCCACCACACCCGGCTAATTTTGTATTTTTAGTAGAGATGGGGTTTCTCCATGTTGGTCAGGCTGGTCTCAAACTCCCGACCTCAGGTGATCTGCTGACTTCAGCCTCCCAAAGTGCTGGGATTACCGGCATGAGCCACCGCGCCCAGCCCCCCAATTTTTTTTTTTTTTTTTTTTTTGAGACGGAGTCTCGCTCTGTCACCCAGGCTGGAGTGCAGTGGCATGATCTTGGCTCACTGCAAGCTCTGCTTCCCGGGTTCACGCCATTCTCCTGCCTCAGCCTCCCGAGTAGCTGGGACTACAGGCGCCCGCCACCACGCCTGGCTAATTTTTTGTATTTTTAGTGGACACGGGGTTTCACTGTGTTAGCCAGGATGGTCTCGATCTCCTGACCTCGCGATCTGCCCGCCTCGGCCTCCCAAAGTGCTGGGATTACAGGCGTGACCCACCGCGCCCGGCCTCGGCCCCCAAATTCTTATGTTGAAGCCCTCACCTCCATGTGATGGTATTAGAAGGTGGGGTCTTTGGGACGTAATTAGGCTTACAGTGCCCCATGATGGGATGAGTGTCTTAAAAGAAAAGACCAAGTGGTCTGGCTAGTGGCTCACCCCTGAAATCTCAGCACTTTGGGAGAAAAGACCAGGTGGTCTGGCTAGTGGCTCACCCCTGAAATCTCAGCACTTTGGGAGGCCAAGGTGGGTGGATCACTTGAGATCAGGCGTTTGAGACCAGCCTGGGCAATACGGTGAAAAGCCATCTCTACTAAAAATACAAAAATTAGCTGGGCGTGGTGGCGCAAGTCTGTAATCCCAGCTACTTGGGAGGCTGAGGTGGGAGAATCACTTGAACCCGGGAGGTGGAGGTTGCAGTGAGCCCAGATCATGTCATTGCACTCCAGCCTCCAGCCTGGACAGAGAGAGCATCTGAGAGTCTCTGTCTCAAAACAAAAAGAAAAAAAAAAAAGAAGAGACCAGAGAGCCTTTCTTCTCTTTGTCCACCAAGTGAAGATATGGCAAGAAGGCAGCCATCTGCAAGCTAGGAAAAGAGCCCTTGCCAGCACCCAATCATGCTATCACCCTGATATGGGACTTCCCAGCCTCCAGAACTGTGAGAAATCAATGTCTGTTGTTTAAGCCACCCAGTATGTAATAGCAGCCTGAGCTAACTAAAACCATCACCGAACTAGCCTCTTTACCTATGATTAGCAAGAGGAAAATGGCTCTGTTACTTAGTAGAGGAAGGAGGCTATGTCTGAAAGCCAAAAATTCACTGGGGACACATCTTAGCAGGCTCTTGACCCTAAGACCTGGTTAATGGAAAAGTAGAGCAACCCAATAAAAACAAGACCACCAAGAAGTCAGGTCTTATGGAATAAAGTATTGAGTGTCCCTATGAGGCACAGAACCCTTCGAAAGGGGATTGGAAGAAGTGGTGGAAGAAGGCGGCTATGATTATCAACTTAGACTTCATGGCCATTTGTAGAAGGAGGCTTCTAACAGCTATGTTTTATGTTAATTGGCTCTTTTCTCTTCTTTTTTCTTTCAACCTTATATTAAGAGCATTGGCAGAAGCTAGCGGTTTTGGTATCCTGTAATTATTAGTTGTATAACCTTGGCCAAGTAACTCAACCTTTCTGTGCCTCAGTTACTCATCTGTAAAACAGGGTAATAAGTCTCAACCTCGTACTTATGTTGTTATAAAGATTTAACACTAGGCTGGGCATGGTGGCTCACACCTGTAATCCCAGCACTTTGGGAGGCCGAGGAGGGTGGATCACCTGAGGTCAGGAGTTCAAGACCAGACTGGCCAACATGGCAAAACCCTGTCTCTGCTAAAAATACAAAAAATTAGCTGGGTGTGGTGGCACGTGATTGTAATCCCAGTTACTCAGGAGGCTGAGGCAGGAGAATTGCTTGAACTAAACCTGGGAGGCGGAGGTTGCAGTGAGCCGAGATCGTGCCACTGCACTCTAGCCCAGGCAACAGAGTTAGACTCTATCTCAAAAAAAAAAAAAAAAAAAAAAAAATTAACACTTTGAACAAAAAAGAAAAAAATAATAAAATTTAAAAAAGATTTAACAATTGGGCCAGGCATGGTGGCTCATGCCTGTAATACCAGCACTTTGGGAGCCTGAAGACGGAGGATTACTTGAACCCAGGAGTTCCAGACCAGCCTGGACAACAAAGCAAGACTTTGTTTCTACTTTAAAAAAAAAAAAACCAAAGTCAGGTGTGGTGGTACACACCTGTGATCCCAGCTACTTGGGAGGCTGAGATGGGAGGATCCCTTGAGCCTTGGAGGTTGAGGCTGCAATGAGCCATGATCATACCACTGCACTCCAGCCTAGGCGACAGAGTGAGGCCCATGTCAAAAAAAAAAATGATCCCCAACATTTAGCAGCTTAAAACAAAAAACATTTATTATATCACACTTTCTGTGGGTCAGGAATCTGGGAGGGACTTAGCTGGGTGGTTCTCCTCAGTTCTCTTGGGATGTTTCAGTCAAGCAGTGGCCTGGGGCTGCACTCTTATCTGAAGACTCAATCGGGAGAAAATATGCATTCAAGGTCACTCATTGGTTGTTGGCAGGCTGTAGTTCCTCACTGAATATTGGTTGAAGACTTCATTGGCTTACTACCTGGACTTCTCCACACACTGCCTGAATGTCCTCCCCACATAGCTAGAGTGAATGAACTAAAAAAGAGAGAGAACACACACAGCCCAGGTAAGAGTTCAGTCTTTCTAAGTCATTATATGAAAACGATTTTTTTTTTTTTGAGATGGAGTCTCGCTCTGTCGCCAGGCTGGAGTGCAGCAGCACGATCCCAGCTCACTGCAACCTCTGCCTCCCGGGTTCAAGTGATTCTCCTGCCTCAGCCTCCCAAGTAGCTGGGATTACAGGCGTGTGCCCCTATGCCCAGCTAATTTCTGTACTTTTAATAGAGACGGGGTTTCACCATGTTGGCCAGGATGGTCTTGATCTCTTGACCTTGTGATCCGCCCACCTTGGCCTCCCAAAGTGCTGGGATTACAGGCGTGAGCCACCGCTCCTGGCCAAAAAAGATTCTTGCACACACATGTTTATAGTAGCACTATTCACAATTGTAAAAATGTGGAACCAGCCCAAATGCCCATCAATCAATGAGTGGCTAAAGAAACTGTGGTATAGATATACAGTGGAATACTACTCAGTCATAAAAAGGAATGAATTAATGGCATTTGCAGCAACCTGGACGGGATTGGAGACTATTATTCTTGTTTTTTTTTTTTTTTTTTTTTTTTGAGATAGAGTCTCACTTGGTCACCCAGGCTGGAGTGCAGTTGCGCAATCTTGGCTCACTGCAAGCTCTGCCTCCTGGGTTCACACCATTCTCCTGCCTCAGCCTCCCAAGTAGCTGAGACTACAGGCGCCTGCCACCATGCCCGGCTAATTTTTTTTTTGTATTTTTAGTAGAGGCCGGGTTTCACCATGTTAGCCTGGATGGTCTCGATCTCCTGACCTCGTGATCCGCCCACCTCAGCCTCCCAAAGTGCTGGGATTACAGGCATGAGCCACCGCACCCGGGCTATTTTTTTTTTTTTTTTTTTTTTTTTTTTTTTTTTTTTTTTTAACTAACCAGGGGTTTAACATAAATACAACCAGCATAGAAAGACCCAAAACTATACAGAAACCAAAACCAGAATGCCATGTGGTGGAGGCAAAGGGCAGAATTTCTGACCCCTTTGGCTCAGCTGCCCTTCCCCACAAATAAAAACCAACAAAGAGGACAAATCAGGACAATAAAGAAGATTCATGCTAAGCTGTGGCAGAGGGGGGAAGGTATGATCGGGTGGGGGTGGGACAAGGAATGGCCATGGAAGATAACTGGGTCAGGTTGGACCCTGGGCTGGGAGGGGGAGGGCAAGGCCCCTCACCACAACTTAAGCCAAACCTAAGCTGCCCCCAGGTGCCATAGGTCCCTGTCCCAGCAGGGAGGCTGATGGGCCTGGGCCCATGCCCCTCCCCACCTTTGGGGGTCAGATAGTGGCCACCCAGGTCTGCTGGGTTGGGGCCTGACACAGGCTCTGCATGCCCATTCGGGCTGCCTGTGGAGAGAGAATGGAGTCACTGTTTAACCATGCTACCTGCCTCAGTCCCAGCAGACCACAGGAGATTGGCCCCAGACTCACTGAGTGCCTGCAGCAGCCGTACAGACACAGCATCCTTGGCCACCTCATGCCCATCCCGGCCATCTAGGGTCAGCACAACCCAGATGAGGCCGCTGAAGGGCACCGGATGCCCAGGAATCACCACCTGGTACCAGAAGCGGTGCCAGCCAGCAGGTCCTATGCCCAAACACTTGGTGAGGAACACAGGGCTGCCCAGCTTCATTCGTTGGCACAGCAACTGCAGGGTAGCCCGAGCCCCTTGGGACCCTAACTTGTCCCTTGCCAAGGCCAACTGGCTGCCCTCTGGCTGTGGGGACCGCAAGGAGGGACCCACAAGCTGCTGGCGAAGTCGCTGCTTCAGTTCTGGCTTGAGCCACTCCACAGCCACCTGCTCTCCACAGAGGTGTGGCTGCCCTTCCTCCAGGGCCTTTTTGGCCATGGCAGCGGTCCAGTGCGAGCTGAATTTGAGCACAGCGATCTGCCCGGGCGCAGGTCCGGGGCTGGGCAGCAGCCGCGCCTCCTGCAGGCCGGGACCCAGCGGCTGCAGCGCGGGCAGCAGCGCGGGCAGCAGCGCGGTGCGGGTCAGATTCGGCGGCAGGCAGTCAACGCTCAGCTCACACTTCCCGGTGCTGCGGCACACGAGCAGCGGGCAGGACGGCCGCAGCGGGTGGTTGTGCAGCGGGCGATGGCGGCCTGCGCGCCGCGCCGCGAGCTGCAGCGGGCATATGCGAAGCCGCGGTTCAGGCCGCTGAAGGTCATCATCAGGCGGAACTCGTAGAGGCGGCCCACGCGCTGGAACAGCGGGATAAGCTGGTGCTCATACACTTCCTGAGGCAGCCGCCCGATGAACACCTCTGACCCAGCCGGCGGCGGGCTGCCCACCCAGCCTGGGGGTGGCCCGCCATACTTCCTCTGCCCGTTCACCTGCACCAGGCGATGCCTGTCTGCCTGACCCACGCCTCCAGCGCCGCCTTGTTCTCTGGCTTCACCCTCTCACACCACAGCTCACAATCCCGCTTGGACTGCATGGCTCTCTATTCTCTTTTTTTTTTTTTGAGACGTAGTTTCACTCTTGTTCTCCAGGCTGGAGTGCAATGGCGGGATCTTGGCTCACCGCAACCTCCGCCTCCCGGGTTCAAGCGATTCTCCTGCCTCAGCCTCCCAAGTAGCTGGGATTACAGGCATGCGCCACCATGCCTGGCTAATTTTGTATTTTTAGTAGAGACGGGGTTTCTCCCTGTTGGTCAGGCTGGTCTCAAACTCCCGACCTCAGGTGATCCACCCACCTCGGCCTCGCATAGTGCTGGGATTACAGGCATGAGCCACCCAGCCCTGTCTATGGAGACTATTATTCTCAGCGAAGTAACTCAGGAATGGAAAACCAAACATCGTACGTTCTCACTCATAAATGGGAGCTAAGCTAGGAGGATGCAAAGGCATAAGAATGACACAATGGACTTTGGGGAATCAAGGGGAAAGGAAGGGAAGGGGGTGAGGGATAAAAGACTATTAATTGGGTGCAGTCTATATTGCTTGGGTGATGGGTGCACAAAAATTTCACAAATCACCACTAAAGAACTTATTCACGTAACCAAACACCAGCTGTTCCCCAATATCCTATGGAAATAAAAAAATTTTTTTTAAAAAAAGAGTTCGGTCTTTCTGTAACCTAATCTTGGAAGTGTATATTACTTCTTCCATAGGCTATCAGTCTCCCAGACCAACCCTGCTACAGGGTAGAGGAGACTACATGGTATGTGAATACCAGAAAGTGGGGGCCATTGGGGACTGGCTATTTGGAGGATGGTTACTACAAACTATATTTGTAATTTTTTTTTCTTGAGATGGAGTCTTGCTCTGTTGCCCAGGCTGGAGTGCAATGGCACGATCTCAGCTCGCTGCAACATCCACCTCCTGCGTTCAAGTGATTCTCCTGCCTCAGCCTCCCGAGTAGCTGGGATTACAGGCACGCACCACCACACCCAGCTAATTTTTTGTATTTTTAGTAGAGCCGGGGTTTCTCCATGTTGGTCAGGCTGGTCTCAAACTCCTGACCTCAGGTGATCTGCCCGCCTCGGCCTCCCAGAGTGCTGGGATTACAGGCCCGAGCCATGGTGCCTGGCTATATTTGTAATTTTTTAACCACTAAAAAAAAAAGAAGAAGAAGAAGAAAAAGAAACAAGTATGGGAAGATATTAAGATCTGATAAAACTGGGTTATACTTATGCAGGTATTCATTACATTATTCTCCATAACTTTTTAAATGTTTAATAATAAAAGTAAAAATATTTTCCCCTTAAAAATGTGCAGAGCATACCTCAAATAATGTTGACAAAGAATCCTAAAGACAATTATTATTATTATTATTTTTTGAGACAGGTTCTTGCTCTGTCGCCCAGGCTGGAGTGCAGTGGTGCCACCTGAGCTCACTGTAAACTCCGTCTCCTGAGTTTAAGCAATTCTCCTGTCTCAGCCTCCTGAGCAGCTGGGACTACAGGCGAGCACCATCATGCCTGGTTAATTTTTATATTTTCAGTAGAGACGGGGTTTCCTCATATTGCACAGGCTGGTCTTGAACTCCTGGCCTCAAGTGATCCACCCACCTTGGCCTCCCAAAGTGCTAGCATTACAGGCATGAGCCACTGTGCCGGGCCTCTCAAACTCCTGACCTCAGGTGATCCACCTGCCTCGGCCTCCCAAAGTGCTGGCATTACAGGCGTGAGCCACTGCGCCCGGCCGATCTTCCTTCCGTTCTCCCTTCCCCTCTTCTTCTTCTTCTTCTTTTTTTTTTAATTAATAGAGATGGGATTTTGCCATGTTGCTTAGGCTGGTTTCAAACTCCTGGGCTCAAGCTATCTGCTCGCTTCAGCTTCCCAAAGTCCTGGGATTAAGGGCGTGAGCCACTGCGCCTGGCCCCAGTAAGGATTTAAAAGCTCAGGAATTATTAGTCAGCTTCCTTTTTTGTTCATCCTGTTGTTTGTTCATTTCAGTCTATTCCCTTTTTATAATTTCCTTCTTCATAAGGACTATTTCTCCTTGTACTTTTGTGAGAATTCCTGTAACTTGTAATCCCAGCTACTTGGGAGGCTGAGGCAGGAGAATCACTTGAACCGGGAGGCGGAGGTTGCGGTGAGCCGAGATCAAGCCATTGCACTCCAGCCTGGGCAACAAGAGCAAAACTCGGTCTCGGAAAAAAAAAAAAGAAAAGAAAAGAAAAAAGAAAGGAAGGAAGATCCTCATTGGACAGAGCAAAAAGCAGAATTGATGGCACTGAAAATGAAATCAGCGGCTGATGTACAAGTTCCAGAATGTCTCCTAGAGTAACAAGGAAATCCGGGTGTGGTAGTTTATGCCTGTCATCCCAGCACTTTGTGAGGCCAAGGAGGTTAGTTAGCTTGAGCCCAGGAGTTGGAGACCAGCCTGGCCAACATGGTGAAACCCCATCTCTACAGAAAATATAAAAGTTAGCTGGGTTTGGTGGTGGGTACCTGTAGTCCCAGCTACTCTGGAGGCGAAGGAGGGAGGATCACCTGAGTCCCGGGAGGTCAAGGCCACAGTGCGCCTTGATAGAGTTTTGCCACTGCACTCCAGCCTAAGCAACAGTGAGACCCTGTCTCAATAAACAAACAAACAAACAAATAAATAATTGTAGAGACAGAAGATAAAATGGAGCCCGGTGCAGTGGCTCACGCCTGTAATCCCAGAACTTTGGGAGGCTGAGGTGGGCAGATTACTTGGCCCAGGAGTTTGAGACCAGTCTGCCCAACATGGTGAAACCCCGTCTCTACTAAAAATACAAAAATTAGCCAGGCATGGTGGTGTGTGCCTATAATCCCAGCTACTTGAGAGGCTGAGACAGGAGAATCGATTGAACCCAGGAGGTGGAGGTTGCAGTGAGCTGAGATCACACCACTGCACTCCAGCCTGGGTGACAAAGCCAGACTCTGTCTCAAAAAAAAAAAAAAAAAAAAAAAAAAGGCCGAGCACGGTGGCTCATGCCTGTAATCCCAGCACTTTGAGAGGCTGAGCCGGGCAGATCACCTAAGGTCGGGAGTTTGAGACCAGCCTGACCAACATGGAGAAACCCCGTCTCTGCCAAAAATACAGTATTAGCAGGTCGTGGTGGCACATGCCTGTAATCCCAGCTACCTGGGAGGCTGAGGCAGGAGAATCGCTTGAACCTGGGAGGTGGAGGTTGCAGTGAGCCGAGATTGTGCCACTGCACTCCAGACTGGGCAACAAGAGTGAGACTCTGTCTCAAAAAAAAAAAAAAAAAAAGAGAGAGAGAGAGAGAGACAGGGTTTCACCAGGTTGGCCAGGCTGGTCTTGGACTCCTGACCTCAAGTGATCTGCCCGCCTCAGCCTCCCAAAGTGCTGGGATTACTGGTGTGGGCCACTGCATCTGGCTCCCACCATCTCTATTAAAATAAGATAAAATAAACATAAAATAATGAACCGACAAAATAATAATACAATTCATTGTAAGTAAAATGCTATCCTGAGTTCTGTGAGTCATTCTGGATAATTCAAATTCTCTAGAATTACCACCTCAGCTGACTTTTTTTTTTTTTTTTTTTTTTGTAGAGACCAGGCTGGTCTTGAATTCTTGAGCTCAAGTGATCCGCTTCCCTCAGTCTCCCAAAGTGCTGGAATTACATGCGTGAGCCACTGAGCCTGTCCTACAAATTCTTTATTATACAACACACAGTAGATGCTCAATAAATATTTGCTAAGCAGAAACATACACTCAAAATACCAGAAATTATCAAGGAAGTTGCCAGTTGGTCTCTTGGGTTCTTCCTCCCGACAGGTATACACACCTATTGTAAAGATGAACACATTAGGCTGTGAGAAACCAATACTGTTAAACATTCCAATCAGGTGACAAACTCCCTGGGCTCTGGTTTATATTACCAAGCACCTGATGATAACTTGGCTTCCTGTGTGGCTTGTTTATAGAAAGAGAATGCTACCCAGGCTGACGTGAGTTGCATTTCTGAGTTGATTTCTCACTGTAAATTAATAAACTGGCATTCTGGCTACATAGATCAGTCTCTTTGAACTCTTTGTACCTTCCACCATTAGTGTGATTTCTAAGGCTGCAAGCCAGACACTGCCCAAGACCCAGCACTGGACTCTGGTGAGTTCTTCCAGCTGTTGCCACCCCAGGAGCCTCTGGGAGCCCCTGGGAACCATCCAGCTTGCTCTCTGTCTCTACATTTCAGGGTGTGGGTTTCAGGGCATTCACAACATTCCTGCAACAGAAGAGTTTTGGGAACACCCCCAGCAGGATGTGGGTGATTTGAATGTATGTCAGAGATGTGGTTGTAACTGAGAAATCTTAAGCCTAGTGAATTTTATTCCACTTGACTTAAAGAAAGAGCACGTGAAAGAAGGGGATCTGAGGACATCTATGAACAGGGCCCCGAGGGCATGAACTTACTAGTGTTTATCTGACTAGTGTTTATCTGGGCCTGTCTAGTCTGGAGAACCTGACTCTGGTGTACCCAAGCTTGCTTTGCAGTGGCTGTAGAGGTTTGCTCTTTTGGAGGGAGAAGATAATTCACTCCTCCAACACCTGAATGAGGGTAGATTAACCCACCTCCTTCAGCTGCAGTTTGGCAAATTTCTCTTCTTTGATTTAATGCTCAACGGACAAACTTCCTTTCTTCTTCTTCTTCGTCTTCTTCTTCTTCTTCGTCTTCTTCTTCTTCTTCGTCTTCTTCTTCGTCTTCTTCTTCTTCTTCTTCTTCTTCTTCTTCTTCTTCTTCTTTTCTTCTTCTCCTTCTTTTCTTCTTCTCCTCCTTCTCCTTCTTCTTCTTTTCCTTCTCCTCCTCCTCCTTCCTCCTCCTCCTCTTCCTACTCTTCTTCCTCTTCCTCTCCTCCTCCTCTTCCTCCTCCTCTTCCTCCACCTCCTCCTCCTCCTCTTCCTTCTTCTTTCTTTTTTTTTTTTTTTTTTGGTTTTGAGACAGGGTCTCCGTCACCCAGGCTGGAGTGCAGTGGCACGATCTCGGCTCACTGCAACCTCCACCTCCTAGGCTCAAGCGATCCTCCCACCTCAGCTTCCCATGTGGCTGGAACCACAGGCGTGAGTTACCATGCCCGGCTAATTTTTGTATTTTTTGTAGAGACAGGGTCTCTCCATGTTGCTCAGGCTGGTCTTGAACTCCTGAGCTCAAGAGAGCCTCCTGTCTCAGGCTCCCAAAGTCCTGGGATTACAGGCATGAGCCACCATGCCCGGCCTCAACAGGCAACCTTCTGATTAATAATTAGACCTCTGTGCCGGCCGTCGTGGCTGATGCCTGTAATTCCAGCACTTTGGAAGGCCAAGGCGGGTGGATGGCTTGAGGTCGGGCGTTTGAGACCAGCCTGGCCAACACGATGAAACCCGGTCTCTGCTAAAAATACAAAAATTAGCCTGGCATGGTGGCGTATGCCTGTAATCCCAGCTACTTGGGAGGCTGAGGCACAAGAATCGCTTGAACCCGGGAAGCAGAGGTTACAGTGAGCTGTCATATATAATGAAACAGTTTTACTAAACTTAGGAAGCAGTGACTTGGTGTCTCTAGAAATTGCCTAACATACACATTCCAGGATACATTCTCTGTCATCTGGAATCTCCTCCCTTCCACAAACCCACGCTGTCTTAAGCACTATTTTCCTATTTGTTGTTGACCTAATCTAGAAAAAAGCGGCCATCACTCTTTCTCCCCCACTCAGTCCCTCAGTCCCGAAACACCCTTATTCTCCGCACTTGTCACCCCACCCTCTGCTGCCCCCACCGCAGCGCGCAAACGCACACGAGTTTAAAGTTTAGGTTGTGATGCTATCCTCGCCCGCAGATCACAGGACAGACATTCTCGGGGACAACTTTGCGAGGCCATGTGCTCGTCCCCCTTAGGAAGGAAGAGGGAGAAATCCCTGCGGCTCGGTTTTGTTCCAATGGTCTGCTCAGCGAGTGATTCCCGTTTCCCCAAAGGCTGCCCCTCATTAGCATGAACGGGGACGCGGGTGTGGAGAAGGGGTTAGGGGAGAGAAAGCAAGCAAAAGCCCAGGCTCACTTTTAGAGCCTGGGAACCCTGTCTGCAAAAATGACAGCTAGAGCTTTCTGGCTCCTCTGTTTAATCGTCGGATCATCCCCCGAAGCTCCGGTGGAGAGAAAAAGTAAGATCGGTGTAGTGCGGAGCCCTGGGAGCCGAGCGGGGATCTGGGGAGGGGGCGCCCAGGCCTCAGCCGCCGGCCGACAACCGGGCCACCTTCCGTGAGGCCGCACACGCGCCCACAGGCCCGCGCCTGGCGCAAGCCGAGAACCGCGCGTTGCGGCGCCGCGGGCCCGCGTCGGAGGAAGCCCCGAGACGCGCGCGCTCACGGGCCCTACGCTTCCCCGCCGCCCGGCCGCTCGCGCGCGCCGCCGAGGGCCCCGCCGGCCCTGCCCACCCCAACCGGCCGCGCGCCGTCGTGCCGGCCTCCGGCTCACCGCCCGCACCGCCGCCGCGCCTCAGCTTCAGCTTCGGCCTCAGTCAGCCGCGCAGGGACGCGGAGCCCTGCGCCGAGCCCTGCGCTTGCGCTTGCCGGGCGGGCATGGACGGGCGAGAGGCGTTCTGCAAGCGCGAAATCGGTGAGCCCGGCCGCCGCGCCGCAGCCCCGCGAGTCTTTCCGAGTCCCGGAGAATCCTGCACGCGAGATCCCAGGGCTACCGACCCATGCGGGCCGTTTCGCTGTTGCTAAAAACCAACGCCCAGGGACTGGGAGAGGAACTGGGGTTCCCAAACTGTTTTTTGGAAGCAGCGATGAACGGGATAGTGCATGACGTGGACGTGCTGGGCGCGGGCATCTGGCTGGTGGATCGGGACGGGCTGTACAAGATGAACCGCCTGTACCTCACTCACCCCCGACGGCTTCTTCTTCCAAGTCCACATGTTAGTCCTGGACTCCTCCAGCTGCAGTAAACCGTGTCCAGAGTTTAAACCTGGTATTGAAACTGAGCTGAATGACGCTGCATATGTACTTTATGCCACCGTTTGTAACGTGGGTGCCACAGCCCGGGCTGTGGGTCGCCCAGTCTTTTTTTGGGAGGGATGGGGGACAGTATTGTAACATGATTAGGATTTAGACGACAGGTATTATTTCCGCCACTCTGTGATTTAAGCACTGTCAGCCCCACCCCCACGGGTGAGAAAGGCAGCTGTTGGCACAAAGCGGGTTGTCAATAAATAGATGTTGACAAATGGAGTGAGCGACCACCAAACACCATTGCCAGAAGGGACTGTACAGAACTGAGTTTAGAAAAGCTGCTTTTTTGGGGGAGTGTGTGGAGGGTTGGTAGCGGGGAATACCCACTCCCACATCTTTTTTTTTTTTTTTGGACAGAGTCTCGCTCTGTTGCCCAGGCTGGAGTGCAATGGCGCCATCTCAGCTCACTGCAACCTCCGTCCCCCAGGTTCAAGCCATTCTCCTGCCCTCAGCCTCCCAAGTAGCTGGGATTACAGGCTGAGCCACTGCGCCCGGCCCCACTCCCACATCTTTCTAGGCATGTGCTCTGGGAAATCCTGATACAATGTGATAAGGACCTTTGTTCTGTAATGTGGGCTGGTTACGTATTGCTTTCCCTTCCCCACACCCCGTGCTACTTTTTGTATTTTTAGTACAGATGGGGTTTCACCATGTTGGCTAGGCTGGTCTCAAACTCCTGACCTCAAGTAATCTGCCCGCCTCGGCCTCCCAAAGTGCTGGGATTAAAGGCGTGAGCCACTGCACTGGCCTGGTTGGGTTGGTTATCTTCTAAAGGTCGCTAGACTGTTTCCACCTTGCCTGTAGACTAAATATCAGTTTCAACTTGTGCAGCAAGATAGTAGATTGCAGCTTAGGTATTTCTTAAAGGCCTTATATTTTCTGTTTCATGGCATTTAAAAGACGCTATGAATTAATGTTCTGGTTATTTTGTCCAGGCAGCAGGTATATTGTGATGGGCCACATCTACCATAAGAGAGGGCAGCTTCCTACAGCTCTGCTCCAGGTCCTGAGAGGCCATCTCTGTCCAGGGGATGGACTGCTGAGGAGCAGCAGCAGCTATGTGAAAAGGTTTAACCCAAAAAGGGAAGGGCAAATTCAAGGTGCAATTCATACCCAATGCATTTGAAACAACCATCCTGGCATTTCTGGATCACAAGAGACATCGGCAACAAGACATGAAAGGTCTATCTTCATGTAATGGGTCCTCCTTTAGAAGAGAGCCCAAAGCTACTCTATGAATGACCTGCATAGTTACAACTGTAATCTCGAAGGTGTCACTTTGTTATTTACAAGATGCTTCTTAAATGGGCTGCTCCTGAGCTCAGTGTCAAGGTGATTCAACTGTTGTGCCAGACAGTGATTTACACAGCTCAGATAACTGACCTGTCTAGTTAACAGATCACTGCTTCATGTTTTTAAATATTTTAATTTAATACATTCTTTAGTAGAAATAGTCCACAAAACATTTTCTTCAATTTAAATATACAACTTTTATATCATGTATCAAACCAGATTTTATATTCAAACTATCACATTTTAAATTCTTCACATAACAGTAAGCGCACTAGTCAAAAGACATTTACCTATGAAACGTCATTTAGATCAAACACAAGGGTCAAAGCCCAGGACAAGAATTAAAATTTTACACTTAAAGAGTACCAAGCCGGGCGCGGTGGCTCACACCTGTAATCCCAGCACTTTGAGAGGCCAAGGCGGGCGGATCACCTGAGGTCGGGAGTTCGAGACCAGGCTGACCAACATGGAAAAACCCTGTCTCTACTAAAAATACAAAAAGTAGCCGGGTGTGGTGGCACATGCCTGTAATCCCAGCTGAGGGAGGCTGAGGCAGGAGAATCACTTGAACCCAGGAGGTAGAGGTTGTGGTGAGCCGAGATCGCGCCAGCCTGGGCAACAAGAGCAAAACTCCGTCTCAAAAACAAACAAAGTGTACAAAAGGGCCAGTGTGCGGATGGGTGGATTAAAAAAATAAATTTAAAAAAAGTGCTAAAGGGCTTACTTCAGGCAAAAGTGTTCCTGATGTACCAAAGAGTAAGATATAGTTTATTTTCATGCCTCCCTGCTCCTAATAATGTATGTTTTGTGCTGAACTGGCAGCTATCCCAATGTGAACTGTATTCTGGGTGTATCTGATGTCATTTTTCTATTAAGACCAAGTATAATGTTTGCTTGTAAAGCAATAAATCTTGCTTTGAAATTAGACCTTGGATGCACCTGTTTATTTTTGTTTTGTTTTGTTTTAGACTTTGAGCCCTAAAGGTTTGAGAAAAAGCCTTTCTCAAATTCATTCCCCAAACCTTGGAACCAATATTAACCAATGACAGCTCACAAGCAAGTGAATTCTAAACATTTTTCAGTTGGTTTTAAAAAGGTTTAATCACTAGCTAAATTAAATATTGATTTTATACCTGAGTCCACAAAGACATGAGAGTATTTTTTCAGAAGATAAGGCTGTACTTCAGTTTATAAGAAGTACGGTGAACAGAGACACCACTAATGCATAGATGAAGATGACTGCCTAAAGAGAGACAGGGGAAGGAATTTCACTGGAGAGAGAGCAGCCTATTTGGCCTCACGGTGATACACCCAGGAAGGTCAGAATGTGTCCTGACGCTGTCCATGGCACCCAGTAGTAGCACTGTACACATAAAGGACATCCAGGATGGGACGCTAGGGAATCACAGGAGCCAAGAGGCAACAGCCTAACATTACAATACCTGATACTATTATTTGTTCCAATTATGGGGCAGACTGGTAATAAAGAGTTGAGAGGTTCTGAGTGTTCTATGGTAAAGCACTACTGAGAGATTTCTAGAGTATTTTCCAAAAATGAGTTTTGTCCAAATTTATTATAAATTTTACTAGAATTGCTTTTTGGGAGTCAGATGCATTATTGCATGATAGAATTATAGCTAATGAAGAGCTTCTGAGCTAGTTTTCTTTAAGATAAAAAAAATTAACTCAGGCATAACTCAGGCCAGTCAAATCAAAGTTGAATTTTTAAATGTCAAAAGGCTAGGCCGGGAGCTGTGACTCACGCCTGTAATCCCAGCACTTTGGGAGACCAAGGCGGGTGGATCACAAGGTCAGGAGTTTGAGACCAGCCTGGCCAACATAGCGAAACTCTGTCTCTACTAAAAATACAAAAATTAGCTGGGCATGGTGGTGCATGCCTGTAATCCCAGCTATTGGGGGGCAGGAGGATCGCTTGAACCTAGTAGGCAGAGGTTGCAGTGAGCCGAGATCGTGCCACTGCCCTCCAGCCTGGGCAACAGAGCGAGACTCTGTCTCAAACAACAACAAAAAGTATATCTATATGGCTAGTTTCTTTAGTTGAATTTGGTTCAAATTGGATCAAGTGGTATAATCTTCTAAGAAAAGACTTTTAGTATCTCGCTCCAAGTATCTAGAAGTACCTTAGAATGTTTCAAATTATTAAAAATACTTCTCGGTTGGCTCTTCCCTCCACCTCCTCAAGTACTTCATTATTTTATCCATGGAATATCCCCATTCTCACATTAAGGGCAAGAAATCTGAGACCTATGGTAATAGTTTCTTTTTTTCTTTTCTTTTCTTTTTTTTTTTTTCGAGAAGGAGTTTCGCTCTTGTTGCCTAGGCTGGAGTGTAATGGCGTGATGTCAGCTCACCGCAACCTTTCCCTCCTGGGTTCAAGCGATTCTCCTGCTCTAGCCTCCCAAGTAGCTGGGATTACAGGCATGCGCCACTTTACCTAGCTAATTTTTTTTTTTTTTTTTTGTATTTTTAGTAGAGATGGGGTTTCTCCATGTTCGTCAGGCTGGTTTCGAACTCCCAACCTCAGGTGATCCACCTGCCTTGGCCTCCCAAAGTGCTGGGATTATAGGTGTGAGCCACCACGCCCAGCCATATCATGATAGTTTCAATCAGGAAGAGTGAAAGCTGTAATAACCATGTAACTTTGTCTAACTAAGTGTGCAGAGATCTGAAAGGCCACCAGGTTGGCTCTTTAACATAAAGAAGTAGAGTTTGCCTAAAGGAATTAACAGAAATAGGGAAATAACTTTTATTTGCAGATCCCAGGAAGGTAGATTACAAACAACAGCAAATCTTAGTGTCTCTAAATAACACTCTAGGAGATTTGGAATATAAAAAGGTAATTATTTTACTTCAGAAAATATCTCCAAAAGTTCACTTTTTTTTGAGACAGTCTTGCTGTGTCACCCAGGCTGGAGTGCAGTGGCACAATCTCAGCTCACTACAACCTCTGCCTCCCCAGTTCAAGCCATCCTCCCACCTCAGCCTCCTGAGTAGCTGGGACTACAGGTGTGTGCCACTCGTCCAGCTAAATTGTTGTATTTTTAGTAGAAACAGGGTTTCACCATGTTGGTCAGGCAGGTCTGTAACTCCTGACCTTGTGATCTGCCCGCTTCAGGCTCCCAGAGTGCTGGGATTATAGGCGTGAGCCACCATGCCCAGCCACAATTTTATTTAAACCTCCTGTAGAATTTGGATAGGAGAATAAAAGCTTTACCAATAGGAAAATACTTTTCATGAAATGGTTTCAAGGATTGTGAACTTGGCAGGTGAAGCATAACAGTTATTGAAAATACTTTTAGCCAAGGAAATCTACTGATGCAAATTAAATATATTTACAAGCCCAAGGCCTGTGGTAGAAACATCCTAAGAGTATCACAAATGTACAGTTTACTGCCTGGATTATTGAAAGCAAAATAGCTGTGTTATATAGATCTTAATAGCAGAAGCTTTCAAAGATTACTCACAGAAAAGTAGCTTTCGGAACTCATTATGTTCTATAAAAATGTATGTTTTTCTTTCTTTTTTTTTTTTTGAGATGAAGTCTCACTCTTGTCCCCCAGGCTGGAGTGCAATGGCGTGATCACGGCTCACTGCAACCTCCACCTCCCAGGTTCAAGTGATTCTCCTGCCTCAACCTCCCTAGTAGCTGGGATTTCAGGTGCCTGCCACCATGCCTGGCTAATTTTTGTACTTTTAGTAGAGATGGGGTTTCACCATGTTGGCCAGGTTGGTCTCAAATTCCTGACCTCAGGTGATCCCCCCTGCCTCGGCCTCCCAAAGTGCTGGGGTTACAGGCGTGGGCCACCACACCTGGCCAGGAATGTATGTTTTTCAAAAATTACTTTTGAAAGACTAAAGCTCTATAGTTGATAAAACTATAAAATGTCTTTATGTATTTGTATGGTGATAGAAACTGTAAAACACTTTATACCATTAAGTACACATGAAATTGATATCTTCCTGGTCTCAGGATTTCCATAAAATTTACCCTTTTTAATTTGGCAATGCTAACAGCTACAGAAGACATATTAACCAACCAACCATTGCTTCATTAGAAACTGCACCAAATCCAATGTCAAAAACATTACTTTATTTTTCTAGTATGAAATGTCCTATTACGTACAAAAGAATTGCTGTTTAGAATTTGCCACAATTTGTTGAAAACATAGCAATCTATTGCCTACAGGTAGGAGAGTTCTTGCTGCAACAAATTTTAAATGATTAAGCCCATATATATTTCTATGTATATGAATAAATAGAGCAGAAATACTGTGACGTGATGAGATGCAGAATAATTTTATAATTCATTAAAATGTAGAATTCTTGCATCAGCACAGTGCATACAATATGTAACTTTTTTTAAAAAGTAAAAGGACAAAATAATCCATATTTAACTATTTCCATCTTAATATTTTAAGCAAAAATGTTTTCATGTTTTCATATTGAGTGATTAGTCTCTTTAGTTTGTAAACATAGGTTTAAGTGACATCTTCATGTACAAAAAGGAATGGGCTTCATTAGATAAAATTAAGCCAGAATAACCTGTACACCTGAGCCTGTAATAAGAAAGAATTGGGAACTGTAGCAACATCTTTCTTTTAAGAAACCAAGGTCTGGGAAAGGTTTTGCATAGCAGGGAAACGTTGAAAGGCAGGAAACTTTTAAAAGCAATAATTAGATAAATTCCAGAAGTTGATAGGACAAAGCTAATATGAGTTAGAATAAAATCTAGTAGAATTCTTGCAAAGCTGCATAATCCAGCTATGGCAGATTTTATAGAAGCTATTACCACAATGCAGTAATACAATGTGTAAGAACATTGAAAGGAAGAACATGCAAAATACATCTTCCTCATTTTCTTCCTACTGCTTACACTACTTTTCCTTACATGGAAGAAACAAACAAACCAACAAGCAAAAAACAAACCCAATCAACAAATAACACAGAGGATGAGATCATCTAACAAAAAATGTCCTTCATAAAATATAAGTAGCTGTCTGTAATTGGTAATTTGCCCGGTATCACAGAATGTACAGATGAAGGCAATGTGTATCTTGTCGCATTACCTTTTTCGTTAGTATGATCAACTGATGCGACAGGATTAGCACCCCTGAAGATTTTTCTCTGACGTGATGACAATTGACTGGGAATGATAAAACGAGGGGCCACTGCTGTCCAGGAGAACTCCAGGTACAATTAGATTCTTTTGCCTTTCATGACCTTGCAGCCCTCCCTCCCCACAGAGGCTTACAGATAATCATTAGCGCACATTCAAAGACACCTCTGTCTGTGGGAGAAAAACTATCTCCACTTATTTTGTTTCACATACATCCATAGTTGAATTTTAATACAAAAAGAAAAATTAGAATCTGACAAATGTTTACAAAGAAGATACCTTCAAATAGATTTTACTCATTTTAACCTGGTGTGGAGTAATTGACAAATTGTACTGTTATATTCAAGGCACCAGAATCTGTAGTCCAGGACCACTTAGCCCAACCTTTATGCAAGCTTGATTTTAATCTACCATGAACAATAAACTCATTGTTGATTCGCAGTTGTGTGTGTGTGCACATGTGTACATAGCAGCGCCTTTCATAGAAAGAAAAGACATCTAGAGGTTGTCTTGTACTTTTACGTACAGGAATCATTGATAAGATAGGGATGGATTATATGTAACCGTGGCTGGATTTTATAAGAAAAAATAATTAGTTGACAAATGAGGGCAGCAATAAAAAAGCATCTTTTTTGCAACAATAAATAAATACAGTCAAAAGTTTTCTTTGAGACTCTAAACCAGCTTCTTCACTGAAGAGCAGACGTGGCATTTCCATGGAGTTATACTTGACCCCACAGTATCATTTTTTCTTGCTTTCTTTTTCTTTTTTTTAATAAACAAAATTTTCTCGCTTCTGCCACAATAATAAAACCATTTGATCTTGACAAGATAATGGTGTCGTTGACTTTTCTTTTTTCTTTTTCTTTTCTTCCTTTTTTTGTTTTTGAAACGGAGTTTTGTTCTTGTCACCCAGGCTGGAGTGCAATGGCTCAATCTCGGCTCAATACAACCTCTGCCTCCCGGGTTCCAGTGATTCTCCTGCCTCAGCCTCCCAAGTAGCTGGGATTACAGGCATAGGCCACCATGCACAGCTAATTTTGTATTTTTGGTAGAGACGGGGTTTCTCCATATTGGTCAGGCTGGTCTCGAACTCCCGACCTCAGATGATCCGCCCGCCTTGGCCTCCCAAAGTGCTGGGATTACAGGCGTGAGCCACCGCACCTGGCAACTTTGCTTTTTTCTTGTCCATTGGACAAAATTGGCCAATAATATAATTGGACTGTTATGACCGATAAAAACAAAGTTAGATCAAGTCTTGTCAGGATAGCCTCACTAAAAAGATCTGGCTCCTTAATTTAAAATAGTTCAGGCAACAAGATTCTTGCTGTGTTTTATGTTAGGTTAACATGCTGAACTTTAGGAAGCTGTAGACTGCAGTTTGTTGTTGTGAGACCTACAGAGTATAGAAAAAGGGAACAATTGAGCACCTTTCATTTTTGAAAATGATGCTTTATGCGGATGCCAAAGTAAATAAATCTGGGAGAAGCAGCCATGTTCTTTCATTCACCCTTGGCAAGCGAATAGAAAAGAACGATTAAGAAATTTTTAACCTATAATAATAAAACTTTTCACTGTACAATAAGCATAATAGCTCACTGGAAAAAGCCAATATTTAAAATATGTATGTATATATATTTGTCTAATAAAGATTACAACATTTTCAGGCAACTGGACAAATAGAGACATTTACAGAAGCATTACCATTGTGGTGAAAGGTGCGTGCGTGTGTGTATGTGTGTGTTTATTTACACGGATGAGGGGAATATAAAGGGAAAAATTATGCCAAAACAAAAGAAAAAGCAATTTTAAAATCACATTTTTCTATTAAAGTCCAGAAAGTCTCCCAGTTTCACACAGTTTTATTCACAACTTTTTTTTTTTTGAGACGAAGTCTCGCTTTTGTCCCCAGGCTGTAGTGCAAAGGCACAATCTTGGCTCACTGCAACCTCTAACTCCCAGATTCAAGCGATTCTCCTGCCTCAGCCTCCCGAGTAGCTGGGATTACAGGTGCCTGCCACCACGCCCGGCTAATTTTTGTACTTTTTGTAGAGACGAGGTTTCACCATGTTGGCCAGGCTGGTCGCAAACTCCTGACCTCAGGTGATCCGCCCGTCTCGGCCTCCCAAAGTGCTGGGATTACAAGTGTGAGCCACCAAGGCTGGCCTCACAACTTTTGTCAGTAAACCAAATTACTGTACAGTTACCAGGACTAAGTCAAAGGACTTTATATTGCAATAGCAGATAAATTTATATTGCAATAGCAGATAAATACAGTATTCCAATAGTTTACAATTTTTAAACACATTGTTTCACGTGGCTGCTAGAATAAATTTTTGACCACTATACATCGTTAACATTAAAAAATTATATTAGCTAACCTGACTTTTTGGGGGGCAATTTTGGATTACGTAATCACAAGGTACAATAAAACAGTGACCCCAACATCCAGTTCTGATTCCAGTTAAAAATTTAGACTAAAGATATCACAATCCATAAGAAAAGAAAGAATATGGATGGTATAAATGATGAATTATAACAAAGTGCAGTAATGAAAACAATGTGCAAACAATGCTGGAGATCATAAATTACAATGGGAAAATATGGCAAAGGAAATTCTGGAAACCCATAATAAAATCAAGTTTCAATAACTGGCTAGTTATGTTTCATTCTACCTTAAATCTGGAAAGCAATAGAAATTCCCTAAAAATGCGACAGCAAGTTGTCTTTATACAATTCTTTGCATTGTAATTTTTTTCTTTTTTTCTTTTCTTTTTTTTTTTTTTTTGATTTGTTTGTTTTGAGACAGGGTCTCACTCTGTAGCCCAGTCTGGAGTGCAGTGGCGCAATCATGGCTCACTGCAGCCTCAACCTCCAGGGCTCAGGTGATCCTCCTACCTCAGCCTCCTGGGTAGCTGGGACTACAGGCACGTGCCACCATGCTCAGCTAATTTTTTGTATTTTTTGTAGAGATGGGGTTTCCCCATGTTGCCCAGGCTGGTCTCAAACTCCTGGGCTCAAGTGAGCTGCCTGCCTTGGCTTCTCAAAGTGTTGAGATCACAGGTGTGAGCCACTGCACACAGCCTAATTTGTTTATTTAAGCAGAATTGAGCAAACGTCTCCATTCAGCTCCCATGTGCTTTAATGAAAATTATGTCAACTTGAGTATATTAAAAAGCTACATAAAATAACCAGGTGGCAGGAAGACATCCTAAGTGGCCCCTACACTATGCGGGCCCAGCCTAGGTCTCCTTTGCTCCTTTACCAAATTCCCTTTGTCTTGCCACAGGCCCCAGGACCTCCAAGCAACTTCCTCTCCTTCATCAGCAGTTGCCAGCAGTCATCCTCTGGGCTCTGCCAGCAAGTTGGCAGCAGGGTAGGATTCACACCCCTTGGCTTCTACCTCACAGTTACCACCAAAGGCCTTTCCAATTTAAAAAAGCAATTTTAGAAATTGAACCAGAGGAATAACCACCATGTACAAATCAAAAAGCATAGAGGGGCTTATAATGAGAAGTCGTGTTCCTCTGTCCTACCTTAACTCCCTCTGAAATCCAGGCTCCCTATGATCAATCCCCTTGACCTTTCAGTTCTATGGGTAGATTTCTTTTCTTTTCTTTTCTTTTCTTTTCTTTCTTTCTTTCTTTCTTTCTTTTTTTTTTTTTTTTTGAGACAGAGTCTTGCTGTTGCCCAGGTTGGAGTGCAGTGGTGGGATCTCAGCTCACTGCAACCTCCTCCTCCTGGGTTCATATGATTTTCCTGCCTCGGCCTCCCGAGTAGCTGGGACTACAGGCGTCTGCCACCACGCCCGCCTAATTTTTTGTTATTTTTAGTAGAGACGGGTTTTCACCGTGTTAGCCAGGATGGTCTCGATCTCCTGACTTCGTGATCCACCCCACTCGGCCTCCCAAAGTGCTGGGATTACAGGCGTGATCCACCGCACCTGGCCTCAGTTTTTTTTTTTTTTTTTTTTTTAAACAGGCAAGTTCTTGCTGTGTCACCCAGGCTGGGGTGGAGTGGCTCGATCATAGTTCACTGCAGCCTCAAACTCCTGTACTCAAGTGATTCTCCTGCCTCAGCCTCCCAAGTAGCTGGGACTATAGGCACTCATCACCAAGCCTGGTTAATTTTTTTTTTTTTTTTTTGGTAGTAGAGACAAGGTCTCATACTGTGGCCCAGGCTGGTCTTGAACTCCTGGCTTCAAGCTATTCTCCCCACTCGGCTTCCCAAAGTACTGGGATTACAGGCATACGTCACCTTGCCTGGCCTTTCACTTTTATTTTAGGTAAACTGCTTTTAAAATACCCTCTTAGAAACCATCTTCCTTGCTACAGAAGAGAGAAAGCACGCCGTGGCTTTTCCTCAAAGGAAGATCACTGTGGGGGCTGGGCGCGGTGGCTCATGCCTGTTATCCCAGCGTTTTGGGAGGCCGAAGCGAGCGGATCACCTGAGGTCAGGAGTTTGAGACCATCCTGGCCAACATAGTGAAACCTCGTCTCTACTAAAACTACAAAAATTAGTCGGGTGTGGTGGCACGTGCCTGTAGTCCCAACTACGCGGGAGGCTGAGGCAGGAGAATCGCTTGAACCTGGGAGGCAGAGGTTGTATTGAGGTGAGATCACACCACTGCACTCCAGCCTGGCAACAGGGTGAGACTCCATCTCAAAAAAATAAAATAAAATAACCGAGTATGCACAATTCAACTGTAATAGATACTATCAATTTACCCTCCAAAGTGACCATACCAATTTATACCCCCAGCAGCCTTGCTAAAAGTATTCTAAGATATTAATTTTATGGTTAATAAAATATACACTGAGACTTCTGAAAAAACTTCAAATTCAACTCATGTGTACCCACAGGTTCCTTAATAACACCATAATAATCTGGTGCATCATTAGGGTCTACTGGTTCAAGGAAAGGCCGGGCCATCTTATGGGCCTATAATGAAAAAGTAGGCATTCTTATTGTCAGTGAAAACACTAATTCCATTTAAGATTCCCAGTTGAGTCACTACATCAATGAACCCAAAAGTCAGTTTTAAATGCGATACATGAAATACTTTATATTAGGTGATTTCTGCTCTAGTAATAAGTTACCTAAGATGAGCTTCCTCTGCAATAATGGTACTCAAAGCTTGGTCGGAAGACCTTGGTGTGGTGAAGGGGTGGGTTGCCCCTCCACACCGGTGGGTGTTTCTCGTTAAGTGGAACGAGAGACTTGGAAAAGAAAAAGACACAGAGACAAAGTACAGAGAAAGAAATAAGGGGGCCCAGGGTACCTGCGTTCAGCATATGGAGGATGCTGCCAGCCTCTGAGTTCCCTTCGTATTTATTGATCATTCTTGGGTGTTTCTCGGAGAGGGGGATGTGTCAGGGTCATAGGATAATAGTGGAGAGAAGGTCAGCAGATAAACACATGAACAAAGGTCTCTGCATCATAGACAAGGTAAAGAATTAAGTGCTGTGCTTTAGATACACATACACATAAACATCTCAATGCCTTACAAAGCAGTATTGCTGCCCGCGTGTCCCACCTCCAGCCCTAAGGCGGTTTTTCCCTACCTCAGTAGATGGAACATACAATCGGGTTTTATACCGAGACATTCCATTGCCCAGGGACGGGCAGGAGACAGATGCCTTCCTCTTGTCTCAACTGCAAAGAGGCATTCCTTCCTCTTATACTAATCCTCCTCAGCACAGAACCTTTAAGGGTGTCAGGCTGGGGGACGGTCAGGTCTTTCCCTTCCCACGAGGCCATATTTCAGACTATCACATGGGGAGAAACCTTGGACAATACCTGGCTTTCCTAGGCAGAGGTCCCTGCGGCCTTCCGCAGTGTTTGTGTCCCTGGGCACTTGACATTAGGGAGTGGTGATGACTCTTAAGGAGCATGCTGCCTTCAAGCATCTGTTTAACAAAGCACATCTTGCACAGCCCTTAATTCATTTAACCCTGAGTTGACACAGCACATGTCTCAGAGAGCACGGGGTTGGGGGTAAGGTTATAAATTAACAGCATCTCAAGGCAGAAGAACTTTTCGTAGTACACAACAAAATGGAGTCTCCTATGTCTACTTCTTTCTACACAGACACAGCAACAATCTGATCTCTCTTTCTTTTCCCCACAGTGTGGGGGGTGGAACACAAGCTTAGAAGTCACAAAATCAGTATTCTGGGCCCTACATGATGAGCTGTCACTGAGTGATGCTGGCATTGCAACTGCTTCTGTAAACAGGTGGGATGGGTTCAAAGTGTGGAATCATTACCACAGCTGATTAATGATGAGGTGGCAGAGATGTGATGTTAGATAACATTCAACCACACATTGAGACTACGATTCCCTTTTTAGTTTCTTCAATTCTTGTGATTATGATAAAAATAGAAGAAAGTTTCAATCCAATGCACTATATCCTTTTATTTCCCCCCATTGTTTTGAGACAGGGTCTCGCTCTGTCATCCAGGCTGGAGTGGAGTGGCACGATCATAGCTCACTGTAGCCTCCTGTGCTCAAGTGATCCTCTCACCTCAGCCTCCCGAGTAGCTGGATAAACAAGTGCGTGCCAACATGCCCAGCTAATTTTTTATTTTTATTTTTTGTAGAGATGGGGTCTCACTTTGTTGCCCAGATTGGTCTCTAACTAATTGACTCAAGTGATCCTCCTGCCTTGGCCTCCCAAAGTGCTGGGATTATAGGTGTGAGCAACCACACTGGCCTTCTGTGTCTTCAATACATCTGTATCACTTGCTAATCCTGCAAACCATACCTATCCTGGTTTTCTTTTCTTTCCTTTTTTTTTTTTTTTTGAGACAGATTCTCACACTGTCACCCGAGCTGGAGTGCCATGGCTCGATCTTGGCTCACTGCAACCTCTGCTTCCTGTGTTCAAGCGATTCTCCTGCCTCAGCCTCCCTAGTAGCTGGGATTACAGGCTCACGCCACCACAGCCGGCTAGTTTTTTGTATTTTTAGTAGAGACGGGGTTTCACCATGTTGGCCAGTCTGGTCTCAAACTCCTGACCTCATGATTTGCCCACCTCAGCCCCCCCAAAGTGCTGGGATTACAGGTGTGAGCCCCCGTACCCAGCCACCTTTCTGTCTTTCATAAGGAAAATAATAACTATAATCTAATCATACTGTTTCTCAATCCATGGGAGTGAGAGGAAGTTTCTTTAAAAATAAAATGTATAAAGAAGTGAGTCACGTTAGATTATCTGAGTGTTAGATAAGCTGAGGTGGTGTGGGGATATGGTAAAGCTCATGACACTGGTATGTGAAGGACTGAAGTTTGTCAAGCCCTTCACTAGACTAGCTGAGACTCAGTAAATAATCACTCTAAGATTGGAAACTTGAAATCCTAACATTGGAAACTTGAAATCCTAGAAATGCTTCCAAAATTATGCCAGCTGATTTCATTTTCAAATGCTGCACACAGAGGGGCTCTCATCTGTAAGGAACGGAGCACCCTCTTCAACTCCTCATCATCCTTCTCTGTTAGTGGTGTGAGCACTGTCATGACATCCTCTGTTGACTGGCACTGTGGACAGACATACTCATCAATGAGCTCTGCCTCACTCTGCAAGATGCCAATGCAGCACCCATGGTACCAATTCTGACACCGATCATGGCCAATAAAAAATCTGCAAGATCCGAAATGGAAATGTGAGTTCAAAACAGATGGGATGATGTTACTTATAATAAAGCATGCACCTGAAAATTTGCTAAACCCTGGGATATAAAATAGTTTTAGTATTGTGGTTTTAATACTTTCAAGATCGACATTCCAGTACATTAATTTAGTATTTTTGATGTTACGAACAAGCAGTAAAAAAATTTATAAGAACACTGTAATTTTGGAGAACCAATTTAAAGATAAATATGAAACATTCAATTGATTTTACAGCTGAAAACAAGTCACAAATCTTTCAACTAGTACTGTACCATGTGGGAGTTCAAAATCCTATAAGGTAATAACAGAGTCTCAAAGCTTATACCCAAATTAGTGTTTTTCTAACCTATAATAAAGCACCATTTCAAACACTGATAAAGTCCAAACAAGTCAAGCTATTTTAATCTCATTAATTTCTATGTTACATATTGAAGAATCAAATTTACCATTAAACCACATTTTCCCCAATGTGTCTCAAACATTCACTATGAAGCAAGATAAATTTTGAAGGGTAGGTAAAAAGGGAAAAAGAGAAAAAAAATGAAAAGGAATTTGTAATGTAAGTGTACAACAAATGTAGAAAAAATCTGCTTTTTATTTTAAAGTAAATAAGTAACCAGTCAGAGCAATTTGGCTTCCTAAATTATTAAATGTGATGCTCTTATTAGAACTCACTGTGACTGCAGGTGTTCTGCAGATACAGTACAATTCCTCACTGCTGTCCTCTTGTGCCCATTTACAATCATTACAGATGTACACATCCATTTTCTTAGCCTCCTTTTCTGCGATGCCAACACATTCTCCATAATACCAGTTAGTACAAAGATCACAGCCAATATAGAACCTAGAAGTATTCACAACGAAAATGACAATGTAATTGTCGTTTTGAGCTGCATGGTACTTAAATCTGTCTTCCCTGCCTTGCTTCATTTTTTTACAGGATAACTTCCTGCTATGAGTCAGCTAAACATTCCTGAATCCAACCATTCTACCCCTGGCAAACTCCAGTATCTGATGCTCTATCACATGTGGAAACAAAGTCACTCACATCGGTTTCAACAAGTACACTGCTTAGTGAAATATGGGTCTTTAAAAACATACTGGAATTTGAAAAAATAAACCACACACTGATGGTAATGTCTTCCTCTGAATGAATGTGTGTAAAACTGTAACAGGCACAAAAACCAAAGCCAAAGAATCAAAGACTTACATCTGTCAAACCTATTCCACAGAAGCCATTTCAATATCAGGGCTATTTCTTAGATAGGTTTAAAAATGTATCTCACAATTTAAATTTGAAAACAAAGCAAAGCGCAAACACCAAGTAGAAGTTACACTACACGGACCATGCAGGTCAGCCAGGTGTAGAAGATAAATGGTCAAAATATGCTAAGAAGAAGAAAACTAAGAAAGGTACATAGAGCAATTCAATCTCTACCAGGTTTTCTGAATAAACATTGGAATTTAATCAAATTAAAAATAATTTCTCATAATGGAATATGGCATGGGCCAGTTTTTCAGTTAATATAATGTTTGTGACAATGTGGGCAGTGGCCTGGCTAATTAACGGGTAGGGAACGTGGAAGGAGCTGCTTCAGTTCAACATCGGGGACATGGTATGGGGAAGGATGCAAAGATAGTTATCCAGAATCTGTCTACACTGCTTGGCAGGGTCTACACTGCTTGGCAAGGCAGAGCTGTGTAAGTGTGTGATTGTGGAGTGCACAGTGGCCTCTGTAATAAAAGACGTAATGACAAAAGAAAAAGTAAATGTAACAAACGCTTATACAGTGTGTCTACAAGTGTTGATAGGCACAGTGTAGGAACATCATGTCAAAGTCATAGTGAGAATTACCATGAATCACAGGGAAGCAGGCTGGCCTTGCTGATACCATTGGCACTCCTAGCTCTACCAAGGCATTTCTTGGTAGATTCACCTAGAGGAATGGAAGTCGTCCTCAAGCTTCAAATTGACCTGCTTCATGAATGTGAAGGAATACTATATGGCTATGTAGTTTATCCTGTTACCACTAACTTTTTTCTTTTTTCTTTTGTCTCGCTGTATAACCCAGGCTGCAGGGCAGGGGCAGGATCACGGCCCCCTGCAGCCTGGACCTCCCAGGCTCACATGATCCTCCCACCTCAGCCTCCCGAGTAGCTGGGACTACAGATGTGCACCACCAGGCCCGGCTTTTTTTTTTTTTTTTTTTTTGACGGAGCCTTGCTCTGTCTCCCAGGCTGGAGTACAGTGGCATGATCTCAGCTCACTGCAACCTCTGT
The DNA here is from genome assembly GCF_000001405.40 of Homo sapiens. Lineage (NCBI taxonomy): Eukaryota > Metazoa > Chordata > Mammalia > Primates > Hominidae > Homo > Homo sapiens. The sequence goes on from NT_167251.2 coordinate 1,226,344, forward strand.
CTCCTGGCTTCAAGCAATTCTCTTGCCTCAGCTTCCCAAGTGGCTGGGATTACAGGTGTGTACCACCACATCTGGCTAATTTTTGCATTTTTGGTTGTGCCACGTTGGCCAGGCTGGTCTCAAACTCCTGACTTTAGGCGATCCACCTGCCTTGGCCTCCCAAAGTCCTGAGATTACAGGTGTGAGCCACAGGGCCCAGCCTCTTTTCATATTTTTTTTAAAAAGTTTTAATGAGCAGTGAGGACGACCAGAGGTCACTTTCGTCACCATCTTGGTTTTGGTCGGCTTCTTTACTGCATCTTGTTTTTTCTTTTTTTTTTTTTTTGAGACTGGGTCTCACTCTGTCACCCAGGTTAGAGTGCAGTGGCACAATCTCGGCTCAGTGTACCCTGCACCTCCCAGGCTCAAGTGATCCTCCCACCTCAGCCTCCCAAGTACCTAGGACCACAGGCACGTGCCACCAAGCTCAGCTAATTTTTTGTATTTTTGTTAGAGACAGGGTTTCACCATGTTGGCCAGGCTAGCCTTGAACTCCTGACCTCAGGTGACCCACCTCAGCCTCCCAAAGTGCTGGGATTACAAGCGTGAGTCTCTGTGTCTGGCCAACATACTATTGTCTCAATATGCATTTTGCCATACTTTTTAAGCGCATCTCTTCTGCTATCCTGTAGTACAACTTACTCTTGGAAATGATCAAAGCAAACTATATTACCCTAGGGACAAACCCATTGTGATTGGCATCCACGAACAAATTTGGTGTAAAGAAATCATATCTATGACCAAGAGGGTTTCTTTCTTATTTGGAGATAGGAGTCTTACTTTGTCACCCTGCCTGGACTGCAGTGACATAAACACGGCTTGCTATAGCCTTGACCTGCCAGGCTCAAGTGATCCTCCTGCCTTAACCCCTTCAAATAGCTACAGGTGCTCACCACCATGCCCAGCTACTTTTTTTTTTGTAGAGATGGAGTCTTGCTGTGTTGCCCAGGTAACTTACCTCCTGAGCTCAAGTGATCTGCCTGCCTTTGCCTCCCAAAGTGCTGGGATGACAGTTATGAGCCACTTGTACCCAGCCATAAGAATATTTCTTAAAATCTGACTTAAAATTTTTTTAAAAAATTCTTTTAGAGATAGGGTTTCACCATGTTGGCTAGGCTGGTCTCGAACTCCTGACCTCAGGTGGTCTGCCCACCTTGGCCTCCCAAAGTGCTTGGATTACAAGTGTGAGCCACTGTGCCTAGCCAAAATCTGACACATTTATAAATTTCTACAATAATTTTAAATACCAAAAATATTCCCAAAACGTTTCATCATGATTATTTTTCTTCCTAAATCTTATAGTCTCTCAGAAAAATAACTTAGCCCACGTTTCCTTTAAAGAGTTTTTAATTTTTTTAATGAAGGGCCGAATTAATTTTATTTTTCCTTCTTTGAAAAAATTCATCCAGCACACTGGCTCACACCTGTAATCCCAGCAGTTTGGGAGGCCGAGGGCGGAAGATCACTTGCGTCCAGGAGCTCAAGACCAGCCTGACCACATGGTGAAACCCCATCTCTACTAAAAATACAAAAATGAGCCAGGTGTGGTGGCGCATGCCTGTAGTGCCAACTACTTGGAAGGCTGAGGTTGGAGGCTCCTTTAAGCCTGAGAGGTGAAGACTTCAGTGAGCTGTGATGGCACCACTGTGCTCCAATGTAGATGACAAAGTGAGACCCTGTCTTAAAACAAAACAAAACAAAACTTTTTTTTGGAGACAGGGCCTCACTTGATCGCCCCGGCTAGAGTACAGTGGTGCTATCATGGCTCACTGCAGGGTCGACCTCCTGGGTCAAGCAGTCCCCTGGCCTCAGCCTTGCCAAGTAGCTGAGACTACAGGTGTGCATCACAACACCCAGCAAATTCCTTTTTGTAGAAACAGGGTTTTGCCATGTTGCCCAGGCTGGTCTCAAAATCCTGGCCTCAAGTGATCCACCCACCTCAGCCTTTTAGAATGCTGGGATTACAGGCTGTGAGCCACAACTCTCTTGGCCTATAAATGATAATTTAAGTGAATCTCTGAAGCTACAGTTTTTTGTTTCGAGATGGAGTCTCGCTCTGTCGTGCAGTGGCATGATCTCGGCTCACTGCAACCTCCGCCTTCTGGGTTCAAGTGATTCTCCTCCCTCAGCCTCCCAAGCAGCTGGGATTACAGGTGCCTGCCATCATGCCTGGCTAATTTTTGCATTTTTAGTACAGACGGGGTTTCGCCCTGTTAGCCAGGCTGGTCTCGAACTCCTGACCTCAAGTGATCCTTTCACCTCAGCCTCCCAAAGTGCTGGGATTATAGGCATGAGCCATTGCGCCCAGCCTCTGAAGCTATAGTTTTATAGATTCTAAAGCAGAGACTTCATATAGATGTCTATGAAAAGCCAAAAACAAACAAAAAACCCACAGGAAAACCTGATTCCACACGCCAAAATTTCAAGGATTTGCCTAAAGGTAAGGTCCATCTGTACCTGAAATAAAGTTTGCTGTGCCTCTTTTTTTGCAGGGTCACCCAGCCCTATGCACCAATTATACTAGTAACAATCATTACATGAGTACCTCAGGAAGCTTTTAAATATATCACAAATATTTTACCAAATAAACCTGAATGGCCCTGGTTTAATGAATCTGTTTCTCTGTCTATAGACTATCTAGTCTTATAAAGTCAAAAGAGAAGCAATGTGACAAATTATTCAACAGCCCTTCTCTATTTATAGAGAGAGACTGAACTTCTTCTTTGGTTAGAAAGAAAACCTTGAGTTTCATTTCCTAGTTCATATATTTTTATAACATCGTGGGACGGATTTTGGGAGAACCAAGATGGTATAGCGGGTGCACACTTTGATCCTCCCTCTCCCTTCAAGAACATACAAGTGAGAGTAAAATATAAAAAAGAGAAATTGAAAAGACATAGTCATGCTTAAATAAGTTACAACAATCTCAATGGAACAGACACAAAACTGTGAGCAGGACTAAAACTGCAGGCCTTCTAGACTCCAGATGCAGAAGGAGGAAGTGGTGGCTGAACACTAACAGTAAGAGTTTCTCGGGGGTAAGGGAGGCTAACATGCTGTGTGTGAGGCAGTGATAGGCTCCCTGCTGGAAGTTAAGGGTTGACTGGGCTACACTGGGCTTCAGGAGAGAAGAAAACAAAACTCCTCTCACTCAAAATACGCTTGCAAAATTCAAATGTTTGAAAATGAAAATGTGTAATATGAAAAAAAGACAACCAGGGCCCATACGGTGGCTCATGCCTATAATCCCAGCACTTTGGGAAGTCGAGGAAGGAGGATCACTTGCTTGAGCCCGGGAGTTTGAGACCAGCCTGGGCAACATGGCAAAACCTTGTCTCTACAAAAAAACAATGACAACAACAATAACAACAAAAAACACCCCAAAATTAGCCAGAGATGGTGGCATGGCACGCGCCTGTAGTCCCAGCTACTTGGGAGCCTGAGGCGGAAGGACTTACTGATCTGGGTAGGGGGAGGCTGCGATGGGGTGTGATTGCACCGCTGCACTCCAGCCTAGGAAAAAGAATAAGGCCTTGCTTCTCAAAAAGCAAAAAAAAAAAAAAAAAAAAAAGCCAATAAAATCAATGGTCTAATCTGAATTCACTCCAAATGAAATTATAGAGCAATTTGACAGGCCGGGCCCGGTGGCTCACACCTGCAATCCCAGCACTTTGAGAGGCTGAGGAGGGAGGATCACTTGAGGTCAGGAGTTCAAGACCAGCTTGGCTAACATGGAGAAACCCCGTCTCTACTAAAAATACAAAAAAAGCTGGGCATGGTGGCAGGTGCCTGTAATCCCAGATACTCAGGAGGCTGAGGCAGGAGAATTGCTCCAACCCGGGAAGCGGAGATTGCAGTGAGCAGAGGCAGCCCTACGCCCTCCAGCCTGGGCAACAGAGCAAGACTCCATTAAAAAAAAAAAATTAACCCTATTTAAAAAAAGAGGCAGAAATAAAAATAGGTAGATGTAAAGAAGGAATCACATATCTTATAAACTAAAAAGAAAGTAAAATGTATTTTTAAAATATGCCAGTACTTATACATATTTGAAACTTCAGCAGAGACGGAGTTTCCTCATGTTGGTCAGGCTGGTCTCGAACTCAAAAGCAAATTACCCTAGCAATAATGTGTTGTTTTTTTTTTGAGACAGAGTCTTGCTCTGTCGCCCAGGCTGGAATGTGGTGGCGCGATCTCGCCTCACTGCAACCTCTGCCTTTTCGGTTCAAGCGATTCTCTTGCCTGAGTCTCCAGAGTAGCCGGGACTACAGGTGTGCGCCACCACGCCCAGCTAATTTTTGTATTTTTGTAGAGATGGGGTTTCACTATGTCAGCCAGGCTGGTCTTGAACTCCTGGCGCCATGTGATTCGCCTCCCTTGGCCTCCCAAAGTGCTGGGATTACAGGCGTGAACCATTGCACCCGGCTCCTTCTTTCCCAAAGTATAATTTTTCTTCCTCATTAGATTGTTTTTGTATAAAATGTGTTTATATATGAACACATGCATTAAAACAATATATACAAGATATATTCTAAAGTTGTTTAAAAATGATTGTCTTTGGGGTTTAGATTTAGAGATCACTTTTATTTGTTGGCTTTGAAGTGCAACTGACCTATTTATTTCCATATAAAGGATATAAACTACAAATATTTTCCCACTCTGTACAGAATGTGGAATGGAAACAGTGCATGGCACACCTTAAGTGTCAAATAAACATTTGCTGAGTGAATTGAATGGATACATCATACTATATATACACTAGTCTGTAATTTGGATTTTTTGTTCAAGCACTTGTCATTGGCAATTTCCTCCAAATAATTAAAAAACGAAAAACACCTATCCCACATTATTTTCTTAAAATGGAAGTACATTTTTTGGATATTCCAAAATGTATTCCAGTGGTTCTCAGCCGGAAGTGGTTCTGACACCTCCTAGAGAGTGTTTGGGAATGTATAGGGAGCGGGCAAGGTTATTTTTTTGGTTGTAAAAATGATGAGGCTGGTACTAGCCTTTGGTATCCGGGCCCAGAGATGCTAAACTTCTTCCTACAGTGTGTAAACTGGCTTGTCCAAAAGGCCAAAGCGCTTCTGTTGAGAAACACTGATGACCAATCTCCTCTATGTGGTCCTGTGAGACTGTGAAACACGTATTTGATCTTCCTCCCTGGTTCCTGGCATACAATTCCTAAAACCCTCAGAATCTGCAAAATAAGTCTTTTTTTTATGCTAATGATTGACTGATTAGGCTTTCCTAGAGAGCCTCAGGATTGGGGCTGGTGGTCAGGGCTTTCAGTGCCACTCTCAACCTCTGAGAAAGAGAGAGAGGCTGAAGGTTAAGCTGACCACCAACGGCCAACGGTGTAATCATTAATGACTCTGTAATGAAGCTTCCATAAAAACCCAAATTGAGGCCGGGCACAGTGGCTCACGCTTGTAATCCCAGCACTTTGGAAGACTGAGGTGGGTGGATTACTTGAGGTCAGGAGTTGGAGGCCAGCCTGACCAACATGGTGAAACACCGTCTGCACTAAAAGTACAAAAAATTATCCAGGCATGGTGGCACACCCCTGTAATCTCAGCAACTCGGGAGGCTGAGTCATGAGAATCGCTTGAACCTAGGAGGCAGGTTCAATGTTTATCTTGTAACTGACTATGTTACTGAATTATAATTTTTTTTTTTTGAGACCTAGTCTCATTCTGTCACCTAGGCTGGAGTGCAGTGGTGTGATCTTAGTTCATTGCAACCTCTGCCTCCCAGGTTCAAGCGATTCTCGGGCCTCAGCATCCCGAGTAGCTGGGATTACAGGCATGCACCACCACGTCCGGCTAATTTGTTTGCAATTGTAGAAAAGACAGGGTTTCACCATGTTGCCCAGACTGGTTTGAACTCCTGGCCTCAAGTGATCTGCCCGCCTCGGCCTCCAAAGTACTGGGATTAGAGGTGTGAGCCACTCAGTCCAGACAACATTTATTTCTTTATTCATTTCACCAGTTGGCATGGTTTCCAGACTTTTCTTGATTTATTTTATTTTATTTTTTGAGAAGGAGTCTCACTCTTGCCGCCCAGGCTGGAGTACAATGGCGCAATCTTGGCTCACTGCAACCTCCACCTCAGGGGTTCAAGCGATTCTTCTGCCTCAGCCTCCTCAGTAGCTAGGATTACAGGCACCCGCCACCATGCCCAGGTAATTTTTGTATTTTTAGTAGAATTTAGGAGTTTCCTAAATTCTGGGGGCTTGTCTCCCTGTTCCCCCACCCCGACTAATTTCCCTCGGTCGCTGCCGCTGCCCCGTCCCGTAGGTCGCTCGGGCCGCCCCACTCCGAGACTTTTTTTTCTTTCGCTGGCTCTTGCAGCTTCAGTTTCCCTAGGGGGCGGGAGGGGAATATTTGGGGGCTCTCCTGCCTTCCTCTCCGAGCCGCGGAAGGGGAGACGCAGGGAGGAGGTCTGGCCGGCTTTGGGCTCCAGCCAGGGGTCCTCGGAGACTATGGTCTCCGAAGGCCTTAGACGCGGGGCATTTCGCGAGCTGCGCGTCTCTCTCAACAGCGCCACCAAGCCCGGAGTCCAGCCGCGCCGCGCTGCGCCCAGCCCCGGCGCCCCAGGCTCTCCGCCCCCCGACTCAATGCTCCCGCGCTCCCCCTAGCGGCCGCCGCGCCACCTCGCCCCGTCCCAGGCTCGTAGGCTGCTCAGCTCACGTGACCGCGCTCCGTTAACGGAAGAAACAAGATGGCGGCTGAAGGCGATCCGCAGTGGGGCCCCAGCCATTCGGATTGAGCCTTCTCCCTCCAACCGCTTCCGCAGGCCGGGCCCCTCCTGCCCTGCCCCTCTGGCCTCCCCACCCGGCCCCAGCCGCCCCCACTGCGCCCATTGCGCCCGCCCCTTCCCGGCCGCTTTCCCTTCTCCCTCCGCCTCGGCTCCAACATGAGGGGCCGGCGGGGCAGGCCGACCAAGCAGCCCGCGGCTCCCTCTGCGGAGCGCTGCGCCCCGGCCCCGCCGCCGCTGCCGCTGCCCACGTCCGGACCCATCCGGGGTTCCGCTCGCGGCAACGCGGTAGCAGCCGGGGCAGGTGGGTCGCCGCCAGGCTGAGGTGGCGCCCAAGACGCGCCTGAGCTCGCCCAGGATGGGCAGCAGTAGCCGGAGAAAGCCGCCGCCGCCGGCCCCACCCCAGCACCAGCGCCCCGGCCGGGGGGAGGCGGGGGCAGCCACCTGGCCCGGACGGCTGCGGTCCGGAGGGCCGTCAACAAAGTGGTGTAGGAGGACGCCAGTTACTGCACGGAAAGCAGCGTCAGGAGCCATGGTACCTACAGCAGCACTCCAGGTACCCACTCAGCCCAGTTGCTGCAGACTCCTTCCCCACCTTCTCTGCCCTCCCCCTTTGCTCACTCGTGTGCTGTGCATCCTGCTCCGATCTCCCCCCAACCCCGCCGACCCCCAGAGGAGAAATGTGAGGGCACCTCAAGTGGCAAAAAACCAGATTTATAGGAGGAAAGAGGCGCATTGTTCATAATGGAGATTGCATTGTTGCAGTTTGCGGGCCACACTCGCTCTCTCTTCCCGCCTCCCGCCAACCTCCTCTTTTTCCTCCTCAGAATTTGTACCAGTGTAGTGTCTCCACCGGGCAAGATTGAAACTTGGGCAAACACATATCCATTGCTTTCATTTTTTCCCCTTGTTTTGGTAGTTTTCTGGAATGAAAGAAGCCTCTTGTTTTGCAAACCTCTTTTCATTTCTAATGTGGTTCCTTTCGGATTTTTATTATATATCTGTTCCTTAAAAGGGAATTAAGGATTTGGACAGATTGTGTGCCACAATCTGTTTTCACACCCCTAGCTGTGGTTTTAAAATTATGTTAAGGAAACGGATCATTTGGGTTAGTAAGGGAACCTTATCTGGTCTTGTGTGTTTGTTTTTATTCTTCGAGTGCTAACGGGCCCGTGCAACAGTTTCTGGTAAATGGCTGATTAAAAAGCAAAGCAGAAAGCCAAACAAGACCCAACCAAATTTGGTAATTCATCTGATTCAAAATTGTTTTGGTTAAATCAAAAATTTACAAGACCGCAGGAACACGCGTCTTAACTCATTTGATCGCTTTGCCTTGCTTGGGAAATGCAGGTTCGTGTCACCTGTTGCAGAAGATGTGTAGTTGATCATCTAGGCATAATTGCCTAAGATGAACTTTTGGACCAACTTCTAAGTCACACAGCGTCAGTATCAGATTTATTGCACAACGACTTATTCTTTTCACTCTATGTCTGAGGAAAAAGCCCTCCCGAAATCCGTAATGAATTTCTCCATGGTAACCCCTCTTCTGTTTACACACAGAAAAGTTTCTCTAGGCTGGTGCTGAGATGCATTTTGTTAACCGCCCCGCCCCGCCCAAAGGCTGCTTTGTATTAAATACGTAGTTGCAGTGTACTAAATTGTGAAATTAACATAACCGAAGCAACAACCAGCAAGACTTGTCCTTTATAATTTTGCAAATCTAGATTAATTAAATTAGAATCTGGTTTTAAAATCATTTTTAAAATAAAGTTTATGAGGAAGTATTTGTGAGGAAAAAGGACCCTTTTTTCCTTGAAGTGAGGTGTGTCATGTCTTTCTCAGAGAGACTAGGGTAGTAGAAGTGGTTAAATTGAAAAGTTTCTGCTCTCCCTCTCCCTCTCCCTCTCCCTCTCCCTCTCCCTCTCCCTCTCCCTCCCTCTCCGTCTCCGTCTCCGTCTCCCTCTCCCCACGGTCTCCCTCTCATGCGGAGCCGAAGCTGGACTGTACTGCTGCCATCTCGGCTCACTGCAACCTCCCTGCCTGATTCTCCTGCCTCAGCCTGCCGAGTGCCTGCGATTGCAGGCACGCGCCGCCACGCCTGACTGGTTTTGGTGGAGACGGGGTTTCGCTGTGTTGGCCGGGCCGGTCTCCAGCCCCTAACCGCGAGTGATCCGCCAACCTCGGCCTCCCAAGGTGCCGGGATTGCAGACGGAGTCTCGTTCACTCAGTGCTCAATGGTGCCCAGGCTGGAGTGCAGTGGCGTGATCTCGGCTCACTACAACCTCCACCTCCCAGCCGCCTGCCTTGGCCTCCCAAAGTGCCGAGATTGCAGCCTCTGCCCGGCCGCCACCCCGTCTGGGAAGTGAGGAGTGTCTCTGCCTGGCCGCCCATCGTCTGGGATGTGAGGAGCCCCTCTGTCCGGCCGCCCAGTCTGGGAAGTGAGGAGCGTCTCCGCCCGGCCGCCATCCCATCTAGGAAGTGAGGAGCGCCTCTTCCCAGCCGCCATCACATCTAGGAAGTGAGGAGCGTCTCTGCCCGGCCGCCCATCGTCTGAGATGTGGGGAGCGCCTCTGCCCCACCGCCCCATCTGGGATGTGAGGAGCGCCTCTGCCCGGCCGAGACCCCGTCTGGGAGGTGAGGAGCGTCTCTGCCCGGCCGCCCCGTCTGAGAAGTGAGGAGACCCTCTGCCTGGCAACCACCCCGTCTGAGAAGTGAGGAGCCCCTCCGCCCGGCAGCTGCCCCGTCTGAGAAGTGAGGAGCCCCTCCGCCCGGCAGCTGCCCCGTCTGAGAAGTGAGGAGCCTCTCCGCCCAGCAGCCACCCCATCTGGGAAGTGAGGAGCGTCTCCGCCCGGCAGCCACCCCGTCCGGGAGGGAGGTGGGGGGCGGTCAGCCCCCCGCCCGGCCAGCCGCCCCATCCGGGAGGGAGGTGGGGGGTCAGCCCCCCGCCCGGCCAGCCGTGCCATCCGGGAGGGAGGTGGGGGTGTCGGCCCCCCGCCTGGCCAGCCGTGCCATCCGGGAGGGAGGTGGGGGGGTCAGCCCCCCGCCCGGCCAGCCGCCCCGTCCGGGAGGTGAGGGGCGCCTCTGCCCGGCCGCCCCTACTGGGAAGTGAGGAGCCCCTCAGCCCGGCCAGCCACCCCGTCCGGGAGGGAGATGGGGGGGTCAGCCCCCCGCCTGGCCAGCCGCCCCGTCCGGGAGGGAGGTGGGGGGGTCAGCCCTCCACCCGGCCAGCTGCCCCGTCTGGGAGGTGAGGGGCGCCTCTGCCCGGCCGCCCCTACTGGGAAGTGAGGAGCCCCTCTGCCCGGCCAGCCGCCCCGTCCGGGAGGGAGGTGGGGGGGTCAGCCCTCCGCCTGGCCAGCCGCCCCGTCTGGGAGGTGAGGGGCGCCTCTGCCCGGCCGCCCCTACTGGGAAGTGAGGAGCCCCTCTGCCCGGCCAGCCGCCCCGTCCGGGAGGGAGGTGGGGGGGTCGGCCCCCCGCCCAGCCAGCCGCCCCGTCCGGGAGGGAGGTGGGGGTGTCGGCCCCCCGCCCGGCCAGCCGCCCCGTCCGGGAGGGAGGTGGGGGGGGTCAGCCCCCCTGCCCGGCCAGCCGCCCCGTCCAGGAGGTGAGGGGCGCCTCTGCCCGGCCGCCCCTACTGGGAAGTGAGGAGCCCCTCTGCCCGGCCAGCTGCCCCGTCCGGGAGGGAGGTGGGGGGGGTCAGCCCCCCTGCCCGGCCAGCCGCCCCGTCCGGGAGGTGAGGGGCGCCTCTGCCCGGCCGCCCCTACTGGGAAGTGAGGAGCCCCTCTGCCCGGCCAGCTGCCCCGTCCGGGAGGGAGGTGGTGGGGTCAGCCCCCCGCCCGGCCAGCCGCCGCGTCCGGGAGGGAGGTGGGGGGGGTCAGCCCCCCTGCCCGGCCAGCCGCCCCGTCCAGGAGGTGAGGGGCGCCTCTGCCCGGCCGCCCCTACTGGGAAGTGAGGAGCCCCTCTGCCCGGCCAGCCGCCCCGTCCGGGAGGGAGGTGGGGGGGTCAGCCCCCCGCCCGGCCAGCCGCCCCGTCCGGGAGGGAGGTGGGGGGGGTCAGCCCCCCTGCCCGGCCAGCCGCCCCGTCCGGGAGGTGAGGGGCGCCTCTGCCCGGCCGCCCCTACTGGGAAGTGAGGAGCCCCTCTGCCCGGCCAGCCGCCCCGTCCGGGAGGGAGGTGGGGGGTCAGCCCCCCGACTGGCCAGCCGCCCCGTCCGGGAGGGAGGTGGGGGGGTCAGCCCCCCGCCCGGCCAGCCGCCCCGTCCGGGAGGGAGGTGGGGGGGTCAGCCCCCCGCCCGGCCAGCCGCCCCGTCCGGGAGGGAGGTGGGGGGGGGTCAGCCCCCCTGCCCGGCCAGCCGCCCCGTCCGGGAGGTGAGGGGCGCCTCTGCCCGGCCGCCCCTACTGGGAAGTGAGGAGCCCCTCTGCCCGGCCAGCCGCCCCGTCCGGGAGGGAGGTGGGGGGTCAGCCCCCCGACTGGCCAGCCGCCCCGTCCGGGAGGGAGGTGGGGGGGTCAGCCCCCCGCCCGGCCAGCCGCCCCGCCCAGGAGGTGAGGGGCGCCTCTGCCCGGCCGCCCCTACTGGGAAGTGAGGAGCCCCTCTGCCCAGCCACCACCCCGTCTGGGAGGTGTGCCCAACAGCTCATTGAGAACGGGCCAGGATGACTATGGCGGCTTTGTGGAATAGAAAGGCGGGAAAGGTGGGGAAAAGATTGAGAAATCGGATGGTTGCCGTGTCTGTGTAGAAAGAAGTAGACATGGGAGACTTTTCATTTTGTTCTGCACTAAGAAAAATTCCTCTGCCTTGGGATCCTGTTGATCTGTGACCTTACCCCCAACCCCGTGCTCTCTGAAACATGTGCTGTGTCCACTCAGGGTTAAATGGATTAAGGGCGGTGCAAGATGTGCTTTGTTAAACAGATGCTTGAAGGCAGCATGCTCGTTAAGAGTCATCACCAATCCCTAATCTCAAGTAATCAGGGACACAAACACTGCGGAAGGCCGCAGGGTCCTCTGCCTAGGAAAACCAGAGACCTTTGTTCACTTGTTTATCTGCTGACCTTCCCTCCACTATTGTCCCATGACCCTGCCAAATCCCCCTCTGTGAGAAACACCCAAGAATTATCAATAAAAAAATAAATTAAAAAAAAAAAAAAAGAAAAGTTTCTGTTTTTTAATAAATGCTTAAATACTTATTGGAGAAGTAGGGTAGTATTATATTAAGCCAAATGTAAACCCACGTAGGTTGTCCTAACATAAACTGAAAAAAGGTAATTTCTTTTGCCCGATGGTCAGAATCCTCGCCAGACTTGCCCTGGGAGGCTGGCTGGAGAATGAAGGGAATGAATCAAATGTCAGATATTTATGTATATGTAAAAAGGAGTACATGTAAATTCTTGCCAACTTAATTTTAGTGCTTTTTTTTTTTTTTTTTTTAAAGGAGTCTTGCTCTGTCGCCTAGGCTGGAGTGCAATGGCGCAATCTTGGCTCACTGCAACCTTCACCTCCCGGACTCAAGTGATTCTCCTGCCTCAGGCTCCCCAGCAGCTGGGATTACAGTCGCCCACCAGCACGCCTGGCTAATGTTTGTATTTTTAGTAGAGATGGGGTTTCACCATGTTGGCCAGGCTGGTCTCGAACTCCTGACCTCATGATCCGCCCACCTCAGCTTCCCAAAGTGCTGGGACTAAAGGCGTGAGCCACCGTGCCTGGCCTAGTACATCTTTTATAGTAATAATTTTTACCTTAAGAAATCACATGTTGGTCTTTGTACCCAGAGCCGGTAATTGAAACGTGGAGACTGGATTGCATACACCCCTGGAGGAAGTTTTTTCTGGTTAGACAGAGCTGAGACATTTTGGCAGGGCAGTTCAGCTAACTTTAAGTCGTATTTGAAGGCCTAGCAAATAATATTTAGGATTGATGGCTGTGCATATGCTGACTTAAATTACAATTTGTAGCTAGGTGTTCTTTAAAAAAATGTGTTTACTTTTGATACTTTTGTGACATTTTGTTTTTCTTTTTTGGAGAGGGAGTTTTGCTTTTGGTGCCCAGGCTGGAGTGCAATGGTAGAATCTCGATCTTGGCTCACTGCAGCCTCTGCCTTCCAAGTTCAAGCAATTCTCCTGCCTCAGCCTCCCAAGTAGCTGAGATTACAGGCATGCACCACCACGCCTGGCTAATTTTGTATTTTTAGTAGAGACGGGGTTTCTCCACGTTGGTCAGGCTGGTCTCAAACTCCCAACCTCAGGCGATCCGTCTGCCTCAGCCTCCCAAGGTGCTGGGCCTACAAGCGTGAGCCACCATGCCTGGCCTGAGATTTTGTTTTTCTTAATGACACCTGTAGCCTACTGTGTGTCTACTTGTCCTATCCTTATATGAAATTATTAACTCTGTAGAGATAGGTATTGAGCTTATTCCCTCTGCAGCTCCTGTAAGTGTTTTGCACATAGCAAGTGCTCATCAAAGATTGGTTGGATAAATTATTGTTAGTAGATGAGAACTTGTAGTACATGAATTTTCGATAATTCTACAGTGGGTGTCATAACCCCTAAATATTTTGGATTTAGGAAACTAAAAATTGTCCTAATTGGTTTTTTGTTGTTGTTGTTCTTTTCTAATTGGATTTTGATGGACAATTTGATCAGTGAATGTCTCGCTCTGTTGCCCAGGGAGGAGTGCAATGGCACACACGATCTTGGCTCACCGCAACCTCCACCTCCCGGGTTCAAGCAATTCTCCTGCCTCAGCCTCCTGAGTAGTTGGGACTACAGGTGCATGCTGCCATGCCCAGCTAATTTTTTGTATTTTAGTAGAGATGGGGTTTCACCATGTTGCCCACGCTGTTCTTGAACTCCTGAACTCAGGCAATCCGCCCGCCTCAGCCTCCCAAAGTGCTAGGATTACAGGCATGAGCCACCTGGCCTGGCCCAGTGAATGTTTTTCATTGCAAGAGTTACTTTGTTTTTGAGTTGCTATTTCATATTGCTTTCCAGGCGTTTTCCTTTATTGGCTGTGATGTTAATTTGGATGTTTTACCTTTTGCAACGCATTATTTCTTAAGATTATGGTAAAATGGATGTGACTTTTTTTTTCCTTATTTCTTCTAAAAACAAAATGGAGTACATGTGCAGAACGTGCAGGTTTGTTGCATAGGTATACGTGTGCCATGGTGGATTGCTGCACCTATTGACCCACCCTTTAAGTTCCCTCCCCTCGCCCCCCACCCCCCGGATGTGAGTGACATTTTGAATTCCAAACTTTTAGAACATGCCCACTTGCCTCGAATGAGTAACAACGCGTGACAGTGAGTTGTTTAGGCTAAGTACTAGTTTCATTGGTTTTATAGTCTGTACTTCTTGGGTGGAAGGCTGTCAGGTAAATGTGTAGATGGAAGAAAAAAATTTTAGAACTGGTTTAAGATATCTGAATAACACATAAAGAAGTATGATTGATGAATTTGAATCCTGTTGTACTGCGAAGGCTGAAAGAGGAATTTACTTTATTGGTAATTTAGAGTAATTTGATTAATTTTTATAGTTTACAGCGTTGGCTTAATTACTGACATGTGACATTCCTAACATAAGAAATAACTCCTAATATAAGAAATAACTCAGTATTTTGTAGGTAATATAACAATGCAGAGGCATTAATTGATATTACTAAAGTCATGAAAGGTTTATTTATTGAAGATTGTTTTCCTTTTATGGAAAAAATGTAAGGATGACAACTTTTTAGTATAAAATTGCAACCACCTAGTTTTGCTTTAGCCGAAAGCATATGGCTGAATAATGCTTTAATTTATTTTTACTTTTTAAATTTAGAATTACTTCAGCCTATAGATTTTATGACATTGCCGATATAATGAGAAGGATTGTATAGGAAGTGTTTTCAATAGGCATTTGGTAAAGTTCTGACAGCACTTTGAAATTAAGCATTTGCTAATTTTAAGAAATTGTATGTAAAACAGAATGGTTCTTGTGTTTCAGTCTCAGTCTTATGTGAGACTTCTGAGAATACTTACCTGGAATTTTAAAACTTGGAACCTCTGATGACTTCATAAAACAAAAGCCCTGGTGTTATCCTGGGACAGTTAGTGATTTATGTCCTCTAAGGATTGTGACAGTGGAGATCAGTGGCAGAGATGCCATCAATGAACCATAGATTTACCTCAAACAGAATTTGTCACTGGTTTGACAATATTATTCCCACCAGTGTCAACTTAATATCTTTTCAGTATAATTTCTGATCGTTACAAGTGAGGTACAAAGTGCAGTGGGCATTTAAAGGAGGGCGAGATTATATACCCTGTTTAAGGGGATTGGTGTCGGCGTAGGCTTCCTGGATGGGCATGTGGAGAGTAAGGACAGGCAGACTGAGGGAGGGAGGGGGAGAGAGCGGGAGGGAGCGGCAGGCACTGATAGTAAAGTGTGGGCAGTCTCAAGTAACTCGGTGTAACAAGAGCCTGAGTGTGTGAATAGGAAATTAATCAAAACTCCCTCGTATGTTGTATTGGGCAGTACTTAGAGGATCAGGCTATAGCAACTGTACTTTCCCCCTCTTCTGTAGAATAGGGATTGGGCTGGATCGTGATCCTCAGGCCTTTTTCACTCCTGACACCCCGAGAAGATATGCTGTATTCCCAGCAGTACCATGCATAAACATGAAACAGAACCACATCAAATCACAGAGGTGCTGTTGAACCACTGGTGTAGCCCTCTGTCTCAAATCTATTTCGAATCTGTTTAATTTTGGGTATTGGGATGATCAGAAGATCTTGAAGCATAGCTTCTGTTCTGCAGGATGGATTGACAAGGACAAGATAGCTGGTGGGTTTTGTAGTCCTAAATGGAAGATCAGTCCAGGAGGTACTTTAGAGTTCTTCTGGCCTTGACACATAGAATGTAGAGAGAGGAATGCATCACCTACGCCTCCCTAAGAATGGTAGTACTTTCAGTAACAATAGGGAGGTCAAGATTATAAGGGAAATTAATGACATCTGTTTTCAGGTATCAGTACCTCAAGAGATTAAACATGAGAATTAAAGTGAGAGCCAAAAGGGTTTTGAAAAAGTTGGGCAACATGATTTGTGAGTAGTGGAGAGGCATGTCCTAGTTACGCAGTGATAAATAGTCTTGCATGCAGTTCGTGCTGTTCAATTCTGCTCACCCATGGGCGTGTTTGGAAGTTTGTGTTGATACATGCATATAACAGGACTGGGGATGTTAAGACCAGGAGCTCTGGTCTCTTCTGTTAGGTCCTCCTTTCCTCAGTCCTCAAGACCCTGTGTCTTCCCTTTGACTAAAGACCCTTAATGATGGAGACATGGGGGTGAGAGAGTGGTAGTCATGGTGAGCAAGTGGTAATCTGGGTGACACAGGAACAAATCCTAGCTGATGCCCTTTTCCCTTCCTGCTCCTTAGCCAGGCTCGAATCCCTCTTCCTGGGAGATCTTCCTTGAGTCCTGTTGCGCACCTTGTTCTTCCTTCTCTTTGAGTGCCTGTTGACAGTGGTTATGATCTCAGCACTAGCTTAACACTGACACTAATTATTCTATTTTTTTTTTTCTTTTGAGACGGAGTCTCACTCTGTCTCCCAGGCTAGAGTGCAGTGACACAATCTCAGCTCACTGCAACCTCCACCTCCTGGGTTCAAGCTATTCTCCTGCCTCAGCCTTCTGAGTGGCTGGGACTACAGGCGCCCACCACCACACCCGGCTAATGTTTGTACTTTTTAATAGAGACAGGGTTTTACTGTGTTGGCCAGGCTGGTCTTGAACTCCTGACCTCGTGATCCACCTGCCTCGGCTTCCCAAAGTGCTGGGATTACAGGCCTGAGCCAACACACCCGGCCTCTAATTTTTTTCATGCTTTTGGTTCTTTAACATAAGCATCAGGAGGCAGCATGTTTCTTAACTTAAAAAAAAATTATACATTAAAATACACTTTAAAAGATCGAAAGTGACCATATAGAAAGAATTAAAAGTAGCTGGGCATGGTGGTGAGCACCTGTAGCTATTTGAAGGGGTTAAGGCAGGAGGATCACTTGAGCCTGGCAGGTCAAGGCTATATAGCAAGCCGTGTTTATGTCACTGCAGTCCAGGCAGGGTGACAAAGTGAGACTCTTATCTCCAAATAAGAAAGAAACCCTCTTGGTCATAGATATGATTTCTTTACACCAAATTTGTTCGTGGATGCCAATCACAATGGGTTTGTCCCTAGGGTAATATAGTTTGCTTTGATCATTTCCAAGAGTAAGTTGTACTACAGGATAGCAGAAGAGATGCGCTTAAAAAGTATGGCAAAATGCATATTGAGACAATAGTATGTTGGCCAGACACAGAGACTCACGCTTGTAATCCCAGCACTTTGGGAGGCTGAGGTGGGTCACCTGAGGTCAGGAGTTCAAGGCTAGCCTGGCCAACATGGTGAAACCCTGTCTCTAACAAAAATACAAAAAATTAGCTGAGCTTGGTGGCACGTGCCTGTGGTCCTAGGTACTTGGGAGGCTGAGGTGGGAGGATCACTTGAGCCTGGGAGGTGCAGGGTACACTGAGCCGAGATTGTGCCACTGCACTCTAACCTGGGTGACAGAGTGAGACCCAGTCTCAAAAAAAAAAAAAAAAAGAAAAAACAAGATGCAGTAAAGAAGCCGACCAAAACCAAGATGGTGATGAAAGTGACCTCTGGTCGTCCTCACTGCTCATTAAAACTTTTTAAAAAAAATATGAAAAGAGGCTGGGCCCTGTGGCTCACACCTGTAATCTCAGGACTTTGGGAGGCCAAGGCAGGTGGATCGCCTAAAGTCAGGAGTTTGAGACCAGCCTGGCCAACGTGGCACAACCAAAAATGCAAAAATTAGCCAGATGTGGTGGCACACACCTGTAATCCCAGCCACTTGGGAAGCTGAGGCAAGAGAATTGCTTGAAGCCAGGAGACAGAGGTTGCAGTGAGCTGAGATCATGCCACTGTACTCCAGCCTGGGAGACAGAGCAAGGCTCCGTCAAAAAAAAAAAAAAAAAAAAAGCCGGGCCTGGTGGTGCACATCTGTAGTCCCAGCTACTCGGGAGGCTGAGGTGGGAGGATCATGTGAGCCTGGGAGGTCCAGGCTGCAGGGGGCCGTGATCCTGCCCCTGCCCTGCAGCCTGGGTTATACAGCGAGACAAAAGAAAAAAGAAAAAAGTTAGTGGTAACAGGATAAACTACATAGCCATATAGTATTCCTTCACATTCATGAAGCAGGTCAATTTGAAGCTTGAGGACGACTTCCATTCCTCTAGGTGAATCTACCAAGAAATGCCTTGGTAGAGCTAGGAGTGCCAATGGTATCAGCAAGGCCAGCCTGCTTCCCTGTGATTCATGGTAATTCTCACTATGACTTTGACATGATGTTCCTACACTGTGCCTATCAACACTTGTAGACACACTGTATAAGCGTTTGTTACATTTACTTTTTCTTTTGTCATTACGTCTTTTATTACAGAGGCCACTGTGCACTCCACAATCACACACTTACACAGCTCTGCCTTGCCAAGCAGTGTAGACCCTGCCAAGCAGTGTAGACAGATTCTGGATAACTATCTTTGCATCCTTCCCCATACCATGTCCCCGATGTTGAACTGAAGCAGCTCCTTCCACGTTCCCTACCCGTTAATTAGCCAGGCCACTGCCCACATTGTCACAAACATTATATTAACTGAAAAACTGGCCCATGCCATATTCCATTATGAGAAATTATTTTTAATTTGATTAAATTCCAATGTTTATTCAGAAAACCTGGTAGAGATTGAATTGCTCTATGTACCTTTCTTAGTTTTCTTCTTCTTAGCATATTTTGACCATTTATCTTCTACACCTGGCTGACCTGCATGGTCCGTGTAGTGTAACTTCTACTTGGTGTTTGCGCTTTGCTTTGTTTTCAAATTTAAATTGTGAGATACATTTTTAAACCTATCTAAGAAATAGCCCTGATATTGAAATGGCTTCTGTGGAATAGGTTTGACAGATGTAAGTCTTTGATTCTTTGGCTTTGGTTTTTGTGCCTGTTACAGTTTTACACACATTCATTCAGAGGAAGACATTACCATCAGTGTGTGGTTTATTTTTTCAAATTCCAGTATGTTTTTAAAGACCCATATTTCACTAAGCAGTGTACTTGTTGAAACCGATGTGAGTGACTTTGTTTCCACATGTGATAGAGCATCAGATACTGGAGTTTGCCAGGGGTAGAATGGTTGGATTCAGGAATGTTTAGCTGACTCATAGCAGGAAGTTATCCTGTAAAAAAATGAAGCAAGGCAGGGAAGACAGATTTAAGTACCATGCAGCTCAAAACGACAATTACATTGTCATTTTCGTTGTGAATACTTCTAGGTTCTATATTGGCTGTGATCTTTGTACTAACTGGTATTATGGAGAATGTGTTGGCATCGCAGAAAAGGAGGCTAAGAAAATGGATGTGTACATCTGTAATGATTGTAAATGGGCACAAGAGGACAGCAGTGAGGAATTGTACTGTATCTGCAGAACACCTGCAGTCACAGTGAGTTCTAATAAGAGCATCACATTTAATAATTTAGGAAGCCAAATTGCTCTGACTGGTTACTTATTTACTTTAAAATAAAAAGCAGATTTTTTCTACATTTGTTGTACACTTACATTACAAATTCCTTTTCATTTTTTTTCTCTTTTTCCCTTTTTACCTACCCTTCAAAATTTATCTTGCTTCATAGTGAATGTTTGAGACACATTGGGGAAAATGTGGTTTAATGGTAAATTTGATTCTTCAATATGTAACATAGAAATTAATGAGATTAAAATAGCTTGACTTGTTTGGACTTTATCAGTGTTTGAAATGGTGCTTTATTATAGGTTAGAAAAACACTAATTTGGGTATAAGCTTTGAGACTCTGTTATTACCTTATAGGATTTTGAACTCCCACATGGTACAGTACTAGTTGAAAGATTTGTGACTTGTTTTCAGCTGTAAAATCAATTGAATGTTTCATATTTATCTTTAAATTGGTTCTCCAAAATTACAGTGTTCTTATAAATTTTTTTACTGCTTGTTCGTAACATCAAAAATACTAAATTAATGTACTGGAATGTCGATCTTGAAAGTATTAAAACCACAATACTAAAACTATTTTATATCCCAGGGTTTAGCAAATTTTCAGGTGCATGCTTTATTATAAGTAACATCATCCCATCTGTTTTGAACTCACATTTCCATTTCGGATCTTGCAGATTTTTTATTGGCCATGATCGGTGTCAGAATTGGTACCATGGGTGCTGCATTGGCATCTTGCAGAGTGAGGCAGAGCTCATTGATGAGTATGTCTGTCCACAGTGCCAGTCAACAGAGGATGTCATGACAGTGCTCACACCACTAACAGAGAAGGATGATGAGGAGTTGAAGAGGGTGCTCCGTTCCTTACAGATGAGAGCCCCTCTGTGTGCAGCATTTGAAAATGAAATCAGCTGGCATAATTTTGGAAGCATTTCTAGGATTTCAAGTTTCCAATGTTAGGATTTCAAGTTTCCAATCTTAGAGTGATTATTTACTGAGTCTCAGCTAGTCTAGTGAAGGGCTTGACAAACTTCAGTCCTTCACATACCAGTGTCATGAGCTTTACCATATCCCCACACCACCTCAGCTTATCTAACACTCAGATAATCTAACATGACTCACTTCTTTATACATTTTATTTTTAAAGAAACTTCCTCTCACTCCCATGGATTGAGAAACAGTATGATTAGATTATAGTTATTATTTTCCTTATGAAAGACAGAAAGGTGGCTGGGTACGGGGGCTCACGCCTGTAATCCCAGCACTTTGGGGGGGCTGAGGTGGGCAAATCATGAGGTCAGGAGTTTGAGACCAGACTGGCCAACATGGTGAAACCCCGTCTCTACTAAAAATACAAAAAACTAGTCGGGTGTGGTGGCGTGAGCCTGTAATCCCAGCTACTAGGGAGGCTGAGGCAGGAGAATCGCTTGAACACAGGAAGCAGAGGTTGCAGTGAGCCAAGATCGAGCCATGGCACTCCAGCTCGGGTGACAGTGTGAGAATCTGTCTCAAAAAAAAAAAAAAAAGGAAAGAAAAGAAAACCAGGATAGGTATGGTTTGCAGGATTAGCAAGTGATACAGATGTATTGAAGACACAGAAGGCCAGTGTGGTTGCTCACACCTATAATCCCAGCACTTTGGGAGGCCAAGGCAGGAGGATCACTTGAGTCAATTAGTTAGAGACCAATCTGGGCAACAAAGTGAGACCCCATCTCTACAAAAACTAAAAATAAAAAATTAGCTGGGCATGTTGGCACACACTTGTTTATCCAGCTACTCGGGAGACTGAGGTGAGAGGATCACTTGAGCACAGGAGGCTACAGTGAGCTATGATCGTGCCACTCCACTCCAGCCTGGATGACAGAGCGAGACCCTGTCTCAAAACAATGGGGGGAAATAAAAGGATATAGTGCATTGGATTGAAACTTTCTTCTATTTTTATCATAATCACAAGAATTGAAGAAACTAAAAAGGGAATCGTAGTCTCAATGTGTGGTTGAATGTTATCTAACATCACATCTCTGCCACCTCATCATTAATCAGCTGTGGTAATGATTCCACACTTTGAACCCATCCCACCTGTTTACAGAAGCAGTTGCAATGCCAGCATCACTCAGTGACAGCTCATCATGTAGGGCCCAGAATACTGATTTTGTGACTTCTAAGCTTGTGTTCCACCCCCCACACTGTGGGGAAAAGAAAGAGAGATCAGATTGTTGCTGTGTCTGTGTAGAAAGAAGTAGACATAGGAGACTCCATTTTGTTGTGTACTACGAAAAGTTCTTCTGCCTTGAGATGCTGTTAATTTATAACCTTACCCCCAACCCCGTGCTCTCTGAGACATGTGCTGTGTCAACTCAGGGTTAAATGAATTAAGGGCTGTGCAAGATGTGCTTTGTTAAACAGATGCTTGAAGGCAGCATGCTCCTTAAGAGTCATCACCACTCCCTAATGTCAAGTGCCCAGGGACACAAACACTGCGGAAGGCCGCAGGGACCTCTGCCTAGGAAAGCCAGGTATTGTCCAAGGTTTCTCCCCATGTGATAGTCTGAAATATGGCCTCGTGGGAAGGGAAAGACCTGACCGTCCCCCAGCCTGACACCCTTAAAGGTTCTGTGCTGAGGAGGATTAGTATAAGAGGAAGGAATGCCTCTTTGCAGTTGAGACAAGAGGAAGGCATCTGTCTCCTGCCCGTCCCTGGGCAATGGAATGTCTCGGTATAAAACCCGATTGTATGTTCCATCTACTGAGGTAGGGAAAAACCGCCTTAGGGCTGGAGGTGGGACACGCGGGCAGCAATACTGCTTTGTAAGGCATTGAGATGTTTATGTGTATGTGTATCTAAAGCACAGCACTTAATTCTTTACCTTGTCTATGATGCAGAGACCTTTGTTCATGTGTTTATCTGCTGACCTTCTCTCCACTATTATCCTATGACCCTGACACATCCCCCTCTCCGAGAAACACCCAAGAATGATCAATAAATACGAAGGGAACTCAGAGGCTGGCAGCATCCTCCATATGCTGAACGCAGGTACCCTGGGCCCCCTTATTTCTTTCTCTGTACTTTGTCTCTGTGTCTTTTTCTTTTCCAAGTCTCTCGTTCCACTTAACGAGAAACACCCACCGGTGTGGAGGGGCAACCCACCCCTTCACCACACCAAGGTCTTCCGACCAAGCTTTGAGTACCATTATTGCAGAGGAAGCTCATCTTAGGTAACTTATTACTAGAGCAGAAATCACCTAATATAAAGTATTTCATGTATCGCATTTAAAACTGACTTTTGGGTTCATTGATGTAGTGACTCAACTGGGAATCTTAAATGGAATTAGTGTTTTCACTGACAATAAGAATGCCTACTTTTTCATTATAGGCCCATAAGATGGCCCGGCCTTTCCTTGAACCAGTAGACCCTAATGATGCACCAGATTATTATGGTGTTATTAAGGAACCTGTGGGTACACATGAGTTGAATTTGAAGTTTTTTCAGAAGTCTCAGTGTATATTTTATTAACCATAAAATTAATATCTTAGAATACTTTTAGCAAGGCTGCTGGGGGTATAAATTGGTATGGTCACTTTGGAGGGTAAATTGATAGTATCTATTACAGTTGAATTGTGCATACTCGGTTATTTTATTTTATTTTTTTGAGATGGAGTCTCACCCTGTTGCCAGGCTGGAGTGCAGTGGTGTGATCTCACCTCAATACAACCTCTGCCTCCCAGGTTCAAGCGATTCTCCTGCCTCAGCCTCCCGCGTAGTTGGGACTACAGGCACGTGCCACCACACCCGACTAATTTTTGTAGTTTTAGTAGAGACGAGGTTTCACTATGTTGGCCAGGATGGTCTCAAACTCCTGACCTCAGGTGATCCGCTCGCTTCGGCCTCCCAAAACGCTGGGATAACAGGCATGAGCCACCGCGCCCAGCCCCCACAGTGATCTTCCTTTGAGGAAAAGCCACGGCGTGCTTTCTCTCTTCTGTAGCAAGGAAGATGGTTTCTAAGAGGGTATTTTAAAAGCAGTTTACCTAAAATAAAAGTGAAAGGCCAGGCAAGGTGACGTATGCCTGTAATCCCAGTACTTTGGGAAGCCGAGTGGGGAGAATAGCTTGAAGCCAGGAGTTCAAGACCAGCCTGGGCCACAGTATGAGACCTTGTCTCTACTACCAAAAAAAAAAAAAAAAAATTAACCAGGCTTGGTGATGAGTGCCTATAGTCCCAGCTACTTGGGAGGCTGAGGCAGGAGAATCACTTGAGTACAGGAGTTTGAGGCTGCAGTGAACTATGATCGAGCCACTCCACCCCAGCCTGGGTGACACAGCAAGAACTTGCCTGTTTAAAAAAAAAAAAAAAAAAAAACTGAGGCCAGGTGCGGTGGATCACGCCTGTAATCCCAGCACTTTGGGAGGCCGAGTGGGGTGGATCACGAAGTCAGGAGATCGAGACCATCCTGGCTAACACGGTGAAAACCCGTCTCTACTAAAAATAACAAAAAATTAGGCGGGCGTGGTGGCAGACGCCTGTAGTCCCAGCTACTCGGGAGGCCGAGGCAGGAAAATCATATGAACCCAGGAGGAGGAGGTTGCAGTGAGCTGAGATCCCACCACTGCACTCCAACCTGGGCAACAGCAAGACTCTGTCTCAAAAAAAAAAAAAAAAAGAAAGAAAGAAAGAAAGAAAGAAAAGAAAAGAAAAGAAAAGAAAAGAAATCTACCCATAGAACTGAAAGGTCAAGGGGATTGATCATAGGGAGCCTGGATTTCAGAGGGAGTTAAGGTAGGACAGAGGAACACGACTTCTCATTATAAGCCCCTCTATGCTTTTTGATTTGTACATGGTGGTTATTCCTCTGGTTCAATTTCTAAAATTGCTTTTTTAAATTGGAAAGGCCTTTGGTGGTAACTGTGAGGTAGAAGCCAAGGGGTGTGAATCCTACCCTGCTGCCAACTTGCTGGCAGAGCCCAGAGGATGACTGCTGGCAACTGCTGATGAAGGAGAGGAAGTTGCTTGGAGGTCCTGGGGCCTGTGGCAAGACAAAGGGAATTTGGTAAAGGAGCAAAGGAGACCTAGGCTGGGCCCGCATAGTGTAGGGGCCACTTAGGATGTCTTCCTGCCACCTGGTTATTTTATGTAGCTTTTTAATATACTCAAGTTGACATAATTTTCATTAAAGCACATGGGAGCTGAATGGAGACGTTTGCTCAATTCTGCTTAAATAAACAAATTAGGCTGTGTGCAGTGGCTCACACCTGTGATCTCAACACTTTGAGAAGCCAAGGCAGGCAGCTCACTTGAGCCCAGGAGTTTGAGACCAGCCTGGGCAACATGGGGAAACCCCATCTCTACAAAAAATACAAAAAATTAGCTGAGCATGGTGGCACGTGCCTGTAGTCCCAGCTACCCAGGAGGCTGAGGTAGGAGGATCACCTGAGCCCTGGAGGTTGAGGCTGCAGTGAGCCATGATTGCGCCACTGCACTCCAGACTGGGCTACAGAGTGAGACCCTGTCTCAAAACAAACAAATCAAAAAAAAAAAAAAAAGAAAAGAAAAAAAGAAAAAAATTACAATGCAAAGAATTGTATAAAGACAACTTGCTGTCGCATTTTTAGGGAATTTCTATTGCTTTCCAGATTTAAGGTAGAATGAAACATAACTAGCCAGTTATTGAAACTTGATTTTATTATGGGTTTCCAGAATTTCCTTTGCCATATTTTCCCATTGTAATTTATGATCTCCAGCATTGTTTGCACATTGTTTTCATTACTGCACTTTGTTATAATTCATCATTTATACCATCCATATTCTTTCTTTTCTTATGGATTGTGATATCTTTAGTCTAAATTTTTAACTGGAATCAGAACTGGATGTTGGGGTCACTGTTTTATTGTACCTTGTGATTACGTAATCCAAAATTGCCCCCCAAAAAGTCAGGTTAGCTAATATAATTTTTTAATGTTAACGATGTATAGTGGTCAAAAATTTATTCTAGCAGCCACGTGAAACAATGTGTTTAAAAATTGTAAACTATTGGAATACTGTATTTATCTGCTATTGCAATATAAATTTATCTGCTATTGCAATATAAAGTCCTTTGACTTAGTCCTGGTAACTGTACAGTAATTTGGTTTACTGACAAAAGTTGTGAGGCCAGCCTTGGTGGCTCACACTTGTAATCCCAGCACTTTGGGAGGCCGAGACGGGCGGATCACCTGAGGTCAGGAGTTTGCGACCAGCCTGGCCAACATGGTGAAACCTCGTCTCTACAAAAAGTACAAAAATTAGCCGGGCGTGGTGGCAGGCACCTGTAATCCCAGCTACTCGGGAGGCTGAGGCAGGAGAATCGCTTGAATCTGGGAGTTAGAGGTTGCAGTGAGCCAAGATTGTGCCTTTGCACTACAGCCTGGGGACAAAAGCGAGACTTCGTCTCAAAAAAAAAAAAGTTGTGAATAAAACTGTGTGAAACTGGGAGACTTTCTGGACTTTAATAGAAAAATGTGATTTTAAAATTGCTTTTTCTTTTGTTTTGGCATAATTTTTCCCTTTATATTCCCCTCATCCGTGTAAATAAACACACACATACACACACGCACGCACCTTTCACCACAATGGTAATGCTTCTGTAAATGTCTCTATTTGTCCAGTTGCCTGAAAATGTTGTAATCTTTATTAGACAAATATATATACATACATATTTTAAATATTGGCTTTTTCCAGTGAGCTATTATGCTTATTGTACAGTGAAAAGTTTTATTATTATAGGTTAAAAATTTCTTAATCGTTCTTTTCTATTCGCTTGCCAAGGGTGAATGAAAGAACATGGCTGCTTCTCCCAGATTTATTTACTTTGGCATCCGCATAAAGCATCATTTTCAAAAATGAAAGGTGCTCAATTGTTCCCTTTTTCTATACTCTGTAGGTCTCACAACAACAAACTGCAGTCTACAGCTTCCTAAAGTTCAGCATGTTAACCTAACATAAAACACAGCAAGAATCTTGTTGCCTGAACTATTTTAAATTAAGGAGCCAGATCTTTTTAGTGAGGCTATCCTGACAAGACTTGATCTAACTTTGTTTTTATCGGTCATAACAGTCCAATTATATTATTGGCCAATTTTGTCCAATGGACAAGAAAAAAGCAAAGTTGCCAGGTGCGGTGGCTCACGCCTGTAATCCCAGCACTTTGGGAGGCCAAGGCGGGCGGATCATCTGAGGTCGGGAGTTCGAGACCAGCCTGACCAATATGGAGAAACCCCGTCTCTACCAAAAATACAAAATTAGCTGTGCATGGTGGCCTATGCCTGTAATCCCAGCTACTTGGGAGGCTGAGGCAGGAGAATCACTGGAACCCGGGAGGCAGAGGTTGTATTGAGCCGAGATTGAGCCATTGCACTCCAGCCTGGGTGACAAGAACAAAACTCCGTTTCAAAAACAAAAAAAGGAAGAAAAGAAAAAGAAAAAAGAAAAGTCAACGACACCATTATCTTGTCAAGATCAAATGGTTTTATTATTGTGGCAGAAGCGAGAAAATTTTGTTTATTAAAAAAAAGAAAAAGAAAGCAAGAAAAAATGATACTGTGGGGTCAAGTATAACTCCATGGAAATGCCACGTCTGCTCTTCAGTGAAGAAGCTGGTTTAGAGTCTCAAAGAAAACTTTTGACTGTATTTATTTATTGTTGCAAAAAAGATGCTTTTTTATTGCTGCCCTCATTTGTCAACTAATTATTTTTTCTTATAAAATCCAGCCACGGTTACATATAATCCATCCCTATCTTATCAATGATTCCTGTACGTAAAAGTACAAGACAACCTCTAGATGTCTTTTCTTTCTATGAAAGGCGCTGCTATGTACACATGTGCACACACACACAACTGCGAATCAACAATGAGTTTATTGTTCATGGTAGATTAAAATCAAGCTTGCATAAAGGTTGGGCTAAGTGGTCCTGGACTACAGATTCTGGTGCCTTGAATATAACAGTACAATTTGTCAATTACTCCACACCAGGTTAAAATGAGTAAAATCTATTTGAAGGTATCTTCTTTGTAAACATTTGTCAGATTCTAATTTTTCTTTTTGTATTAAAATTCAACTATGGATGTATGTGAAACAAAATAAGTGGAGATAGTTTTTCTCCCACAGACAGAGGTGTCTTTGAATGTGCGCTAATGATTATCTGTAAGCCTCTGTGGGGAGGGAGGGCTGCAAGGTCATGAAAGGCAAAAGAATCTAATTGTACCTGGAGTTCTCCTGGACAGCAGTGGCCCCTCGTTTTATCATTCCCAGTCAATTGTCATCACGTCAGAGAAAAATCTTCAG
This sequence comes from Homo sapiens, assembly GCF_000001405.40. NCBI lineage: Eukaryota > Metazoa > Chordata > Mammalia > Primates > Hominidae > Homo > Homo sapiens. Next base: position 1,254,009 of record NT_167251.2, read on the forward strand.
GGGTGCTAATCCTGTCGCATCAGTTGATCATACTAACGAAAAAGGTAATGCGACAAGATACACATTGCCTTCATCTGTACATTCTGTGATACCGGGCAAATTACCAATTACAGACAGCTACTTATATTTTATGAAGGACATTTTTTGTTAGATGATCTCATCCTCTGTGTTATTTGTTGATTGGGTTTGTTTTTTGCTTGTTGGTTTGTTTGTTTCTTCCATGTAAGGAAAAGTAGTGTAAGCAGTAGGAAGAAAATGAGGAAGATGTATTTTGCATGTTCTTCCTTTCAATGTTCTTACACATTGTATTACTGCATTGTGGTAATAGCTTCTATAAAATCTGCCATAGCTGGATTATGCAGCTTTGCAAGAATTCTACTAGATTTTATTCTAACTCATATTAGCTTTGTCCTATCAACTTCTGGAATTTATCTAATTATTGCTTTTAAAAGTTTCCTGCCTTTCAACGTTTCCCTGCTATGCAAAACCTTTCCCAGACCTTGGTTTCTTAAAAGAAAGATGTTGCTACAGTTCCCAATTCTTTCTTATTACAGGCTCAGGTGTACAGGTTATTCTGGCTTAATTTTATCTAATGAAGCCCATTCCTTTTTGTACATGAAGATGTCACTTAAACCTATGTTTACAAACTAAAGAGACTAATCACTCAATATGAAAACATGAAAACATTTTTGCTTAAAATATTAAGATGGAAATAGTTAAATATGGATTATTTTGTCCTTTTACTTTTTAAAAAAAGTTACATATTGTATGCACTGTGCTGATGCAAGAATTCTACATTTTAATGAATTATAAAATTATTCTGCATCTCATCACGTCACAGTATTTCTGCTCTATTTATTCATATACATAGAAATATATATGGGCTTAATCATTTAAAATTTGTTGCAGCAAGAACTCTCCTACCTGTAGGCAATAGATTGCTATGTTTTCAACAAATTGTGGCAAATTCTAAACAGCAATTCTTTTGTACGTAATAGGACATTTCATACTAGAAAAATAAAGTAATGTTTTTGACATTGGATTTGGTGCAGTTTCTAATGAAGCAATGGTTGGTTGGTTAATATGTCTTCTGTAGCTGTTAGCATTGCCAAATTAAAAAGGGTAAATTTTATGGAAATCCTGAGACCAGGAAGATATCAATTTCATGTGTACTTAATGGTATAAAGTGTTTTACAGTTTCTATCACCATACAAATACATAAAGACATTTTATAGTTTTATCAACTATAGAGCTTTAGTCTTTCAAAAGTAATTTTTGAAAAACATACATTCCTGGCCAGGTGTGGTGGCCCACGCCTGTAACCCCAGCACTTTGGGAGGCCGAGGCAGGGGGGATCACCTGAGGTCAGGAATTTGAGACCAACCTGGCCAACATGGTGAAACCCCATCTCTACTAAAAGTACAAAAATTAGCCAGGCATGGTGGCAGGCACCTGAAATCCCAGCTACTAGGGAGGTTGAGGCAGGAGAATCACTTGAACCTGGGAGGTGGAGGTTGCAGTGAGCCGTGATCACGCCATTGCACTCCAGCCTGGGGGACAAGAGTGAGACTTCATCTCAAAAAAAAAAAAAGAAAGAAAAACATACATTTTTATAGAACATAATGAGTTCCGAAAGCTACTTTTCTGTGAGTAATCTTTGAAAGCTTCTGCTATTAAGATCTATATAACACAGCTATTTTGCTTTCAATAATCCAGGCAGTAAACTGTACATTTGTGATACTCTTAGGATGTTTCTACCACAGGCCTTGGGCTTGTAAATATATTTAATTTGCATCAGTAGATTTCCTTGGCTAAAAGTATTTTCAATAACTGTTATGCTTCACCTGCCAAGTTCACAATCCTTGAAACCATTTCATGAAAAGTATTTTCCTATTGGTAAAGCTTTTATTCTCCTATCCAAATTCTACAGGAGGTTTAAATAAAATTGTGGCTGGGCATGGTGGCTCACGCCTATAATCCCAGCACTCTGGGAGCCTGAAGCGGGCAGATCACAAGGTCAGGAGTTACAGACCTGCCTGACCAACATGGTGAAACCCTGTTTCTACTAAAAATACAACAATTTAGCTGGACGAGTGGCACACACCTGTAGTCCCAGCTACTCAGGAGGCTGAGGTGGGAGGATGGCTTGAACTGGGGAGGCAGAGGTTGTAGTGAGCTGAGATTGTGCCACTGCACTCCAGCCTGGGTGACACAGCAAGACTGTCTCAAAAAAAAGTGAACTTTTGGAGATATTTTCTGAAGTAAAATAATTACCTTTTTATATTCCAAATCTCCTAGAGTGTTATTTAGAGACACTAAGATTTGCTGTTGTTTGTAATCTACCTTCCTGGGATCTGCAAATAAAAGTTATTTCCCTATTTCTGTTAATTCCTTTAGGCAAACTCTACTTCTTTATGTTAAAGAGCCAACCTGGTGGCCTTTCAGATCTCTGCACACTTAGTTAGACAAAGTTACATGGTTATTACAGCTTTCACTCTTCCTGATTGAAACTATCATGATATGGCTGGGCGTGGTGGCTCACACCTATAATCCCAGCACTTTGGGAGGCCAAGGCAGGTGGATCACCTGAGGTTGGGAGTTCGAAACCAGCCTGACGAACATGGAGAAACCCCATCTCTACTAAAAATACAAAAAAAAAAAAAAAAAATTAGCTAGGTAAAGTGGCGCATGCCTGTAATCCCAGCTACTTGGGAGGCTAGAGCAGGAGAATCGCTTGAACCCAGGAGGGAAAGGTTGCGGTGAGCTGACATCACGCCATTACACTCCAGCCTAGGCAACAAGAGCGAAACTCCTTCTCGAAAAAAAAAAAAAGAAAAGAAAAGAAAAAAAGAAACTATTACCATAGGTCTCAGATTTCTTGCCCTTAATGTGAGAATGGGGATATTCCATGGATAAAATAATGAAGTACTTGAGGAGGTGGAGGGAAGAGCCAACCGAGAAGTATTTTTAATAATTTGAAACATTCTAAGGTACTTCTAGATACTTGGAGCGAGATACTAAAAGTCTTTTCTTAGAAGATTATACCACTTGATCCAATTTGAACCAAATTCAACTAAAGAAACTAGCCATATAGATATACTTTTTGTTGTTGTTTGAGACAGAGTCTCGCTCTGTTGCCCAGGCTGGAGGGCAGTGGCACGATCTCGGCTCACTGCAACCTCTGCCTACTAGGTTCAAGCGATCCTCCTGCCCCCCAATAGCTGGGATTACAGGCATGCACCACCATGCCCAGCTAATTTTTGTATTTTTAGTAGAGACAGAGTTTCGCTATGTTGGCCAGGCTGGTCTCAAACTCCTGACCTTGTGATCCACCCGCCTTGGTCTCCCAAAGTGCTGGGATTACAGGCGTGAGTCACAGCTCCCGGCCTAGCCTTTTGACATTTAAAAATTCAACTTTGATTTGACTGGCCTGAGTTATGCCTGAGTTAATTTTTTTTATCTTAAAGAAAACTAGCTCAGAAGCTCTTCATTAGCTATAATTCTATCATGCAATAATGCATCTGACTCCCAAAAAGCAATTCTAGTAAAATTTATAATAAATTTGGACAAAACTCATTTTTGGAAAATACTCTAGAAATCTCTCAGTAGTGCTTTACCATAGAACACTCAGAACCTCTCAACTCTTTATTACCAGTCTGCCCCATAATTGGAACAAATAATAGTATCAGGTATTGTAATGTTAGGCTGTTGCCTCTTGGCTCCTGTGATTCCCTAGCGTCCCATCCTGGATGTCCTTTATGTGTACAGTGCTACTACTGGGTGCCATGGACAGCGTCAGGACACATTCTGACCTTCCTGGGTGTATCACCGTGAGGCCAAATAGGCTGCTCTCTCTCCAGTGAAATTCCTTCCCCTGTCTCTCTTTAGGCAGTCATCTTCATCTATGCATTAGTGGTGTCTCTGTTCACCGTACTTCTTATAAACTGAAGTACAGCCTTATCTTCTGAAAAAATACTCTCATGTCTTTGTGGACTCAGGTATAAAATCAATATTTAATTTAGCTAGTGATTAAACCTTTTTAAAACCAACTGAAAAATGTTTAGAATTCACTTGCTTGTGAGCTGTCATTGGTTAATATTGGTTCCAAGGTTTGGGGAATGAATTTGAGAAAGGCTTTTTCTCAAACCTTTAGGGCTCAAAGTCTAAAACAAAACAAAACAAAAATAAACAGGTGCATCCAAGGTCTAATTTCAAAGCAAGATTTATTGCTTTACAAGCAAACATTATACTTGGTCTTAATAGAAAAATGACATCAGATACACCCAGAATACAGTTCACATTGGGATAGCTGCCAGTTCAGCACAAAACATACATTATTAGGAGCAGGGAGGCATGAAAATAAACTATATCTTACTCTTTGGTACATCAGGAACACTTTTGCCTGAAGTAAGCCCTTTAGCACTTTTTTTAAATTTATTTTTTTAATCCACCCATCCGCACACTGGCCCTTTTGTACACTTTGTTTGTTTTTGAGACGGAGTTTTGCTCTTGTTGCCCAGGCTGGCGCGATCTCGGCTCACCACAACCTCTACCTCCTGGGTTCAAGTGATTCTCCTGCCTCAGCCTCCCTCAGCTGGGATTACAGGCATGTGCCACCACACCCGGCTACTTTTTGTATTTTTAGTAGAGACAGGGTTTTTCCATGTTGGTCAGCCTGGTCTCGAACTCCCGACCTCAGGTGATCCGCCCGCCTTGGCCTCTCAAAGTGCTGGGATTACAGGTGTGAGCCACCGCGCCCGGCTTGGTACTCTTTAAGTGTAAAATTTTAATTCTTGTCCTGGGCTTTGACCCTTGTGTTTGATCTAAATGACGTTTCATAGGTAAATGTCTTTTGACTAGTGCGCTTACTGTTATGTGAAGAATTTAAAATGTGATAGTTTGAATATAAAATCTGGTTTGATACATGATATAAAAGTTGTATATTTAAATTGAAGAAAATGTTTTGTGGACTATTTCTACTAAAGAATGTATTAAATTAAAATATTTAAAAACATGAAGCAGTGATCTGTTAACTAGACAGGTCAGTTATCTGAGCTGTGTAAATCACTGTCTGGCACAACAGTTGAATCACCTTGACACTGAGCTCAGGAGCAGCCCATTTAAGAAGCATCTTGTAAATAACAAAGTGACACCTTCGAGATTACAGTTGTAACTATGCAGGTCATTCATAGAGTAGCTTTGGGCTCTCTTCTAAAGGAGGACCCATTACATGAAGATAGACCTTTCATGTCTTGTTGCCGATGTCTCTTGTGATCCAGAAATGCCAGGATGGTTGTTTCAAATGCATTGGGTATGAATTGCACCTTGAATTTGCCCTTCCCTTTTTGGGTTAAACCTTTTCACATAGCTGCTGCTGCTCCTCAGCAGTCCATCCCCTGGACAGAGATGGCCTCTCAGGACCTGGAGCAGAGCTGTAGGAAGCTGCCCTCTCTTATGGTAGATGTGGCCCATCACAATATACCTGCTGCCTGGACAAAATAACCAGAACATTAATTCATAGCGTCTTTTAAATGCCATGAAACAGAAAATATAAGGCCTTTAAGAAATACCTAAGCTGCAATCTACTATCTTGCTGCACAAGTTGAAACTGATATTTAGTCTACAGGCAAGGTGGAAACAGTCTAGCGACCTTTAGAAGATAACCAACCCAACCAGGCCAGTGCAGTGGCTCACGCCTTTAATCCCAGCACTTTGGGAGGCCGAGGCGGGCAGATTACTTGAGGTCAGGAGTTTGAGACCAGCCTAGCCAACATGGTGAAACCCCATCTGTACTAAAAATACAAAAAGTAGCACGGGGTGTGGGGAAGGGAAAGCAATACGTAACCAGCCCACATTACAGAACAAAGGTCCTTATCACATTGTATCAGGATTTCCCAGAGCACATGCCTAGAAAGATGTGGGAGTGGGGCCGGGCGCAGTGGCTCAGCCTGTAATCCCAGCTACTTGGGAGGCTGAGGGCAGGAGAATGGCTTGAACCTGGGGGACGGAGGTTGCAGTGAGCTGAGATGGCGCCATTGCACTCCAGCCTGGGCAACAGAGCGAGACTCTGTCCAAAAAAAAAAAAAAAGATGTGGGAGTGGGTATTCCCCGCTACCAACCCTCCACACACTCCCCCAAAAAAGCAGCTTTTCTAAACTCAGTTCTGTACAGTCCCTTCTGGCAATGGTGTTTGGTGGTCGCTCACTCCATTTGTCAACATCTATTTATTGACAACCCGCTTTGTGCCAACAGCTGCCTTTCTCACCCGTGGGGGTGGGGCTGACAGTGCTTAAATCACAGAGTGGCGGAAATAATACCTGTCGTCTAAATCCTAATCATGTTACAATACTGTCCCCCATCCCTCCCAAAAAAAGACTGGGCGACCCACAGCCCGGGCTGTGGCACCCACGTTACAAACGGTGGCATAAAGTACATATGCAGCGTCATTCAGCTCAGTTTCAATACCAGGTTTAAACTCTGGACACGGTTTACTGCAGCTGGAGGAGTCCAGGACTAACATGTGGACTTGGAAGAAGAAGCCGTCGGGGGTGAGTGAGGTACAGGCGGTTCATCTTGTACAGCCCGTCCCGATCCACCAGCCAGATGCCCGCGCCCAGCACGTCCACGTCATGCACTATCCCGTTCATCGCTGCTTCCAAAAAACAGTTTGGGAACCCCAGTTCCTCTCCCAGTCCCTGGGCGTTGGTTTTTAGCAACAGCGAAACGGCCCGCATGGGTCGGTAGCCCTGGGATCTCGCGTGCAGGATTCTCCGGGACTCGGAAAGACTCGCGGGGCTGCGGCGCGGCGGCCGGGCTCACCGATTTCGCGCTTGCAGAACGCCTCTCGCCCGTCCATGCCCGCCCGGCAAGCGCAAGCGCAGGGCTCGGCGCAGGGCTCCGCGTCCCTGCGCGGCTGACTGAGGCCGAAGCTGAAGCTGAGGCGCGGCGGCGGTGCGGGCGGTGAGCCGGGGGCCGGCACGACGGCGCGCGGCCGGTTGGGGTGGGCAGGGCCGGCGGGGCCCTCGGCGGCGCGCGCGAGCGGCCGGGCGGCGGGGAAGCGTAGGGCCCGTGAGCGCGCGCGTCTCGGGGCTTCCTCCGACGCGGGCCCGCGGCGCCGCAACGCGCGGTTCTCGGCTTGCGCCAGGCGCGGGCCTGTGGGCGCGTGTGCGGCCTCACGGAAGGTGGCCCGGTTGTCGGCCGGCGGCTGAGGCCTGGGCGCCCCCTCCCCAGATCCCCGCTCGGCTCCCAGGGCTCCGCACTACACCGATCTTACTTTTTCTCTCCACCGGAGCTTCGGGGGATGATCCGACGATTAAACAGAGGAGCCAGAAAGCTCTAGCTGTCATTTTTGCAGACAGGGTTCCCAGGCTCTAAAAGTGAGCCTGGGCTTTTGCTTGCTTTCTCTCCCCTAACCCCTTCTCCACACCCGCGTCCCCGTTCATGCTAATGAGGGGCAGCCTTTGGGGAAACGGGAATCACTCGCTGAGCAGACCATTGGAACAAAACCGAGCCGCAGGGATTTCTCCCTCTTCCTTCCTAAGGGGGACGAGCACATGGCCTCGCAAAGTTGTCCCCGAGAATGTCTGTCCTGTGATCTGCGGGCGAGGATAGCATCACAACCTAAACTTTAAACTCGTGTGCGTTTGCGCGCTGCGGTGGGGGCAGCAGAGGGTGGGGTGACAAGTGCGGAGAATAAGGGTGTTTCGGGACTGAGGGACTGAGTGGGGGAGAAAGAGTGATGGCCGCTTTTTTCTAGATTAGGTCAACAACAAATAGGAAAATAGTGCTTAAGACAGCGTGGGTTTGTGGAAGGGAGGAGATTCCAGATGACAGAGAATGTATCCTGGAATGTGTATGTTAGGCAATTTCTAGAGACACCAAGTCACTGCTTCCTAAGTTTAGTAAAACTGTTTCATTATATATGACAGCTCACTGTAACCTCTGCTTCCCGGGTTCAAGCGATTCTTGTGCCTCAGCCTCCCAAGTAGCTGGGATTACAGGCATACGCCACCATGCCAGGCTAATTTTTGTATTTTTAGCAGAGACCGGGTTTCATCGTGTTGGCCAGGCTGGTCTCAAACGCCCGACCTCAAGCCATCCACCCGCCTTGGCCTTCCAAAGTGCTGGAATTACAGGCATCAGCCACGACGGCCGGCACAGAGGTCTAATTATTAATCAGAAGGTTGCCTGTTGAGGCCGGGCATGGTGGCTCATGCCTGTAATCCCAGGACTTTGGGAGCCTGAGACAGGAGGCTCTCTTGAGCTCAGGAGTTCAAGACCAGCCTGAGCAACATGGAGAGACCCTGTCTCTACAAAAAATACAAAAATTAGCCGGGCATGGTAACTCACGCCTGTGGTTCCAGCCACATGGGAAGCTGAGGTGGGAGGATCGCTTGAGCCTAGGAGGTGGAGGTTGCAGTGAGCCGAGATCGTGCCACTGCACTCCAGCCTGGGTGACGGAGACCCTGTCTCAAAACCAAAAAAAAAAAAAAAAAAGAAAGAAGAAGGAAGAGGAGGAGGAGGAGGTGGAGGAAGAGGAGGAGGAAGAGGAGGAGGAGAGGAAGAGGAAGAAGAGTAGGAAGAGGAGGAGGAGGAAGGAGGAGGAGGAGAAGGAAAAGAAGAAGAAGGAGAAGGAGGAGAAGAAGAAAAGAAGGAGAAGAAGAAAAGAAGAAGAAGAAGAAGAAGAAGAAGAAGAAGAAGAAGACGAAGAAGAAGACGAAGAAGAAGAAGAAGACGAAGAAGAAGAAGAAGACGAAGAAGAAGAAGAAAGGAAGTTTGTCCGTTGAGCATTAAATCAAAGAAGAGAAATTTGCCAAACTGCAGCTGAAGGAGGTGGGTTAATCTACCCTCATTCAGGTGTTGGAGGAGTGAATTATCTTCTCCCTCCAAAAGAGCAAACCTCTACAGCCACTGCAAAGCAAGCTTGGGTACACCAGAGTCAGGTTCTCCAGACTAGACAGGCCCAGATAAACACTAGTCAGATAAACACTAGTAAGTTCATGCCCTCGGGGCCCTGTTCATAGATGTCCTCAGATCCCCTTCTTTCACGTGCTCTTTCTTTAAGTCAAGTGGAATAAAATTCACTAGGCTTAAGATTTCTCAGTTACAACCACATCTCTGACATACATTCAAATCACCCACATCCTGCTGGGGGTGTTCCCAAAACTCTTCTGTTGCAGGAATGTTGTGAATGCCCTGAAACCCACACCCTGAAATGTAGAGACAGAGAGCAAGCTGGATGGTTCCCAGGGGCTCCCAGAGGCTCCTGGGGTGGCAACAGCTGGAAGAACTCACCAGAGTCCAGTGCTGGGTCTTGGGCAGTGTCTGGCTTGCAGCCTTAGAAATCACACTAATGGTGGAAGGTACAAAGAGTTCAAAGAGACTGATCTATGTAGCCAGAATGCCAGTTTATTAATTTACAGTGAGAAATCAACTCAGAAATGCAACTCACGTCAGCCTGGGTAGCATTCTCTTTCTATAAACAAGCCACACAGGAAGCCAAGTTATCATCAGGTGCTTGGTAATATAAACCAGAGCCCAGGGAGTTTGTCACCTGATTGGAATGTTTAACAGTATTGGTTTCTCACAGCCTAATGTGTTCATCTTTACAATAGGTGTGTATACCTGTCGGGAGGAAGAACCCAAGAGACCAACTGGCAACTTCCTTGATAATTTCTGGTATTTTGAGTGTATGTTTCTGCTTAGCAAATATTTATTGAGCATCTACTGTGTGTTGTATAATAAAGAATTTGTAGGACAGGCTCAGTGGCTCACGCATGTAATTCCAGCACTTTGGGAGACTGAGGGAAGCGGATCACTTGAGCTCAAGAATTCAAGACCAGCCTGGTCTCTACAAAAAAAAAAAAAAAAAAAAAAGTCAGCTGAGGTGGTAATTCTAGAGAATTTGAATTATCCAGAATGACTCACAGAACTCAGGATAGCATTTTACTTACAATGAATTGTATTATTATTTTGTCGGTTCATTATTTTATGTTTATTTTATCTTATTTTAATAGAGATGGTGGGAGCCAGATGCAGTGGCCCACACCAGTAATCCCAGCACTTTGGGAGGCTGAGGCGGGCAGATCACTTGAGGTCAGGAGTCCAAGACCAGCCTGGCCAACCTGGTGAAACCCTGTCTCTCTCTCTCTCTCTCTTTTTTTTTTTTTTTTTTTGAGACAGAGTCTCACTCTTGTTGCCCAGTCTGGAGTGCAGTGGCACAATCTCGGCTCACTGCAACCTCCACCTCCCAGGTTCAAGCGATTCTCCTGCCTCAGCCTCCCAGGTAGCTGGGATTACAGGCATGTGCCACCACGACCTGCTAATACTGTATTTTTGGCAGAGACGGGGTTTCTCCATGTTGGTCAGGCTGGTCTCAAACTCCCGACCTTAGGTGATCTGCCCGGCTCAGCCTCTCAAAGTGCTGGGATTACAGGCATGAGCCACCGTGCTCGGCCTTTTTTTTTTTTTTTTTTTTTTTTTTGAGACAGAGTCTGGCTTTGTCACCCAGGCTGGAGTGCAGTGGTGTGATCTCAGCTCACTGCAACCTCCACCTCCTGGGTTCAATCGATTCTCCTGTCTCAGCCTCTCAAGTAGCTGGGATTATAGGCACACACCACCATGCCTGGCTAATTTTTGTATTTTTAGTAGAGACGGGGTTTCACCATGTTGGGCAGACTGGTCTCAAACTCCTGGGCCAAGTAATCTGCCCACCTCAGCCTCCCAAAGTTCTGGGATTACAGGCGTGAGCCACTGCACCGGGCTCCATTTTATCTTCTGTCTCTACAATTATTTATTTGTTTGTTTGTTTGTTTATTGAGACAGGGTCTCACTGTTGCTTAGGCTGGAGTGCAGTGGCAAAACTCTATCAAGGCGCACTGTGGCCTTGACCTCCCGGGACTCAGGTGATCCTCCCTCCTTCGCCTCCAGAGTAGCTGGGACTACAGGTACCCACCACCAAACCCAGCTAACTTTTATATTTTCTGTAGAGATGGGGTTTCACCATGTTGGCCAGGCTGGTCTCCAACTCCTGGGCTCAAGCTAACTAACCTCCTTGGCCTCACAAAGTGCTGGGATGACAGGCATAAACTACCACACCCGGATTTCCTTGTTACTCTAGGAGACATTCTGGAACTTGTACATCAGCCGCTGATTTCATTTTCAGTGCCATCAATTCTGCTTTTTGCTCTGTCCAATGAGGATCTTCCTTCCTTTCTTTTTTCTTTTCTTTTCTTTTTTTTTTTTCCGAGACCGAGTTTTGCTCTTGTTGCCCAGGCTGGAGTGCAATGGCTTGATCTCGGCTCACCGCAACCTCCGCCTCCCGGTTCAAGTGATTCTCCTGCCTCAGCCTCCCAAGTAGCTGGGATTACAAGTTACAGGAATTCTCACAAAAGTACAAGGAGAAATAGTCCTTATGAAGAAGGAAATTATAAAAAGGGAATAGACTGAAATGAACAAACAACAGGATGAACAAAAAAGGAAGCTGACTAATAATTCCTGAGCTTTTAAATCCTTACTGGGGCCAGGCGCAGTGGCTCACGCCCTTAATCCCAGGACTTTGGGAAGCTGAAGCGAGCAGATAGCTTGAGCCCAGGAGTTTGAAACCAGCCTAAGCAACATGGCAAAATCCCATCTCTATTAATTAAAAAAAAAAGAAGAAGAAGAAGAAGAGGGGAAGGGAGAACGGAAGGAAGATCGGCCGGGCGCAGTGGCTCACGCCTGTAATGCCAGCACTTTGGGAGGCCGAGGCAGGTGGATCACCTGAGGTCAGGAGTTTGAGAGGCCCGGCACAGTGGCTCATGCCTGTAATGCTAGCACTTTGGGAGGCCAAGGTGGGTGGATCACTTGAGGCCAGGAGTTCAAGACCAGCCTGTGCAATATGAGGAAACCCCGTCTCTACTGAAAATATAAAAATTAACCAGGCATGATGGTGCTCGCCTGTAGTCCCAGCTGCTCAGGAGGCTGAGACAGGAGAATTGCTTAAACTCAGGAGACGGAGTTTACAGTGAGCTCAGGTGGCACCACTGCACTCCAGCCTGGGCGACAGAGCAAGAACCTGTCTCAAAAAATAATAATAATAATAATTGTCTTTAGGATTCTTTGTCAACATTATTTGAGGTATGCTCTGCACATTTTTAAGGGGAAAATATTTTTACTTTTATTATTAAACATTTAAAAAGTTATGGAGAATAATGTAATGAATACCTGCATAAGTATAACCCAGTTTTATCAGATCTTAATATCTTCCCATACTTGTTTCTTTTTCTTCTTCTTCTTCTTTTTTTTTTAGTGGTTAAAAAATTACAAATATAGCCAGGCACCATGGCTCGGGCCTGTAATCCCAGCACTCTGGGAGGCCGAGGCGAGCAGATCACCTGAGGTCAGGAGTTTGAGACCAGCCTGACCAACATGGAGAAACCCCGGCTCTACTAAAAATACAAAAAATTAGCTGGGTGTGGTGGTGCGTGCCTGTAATCCCAGCTACTCGGGAGGCTGAGGCAGGAGAATCACTTGAACGCAGGAGGTGGATGTTGCAGCGAGCTGAGATCGTGCCATTGCACTCCAGCCTGGGCAACAGAGCAAGACTCCATCTCAAGAAAAAAAAATTACAAATATAGTTTGTAGTAACCATCCTCCAAATAGCCAGTCCCCAATGGCCCCCACTTTCTGGTATTCACATACCATGTAGTCTCCTCTACCCTGTAGCAGGGTTGGTCTGGGAGACTGATAGCCTATGGAAGAAGTAATATACACTTCCAAGATTAGGTTACAGAAAGACCGAACTCTTTTTTTAAAAAAAATTTTTTTATTTCCATAGGATATTGGGGAACAGCTGGTGTTTGGTTACGTGAATAAGTTCTTTAGTGGTGATTTGTGAAATTTTTGTGCACCCATCACCCAAGCAATATAGACTGCACCCAATTAATAGTCTTTTATCCCTCACCCCCTTCCCTTCCTTTCCCCTTGATTCCCCAAAGTCCATTGTGTCATTCTTATGCCTTTGCATCCTCCTAGCTTAGCTCCCATTTATGAGTGAGAACGTACGATGTTTGGTTTTCCATTCCTGAGTTACTTCGCTGAGAATAATAGTCTCCATAGACAGGGCTGGGTGGCTCATGCCTGTAATCCCAGCACTATGCGAGGCCGAGGTGGGTGGATCACCTGAGGTCGGGAGTTTGAGACCAGCCTGACCAACAGGGAGAAACCCCGTCTCTACTAAAAATACAAAATTAGCCAGGCATGGTGGCGCATGCCTGTAATCCCAGCTACTTGGGAGGCTGAGGCAGGAGAATCGCTTGAACCCGGGAGGCGGAGGTTGCGGTGAGCCAAGATCCCGCCATTGCACTCCAGCCTGGAGAACAAGAGTGAAACTACGTCTCAAAAAAAAAAAAAGAGAATAGAGAGCCATGCAGTCCAAGCGGGATTGTGAGCTGTGGTGTGAGAGGGTGAAGCCAGAGAACAAGGCGGCGCTGGAGGCGTGGGTCAGGCAGACAGGCATCGCCTGGTGCAGGTGAACGGGCAGAGGAAGTATGGCGGGCCACCCCCAGGCTGGGTGGGCAGCCCGCCGCCGGCTGGGTCAGAGGTGTTCATCGGGCGGCTGCCTCAGGAAGTGTATGAGCACCAGCTTATCCCGCTGTTCCAGCGCGTGGGCCGCCTCTACGAGTTCCGCCTGATGATGACCTTCAGCGGCCTGAACCGCGGCTTCGCATATGCCCGCTGCAGCTCGCGGCGCGGCGCGCAGGCCGCCATCGCCCGCTGCACAACCACCCGCTGCGGCCGTCCTGCCCGCTGCTCGTGTGCCGCAGCACCGGGAAGTGTGAGCTGAGCGTTGACTGCCTGCCGCCGAATCTGACCCGCACCGCGCTGCTGCCCGCGCTGCTGCCCGCGCTGCAGCCGCTGGGTCCCGGCCTGCAGGAGGCGCGGCTGCTGCCCAGCCCCGGACCTGCGCCCGGGCAGATCGCTGTGCTCAAATTCAGCTCGCACTGGACCGCTGCCATGGCCAAAAAGGCCCTGGAGGAAGGGCAGCCACACCTCTGTGGAGAGCAGGTGGCTGTGGAGTGGCTCAAGCCAGAACTGAAGCAGCGACTTCGCCAGCAGCTTGTGGGTCCCTCCTTGCGGTCCCCACAGCCAGAGGGCAGCCAGTTGGCCTTGGCAAGGGACAAGTTAGGGTCCCAAGGGGCTCGGGCTACCCTGCAGTTGCTGTGCCAACGAATGAAGCTGGGCAGCCCTGTGTTCCTCACCAAGTGTTTGGGCATAGGACCTGCTGGCTGGCACCGCTTCTGGTACCAGGTGGTGATTCCTGGGCATCCGGTGCCCTTCAGCGGCCTCATCTGGGTTGTGCTGACCCTAGATGGCCGGGATGGGCATGAGGTGGCCAAGGATGCTGTGTCTGTACGGCTGCTGCAGGCACTCAGTGAGTCTGGGGCCAATCTCCTGTGGTCTGCTGGGACTGAGGCAGGTAGCATGGTTAAACAGTGACTCCATTCTCTCTCCACAGGCAGCCCGAATGGGCATGCAGAGCCTGTGTCAGGCCCCAACCCAGCAGACCTGGGTGGCCACTATCTGACCCCCAAAGGTGGGGAGGGGCATGGGCCCAGGCCCATCAGCCTCCCTGCTGGGACAGGGACCTATGGCACCTGGGGGCAGCTTAGGTTTGGCTTAAGTTGTGGTGAGGGGCCTTGCCCTCCCCCTCCCAGCCCAGGGTCCAACCTGACCCAGTTATCTTCCATGGCCATTCCTTGTCCCACCCCCACCCGATCATACCTTCCCCCCTCTGCCACAGCTTAGCATGAATCTTCTTTATTGTCCTGATTTGTCCTCTTTGTTGGTTTTTATTTGTGGGGAAGGGCAGCTGAGCCAAAGGGGTCAGAAATTCTGCCCTTTGCCTCCACCACATGGCATTCTGGTTTTGGTTTCTGTATAGTTTTGGGTCTTTCTATGCTGGTTGTATTTATGTTAAACCCCTGGTTAGTAAAAAAAAAAAAAAAAAAAAAAAAAAAAAAAAAAAAAAAAAAAAAAATTAGCCCGGGTGCGGTGGCTCATGCCTGTAATCCCAGCACTTTGGGAGGCTGAGGTGGGCGGATCACGAGGTCAGGAGATCGAGACCATCCAGGCTAACATGGTGAAACCCGGCCTCTACTAAAAATACAAAAAAAAAATTAGCCGGGCATGGTGGCAGGCGCCTGTAGTCTCAGCTACTTGGGAGGCTGAGGCAGGAGAATGGTGTGAACCCAGGAGGCAGAGCTTGCAGTGAGCCAAGATTGCGCAACTGCACTCCAGCCTGGGTGACCAAGTGAGACTCTATCTCAAAAAAAAAAAAAAAAAAAAAAAACAAGAATAATAGTCTCCAATCCCGTCCAGGTTGCTGCAAATGCCATTAATTCATTCCTTTTTATGACTGAGTAGTATTCCACTGTATATCTATACCACAGTTTCTTTAGCCACTCATTGATTGATGGGCATTTGGGCTGGTTCCACATTTTTACAATTGTGAATAGTGCTACTATAAACATGTGTGTGCAAGAATCTTTTTTGGCCAGGAGTGGTGGCTCACGCCTGTAATCCCAGCACTTTGGGAGGCCAAGGTGGGCGGATCACAAGGTCAAGAGATCAAGACCATCCTGGCCAACATGGTGAAACCCCGTCTCTATTAAAAGTACAGAAATTAGCTGGGCATAGGGGCACACGCCTGTAATCCCAGCTACTTGGGAGGCTGAGGCAGGAGAATCACTTGAACCCGGGAGGCAGAGGTTGCAGTGAGCTGGGATCGTGCTGCTGCACTCCAGCCTGGCGACAGAGCGAGACTCCATCTCAAAAAAAAAAAAATCGTTTTCATATAATGACTTAGAAAGACTGAACTCTTACCTGGGCTGTGTGTGTTCTCTCTCTTTTTTAGTTCATTCACTCTAGCTATGTGGGGAGGACATTCAGGCAGTGTGTGGAGAAGTCCAGGTAGTAAGCCAATGAAGTCTTCAACCAATATTCAGTGAGGAACTACAGCCTGCCAACAACCAATGAGTGACCTTGAATGCATATTTTCTCCCGATTGAGTCTTCAGATAAGAGTGCAGCCCCAGGCCACTGCTTGACTGAAACATCCCAAGAGAACTGAGGAGAACCACCCAGCTAAGTCCCTCCCAGATTCCTGACCCACAGAAAGTGTGATATAATAAATGTTTTTTGTTTTAAGCTGCTAAATGTTGGGGATCATTTTTTTTTTTGACATGGGCCTCACTCTGTCGCCTAGGCTGGAGTGCAGTGGTATGATCATGGCTCATTGCAGCCTCAACCTCCAAGGCTCAAGGGATCCTCCCATCTCAGCCTCCCAAGTAGCTGGGATCACAGGTGTGTACCACCACACCTGACTTTGGTTTTTTTTTTTTTAAAGTAGAAACAAAGTCTTGCTTTGTTGTCCAGGCTGGTCTGGAACTCCTGGGTTCAAGTAATCCTCCGTCTTCAGGCTCCCAAAGTGCTGGTATTACAGGCATGAGCCACCATGCCTGGCCCAATTGTTAAATCTTTTTTAAATTTTATTATTTTTTTCTTTTTTGTTCAAAGTGTTAATTTTTTTTTTTTTTTTTTTTTTTTTTTTTTTTTTTTTTTTTTGAAAAAAAGTCTAACTCTGTTGCCTGGGCTAGAGTGCAGTGGCACGATCTCGGCTCACTGCAACCTCCGCCTCCCAGGTTTAGTTCAAGCAATTCTCCTGCCTCAGCCTCCTGAGTAACTGGGATTACAATCACGTGCCACCACACCCAGCTAATTTTTTGTATTTTTAGCAGAGACAGGGTTTTGCCATGTTGGCCAGTCTGGTCTTGAACTCCTGACCTCAGGTGATCCACCCTCCTCGGCCTCCCAAAGTGCTGGGATTACAGGTGTGAGCCACCATGCCCAGCCTAGTGTTAAATCTTTATAACAACATAAGTACGAGGTTGAGACTTATTACCCTGTTTTACAGATGAGTAACTGAGGCACAGAAAGGTTGAGTTACTTGGCCAAGGTTATACAACTAATAATTACAGGATACCAAAACCGCTAGCTTCTGCCAATGCTCTTAATATAAGGTTGAAAGAAAAAAGAAGAGAAAAGAGCCAATTAACATAAAACATAGCTGTTAGAAGCCTCCTTCTACAAATGGCCATGAAGTCTAAGTTGATAATCATAGCCGCCTTCTTCCACCACTTCTTCCAATCCCCTTTCGAAGGGTTCTGTGCCTCATAGGGACACTCAATACTTTATTCCATAAGACCTGACTTCTTGGTGGTCTTGTTTTTATTGGGTTGCTCTACTTTTCCATTAACCAGGTCTTAGGGTCAAGAGCCTGCTAAGATGTGTCCCCAGTGAATTTTTGGCTTTCAGACATAGCCTCCTTCCTCTACTAAGTAACAGAGCCATTTTCCTCTTGCTAATCATAGGTAAAGAGGCTAGTTCGGTGATGGTTTTAGTTAGCTCAGGCTGCTATTACATACTGGGTGGCTTAAACAACAGACATTGATTTCTCACAGTTCTGGAGGCTGGGAAGTCCCATATCAGGGTGATAGCATGATTGGGTGCTGGCAAGGGCTCTTTTCCTAGCTTGCAGATGGCTGCCTTCTTGCCATATCTTCACTTGGTGGACAAAGAGAAGAAAGGCTCTCTGGTCTCTTCTTTTTTTTTTTTCTTTTTGTTTTGAGACAGAGACTCTCAGATGCTCTCTCTGTCCAGGCTGGAGGCTGGAGTGCAATGACATGATCTGGGCTCACTGCAACCTCCACCTCCCGGGTTCAAGTGATTCTCCCACCTCAGCCTCCCAAGTAGCTGGGATTACAGACTTGCGCCACCACGCCCAGCTAATTTTTGTATTTTTAGTAGAGATGGCTTTTCACCGTATTGCCCAGGCTGGTCTCAAACGCCTGATCTCAAGTGATCCACCCACCTTGGCCTCCCAAAGTGCTGAGATTTCAGGGGTGAGCCACTAGCCAGACCACCTGGTCTTTTCTCCCAAAGTGCTGAGATTTCAGGGGTGAGCCACTAGCCAGACCACTTGGTCTTTTCTTTTAAGACACTCATCCCATCATGGGGCACTGTAAGCCTAATTACGTCCCAAAGACCCCACCTTCTAATACCATCACATGGAGGTGAGGGCTTCAACATAAGAATTTGGGGGCCGAGGCCGGGCGCGGTGGGTCACGCCTGTAATCCCAGCACTTTGGGAGGCCGAGGCGGGCAGATCGCGAGGTCAGGAGATCGAGACCATCCTGGCTAACACAGTGAAACCCCGTGTCCACTAAAAATACAAAAAATTAGCCAGGCGTGGTGGCGGGCGCCTGTAGTCCCAGCTACTCGGGAGGCTGAGGCAGGAGAATGGCGTGAACCCGGGAAGCAGAGCTTGCAGTGAGCCAAGATCATGCCACTGCACTCCAGCCTGGGTGACAGAGCGAGACTCCGTCTCAAAAAAAAAAAAAAAAAAAAAATTGGGGGGCTGGGCGCGGTGGCTCATGCCGGTAATCCCAGCACTTTGGGAGGCTGAAGTCAGCAGATCACCTGAGGTCGGGAGTTTGAGACCAGCCTGACCAACATGGAGAAACCCCATCTCTACTAAAAATACAAAATTAGCCGGGTGTGGTGGCGTATGCCTGTAATCCCAGCTAACTCGGGAGGCTGAGGCAGGAGAATCACTTGAACCTGGGAGGTGGAGGTTGCAGGGAGCAGAGATCGCGCCACTGCACTCTAGCCTGGGCAACAAGAGCAAAACTCCATCTCAAAAAAAAAAAAAAAGAATTTGGGGAGGAGGCAAACACTTAGCCCATAATAGTAGCCGCCTTCCATCCTTATTGATTCAGCAGCATGAGGAACTTTAAATGGCCAGCTTCGGCTGGGCAAGGTGGCTCATGCTTGTAATCCAAGCACATTGGGAGGCCGAGGAAGGAAGATCACTTGAGCCCAGGAGTTCCAGAGCACTCTTGGGCAGCATACTTGCCCATAGTGTAAAAATTAGCTGGGCAGGGCTGGGCTTGATGGCTCACACCTATAATCCCAGCACTTTGGGAGGCCGAGGTGGGTGGATCGCCTGAAGTCAGGAGTTTGAGACCAGCCTGGCCAACATGGTGAAACCCCACCTCTACTAAAAATACAAAAATTAGCTGGGTATAGTGGCGTGCGCCTATAATCCCAGCTACTTGGGAGGCTAAGGCAGGAGAATCGCTTGAACCCAGGAGGCAGAGGTTGCAGTGAGCTGAGATCACACCACTGCACTCCAGCCTGGGTGACAGAGACTCTGTCAGAAAACAAAACAAAACAAAAAAACAGGCGCGGTGGCTTATGTCTGCAATCCCAGCGCTTTGGGAGGCTGAGGCAGGCGGATCACAAGGTCAGGAGTTGAGACCAGCCTGGCCAACATGGTGAAACCCCGCCTCTACTAAAAAAAAAAATTGCCAGGCGCGGTGGCACATGCCTGTAATCCCAGCTACTCCGGAGGCTGAGACAGGAGAATCGCTTCGACCCAGGAGGTGGAGGTTGCAGTGAGCCAAGACCGCGCCACTGCACTCTAGCCTGGGCAACAAAATGAGACTGCGTCTCAAAAAAAAAAAAAAAAAGAAAAGAAAAAAATTAGCTGGGCAAGGTGGCATGCGACTGTAGTACCAGCTACTCAGGAGGCTAAGGTAGGAGGATCTCTTGAGCCTGGGAGCCTGGGAAACAAGAGTGAGATTCTGTCTCAAAATAAATAAATAAATAAATAGATAGATAAATAAATAAATAAATACAATAAATGGCCAGCCTCGGCTTCCAGTTGAATAAAACCATAATAGTATTTCCTGATCTACACATTTCTTCCTTTGGCACTAGGACCTCTGGACCCACTGAGTCCCGGGTCCCTGGCAAGGAAAGCAAAAATTCTTCATGTGAATTATTAGGGGCCACAGTGGGAGGAGCCACTCCCATCTCCTCTCCTAGGTTCCTGGACTCATTCTAGCATGGTCTAAGTCTAGGAACGGCAGTGCTAGCAGAAGTCCCGCAGGCAAGGGAGGCAAATCCACACCCAGAACACGGGTCTGTCGTTGTGAGGATGAGGCACTGTCCTTACACCCCAGTCTGGTCCTACAAAAAAGGATGACCTCTCAGGGTGCGACCTTCACCTTGGAGCAGCGCCCTCTGCTGGCCGCCTCTAAGACCTGTGGCCACTTGCATCCCCCTTCTAATCTTTCCCTACCTCTGTTGGTTCAAATCATCTCTCAGTTTATTAATCCTTGGAAAGAATTACATAGCAGTTATTCACAGCTTGTAAATTACAATAGAAAGGTTCCTTTCAAATGGTAGAGTTTCACTAAAGAGGAAATTGGGTTTATAAGAAAATGGAGGCAAAGAACTTAAGTTTTAAGAAAAAGCACTTCAAAACAGAAGGGCAAATGGAAAAGGGGGATATAAAACAAACCAATAAAAATACCATCTGAGGGTGTTACTGTCCAAAATTAAAGAATAAGATGCATCACTAAGCCCTTTGCACTCGTGTTGACCTCGTAAGTAAAAATTATTACTTAGAATAATAATAAGTGGTGCACACTACATTCCCTGTCCCTCTTCTAGACTTTTTTTTTTGTAGAAGAATCAGAAAACAATTTACTAACCTCCCTGTTTGATATTAAAAACTCAATAGGAA